>NC_000011.10:82440197-83824698 GCF_000001405.40 Homo sapiens | reverse complement strand
CATAAAAAAGGTTCATAATTCAATGAAAGATCTGAGAAGTCCTGCAGCAAATTTTTTAAATGCTGATAAAGTGTTTTTTAACATTATTTAACAAAATAACTTTTTTAGTCTTTGGATATAAATTACTATCAAGTGAAACATATTTTTTGAAAATTCTGTCATAATCTCCAGAAAACCTCTTGCAAGTATTTTATTTGACGGAAGTAAATTTTCACCTTAAAATCTTGTTTGCAGAGCTCAGAGACATTCACAAAGTACCAAAAGCTACTAGACACTAAGGATGCAACGTGAAAAAAATCATTGTGTCCTCAGTGAACATGTAGCCTCATGAAGGGAGACAGACAAATAAATAGATTATTTCCAATATAACATGGAAATGCTAACGGTAAGTTCCAGGGACCACATGGGCGTAAAGAAGAGACCATCCTTAGCTCAGCCTGGGGAAGTAAGAAGGATTCTGGAGGGGAAACTTCCCAACAAAGAGGGCCCCTAGAAAGCAAAACCAGTAGAGAATTGGAGATAAAATGCCTAACCTTTATTGAATATATGCTCAGCACAAAGCATTTTGCTGGATACTGCGCTGTGATTTCACTGAATTGTCCTAACAACCTTGTTGGATTGAAGGCTCAGAGAAATTAAATAATTTGTCCAAGATCACACAGATAATCAGTAATGATGGTGGTATTTGGAATACTGTTGCTTCTGATTTCAAAGCTATGCTCTTTCTGCGATGCAGGCCTTCACCAAAGAATTGAATTTGGCAGTTTACTTATGTCTGAGGCAGTCCATACTCAAAGTCTAGTTAATGAAAAAAGCATAAATGCCTAAAAAAAGAGCATTTAAAAGGAGACATATGAGTCACCACAGGAAGCCATTGTATACGAAGGCTGTAAGATTGAGGCACTTAGAAGCAACGTTCAGATCCTTTGAAGCTTCCCTTGAGGATGAAACTGTGTTTTATTCATCTCTGCTCCCTTGTTGATTAACTTAGAACGGAGCTACTGAGCAAATGTTTAATGAACGAATGAATGAATGAATGAATGAATGAATGACTCATCTTTGCCCACTTCTCTGAAGGCAGTTGGAAATCCTAGGACCCCTCTCAGTTTTATTCATCTCGCGCTCTGGCCAATTAATCCCTTCTGTCCTGAAGATTCAGAATACATTAAAGCTTTTAGATTTCTGGCCAATGGAATATATTTCCAATTCAGACAGATCATTTCCTAATTGACTAAGAGGAATTCCTATAGATCAGAAAAATGTTAATTAACTATTCTATTACATATTAAATGCTAAATACTTGATGATCATTTAAAATATGTTTATGACATATTCTCTTCTTCCAAAAAATTTGGGTAGCAAGGACTTCCTATACAAGTTTCAAAGTGTCTTCTCTATGTAAACATCTAAACTGTGGTATAACAGCTGATCACAGATAAAGGGGAAATCGTGCAAAGAGTTCTCAAGTTTTAAAGAAGGAGTGATCATCGACTTGATCATCCCTCCTGAAATCTCTTTTGAGTCAAAAAGTGGACTGATTTTTAGTCCAATTTGTTTGGGCCTCAGAATAACCTATTTTATTAGCTAATCTCTAATAACCCTTAGATTTGCATTACCATATATATGTATAAAGTATCTCACTGTGATTATCTCATTTGATCCTCATAGGGTACCTTCAGGATAGGTAGGAAAGTGATCATGCTGCTGTTTTATTCAAGAAGAAACTGAAGGGTTCAACAGTTTTCTAACTCAAAGCCTGTTTGACTCTAGGTATAGGCCTCCTTCTTTCATGACAAGCTCCCTTACCTCTAACGCTAACTACTCTAGGAATATACCTGATGGGAGCTTGATTGGTGAATTTACCTCCTGGAGTTCTTGACTCCAGACAACAGACGTCAGTTCCAGGTAACTTATATGAAAAAAAAGAATTTATTGGAGAAATAACAGATAGTCTACAAGCTCTTCAGGAAGCCTGAGGAACCAGGCTCAGAGGCCAAGGAGGAAATCCTCCTACTAAGGGTGCTGGGCTGTCACCACTGGCCACTTATAGCCAAACCACACTGCCATGAAAAATCTCTGTTTCTCCATGCACCTTACACGTTAGTGTGGGGATGCTAAATTCCCAACTGGAACATCTGCTTGACTTGCCCTGTTGTAGCTGCTGAGGGGTGGGAAAAGGGAATAGCTGCCCCCTCCAGCTTCTCTAATGGGGGTAAGGCTGTGCCTCCTTCCTGTCTTGAATTGTCCCCAAATAAGAAGCATATCTGAACACTGGGTAGATAAATGATAAATGACCATCGGGGATTATTTGGCTCACTGAGCTCTATTTGAGGAATGTTTTAGGTCTAGTATCTTAAGGATCATAAGTGCTTCTTAAACAATAGAAATTATTTCAGAGAGAAGCCTCTAGTGGGAGGAGCCTAGGCCTGAGAGAATAAAAGGAGAAGAATTGAAGACAAAGGATGAGAGACATATTGTGTGCTTCCTACCTAGTAAGAACTTCAAATGGTTTGATTACTATTATCTTGCAGGTCAAAGTTCTGAGATTCTGAGAGGTTAAATAATTTGGTTAAGACCAGACTGTAGTAAAAGGACTGGACTCTAGGTCTGCCCAGCTTCAAAGTCAGTATTTTTTTCATCTTTCACACCAACTCCATAGATTCTATCAACTTTGATCATGTTACTCCTCCACTTAATATCTTTCGACAAGTTCCTCCTGCCTTTCCATCCAAATTCCCTCTTTTAATGACAAGGAGAAGAGTTATCTCCTTTGAGTTTGCTCTAGAGAGGAATGCAATAGAATGGGAACTTGAGGGTAGAGTTTGTTTTTTGTAACAGTGTTTATATGTTGATGGAAATGATTCAGTAGAGAGAAGGAAATTGGTGATTTATTTAGCAATTCATATACATGTATATTAAGTGGAAGAAGTGGAAAACACTTTGGCTGTATGGCTGTGACTCTTATTTGTTAATTATTTGATTTATTGAATATCTCTTATTGATTTATTTTGTTTATTGCTGTATTCGAAGAGTTTTGAAAAGTATCTGGCACTTTATAAGTGTTCAATAATGAAAACATGACTGTCAAATATTATTCTAGTGTTTATAGGAAATAGAGAGGTATATCAGACATTGTTCTCACCTTCAGGGGCTGATAGCTTAGTGGAGACATAAGATATGAACATGGTCGTAATGCATGGCAGATTGATAAAAAGAAACAACTACTATGACTTATTCTTCTCACGCTGACATTATTTAAAATCCATTCATCTAAAAAAAATCCATAATAAGTTTCTTAATTCCAAGTATCATCTTATCTTCTTCATCATCACCATCACCACTTCTGACACCATTCACTCCACCACATGCAATGACCGCTCTCAACAGCTGACATAAGTGGAGAGTCGATGAGCGTCCTCTAACAGCAAATTGCTCATACATGAGCTGCTTCTCTCTTTCAAATTCCCAAGGGCAGCATTGGCCCTTTCTCTGCTCAGGTTCTGAACAACTGCAGAGCTTGAAGCAGCAGATATCATGAGTTATGAGATGTGAACTTTCCAGCTAGTATGGAGGTCAGTAAGCATAAGCGTTATGTCTGCATCATCATTGCATCCCAGAACCTAACCCAGTGCTAGGCACACACAGGTGTTCATAGGTGATGAATAAATTAGATGAAAGAACTTGAAGTCTTCGCTAATGGGAAAGGAAAGCTTTTGGAGATTTTGTTCTAAGTTTTTTCCCTGAAATTCTCAGAAGATTCTTTTTTAAGTTGTCTGTGACATCTATGAGCCAACCTATTGCCTGGTTTTCCAGTTTAAGTGTCGGTTGGTTGGAAGAGAGAAATCCTGGATGAATAACTTACCAGAGAATAACTAAATATGGATCAGTAGATAGGATCCCAGGGGTAGCATTTTTCACTGGAAAAAGCTGTTCCTATACTACATATTTGCTGTGCTTTTCAAATGTCGGGGCTCACTTGCTCATCAGTGAATCAGTAAAAAAGGAAATATTCCCTTCCTCAGTTGTCAGGCCCACAGTATTTTCTGCCCCAGGAACAACTATCTCCAGGGAATATTTTCATTTGAAACATCCATTTTCTTGCCCTGAAAGCCATAAAAGATGAGACAAATCACTCTGAAAGCAGGTACCAAGGTCTGGACTTTTCAGCCTGAACCATAGTTTACCTTGTTACATATGAAATGCTTAGGTATCGTCATTCTAATAATGTGGCTGATAGCATTGATAATAATTGGTTGTTTCTGAATAGTACTTTTGATTTATGGAGCAATTTAAAATTTTTATTCTTATGGCAACCTTGAGACAGGCAGGGGATGGTATTATTATAATAACAACTTTTTATGAAGAAACCAAGCCTCAGAGATGCTTAGTAGAGAATACAAAGTGATAATGTTAGATGGAAACCTGACTATTTAGCTGCTCTTTTCTTATACTTTTTTTCAGTTATTTTCATAAACTGGCCTATGAACCTATTGTTCCCGTAAGACAATAAATAATATGTAGTGACTGGGATTATTTCCTAAAAATCCACAAGATGGCAGTAAAAGATTTTGCATTGAACTGGAGACACTAGTGGAATGTGGCCTTTTGCCCAGTTTTCATACTAGTGATTGTATTTGATCACAGTATTAAAACTGGTTATCATAATGATAGCTTTTTAAAATATAACTCAATGAATTCAAGTGGAATTCAAACCTGAAAGTAACATTTGTGACTTTGTTTATTATTATTATTATTATTGTGAGGGTCCTGTATTTAAACATAAGAAACCACTAGGAATCAGCTGGGAGCTCTGATAGCCAAGATTTCTTGAGAAAGCTCAAAATGAGAAATGTTACTCCTTCTTCAACGTTGGACTGACCTATAATTCTCCTGCTTGAAGGGGAGAAATAGAGGGGTCAGGAAAAGGTCAATAGTTAATCTTCCTTATAATTTGATTTCTTGTTATTTCTCTATGTTCAGAATCTTTCCTGGAGGGAAACTTTCCTGATGGACCAATGTTGCTGTAAAACATATTCCAGGAACATTTATTGCCTATATCTCTCAGGTTTTGTGTGTAACATAAACTATACTAAGCTATGGGTAGTTTTTCATGTACTTTTATTATTCTACTCTCAGATTTATGATAGAATTAAGAAGAATGAAGACTATATTTTTCTTTTCTTTTTCTTTTCTTTTTCTTTTCTTCTTTTTTTTTTTTTTTTTTTTTTTGAGATAGAGTCTTGCTCTGTCTCCCAGGCTGGAGTATAGTGGCATGATCTTGGATCACTGCAACCTCAGCCTCCCAGGTCCAAGCAATTCTCCTGCCTCAGCCTCCCAGTTAGCTGGGGTTACAGGCATGTACCACAATGCCCAGCTAGTTTTTGTATTTTCAGTAGAGATGGGGTTTCACCATGTTGGCCAGGCTGGTCTCGAACTCCTGACCTCAGGTGATCCACCTGCCTCAGCCTCCCAAAGTGCTGGGATTACAGGTGTGAGCCACTACACCTGGCCTACATTTTTCTTTCATTTGGCGGAGGGTCTGCCTCCATGCTGAGCGGGAACTCCCTTTGTTGATGGGGCTCGTGATCATCATCAGGCACATATAGACCTGAGTCAGTAGACTCTGTAATTGAGAACATCAGAAAAAATCACACTGTTTCTGTTTCTAACATAAAGGCAAGCAAGTGTTCCTTAGCATCTCCTTTGTGTGTAGCAGACAGGACTTATGCCTCAAAAAGATGGCAGTGGATTTGCATAAACATGTAAAAACTTAAAAATGAACGTCAGGTATCTCTGGTTTTAAAGTCCTTTGGGCAGTCTCTTATGCTACCCAAATTTATCTTTCCCCTTTTCCTGACTTTTCTTCTCTAATGTCTTTTTACGTTCATATTCATAGTCATTTCTTATGACAAAGAGTACAACCTTAATTTTTGCTTGCTTGTCAGAGATTCTCTTTTCACCTTGGGTGGCTCACCATCTTTCCCTGAAGGAAAAAATATATATAGCTTTCATACCCTTACTAACATAGATTTAAACCTCCTGTCAGGAAATAAGATATTCCACTCCATTCCTCTGTTTATTCATGTATCCTCTCATCCCTGTCTACAACGAACTTGATAGGGGCTTCTGTGTTTATGTCACCTTGCTATGTGGAATGTAATGATGACTAAGCCATGTGTCATGTCCTTGGGATGCTTATAGTCTAACAGAAGTAATAAGCAGGTCCACCCCGAATTATACTATAAGAAAAGTACAGTGAGGCAAGGGAGTTCCATAGAAAAGGCAAAACCTCACCAGGTATTCTGAGGAGGATTCATGTTTTCCTTGGTAATGGAAAGACCTTCCCAGATCCTCACTGCAAGTCTAAGATAAACGATTTTTTCATCAGGCCACAAAGGAAGAACATGAAGTCCAATGCAGAAGTTTTGAAAAGCAGGAGTGCTCAAGAATTATCAACAGCCCAGACCAACAAGACACCAGATGCAGGAGACTATTTGGCCTCTGAATAAACGGGATGAGGAGTTTAAGCACTGGGCTAGGCTAGGAAAAGCAAATAGCTCCCAGGAGCAACAATTCAGTTACTCAGGACAACCTGAACAAACTCCTGATCTTCTCACTCCTCTGTAAAGTGAAAAGACGGAGACTCAGGATCTTTAAAGGCCCTTCCAGCTCCAATATGCTAGGAATGTATGTGTTTGAGAGAACTTTGTGTGATAAAAAGGATGCACTGAAGGGTTTTTGAACAATTAATTTTTTATTAGTTATGACTAAACGTATGTTAGTTATGAATAAAGACTTCCCTTTATTTTATTTATTTATTTTTTAATTAGAGACAGGGTCTCACTGCTGCTAGATTGTGCAGTAGCACAATCATAGCTCACTAAACCTTTGAGCTCCTGGGCTCACGCAATCCTCTCACCTCAACTTCTCAAATAGCTAGGACTATGAACATGCATCACCATACACAGCTAATTTTTAAAATATTTCTAAGATACTGGGTCTCACCATGTTGCCCAGGCTGTTTTTCAACTCTTGGCCTCAAGCAGTCCTCCCACCTCAGCCTCTCAAAGCACTGGGATCACAGGTGTGAACCACCTCACCCAGCCTAAGACTTCCCTTTAAATAATAAAAGTTTTAAAATCAGAAATTAAAATTAAAGGCATACATTCATACTTTTTTCAGAGTCCATTGGTTATAACTTAACCATCCAAATAAAGTCTCAATTCCTCGATATAGCTTCTCTTAACTTGTCCAGCCATATCTCTAAAAGTCAGTCTTTTCTCTGTCATGTAACTATATCTGACATTGTATCCTCTCCTGAAAACTTTCCCCACCCCACCTTCTTCTGAATAACTCTTCTATTCTATTCATCCTTCAAATCTTAGATTGTTATATTCTCTAAATGCCTTCTCTTGCCATTCCCACTTCACCTTCCAAAAACACACAGAAGCACCTCCAAGTTAGGTACCCCTCTTAATGTGCTTTGTATATCCCATACTCTTCCTATGACAGCACTTACCATGTTAATTTTTAAAGACATGTTTAGTACTCCATTTTCCTTACTCTATTGTAAGCCAGGACAATGCTTGTCTTGTTTACCTGACATATAATATATCTTATAAATATATAATGAATGAATGAAGCTAGATTACTATTTTAAGTCAGTAGATTCTGAGTAAAGATCTAGTAAAATAAATGCATGGCCAACAATGCATGGGCAGTATACACCTGTATTGCGCAGGACACAATGTTAGGTACTGTCCCTATAGGCTGATTATTTAAAGGTTTCCAGCTGACAGGAATGTGTGTAACCTAACCAAACTTGAAGAATATTTATAAGATATTGTGTCTGACATCTCAAAAATCAAAATGAGAAACAAACAAAATGTAGTTATATCTTTTGTATAGCAACCACTAGAGGGCAATGAAAGCAAACGTTGAACATCCTTTGGGGGAAAGGAATTGTAAAATGTTTTCTGATTGAAATCTGGGCATATAATCTTATGTTTGGGATAGTTATAGGACCTGTAGGCTGTGGTTTCTGTGATTATGGGTTTAGTAGTTATAATTACCTTTCTAGTGTGGAATTCAAACCTAGATTCTCTGTGATAATAACATCACCTTACACTGCATGTATTATCTCATATGAACCTCCTGTAGCACTACCAGGGAATATACTATTTTCCCATTTTCCAGTGAAAAAAAACTGAGGTTCAGAGGCATTAAGCTAGTAAGTAGCCATAAGGTAGCAAAATATTGACACAAATCCTATAAATACTTATTAACTACTTACATTTACCAGGCATACAAAATTCTCTGCTAAGACAGACAGTCTGGGAAAATACAGGTTCCAAAATTAATTGTACCAGTTTAGAATGGAGACATATGGCAACAGCTCCTTAAAAGAAGATCTTGTGGTTTTAGGTAGCCATCTGATGATGCTGCCAATAGGCTAATAGGCTGGAGCCTATTTACGGAAATGTAGTCCTGGAATGTGGGAAGGAGACATCCTTCTGTCTCCACACTGGTTAGACTCTATCTAAGCTATATGTTCCACTCTAGTTGCTGCATTTTTATAAAGATATCAAGAAGCCACAGAATAGGATTAAGGTTCCTGGACATGATATATTAGAGGGTGAAGGGCAAAGTGAAATGTCCCAAAGAAGGAGAGAGAAAGAGAGGGAATTAGACACAGTGATGCTTAAGCTATAGGCTCAGGAGCCAGAGTGGGTCCGACTTGGCATACCTACTAAAAACAGGAAATGAGTAATTCCAGAGATCTGGGTTGGCCTCTTATCCATGTCAGATATTGAAGAGAATACTTGTTTGTATTCTCCAGGATTCACACAGAGCTAAAGAAGAAGCCTTTTTACTGCTTTAATCTGAGCAGACATCAGAAGCACTTTCCAGAGGCCCCCATGAGGCCTGTGTGCAGGGAGCTAAGCATGGCCTTGCTTGGTAACTGCAATAGCTGAAGTAAAGTGAAAGGCACTGAACATTCAAACAGGTTCTTTCGGCTTGCCCCAGCAAGCTCAACCTGCAGCTTGCCCACCACTTTCTTCCATTCTCTGCTCCATCCACCTCTTGTGTGTGTATCCCCAAGGTGGGCTGCAGGAGTTCTGTGGTCCAGCTGGAGCGTAGGCACTATGGGAGTAAATTTTCTTGGCCCCAGGATAAATCTGTGTCACCAACAGAGAACGCACATCACAGGGTCAGCTGGCCCTTAACCAACCTTCCCACCTCTGGTTACGTGATGGTAACTATCCAGAATGAATTTATTGAGAATTTTGCTTCAGAGGAGGTTATTCACCACAGTAAGGTCTCCATTATAAGAACTGGATCAGTTAGCATGGCCCGTGCAATCACCATGTTATTAAAAGACTTGAGGGATGAAGTTGCCTTTGTAGCTGTTGATAATGGTGAATTGAAGGGTGTGAGACAATGGATCTTAAACATGGCAGTCTTTTCCTAAAACTGCCAGATAGTGCTTCCAGCAAAGATTATCTCATCTCTGCAAACTCCAACCTAGTGATTATCACATCAGGTGCATGCCAGGAAAAAGGTGAAACACTTTAATTTAGTCAGTCTAAATGTGGCCATCGTTAAATTAATGATGTCTAATATTACTCAATATAGTCCTGCTGCAAATTGATAGTTTCCAGTCCAGTGGATATCTTAATTTATGTAGCTTAGAAATTGAGTACATTTTTCAAAACCCATATTATTGGAAATGGCTGTAATCTGGACACTGCCCATTTCCATTTCTTGACTGTGCAAGTGCTTGGAATCCACTCTGGAAGCTGCCATGGGTGGATCTTTGGAGAGCATGGGGACTCAAGTGTTCCTGTGTGGAGTGGAGTGAACATTGCTGGTGTCCCTCTGAAGGATCTAAACTCAGATAAAGGAATTGATCAAGATCTAGAGCAAGGGGGAAAATGTCCACAAAGAAGTGATTGCCAGTGCTTATGAAATTATGAAAATGAAAGGTTATACTTCTTGGGCCATTGGCCCATCTGTAACAGATTGAACAGAAAGCATTTTAGAGAATCCTAGGAGAGCGCATTCAGTTTCCACATAATTAAGGGCCTCTATGGAATGAATGATGTATTCTTCAGTGTTCCTCGTATCTGAGAGAGAATGGTCTTGCAGACCTTACACAGGTAAAGCTGACCCTTGAAGATGTGGCCCATTTGTAAAGGAGCACAGAAACACTTTGGGAATTCAGAAGAAGCTCAAGCTTTAAAGTTGTGTAAAGCTATCATTCTGAAATTATAGAAGAAGAGAAATAGCAGTTTTGGGATTATATATAAACCTTTTGAATAAACTTGAATTCCTAAAAATAGGAAATAGGAAAGGGAGTAGAGTAACGGCCCTGTTTATTTAGCCTCTATCGCTTTTATTATTAGCATCCAGATGCTGAATGATACTTATTTTTTACAATTCCTAAGCGATTGCATCAAAGAAGGTGTTTTTGATACGTCTGATGTGCCAGTACTTGCCTTGTATGTATATGCACTTGCCATTTGGTCCAAAAGAATGTATGATCTAGGTGTTTATTGTTTTATAGAAATCCTGATTCTTTTAAATACGTTCTAATATTTTTTTGGTCTGATGGGCTTATATTATACTCATTTACATACTCTTTTTAGAAGTCATTACTTTCTCTACAATGTAAAAATAAAAGTGCACATAAAGAAAAAAAAGTGAGTCTGCATCCTGACTCTGTTGTTTGTAATTGTGAATTTCGGCAATTTATTTAACTTCTCTGTGCCTCAGTTTTCTTATCAATAAAATGATGACTGTGTCTACGTATAGGGCTGTTATGAGGAGAAATTGATAATACATGTGGTGTTTAGTGTAACATTTCGCACCTGGAAGGATTTGATAAATGTTGGCTGTTATTTTTGTTGTTGTTGCTGCTGCTGCTGTTGTTTTTGTTGATAAAGCACTTGCAAGACCATTCTGCAGAAATGAAGGTAGACTTATTTGTGTTGCCCTAGAAAATGCCATTAGAACCAAAAGAGGCATCATCTAAAAGCAAGAGTTCGTAACAGGTTTAGTTTTAAATACTAAACCATGTATCGCCTAACTGATCTTGAACAAGTCACTCAACCTTACTCAGTCTCCATTTTCTGATGTTACTGAGGACTTAATGTGTCTGTTCACTGTGCTAAGCACTGTGGGTGGAGTGAAAAGGCCTTGTGTCACTGCATTGTAGTTACTCAAGCAGGAGCCAGCTGACCATCTGCAGGCATTTAGAGGGCTTGGGAGAAAGCATTCCTGCAAAGGATGGAATTTTTTTATCAAATCTCAGAGGATCCTATAAACAATCTTTGTTTCTGCTCTTGAAAATGTTGGAAATGAAATTTGTTCTCACTTTGAAATTGTCTTCCTCTGATACGGCACGAGGCTGGTCCTCAAATGGACTTGCATTCAAAAGTATTTCCCTTGAAGTAGTACCTGCCTTTTGAGGGTAACTGGATTCCTTTATTTCTCAAAGGTTAAGAAGATGAAAAAGTATGGCTTTGGAACCAGCAAGAGGCTTGAACCCTGCTTTACTATCAACTAGATGTGCAAACTTTGGACAAGTACTTAGCTTCCCCAAACTGAGTCTTCTTATTTATAAAATGGAGCCAATGACTCCTGCTTCAAAGGATTGTTATGGGGGTTAAATGTGCCAAGGGGTATAGAGCACCCATCATGGTGCCTGACACAAAGCAAGTGGTCCTGCCTTCTTTGACAGTGCCACCAACAGTCCCAGTGCTCAAGGCTCTAAGAATGAGCTTCAACTCTAAGAGGAATGGGCATTGGCCTTCTGGTCATCATCCCATCTCCTCAACTCTGTAACATTGTGCAACTCCTGCCAGATAAAAGCTGACCTCAAGTACATTTCCCACAATTCTGGTCCCTCCTCACACTCTATGGTACCTAGGGGTCTAGTGTCCTCATGCTCTTTCTTGTCTGTCCTTCAGTGAAAGAAATCAGATGAAGGAGTTCACACTGAGGTTGAATGTTAGGAAACAGGCAAAGCATTATTTTAACTAACTATATCGAGATTTTCACAGTATATCTACTAAGTTTAAGACCAAAACAGTGAATCTCAAATGGTGGGATTATAGGATTCCCAGTAAACCTTATGAGGAAAGAATTTCAGAAACATCATAAGTGCTTCATAGGATTATTCATTTATACATCTCAAAAATGGCTACATAAGGCTGTGATCTTCTTCATACCAAACCCAAGTCTTATTTTTATTGATTTCAGTACATGACATGACACAGCCCCTGGCACATTGTAGATGTTCAATAAATGTGGACTAGATAGTCTTGAGGCCATATCAGATGGACAAATATATTTCTTAGCCCATCTATTACTGTTAAACACAACCACAAACCATCTATAAAACACTTGGGATGGGAGAGTTGGAAGACATAGAAGTATTTTGCTTTAGTGTTAAGGATAGAGGAAATAACAGTTCTTCTAGAAAATGCCCTGTAACTGGGGAGAATTTCATAGGAGAAGTAGGATTTGAATTGAGCTTCCCAAGGCAAGGGTGGCAGCATGACATGTGGCTACGAAGAAGAGTGTTTCCAGCTCAGTAGACAGATGGAAGTTCAAAAGCTACTAGTAAAGGGTGTTGATGACAAGTTCTAGGTAGAAGCTAGCTTGTTTTGAAAACCTGAACCCCAGCATACATATTCTTGTCTTCATTTTAGTTTCCTTGGAACACTTTAAACACTTCTCCCACATTTTTCTCTCACACTTCTACACACTCCCAGTCCTCAGTCTCTGCCACATATACAGCAGGGGAAAAAATAGGGCTCTCTTTCTCTTTCTCTCTGTTATACTAGTTTCCTCTAATCTTTTGCTCAGTAATATATCACAGAACAACTTTCAGCTCATTAGCTGACAACTCCAATGTTGTTCTTTTAGAATGGTCAAAGATTTACTCTTTTCCCTGATAGCCAACAATACATAAGACTTTAATGTCCCTTTTCACATTTCCTGAGGCTAAAATTTTCACAACATTTAACTCAAATTTAAACTTCCTAAAACTATTTTGGGAAAAAGAACCAGGAAGATTTATTTTAACATTATTTTTCTTAATCAAAACAGCAAATGTCGTGAATTTTACACACTAAACATACTTTTTAGTGAGGAAATACTCTTCTAGAAAAAAATTGAAATTGTACATGCTATTTACATTAAAAAGTAGAAATTAAAATTTTCTTTTAGTGATATTAATAATGTTATTAGGCTGAACCATATGAAGTTGCCATTTCTGTAGGTCAAGTTGAATATTGTCAATTTTGTGTGGTTCAACCTAATACAGACTCTTGCATAGAGGTTACAGCCATAGATTATACTAAGAAAAGAGTCTTCAAAGAATTTAGTCCAGAAAAAATGAATTTATTGGTTTACTGATTTGAAAAGGGTGCTTAAACAAAGCAGAAGTATTCTTCAATTTCCCATAGTAAAAGCAAAAGCTACCATTCATTGAGTGGGTTTTCATCTGCATCACCTTATTCAGTTCTCAATATAACTCTGCAACCATTTTGAAGTAGATATTCCTATCATCACTTAATAGATGTACAGAGTCAAAATTCCAATCCTGAGTCTGCTGGACAAAACCCACACTCTTTCCCTTCTATTACACTACCTCAGAGATTTAACACAGAAGATAAACCACTTCTCCAAAATACAATACCAGTTAGCGTCAGGACTTGGAGTTATGGGTACATATTGAGTTATTTGCATAGAAAGCTTGACTTTCTACAGTTAGGTCTTTGAGAAAAAATTCTATAAAGTAGGAGATCATCTTATATATACTGAGCTCCTCAAGAACAGAGGCTATCTAAATAATCTTTGAATCCATGGGACATGGCACAGAACCTATTGTAAATCATAAATAAACATAGTAAATCACAAATAAATGTTTCTAGAATAAATGAGTAAACAAAAGAATGACTTTTGCATGGGAAAAGGCAGAATAGGTTCATAGCTCTTTGCAGAATCAAACATCTTACAGTATGTAGGTATTTTAAAACCACAAGATAGAATCACAGAATCATAACTCCGAATGGAATACCAGAGTTCCTCTTGTACAATATTTGTTTGTTTGTTGTTTATTTAATAAACAAAGGAACTAAAGTACAAAATTCCAAAGCTAAATGATGACACAAGCCAGAGCCAAATCTACCAAGCCTTCTTGAAAATATACCTATCCCTGGATTTTTCTTCCTTTAGGAACATAAATGTGCTAAGGTATTATCTACTCATCAATAATTACCAAAATTATTTATATTTTTATACACAGCATATATACATGTATACATACACACACACACATAAACAATTGCAGCACAATTTACTTTCTTTAGGGAAATACTTGTTTTTATTGCACACAGCATTTGATAAATATCAACATTAGCCAGGAACTTATAGGTGTGAGAAAGAAGGCAGCTAAATACAAGTTTTTTTGGTTGAAAATCACACCCATTCACTAATCCTCAGGTGGACTTGTTCTCAGGAAGAATAATTTACATTGTCAAACACTCACAAGCCTGAAAAAGAAAGAAAAGAAGGGTGAATTTGTATTCATACAACAGATACCTTCACACACTTTATCCTGGAAAACACATTGTAGTTTATACAATTTGTTGGTGAGTGATTTATGCTTTTTATGCATAGTTATTTGCTTAGTCTCCTATTCATCCAAAAATCCATACTTTTTCCTGGTTTACCTGACTTTCTCATTATGCATAACTTTGAAGAGAAGCAATATTTAGCAATGATGCATTCTCTGCAAATGGATGGCATGCATGCATCTGTCTTCTAATATAATATTCATGGTTTTCACATCTCCAAATGTGAATTTTCCCCTTAGTGCTTCTTCAACCCGTATTTTGTATCTTAGGGCCATACAAAAATTGAAACATTTCAGTACTTATTTCATACTTTTAAGAGGGAAGAAAATATTGGCAAAGGATGGGTAAGAAATGGAGGTTACAATGCAGATGATATAAACCTTGAGCTACATACATACCCAAAAGCCCAAAGTTGAGCTATTGTTGACTGACTGGTTCTAGGCAAGGACTAAGGGTCAGTTCAGGAGCAAATATAGAATTTAGAACATTCAGTTTATAATGATGGTGTTAAGAAGGGGGTTGAACATTCACTTGGTTCTTTGATATGTAGCAGGTCTCTATAGTAGACAGGAACAAGTGGATTTTGAAGAAGCTCCAGAGACCTATAAATCCTAAGGAGTTTCTCCAGAAGCCCTACATGGAAAAACCCTAACTTGAGGCTTGTCCTTGACTTAGAGTCACAGAGCATTATGTATAAGCAACACAGCCTAAGATAGCATTTCCAAATGCTAGCACAGATAATTTTGCTATTTTAGTTTTCAGGAGCAAGCTCCTCTGGCTTGCCTGTATTTGACAGCTAACCCAGTGTTTTAGTTGTATTGATGGTGGAATGAGAAAGATTTATTTTTATAAGTCTAATTATGAGACTTTCACAGCACATCAGTTTGGACTTCAAAAGGATAACACAATTCCAGAAATTAGGTGGTAAACAGCCAGTCATAGGCTGTCTTCCCAATAAAGCACGATAAATCAACCAGAGAAGAGAAGAGAGGATGCAGCAGGAAAGTAGAGGCAGATCACTCAGAGGGAGGTGGTAAGAAAAAGCAAGTGAGACCAGCTGCAGGAGGAGGAAATAGACACAGCCCAGCCGCAGAGGAAAGGTAAGGAAGGAAGAAGTGAAGGGAATCTAGTCACAGATGCAGAGAGACAGATCAGGAGAGGATCACAGAGGTGAGACCCTGCAGGGGAGAATGGGAGGAAAGGGTGAGGGTATAATAGAGAGGAAAAAAAATGAGAATCAAGGGACCACACCTTTACAGTGCAGTGTGCAGTGTATGGTGTACGGTGTACAGTGCAGTGTACATGGCAACTTTTCCAGGTGGTAGGAGTTTGACAAAAGAGAAAACAATGCAACAGGAAACTGCATGCAATGCAAACTTGGAAAGGGAAAAGATAGAGGATGATGATTTAAAGAATGCAGAATTATATGTCTGGGTTTCATGGAACTCCTCGTGCCAAGAACAGCAAGGGCTAGTCACATATATTTTATTCTGTTGCTGGCAACTGTTAGTGCAGTGAATGGAGTTTGAGAGTTCCAGGTCCTCTGTTTCAGGCAGCCTCCAGTGCTTCTTCCCCTTCTGGATGACTGCTGCCCTTGTGCTTACTGACTTAATGCCTCTTGGTCTCACAAGATGTGGCAGAGCCCACCGCTGATCAGAACCTGCAGCCAGCCTCTCACAGAACTGGCCCCAATATAGGCTGAAGCATAATTCAAGGAAGGAGCTGGGTGAGAAGGCACTGAACTTGGCCACAGGAATATTAAAAGGGTTTGACGTTAAAATGCTCTGGGAGATTGTTGTGCTCTCTAATACCCAAAGTGGCAGAGCTGTTGAGGAAAGCTGGTCCCTGCACTGACCAAGCTTGCCCTAAAGAAACAGGGAAACAGCCTGTAGACACCAAGACTACAGTATGCCTGGAGGGGGCTGTTTACTGAGATGGAAAAGCAAAGTGGCCCAT
Organism: Homo sapiens; assembly: GCF_000001405.40. Taxonomy (NCBI): domain Eukaryota; kingdom Metazoa; phylum Chordata; class Mammalia; order Primates; family Hominidae; genus Homo; species Homo sapiens. The sequence goes on along the minus strand of NC_000011.10, from coordinate 83,808,094 downwards.
TGTGATGACCGGCACGAGGCTGCTGTTAGAAGGCATGTGATATTATGGGGAAGGGAATGTGTATGCGTGGGGAGCAGAAGTAGATTTGGAAGCACATAGCAACATTGATGACTGTCAAAGATAGGAGTGTTACCTGCAGACCTAAGGCTGGAGACAGCAGGTATTATAAGAGAAGAGGGAAGATTAAGTAGGGGAGAAAGGACACAGTGTGTGCACCACACAGACCGTATCTCTTATGTTAGCTCTGCTACTTTCGAAGCATCTAATCTTTCTGTGCCTCAGTTTTCCCATCTTAAAGTTGACCTCAGCAAAGTTCTTGGGAGGATTAACAATAACAAGCCTAACACAATACCCTCTTGTTCAGTATTCAGTAACTAGTATTATCTTTATTAGTGATCTCCTTCCACAGTTAAATTCTTGGTCACAAACAGTTTGAAAGTCAATTGCCTTGATTTCTTCTCCCTTTATTCCCTCTCTCCTTTTCTTTTCTGTTCTCCTGATTCGCTTTTCCCCTCCTTCCTATTATTTACTGAGCATTCACTTTGTGCTAGGAACTGAACGAATGCAGTGGAACTTTATTTCTTGATGTTTTTATCTACTGAATGGATTGTGGCTTTGCAGCTCCGTTCACATCTGAAGCTCTGGCAACTAACCATGGAAACTCACACCTTGCTGGAGAGTTGTTTTCTGCAGGGAGCAGCAATTCTATGTGCTAAATTGGGAGGCTGGAAAGAGAGAATTGGTTAGTAATTAGAAAAGATATAAATTACTGAAAATACCTCCCTGCCTGTGTAAATGGAAAATTTTTCTGATGCTTATAATATCCACTTGGGACTGATAGTGAAAGATTCAGCACAGCCTTGACTGCTTTTATGAAGTCTTGATATATGCTTCAGAGAACAAAGGAAAGTGATGAAGGAGAGATGATTCCAGACGATGGTCACTCTTTCTCACTCCTTATTGTATGGAGTTTGTCTTTTCAGGAGAGTTTTGAAATGATTCTGTTGCTGCTTCTAGTTTTCCCAAATGTCTAGAAGCATTTTTTGAAATCAGTAATGCTTGGAGTTAAGGCTGTATTTATGTGGTCTGCCTAATACTTCCCACAAAAGTCCACATTCAAGATGGCAGCTCCAGTATAGAGAATTATGCCTTTCAAGGTGGCAAAGTTGGTTGCCACCTTCTAGGGTCCTGCTTGTCTGCTATATTATTCTCCTCGCTTATACTTTCTTTTCTAGTTTACATCGTTTTCACTATTAGACACTGAAATTGGCCATGAAATCCTTGGTGAGCTGATTAATAATTCCTCTTTAGAGGAACAGGAGTCTTTGTGAACCTTAAGGCTTCTTCAGAGTTGAGGAAGAGATTCATCAAGCACGTAAAGCTGTAGTCACCCTCAGTAATAATGTATGAGGACATCGATTTGTGCCACATCCTGGGAAAACAAGAAGCCTGAAACAGTGGCTGGGACTGCCCTCGTGGGGCTTACAGTCTAGTTATTGATATTTATTCATTAAAAAGGTAAATAGAAAAAGAAAGCAAATCACAGAACATCGTGTGTTATTATGGGATCATTCTTTAAAACAATGACTATATATGGAGGTAAACATGAATGTTTTTCCACTCACATATATTCACTCACTGACAGGAACCAGGCACTATCCTAGACATTGGGAATGTAGCTGGGGATATGTAAATATGTGTAGAGAAAGTGTATAGAGTTAATTTGTCTAGTTTATTATCAGTGGTTACCTGAAGGTTAAGATAGAAAGATGTTCACAGTTTACTTGCTGTTTTTTTGTATTGTTTTAGTTGTTTAAAATGAGCTTGCATTACTGCTCACCTGAAAAATAATAATAAAAGAGTAAAGAAGGACCAAAATTCATGTAATGCTGCCAGGTTGTGGGGCTGATGGCCAAGTAAGTGTCACGGACCATCATGATTACAGGAGGTCTGGGAAGATAGAACCTGACCTGGACAAGGGAGAAGGCCAAGACTTCAAAGAATCCAGGAAAACAGGAAGTAAAACAAGGAGGAGGAAGTTAGGCCCAAGGGAATAACATTAGGCTAGGGATGGACATGAAGCTTCTAGCAGCAGCAGAGGGTTTGCTTAGGAGAGGAGGCGTGTAATGTAGGACATTGAACTCTAGCATTCTCATCTGGACTCTACTACAAATACACTGAGTGACCTTGGAAAATAACTTCATTCTCTGTGCCTCACTTTTTCCACCAATGATATGGGAGGACTAGACAGAATCCACTCTAACGTTCCCTCATATCAGAGAAGTATCTGGTCTTAAAAAGACTAGAGAGGGTTGTGGTAAAAGCTGCATTGTGAAAGGGCTTAAATATAGGGCTAAGAAATTTGCACATAATTTACAAGCAGTTAGGAACACAGATGAATATGAGCATCTGTGGCATGTATAAAATGTGAAAGGCAGTATTTAAAGAAAAGTAGAGTGGTTGTGATATACAAGATGACTATCAAGGTATTGAGAGTAGACAAAAGGGAGAGGGAGGATGGGAGAGAGACAGAGATTAGAGGAAAAGCTAACATCAATTAGAAGTCTACCACATGGTAATGAGATATAATATCATGCTATATCAAAAAACCAAATATATGATATATCAAAAAGAACAATATTATATATCAAAAACATTCTAATATGATATATAAAAAATTATGTCATGATATATCAAAAATAAATCCAGAATGATAGAGAAAAATTATATATATATATGGGAGAAGCTCTCCTGCACAAAATAATACCAGCTAATAATTCTAGAATAAATAAAGAATTTATAAAATAACCATTTTTTAACCCGCTACAAAATAACTATTTCAAGAAAGCATAATCCATAGATGCTAAAACAATTAGGGGTTAAAGTTGACTGGAAAAAGGATATTTACATGGTCTCAAATAAACCACCTTATAGATTGTTATTTGCAAAATAGAAAGGTGCCTTTTAAATGAAGAGATCTGGTGGTCCATGTATTTTGAGCTTCCTGCTATGACGCAGTAAGAAATACACAGCATTCATTACACACTGGATTTTGCTAAAAATGTTTCACCTGATTCTGAAGAAACAATCAGACAAATTCAAAATGCAGAACACTCTATAAGCATCTGACTGAAATTATTTTTAAAAAAAGAGTAAATTTTATTTAAAGAAAAATGTAGGTAATGTTCAAGACTAATAATGACTAAAGACATAGTAACAACCAAATGCAATGCATAAAACTTAAATCCTGGATTTAAGAAAAAAATCTGTAAAAGACATTTGGAGGATAACGGAGGAAATTTGAATAGGTGCAATATATTAAATGTTATAGAAATATTAGTTTTGTTTGCTTTCTCTGGAGTAATAATGGCATTGTGGTTATACAGAAAATGTCTTTACACTGGGAAGATGCCTTGCTGATATGTTAGATTGAAAGTGGAATGACGTCTGCAACATAATTCAAATGGTTCAGAAAAAGTGTGTGTCTGTGTGTGTGTGTGTGTGTGTGTGTGTGTCTTCTGCTAGGCAGATAGGTAGGTAAGTGGAGAGAGTGAGAAGGAGGAAGAGAGGGAGAACAAATGTACCAAAATGTTAAGAACTGTTGAATCTTTATGAGTTTTTATTATAATGTTCTTCAAGTTTTCTATAATTTGAAATTTTTCAAAATAAACAGGAAACAGGGCCTGTTTCAATAGTTCAGATCAATGCTTAGAACTAGCATAGTAAATTAGAAAGGAAAAAACAAAAGCAACAGATATTTTGAAGAGAAATAGTTTAATAAATATTATTTCTCATTCATAGTGGTGAATACAAGTTGATTTTCATGCATCTCTGTTTATTCAGATCTCCTCCTCTTGATTTGACTGATTGCAGTTGGGAAGATTTTGACTTCCCAAAAAGATTTGACTGATTGCAATTGGGAAGATTTGATGAAAGTAATTGGGAAGAGGGGACTTAAGAGTTCTTGACACAGTTTGCCTAAACTCACAAAACCTGTTTCTTGGGAGCTTTTAGGCAATGAGATGATTACCTTATTTTTAGATGAGGAATAAGTCAAAGAAATACTAAGATGTAATTATGGGCAACAGCCAGATGCCAAGATACACATAAGCCCAAACACAAAAGAATGTCATCAACTTGAGGAACTACGATGAAAAAAACATCAGATGAGTCCCACATGCAGCAGCCAGAGTTTGAGTTTTGCATTAACAGATTTTGACCAAGATTAATTCCATTAATATATTATTCCTGCTCAAGCCTTTCAGATGTTTTAGGAGTGGACTGTTTGACAGATATGTCTCTGGAGGCAGCATTATTCCTTCCTTTAAAATTGATTCCAAAGCTTATGAACAAGATTAATTGTGTATGAGGAAAAAAGGAAACAAGAACCCTTTTCACTTACATTACAATCTCACTCAGATTAGTTTATGTAAACTAAACCAAATTAGTGAATATTATAGGATATGTAGAAATGAACATCCTTATTGCTTTCAAATCTGTATACTATTTAGACAAATTCCTAGTTAATAACTTTGACCCAGAACTTAGCCAACTGAACTTGTTTGAACAAAATAATAAGGTTCACTGGGAATTAGGGCATTTATGTGAAAAATGGTATTGATTCAGTATTTCCTTTTGCAGGTGTTATTGCACCTTTGGAAGGACATTTTTTCACTATGCCTGATTGTGCCACGGTTTGCAAAACATTTAACACACATGAGCCTTCTACAATTAATGCCAATGCTGACTCCTGACTTGGACATTTTAACAACAGAAAATACCATCCCCCCTCACAAATAGACACCTTTTCATACCCAGTTGAGAACTACTGTTAGATTCTAAGTCACTTAGGGCTGAACCATTGCTTTCTTCACCAATCCATCCCCCAAAAATAGCACAATGACTGGCACAAAGAAGGCATTCAGTAAATATGTATTGAATGGATTAATGCAATGTTTGAAAATTTGATTACCCTAGGACTCATGTTTTCTATAAATATTATCATATTTTAAATTTGCCTACATAACCCCTTTTGCCTTTTATTGCTAAGGTAACACAAACCTCAAATTCAGTAGTTAAAACTTTTTTGTATGACTTTTAAAATTGTTATGATACAACATATTTACTTAAAAATATTCACATACTGTTAAGGGCTATAAAATGAAATGTAACCCATTCTCTCCTCTTCAGCATTTCTCCCCTCCCCACCACAATACCATAGCCCCTTAAAGCCTCTGTTATCAATTCACTGTGTAACCTTGCAGGCATTCTCTATAAGATCATTCATCCTTTTCTTTTTTTGAAACAAACAAACTAGATACACATATAGTTCTACAGCTTGCTTTTCTTTAATTTAGCAATAGATAATGACTTTTTTTTAGTTTCAAAATATTAGACATGTATGCTGTTGCTTTTAATGACTGCATAGTATTCCATTATATGAATAGTTCATTATCTATTTAATCAATTTATTATTGATAGTGTTTTAACAGTAGATTAAATAGTGATATTTTAATACCTGAAACCCAGAAATCACAAAAAAACTAAGTTTAAATAAAGAATAATAGAGCACTTTCAGTTAGTCCACTGATTTCAAAAGGGAGAACATGTTGAGCAAATTCAGAAGGCTTTTTTCTTACCACCATCCACCAGAGAAAGGATCTCAGCTTCAAATTTAACCCTAACCAAAGGGAATCTGTCAGCCTAGCAGCACACACACATCTCATCTCAGGATAGAACATTTGGTGGGTGAGTTGAGAAGCCACAAAGCAGATCTTGAAGGGTAGGAATTTAGCCTTCAGCCCAGAGTCTGACACTGCCTGAACAATTTAGAGGCTTGGATGAAGTGGAGGTGGTTGTTTAACAATGTTTGCAAGGACATTTAAGACATATTGGTGCTTCAAGGAACATATTGGTTGCTCTACAATTTTTTTTTTAATTAGCGAGGCATAATGGTGCATGTCATGTCACTGCTATCTAGCCTGAGCAACAGAGTAAGACCCTGTCTCAAAAAAAGAAAAAAAAAAAGTCTTGGGCCTCACCCTCAAAGATGCTGATTCAGTGAGTTCAGTTTCATCAACCATTCTCCCCCTAGAGGACAAATGCCTTCTGAAAAGGACTCTAATTAGTACCTGGCTTATAACAAGTGCACAGTAACTGGTTGTCAAATAAATTTTAATGATTTAAATAAAGTTATGTGATTTAATAGTTATAACCATTCATTAGTTTAAGGAATATTGTTGAATATCTACATAGTGTAGTCAGCACTAAAAGTATGGAGTTAAAAGAGACACTCAAGGTCTCTACTTATGGGAAGCTTTTCTCGGGGTGGGTGAGATAATAAACAGAATAACATGTGGGCCTAAATTCTGTAAGAAAGTAAAACCAGATGAATTAGAGATAGGCTGGGAGGCTACTTTCAATGTGATTGTCAGCAAAGAGCTCTTTGAGGAATTGGCATTTGAGCTTATGAAAATAAGTTGTCAAAGATGAGAAAAGCTAGGTAAGAGCACTCCAGTCAAAGGGACCACTGGCATAAATGCTGTAAGACTGGAGGAAACTTGGACTGATGCAAAACAGAATGAAGGCCCTTGTGGCCAGCAAACAGTAAAGAAGACAGAGTGGAATAAGATGGAATAAGAGGGATAGGCAGAGCCCGAGGAAAGGAGTTTGAATTTCATTCAAAGTCTAACAAGGAGCCAAAAGAAAGATTTTAGCAGAGGAGAGGCATGATCTGATACAGAGTTTGAGATCATTCTGGCTGCCGAGTCAAAAGGGGATAGAGGAGGGTGGGAGGAGTGGGCCACAGAGACAATGGAGGGACCCATCGAGGCTACTGTAGTATTCCCAGGGAAAATGATAGCTTGGCCTAGAGGGATGGGGTGGAGTTAGAGAAAATGCATGGAATTAGAATATGGCTATGAACTAAGGGATTGCATGGGGAGGTGGGAGGGTAAGAAATGAATGGAGGTTCTTGATTCAGTGGTTTGAGAGGAGAATGGTGGTAGTACTGTTTGCTGAAAATGAGAAAACTCTCGAGAAACATGTTTGGGAGAAATTTTGAGTTTGATTTTGAGCACGATGAGTTTGAAAAGTCTTACACATCTATCTGCAGATGTCAAGTAAGCAGATAGATTTCAAGTCTGGAGTTAATGTAAAAATCAGAGCTTGGAGATACTAGTATCAGCTTGTGTTTGTATAATATTTGTATAAGGTTTCAACTATTTTTTGCTTATATATTCTTATAAAGATAGTTAACTTTTTACTTGAAATGCATGAATTCTAGATCTTACTGTCTTTCAGCCTTTAATAAGCTGGGTTTGGACAGCCAAGTTATACTTTATTATTTTCATTTAAAGATTCCAAAATAATCATCCCTCTAGAAATGACCTGGTAATCCAAAACATTTTTAAAGGTCTAATTTTTTTTAACTATAAGCCTGTTTTTGCATCAGGAATCCAAATTTAAAGGGAAGTTAATGTTTAACTGCTAAGATACATAAATATTCAATATCAATTTTTCACTTTGCCTCTGCTCCAGAAGGATTCTAGTCTTGAGCTGTAATGCATATACTGTCAGAAATATTACCACTCTCCACAAAGTATAACAGCCTCCAGGAGGGGAAGGGAACTTAATTAGAAATTTCCACTTCAAATACAATTTATAGTTCACTCACTCTGAAACATGCTGGAGGGTATTTGAAAAATTTAATGCATAATGATCTGTTTGTCTCAAGTTGTCAACAAAATACATTTTGAGCATAGAATATATTTGTTTATTAAGCATTAGACGGTACCTCTGTGATTTAGTATGAGGCTCTCTTTCTAGATAAAGAAACTGAGGCCCAGAGAGATGAAGGGGCTTCTCAAAGTCAAATAAGCTAACAGCATGACTGGAACTCAGCACTCCTGACTCCTAGGATTGTGCTTTTCTGTTTCAGTGCCTTCAACCCTAGCACTTTTCCCTGGTCAAATGAGCCTGCATTGAGATAATTTTATACTCTCCCAAGTCATCCTCTTTGTGTACGTCAGGAGAGGGTTCAACAATAGCTAATAATTATATGCCCTTACTAGATGCCAGGCACTGTTCTAAATGCTTTACATGTATTAACTAATCTAACCTTACAGCAACTCTGTGATGTGGTACTCTTATTATCCCCATCTTGTATATCAAGCTTCTTCTACATCTGTGTCTAATTTGACCAGGGTACTGACCACAGGAATATGAAATCTAAAATGATTTTGAACATTGGCCACTTCTCTAAGCTTCAGGTAGATATTTTCTAACTGTCTGCAAAACTGTAGATATCCAACAGACATAGCAAAGTCAACATGTCTAAAACAAAATACATTATCCTCCCACCCAAACCCACTCTCCATCCTGTGTTCCTGTCTTGATTAATGGTATCATCACACCTCCAATCATCCTAAAGCTTTTTGACACCTTCCCCATTTCCCATTTTCAATCTGCTCAACACAGTAAATATTATTTAAACTCTGTTTGGCTTCCAGAAGTATTTGAGGAGAATAGCTGCATAGAATCTTCCTCTGTTTTCCTCTCTCAAATTTGTGCCACATCTCCCACCCTCAAATCCACCCTCATTTGCCTAATTTGGGCCTTAATTATTTGTATCATTGGTAACACTTCAATAGTATCACATCCGATTATCTACTGGGATACTTCCTACCCTGTCCTCACTTAATTCATTAACCCCAGTTTCTCACTGTTGCCAGAGTTGTTCTCCCATAAACACAGGTCCAATTGTGTTAAATGCTTCTGTAAAACCCTTCCATAGCCACTTATTGACAAAACTTCTTGCCCTGGCATTCAAGGTCTACTTCTGCTGGCAGCATTTTTTCTTTCTCCCTATCTATGTTCTATGCCAGCCATCAGACTGCTCACAATTCAACATTGAATGTGATATCTGTAGTTTCCCTGTTACCCACATAAGTATGTGGTAAGATCATTTAATACATGTGAATTTGTTTATTCTATTTGTTAGTTTATGTATCACCTTGTTCAGTAACAAATGTGAGGTGGGGAAGCAGTTTACTAACTGTGAAATACTTTTGAGATGTTATTTTTAAGCCATAGAAATAATTAAATTTACAACACAGGGGACCCTAGAGATGGTGTGGCCCAGCACCTTCATTTTTCAGAGCAGCTCCTTAGCTGGCTTGAATAAGTTGATGGCAGAGTTGGCAACAGAACTTACATTTTCACTTCGTTGCATCTCATCACTTCAGGAAAAATGAAAATAGATTTTTTTCCCTCTTGAAAAAGAACGGGAGCCTTCTACATGTATTTAATACACTGTAATACATCTGTTCATCTTCCTATCCATGGTCTCTCTGAATAAAGTAGAGATAGTTTGGATCCTACACCAATTTCTTCCCTGCTGCCCCCTGCCACCTTGCACCCAGACCCCCAACTGTGAAATTATTGGCTTGAAACAGTCCCCTGTGTTCTGTACCTGTCTCATTTTAATTGAAATGTGGTGCCAATTATCTAGCCTTTTCCCATTTGGTTACTCCTTTGTATTTTTTTCACAGTTAATAATTCTGTTAAATTTGTAGTTCTTACCTACTTTTATCCTAAGATAGTCTTCTACCAAACATATTCTTTGGTTTTATTATTGCTAATAAAAGCCAGTTAAAAGTCCTGGTCACATAGATAATGGATATGCTATAATACACATAGCAACTATTTAGTAAGTACCTACCATGTACCAAATATTATTTTAAGCATTTTATTTGCTTAAACTCTAATAATCCTGATAACAGCCTAACAAAAGAAGGGTTCACATCTTTTGATGCATATGAGGAAACAAGTTCAAAGAGATTAAGGAACTTACCCAAAGTCATAGAGCTGGTAAGGGAAGGGACCAAGATTTGAATCCTGGCCTTCCCGGGTCTAAACCCAGTATTCTTCCCAGGACACTGCTTTCAGAGCAGGCAGATGACATGAGCTGTGGTGGAAAACCTTGGCAGCCATGAGCATTTGCTCTGCCTTCTAAGCAGCATCTCCAAGGGGGTCCATCCAACCTCAGAGTCCTGTAGCCAGGCTGGCCATAAGCACATGCTTCCTGCATATTCCCTTCCTGTGCATTCTCTCTACCTGTAAGCACTCCTGGGGCACAAGAATGACGTTAAAATAATATTTCTCAATTTTAAGCTGAGGAATGACTCCTCATTATGGTCAAATATACTAAAATGGCTTATCATGCCCTGGATCACCAGATCCTTGAGAGGCTATGTCATGGTTAAGAATGCAAACGCGGCCGGGTGCAGTGGCTCACGCCTGTATTCCCAGCACTTTGGGAGGCCGAGGCGGGCGGATCACAAGGTCAGGAGATCGAGACCATCCTGGCTAATACAGTGAAACCCCATCTCTACTAAAAATACATAAAATTAGCTGGGCATGGTGGCGAGTGCCTGTAGTCCCAGCTACTCGGGAGGCTGAGGCAGGAGAATGGCATGAACCCAGAAGGCGAAGCTTGCAGTGAGCGAGATAGCACCACTGCACTCCAGTCTGGGAGAAAAGAGAGAGATTTTGTCTCAAAAAACAAAAACAAAAACAAAACAAAAAAAAAAAGAATGCAGACACTTAAACCACACTGCCTGGGTTTCATTCCTGACTTTGTCATATGTTAGCAATGTACCCTCGGACAAGTTACTTAATCTGTGCCTCAGTTACCACCTCTGTAAAATGGGGATTGTTGTGTGTTCTTACTTCACACAGTTGTTATGAGGGCTAAGGGAATTTCTGTATATCAAATGCTTATAACAGTGCCTGGCACATATTAAGTGTTATGTACATGTCAGCTACCATCATCACCATCATCATCATCTTCTTCTTCTTCTTCTTCTTCTTCTTTTCCTTCATCACTTCTTTCTCACATTTGTTCCTCCCGTATCTACCCTTCAGTAACAACTGCTTCCTGTTCTTCAGATGTGCAGGCCCTCTCTCACCTCCAGCCCTCCATATGTGCCTCCCTTTCTGCCTTGAATACTCTTGCCACTGGTCTCCTCACCCCAATCTCCCCCTCTGTGAGAACCTCCACCCATCCTCACCTTGCTAACATTCATGACCTCATCTCAATGTCACTTTCTCCAGGAAAGCTCATTCCTCCTCATCCCTTGGTAGGAATGCCTCCTCTGTACGCCACAGAATTCTGACTTTTTTTGTGCTAGCACTTACCGCCCAGCATTTAATCATGTGTTTAGCTGTCACTGTCCTGCAATGAACAGCACATTGCTTGACAATGGCTATGTGTCACTCTAGTTCATTCTTCCCTTAAACTGGAAAGTGAAATAACTAAGTGGATACTTTTTAAAAAACAAATATATTTCAATACTGTGTTTATCTCTAGGCACTACGGTAGGCACACATTAAAAGATAGTACAGTGAACCATAGGGTAAGCATCCATATTGCCATATTTGATCTCACAATCACTTATCTGAGTCTCTAATGAGATATTACATTATATCAAGATGCTGGAAATAACACCCATAAGAGATAACAAAAAATAGAATTTAGAAACTAGGGAAGGAGAATTCCCTGACACAGGAGGTATGCAAGCACAAGCAAATGGTCACTTGGTGAGAATGATATGAAGGGATGCGGAAGGGAGTGGGATCACTCCCTGGAAAAGTGAAAAATGTGTTCAAATATTAGGATCATATAGAAGAAGAAATGATATTGTTTTGTGAGCCATCAGAGGGCAGAACTGAAGCCAAGAGGTGGAAAGAAAGATTCAACACAAAGAACTGTTTTGGTTTTTTTCATTTGTTTGTTTTAATCACTGGAGCTGACCCAAACAGAATGGATTTTCCTGAAAGGCAGTGAGTTCTTCATTAGTGTTGATCCAGTGTCACATGGAGGTTAGATGATCATTTGCCTAGGATAATGCAGTGAGAAAATATTATTCACTCATCCACTCACTTATTCACTCACAATCCTCTTTTATTCTTTTGCACCTATTATTTGCCTGACCCTATGCCAGGAACACAAGTTCCAATAAGCAGAGATCTGACTTTTAAGGAGCTTATAAATAGATACATTACACAACTCAGTTTGAATTGAGTCTTTAAGAACTAGAAGAAGTTTTCCAGATGAGGAAAGAGTGAGAAGCTATGTTCTAGATATGGAAAATAGCATGTGCATAAATGCAGAAATGGCTGAATCAGAGAAATTTTAAAAGGTCAACATGGTGAGGGACAAGGGTATAAGAATGTGTTTGAATCAGCCTAATGATATAAATTGGGGTTGAAGAAGATCACAAGACTTCCTCCATTTTTGAAATCCTCTGATTCTGATATCATTCATTCTATAGCACTAAGAAATAGACAAATATTTCCAGAGAATCATCATTTATTCAAGGAATAAATGCCCCTAGTGGGAGAAGTAGCAAATATAATGATCATCTCTTAAAAACAAAAAGAAAAAAAATTTGACCTTGGGAATGGTAAACCACTCATCTTCACATTAAGATGTGAAAAACAGCAGCAGCAACACAACTAGAAGTCAACTAAAAGTGCTCAAATTTCTATTCATTACCAATATTATTGTGAAAAGGATGCCAAAACATATGGAATATATATGTGTATGATTAAGGAACTTACCCAAATAGATAGATATAGATATAGATATATAGATATAGATATAGATATAGATATTTTTTTTCTTATAAAGAGTCTCACTCTGTCCCCCAGGCTGGAGTGCAGTGGCACGATCTCAGCTCACTGCAAGCTCTGCCTCCCATGTTCACGCCATTCTCCTGCCTCAGCCTCCCAAGTAGCTGGGACTACAGGTGACTGCCACCACACCTGGCTAATTTTTTTTTGTATTTTTAGTAGAGACGGGGTTTCGCCATGTTAGCCAGGATGGTCTCAATCTCCTGACCTTATGATCTGCCCACCTCGGCCTCCCAAAGTGCTGGGATTACAGGCGTGAGCACCGCGCCTGGCCGGAATATAAATATTTTAATGATCCAATAAAAGTCATATACATAAAGAGGTAGCAATAAATGAAATTGTTCTAGCTTGACAATGCCTTTTGCTTTAGCCCTACATGATCTAATCATTATAAGTTGGGCCATAATTTCTAGATCAGGTTGCTTTTGGACCACCACAGAGCAGAGTGGCAAAACACACCCAATCATCTGCTGCCAGTCTCAGGGAGCTTGACTTATGCCCTTGAAAGACAGGTTTCAGAACTAGAATCTTGTAGGCGTAGACCCTCGGAATTAGACAGGATATTAAATTACAGTGTAAATTGGTAGTTAGGAACTCAGGAGTATTAGTTACATTATTTTAGATCCTTAGCCTCTTTCCACCATATAAATTTGAGTAAGTCAGTGAGTCTCTGAGCCTAGTTTTCTTATCAGTAAAATGGGAAAAATAATCCCACCCTCCTGAGGATTAAATGAAATAATATATAACTATCTCTGATGTACATACCTGATGCTCAATTAATGTTAACAATTATTATTATTAATCTCAACAATAATTAATGGCATCCAATCTTTGAGAATGTATGCTTCAAGAAAAGAATTTTTCTTGGAGAGGAGAGGACTCTAAATAGAACTCTCAGAATCCATGCATCCAGGTGAAAAAGTTCAAACTGAAGCAAAAAAAAAAAAAAAAAAAAAAAAAACCAATAGTAAATATATGAGGCTGTGTCACACTTGGTATTTTAAAATGTCATATCAATGATGTAAACTGTGAATACTTGAAAATGTTATTTGTTCAAGGTTTACTGATAAAAACTCAAACCTCAGGGATAGAAATAAGAATCAAAGTGATCTTGAAAAGTTTGAAAGACTGGAGAAGAACATGTTTGCTAAAACCAGGGAAGAAATCAACAGGAACAAGGGCAATATGATATTTTTCAGGATAACAGCAGCAACAAACCTCTCCAAAAATGCAGAGGCCCATGTAGATTTGGGCCTAAAATGAACAAGATTTTATTATTGGTCCAGTGAAAAAGAAACAAACTCACATATTAGAGCACATCTGCTAAACTAGAAAGAACTCTGGGCTTGGCAAGAGGAGCGCTTGGCTGGTCCTATCCCTATGCTAACTTCAGTATGACTTTGGGCCAGTCCCTTCCTTTACGGGGTTCATCTCTAATGTATAAGTGCTAGACAAACAAGTTTCTAAGGCTCTTCTACTCCTAAAATGTTGTGTTCCTCTTTTTAAAAAAAGCATGAAGTAACTAATATATTGCACTCTGTGTTGGTTAATTTCTATTAGATTTTATTTCATCACTTATAATCACAGCTCTTTGAAGAAATGCTAAAACAATAATAATAGATACTATTTGCTGAATGCCTGTTTATACCTGCAACAGCCCTGATAGGTAGGTAGGTAGGTAGGTATACTCATTTTATAGAAAAGGAAGCTAAGGTTCAAAGAAGTTAAGTGACTTCCCCAGGTTACCTAGGAAACCTAGGTAGACTTGAGATTTAACCCGTTTTGTCTAACTGCAAATCCTTTGTTCCTTCCCATTTTTCCATGCAGTTTTCTTAATGCACTGAAAAAAAATTCAGAGGATGACTAGAATGATGAAACATGTAGAAATCTTATGCTGTAAAGGAAACGTCCAAGAAATTGTGGCTGTTCACTTGGTTCTCACATCAAACATTAAAGTATATTCCAATTGATTAAGGATTAAATGGCTAAAGATTAAACTATAGTTTGCTACAGGAAAACATGGGTAATTTGTTAAATAGATTGGTGAAGAGAAAATATAATCTAAAACTTAAGAGCCAAAAAAGAAAAGGAAATTAAATAAGACTTCACTAAATGTTTAAAAATTCACTCTATCTATGATATGAAATAATGTACGAAAGAAAAGTTAAAATACAACAGTACAAATAACAAACTAAGAATATTTGTAATAGTTACCTAAGAAGGAACAATAACATTCTTCATTTGCAGATAATTTTTTGAAAGAGCAAACTGCCTAAACAACAACAACAAAAAAAGCAAAATAAATAAAAAGGGATTTTATGTAAAAATAAATTCAAATATCCAATAAACATATAAGAAGATGCTTAACCTTATAATTGAAGAAACACAAAATTTAAAAATAAAATTGTTTACCTATCAGAATGGAAAAAGTCAAATGTCGAGGTATATGTAACTATTACAAGAGTGTGAGGAAGTTGAAAATCGTATATTATTTGTTGGCATATAAATTAATACTACACTTTTAGAGGCAGTCTGGCGATACCTATCAAAATTTGACATTCATATCCTTTACTCAACAACTTACTGTTAGATGATATTTATTACCTCATTGTTTATAATAACAAAATAATGAAGCTACCTAGCTGTCTATCAGCCATGCACTGGTAAAACAAATTGTTTTTCATTGAATAATAGAACACTCATAGCTATTAAAAAGAATGAGATTAATCGGAAGAAATATGTAAATTAGAAAGCTGACTAAGGTATATTAGTAAGTGGAAAAAATCAAGGTGTAGAACATGATCTTATTTGTATAAAATTTTAAATTATATATTTTATAAAGTGGCTTATATTCACAACAAAAATAATTAGTAGTATATACAAGAAACCATTCACATGATTACCTTTGTAGAGAATAATAGGAGGTAAGGGAGCCTTTTAATTGTATGTCTTTTCATTGTGCCTTACTTATGATATATGGATATGATGTGGGTATATTAATTTTATTTTTCATATCAGTACACTATCTGGGCAATTCAATTATGGCCTGTTTTTGTTTTCTTATTTATTAGTTCCTATATGTTTAATGAATAAATAATCATTTTGAAAATGTGCAATAGCAAATTAAAAAAAAACAAGTAATGCATATACCCTTTCACCAAGAAGTCTTTCCAGGGAACTTATCCTTCAGAAACACTTTTATAAGTGTTCATAGTAGCAGAAAAACTGGAAACAACCTTAACAACATCAAGAGGGATCTCACTGAAAAGTGCTGGGACATCCATAACATGGAATACTGGGCTTTCATTAAAAAGGTAGAATGATATGAGCTGATATGATAATGAAAGATGTCCAAGATACATTGCTCAATGAAAAGCAAAACAAAAGCTGTCAAATTATATATGTTATGATCTATTCAGTTAAATAAAAAGGCAATAATATATTAAAATATGTATGTAAGGAGAGCAAGAGAAATAAAGTCATGTGCTTGCATGTGCATATAGTGAATCTTTAAAAAGTACACACAAGCTGGAGGAGGAGGAAGGAGGCGGGAGAAGGACTTGCTGGAGGAAAGGCGAGCGCAGCAGTCACGCCGGTCCTGGGAGAGGAAGCGTAGCCCGGCCACCTTCGGAGACGGGCTCTTCCCTATGTTGCCCAAGCTGGTCTTGAGCTCCTGGGCTCAAGCGATCTGCCCACCTCGAACTCCCAAAGTGTTCGGATTACAGGCGTGAGCCACCGCGCCCGGCTGACCATCTCATTCCATCATGCCAGAAGTGAATCCCCTAGTATTTTCATCCGTTGGATTAGGTAACTAGTCATAATGAAGAAAATCAGTTTTAAAACCTTCTGGAAATCCTTTAACTTGAATAAAAGTAAAAAATAAACTGATTTCATGGTAGTACAACAACCATCGCTAGCCAGTGACTTTGGAAAGATAATTCCTAATTTGGTAGCTGCTATGGTAAAGATATGGCCAACTGCGATATCAACAGGAAAGACGAAAAAGGTGGAAAAGAAAAAAAAGACAGATCAAAAAGCAAAAGCTTGATGGATACGTTAAAAAGGCAGCTTTCTGCCAAACAGAAGCCAAAAGGCAAGGCGGGCAAACCCTCTGGGAGCTCTGCCGATGAGGACACCTTCTCCTCCTCCTCAGCACCGATAGTCTTTAAAGCCGTGAGAGCTCAGAGGCCGATAAGGCCACCTCCCTCCGCAGCCATCACTGCAGTCCCATGCCATGGCCTCTTCGACCCACAAACTCTGAGGAGACGTGCATCAAGATGGAGGTGAGAGTCAAGGCCACTCTTCCAGTCCGAGTCCACCCCTGAATGGCGTCCGAAAGGATTTCCACGACCTTCAGTCTGAGACCGCGTGCCAGGAACAAGCCAATTCACTGAAAAGCTCGGCTTCTCAGAACGGAGACCTGTATCTTCGCCTGGATGAACATGTGCCTGTCGTTATTGGACTTCTGCCTCAGGACTACATTCAGTATACTGTGCCTTTAGATGAGGGGATGTGTCCTTTGGAAGGATCAAGTAGCTATTGTCTGGACAGTTCTTCTACCATGGAAGTCTCTGTGGTTCCTTCTCAAGTGGGAGGGCGCTCTTTCCCCGAAGATGAGAGTCAGGCAGACCAGAACCTAGTTGTTGCCCCAGAGATCTTTGTGGATCAGTCCATGAATGGGTTGTTGACTGGCACCACGGGAGTCATGTTGCAGAGCCCCAGAGTGGGTCCGCATCATGTCCCTCCACTCTCACCATTGCTACCTCCAATGCAAAATAATCAAATCCAAAGGAACTTCAGTGGACTTACTGGCACAGAAGCCCACATGGCTGAAAGTATGCTCTGTCATTTGAATTTTGATTTTAACTCTGCTCCTGGTGTTGCAAGAGTTTATGTCTCAGTGCAAAGTAGTGGTCCCATGGTAGTGACAAGCCTTACAGAGGAGCTAAAAAGATCTTGCAAAACAAGGATGGTACTGGGGACCAATCACATGTTGGGAGGCAGAAGGGAAGCTAGCAGTCCTGCCAGATGGTTCTTTCCTTGATTGGGACAGTTCTGAAGACTGTTACCTTTTAAGCTTGAGCTTTCGCTCCCATGGTAAAACAGTTCACACTAGACTTGGGCACTCAAATGGTAGGTTTAGCTTTTATGAACAGCCAAATGTGGAAGGGCATACATCCATAGTTGATCTAATTGAGCATTCAGTCAGGGACTCTGAAAATGGAACTTTTTGTTATTCAAGGTCTCAGCTGCCTGGATCTGCAACTTACCTTGTCAGACTGGCCAAGCCAGTGTCTCGGTTCATGCAGGTACACTCGTTGCAGTACCTGTGTCATTTTGTTTTATGTCAGTATACCAGAATAGACTTAATTCAGAAACTGCCTTTGCCAAACAAAATGAAGGATTATTTACAGGAGAAGCACTACTGAAAGACTGAGAACCCTGCATCTTGCACTTTGGGAATAAGAAAAAGAGATTGAAACACAGTTTACAAACTTTCATTGCCATCAAAATCTTTTGCTGCCATAACTATTTCACTTTTATGTATAAAAGAGTCATCAGTGGTGGCTCACGCCTGTAATCCCAGCACGTTGGAAGGCCGAGGCAGGCAGATCACGAGGTCAAAAGATTGAGACCATCCTGGCCAACATGGTGAAACCCCATCTCTGCTAAAAATACAAAAAATAGCTGGGCGTGGTGGCACGTGCCTGTAGTCCCAGCTACTCAGGAGGCTGAGGCAGGAGAATTGCTTGAACCCAGGAGGCGGAGGCTGCAGTGAGCTGAGATCATGCCACTGCACTCCAGGCTGGGCAACAGAGCGAGACTTCGTCTCAAAAAAAAAAAAAAAGTCATCAGTTTGTTTAGGGGTGGGGAAGTGTCAGCAAGGTGTCTTGGGTTTATTTTGGTTATTTAAAAAGGGAAGTCTTGAGGTTTTAGAAGTGTGAATTACCTTTCCTCAATGTGCAGAATAATCACAATGTGAATTATCAAATTCTCCTCAATGCTGCCCCCCCTCCCGCCCCGCCCTGTCCTTTGCTGCTATCCACTGTGATTTTTATGCATTAAACAGAATGGAAATTGCTATGTCTTTTTAAATGGCCCATTTTCAAAAGATAGTGTTGAATAAACATACCCGTGTGATAAAACACAGAATTTACGTATACACTGAAGATGAATTTTTAATCTATTACTTTAAAAAGATTTATTTAGAATCATGAATTGGCATACTCTTGGGTAATGGAATGGAGATCTACAACATATCTTCTAACAACACTTTTTTCTAAATTATTTCTTAGGTTGTGCTAATTTTATTGGTTGTGAGAAGTTGAGCTTTTCTGTTGCCTTCGTTTCATCTGTTGCCTTCATTTTCATCTTATAGTTTGCCTATTATAATAAATGGCCTTACATTAAAAAATTGTAAAGAAATGTTTACCACCAATTTAGAAATTGTTGCCTTTTCTGTCATTAAACTCAGGTACAAATTGCCATAACATGAAAACCTATGGAACTAGAATTATGATTAAAGAAATATTAGATGATCCTAAAAGAAAAAAGTATCCATAAAAGTGGTTCCACTGGAAATGGAGATGGTGAGGGGACTTTTACCTCTTCCTTTTAGACCTTTCTGAAACAGAATTTATTTGCCATGATCACATTTTATTCTTTTATAAAAAGTAAACCTTAACTGTTTGACAAGAGAATAAATTATTTGGCATGTGAAGTTTGTGCAATTCAGCCTCCTGTAGGCAGTAGCCTGGATCTAATTACCTTTCCTGTCTCTTCTGGCCAGCAGATTCATACTTCTAACTCATCAATAGCCTAGACAGTCTCTGAAATGACTATATCTAGCAAGAATAACTCAAGAATAGATCTGGAATTTTATACTTTAAGGGGGCTTTAGATTCATATAGCCTAACAGTCTCTTCCCTCCGAGGGAGGAGAAAATTGAGTCTCAGGTAGTATGACAGTCAGCAAGAGAGTGGCACAGCCAGATCAGGCCTAGCTCAGTGGACTCCCCAATGTTACCATGTAATCAATGCTTTCTGTAAGGAGTTCACCACACTAGAAAGCCAGGGATGAGGCAAGGAAAATTACAAAAGAGAATAAGGAGATGTTAACGAAGTTATTATGAGAGGATCATGATGTGGAATTTAAGCGTATGGATGTCCCAGGCCTGATGGGGAAACAAAGTAGTAACCCCCCATCTGCCACCCAATGTCATTCTCAAATAGGATTGATGAAAAGCAAAATACGATTATACATTTTGAACGTGTATAAGCTAATCAGTTCTTTATTCTTCTTTCATAGCCCATATCAACCTGCCCCATGAATAAAAGGAAGCAGAATTCTGCTATCATCTGCAAAAAGTTAGTTTTTTGTAGGTTAGAAACCCATACTTACTGTGTGTTCATCAGAAAAACTTCTTGAGGGCTTATCTTGTCTCCCTTTGTGCTCCACTCATTGTCCCTCTTCTGGGGCAGACAGAGAACTCTGTCATTGGAGAGCACTTATTAATTACATTATATTGACTTAGGCTGAACTGATTCAAGAAAAATTTTAGCATTTTCTTCTTATTAAATTTGAGTTAAGAATGCCTTTCACCCTGGCAGAGTTTGGAGCTTTTAAGACATTTCTGTTTCTCTTTCAGTATGGGACCCAAAATGGGAGTTAGCAATAGCTAAATAAACTCCAGGCACTCTTTATTTCATTTTGTCAGAATTTATTCTAGAATTGTATATGAGAAATAGGACAGTCAAGTATATATTTTAAAACAAGGCGGCCGGGCGCGGTGGCTCACGCCTGTAATCCCAGCACTTTGGGAGGCCGAGGCAGGCGGATCACGAGGTCAGGAGATCGAGACCATCCTGGCTAACACGGTGAAACCCCGTCTCTACTGAAAATATAAAAAATTAGCCGGGCGTGGTGGCGGGCACCTGTAATCCCAGCTACTTGGGAGGCTGAGGCAGGAGAATGGTGTGAACCCGGGAGGCGGAGCTTGCAGTGAGCAGAGATCGCGTCACTGCACTCCAGCCTGGGCGAAAGAGCGAGACTCTGTCTAAAAAAAAAAAAAAAAACAAAAAAAAAACAAGGCTTAAGGCTGTCTAACCAGGCTCAGGATGACAAGGCTAGACAATTGACCACAGAGAGGGATTTGGCAACCATCTGGCCCCATTTTATACCATGTCCCCAGAATCTCATCTGAATGTTTTAATCTTTTAGCATATATTTGTCTATTTACATTACATGTGTCTCTCTTTATCATCCTGTTTTCCCTCTAATTTTGAAGGCTCATATTTATCCCTATTTACCCTAGAAATCTAGGAAGCTCACAGAGGCATATTAAATGCATACACTAGAACATGAATAGATAAAAATGTTTCCAACCCGGTCAGACCATGGCACAAACACCACAAGGTGAAATTTAATGTCTCTCCTAACTAAAAGTGATTAAGATCATGAAAGTCCACAAACACCTGAGTAGGATATGAGGGGTTTCTGAGGCATGTGATATAATGTTAGACAGCCTGGTTTTGGGAAACTTTTTTCTTCTATCAGGATAATATGCCTTATGAAATACCAAGATTCTCTGGCTTCCTCTCTTTCAGGTGAATGGCATTGACCTCCGTGGTGCATCCCACGAGCAGGCAGCTGCTGCACTAAAGGGGGCTGGACAGACAGTGACGATTATAGCACAATATCAACCTGAAGGTCAGTCAGAACTCAAACTAATAATGTTCTGATATGTCTCTGTGTGGATCTGTACCCTCATTACTAATAATTTTTATTAACTAGAGTCACCATCATTGGTGTTTTGTAAACCTACCTATAGTGAAAAATTGATGGTTCATGTCCAAAGAACGTGAACCGTGGCTTTGTTACCTCTAATCTTCCAGGAAAATATCAAGCAGTTAGAAAGGCCTATGAAAATATGAATTCAAATAAATAGCAACCAGCATCAGCTTTATTTCATTTATATTCTTATGTGGTACACACTTTCGGTCACCAATGGATACTGTAAAAACAGTTAAGACTTAAGAAGCAAAAGGGAGAGATTTCATCTGCAGAAATAGACCAGTAGACCATATTCTCTCCTCATGGCATTAACTTAATTCTCATTAACACTAACATGGCTTTTGGGGGTGCTTGATTGACATTTTTTTTGCCTTTACTCCTACAATATCCCTTGTTTGAAATAAATCACTGTAAACCATGAGACTCAGTGAGATCATGTAAATTAGATTAGCCAACTTAAACTTGATGAGATATCCTAAATTGGATTAGCCATGCCCTGCTTTTTGGTTTATTTAAACATCTGTTTCCGTGTTTAAAATGAGGCTCAATGAGACAACTGGGATGTTACTTATTGTATGGTTGATTTCTTAGAAAATTCATATATAGGTTGCTCCTTTGGAAATGAAACGTACTTAATGTAAGCACACAATTATGGGTCAGATCTTGTTATTAAAAAAAGAAGAGGAAAATGGCTACTGTCTTCAAGAAATGAAGCGCATTGCTTTTGGTCCATATGGCTAGCAAAGAGGAGTATTAAACAGCTGAACATGAGAGTATAAGATGTCATCAAGGAAGAGTCTCTGTGCATATGAGTATTAGGAGCTCCTTTTCAAGTGATGATTTGTTAGCATCGATGGGTCTATTGTTGTTTGGAAGACTGAGGTTTGTGTCTTGCCTGTGACAGCTTAGATCTTACCATTAATGGTGGCCAATCACATGGTCTGCCCATGAATAAAGAAAATATTTTCTTCCATGCATGTTTTGACATGTTACTTTCAGTTGTGCCTGGCTTTAGAATTAGAATTTGAAATTAATTTATTCAAAATTTTTAATAAATGTTTTTTCCTATGTGGCCTAGGCCAGATATGGCCAGAGAGTGGGAAAGAGGAGATTTGTGATGGTCACAGATGGATGATGACAACACCAAGGAAATATTCTCTTCTCAGATAGTTTTGAAAAGTCTTTCTATTTGCTAAATATTAGTAGACTTGTATTTCAGTAGGGACAAATGCTTTAAAAATTATCCATCATAGGCCGTGTGCGGTGGCTTAAGCCTGTAATCCCAGCACTTTGGGAGGCTGAGACGGGCGGATCAGGAGGTCAGGAGATCGAGACCATCCTGGCTAACACGGTGAAACCCTGTCTCTACTAAAAATACAAAAAAATAGCCAGATGTGGTAGCTGGCACCTGTAGTCCCAGCTACTCAGGAGGCTGAGGCAGGAGAACGGCATGAACCCGGGAGGTGGAGCTTGCAGTGAGCCGAGACCGTGGCACTGCACTCTGGCCTGGGTGACAGAGCAAGACTCCATCTCAAAAAAAAAATAAGTATCCATTATAAAGCTGAAAATTAAAAGATATATGCTGGTACCATTTGAATAACAAGTTCTACTTCATATAGAGTAAGAACTTTTTCATCGGAATCTTCCATTTTCTTAATAGCTGTTTTTTTCAGTCTCAAACTGTATGTCCTTCACCATCGCCTGACATTGCAACATAAATGTCCCCATTTTCCTGTTTCTGAAAAATCTCATCTCAAACAATTCTGCAGACGATAAGATGGTTAGAATCATAGATAAGCAATTAGAAGCTCTCGATAGTGATCAAGTGTTCAAATAACCTTGAACAGAATGACTTCAAGCTTTAAAGTTTACATAAAAGGACAAACATGTCCCTGTTCTATCAATGTAGATCTTCATCTTTCTACTGGAGCTTCCTTACATCTTGGTTTCCTTTAAGCAATATGTTTAATTTGGTTACTATGCTGTAGTTTATCAAGATGCTTGTTCAAAGCATGTCCTATAAATCATACAAATTGATTTTTAAAGTGCTTGTAAAGAAACCTGCAGATAACAACAAGCTTTTTACAAAATGCCAAAGTACAGATTGGATTCACAGAATGACTTCTCTGTTTTAATAGCCTAACTGTATACTAATCTGTTGCAGCTTTAAATTAGTTGGAAATGTGGTAATGGCAACATCAAGCAATCAGATTTCTTTCCTCTCCTATCCAAACTTTACGTGTAACTGAGCCTTAATTTAACTGCAGTTTTCAATGAAAAAGTGATTGAATTATTGTTTAGAGACATTTAAATTGTACAACAGTTTTAGGAAATAAAGAATAATTTACCTTTAAAATAACAAATGAAATGAAGAGTGCCTCATGAGATTCCATTAGGAAATTCTCACCAAGTGCCCTTTATCTGCACCCATATTGTAAGTCGTTCAACCCTTAAGACAATGCTGGCAGATGATTTTATTGGCATACTTTTAGTATGGTCAAGAATTAGACTTTCAGTGAATACATTTTTCAGTCATAATCAAATGCTTTATCAAAAATTTCCTAAATGTATCTGTCAGTATTATCAGATGCTCACAAAAATCTGCCCCTAACCTTAAGTAATAAGCATAGTCTTTGTCTTCAAGGATTTTTTTAATCTAGTTGAGGAAAAGAGATTTTTATACATTTAATAGAGTATAGTTCCTGGTAACATATGATCAGATTGAATGATCTTAGCAGCAGTATTTCTAGGAATTATGGAATGTCAGAGAAAGGATAAGCCTGAAGGGGTCAGGACAGTGCAAGAGTGCACCATGGAAATGTGGAAATGGAGCCAGACCTTGAAAAATGGGTGAAATTTCTATTCAGGAGTGGAGGGAGAAAGAATATCTTGCTAAACTACAAAATTGTGAGTTCCATGCATGCAGACACCATACCTATATTTAACAAAATATAGGTAGCTGATAGCTCTATCTCTGGTGTCCTACTTGGTATTTCTTAAAGAGTTGATGAACTAGTGGATAAAAGCCTACCATTCCTCAGCACTTGAGTTTTCACTTGAAGGTAATTAAAGGTTGAAGGGATTCTTCATTTTCACTACTTGCGCTTTTCATTTTTGCTTCAAAGACATAAAGGAATTGCTAAAGAAATGTGTATTGCAAAATATCAAACAATTTCCAACTGTGTTCCTCATAGTCTTTAGCATATTTTTGTGATAATTATAAATAATTTATAAAATGTCTAATTAACATAATGTAGCAATAAATGTCTTCTTTGGCAAGTTTCACTTTACAAAGCGAGATCACAATTTTACTCACTTCTGCTTAAAATGAGCTTGTCTCCAGTTGTCCACATTGCTATATCCATCCTCAATCTTATTCAGTGTCTGGTTCATGGTAGTAGAATTGACACCAATTTGAAGAGTCATATATGATGTTTTTCTCTGGTGGTGTGATTGTGATTCATTTTTGCCAACTTTTAAAATTCAATTTTATCATGCACTTACTTTGAAATTAACATGTATTACTTTCATAAGAAGAGGAAAATAATGAAGTTGTTTTTCTTTCTTTCAAGAGGATTACATACATTGTACTTCAATAATAATTCCATTTAAGCACTATGCAAAGTTAATTATTGTCAAACCTTTAATTACCTATACCCAGTTAGTGAAGTTGCTGTAATGCCACTTCACAGAAGGAAATATAATGTCTTACACACATGTGCACCCACAGGTACCCCTTCCCTTTCCTTACCCTTCCCAGAAACCTTCCCCTTTGATTTCAGAATTATCTTTCTAAGAGATATGACACCAAGATCCCTGTGCACTAACTCCTTGTCTTTCACAATATATTCCCAGCCAACTCACCCCACTCACCCCTCCACCACCCACAGTATCAGCCTTTCTCATTGTACCCCTGCTACACAGGACTGCTGTCTGCTCTTACACTTGTTCCTGAACTATGCCTTTGCTCTGTGGAATCCTCTACCCAGAATTGCCTTTCTCCCTTTCCACCTGCAGGATTCCTACTCATCTTGAGAGCCCACAGATGTCAATTCCACTACAAAGCCATTTTTAATCTGCTTAGTCAGCATTAATTGATTCTTTATCTGAGTTCCCCAAAACTGTATGTAAACACCTGGTGTGCCCATTATGACAGTTTGCACACCTCTCCACTCGAGTGAGCTCCTAGACAGCACTAGGAGCTGTGATAGACCCTTCTGTCACTCATTTTATATCTTGTGTTAATCCATGCAATATGAATTTGACTATGGTTTATTAATGAGTTATTGAATGGGTCTGCTCTTAATTTAAATGCAATATAATGTTTTCAGTGTGTTGACATATATTAATAGTAGGTGCTTAAGAAATGTTTGCTGAGTAATTATTAAAGGAATGGCATGGGTTTTTATATTAGATTCAGAGATGGTAATTGAATCCCTGGTTTGGACATTTGGTGTTGACACAGTTTTTAGATGGTGCCTTTTGGTTTTCAGTCATAAAACCTTTAGCAACCCTAGTAGATAAACTCCATTTCCCCTGCATTGCAGAAAATCTACAGCTGTTGTTTTGAAATATAGCACAAAGATAAGATGATTAAAGCACTAACATTTTTTTCAAGTTCTGAAACTCAACTTTGACACCATTGATGAATAAAAAGGGAATTGATTACAACCTAATTATACATTTTTCAAAAAAGATAACACAGCATTTCCCCAAGTCAGATCAGGGTAAATCTGATCTGTATTTGCTGCCTTCTTTCTAATAATATCTACATTTATTGTGAGATAACTGATTAGGTTTGAAATAATAAGCCACAGATATTGACTTGGAGAACTAGGTAGGCAGTAGCTAGTATTAGATAAAGCTCAAAATGGAGTTAAGAGCCAAGTGGTCCCTGTGAGAACCACAAATTCTTTTGCCTTGAATATGACTTCTCAGGACATTGTTGGAGAGACTGCCAGGATTTCAGAATGGCCTGCAGGTAGAAAAGAAGTCGTGGATGGTACAGTCCTTACCAGTGATGAGGAACTTCGGTAGATAGTGAAGGGACCTGATTTCATCCACCCTTTATTCTTTAATAAGGTACTGGAGTTAAAAGAAAAGCCCAAAAAGCAGAGTTGATAATTGCCTGGAGACTCATAAGTGTAGTCTGGTTTATGGAATTGTGGCAGAGTGACCACATGGTTCATTTATTCATTTATACATTCATTCAATCAATAGGTATTTTTTTTCTGGATACTTATTATGCCTCAGTCCATGTTATAAGGAAATAACAAAGCAGTGAACCAAAAAAGCCCCTCTCAAATAAATGTAAAATGTGTCACATGGTGATAAGTAGTATAAAGAAAGAAGCAGCAGGAGAAAGACAATAGTGACAGAGAAATATATAGTGGGCAAGAAAGCCATGCTAATAAGGTGATATTTGAACAAAGATCTAAAAGAAATGAGGGAGTAAGCTATGCAGGCATCTGAAGGAAGAAATGAATTATTCTAGAGTTTTGTTCTACTAAATGTTGTCTACAGACCAAAAGCATAGATATTAAATGAGAGCCTTCTTAGAATTGTAAGATCTCAGGTCTCAACCCAACCCTACTGAATCAGAATCTGCATTTTATCAAGATTCCCCAGATAACTTGTATGCACATTAGAGTTTGTGAGGCGTTGCCCTAACATACTTGGAGACCCTGCAAAAATTGTCACTTGTCACTGTTGGGTTGGACTCCCTCTACCTGGAGAACTGGGCAAAGTCACATGAGGCTGCATCACTAGATTTGATTTCTGGCATGTGTCACCCAATGATTGGTCATGGCTCAGTGGTTTTAGCAGGGATAGGTCAAACTGCAGGAGATCTAAGAAGTTCATGTGCCATTCAGCTCTACTTTGTCTACCCCGCCCATCTAAATACCAATATCAAGCAAATTCATAAGTCTTGCTAGAACTCCTCAGCTAGTGAGACAATGAACCTATTCGGGCTTCATTGCCTTTAGTTATGACCTCTACAGCAAGTGAGTTTAGAAGCAGTGAGTTGGGATGAAGTAACATTGATTCCTATCCTCACAGATGCCTCTATGAACCAAGGGAAAGTCATTAAGGCTTCACTATAAAATTTGAAAATTTGAATAGCTTACCACACTTTAATGCAGAAACTCATGTAAATAATCTGTTTCACTCCTTTTAAATTGTGAGGCTAATTCAGAAGGAAAACTATTCTTTTCAGCAATAAGTGAAACTCTGATGTTATTTGGGGTAACCACTGTCACAGAGCTTAAACCACAGTTGGACACCACGGTGCATTTCTCTATGGGGTCAAAGATATAATGAAAGCTTGACATGAATATGCAATTTATCCCTTGAAAAATATGGACACCTTCTGTACCTGAAGGTTCTCAGAAATGAAAGTACATACGCCATCCAAGAAGCATACTTACAATGCAAGACATATTTCTTTCTTTAAATCAACATCTATGTAGGCTTATGCATATGAATGAGCAGCTGTGGCATGTTGAAACATTTTCCCAACTCACGTAACTGCATCACAAATACCCAGGAAAGATTTTTAAAGTCCAGCTGTGGATCTTGATCAGAAATTGCATCAGAATCATCAGAGAACATTTAAGTAAGCTTTCAGAACAGAAAGTACCGTACACGACTTGGACTGGACAAGACCAGTTTTCTAGTGCAAATTCCAACTTAGGTGAGATAGAAGCATAAGTTTCATTACTTGAAAGTTTTGTCGCTAACATTACATCTTTTCTTTGCATTTTTAATACATAAGGAGAAATGAATGCACGACCTAGTTAACTTGATAGATTCTGTGTAGTTTAACTAGAATCACTAAGAAATAGAAATTAAAAGTTTTAAGAATCCTTAAAGATAATCTTGTCAAGTTTACTCATTTCACATATGGAGGAACTAAAGTTCAGCATCTAGATAGGAAAGCCGTTTAATATTTTAAAATTGGTATAGCTGTTAAAGCTGAGGCTAGCTGAGCAGTTAGTAATTTCCTTGATTTTTAAAATTTACTGTAGTAGCTCATGATGGGGAGTGGCTTTAATAGCCCAAGGAATGGAATGCAATGAGATTATTATAATCAAATGGACATAAAGGGGTCAAAAAATTTCTGAGGGAGCCTCACCACTTTCTCGGGCATACTGCATCACTTTCATTTCTAGCATGTTACTGTTGTTAATTGCTATTGTTTCTGTATCACAACTGAATGATGTATACATGACAGCATTATTGTAAGTGTAGGCAACTATTGTTAATTTTTAAAATAGCCACAAATCTGGAAATAGTTATTTTTTTCAACAAGTAGTTCAAATATATTACAGTTTTTCTCTTTCCATCCTACCTTCTTCGTGCACACCCTTTATCCAGCCAGCCAGCCAGCTG
The DNA here is from genome assembly GCF_000001405.40 of Homo sapiens. Classification (NCBI taxonomy): domain Eukaryota; kingdom Metazoa; phylum Chordata; class Mammalia; order Primates; family Hominidae; genus Homo; species Homo sapiens. The sequence continues at coordinate 83,779,213 of NC_000011.10, read as the reverse complement.
CTTATCCATTCATTTATCTGTTATCAATAAGCTTGTCTTTAGTGATACTCTTTGTTGCCAAGTATTAAATTTCACCTAATATGTTACATTAATTATGTTCTAATTAATCTAGTTATCATATTCTAATTTGTACTGAAATATTAGGAAAGAAACTTAAATAAAACTTTACATGACTCTAGATTTTTATTGCTTAGACATTTCTTTCTCCACAACTCTCTCCCACACATGTACACATTCTACTAACAGAAAAAGGCCTCTGCCAGCAACTAGACACTTCCCAGGAAGTCTCTTCACTTATTGTATCCTTTTAATAACCTTCTCCTAGTTGCCTTTGTTTCCTCCCCAACCTCCATCTAACCCATAGCAGCGTAGAATATGACTAAAAAGATGATTCCTGAACAGTCTGCAGATTCATTCATGAAAGGTCCTTTCCAGATTCCTTAATAATTAATCATGCTGCATACCTCTCCCCATGCCTAACAGCCAGTTTTTGACCTCGAGTAATATAATAAGGACAAAAGCAGGTATCACTTCCTAACTCCTAAATTAGAAAACTCTCTTCATCTCATTATCTATCCTGGGAATGGTGCATCTTTAACTCATATCAAAGGGGTTAAAAATATTTACAAAGCTGATTATAGGTTAATAATAGATATAACCTCCTCTCATTGTATGATTACAGTTCCGAACATCCCCATAAAAACTTTCATTCCGTAATAAAGTATATTTATCTTTGACAGTTTCATCTTGTGATTTTATATTATTTGAGGGGTATGTTGACATTTAGTGACATAAATCAGTCACTCATTAATACTGGAAAAAGCCAAATAAATCCTTGTGCTAGAGACATTTTGACAACAAGGAGACCTCTTAGATTCACATCTATCATTAGCAACACCCAGATCAAATGCATGGAAATAAAGGGTTCTAATACTACTCTTGACTCTACAAGTATTACAAAATGAACACAGATCTTCACTAGATAATCCTTCAATTTGATAAGGAATTTCAGGGTGTTAGAGAACTGTAAAAGAATGTTGCACAGAGATATGCAAAGAGGACTATAAAGCAAGACAGCTTTAAAACTTTCTGACTTCACTCTATATTCTGGGTGCCCAGTATAGTTTACCCTCACATCTCTTTGAATAGCTATTTGTCAGTCCTCAACTTTAATAATGAGTAATGAGGCACTTTTCTCGTCCTGTCCCTCACTCTGCAACTTTATTGAGCACGCCTAAGTCATATCACTTTTCTGAACATGGATTCCATTGTTTGTTAATTAAGGTGGTTCAAGAGATTAGTTTTAAGGCCCTTTCCAGCTGATGTTCTATGAAGTTTAGTTTATTGTGTCTTCTGATTAAAACATGCCATCAAATAACAATTATTACAAGAAGGTAATTTCTAAATGTTTCCTTTTTTCCCCATACATTTTAAACACACAGAAATTATCTTTCACCCACTCGGAAGAAGGGGAAAGATCTGTATCTGTGTAATTTGCTGTCTCTGTGTACCATGGGATTTGAAACATTCAATAATGATTTTAAGTTTAATTCAAGTAGAAGCATTTATTGTTTCTTGGGGGTTTCAGGATTAACAACTTACTGTTCATGATCTTTTTGTTTATAGAACCATTGTGGCCTAAATCTTATCAGTTTAATAAATTAAATTGTAATTGCTAAACTTGCAGATAGATTTTTTGAGGCTGAAGGAAAGTAATGTAAAAAATCAATTTCAGGACATTAAAGATGCAGAAAGCTGAAATAGTGGAGATGTCTTGAACTGTCAGAATCACAAGTAGTGGCAGCTTTAGGGTGGAAACCCAAGCCCAAGAAATAGAAAGTATACATCTTTAATGTGCTTTTTAGATTCCTAATTCACATAGAATTCCTGATAGACTCATTACCTAAGTCTTTAAAAGACAAAAATTCCAAATTGCACTTTGTTTCAAGATAATCTCTTATTCTCCTCTTAGCTTCCTCACATTTATCATGTTCCCATTGCTAAAAGTAATTTACTTTATTACTAAAGAATTGCTGGCACATTGGTAAAATTAAGCAATGGCAGGACAACATTCATTCATTCAATCTTTATTCAGCTAATATTTATTAAATTATTCCAGTGAGTGACATGCTGCCTTGCACTCTGGAGATACAATGGTGAGCAAAATAGACATGGCCCCTTCCTTCCCTAATGGACCTACAGTCAGCCAAGTAAAATCACACTAACGAATTATACAAAGTGAATGCTCAAGAAAAAGAAGAGAACTTGGATCCAAAATCTTAAAGTCTAGGTACTCAAATGTACTCAGAGAATACTAAACCAGACCAAACGAAGACAAACAAAAGCTCTGACCTAGAGGAGAGCGTCAAGAAGGCATTCCACGGGAATAATACTTTCTTTAATCTGAAGGGTGAGTAGGTATTGTCAAAGCATAGCAGAAAAAGGAGGAAGAGTATTTCAGGAGGGAAAGATATCTGAAGTGTATCTGAAGGAGAGAGGATGGTGCAGTGGAGGGACTGAAAGCAAACCAGGGAATGTGGGAGAAACACTGGAGGAGGCAGAAGAGAGAAGCAGAGACAGATCACACAGGACTGTGTTATTTCTACTAAAAACAATGAAAGGACCTTTGAAAGGTTTTAGGCCTGAGGCTGGCAAGATCAGATTTGCTGTTCACAAAGATGGCTCTGGCTGCTGAATAGAAAGTAGGCCAGAAAGCACCGAAGAGGCTGGGGTAGGACCAGTTGAAAGGCATGAGTCTGTGTGAGAGATGGTGCTAGTTGGATAAGCATGGTGGCAGACCAGCAGTTCAAGGATGCAGTGAGCTATGTTCACATCACAGCAATCCAGCTTGCAGGACAGAGCAAGACCCTATCTGTAAAAAAGGTAAAATAAAAAATAAAGAGGGGTGGCAGAATAGGTAGAGAGAAGTAGATAGATTCAGGGAAGGATGTAGGTGATAAAACCAATAGACATAAATATGGACCTATGAATACATAAATTCATCCTTTCCTGAAAACATGGAAAGCATGATTGGCTAATTAAAAAATTAACAAACCCTTCACAGAAAAGCATGTTTTATTCATCTTTATTTATTTATTTATTTTATTTATTTATTTATTTTTGAGACAGAGTCTCGCTCTGTCACCCAGGCTGGAGTGCAGTGGCACAATCTCTGCTCACTGCAAGCTCCACCTCCTGGGTTCACACCATTCTCCTGCCTCAGCCTCCCGAGTAGCTGGGACTACAGGCTCCTGCCACCACACCTGGCTAATTTTTTGTATTTTTAGTAGAGACGAGGTTTCACCGTATTAGCCAGGATGGTCTCGATCTCCTGATCTTGTGATCCGCCCGCCTTGGCCTCCCAAGGTGCTGGGATTACAGGCGTGAGCCACTGCGCCCGGCTATTCATCTTTATATTCCTTCTTTTTCCTTAGTACAGTGTCTGGCTAATAGTAGGCATTTAAATGTAGACCAAATTGAAAAAAAAAAAAAGAATAATGACAATGAACTTATTTTATATAAACTCTGTTTTTACTTTTTAAAACAATGTGTAGCTAAAGCAGAGTAAAATATAGATGAGAGAAAAAGAAAGATGTAGAGAGAATGGGACATGGTTACAAGAAGAGAATAATTAAAACTCGCATGTATGAAGCACTCACTACAGGCCTGACACCTTTCTAAAAATCTCTGCATGTGTTAACTCATTTAAACTTTGCAAAAACTTGTGATATAGGTTATATTCCCTTACTCATTTTACAGATGAGGAAACTGAGACACAGAAAGCATAAGTGGTTTTCCCGAGGTTAAAAACTATACAGTAGAGTAAAACAAAGTTTCAGTCTCAGGCAGAAAGGCTCCAGAACAACCCGTGCACCATCCTGTTTCTCATAAAAGGAAGAAAATATAAACAGATTCATGCTGTAATAAAAGGCTTGAAGAGGAAACAAATAAAATAGTTTGGAATGGGTGTGGAGAAACCAAAAGAAAAAGATGCCAGGAGAGGGATATGGAGGGACAAAATTTGTCAGACAAGGAAATAGAGTTAGGAGGGTTCATGCTGGTGGAGTTGGAGAGTTTAGCACCCAGTTGTAAATGAGAACGGAGTCCGACAGTAGCGGCTTGGAGTAGGGCCTGGATTAGGAGCAGATGCGGGCTAGGAGAGTATGTCTTCTTTCTCTTTTTAAAATTGTTGTTGTTCTTTTGGGGGATATGGGAGTCTTGGGCTTGGCTCTAGGAATAGTTTGGCTCTAGGAATAGTTTGGCCCCAAGCTGTCATAAAGGCAAGCAGAGGGCTCACCACTTGCTAGCTGTGAGACCTCAAGTGAGTGACAACCTCTCTGTGCCAGAGAGTCTTCACCAGGAATGTAGGGGTAATCATATTTACCTTCCAGAGTTGCTGGAAGATTAGTGAAAATGGATGTAGAATGTTCAGAATGGAGTAGGCCATGCGTAAATGACAGCTAGTGTAATAACCTTCAACACATATTTGAGTGAGCATTGTGCTGCCCTTTGCTCTAATCAGCCCTTTGCACCATACTTAGAACTATCCCTGAGAGGGTCAAAGAGCTTCACAGAGTTTGGGAAGCAGCAGTAGTTAAGAATTTCCTTACTTCCTGCTGATGGGCCTGAAATATAGGAAGAAAAAAAAAAGAATTCCTACTGTGAAATCGGATAGATATGTTCAAATTCCAGCTCCACCATTAACAGCTCTGTAGCCTTGGAAAATTACTTCACTTCTTGGAGTCTCATTCTTTATCTGTAAAATGATGATTCATACCTATCTCACAGGATGACTCTGGGGATTAAACGAAGGCGTACATATAAAATGCCTGGCACTGTCCTGACAGATAGTATGTCCTCCATAAGCGATAATTATCGTTATTATCATAATTATCAGAAACAACAGAAACCCTATAATGTGGCTATTATGTGGAGAGAGAGATAATTAGACCCAGAGGAGGAATGGAACTTGAGAAAACCCTTGGGAGACTGTGGATGCAGGCACTTACAGGATGTCTTCAGTATCAAAACTGATGTGGAGATAACGCCCTGTGTGGAAGTTTCAAATAAACTGTCCTCTGAAGAGTCCTGGGGTCTGGCAGAGGGATGGCAGGAGCAGGGATGGGGAGTGTAGGAGGAGACAACCTGGCCCCTGGCCCCAGTCCCACTCCAGCCAGAGCAATCTTTATTTGTTTTTCATGTTTGGTCTTGGATACATGAAGCAAGGATCTTACCACCAAAAAACAGTTTTAAAGCTGTTTATCAGAAGGCAAGAAATGCTCTTCAGATTAAGGTATTTGTGTGCTTAGGATGAAAAAAGCTGTAAGCTCAGTTATTTTTCCAGTAGAAAGTAACCTCCATGAGAGCATCATGTTTTGTCTGTCTTGCTCACAGCCGTGTCCGAAGTGCCTAGAGGAGCACCCAGCACAGAGTTGGCACTCAATACATATTTGTGGAATGAACAAATGGGCCAAAAAAATGACCATACCTTGCAGTTTCTCTTCGAACTATGGGTAACAAAGTAAATTCATCCCCGCTGAAATGCTTGTTGGGAGTTCTGTTAGTTAACTAGAGCTCCCAAATATTGATCTTCAATGCCGAAAAATAGCCATTCTATGGGAGCAGATTTTCTTTGCTTCCAAGAATGATTCTGACACTCCTGCTGACCAGGTTAACTAAAGACAAACACACACTCAGTTTTACTTTGGTTGTTTGGTGCATGAAAGCAAAAGATTAAGCAAACAAATAAACATATTTCGTAATGATCTTAATAGTGGCTTTGAGAATTTGAAAATAGAGTCTTGGAAACATTAATTGAAATATAAAATATTAGCTAGCACAAGTATAAGACTTTGCAGTTTACAAAGCGCTCTCATGTGTGTTTCTTATTGAATCTACAGAACAACTCCAAGAGGTAAATATACTGGTGGTATTATCATCATTGTAATTTCATAGATAAGAGAAGTTAAGCTCAGTGAAGTTAAGTGACTCGCTCAAGGTCACACAACTAGTAAATACTATGAGCCAAACTTGCACCCAGATGCTCTGGTTCCATTTCTTGTGCTCTTTCTTCAGCATCATACTCTAATTAATTTTATTATCCAAATAATAACTAGCTGGAGCATAGAATTATCAGGCTTTCCATAAGTTTGCTAATCATATTTTGAGAAAACTTATTTACCTGTTTGATGAGTGAATGCTTGGTGGTATATTAACTTTATTTTTAATGCTAACATAATATGTGGGTTCAAAAATCAAAATAATATTAAAATGTGTACACTGAGAAGTCACATATCCTCTTCGTCTCCATTGATCCCAATTTCTTCTTGCCCCTATTAGTAGCCAGTTAAATTAATGAGAAACTTATCTAAATAAAATCTGAAACTAAGACCATAGAGGAATACAGGTAAATCTTATTGGTATTATTTTAAAGAAGAAAAAAACACTTAACAGGAGAATGTGTAATGGCCTGGGGAGTTAAGGAATGAAACATTGTGATTTCTTAGTTGGCTTACCACTGACACCTGCTCTTCATGCCTAAAGATATTTTCCCAAATCAGAAATAATTTTATAGCATTAGATCTTCCTTCTTTCCTTTCTTCCTTCCTTCCTTTCTTCCTCTCTCTCTTTTCTTTCTTTCTCTGTTTCTTTCTTTCTCTTTCTTTCTTTTTTCCTTCCTTCCCTCCTTCCTTCCTTCTTCCCTTCCCCTTCCCCTCCCCCTTCTCCTTCCTTCCTTCCTTCCTTCCTCCCTCCCTCCCTCCCTCCTTCTCTTTTTTTTTCTTTTCTTTTCTTTTCTTTTTTATTGAGACAGGGTCTTGCTCTCTCACCCAGGCTGGAGTGCAGTGATGCAAACTCAGCTCAGTGCAACTTCCACCTCCCAGGCTCAAGGGATCCTCCCACCTCAGCCTTCCAGGTAGCTGGGACCACAGGTGCACATCACCATGCCCAGCCAATTTTTTTCTATTTTTGGTAGCAACGGGGTTTCACTATGTTGCCCAGGCTGGCCTCAAACTCCTGAGCTCAAGCGATCTGCCTGCCTCAGCCTCCCAAAGTGCTAGGATTACAGGCATGAGCCACCGCACCCGGCCTAGATTTTTCTTTCAATGTGACTATCATAATAACCAATCTTCTGTAGATTGCCAAGGGATCACAAGTTACAAAAGAAATCTCCATGCAATTGTACTTCATTAACTGGTGTGATTTTCTAGAAAAAAAAATGGAACACAATAATCTTTAAAGAGGTTACTGGCATCTAAAGGGATATGAAATCAAGGTTAAAACCACCCCATTCCCTTGGAAATATGTGCAAAAATTAACCAGTTTCATATCATAGACATCTTCATATAAAGATATTTATAATCCGTTTTCATTATGCAATAGTCAACGCGTAAATACCTCTGTTGAAGGTCACTCAGAAGAACTGATTTTATAAATGATTGATTTCTTGGTAATAGAAATAATCATACCCCATTTATCCAAATTTTTAAAATAATCATGCACCACAAAATAATGTTTAACAATGGATCACATATACAACGGTGGTCTTATAAGATTATAATACCATATGTTTATAGTACTTTTTATATGTTTAGATATACAAATACTTACGTTGTGTTACAGTTGCCTAGAGTATTCAGTACAGTAACAGTAACATGCTGTACATATTTGTAGCGCAGGAACAAGAGGCCATACCACACAGCCTAGTTGTCTATTAGGCTATACCATCTAGGTTCATGTAAGTGCACTCTGAGATGTTCCCGTGACACCAAAAGACATAATCACCATTGTTAAGCAACACATTGCTGTATTTTTATTTTCTTTTAAACACTTGAATTTCCTACAAAAAAGAAAAAGAAATATTTGAATTTCTTAAAAATAGGCATTCTTCACTGTGGGAGATTTTCCCAGTATGCAAAAGAAGGAGTAGTAGGGTTTTAGAGACAATTCCCCACTGTTGTATACTTAGTAATGAGCAGCAGAAACACAAAGAGCATTCTAAAAGAAACACAATTATCTATAAAATTGCAGACAAATAGTTGCTTTAGGTAACTATTAGTGAGAAATAATGAAAGTAGTGTGTCTACACTATCATTATCAAAACAAAGCTGAAACAAACTCCAAAGAAATGAAGATGTGAAGATTATTGGGAGGGGTGTGGGAGACAGAAGGACGTGCTGAGAAAATTGCTGAGGAAAATCAAATGTTTTCAACTTGGATAGTTCTATTTATCATTAGGAATGCATTTTTCCCTCCTTCTAATAGATTCAAGAGAAAACGTTTTTAATAGTCTGCTGACATATGGATGTTTAATTTTCTTATTGAAAGCAAAAAAAGTGGATTTTCTTATTAATCTCTTATTTGTTCGTTTTGTGATTGTTGATGTTGAAATATTAAGGATACATTATTGTAATTTTTTCTCACAATTTGTATTTTCCATCTTTGACTTTCTTAACTATAAACCAAAAATAAAAAGTAAAATTTTACAGAAAGCCTGAGAGTACAGAACAAGCTATAAAGAAAATCAAGTATAATATCTGGCTTTTAAGCATAATGTATATTATTTTATAAAACAAGAGCTGGTCTTTAGAAGAAAAAAAAATAAGCGCACTTATCAAGCATTTACTATATGTCAGGCAGTTTTCTTGGGCACTTTTCCTCTAAATTTATACATCCAAATGTATGTCTTCTCTTATCATCCTCTTCTCAGCTATACCTCTCCTTGAATGTTTACTCAAATGACACCAAATTGCTCATCCTTCACCCGACAGGCCTTGATGTTTCATCCTCTGGGGCTTAGTAATTATATTCTGCCCAGAATTCCCTTTTTCCTTTGCCTACTTAACACACCTTTACTTTCTTTTTTTTTTTAATTAAAGAACTTTTTAACTGGTTTACAAAGGAGGCTATAGACTACATTGAAACTAATCTTTGTACAAAAAGCAAAAAAACAAAAAAAAACACCAGACACCACGAGACAAAAGGTAGGAGGAAAGACAAGAAAGGAAGGTACAAAAGGAGCAGGAAGAAACTTACTTAGGGACAAGATTAGCATCATACAGGGGAAAGAGCAAGATGAGAGAGTATTTAAAAGCATTTACCCACACAGCCCTGGTGATAATTTAGTTGGAATCAACAACAAACACAGTATGACATTATTAAGAGGTTTTAAAAGGCAACAGTCATGTGGACGGGTTATTGCCAGTGTTAAGAGAGAAATAAACTTGGGTTTTTGGGCACCACAGATTGGAGCACCACCCCTCCATTCCAGAGGACAACAGACTTAGGAAGAGGAAGCAGGCCCTGGGGCAGCTGCCACTGGAACCCACCTTTACTTTCAAAGAACAAGGTAGGCGGGGCACAGTGGCTCACGCCTGTAATCCCAGCACTTTGGGAGGCCGAGATGGGAGAATCACCTGAGGTCAGGAGTTCAAGACCAGCCTGGCCAACATGGTGAAACCCCGTCTCTACTAAAAAATACAAAACTTAGCCAGGCGTAGTGGTGGGCGCCTGTAATCCCAGCTACTTGGGAAGCTAAGGCAGGAGAATAGTTTGACCCCGGAAAGAGAAGGTTGCAGTGAGCTGAGATTGCGCCATTGCACTCCAGCCTGGGCGACAAGAGTGAAACTCCATCTCAAAAAAAAAAAAAAAAAAAAGAAGCTAGAGTCATTCTCCTCTAGGAAGCCTTCCCTAACCATACACTCCATCCCCAGGAGAGGAACACTGCTTCCTCTGTGCTATCTCAGCATCTTGTGTTGTTGCCTTTCTCCCTCAGACTTGTACTTCATGTAAACAAGCACCTGACCTGGCCAGAGACTATGAGCTTCATGGGGGAAAGGAGTGACTCTAGTAGGAAGTCAATAAATGTTTGATGAATGATTCAGTCAATTGATCAATAAAAATTTGAGTGCCAGTAATATTTTTAAGCCTAAGCATCATGAAAATGGGTAGGTTCATGTGGAGAAGCTGATGGCTAGTCCTTAAAATAATAAAAATAAATGGTGAACTAACAAAGCCAAAGGAGAGGTTTTGCTCTACACCATCATGAAAGTCCACTTATGAAGGAATGAACTGGGTTCAAGGATTCAGAAAAAAATCACAAGTGAATGTAGAAAGAACAGGTAGTAACTAGTTATAATACTTGTTATCATTATGGAGTGCCCAGTATGTCTAAATATTTATGTACATTATGCCATTTAATTCTCACAAAGCACTGTAAACACTGTTATTCCCATTTTGTGAATGATAGAATAAAATCCCAGGGAAGTTACACAACAATTAAGTAGAAGAGGCAAAATTCTGATAATGGCCTGCCTGACTCTGGTGTCCATTTGAAACACCATATCTCCAAGAGGGGGCCAACAGCCAGATCTTAACTGCCAATCTCTGGGTCCTCACCTATTCCTCACTTCTTTAGAAGGAGAAAAAGGCCATGCTCCTTTAACTAGTATGGGCGAAGTTCATGGATTTTACAGCACTTTCCCTTCACAGCCTCATTAAACTTATATGCATGGCCTCAGGATCTGCTGAGCCACGTTGTGCTGCCAAGCCCTGGGGCTTTAGAATGATGCTTTGCTCTAAGAGAGCACTTTTCTTAAATCTGGCAAGTTGTTGCTTAATAAAATATACACCAACTATCTGAGCAATTGAGGGAAGAGGGTAGTGATTATGGTTTAAAACTGGATGTTAAAGAAAGCAGATTACCACCGAAGTGAGAATTTCTGAATGTCATTTGGTCTAAATGGAACTGTGATTAGGAAAAGAAAAGAGACATCTGAAAAAGTCATGAAAAGAAAAATAATAGCAATTTTGAATTTCAACTAAATGGGTGAAATCTGGGGGATCACAAATGGAAATACTTTCTAAAGCACCCTACTCTAAAGCATCTAATGTAGAAGGTACAGATGCAACAGGAAACTGCATGCAACCTTTAAGGAGCAAGATATTTGGCTCGTAATTAATAAATTCTATATGAATAAAGTTAAGTCAAATGTATATAAAAGATGTTGCTGAGGTTATAATCAGTCTGACTTTAGGCAGCAGCAAAATTTTTTCTTTTGTATAAGAAAAAAATCAGAAAAGAAAAAGGCTAAGAAGGATGAGTTTTATTGTCAGTAAATGTGCATTATCTCGCTAGTCCTAAATGTGAGATTATGGATATAATGGGCTTAATTAATGAGCCACTAGAAAGTAAATATTCAGAAAAAATCAAACTTACGTCTTATGAAGAGAGGCAAAGATGTTTGAGGACAGAGCAGAAGTCAAATGCAGTGCTTCTGCTACTTGGCTAGCTGCATGACCTTGTGATAGTTATTTAGCCTCTCCAACCTTCAGATTTCTCATCTGTGAAAAGGGACTAACACCTACTTCATAGGGTAATTTTGATGGACAAGTTATAATAATAATTTCCGGCTGATAGAAAGTATCCGGGAGGTATTAATTACTAAAATAATGAAAAAAAAAGTTAATCTTGCAAAGTGCCTACTGTATATCAGATAGGGTTCTATGTATTCCATGTATTAATTAATGTAATCCCTAAAACAAGCCTGTGAGATAGGGGCTATGATTGTTTCCTTTTCAGAGATGAAGAAACAAAGGCACAGAAAGGCTCAATAACTTGCCCAAGATCACACAGCAAAGTATTAGTGCTGAGATTAAAATTCTGGTCTGGCTGTAGCCTCCCTGCTCTTGACCATCAGAGCCTGCTACCTTTTTATTGTAAAATGATAGCCTGTTTTAGTTTCTTCACAGCATTTGTCACCACATATAATTACCATATTTATTTGCCATGGTCTTCCTTCTCCCAGTTGAAAATAAGCTCCATGAGAACAAGGACCTAATTGAATTATAACTGTAATCCCAGGTGATGGGATAATTCTCTAATCAAATAATTATTACTACCATGACACACATTTACCTATGTAACAAATCCTCACATTTTGCACATGTACCCCAGAACTTAAAAGTAGAGGGGAAAATATAAAATAAAATTTTATCCTAAAAAAAGAACACTACAGAATAATTAATCCCAAAATGTCCATATCCCAATACCTAAAACCTATGATTACGTCACCTTATAAGGCAAATAGGACTTTTCAGATGTGACGAAATTAAGGATCTTGAGATGAGAAGTCAATCCTAGATTATCTGGATGTGCCTAATCTAATCACAAGGGCCTTTTGATAGAAAAAGAGAGGCAGGAGAGTCAGAGAAGAAGATGTTATGACAGAAGCAGAGACCAGATTGACAGCCCGAGAAAGACTATACAGGGCATCGCTGGCTTTGAAGACAGTTTCTTCCCTGGACCTCTAGGAGGAATGCAGTGCTGTGGACAGATAATTTATTCCAGTGAAACCTATTTTTGTCTTCTAAACTCTAGACTCTCAGATAAATGTATGTTGCTGTGAGCTACTAAGAAAAAATGATAATAATTGTATTTACTACTGGTAAATAAGAATGTTAAGAAACCATAAAAGATGATGAGAGAATCAAGTTAGAAAAATGAAAGAAAATATATGTAAGAAATTAAGATTCTAAGAGACAATAGCAAACAAAAGCATTGCTAATAATGACTCAGAAGCATTCCCACAAATTAACAGGCAGTTTGTTAGAAAAGATAACCTTGGCAAAATACATGGTACCTGTATTTTCCCTCAATTGCTGATAATATAATTAAAGGCACACAATCTCATTTTTCCTCATTTTTCAAATTTATAAGAAGGAGGAACACAGTGGAATCTGCATTGCCATGGAACACAAAGAAGAATACCAAAGATAAATAGGCTTAACTCATAACTCATTATAAAAAAAAAAAAAAAAAGGCAGGCCAGGCATGGTGGCTCACACCTGTAATCCCAGCACTTTGGGAGGCTGAGATGGGTGGATCATGAGGTCAGGAGATCGAGACCATCCTGGCTAACATGGTGAAACCCCATCTGTACTAAAAATACAAAAAATTAGCCAGGTGTGGTGGCACGTGCCTGTAGTCCCAGCTACTTGGGAAGCTGAGGCAGGAGAATTGCTTGAACTCGGGAGGCAGAGGTTGCAGTGAGCCGAGATCACGTCACTGCACTCCAGCCTGGGTGACAGAGTGAGACTCCATCTCAAAAAAAAAAAAAAAAGCATTCAGTGGAATCTCCCAAGATTAGTTTTAATATTCATATTGCTTCTAAGAAGAAAATATGATAATAGCATTTGTCAACATCCAAGTAACTGAGCAAAACACAGTGTCAAGGAAATAAATAAAATGGACATTGTATGCTGTCAAGTGTGCTCTCAAAATTTCATGTGAATCTACTTTTTATTTATTATCTACATCTACATTCCAGACAAACATACACTATCACTATTGAGTATATTTGGGTAGCAATTCTAATACCTTAACTTTCCATTGGTGCACAAAGGCAACAGTTTTCTATCTCTGTTCAGTTGGAGAAACTCAATTGTACATATATTGTGCCTCCTATGTTCCAGCCCTTTGCTAGGCACTAGGAACAAAGACACAGCTCTCACTCTCATAGGCTGAAAAAGCAAGGTCTACTTGGCTACCATGTTTGTCTGTCTGAGACATCTGTCTACATCTTGGATTCTAATGCTGCATTAAATATCTAACCTCTGTTAAAACTGAAGGTATGTTGTTAGTATCATAGGCCCAAATCCAGCCTATGGTGTACAAATGGACACTTTTGTGATTTCTGTTAAACGCCAACCCCAAATCAAAAGCCATTTTCCTTTCTGGATATTAAACAACAATCAAGAGCCAGAATTTTGATTTAGAATGTATTTATAGTATGGAATTTTAAAAGGTAAATATTTCTCCTTTTCAAGACAGAAACTCAGATATCAGGATTATTTTCAGAACAAATCTGCTGCCTCTCAGTATTTTGATTAATTCCTCTAGCAGTAATTTCTTAAAGTATTTGTTTTTAATTCTGTATCCCATCAAGATGTTAATTTTCCATCAAGAGTTTTAGAGAAAATGTGGGCTTAAAAAAATTGTTTTAACACACTGATAAAATAATTCATTTGACATATAGCTATGAGCAGTTCCCCAGGACTTTCTTTAGGCTATATTTTACAATGCCAGGACAAAAAAGAACAAAGAAAGTCAAACATTACTTTTTTCTAACCTGGGATTTGAGGGTACAGGGGAGATGTCATTTTAATACTATAACAGAACATGTAATTTTAAGTAAAGTTTTTAATTGTATTTCTAAAAACATGGATCATATCCAAGTCAAATCTAGAGAGTGTGCCGGCCATCTCTGCCTGACCACACCTACAGGGCAGGCCTATCAGCCTATCATTCTGCAGCCTGAGAGCCGAGTTTGTCTCTCCTCAAGTCTGGGACAGACCACAGACATCTGGCTTCAAAGGCCATAGTATTGTAATGACTAAAATAGAGAACACCTCCTGAGTGAAGAAAGATGCACTGAAATGAAGTGATCAAAGCACAGACTCTGGAACCAGAGTCCTGTGTTCAAACCCTAAATCTGTCACTTACTAGCTGTGAGACCCTGGGAAAGGCACTTCACCTCTTGGTGTATCAGTCTCTTTATTAATAAAATTGAGATAATAGTAGCTATGTTATAAGATAATTTTGAAGATTAAGTAGGTTAATGTTTATAAAGCTCTTACAATAGTGACTCAATGATAATAAATCCCAAGTGTTGACAGGCAGAAAGATAGAGTAACTCCCATCCAACCTCACCACCACAGCAAGGTCAGTGACATTTGCCTTCTCCCTTCCCTGCACACCCCTTTGGGGCAACTGGCCTTTGTGATTTCCATTTCTTTTCAGCACCACTCATTCAAATTGCTTTAATCTGATTTTTTGGCTAAATATATTCATTCATTAAACAACCATATATTGAATGTCTATGATACATCAGCACTTTGAAGTTCCAAAAGCTGGGAGTGGTAGGGTAGGAAGCTTCTCCCTCCTGCTGTCTCACAATCATTACTCCCTCCACAATCACTCCCACCGTGATTTTCTCAGCTCTGCACCTGTCTCAGGGGATCTGGTAGCCAATGCTTATGTGATTCCAGCCATGCGATAGTACTGCTGTGATTTTACATAAGCTGGTATGAGGCATACTCCCATTCATTAAGAAATGGCTTCTCTTTCCTAAATAACCCATCTGTAGTTAGAATCCACCAAACAGTTTTCAGAGGCTCTTGTTCAAACAAATGGCCAACATGGGCTTACCTGAAAGATAAGTTCTGAAATATCTTGAACTGGTCTAAATTAGGTGCAATGACTGTTCTATAAATGGAACCACTTTATAAGAATATGAGATCCGGCAAAATAGACAATCAATATTTTTAAAATGAGTTAATAATATGACAGGACCAGTGAGAGAAGAAGGACAGACAATATTGTAGGAACCATTGTGCCTGACTAGAGAGAAATTTCAAAATAAAGAGTGGGATATGGGTCCTGGGGTAATTAACTTTGAGTCTAAAATGCAGCTAATGTGGGATACAGCATTATATGTTATATTCCATTTTAAAAACCTGCCTATTTTAACTATAAGGTATGATCAACTGTAAGATGCAGCCTTATTTCAGGTATATAAAAATGTGGAAAAAGTTGCCTTTTACAATTGATGAAATATGGTGATCATTCACATTTTCCTTGCAACTCACATGGTGAACAGTCACATGTGGCATAAGTGAGATTGGCTGTGGGTTTTTCTATGCATTTATGATAAGTTCACTCCTTTCATTCCTAATGAAGAGAGCAATTTGCAATGCAAGCAAAAGTAAGAAGGAAGCTATAATAGAAACAATCTTGATTCACACTAATTTATTAAAAATCTGTTTTGTGAGAATGCATGGACATAAAGAAAAGAATGAGACACTGGAGTCTACTTGATGGTGGAGGGTGGGAGGAGGGAGAGGATTTAAAAAAAATCTATTGAGTATTATCCTTATTACCTGGGTGACTAAATAATCTGGACACCAAACCCCCACAACACACAGTTTACCTATATAACAAGCCTGCACATATACGCCTAAACCTAAAATAAAAGTTAAAAAAATTCTTAATTTCAGTTCTTTGTACATAATTGCTAAAACGTGATGTAACAGTATGTAATGCACCATAGGGGAGAACTGATGTCCCAAGCTAGCAAAAGGGTAGTATGGCAGCCCTTTATAGGGAACTTTGCCTTCAAGGGTGGACAGGGAGGTTGCTGCTCAAAAAGCCAACCTGGCAGATGGGAACAGAAAATAACAAAACAAAACAAACAACTACTTGCTTGAAACTATATCACAGACTCTGACTCAGATGTTCAAAGCTTCTAAGAAGCTGTCATATAACAATTTAATACTTGGCCAGGCACATTGGCTCACGCCTGTAATCCCAGCACTTTGGAGGGCCGAGGCAGGCAGATCACGAGGTCAGAAGATCGAGACCATCCTGGTTAACATGGTGAAACCCCGTCTCTACTAAAAATACAAAAAAATTAGCCAGGCGTGGCGGCATGCGCCTGTAGTCCCAGCTGTTGAGTAGGCTGAGGCAGGAGAATGGCATGAACCCAGGAGGCGGAGCTTGCAGTGAGCCGAGATCATGCCACTGCAGTCCAGCCTGGGTGACAGAGCAAGACTCCGTCTCAAAAAAAAAAAAAAAATTAATACTTAATCTCAACACTTAGGTTTGCCATTGTCCTTATCATGAAAATTACTACAATTCCCAAACTCATGGCACAAACATGTGTTGACAAAATCTATATACAAAATGTGAGGTATAGTCGACAAAATCTTTAGAACAAAATGTGAGGTGATGCTAGAATGTGGTGACAATTTTGCCCTAACTTAATTGGAAAGCCATTGTAACTTGAATAGAATGGTCCACCTGCAGCATGGTCTTCCCTGCTCTGTCACATAGCATCAGAAAGGACCAGATACTTGTTAAGAACATCTTTAAACTGTGTTGTTTATGCTTTTGTTTTTGAGTCAGCAATCGCTGACAGATTTTAGAAACTGGCGGGAATAAAGAATCAGACATTTAATTTGGCAGGGCAGTCTTGTACTTCAGATAAATGGATCTGGATTTGTGATGCCTTCTTCAAAATATTAATTTCTCTTTTGAAACCAAATCATATTTGGCTTCAATATCTTATTTAAAATGCATTTTTACTTACATATCATCTGCTTTGAGCTCTTAAATAGCCTGGGAGTTAGATCATGGACTTTGAGCTTCTCAAGGATTAGAACAGTGTTCTTCTCACGGTTTGTTGGTACTTGCCCAGCATCTGGTAATTACAATAACTCCCTGGGAGATTCAAGGGAAAATTTCAAGCCAAGTAAGAACTGGAAGGGAAAGACCTCCACATCCAAATAAAGATACATTTTATTTAAGTAAGATTTGTTGAGTTGCTATGCTGTTGTGGGATCTGTGCTAGGTAGTGAGTTTATGAGGATGAATGATACAGCTCCCGGCCTCCATGTTTCCCATGTATTAGGGAACACACAACAGCACGTTGTCAAGGGTGATCCAATAGGGGGAAGCACAGGGGGATTAGAGATGTCTATGTAGCCATTTGCATTCAATCAGAAGGAGTCTAGGAGCAGTTAGTCTAGGACCTGAGATATGATGTTGGGGGTAATGGGAAGTAGGAATCCAATTCAGACAGAAATACATGCATACAAATGCAATTCAGACAGAAATAAACAACAGGAACAAAGCTTCAGAGAAGAATGAACAGGGTGCATTTGTTTCAGAGACTATCATTATTCAATATAATTGTAAGTTGCAAATTGTAATTGTAAATTAAGGCATCAACTTGGGATTGGCCAAATATCAGACTGGCAAGGAACCACTAATAGAACTCGAAGTGAATTATTTGTGGAGAATTTAACATAGGAGTTATTTACCAAAAAGTGGGCCAGATGTATTAACACTTGAGAGGTACTCCAGGACTATTAAGTATGGGATTGTTACCCCTCCTAGACGGGGTGTCCTTGTAGCAATTATCCAACTGCAGAGATTCTCCTAAGGAGACTGCAGTGAGGAATCCAGCAAATAAATGCCCATTCTCACTGTCATTCTGCTTCTCATCTCCTGCTAGTGTTGTCCCTTTGCCAAACCCAACCAGAAGCCATATGTGCTCCATGCTTATCAGCTTCCCAGGCACAGATCAGAGTGAAGAAGGGTGGAGAGCTGAGAAGCCAACAAGCAAAATCTATACAGCATAAATCTGAAAAGAAAAATTTGGCTAAACCTTGAAAGGTCTTGTATCTTCTGCTCATTGTCTTATACCTTAAGACAATGAGGTACATTCAAAGGGTGTTAAATAAGGGAATATTTTTATAGAGACAACCCATGATGTACTTGATGTAGGCAGAAAGGTAGGGCAAGACTAGAGAAACAAGGAGGAGTTAGTAAGCTGCTACAGTTGTCTAGGCAAGGGACCGTGGTGTTGAACTGGGAAGATGCCAGTGGAAATGGAAAGAAGGGACTGGATTTGTGACTGATCTATTTGGAGACAGTTTTTTGTTGTTGTTGTTTTTGTTGTTGTTTTTCTGTTTCTGTTTTTAGAATAGATGGAGATGGTGGGCCAGGAGCAGTGGCTCACACCTGTAATCCCAGCCCTTTGGGAGGCCGAGGCAGGTGGATCACCTGAGGTCAGGAGTTTGAGACCAGCCTGGTCAACATGGTGAAACCCTATCTCTACTAAAAATAACAAAAATTAGCCGGGCGTGGTGGCAGGCACCTGTAATCCCAGCTCCAAAAAAAAAAAAGAATAGATGGAGATAGTGAGATTAGAGAAGAAAGTGAGCAGGCATTGAACTGGAAGTCTAGAAATGAGAAAGAATATGTGTTTAGGACTTGGTCTCAGCTTTTGCACTATGCAGCTAAGTGATCCAGTTGATCCAGCCTCTTTTGAGCCTCAATTTTGTTATCTGCCAATAATGGGAATATAAGCTGGACTTCTTAAATTCTTAAATTTAGTATTCTGTTCTTTTTCATTCATCATAAGCCTGGAGACAATTTCTGCCCACCAGGTGAAAGGCTTTTAATGAACTGAGCATGTCAAGGGAACTTCAGGAATTCACAAGAAGAGTCTGAGGATATTGCTCAGCTGAGGGTCTTTTGGATGTTGAGTTTGTTTATTAAGCAATTCAACTGTCAGTGCCTTAGATTTTAATGTAAGGGAATAGAAGGCCACCCATGGAGGGAAAGTTAGTATGTCCTCTCTGCCTTCTAAATATCACAAACCATATTGAATATTATTCATTTTGAAATGATTTAATAAAACATCTTCGGGAGCTTCAAGATTCCGTTTTGAATGTCCTACTTGTGAGTTTTGGAATCTGGGACAGAGCTGAGCTGAGCTGGTAATTATTATCAATGTTGTAATTATTAATTTGGGTTCTGGATGTCCTTTATAGAACCTATAGGACTTCTCCTAGTGAAGAACAGGAATTTGGCAGTCCATCTTAGCTACTAGTATAAATTTTTCTGCAGAGATCTTTCTCCATTTAAAACCACTATGAGTACAAAGCCCTCCTAGGTCTCATCTAACGTTCTGTGATTTTGTGTCAACAGGAACCTCTCTCACAGAGGGAAGTCACTTCTTAAAGAAACAGGTAGGGTGGTATGACAGCCGCATGAGTGTAATTTGTTGAACAATGAATGCAGGGAGGAACTACTCTAAATTAAAGTCCTACAATGAAAAAAAAATCAATAAAAACAGCTGGAAAGCAAAGACATTTGCTAAAGCCTTCGAGGTCACAGTTGTGCTAATTAAAAGAAAGCCCAAGGGGGTCAAGCAGATTTTGAAAAGAGCTTTTGGATGCCCCCCATCTGAACGGCTGTTCCCTTGCTATTCACCGCAGGTACTTGTTCTCTCCAACCACAATTCTATGCTCATGCATGTGCCTTGATTTGGAATGTGCCCTCTGCCATTCGGCTATCCCTGTCTCACCTCTTATTTTGCAATCAACTCATACAACCTGCCCTTCCAGGACAGCTCAAGTCTCCCTCCTCTATAAAGCTTCCAGTTGCTATCTTTCTATCTTCTGAACCATTAATGTACTTTACCTATATAGACACTTATGACTTTTTACATTGTGTCATAGTAATTTATGTACTTCTTATTCTCTCCTTTAAATCAGAATCTTTCTGACTCATTCCGGTGTCTGAAATATATTAGATATTCAATGTATATCTCTTCATTGATTGAATGAATGAAGCCATCAATTAACCACTCAATCAGTGAAAATAAATAACATGTCCTTTGAAGTGTACTTTCTCTGTGGCCTTGGAAAGCATCTCTTTTATAGTTTCTGCTTCATCAAAAGTTCAGCAGTCGTATCCATAAAAATATTATATTACAAAATGGTAAATATCCTAAGAAATTACATAAATGATACAATTGCAAGCCATATTATGAGTAAAGAGGAGGGTGATATAATCAAAACAAGAATGATCAGCCTAGAAAGTAAGATTGAAACTGTGGTATTTAATTATTTTTAAGTTACTTTTTTTAACTCCTTACTATATGTCAAGCACTGGACTAAGCAGATTGCATGCATTTTTTCATTTAATCTCAAAGCATGCCTATGAGATAGTTACTTGTATTCTCTTTATGGTACACATTAGGACACTGAGACTTGGCAAAACTAAGTAATCTACTCTAGATTACCCAGCCATTAAGTAGCAGTGCTGGGTTTCACATACAACTCATATATATAACTTCATTTATGCTGTACTATGCAACGAAGTCTCATAGATTTCGATAAATGTGACTAGAGAATAGAAGCCACCTATTCTCCTATAGACTGCAAAGATATGGAAAAGGAACATGGCTGGTAAGCTAAAGGATCAAGGGATCCAGTCCCCTGATGGACTGGGTTATGGGGAGTGGGTGGAGAGGGGTGCATAGTTCTGTGGGGTAATTGGATGTGATGTGGAAAGACGTGTGGGGCCTGAAAAGGGACCAAGAAGGCTGAACTAGATCCTGGTGGAAATGAATGGGAGACTAACCAATAGAAGTGGCAGGTTTGGAAGATTAGTCTAGCAGAGGCACACAGAGTTGTTGGGTAATAGAGTGACTTGTTAGGTTACAGAATTTTTTATTACAACCTTCAGAGTCTTTCTCCCAAGAAAAGAAAAGACATTTACAGTCAGCAAAAATTTTATTTGAATCTCTGTATGATTACTTCCATATAACCATTTCTAGCCTAAATTCTGTAATAATTATGTCCTTGACTTATAGTTGGTGGACACAGATGTTAGCTTTGTTTGTATTAACCAAGTCAATAGGGGCAACAGACATGGTGATCAGTACTCAGTGCAGTTGTTCTGATACCAGCTTTTCTACAGGTGGTTATAGGAAGTGAGTAGGAGAGAAAATAAGGGAAATACAAAAGTAGGAAATGAAGAGAAGGGGGTGGTAGTTATATTAAAGGAACTTTAGGCATCAAAGTCTGATGAGGAAAGGGAATGTGCATGTATGAGTGTGTATATGTGTGTGTGAAGTCAGAGAAGCTTTCTAAGAAGCCCTAAACCCCCCTTCATCAAGCCATCTCCTTTAAGCAACCCTGAGATCAAGAGAAGGCATCAGGATCCCTGTTTCTGATCAACACAAATTATCTAAGGTCTCCTTACCTTTGCCCCCAGTCTCTGAAAGTCTTCATCTATTCATCTCAGCCTCTATTTAAAGACAGTTTGCTTTACAACATGGTGGGTTGTCCCTACCATTATGCATTGAGTGGCGATCTTGGATCCCACCTCTGGGTCCCAGCTCACCTCTTTAACACTTTCAGTGCCACTTTAGGCCACAAAGTAGTTCTTTGTTAAGTGATGACTTTCTAGCTTTGAAAAGTTTCAGAATGTAAACAATGCAGTCTCCACTCAGTAGAACCCAATTTAAATTGTTTGAAATATATAAATTCACTGTTACTCAGTCAGTAAGAACCAAAGCAGTATCAAAAAGCAGAAGAGCCCTAGCTCTGGAGTCAGACTGACCTCTGAATTCCAACTCTGTCACTTACTCTGCTGACCTTGGGAAAGTTGTTTAGCCTTTCTGAGCCTCATTTTTCTTCATAGTGAAAATGGGGATCATATAAATTCCTCAAAAGTAAGACACATAAACAAAATAATGCAGACAGGAAATCCTAGTAGAGAACCATATACAAACTAAGCACTCGGTGAATAGGACAGGTGATAACTATTATCCTCATAGGCACACTTGCCACATATGCATATTGTGTATGTTTGTTTAATATACAATATATGACATGTATTTCTATATTAGTGCTTTATGTATCTGTAATACCTAAGACACAATGTGACACATAGTATATGCTCAATAAATATTTGCTGAACAA
The DNA here is from genome assembly GCF_000001405.40 of Homo sapiens. Lineage (NCBI taxonomy): Eukaryota > Metazoa > Chordata > Mammalia > Primates > Hominidae > Homo > Homo sapiens. The sequence goes on along the minus strand of NC_000011.10, from coordinate 83,756,875 downwards.
AGCTGAAAGGCTAACTATAATGGGTTTTTCTCATACAAATGTTGTATTTTATGTTAATAATGAACTCCAAGACTCCCTAAGACTGCTAACTCTATGTAATAATCCCCAGTAACAGATTATAAAGATGGAAATTTTTCTATTTGTTTATATATTTTTTCAAAACTGGGCTGGATTACTTTTATCAAATGCTTTCTCTGGTATAAGATACTGTTCTGTTTTACATGTATTACCACATTCGATTCTCACAAGAATCCTATGAGGTTATTATCTCCTTCTTTCAGATGAGGAATCTGAGAAATAAAGATGTAAGGTGATCTGTTCAGGCTCACAGCTTGTAGGAGGAAGACCCAGGACTCCAGCTAGGAAGTCTGGCCTTAGAGCCAGGACTTGAAACTACTACGCTTCTCTTCACAAGTTCTTATTGTTTTGTTTGTTTGCTTTTAGCATAAAAGCTATGAAAATTAGCAATATATCTCAGTCTTTTAAAGCACAGTAAAAATAAATGCATTTGGCAATCTTATATCTTTACCAATTATATAATTACACTAAGTTCATAGCTATTTGCCATCTTTAGCACACAAAACATTACATAAGTTCACACTTCAGAATTAAACCTGTGGCCCAGGTGGTTCTAAAAGCAGGTAATGCATTCTGGATTTCACTCCTGTGAAATAATTATAAATTATTTCATAAATTAATTCAATTAAATAATTATATAATTCAAAAAGATTCTAATACTGAGGGTGTGGTGCCTCTCCATAATGATGCCGGAAACTATTCTTTTGGCTCTAGAGCTTATAAAGTAAAGCAAAGGATTAGTTAAGAAGAATTAAATATACCGAGGAATAGACAACCCAATTTAATCTTTTGCTGAAGCAAAAAGTATATGCAGTAGGACCTTGACATTTTCAAAATTAATTTGCAACTATTTGAGTGTAACTCATAAGGCCCATAGCTTGTAGTGATTTGTAATTTTGTTAAAGGCACGTGTGGGAATAAACCCTTAACTAGTAAGAGAGTCTGCCAACCACCTAAAGCCAAATTTCAAGATATCTGTATTCTCTTAACCTTAATTGCGTAGTAACCGCCATAGTCACTTCCTATTCCTCACTGTCTCCCTCTTTCCCCTTTCTCCTAGAAGCTGTATTTCAAATGGTCTAAAAATTGACCCCTGAGGTTTGTATGGTTAACCATTTCATGTCCTCTTACATATTTATTACAATAGCTTAGATTCTTGGCCAGTAAATTAACACTATAGATCATAATGTGTGTCCATTACTCTATCTAATCAATGACTATGGAATTTTTAGGGCTGTGGAAATCAAAACAGTGTTTTTTGAGTCTGGGAAAGTAATAAAACATTCCTATATTTACCCTTTGTTAATGAACTTAAATATACTGTCTAGATTCTTACAGTGTATTATATTAAAAATACTATATGTATATGTACATTCATATGAGACTATTACATTGAAATGAAAACACAGTCATATCTAGTTTTTGCCGTTTGCTTGTGGACATCACCCACAGATTTACTTGAGTTCTGATAAACATATCGCAAACTCGATATCAGAGTAGAACTAATTTTGAATAGCTTAAAGCCATTTATAGTCATTCAAGTGTATAATCTGTGCTGGAAATGTAATTTAAAAGATATTAACTTGTATTCTTTTTCATTATAGTTACGTTTATTTTATTTCTTGATTTTTAAAACCTACATTTAAAAAATATTATTTTATTTACACAATCTTCTTTGAAATAAGGTAAAAGTAGGTAAGATCTTGCAACACATCAGTTTACCTTTTGAATGTTAATGATAGGCAACATTCATTTAAATTTTCTCACAACAAATAAATCTGACATTTAAACCATGCTGGTATTTAGAAGCTAGAAACATATTCTAGTACTTACCTAAAATAATATTATATTTTCCTGGAGGCAAGTTAGTTTTCTTCCTTGCTTAAATGAAAGCGATTATAGAAATTAGAATAAATAATTATAAATTAAATTATCACTGATAATTACATATTTTTCATCCTGGGCCATATCTTTGCCAATATTGTTTCTCCAACTAACTCACATCACTCTCTTTGCTTTCTAATGACTTCTTTTTCACATGGCAAATTGTTTCCTCCTGTATCTTGTGTTTCAGTGAAATCTTTGTATCTCTTACATGACAAGCTTCAGCAATCACAAGTAAGGCTCTTACCCTTTGGTCCTCCTGAATCTCTAATCATCAAGTCACAGGCCAGAAAGGCAGGCACCAAAGTGAGGAATGTAAAGTGATCATGTGGAATAGACCCCTATTTTATTTACTGTCAGTAAGGATAGGAGACCTCTACCTTCTTGATGCAAATGATAAATGTTACTTTTGCAATTTACTCACTTTAATTAGCATGATGCACTGCTTCTCCATAATGGGAGTCCTAAATATAGGAGATTTCAACATAATAAATTAAAGACAATTAGGCAAGACAGAAACCAAATTCATTATTTGCAATTCTAATCCTCTTATTGGATATACTTGACATTTAATGCAAAATAAGTGCTCCACTGCCACTACTATTTATACAATAGTAGATACTCATTAAAAAGTTAGTGTTAGAAACTCCACCCCTCCCCCAAGAAATATAGGGCACAATTGATTTTAACAGTTTTTGTTTATTTGTTTGTTTGTTTTTTGCGGGGGTCAAGTATTTTTCTAAGATATTCTGCTGGTAGAGAACTAAAGATCATTATTTGGATAATTCAGGATAAATTTCCCCCAATTGTAAACCCAGTATTTTTTAACTAAATAAGCTCCATGTTTAGGGCAAAAGCATTGTTTATGTGCACTGGGGAATTGGGGATGGGGCAGAGGCAGGATTTGGTTGAATTGTTGTATTACTGCCTTTTTTCTCTATTTCACTTGGCATGTAATTCGATAATTTAAAGCTATGAAATAGACACTATATATATGAAATATATATGAAATATATATATGATATATATGATATATATCATATATATGAAATATATATATGATATATATGATATATATCATATATATATGAAATATATATATGATATATATGATATATCATATATATGACATATATATGCCATATCATATATATTACATATATGAAATATATATATATCATATATATAGTGTCTATATATGAAATAGACACTATATATATTTTAAATTGATATATATATCAATTTAAAATATATATATATTTATTGATATATTTTATATCAATTTTATATATATATTTTAAATTGATGACTGGCACAGGAGTTAAATAAACTTTAATTTTACTTGAGTATGAATTTTGCATTTCTCCTGGAAACTCCCTAAATAAACATCTACTATGCTATACAGTATAGAGGAAAACAATTTGGTCAAAGAGCCATGAGTGGAGAGATCTCAGTTTTTGGTTTTGGTTTTTTGTTTTATTTTGTTTTTGAGAGAGAGAGCCTTGCTGTGTCACCCAGGCTGGAGTGCAGTGGCACAATCTTGGCTCACTGCAACCTCTGCCTCCCAGGTTCAAGGGATTCTCTTGCCTCAGCCTCCAGAGTAGCTGGGATTACAGGCGCCTGCCACCACGCCCAGCTAATTTTGGTATTTTTAGTAGAGGTGGAGTTTCTCCATGTTGGCCAGGCTGGTCTCAAACTCCTAACCTCAAGTGATCCACCCGCCTCAGCCTCCCAAAGTGCTTGGATCACAGGTGTGAGCCACCACGCCCGGCCATGAGATCTGAGTTTTATTCCTTATTCTATTGCTAGATAAATAACCTTGGTCAAAATATTTACCCTTTCTGAGTCTCAGTTAATACTACCTAAAAATCATACTACATTTCCTTTGTAAATTCACTGTCCCCTCAAGGACTACTTTTTATTTCTCCTCTTACCTTAAACTTTCAGCAACACTCTCCTCATTCTCATTGTCAGCTGCTGAGCTTCCTTTCTACTTTTCTGAAACAACTTTATTTAATCAAGAGAGAATCATCTGCCCATCTATCTGCATCTGTAATTTCTTTCCTGGAACTGTGGATGAATTTCCCATATTTCTGGCCAATGCCTTCTTCGTTCTCATATTCCAGGTGACATTAATTCAGCAATTCCTCTTTGTATTTGGCATTATCAACATTTTCTCTCTATTGAATCAATCCCTTAGGAGAAAACTCACACTGCTATTTCTCCCATCTTAAAACAATTAAACAATCTTGCTTTATAACAAAGCTCATTGGAAAAGTGTGCTTTATATCTCCAATTGCTCTTCTTCCATTCTCCTTTGAACCCACTCTATCTGGCGTTCATCCCCACCACTCACCAAAATTTTTATTCTCAGTGTTGCAAATGATCTCCATTGTCACTTCTCAATTTTCAATTTTCACCATATTTCTCCATCAGCAGCATTTGTCATAGTTGAACACTCCTTTCTCCTAGAAGTACTTGATTCGCTTGGCTTATATGATTCATACTTGGATGATTTTCCTCCTGGTTTCTCCTGGTCAATTCTGTGTGTTTTGGAATGGGGAGGGAAGGAAGTTCACCTTCATTGTTAAAACCTGTAATTTGGAGTGTCCCTTGGCTTATTCCTCTTTTTTTTTTTTTTCTTTTGAGACAGAGTCTCGCTCTGTCAACCAGGCTGGAGTGCAGTGGCACCATCTCAGCTCACTGCAAGCTCCGCCTCCTGGGTTCATGCCATTCTCCTACCTCAGCCTCATGAGTAGCTGGGACTACAGGAGCCCACCACCATGCCCAGCTGATTTTTTCTATTTTTAGTAGAGACGGGGTTTCACCGTGTTAGCCAGGATGGTCTCGATCTCCTGACCTCGTGATCCACCTGCCTCGGCCTCCCGAAGTGCTGGGATTACAGGCGTGAGCCACCGCAGCCAGGCAAGTCCTCTCTTTTTTATCTCTACCTACTCCCTTGCTGATCTCATGCAGTGTCATAATTTTAAATCCCAGCTCAATGCTAATAATTCCCATTGCTATCTGAAATCTGGACACTGGAACAACTCTCCAAAGAACTCCATATTGGTGTTCTAGTTCCCATTTGACTTCTCTACTTAAATGTCTAGTAAGTATCTTAAACATAGCATGTCCAAAATTGACCTTTTGATCTTCTACTTTCTACAACCAGAAACTTCTACAATCTTTCCTACCTCAGTGGCAATTCCATTTTTCCAGTTGCTGAGGCCAAAAAACTTGATGTCATCCTTAACTTCTCCCTTTCTCTCATCTTCACATTTGATCCATAAGCAAATTTGATCAGCTACACCTTAGATTTATATCCAGGGCTTGACTATTTCTTAGCATCCTCATTTTTCTATCCTAGTCCATATAACTATCATTCATTACCTGGGTTAATGCAACTGACTCCTAATGGTCACCTTGGTTATGTTCTTTCTCCCTTCAATCTGTTGTCAACACAAATGTAAGTTAGATTATCTTATTCTTCTACTCTAAACTTCTCCTATCCCACCCAGAGCAAAAGCCAAAGTCCTTAATATTGACCTCTAAGCTCCTATATATTTCTCTCCCATTTCCCATTTACTCTCTGACTTCGTTTCTAGCTACTCTTCCTCTACTGTTTCTGCTGTATTCCTACTGGCTTCCTAGTGTTCCTCTAACACACTGGGCACACTTCCAGCTCAGGTCCTTGCTGTTCTCTAGCCAAGAATGTTATTTCTGAAAGTATCTGCATAACCACCTTTCTTCAAACTTTATTAAAAAGTTAGCTTCCACATGAGAACTTTTCTGCCTCCACAGTATACATATACTTTATATCCCACTTCTCTGCTTTGTATTCTGACTTTTTACATTGAACACTATCAATATATATTTTACTTATCTAACATATTTTTCTGTCTCTCTCATTAGAAGAGAAGTTCAGTGAGGACAGAGAGTTTATCTTGTTTTGCTCACTGTTGAACCTCTAGTGCCTAGTAAAATATCTGATACACGGGGAGTGGTCAATAAATGTTTGTTAAATGCATAAAGAAATAAACTAACTCTGTCTACTCCATATCTGGACTGTAAGTTAGGAGGTCTATAACTCTGGGACAATAAGTCCTAAAGGTACCTTTTAAATTATTATTGAAAAAATAATCATATTTAGTGTGTTCTTTATTTTTTATTCTATATGTTTTGATCAGTGTTGGAAATTTAACTTTTTTGGGGCTCTCAGTTTTCTCTTGAGAAGACTGAAGTACATCAGCAGTTTTCATAGGCAAGCATATTTATTTCATATATCTATAATGTCATGGAACCATTTGTTCAAATGGCACATTATTTGAAATGTCTATATGTAGAACAGATGAAAGTAGAGATGAATGTAGGGTACAGCAAGGAGTAGAGCCTCTCTCTATTGCTTCTATGGCACCTCAGAGTAGAGTCTAAAGGTAACTGAACTGCATAATTATCTAATCGAAAAGTCCTATTATTCTACATTTGGTAATTCTTATCTCAATATTTGATTAACCAGAAGACTCTGCTCTTTAACTATATTGGATTTCAGTGCAATTCAGGTATTCAGAATGTTAAGAAAACATTCCTCATACTTGTCGATAGTATTATACGTGGTCATTAGCCTCAGTCACAGAATAACAACTAAACTGCCAGAGGGACTTCCCATGAACACCACTAGAAAAACCCATATTCTTTATCCTACACGACTTTTAGCCTTAAATCCTAGGGCCAGTGAGCTGCTTCAGATGGGAATCTTGGGGGTTCCTCTTGATGCTTTAACTTAAGAACTAGAGTAAAGACAAGCTTGAGCGTTTTTTCTTGTGACCCCTTTTAGTCTTTGTCCATGAGTTTACCTTAGCATTAATCAGAGTTCCCCCTCCCTAAAAGTGAAAGGTAACATGTATCAAATTAGTTCATAACAACCTGATCCTGAAGAATTATGTTTATTCAATGGCACAGGTGGCTGTAATTAGGGCAGTCTTTTTGATTAGTAACAGCATAATTCTTAGGAAGCAGAGAAAACGCTTCACTTATTTTATCTTATGAGGTCAGGCTTTGTGGCTGTTCTCTCTTTGAAACAAAACTTCAGTGTTTACAAACATACCCATAGGAGACAATTTGAAGGTATCTGCCAATTTTCCCCAGTGTAGGTCCCTACATACACATTTCTAAGAAATAATCTTACTTCGCTGTGCATAGCTAGATGTGAACCAAAAGGAACTCATCAGACCCCCTCAGGATTTGAAATTGCATCTTAGAGATGCATTTCTCTCTGTTAGTGCTTAAACTCAAAGATGGCATACAGCTGGGGTGCAGGCTGGAAATACAGCTGCTGGGTGGGGGCTCTGTGTGCAGAGAAAGTGGGTTGGCAGAGAGAAGGAAGAGGGAAACTGACACAGGAAGAAACAAGAGGAGACAGTATAACCAAGAGAGAGACAAATGGCACAGATCATAACTGAAAAACTCCCTTTATTCCTAGGCCTTGTGGTTGCTGTTTCTAGACTGTTTCAAAGCCAGGATTTGCATCTTTTTCTTGGGTTCCTAGAAATGACCCCTGTATCCTGACAAGGAAATTATCACTTTAGCTTGAGCAGTTTGAATGGACATCTCTTTTATGCAATAAAATTATTTCTGAAGGAGACGCTATCAGGATGAACATCTTCAAAAAGAAAGGCAAAAAGGTTGCCTCTCTGGCAACTGTGACCTGATTCTATGGCTCTCCATGCTAATCATCACTGCCATCTCTCATCTGTGTTGTGCTGCTAGAATTCCAATGTGGTACCTGCACAAGTCTAGAAGGACCTATTGCCTATGATGGTCAACCCACAAAAGCCATATGGGGAGCCATGACCACTAATGAACTACATACTGCAGCTGCCTCAGAGTCAGTCAAAACTGATATAATTGACCAAAATCTATGTAGAATTTTTCCCATAAAATGTTAGAGTATGAAAAATGTTTTAGAGATAAATTGATCTTTTAAAAGAGTACGGAAAATATTATCTTTCATTTATTTCATTTCAAATGGCAAAAAAAGCTTGTAAAATTGCTACTTCTGCTTTTCTGGGAAATGGAGGGGAACAAAGTAGTAGAGATTTCATTTTGGAGCTAAAGTGAAAAATTATCATACATTTCTATTTTCTACCGCCAATATAAATAGTGCACATAAAAGATACCCTTAAACTATATACTAATGGACAAAGATGAGAGTTCCTTTTCTAAATGTAAGCAGGCATTACTGTGAATCAGTTTAAACATTGTCTTCTTAGTGAAGCCTTCCTTGACCCTTCTACCTCAGGCAGAGTCATGTTTCTTTCTGAGCTGAATGGCATTTTGGACATATCCCTGTGATTGTCATGTACTCACTGTAATGACTGTTTATCTCTCTTCTTCACTAAACAGTGAGCATTTTGAGTAGGAAGTGGGACCATTAAACAGGAGGGCTAATACAGTAGAAAAAGCAGGCTTATTAGAGTAAGAGTGGAGTCAGGGAAAGGGAAAGCTTGGCTTTATTTAAACTAGGTTGAACATGAGGTGTCTCTGAAAGTTGCAGATGAAAATGTCCAGTTGATTATATGCATCCTGAGAACAGAATACAGGTCTAATCCACAGTTAGAGATCTGGAACTAGTCAAGGTGTGGTTGATAGTTAGAACTGTAGTAATCAGTGATATCGTCCTGGGAGAACATGTCAAGTGTAAAGGGAAGAAAGCTAAGAACAGAGCCCTCGTGAATATGTATCAAGGGTAGACCATATTTCCTAAAGTGGTATTTTTCAAACCTTGACAGAGTACATACAGAATCTATCTAAAGGAAAGCAGCATTTTATATGATTAAAGATGGGGATTCTCAAGCCAGATTGCCTGTTAAATCCCAACTGTACCACTTACTTGTTGTGTGATCATGGGTTATTAATTTCTATAAGTGCCTCAATCTTCTCCACAGCACAGTGGAGCTAATAACAATACCTATGTCATATGATTATTACAAGGAGTTAGTACTTAATATCTGGTATATAGAAAGCTCTATATGAGTGTTTGTAAAATAAAATTCAAATAAGAAAGGAAAAGAATCCTTGAGTAAACTCAGGTTGGCTTAGAATTTTTGTTTATATTACTTAAATATATAATATATATAAACAGAAACTTCATATGAAACATCTATACTTGCAGCACTAATACAACCATAAAAACTAAATATGCTTATAAAATAAATATAAAGAAAATTCAAAACCGGGTGCGGTGGCTCATGCCTGTAATCCCAACACTTTGGAAGGCCAAGATGTGTGGATAGTTTGAGCCCAGGATGGATCACTTGAGGGTGGATAGCTTGAGCCCAGCAACATGGCGAAACCCCATCTCTACAAAAATACACAAGTAATTAGCAAGGTGTGTTGGCGTCCACCTGTAGTCCCAGCTACTGGAAAGGCTGAGGTGGGAGGATGGCTTGAGCCTGGGAGGCGGTTGCAGTGAGCCAGAATTGTACCACTGCACTCCAGCCTAAGTGACAGAGCCAGACCCTGTCAAAAAAGAGAGAGAGAGAGAGAGACAGGAAGGAAGGCAGGAAGGAAGGCAGGAAGGAAGGCAGGAAGGAAGGAAGGAAGGAAGGAAGGAAGGAAGGAAGGAAGGAAGGAAGGAAGATTTTAAAGCAAATTAAAATCAAACTTACAATATTAATTTAATGTAATTGCTTATGTTATTCTACCAAAACTACATAACAGTTCTCCACATGAAGTATGATACTGGCTGCAGGTAATTTTGAGTTTGATATACTTCTACTTTCATGTGCTATGTTATGACTCACTCCAACCTCCCACCACTTCTCCTCATTTGTATAATATTCCAAGGTACTGTTTAAGGTTATTATATGTCCATCAATTTTCTTTTCTTCTTGGCTCAAGAAAATTAAATCAGTACCATTTGGTATTGACGCATTCATACATACAAAGGTAAGAGATAAGAAATCTTATGGTACTGCTTGGTTTTAGGGCAGGCACCCAGATGATCTAAAATGTGTTTATATTATTGTTCAAGATAATCATGAAAATGCAAACAGAAGCTTAATCTTCTTGTGAAGAACTTATGGACCTTAGTAATATGTCACCTAATTCCAATCTAAGAAATAAAGTTATAAGGAGCTGCTTTGAAAGAAAAACTGAAGGGAGTGTAGTATTACAAACTTTTTTTTTATTATACTTTAAGTTCTAGGGTACATGTGCACAACGTGCAGGTTTGTTACATATGTATACATGTGCCATTTTGGTGTGCTGCACCCAGTAACTCGTCATTTACATTAGGTATATCTCCTAATGCTATCCCTCCCCGCTCCCCCCACCCCACAACAGGCCCTGATGTGTGATGTTCCCCTTCCTGTGTCCATGTGTTCTCATTGTTCAATTCCCACCTATAAGTGAGAACGTGCGGTGTTTGGTTTTTTGTCCTTGCAATGGTTTGCTGAGAATGATGGTTTCCAGCTTCATCCATGTCCCTACAAAGGACATGAACTCATCATTTTTGATGGCTGCATAGTATTCCATGGTGTATATGTGCCACATTTTCCTAATCCAGTCTATCATTGTTGGACATTTGAGTTGGTTCCAAGTCTTTGCTATTGTGAATAGTGCCGCAATAAACATACGTGTGCATATGTCTTTATAGCAGCATGATTTATAATCCTTTGGGTATATACCTAGTAATGGGATGGCTGGGTCAAATGGTATTTCTAGTTCTAGATCCCTGGGGAATCGCCACACTGTCTTCCACAATGGTTGAACTAGTTTATAGTCCCACCAACAGTGTAAAAGTGTTCCTATTTCTCCACATCCTCTCCAGCACCTGTTGTTTCCTGACTTTTTAATGATGGCCATCCTAACTGGTGTGAGATGGTAACTCATTGTGATTTTGATTTGCATTTCTCTGATGAACGTGATGGTGAGCATTTTTTCATGTGTCTGTTGGCTGCATAAATGTCTTCTTTTGAGAAGTGTCTGTTCATATCCTTTGTCCACTTTTTGATGGAGTTGTTTTTTTCTTCTAAATTTGTTTGAGTTCTTTGTAGATTCTGGATATTAGCCCTTTGTCAGATGAGTAGATTGCAAAAATTTTTTTTTTTTTAAGGCAGCGTCTCACTCTGACACCCAGGCTGGAGTGCAGTGGCATGATCTTGGCTCACTGCAACCTCTGCCTCCTGGGTTCAAGCAGTTCTCCTATCTCAGCATCCTGAGTAGCTGGGACTACAGGTGCATGCCACCACGCCAGGCTAATTTTTATATTTTTAGTAGAGACGGGGTTTCACCATATTGGCCAGGCTGGTCTCGAACTCCTGACCTTGTGATCCATCTGCCTCAGCCTCTCAAAGCGCTGGGATTACAGCCACTGTGCTCAGCTACAGGCTTTTAAGAAAGGAAAGACTTGAGTATATTTAATTGTTGAGGGGAAGGAGCTAGGACAGAGGAAGAAGTTGGAGATAAAATGAAAGAGTAAAGGAATAATTGAGAGAGTAAAATCTTGAAAGAGACAGGGAGGTTTTGAAATCAAAAACAGAGGTGGAAGGATTAGAGTAGAACAGAAGAAAGCTAAATCAATGCAATTTTATAAATTTAGTTCAAGGATAGTGTTGCATAGTTTTCTAATTTTTTTCAAACTTTGGCCACTTCTTGCTGTATAAAGAACACAACCAACAAAATTTGTTTTCACAGCATTTGGCCAGGTTTTTATTCTACAGAATGCATCACAAACACTGAGAATATATGAGGGGTTTAAATCCTGTAAAAAGAACCTCAGGATGAGCAGATGAGTTGATCGCGATGCATGGGAACCAATCATGAGTGTCAGTATCCAGAGTTTGAGAACTGAGATTCGTATTTTTGGTTGCTTTCGCTAATTGCTGATGACAGGTATGAGTATTGCAGCATCCTAAGAAGACAGCTGGCTTGGAGCCACGCTGGATTAAACTGCTAAGTATGGAAAGTGAATTATTTTTCCCTCAACATGAAAGGTTCTGGAAATTAATCATTTTACTTCATAACAAAATCTGATGACTACAGGGCAGGTCTGGGCAGCTAACTTAACACAGTTTTAGCTTCTGTGTAGGTAGAATAAAAAACTTCCTGAAACCCTTGTTTATACCAAAGCCTTGTGCCAAGCAGGTGTCCTAGACTCCCAGAAGTGGTGAATCATAAACATTCATGAGGCATTTTCTGTGTCAGTATTTTCAGCTATGAAATTGAAGTGGTAACGGATCCAAACACTAAAAGACTGCTGAGGATTTCCAGAATTCTGAAAGCAGATGATCTCTGGGTGAGGACTAAATTGTCTGTTTTCTAGAACATACTGTAAATCACTCTCTGGTATGTGGCTACGTAAAGTGAATATATGTAAGTGTAGGTCCTTAATAACAAAGGGTGGTGATGTTGACTTTCATATTTAATATGGGAAATGAGTTCACAGATTTGCCAAAAAGCAATACCTTATAATTTATATTCCTATAGTGCAGTACTTGGTTTGTATCTCTGCCCTGTACTTATGTGTAGGACCACAGGTCACCATATGATTTAATCAGAGTGCATATGGGAAATAGAAACTATCCTATGTAGTTTAAGAAGAAAGAAATTTAATTCAGGGAATTAAGTGTTTGTAGTATTGCTGAATAATTGAAGGAGTGGGAATTAGGAGGCAGCTGCTGGATCAAAGTCAAGAACACACTGCAATACTTGAAATCTAGAGAGAAGGGGAAAAGGATTAGAAAGCAGTTATATTATCCACTACCACAGAACTGCCTCTCAACATTCAATTCTGGATAAGCTTGGTTGACAGTAGAAAGATAACAGGAAGATGGTCTCTCTCTTACTTCAGCTTTCACATCCAGTTAGGGCATCTAACCGTGGAAACCCAATTTGCATTGTGAACCCTAGCTGCAAGGGAGTCTGAGAAATGTAGTTTTTCATTTTCCAGCCTCTGTAGTCAGGAAATCCCATAGAAAGAAGTAGGAATAGATGCTGAAGACCCATTGACATACCCAGTACGTAATAAATATAGCCAACCTTTATTGAACATTCACTGCCCTTTACCTGTTTTCATTCGTGTAATCCCCATAGCAACCCTCTGAGGTGCATGCTATTTTTTGTCTACAATTTATAGATGAGAAAACTGAAGCACTGAGAAGATGAAGTAGCCTGTCCATGGCTAGGAGCAGTCACTCATGCCTGTAATCTCCCCACATTGGGAGGATGAGGCAGGCAGATTTCTTGAGCTCAGGAGTTTAAGACCAGCCTGGGCAACATAGTGAAATGCCATCTCTACAGAAAATGCAAAAATTAGCTGGGTGTGTTGGCATGCACCTGTAGTCTCAGCTACTTGGGGGACTGAGGTGGGAGGATCCCTTAAACCCAGGAAGTCGAAATTGTAGTGTGAACTGTGTTTACATCACTGTACTCCAACCTGGGTGACAAAGTGAGACCCTGTCATAAAAAAAAAAAAAAAAAAAATGGCCTGCCCACTGTTATGTACATTGTAAGTGAAAGAGAGAGAAAGAGACAGAGATATAAAGTAGGGTGCTTAGGGCATAGAAAAAGAAGACAATGGATTGAAGAGATATTTCTGCAGTAAAACTGACAGGATTTCATGACCTCTTAGATGCAGGGGTTAGGAAAAAGGAAGAGACAAGGGTGCTAGAAGTTACTGGTTTAGAAGACTATGGAGGGTAGTCCCATTAGCAGAGATGAATAAAACCACCTCTTCTGCTCAGTCAAGCTTCCTTTTAAAACATGAATTGTAGAGCTAAATGTAGGGCCTACCTATGACCTGGCCTAAGAAGATTACCCTAGTCTTGGTTGGATAGATCCATTTCTTTTTAGTCATTATTAATGCAGCCAAAGATAGAATTATTGACTAACATTAAGTTGATGGTTACAGAAACCCACAAAGTCATATTTTACTTTGTTTGTGTTCCTGTGTTGTCTTTCTCACTAGGCTATATGGTACTTTAAAGCAGCAATAGAGATGTCTTCATTTACTTCTAACTTCTGGGTGTCTAATGCCATAACTATATGTTAAATTTAATTGAATGAATTTTATGGTCCAATGGTAGATTAGGGCCAGATAATGAGGAAACTTTAATCTCAAGACAGAAAAATTCTAATTCTAATTCTACTGTAAAAATGACAATATGGACCAGGATGAAAGGTATTTTGGGAAGGTTTGAAATGTAGTGTGTGCCCAGTAAATACTACTGCTTCATTAACATCAGGAGTATCATACAGAAAGTAAGTACATACTGTTAAAACTAGAAGGAATCCAGAGTTGAGCTAATTCAATCCCTTCAAAAGAGGAAATAAAGAGCCAGAGAAGGAGAGTGACCATGAAAGATCACACAGCCAGAAAGTGCAGAGGTGGGTGCAAAGTCAAGGACTCCTGAATCTTGGTAGCATTATTTCTGCTAACACAAATGATAGAAGTCTGTGACTATGGAAAATTAACCTTCTCCTGCTAATAACTAATTTTTCCATAGATTTTTTTTCCTTAGAGTACTATTTATTTTTCTCTTTTAAAGTTTTAAAAAAACTATATATATTTAAGGTACACAACATTATGTTTTGATATTTCATATACATAGTTATGATATTATTACTACAGTCAGTCAAATTAACATAGCCATCATCTAACAGTTACGTCTGTGTGTGTGTGTGTGTGTGTGTGTGTGTGTGTTAAAAGTGTGGTAAAATTTACTCTCTTAGCAAATTTCCATTATACAATACAATATTTCCCTAAAATTTGAAACCCATTTGTTTATTCAGAAAACGTTTGTGAAGTTTCTAGTATTCTAGCTGGTCTGAAGCACTGGGATAAAGAGATAAAAAGGCACATACTCCTTGTGCCCAAGAAATCACCAGTCTTCTGGGAGACAGCATTCTCAGTCTTTTGGTTGAGCTTCCAAAATACAGTGTGAGTTTTCAGGGAAGAGTTCCAGTGTGTCTGTCTAGAATGTCAGGGAAAGGTTCTCAGCCTCCCAAGTAGCTGGAACTACAGGCACCCACCACCACGCCTTGCTAATTTTTTGCATTTTTTTTTTTTAGTAGAGACAGGGTTTCACCAAGTTAACCAGGATGGTCTCTTTCTCCTGATCTCATGATCCACCTGCCTCGGCCTCCCAAAGTGGTGGGATTACAGGCATGACCCACTGCACCCAGCCAGTATGGCCATTTTTATAATATTGATTGTTCTAATCCATGAGCATGAAATATTTTTTCATTTATTTGTGTTGCCTTTGATTTCTTTCAGAGATGTTTTATTGTTCTCCTTCTAGAGATATTTCACCTCCTTGATTAGCTGTATTATTAGGTATTCCGTTTTCTTTGTGGCTATTATATGTGGGATTGTGTTCATGATATTACTGTTAGCCATGATGTTGTTGGTATATAGAAATGCTACAGATTTTTTAATATTAATTTTGTATCCTGAAACTTTACTAAAGTCATTTCTCAATTCTAGGAGCCTTTTGGTAGAGTCTTTAGGATTTTCTTGGTATAGAATCATATCATCAGCAAAGAGTGATAGTTTTATTTCTTCTTTTCCTATTTGGGTACCTTTTATTTCTTTCTCTTCCCTGATTGTCCTGGCTAGAACTTCCAGTACTATGTTGAATAGGAGTGGTGAGAGTGGGCATCCTTGTCTTGTTCCAGTTCTAAAGTGGAATGGTCCAAGATTTTGGTCATTCAATATGATAATGGCTGTGGGTTTGTCATAAATGTCTCTTATTATATTGAGGTTATGTTCCTTCAGTGCCTAGTCTGTTAAGGGTTTTTATCAGTGAAGGGAATTTGGATTTTATCAAAAGCTTTTTCTGCATCTATTAAGATGATCATATGTTTTTTTGCTTTTGATTCTGTTTATGTGGTGAATCACATTGATTTGGGTATGTTGAACCAAACTTGCCTCGCAGGAAAATGCCTACTTGATCACGGTAAATTAACTTTTTGATGTTCTGCTAGATTTGATTTGCTAGTATTTTGTTGAGGATTTTTGTGCAGGACAAAAATTCTGTCCCCATGTGTTTTAGTATGCAGAGAGGTAAAACACAAGTCACTGGGGGCATGGCAAAAGCATACAGCAATGAAAACTTTTCCAAACTCTTTTCTTCACAGTGCTCCCTCCATGGCACAAGTGTTTTCAAAAAGCAGTAACTTTTTCACTCATTGCTAATATATCATCTTTACTTTGTATCAGGAGAGACAGAGAAAGTATATTTATTTTTACTGTTTTCATAAAATTTGTATTGATAGCATATAGACAGGAAAATGCACAAATCAGAAGTATACAGCTTATGCTAATACATAGTGAAGATACCTACGTGATCACCACTCAGATGAGGAGAGAAAACAATGCTTCTTTGTACTTCTCCCAGAAGTACTGCCTCCTTCTGAAGAGTAACTGCTATCCTAACTCCTAATGTCTTTGATTAGTTTTTATCCAGTTGGCACTTTAAATAAATATAATCATATAGTATATAATCTTTTGTGTCTGGTTTCTTAAACTCAGCTTGATGCTTGTGAAGATCATCCATGTCATTGGATATAGGTGTAGTTCATTCATTTTTAGTGTTGTATAGTATTCCAGTGTATAAAATACCACAATTCACATATCCGTTCTATTGTTAATGGACATTTAGGCTGTTTCTGTACTTAACTATTATTAACAATGCTGCACTGAGTATTTTTGTGCATGTCCTTTGGAACAAAGGTGTATATATAGGAGCAAAATTGCTGGAATGTAGAGTATGTATTAGTTTAGCTTTAGGAGCAACTGCTTAATAGTTTTGCAAAGTGAAGATGAATTTACTTCCACATTAGTTTTTCTTTTGCATTGTGCTCTGTGCTGTCTTTGTGCTCTGTACTAAAAGGGATAGAATTCTGTCATCAGCTATCACTAAACTTGTCATCACCTTCCTCATTCCTCTAAAATTTGCTCTCCTCAGAGGTTCTCCATCCACCCAGATGCTTGGGCATCATATCCTAATTACCAAGTGTCGTCAAGCCTACTTCCTACATACCTCTCATGTTCACCAGCTCCTCTCCAGCTGCACTGTGATGAGTCCATGAGAATCCAAGGAACTCCATACTGTGGTGTACCCTGAGGTCCCTAGCCAGTCTGCTACCTTCTGTCTACCTTTCAGTCTTCCTGTGTTTGTTTTCTAAATAACATGTAAGATTTTTAGCTGTAATTAGAGGGAGGAATGGGGGAAAATAAGCTTACTTTATCTTCTGGGAAATCTCATTTTGGTTTAATTTGCATTTCTCTGATGAATAATGAGGTTGAGGCTGAACTCTTTTTTTATATATTTTTCAGCTATTTGAATATCTTCTACTGTGAATTGCCTGATCAAATCTCTCGGTCATTTTTTCTATTGAGTTATCTTTCTTTTTCCTTACTGATTAATATCACAGAAGTATTATATGATTTAAGGCTCCAATGCATATTTTTCTTTATGTCTTGAGTATGCTTAATGTTCTTTTTAATTATCTGCTAAGTAACATGTTTCTGTTAACAATTTATCCATAGAAACGATTAGTAGAATTTAGAGGCTTATGAAAAATAAAAATGCATAATTTATTATTAACACCTCTTTTTAAGTACTTTGACACCAGTGAAGTTCTGCATAGCACAAAAGATTCTTATGGCCACTTTTCAGATTATTACAAAATACTGTAAAGATTCTGTGATTCAAATTATCTTAACCCATCAGTGGTGGGTCCAGTTAAGATAATTTGAATCATAGAATTCAAATGGGGGCACAGTGAAGCCCTTCAGCTTTGTGAATGTCTCTCTTTCCTCAAGATGCCTACAATCCTTAAAAAAAGAGAGAAGAACTAATACAAGGAGAAAACAATCATATAAATAATAAAATAATATAAATAGAACCATTTGAACCATCATGCACACTTAACTGAGCTCTGCTTATCCCCCAGCACTTTGGACTTCACTGTCACCAACAGTAGGCAACATTTAAAAGATGTTGAGCAGGATTTGTGTGTTAAAAGTTCACCTTGATGGCAGAAGATGGATAGGAATAAAGCAAGACAGTTACTTTCATGGTCCAGATGGCAGACAACAAGGACCCATCATCATGCAGCTATGATGGGAGAGGAGCTGGTGAATATGAGAGGTGTGTAGGAAGTCGGCTTGACAACACTTGGTAATTAGGATATGATGCCTAGGATTTGGGTGGATGGAGAATCTCTGAGTAGAGCAAATTTTAGAGAAATGAGGAAGATTATGACAACTTTGGTGATAGTTGGTGACTTAGAATTCTGTCCCTTATTGTACAGAGCACAGCTTCTCCGTCTGACTGTATCTCCTGCTGTTTTGAGGCAGAGGAAATTGGAACTAAATTCAAATTATTTCGAAGCTTTTCTCCCTAATGTATTTATCAAATCACAGCCCGCTCAGCTGAGTGTGCTAGACAGGTACATTTCATTTGGACAATAATGCCAGTGGTTTGCTAGTGACTAGTGTGTGTCTTTGGGGAGCAGCCCCCAAAGAGAAGCCTGCCCCTCTTTTTCAACATAAGAACTAGAAAAAAAAAATCTTGGCTGTGTACTGCACATCATATTATCTCCAGAAGCCTAAATTGGTAAATGTCAGCATTACTGTGGACAGTGAGTGGTTGCTGATGTGGGTTTGGGTAAACATTGTAATGGTGGCTGGTTGTAGATAAAGAGCAGCAGTTTATAATTTGTGATGGTGCATGTTTAACTCCCCCTGGAAAACACAGACCCTTGGAATCTGAACTTGTTCTAAACCTCCTTTTCTCACAGAAGGATCAGGAGGAAGAGAATTGGCATCATCACTAACCCTGTTTCATAAGCTATCCAATGCCATCCTCTCATCTCTTAATTGTTTCCCTCTGGGGTTCCTCTCTGAATATGGATCTGAGAGGAGAGGGAGGAGAGCAAGGGGGCACAGGTATTAAAGAGAAGAAGAAGAAAAGAAGATTATGTAAGGCAGCATCACCAAAAGAATAAGTGGAGAAGACAGGAAAATTGCAAGTACAGAAGAAAACCTCAGGAACCAGTTCAACTAACCCTTTTACAGGCACCCACCACCACACTCAGCTAATTTTTTCTATTTTTAGTAGAATTGGGGTTTCACAGTGTTAACCAAGATGGTCTCGATCTCCTGACCTCGTTATCCACCTGCCTTGGCCTCCCAAAGTGCTGGGATTACAGGCGTGAGCCACCACACCCGGCCTATTTATTGTTTCTTAATTATTCATTTAACAATTATCTAGAGTTAACTATGGACCAAGCATATAGTTCTATTTGCTATCCTTTTCCAATCTGTGTTTATAATCGTATGGACTTTGATGTGCCTTGCCACCGAATATATTTGAGATGTGTTTTAAGTAGAAACATATCTTTCAGATTCAGCAGAAATGGAGAAAAAGTATAGCTCCAAGAGAGCATGAAAATGTATGCCATTAATTAAAGCATAATTTTAAAAAATAGAACCAATCAATATGAAAGTTCATTTCTCAACATACTTTATCTTTTTTTGTCTGATTAATTGCTTTTCTCCTCCACTCACTTTTTCTTTATGAGAATGTTTGTTTTCAGTAGGACATTATGAGAATGTAGTGAAAAAGTAATTCTAAAAATAATTCATCTGATAAAAGAGTTGTATTAACTTTATTACAGCTTCACACCTAAAATCTGGGAGGTAAATAATCTTTTGCAGCATCACAGTAGCATCTGTCTTCTAAACCCTTTTGTTCTAAGTCCCATTCCAAACAGGTACAGCTTCCATGGTATGATTTGTTTGCTTTTATCCAAACAGGTGTGGTTTTTGGGGCTCTACAGTGTGGCCTATGGCTTAATTACAAAATGAGATTTTTGTATACATAGTTTATTTCACCTAATAAAATGATACTTGTAGTTGGAATATTTTGCTTTTCAGATTGTGTAGATATCTTGGAATTGTACCACCCACAGTGTCCCAAATTCTGTCATGCACAGATGCTCAGTAAACTGAACACTGCCATCTATAGAGAAGTAATTAGCCAGCATCAGGTTTCATTGGAATCACTTTGCTGCACTCTGATTCACCCTTAAATTATTGTCTTCACTGTGCATTATGAGCTGATCAAAGCTGTTCTTCAAGTTTGGATGCTTTTTTTTTCTTCTTCTTCTTATTCTTTAGGGCAATGCTCTAGAGAAGAAACAGGCACTTTAGAGAGCAACTACATTTTCAAAAATAGATGAAATTAAAACAGAGCAACAAATCATACACACAGTTGATTTCTGTTGCTAGGATGTTTTGGCCTCTGTTTTATTTATTAACCAGCGCTGTCAGCAGAGAAAAATAGGACTTTTGAGACAACCATTGTAAACAATAAAGCCAAATGTCAGTCAAACAAATAAATAGCCAATCTTGCCAAGAAAAGACATTGCAGAATCTCTGTATCTTTCTCTTTTTTTTTTGTATCTAAAAAATGCATTTCAGAACAGGTGCATAAAGTTGCCCTAACTTGGTCAGGCCATCTGGCTAATTAGTATGTATGTTGAGTTCTAGTAATAATAATATTAAAAGCAAACACTTGTGTAATACCCTTTTCCCCTATGAGGACACTGAGAGACAGAGAAGCTAAGTAATCTAATCTGCTCAGGGACACATGACCAATCAGTTTAAGACTTGGGTCTTGAACCTGAGCGGTTTGGCTCAAGTCTTAAAAAATATGCCCTCTTAACAAATATACTATCATGCTCCTCATGTGAAAAGCAAAACCTCAGAGTGGCATAGGCAGAGTTATTAAAATAAAATGATTTAGGTTGAACTGTATGAAAAATGTCAATATTTGACAGTTTGTGACCTAACAGATCTGTAGTTTTATACTGTCCAATCTAATCGCAACTAAAGCAACTAAGCACACATTTATGAGGCCTCTGCTCTGGGTCAGGCCCTGTTTTCTGGATGTTGCTGGAGTTAGTATGATTTGGTGGCAGAGAGTGAATCTGGAGACTGGAATTTTCCAAGTCCCATTGCTAATTTTGATTAGTCAGTTCATTTCCCTGGACCTGTCTTTTCATCTGTTAAATAAGCAGATCTCAAACTTTTCAGACTGTAGTTCACTTAGAAAGGGTGAACCATCTTATGTCTCATTCATTCCAATCACTCTCAATTTCCAGTGGTAAACAGAACCGCTGGTTAGAAAGAATGTGACTATAAAAGCAAAATGTACGTGTGGGAAGAATTATGTTTGCATATGCTTTAGCAATAGGAATACAGATGATTTAAGTGTCCATATGTCTTAAAGCCTAATTATTACAAAATATTAGGCCAAAATATAGTCAGAGTGCAAATTATGTGTCACCAAGAGTTAACAAAATTATCTGCAACAAATAGAAGGGATAATGGTAAACCTAAATTAAATTTATCATTAAAAGTAGGAATAGTAGGATTTAACAACTATGACCAATTAAAGAAAACACTGAGGATTCAGTGGCTTTTTAAAAAGCATCTTGCCCCCAAACTGGGAGGATTCCACCTCTCTGCCTGTGCAGTAGAAGCTGTGTGACCTAGTCTTCCTGGTATAATACCAAATTAAATCCTTAATCAATTTTACTAAAACACTAATTTAAATATCAAATCAATAATCCTTAACAATTCACTCAGTGCTGGTTACATTTTAAAATACGTACCTATGAAATTACAAGTGATTTACCTTAAAAGGCCAAAGAAAAACTTATGTGGCATGATTGTGATGCCCTCACCTTCCATCCTAACCCTCTCTAATCGGCCAATATTAATATCAAATGTTAAAAAAATAATTATATTTATTTTAAAACAGAGGACACACATACACAAAGCCACCACTTATGTCAATACAGTTTAACCCCTACACAAAGGTGACAAGACAAACAGGTGAGTAGAGGCTAATACCTATAACAAGTTCTGCACAATCTGTGTGGGGCGCCTTGTTTGTGTGTGGTGTACGACAAATATGTATAAAATGTGTATTTTATACATATGTGTATATATATAATATTAATGTATATATAACGATACATAGGCACACATAATTAAACAATTGACATAAATGTTTCATGAAATAATACTCTTACTGTGTGCATTATCCTCTGAAGTTTCTATTTTATTTTTTAAAGAAAACTATGGGCTGGGTACAGTGGCTTATGCCTATAATCCCAGCACTTTGGGAGTCCAAGGCAAGAAGATCACATGAGGTCATGAGTTCAAGATGAGCCTAGCCAACGTGGTGAAACCCCATCTCTACTAAAATACAAAAAAATAGCCTGGCATTGTAGCCTGTGCCTGTAGTCCCAGCTACTCGGGAGGCTGAGGAAGAAGAATCGCTTGAACCTGTGAGGCAGAGGTTGCAGTGAGCCAAGATAGTGCCACTGCACTCCAGCCTGGGTGACACAGCAAGGCTACATCTGAAAGAAAGGAAAGAGAGAGAGAGACAGAGAGAGAAAGGAAGGAGGGAGGGAAGGAGGGAGGGAAGGAAGGAAGGAAGGAAGGAAGGAAGGAAGGAAGGAAGGAAGGAAGGAAGGAAGGAAGGAAGGAAGGGAAAATTAGTGATCATAAATTGATTTGATTTCACAATCCACTTTTGGGTTGTGATTTGCAATTTGGAAAGCATACTTTTAAAGAAGGTTACTCAGATATGCCAGATATGAGTTCACCGTGACCTCTATGAATAGTGTGGGCAACAAATGATTGGGTAAAGAAAATGTGATACATATAGAGAGATGTAGAGATATTTCTGTCTATAGATAAATATAGATATGGAATATTAGCCAAAAAAGAATGAAATCATGTCTTTTACAACAATATGGTTGCAACTGGAAGCCATTGTGTTAAGTGAAATAACTTAGAAAGTCAACTACCACATGTTCTCACTGATAAGTAGGAGCTAAATAATGTGTGCATGTGGACATACAGAGTGGAATAGTAGACACTGGAGACTTGGGAGGGTGGGAGGGTAGGAGAGGGATGAGGAATGAGAAATTACTTAATAGGTACAATATTCACTATTTGGGTGATGGTTACACTAAAAGCCCAGACTTCTCCACTTCACAATATATCCATGTAACAAAACTGCACGTGTATCCTCCTAAATCCATTTAAAGCAACAACAACAAAGAAACAAATGAGCAAAGGCACATTTGGAAATTTCTTAGATGAAGGGATTTGAAGTTGATTGCTAGAACTGGGCATAGTTAGCCTGGGCTAGAGACAAGTGATGATTGTAGAGAGGAGGAAGAAGCCAGAAGAGTAAGTCTCAGTCCTCCAATATTTGAGCAGCTACCGAAGTAACAAGACATTAGAGGGACTAAGCATTTCTTCCTGTGGCTCCCAGGGATGGATTTTCACTCATTCAGCCACCTGAGCACTATTTAACACCAGCTACTTGCCAGCTTCTGTGCTAGAGACTGAAAATCAAATACCAAATACATTAGTTAATCTTTATGCAAAGAAACCCTGCTTTTTCAGTGATGTGATAGGTCAACATGCCTGATACGATATGCAGTATGGAGAGATTTTGTTAAGTCCTAGTGAGTGGTTTTATTAGTGACTCACAGAGCTCCTCATTTACCAGGGTTGCCATTTGACTCAATTTCTTTTTCCTTTTCTCTTTCCTTTTTTTTTTTTTTTTTTTTTTTTGAGATGGGGTCTCCCTCCATTGCCCAGGCTGGAGTGCAGTGGCATGATCTCAGCTCCCTGCAACCTCTGCCTCCCAAGTTCAAGTGATTCTCCTGCCTCAGCCTCCCGAGTAGCTGGGATTACGAGCACCCACCACCATGCCCAGTAATTTTTGTATTTTTAGCAGAGATGGGGTTTCACCATGTTGGCCAGGCTGGTCTCGAACTCCTGACCTCAAGTGATCTGCCTGCCTCAGCCTCCGAAAGTGCTGGGATTACAGGCGTGAGCCGTCGCGCCCAGCCATTGAGTCAATTTCTAAATACTTCTGAGTGTTCACTACTGTGCAGAAAGTGGTTCAGTTATGGAGAAGCAGATGTCCTCAGAAGGTGAGCTATGAGCTTTCTACCTCAGCGAAAGTGTTTCCCAGTGCTTCCTTCCCCCATTCCCCTCCCCAGTTGGAGCATGAAACTATGAAAGAGCTTCCATCTGAACTTTAAAGGAGCCATTTTAGAATTCTAGCTTTAGACATTTTTTCTTGAGAAAAATCATTAAGCTTTCCTTTTATTTTAGATTGTTTAATTTGCAGGAAAGCACACATGATAATGAATACATAAATCTTCTCAAATACCCACAAAGCCTGCATAATGAATTCTTGGTTTTATACGCTTTGGGCTCTTACCAATTTCTTTTAAATTCCAAAATAAATCCATTAGAAGTTGTGATCCCCATCATTTCACTACACGGAAAATTCACTGTTAAAGCTTGTTTAGGGTTATCTGTGAGTTTATTATCAACATGTTGAAGTTACAGAAAGACATATTTTGGTTCCATATAAAACTAAATTTCTAAGCATAATAGCTACCTTGGTAGGTATTAAGCTCCCCAACATGAGAGACATTTAAGAATAGTTGAAGGTCACCTGGCATCTGGTTGGAGTAAGGGGAGAATGTTACCCAAAATTACCCTTTAGCTTCCTACCACCCTTGAGATTGTATGTTTTAATTAAATAATTAATTTAATTATTTCTCCAGCCCACAACCGAGTTTTTTCCCTAAAACAGCTTCCTATACGTGCTTTCTGGAATCACATCCAAAAACACAAAATGGCTTTCTCTTTAAATGAACACGTCTTTAACATACTAACTAGATCGAAATTAATCAGTAAGTACATTTCAGTCAGTCTCTTCTGACAATATAGCCATGGCTCAGCAAAATCAAATTATTAGTAATAATAATTATGAATAATACCAAATAGTAACAAAGCACTAGTAACATTGACAATTGTTCTTAAGTTGCTAACATTTATTTAAATGACTATTGTGTGGCAAATGCTGTACTAAGTGCTTTAAAGGTACTAATTTAATGATAACCCTTTCTGGTGGTATAGCTCTTATTTTCATTTAACAGATAAGAAAACTGAGGCAGGCAGCCAGAATGGAGATTATCAAAAAGTCAAGAAACAATAGATGCTGGCGAGGCTGTGGAGAAATAGGAATGCTTTTACACTGTTGGTGGGAATGTCAATTATTTCAACCATTGTGGAAGACAGTGTGGTGATTTCTCAAGGATCTAGAACCAGAAATATCATTTGACCCAGCAATCCCATTACTGAGTATATACCCAAAGGAATATAAATCATTCTACTGCAAAGACATATGCACATGTGTGTTTATTGCATCACTATTTCCAATAGCAAAGACATGGGACCAACCCAGATGCCTATCTATGATAGACTGGATAAAGAAATGTGGTACGTATACACCATGGAATACTATGCACCCATAAAAAAGGAATGAAATCATGTTCTTTGCAGGGACATGGATGAAGCTGGAAGCCACCATCCTCAGCAAACTAACACAGGAACAGAAAATTAAACACTACGTGTTCTCACTCATAAGTGGGACCTATACAACAAGAACACATGGACACAGGGAGGGGAACAACACACACCAGGGCCAGTCAGGGGCTGGGGGGAGAGGGGAGGGAGAGCATTAGGACAAATAGCTAATGCATGAGGGGCTTAAAACCTAGATGATGGGTTGCTAGGTACAGCAAAACACCATGGCACATGTATACCTATGTAGCAAACCTTCACATTCTGCACTTGTTTCTCTGAACTTACAAAAGAAAAAAAGAAAGAGAACTGAGGTAGGGAAATTACATAACGCAGAGGGCCACTTGGAAATAGCAGAACCAGGACTTAATGCCGATGAGTATACTAACTCAACAGAATAAACTCATAACCACTAGCCTATCTATAAAATGAGCTTTATTTAGATGTTTTTGACCCTTGCTAATTTCTGTTTCATCATCTAAAATTTAGGGACCTAGTAAGGCCCCCTTATTGGAAATAATCATGCTGAGAAAGGAAGAATGACCCCTATAGGTTCTTAGTTGGAACAGACCCCTGGTTTCATATACACATGGGCGACAACCAGGGCATGAGTAATTCTCAAAGAAGTGACTTTGAAATTCAGCTTATGTAACATCTTCAACGAGAAACAGCAAATTTTTAGAGAAGTGACAAGATGAAGGAAAAGGACTTTGAGTCTCTTCAGGCACAGCGAGCAGTTTGTAGGAAGCCAAATAAATGGCAGATAAAGGCTACTTAGTAAAGCTTGTTAATGTAGATTCTCCTGGTACCATGACCAGGCTGATGAGGGTCCAAAGTTGTGTTCAGTGGTTAACCTTTGCTCTCCCTGGTAGAAAAGCAGGGATGGGGGGAGAATACCTTTGTCTTTGTAAATCTATGTGCTGCTTTTAGGAAAATGGAGGGCAGAGAGTTTTCCCACATCTGCTTCTTCTTGATTGTCTTTAGCTCAGTAATTCTTTATATTTTGGGGAGGCATATTCCGGTCTCCCACAATCATATACATTATAGCTTAAGTATATGTTCTTAAAATTTGAAATATTGTATTATAAATTTTCAACAAGTGGAAATGGTTAAGTAATTTACAAGGTATCTACTCAGTGAAATTTTAAGGAGTTATTAAAATGTTTCTGACAAAGAGGTATTAACAGGAAAATGTGTGCAATTATAGCAGATGAAACAGTAAAGTGAACATTTTTTTGATATAGTGTGACCTTAACATTGTAAAAAAAAAAAAAAAAAAAAACCATAAAAAAACACCTAGAAGGAAATGACAAATATACTCACAATGATTGACCCTGAGTAGCAATATCTATTTTGTTCTAATATCTTTTCTTTAAAAATCTCTTGTATTTTTACTTAGTAAACTCCAATTGTTTCTACAATTAAAAAAAGTTTGTTTTGTTTTATTTTTGGTTCTATAAAGCGGTTTACTTTTCTGATACAAGTGACTTGGTTTCTGATCTGACGTTATTGTGTATAAAGTATCATGCTTTCATGCTCACTCTTCTTAAATGAAGATATATTTTAATGGTCATATGTTCATTTAGCAATAAATGAATCTGTATAGAAA
Organism: Homo sapiens; assembly: GCF_000001405.40. Taxonomy (NCBI): domain Eukaryota; kingdom Metazoa; phylum Chordata; class Mammalia; order Primates; family Hominidae; genus Homo; species Homo sapiens. The sequence goes on along the minus strand of NC_000011.10, from coordinate 83,729,819 downwards.
TGGGCAACTCAGATTCACTATAAAACATTCAATTATTAAGATGCACAAAGACTGCCAATTCAACTTTGCCCAGACTGGAGTCTAATGTATAGAATCTCCACTGAATTTACTGCCACCTTCATCAATTCCACCGAATTGACTGCTGCAGAATTTTATCTGCAGCCCTGCGAACTATGATCCTGTATTTTTCAGCTCACAGAGAATGGTGAAGGCTGGTCCAGCTGGTTTGAAGAACTTAATGCAAGGTGATGTGATTTATAGTCCATTTTGGAAGGTCCTCCACATGTGTACTATCTCCAGGCTCATGATTTAAGTACCCAGCTGAGGAAGAGTAATTCCTGTATTATTAGACTTGATTAACCTGAGGAAGCTTGGAGTGCTTCATTTTCAGGAAGGCTCGGGCTGTCCCACACGGAGATTGTATGCTTGAAATATGCTTTTGAAAAACTCTACCTTTGTTTTTCATTCAGTAACTGTCACAAGTACCACAGGAAACTTCTGCCTAATAAGGTCCACTTCCCTTCCTTAGCTTTAGATTTGAATGAAAGATGTCCACCCCACCATTAAATGTTGTATTTAGAGTCATTTGCAGAATAACTTACAATATTATCCTTAGTGGCAATGAACGTCCAAACATCAGAATTTAAACCTTTAACTTTGCCTGTTAAGCAGTTGATAAATAAGAAATATATACTTTACAGACTTACACATGTCTTTCCTGGGTGGGACTTTTTCTTACCTAGCATTGTCTAAAATAATTTATTAAGATATCTTCACAGTAGCATATCTTGGAACTTACCTAGTGGAAGTAACAATGCTTATAATCATGCCTGCATTGTAGAAGGAAAGAATTTTAAAAAGAAAAAAGAAAGAAAAATAAAACAGGACAACAATATTCTACCAACCTTAATTTATTCCTGGGCAAGACAACTGTGTATCACGGTTTTGCAAACACTGGCATAAGTGCTGTTAAATCCCTGTTCAGTTGTAAGTTAAAGTGCAGGGACCAAATGGATTCCCAGGAACTGAACCTATTTCAAGGAGGAAGGCCCTGTGATTTAGGCCTAAGACAAGAGTGTTGCTGGCATGACATTGCTGAAAGCAGGGGAAGAATGACTCCTTGCCCCAGAACTGCTTAGATGTGTCCGGGATTTGTGCAAAGTCCTTTGTGAGTTATTCAAACCAGGCCATCAGAAATGCTATGTTGGGTCATACCAGTGGAACCTTCAGCCAAGCAAGGATCCAAAACATTGCAGGATAGTGTGAGAAATGCTGGAATAACAGGCATATAGGAAATGCTATGGGAATAGTGGGTTGGTCATTATCTCAGTCTGTGAGGTTTGGAAGGATTCCCAGAGGCAGCAGTGTTTGAGTGTGTTTTAGAAGAATGAATAAAGTGAGTGTACAAAAAAGAAGAAAGAGCTGTCTGTATAAAGTCACCAAGTTTTCTAGGAAGAAGATGGTGAGAAGAGAGGCTATTAGGGAAGCAAAATTGTGAAGGTGTCATGTGCTTTACTAAAAACATGGGCTTTGCGCTTTAGTTGATGGGGAGTCAGCAATGGATTTGAACAGAGAAGAGACAAGATCAGGTGAGCATTTTAGAAGGAGTCCTCTGACTGCTGGTGTGGCTAATGCACTAAGGGAACGTGACATAAGAGGGAAGGAGCAAGTTTGGAGAGAGTAGCATTCATGACAGTGGCAGTGGCAACAGAGGGACATACAGAGTAGAGAGACATTTTGGAGGTAAGATTAATGGGATTTGGTGCCTGATTAGATGTGGAGGTTTGAGGCTGAAGATTCTAGTTCATATCACTACAATTGTGATACCACTAACCAAAGACTTTATGCCCTGTAAAATCCATGAATTTGGCTGAACTCTCCAATCTATAGTATGACTTCAGCTGTATAATAGTTCTGTGGCCTTTAAAATTTGAACTAAACTTTTAACTTTACAGAGAACTTCCTTTTGTTTGATCTCACTAAATTTATAGTTTGATAGATGAAAAAGCCAAGTGAAAATAATCTGACTAAAATCACCGAAGTGGATTTTTCGGAGGTTGGACTAGAACCAAGTCTCCATGTTCCCTAGTCTTAAACTTTAAATCAAATAACAAATCTGATAGCTTTGCACTCCATCCACTCCACCCATTTTATATTTTACATGGACTATATTAAAATTGGAGAGACTTTTGAACAGAATAGGAAGCAGGGAGCTTTGGAAAAGTCACAAAGAAATCCTGGGAACTTTTGGGAAGGAAGAGGTGTCCAGTAGAAGGCAAAGGGGAGCCAAGTAATAATGACTCTTCCAGGCTTTCCAGATGTCAATATTTGCATTACTCACAGTCCAAGGGCACCTGTTGCACCTGAATCCACTGAGTTTTCCCTATAAACCTCTCCCCTGTGCACCACATTAGCCTTGGGTGGTGGGGAGTGGAAGGTGGAGAGGGACCAGCTGATAATGGCTGTGAACAACAATCACTGTGGCCTCTACATAGGACAGACTCTGGAACCCTGGGTCCCTCAAGTCTCCTGTCTGTTTAAGAGGTCCCTTACAACTTACTTATCGGCATCACCCTCAAAATCTGTCCCTAGGCAATCTCAACCAGGGAATGAGTGGACTGTTGATTGTGTTGAATAAAATTATCTATGTAGACTATGTAGAGGCTATGAAAATAAGCTTGTTCAGTTTGAAAAGTGATAGGAGCTGCTCTTATATTGTTAAAACAACACTGAATCTCAACCTCAGTGAGCAGAGGAATTGGAGAGTCCTGATCCCTGAAAACCAGAAGTTCTCTACTAGAAGTAGTAGAATCATTTTGCAATGGTGGGAGAATCATTTTCAATTATTTTTTATCCGTGGTGGTGATTGGGAAGAGGTAAGACACCTGTCTTAGATGCAACAGGCATTTGTGGGCAGGAAGAGAGTGTTCATCTGAAGGGGTCATTATTGTCTTTCTAGGAGCCAAAAGGGGCATGCTATCAGGATGCCTGCAGAGAAACGGAAAGTCTTCATGATACTCCTCAAAGCACTGTTTGTTTGTTTGTTTGTTTGTTTGTTTGTTTGTTTGTTTTCAGGCAGATCTGATGTCTCTCAGGGTCTGCAATAACTGACTTGCTGTCAAGATTAGCTTCCACTTGTGGCTGACCTGTTTGGCAATGGTCAAATACCTGTGTCTAACAGAGAGATGGTCTACAGGTCTACACTTGTGCAGCCCTTATCTTTTGGGGGGATTTGATTGAATACCTGCCTTCCTGCCTGGCTCAGTGACTCATCTGATTTCCCATACCTCCTTGTCATTTAGACGTATGATTGGCAGACTCAATAACCAATCATAAAATAAATGAGCAAAATACTGCTTTGAAAGAAAGTTCTTTTTAAAAAACTTTTCTCCTAATATTTTTGTGTGGGGAGGGAAGGAAATTCATATAGAAAAATACAATCCCAAGCTCGTAGGTGTGGTTTAAACAGACCTTGTTTAGTTTTATGATTTAACCTAAAACCCTGGAGACTTCCACAGCTTTCAATCCCATCGAGGGAAGCCCTTTGTCAAGATTAGTTAGAAATGTTAGTGTTAACCCCATTTTATCCCTAAAAAACACTTTTAAAATGTTTTTAGTCTCCAAGCAATGAGCAGATTCAACTTTTCAGTGCTGTTTTCCTAGTGATCATTTGTTTCTGATGAATACATTCACAGCTGATTTTTTTTAAAAAATAAAACATTTACACTTAGATGACTTTGCATCTCAGGTGAGCTTGATTGACTCCTATTTGAGGGACTTTTTTTTCCCTCATAGGGTTTTTTAGCCTGTGCACTGCTCTTTAAGTGTTATAAAGTGAAATAACAGGGAAAAATGAGTGGGTGGTTACCATGGTGACCACCACAGCTGATTTGGGTAGCAGTAGACCGTGCTGGGAAATAGTGCCTTGTTAAACCGAACTGCAGTGATAATATTGAGAGGGAAAGTGAAAATGTCTGAGCTCCGCTTAATCAAATGACCAACCATTAAAACATGAATATCAACATCTGTGCTTTGGCTTCAAATGCATATATAGCACACATCAAAACAAAAGTCCTTAAGCGTACCTGGAAAATGGTTTTAGGAAGGAATCTAAATCGTCCTGGTTTCCAAGTTTTAGCTATTCATCCTAAAATATTAAGAAAAGCTTTAACTAACAAAGTCTTGATGTTGGCATTACAAGTTTTCCTGGTTCAAATTAAATGAAGACAAAGATTAATTTCTGAGATTGAGAGGACCTTATTTCTTGACTTGGTTTTGCCACGCAAAAAGGTGAAATTAGTGAAAGTCCGCCTCCATAAACCTTCCCTTTTTGAATTTTCTTCCCACCTAAGGGACGATTTAAGCAGGCATTTCCTGCCTAAGGGGAGCCAGCAGATTCCAGCCTGCAGCTGAAGAATTAACACTACGCTGTGAATAACTTTGTTTACTCTCTTCCACATTTTAAAAGAAGATACCAGACTACCACTTCAGAGTTGGAATTTCAAACACCAGCAGCTAGCTGGGAGGCAGGATTGAATTTGGAGATAAGAATTCTTCCTGGCGTCCTTCAGCAGCCTCCCCAGGCAGGTTTTCACCTCTTCGACTTTTCCAGGACTAAGCCTTTTTAACTGAGAAGAGAAAGAAAAAGAGGTGAGTGAGATAGCCAACATCTGGAAAGTGATTTGTTACAGCGTTTAAAACGGAGAAAATAATCCCATCTTTCAAATTGGCTTGTTTGTGTTGCAAAGCATCTCAAACTAGCTCTGCCACTAGCCTGGGAAGGTAGCCCTACCTGCTTCACTCCTAACAGGCTTTGGCCACCACTCAAGAGCGTCAGGAGGTGTGTGCTGGCCAGGCGGAGTTTATACACCAAGCAGCTCAACCAGGAGGAGGGAACAGAGCTGAATTTGGGAAGCAGCTGCCTGCTATGCTGAAAACCCCTGGAAACTTGCTAAAGAGCTGTGGTGAGAATCATGCTGCTTTTCTCAGACCCATTTCTCTTGACAGACCATGTGGGGGAGGTGTGGCCAGTAAAATGAAAAGAGGGCAGCAGATTCTCCTCCCTTTCCTTCCTAAAACAGCCTTTCCCTGCCGTTTGTTAGTAGCCACTGCTTGCAGGCATTTTCTACAGTGGCTCTGTTTTCATGTCTGTTGCTATCTGTGTTCTGTGAGAACAACAATCAGTGAATTTTTATCCTCCTTCAACTAAATGCAACCTCAGAATCACACTCTGAGTTTGATTTACCACTGGCCTCTTCAGCAGGATTATCTCATGTGAACTGCTAGACTCTTGATATTCTCTCTCTCTCTCTCTCTCTCTCTCTCTCTCTCTCTCTCTCTCTCACACACACACACACACACGGAGAGAGAGATTGATTAAGGAATGTGAAATATTTGCTTTAGACTTAAATTGGTTCCAGCAATACCTGGATCCACATTGATTTCAGATCAGACATTTAATGTATGCAAGTCCTGTTCAAACAGAAACCAGAGAGCGTGCTTCGGGAGAGCCTAGTTCTAATCCAGGGAGCCAGGCTTATGTGTGTGAAAGAACCAGACAGACTTGAATGTTGAATTCTGCTTTCACCAATCATAAACTGTGCAACCTTGGGAAACCATTTTATTTTACGCGTTCAGTTTTCTTATCAGTAAAATGGGTAGTACGTTCTGGTGGTTGTTTAAAGATTAGTAGTAGTATATGGAAAGCTAGACTCTAACATCCTCCAGGGGGCACGGTTACCTTATTTTGGGCCACATAGTTAAGTAACTGGAAAGGATAATTTTTAACAATCATAGCTTCATAGTTAAGAATGTCAGCTCAGATTATTCTGCCTGAATTCAAATCCCAGCTCTCTCATGGTTAGCTGAATAACATAAACCTGTAAAATGATAATGGTAGTAGTAACTATTTTACAATTTCTGAGGTTCATGCTTTTTATTTTTACTTATGTATTTATTTTTTTTGAGATGTGATCTCACTCTTTCACCCAGGCTGGAGTGCAGTGGTGCGATCTTGGCTCACTGCAACCTCCGCCTCCCAGGTTCAAGTGATTCTCTCACCTCAGCCTCCTGAGTAGCTGAGACTACAGCCATGTGCCACCATGCCTGGCTAATTTTTGTATTTTTTGGTAGAGACAGAGTTTCACCATGCTGGCCAGGCTGGTCTCAAACTCCTGACCTCGGGTGATCCACCTGCCTTGGCCTCCCAAAGTGCTGAGATTACAGGCGTGAGCCACTATTTCTGGCCCCCCAAGATAATGCTTCTTTGGTAAAACCCACAGCATTGCACCCAGCACAAACTAATACTCACTCAATGTCAGCTGTTGTTATTATGATGCAGGAATCTGACTATGGAGCTAGGCAGTTGGCCTCCTTCGACTAAATTCACCTCATTTGTTGTTTTGTTGTTTTCAATTTAATTATTTATTTATTTTTATTTTTTGAGAGAGTTTCACTCTGTTGCCCAGGCTGGAGTGCAGTGGTGCGATGTCAGCTCACTGCAACCTCCGCCTCCTGGGTTTAAGCGATTCTTCTGCCTCAGCCTCCCAAGTAGCTGGGATTACAGGTGCCCGCCCCCATGCCCAGCTAATATTTGTATTTCAGTAGAGATGGGGTTTCATCATGTTGGCCGGGCTGGTCTCGAACTTCTAACCTCAAATGATCTGCCCTCCTCGGCCTCCCAAAGTGCTGGGATTACAGGTTTGAGACACCACCCCTGGCCGTTTTGTTGTTTTTTAAATGAGAAGTTGGACAAGATGAATCCTAATGAACCTTCTACCTCTTAGTGGCTTTGTTCCTAATTGCATCCACATGCATGTAACATAGCCACACATCTTTCTGGTAGGGGCCATAAATAAAATTTTTTAAATGTTTTATGATGGAAAAACAGTGCAATGTAACATACGTTCTGGACTTAAAAATCATTGCCAGCTCATAAAGCCAGATGCGTCATTTCATATGCTCCTATAACTGTATTTCCTTAAGAACATATATTGTCACAGCCCCTGATGCTTCTTTGCATTTCTGTGGCTCTGGGGACTAAGAGACTTGCATCCAAACATTTTGTACTGATTTTAAGAAAGTTTATTCACCTAAGTTGGCTGAAGGTGGCACTTGTTAGCATTTCAAGTTTCTGTATTACTTTTGAGAAGGAACTTGAACCTGTGTCTCTGCTTTCTGTTGGCAATTAATATGTATCTGGCATTACAGCTGAGCAGTTGGCAGCCAGTTTAAAAACCAGCCTGGAGTCACTCCCCACCCCGCCTCTGGAGGTGAGGAGGTAAACTTGCTGGACTGGAGAGATTTGCATTTTCCTCAGAGTTGGAGCTCACCCCCATCAGTACTTCCTTTGCTACTTTCTCCATATCCCCTACCAAATTTACTTCCCACAACTCCTCTACAGGCTTTATGAGTGCCTTGAGCTAGGCTAGCACCCTTATTAAATAGAACAATCACAGATTTTTAGAATTAATTGTTGCCGTAAGACCACCATGAGGGTAGGGACCATGTCTTCTTATGCTTGGCACTTAAAACAGGAAAATTCTTACTTTGCATGGCAGTGGGAGACCATAAGAATGAAACCATAATGATCAATGAGAAAAACTATGATTGACCCATAAACTTTCCAGTTTTTTGTCAAAACGTTAAAAATTATCTTTTTGTTAGATATATAGGGAAATAAAAAATAGTAAAATAATATTTTATTAGTATGCTATTCTTTAAAATATTAGAAACAGTGAAAATTATTATATTTCTTTGGAAAAAAGAGTAGTTGGAATAGTACTTGCCTTTTTCTTCTTGTCAGTCATATAACTTGTGATACAGAGCAAGTATTTTTTATATGCCTTGGCAAACTGTCACACTTTTTTCTAATCATCTGGCAACCTTTTATCCTTTGCACTTTGTGTTTTGAAATACCTACAAGAGTTCTTCAATGTAAATTTTTTTGCCAGTATCATATTCTCTGGGACATTTTCATCCTTTATATCCCAGCCACCTTCTTTATTTATATTCATAAGTTTGCCTTCAGTAAGTTCCTCTGGCTGCATATGTGGAATTTCTCAATGAGCGTTGAGGTCGACATTCCCATAGTCAGCTGTATCTTCTATAATTCGTTGTCGCATCTAAATTTCACTTACAGCATTATAACTTTTTGTTTTCTTGCTGTGCTTTCCTCATTGCTGACAAAGTCCCTCTTTGAATTATCCATTTTTGTAAAATGTCTGTGGATTTATCACTGGAGACAAGGAGGCAAAACAAGTATGCTTTACTGTCTGTGTTGTGAAGTGAATAGCAGGTGCTCAGTGACCAGTCACTGACAGACCTTGAAAGAACTGACGTGAGTCACTGATGATGATGCGCATGTGTTATTGTGTAGAAATTTGTGAATTGAAGAGCTAGTAGCAGGTTTGTGCCTTATGCAATCACTCATACTTAATATATTGTGGTAGCTAAAGTTTGAATTGTGTTGTTGGGGGACTGGAACTACTCAAATCATGGTAATGAAAATTCATGCATATTGGAACCATGCAAATAAAAAATGTCTGTAGTTACTCAATAGTAAGGGTCTGTTAAATGAGTTAATTAACTTGTACGTTCACACTGATCTGGTTTGCAGTCTTATAGTGTCCTTTTAAGTGTCCTTATAGCTTGGCCAACTGCTATCCCCCTTCTCTTCTCACCTGTATAAGATGTCCAAAATAGCTGGTTAAAGCATGTCTATTAAAAATCTCCCTTTGAACAAGTCATTAAATTCTGAGCCTCATGTTTCACATGCTAAAGGCCCAGATTCTTTCTCATCAAAATTTTCCCTTCCTCAGTACCCAGCTCCTCACCTCTGAAAACAATTAATCAGATTAGTTGATTCACCCCCAGATACTCAAAGAGCTCTCAGGCTCCCCAGGGTAGGTTGGTTTCTTCCCGCGGTGAGAGGAATCAGCATGTGGCAGAGAAGTTCTCTCAAATGCTGCCTTCACAAGGGCTATTCAGACCTGGTGAGCAGCAGAAGAGAGGGTTCTTGAGTTAGAGAAGCTTCTTCCCTGGCCCTACTCTCTGGTAATTAAAAAAAAAAAAAAAAAAAAAGGGAGGGCTGAAGAAGGGAGTCAAAGATAATCCTAAACTTTACTTACTCTTTCATTTCAATGTGTTAATATTCAAGACGGACTGTGAATTCTGGAGATATGTAAGTATTTACAGTGTGGTGGTTACCAGCATTGGCTTTGTCAGATATGGGTTCAGGGAGAGATCCATCACTTCTTAGCTCTGTGAGCTTTCCCAAGTTACTTTATATAGTCTTTACTAAGCCTATGAAGCTTTTAGAACCTCATTCTTCCATCTGTAGGTTGTAATTATTATTTCCCTGGGCTTTTGAGAATCTTGAAAAAGGTAAAGAACACAATACACTTGGAGTACCTTTTGTAGTGGAAAAGCTTGAGAAACAGAAATGGTTTTAGCTTCTCAGGCATAACTTACATAACTTAAGTGAATGTCATTCTTTTTTTTTTTTTTTTTTTTTTTTTTTTTTTTCTGAGATGGAGTCTCACTCTGTCACCCAGGCTGGAGTGCAGTGGTGTGATGTTGGCTCATTGCAACTCCGCCTCCTGGGTTCAAGTGATTCTTATGTCTCAGCCTCCCAAGTAGCTGGGACTACAGGCACGAGCCACCATGCTCAGCTAATTTTTTGTATTTTTAGTAGAGATGGGGTTTTGCCATGTTGACCAGGCTGGTCTCGAGCTCCTGACCTCAGGTGATCCGTCCACCTCGGCCTCCCAAAGTGCTGGGATTACAGGCGTGAGCCACTGCGCCCGGCTGAAAGTCATTCTTTTTACTAAGATTTTCTTATTCACAGTATACAAGAGTTCTGGATGTGGAGATAGCATGTAATATACAGATTCACCTTGATGGAAGTTATCCAGTCTGTTTGTCGGGAACAAAGGCTAAGACTGGTGTTTTCTCCTGTCTCCTTATTGACTGTCATTGATGATTAAGAACCTGTATTATATTCTTTATAGAGTCAGTCCCCCAAATTCTTTTGGAACACCTCCTGCTATAGTTTTGATATTTTTGCCCGCCAAACTTCTCGTTGTAATTTTCTCCCACTGTTAGAGGTAGGGCCTAATGGGGGCTGTTTGGGTCCCAGAGGCAGATCCCTCATGAATAGATTAATGCCCTCCCTGGGGTCACTGAGTAAATTCCTTCAGAGCTGGTTGCCAAAAAGGGCCTGGAACCTACTTCCACCTTGCCTCTTTTCTCACTGTTTGACTTCTGCACATGCCCGCTAACCTTCCCCTTTTGCCAGGAGTGGAAGCACACTGAGGCCTTCACCAGAAGCAGATGCTGGTGCCATGTTTCTTGTACAGCCTGCAGGATTGTGAGCCAAAATAATCTCTTTATAAAGTACCCAGCCTCAGAATTGTTTTTATTTTTATAACAGCACAGATGGACTAAGACATCTCCTTTGAGTGTGCTCAGAGGTATGTTCAAATCTCTCAAGATCAAAACACTCAAGTCACATAGTGGCAGGGCGTCTCTTCCATTTCTGCTAATAGTGATGTCTCCCCTGGAAAAAGCAGCTTGCTTCATGGGCTTCTCAGTCCTCTAACACTGCATCCATTACAATGTGTCCCAAGTGCCATATGCATACACCTACAGACTTTTCCAGAAAGACACCAAATAAGAGTCACTGTTAGGCCTGACTGCTGTGTGGGCCATGGCTCTCAGTTCTGGCTGTGCAGGGTATTTTTAAACTGTAGCTCCTTTCAGGGATTCTCACTCAGTAGGTCTGAAGTAGAGTTGAGGCACCTGCATTTAAAAAACGTTTCCCAGGTGAAGAATGGGCAGGATTGAGAATTGCTGCTCTGGTGCCTATAGGTGCTGGAATCTGAGATCAAAACTAGTCCCAGCTGCAGTTGTCTGGACAAGAATGTGACCTTCACTTGCCTGGTGACTGGATTGGGCTAGGAGATGCAAGCTGGCCCTACGGTGTATTAGAACCCAGTTGCTCCTTATTCTTTTTACCCCAGGGCAACATTTTCTTCAATATTGTCTTCTTAGAGAGTAATCCTACTCATCTTGACTTAAGTTTTTATAACAGCTGCCTAACTGGGCTCCCCAACTTCACCTCCCTCTCAGCCTCTCAGTCTATTTTCCACCCTGCCAATATACTTACCTCGCTAAAATAAGAAACCCATTGTCATTTCCTCAATCTTCCAGCCATCAAGAACTGCTGCTGATTGTTTCCATAACATGGGATATTTCTTTTTTTCTTTCTTTTTTTTTTTTTTTTTTTCTTTTTTTGAGATGGAGTTTCACTCTTATCACCTAGGCTAGAGTGCAGTGGCACAATCTCGGCCCACTGCAAGCTCCGCCTCCCAGGTTCAAGCAATTCTCCTGCCTCAACCTCCTGAGTAGCTGGACCATCATGCCCGGCTAATTTTTGGTATTTTTAGTAGAGACAGAGTTTCACCATCTTGGCCAGGCTGGTCTTGAACTCCTGACCTCAGGTGATCCGGCTGCCTTGGCCTCCAAAAGAGTTGGGATTACAGGCATGAGCCATTGCACCTGGCCTTAACAAACTCTTAATGACCTTAGAAGCCCAGTTTTAAGTCCTGCTCTGAGAAGCCGTCTCTACTCCCAATTGCCCACAGCAGAGAGGTGCTCCCTTTCCTCTGTGCACCTATAGAATTTAAACTATTGCATTTTAATTTACTGTTTATGACCAATCTTTTCTCCCAAAAGCATGTGCTGCACTTGTCTTTGTCCCCCTGAGCATAATGGACCCCCAGAGGGAGTACGGAGCAGGTTTGAAGGTAAAGCCGTCTTTACTCCCAAAGATAGACCAGAACAGGGATTGTTCCTTTACTATTGAGTCAGTAGCCCTAAGAGTATCATCGTTTGTAAGTCATTTGGACACAGAAAAGATATAACCCAAAGGATCTGTCTTTGAACACAATAATGTAACCTAGCACCTGGCTCCTAAGGCATTTCAAACCACAGTCTGCAAGGCCACCTTTTTTTCTGTGTCAGCAGACAGTGCCTCCTACCACACTGCCACGTCACTGGGTTCACTCTGTTTCTTACCAGAGAGGGGCTGGCTTGCATTGCATCATCTATTTGTAGGATATTTCACCAACAAAAGGCAGCCAAACAGGCCATGAGTTTTTCTGTACTTTTTTCCCCCTGTGTTTTTACAGACAGACACTGTAATCAACTGTCGTGACAGCTATAGTCAATTAGCCTGTGGGCTGTTTTTCTCCATCTAGACTAATTGAACTGTTTGTTTTTATTTTTGTTATCCCCTCTCTACTCATTTCCCAACTATTACTACTGGACTATGTGACTAAGCCCCTACAAAACCTTCAGCTACTCCTCTTTTCTCTAGTGGCCACTTTTAGGATGTGGCAGTAATTCATTAATCTCCAGACAGATTTGCATCTGCATTAATATCTAGGAGTCTTTATTTATTTGAAAAATATTTTTAAATGGGTTCCCTGCTGTTAAAGTGAAAAGCAAACATTTAAGTCATCTAGATTAGATGAATTAAGATTTAAATTTAAACTTGCAGAGTGTTGCTTTTTAATTTGTATTGGTGGTCGTTTTTTAGGGAGCTCAGTGTGTGCAAATCATGTTCTCTGTAGCTTCAAAGGAAAAATCTAGGACTTTTTCCTAGTTAGTGAGAGGTATACTGTACTTTCTCGAAAAGACAGGAGCTCCAATTTACTGAAGAAGTTTAAGTAGAGTATAACATTAGTACAATCAGGAGTGGGGAGGTGGAGGGTACTACAAAATATTTAAGTTCCTTTTAAAACTGAGATTTCAGTAAATCACAAGACAGGAATACTTTCATGACAGTAAGCCTAAGAGTATGGTTGTTAGAGCATTTGTAAGAGCTGGGCAAACATTTCAGTAACATTTTTTTCATGCCTACGCAATTCCAGGTCCTAAGCTAAAAACAGAAAGAAAAACAAGATCTAGTCCCTGCCTACAAGGAGCTTAAAGTCTAGTAAAAGAAAGACTTATAAAAAACCAAATACATTAAAGCATTGAAGATTATGTGAGAAAAGTCTGTATGATGGGCCAAAAGGAAAGAAGTAGAATCGAGAAAAAAAAATCTCTTTTCCAAAACATTCTATTATGTGATCAAAAGGAAATCATCCCTTGACCTCTCGATCTTTGGTTTCTATCTGCAAAATGGGTATAATCTGTGACAGTGACCTAATACTTTTTTTGGGATCCATTTTGAAGAGCATTTGGAGAGGACTTAAAACAGTTTGTATATCCCCGAGCATAGATAAATCCCCATGTTAAAACACAGTGCATCTAAAGCAACACCACTGAGCTGTCAATTTTTATCACTAGTTCTATAAAACTTACTGAGAGACACTGAAGTTCTTGTAGAAATGAAAAATGAGCAACTGATGTTAATTCCACTGGTTAAGTAGGAAAAGCCAGGGCCTGAGAGTAAGACAACTGGCCAAGAACCCCAGGACTGGCTGCCAGGGCTGCTGGCTCCCTCCCATTCTCTAGTCTCTGTGCTTGAAGCTGTAACTTAATGGTTTTAAGTAGGAAATAGATTTATTGATATGTGGTTTTCTTCTGCGGAAAATCAAAATAAACCAAAAAGAAAGAAAAAACAAACAAAAAAACACGTGCTTCCCTGACCTTTGGAGTTAGGACTCTCATGGAGTTTTAAATGTACTAAGCAGATCTTTATTGAGCACTTGCTATGTTATGTGCCAGGCATGGTGGGCATTGGAGGACAAATCAAACATGACCTCCATCCTCACAGAGCTTAGAATCCAGTTTGGGGGCAATCAAAATGCAATATAATCAATGTAATCAATACTATGGGAGTCTTATAGGCTCCTAGGTGAGGAATGCTTAATTCAGCCTAATGAGATGATCAGAAAAGGCCTCCTGGAAGAAGAAATGTCAAAGCTGAGGTGTGAAACATTGAGAAGTCAACCCTGAAGAGTGGAAAGGAGAAGGAACAGTAAGTAGAAAAGTAGGACAGGGAGAGGGAGCTCTCAGCTTGTCCTAGGAAGTGAAAGTAGTTCAATAGGCAGGAGCTTAGATGAGTATCTGGTCGGGCCTGGATTGCTAGGAAGGACCTGAATCAGAGAAGGATCACGGAACAATCGTTATGCCCAGTTGAGTTTGATTTTTAGTCTGAAGGTAGTAAAACCAGTTAAGTGGTTTTAAGCAGGAAAGGGACAAGATCAATTTTGCCATTAGAAAAAAATCACATCTCTCTGCAGTGAACAAAGGACAGTCATTAAGAAGACAAGGGTGGGGATCATTTGCCTCAAAGGTGGAAATGTCAGGTATAGGCCTCAGCTGGCTGCTCTCTTGCCTCTTTAGTGTGGAAAACTCTAAGATTATACTTATAGTCGTTCCCAGGTTTTGAATGCAAGGAATCCCTTTTTAACTGTTTGAGAATGCTGGTACTTTTAGATTCTGTTGATAAAGATAATGGTGAATGATAGAATGATACATCAAATTAAATTATTCACAGTGCAATCTATGTATATTTAATATCTAGTAGGAAATATATGGAGAAGATATTCTTGATTCAGCATGTGGAATGTTTGGTGCCTGGTGGATTTGAGGATTCTTTCCCAGAACACCAATGATTCCTGTGAGTTTTTGATCCTCAGACTTGGGACCAGAGGGAAGGAGTTAAAATTGTAGTTACCAGTTTCATCCATGTCCTTGCAAGGACATGAACTCATCCTTTTTTTATGGCTGCATAGTATTCCATGGTGTATATGTGCCACATTTTCTTTATCCAGTCTATCATTGACTGGATTTGGGTTGGTCCCAAGACTTTGCTAATGTGAACAGTGCTGCAATAAACATATGTGTGCATGTGTCTTTATAGTAGAATGATTTATAATCCTTTGGGTATATACCTAGTAATGGGATTGCTGGGTCAAATGACATTTCTTGTTCTAGATCCTTGAGGAATCGCCACACTGTCTTCCACAATGGTTGAACTAATTTACACTCCCACCAACGTGGCACACGTGTACCTATGTAACAAACCTGCATGCTGTGCACATGTACCCTAGAACTTAAAGTATAATAATAATAAAACAAATTATAGTTATCAGTAGTGAGTTAACTGATCCTCTCAAAGGGCTCCTGTAATGATAGCTGTTACTGTGGAGCTTACTGTATCCAGCAGCTTTAGAAATGCTACTCATCTTTCAAATGAGGAAGCACATGTTAATGTTAGAGAGGTTAAGTAGCCTAGTATGGCTTCTCTGACTGACATTCACTTCAATATATCCTGAGATTCAAATGAATTGAATGTTTGAATTCCAGCTCTACTATTTATCTATGTGATCTTAGACAGATTACTTAATCTCTAATAGTATCAGTTTTCTTATCTATGAAATGGGTATACTATCTACCATATGGAGTCAGATCATTATTAAAGTAGATAATGCACATTAAAAGGCTTGATAGCCCTCAATTAAGTGTCTCCCCACCATTCCTTCTTTTCCTCTTTTTCTTTATCTTTTCTCCCCATTTCCTCTGCATTTGCCTACATTTTACTCTCTTCTCCTCTTCCTCAATTGTTTCCCCTTTAGAACTACTCCTTTTCTCTCTTTCTTAATCTTCACATAATATTAAACTGACATTTTAAAGTTTTACTTTAGTTACATTTGTAGTTTCTATTCTTAACATAAACAGCAACCAACTGTTTCTGTTTTGTTAAGAACAAAACAGTTGCTTTGGAATCAAGTTGTTTTATGTATGTGACCCTTAGTAGAAAAATATGTCCCACTTGCACAACATTGACCCAATAGTATGTTTTCAGACCCACTCTGGCAACTTCACTTACTTCACACTTTTGATACTCTAGAGATGAATCATCCACCTAATTCTCTGCTGAAAAGACATCTGTGTTCCTAGCCAATGCTCTTTTCATCCTTGCACATTCGCAAGTACTCTGGCAAATACTGTATGCCTCAGTCAGAAAACAGTGAAGTCAGGTCTCCTGAAATGCAGCCAGCAGTTGACGAAGCAGGTGCAGAATTACAGATGGTGCAATTGCCACAGTGCAGTAGTGTGAAGAGAGTTTTCTAAAGTACTTTTTGGAATTTATTCATCCCTCATTTTAAAAGCATATTTTCCATTGCATATTAAAATCTACAATAAAAGCTTAATGAACCAAACTGGAATAATTTATCTTCTGGAAATATATTCCTTATGTCACTCTTTCCCTGAGTTTCCAAGTAGCCCAACTCTCTGCCCTATAGCTTTCAAGGCCTTCCATGATCTGGTTTTCATCGTCATCTCATTCTTCCCTCCTGCTGCTCACGTAGGAACATGAACCCTACATTTAAATACTTTCTTTAGGCTTCTCCTGAAAAATACTTTGTCTTGCCATTCTCCAAGTATTTGTGTTTTTGATGTTCTTCGACTCTGGAAATCCGTCTTTTATGCAAACCTCACCCATTCTTCAAATCTCAGTTCAAGTTTTTCCTTTTTTGACTACTCCAAGTTAAAGCAACCTTCTAAATTCCTTTAATGAGGTAGTGTAACTTATGGGGAAAATTGTGGAATCTGGAGCTGGAATGCCTAGGTTCAAATTCTTCCCCAATGATGAGATCTTTTTACCTTCTTCAGACAATTTATTTATCAGTAAGAAAACAGATAAGATTTTAAGGGTTTTAAAAAGATTAAAGGAGGAAAACATGTGAAAGCACTGTGTAACTAATATGATAATCTGCCTAGTGTATTCATTTATCTTTTCCTTTTTGTATATTCTCAGTTTGCAATTAAACAAATATTTAGTAAAAAAATAAATTTTTTTTTATTTTCTTTCTTTTTTTTTCAACTTTTATTTTAAGTTCCGGGGTACATGGGCAGGATGCGCAGGTTTATTACATAGGTAAACTTGTGCCACGGTGATTTGCTGCACAGATCATCCCATCACCTAGGTATTAAGCCTAGCATCCATTAGCTATTCTTCCTGATGCTCTCCGTGCCCCTGTCCCCACTGACAGCCCCCAGTGTGTGTTGTTTCCCACTGTGTGTCCATGTATTCTCATCATTCAGCTCCCACTTATAAGTGAGAACATTCAGTGTTCAGTTTTCTGTTCCTGTGTTAGTTTGCTAAGGATAATGGCATCCAACTCCATCCATGTCCCTGCAAAGGACAGAATCTTGATCCTTTTTTTTGAGATGGATTTATGTTCTCTTGCCCAGGCTGGAGTGAAGTGGCATGATCTCAGCTCACTGCAACCTCTGCCCCACAGGTTCAAGTAATTCTCCCACCTCAGCCTCCCGAGTAGCTGGGATTACAGGCATGCAACACCACACCGGGCTAATTTTTTGTATTTTTAATAGAGAGGGGATTTCACCATGTTGGTTAGGCTGGTCTCAAACTCCTGACCTCAGGTGATCCACCCGCCTCAGCCTCCCAAAGTACTAGGATTACAGGTGTAAGCCACCACGCCCGGCAAATCTTGATCCTTTTTATGACTGCATGGTATTCCGTGGTGTATATGTACGACATTTTCTTTATCTAGTCTATCATTGATGGGCATTTAGGTTGATTCCACGTCTTTACTATTGTGAATAGTGCTGCAGTGAACATACACGTGCATGTATCTTTATAATAGAATGACTTATATTCCTTTAGGTGTATACCCAATAATAGGATTGCTGGGCCAAATGGTATTTCTGCCACTAGGTCTTTGAGGAATCACTACACTGTCTTCCACAATGGTTGGACTTATTTACACTCCCACCAACAGTGTAAATGCAACTTTTTTCCTGCAACCTCACCAAGATCCGGTTTTTTTGTTTGTTTGTTTGTTTTTTGCTTTTTGACTTTTTAATAACAGCTATTCTGACTGGCATGAGATAGTATCTCGTTGTGGTTTTGATTTGCATTTCTCTAATAATTTGATGTTGAGCTTAGTAAAAAATAAATTCTTTAAAAGAATATGTACATGCTTCACCAAGTAGAGTCTAAAATGATTATAGCAAGCTCTCAGGTGACCTAGTACTCCTGCTTTGGCCCATGGAGCATGCTTTGATTAGCAAGGCTTCCTGTAAACCCTAATAAAAAGACAGGCAATGGAAACACCCACACACTTAGACTGGAGTCTAGACATGATACTTGCACAGTGACCCTCATCTTAGTGTTCAATTATGTTTTTCTGCCTGTAACTTTTCTTACAACTGTGAAAGCTGGCTAGCTGGGTAGTTACCTTGGTCACACATAGATATTAGTCAGCCTGAGGTGCCAAGTGTGTTACTTCAGAATAAATATAAAACTCACCAGCAAACTTGCAGGGTTCCCACAGGGTGAACTTGATCTACACTGAGGTGCCTGCCCTATGACGACAGTCCAATGACTCACTTGACGTCAAGTCACAGATGGACGTCATCCCATTACCCGAGAAGACCTCCTTTTGTAGCAAATGATACCACAGAGGCGTCCAAGTGAGGGGAAATGCTGGGAAGCTAGTTATCTGTCTAACTAACCTTCAGCAGTGTAGTGCCTCTACTGAGCAGAGTGGTCATAGCATCTATACACCCTATCCCATGTGATTGTCCCTTTACACAGCTTATCAGTGACATTTTGGCCTTTGCTGAGTTGTCATCTTCTTTATCTAGTTCTCTTTGTGTGCACAAGGCAAGAAGGAATGTGTATCTGATTTTGAATTGCATTCTTTGAATGCACAGTTCAATAAGGGGGTTGGTGACTGCTGAGGCTATGGTTTTATAGTCAGGATCTAGTTATGTGGAACCTTAGGTGTGTCACCTAACCAAGTATCAGGCTTTACATTTGTCAAAGGGGCTGTGAGAATAAATGAGACAGTCCATGTTAAGAGTTTAACACAGTCCTTGGGTACAGTTAGTGCTCCATGAAAATTGGTTACATTTATTAGTATTACAAATGATTGTTACTAGCATATTTATGTTACTATAATACTTTATAATATTACATTTACCTTTTTTATTCTGGAGTATATTTATATGAACCCATTCCACCTGCCCTCAGCTTCTTCTCGCTACTAGAAAAATACATAGGATTTGGAGTCAGAAAATTTATTTCTGTTGTATTTACAAGACTAAACCCTAAATGTCTCTCATGTCCTACTAAC
The DNA here is from genome assembly GCF_000001405.40 of Homo sapiens. NCBI lineage: Eukaryota > Metazoa > Chordata > Mammalia > Primates > Hominidae > Homo > Homo sapiens. The sequence continues at coordinate 83,710,692 of NC_000011.10, read as the reverse complement.
TACATGAATGTCCTTGTACCAGTTTCAAGCTTTGGTTATGCCGTCCACATCTGCAAATAGAAACATGTTATATGAACTATATATTGTTGTTAATTAGTCTCTGATTATCCTCTTCTGTCATTCCAATACCACTGCTCTTTGTTCCTATGAATTGTCCATCTTGGCACTCACTATCTTATACTAAAATTATCCGCTTCTTGTGTCTTCCTCTTGAGTGGATGAAAAGTATCTGGCCAGGCAAGGTGGCTCATGCCTATAATCCCAGCATTTGGGAGGCTGAGCGGGGGTGGATCACTTGAGATCAGAAGTTCGAGACCAACCTGGCCAATGTAGTGAAACCCTGTCTGTATCAAAAATAAAAAATTAATCAGGCATGGTGGCGGGTACCTGTAGTCCAAGCTACTTGGGAGGCTGAGGCAGGAGAATTGCTTGAATCCAGGAGGCGGAGATTGCAGTGAGCCGAGATGGTGCCACTGCACTCCAGACTGGGCAACAGAATAACACTCAGTCTCAAAAAAAAAAAAAAGTACCTTATTTGCTGTGCTGGGCTTCATTCCATCCACATTTCACATGTGTTAAATGAAATAGTTCAGGACAGTGTACCCACCTCATATTCCTCTCTCCTTTGTTTTCATATGATCCCAGGCACCCTATTTTCATGTTACACTTTCCCCTTTGCTTTTTCTAAAATCTTTCACAAAATGCTCACCCACAACAGTGAGACACACCTATCCAGTGGAGTGTGGACAGCAAGAGGGTAAAGCTAGAAAGGGTTGGGAAAGGAAGGCCTAACCTGATTTTTAGAGGCTGTATCTGCCCTTTCAATGATCACCTACTTACGCTTAGAACCTTCTTTCTCCTGCCTTCTTTTGCTAAGTAACCAGGAAGGTCAAGTGCCATTGTTACTTTCCAAATGACTTGGGGGGGATCACTTCCAGATACATCAAGTTCTGCTTCTGAAGACCTGTATCAACAGTTAATTTGGAGAGTCAAGTTTCACCTTCTGAAACAAGCCAAGGCTGTTATGTAACCTGAAGTTCTTTGTTGAAAACAAAACCTGCAGATGCTGAGAAAGCTAAATTAAACTTCTTACTTGCCACTCAGCCACTAAGCATCACAGGCAGCCTAGAGAATATTACCAGCACTGGGGTGGTAAATGTAATGATTGTAATGAAACACCATATTCACCTACCAGCCAGTGTGATTTTAAAAGTCTGCCCAGATTAGTTGGCCAGAAAGCAAACTAAGGTGGAGCTGAACTTTACAATGTGGTTCTTGCTTAATGAGCAATCTTGTTGAAAAAACTAAAGTTATATATATATGTGTGTGTGTGTGTATATATATTATATATATGTATATATAATATATATAACTTTATACATATATACGTATATGTATATATGTACATATATGTATATATACATACATATATACACACATATACACACACACACACACACAGTGTAAAATTTTGTCCTAGGCATGCTGATTTCAGACTTTTATTTTTTTCCTCTCAAAAAGATTCTTTCTTGATGAATTGCATAATTAAGAAGGGGACCTGAATGAATATTATTGGCAGCTACCCCAGGACTCAGACTTGTCTCTTACCTTTAAGAGGGGAAGAGAACAAGCAGCGGTTGAGTACATACCACATACAGTGGACTCTGCTTGTTCCCCTAATAAATCATCAAGTAAAGTCAGGGAAATGGGCACCAGCAGCCTCATACTAGAGACTATGAAAAACAGATTTACACAGGAAATAATTTGTCCAAGATCACTCAACTAGTAAATAAGTGGCAGAGCTGGAATGCAATCCAAGTCTTTCTCTCATGATCCAAAGAGAATACCCACTAAGCCTACACAGCCTTGGGCATTGATCTTCTATCCCCCAGTTTCTTCCTTAGTATCTGGGTTCCATATCCCATTAAAAAAAAGGATTCCAAAATAGATCCTTCAGTCTGCAGAATCTAAATGTAAATTGTAATTAAGTAGTATTAGCTAATTAGGTACTTTAAGGAAAATACAGTACTTTAAGGAAATACATAGCTCTGTAATTTAAAAAAATGGCAACATATTGCAATTTTTGACCATAAAACACAAGTGATACGAAATTGGGGAGGTACATAAAGCCAAGTATTGAAAGACATTTGTTATCATATTGTCTTGAGAATGATTACCAAATTTCTGGCCTTGTTTTATGGCTTCACACCTTTCATAGGTTATATAGCTGTTTCTCCTCTTTGTTTACAGTCAGATCTTGGGCTACTGATACTTTCTCCCTGTCAGGTATTAAATAGCAACGTATATTATATTTTTCTATTTTCAACATTTGTGCTGGTAATTCATGCCAAAAGCAAACATGGCTCATTGTTTTTTATCTGACATTCAACAAATATTTATTGAGCATCACTGTGTACAGGTACTATCTGTTTCCTAGGTACTTTGTGTTCTAGAGATTTTCCCATATGTGCCACTGTGAACATTCTAAATGTTTCAGATCTAGTTTAGGAACTTCAAATATAACTTAAACACAGAATAAATTTCCAACAATTATCATAATATCTAATATTTATTGCAAGATTGCCATGTGCCAAGTATTAATGATAAGAGCTTTTACGTAAATTTCATGTAATAATCACCACAACCTCATGATGGAATACAATTAGTATCATGCTTTTTTGCAAATGAGGAAGCTCTGGATTTAAAAGACTATTACATAGTTCACTCAAGATCATATAACTAGTTAAAGTATCAAAGGTGGGACTCTAACTCAGGCCCATATGACAGAAGCTGCACGTTTTTAACCCTATGCATTCTGCCTTCTGGAAAATTTTATTCTGTTAGGGCAAGCAAACATTGAACTATGTGTGCTGGGTGCTGGGATATAAAGATGATTAAGACAGGGTTCCTGCTTTCAAGAACCGTGAGTGCACTGAGAGGGAACAGACACTCAACCAATCTCAAAAGCATTGTGCACTTGTTTGTTTGTGTTTTTGTTATTGCTGTTGTTATTGTTGTTGTTGAGACCGAGTCTCACTCTGTTGTCCAGGCTGAAGTGCAGTGGCACCACCTCAGCTCACTGCAACCTCTGCCTCCCAGGTTCAAACGATTCTCTTGCCTCAGCCTCATGAGTAGCTGGGAGTACAGGCATGCACCACAACGCCCCACTAATTTTTTGTATTTTTAATAAAGATGGGTTTTCACCATGTTAGCCAGGCTGGTCTTGAACTCCTGACCTCAGGTGATCTGCCCCCCTCGGCCTCCCAAAGTGCTGGGATTATAGGCGTAAGCCACTGAGCCCGGCCAACAGTGTGCACTTGTTATATGTCATGCACTGCACGGTACTGGATATAATTCAGGAATAAGGCACAATCTCTACCTTCAAGGAACTCTTGTCAGAGACAGATATAGAAACAGGAACTCCTAAGGGCAACTGATTTCTACTTCTGTTCTCCTATATAGGAGAAGTTTGGATGCTTATAGGCCCTGGGGGAGTCAGTGTTGTTCTAGGGCTCTGCAGCCAGTCCTTCAGCCTCATCTTTTGTTCTCCATTTATTGATGACCTCAGGCAGACCACTTAGTTCTAGAAAGCTATTTTCTCGTATTTGAAATAGAGATAAAAGTATATATAAATAGAGATAAAAGTATGACCTACTTCATGGAGTTGATTTTGATAATTAAGTGATAAAATGTATGGAAAGTATCTATGTTTGCTTGATGATAAGTGTTAATTACTTTTGTTGTTATCATGACCCCATATGGGTTAGAAGAATCTTAAAGGTGTTGTCACCTCTTGCACTCAGTCTTGCATTTTTTCTGCCAAACTAACTCAAGGCATTGCTGTAGCAACCAGCTTCATCCAGGTGTAACTGACACCACCTTGCCTTAGCTGCCACGCCTCTCTCTGCTTTCTACCCGAGAGCCCACTCGCCACTCTGGCATGCACAAAACTGGACGTGCAAGGGAGTTGGCATCGCATGTGGCAACTCTCGACAATTGGAGAGGAAGGGAACTGGTGGGTAGAGCTCTCCTCCATCCCTTGGATAGATAGTTCTGAATTGCATTGTGTATGCTCCTCAGAAGGTTTCCCTGCTTCCTCTTTCCTCTTCTCAGGATCACTGCTCAAAATGAACTATCACATGTGAGCCTCTGCATATATTACTGCAAACCTTTGATTCAAGCTCTGCTTTCCTGGGGATTATGGAAGTGCAGTTGGAGAGGGTGAGAATCATAGGAGTTGGGGGATATTATGTATTTGGATTCCCCCTATAATATCTTTGCCAAGTGGTCATTCAGCCGCTGCCTTAACATGTCCTATGAAAGGAATATGCTGTCTCCAGTACCATGTCTAGGCACTAGACACATGTCCCCGGCACCTAGCACAACACCTGATATAGAATAGGAGCTTAATAAACATTGTCAAATAAATTTTTAAGTAAAAATTTTGTTGGTTTTAAAATGTTTTTTTTTTTTTTTAGATGGAGTCTTGCTCTGTCACCCAGGCTGGAGTGCAGTGGCGCGATCTCAGCTCACTGCAACCTCTGCCTCCCGGGTTCAAGCGATTCTCCTGCCTCAACCTCCCGAGTAGCTGGGACTACAGGCACCCGCCACCATGCCCAGCTAATTTTTTGTATTTTTAGTAGAGACGGGGTTTCACCATGTTGGCCAGGATGGTCTCAATCTCCTGACTTCATGATCCACCAGCCTTGGCCTCCCAAAGTGCTGGGATTACAGGCGTGAGCCACCACGCCCGGCCTAGTTTTAAAATGTTTAATTGTGAAGTTGAAACTTTTGTTGGTGTGCGCGATGACTGCAAATCTATTGTCTTTTGCCTTCCAAGCATAGTTCTACTTTTCCAAGAGCCATGCAAAATAAGCCTTCATATGCTTTTGAGTCTATGTGGTTTTTTCACGAAGAGAATTCATTGCTAGAGAATCTGTAAATCTTTTATGGCATATTTTAAAAAATAAAATAATGGAATTAAGTAGAAACTGTAAACGTTTCTACTTTATTTAATTGATATAGGATTATATTCTTAGATTTATTTTGTTGTTCTTTTTAAATGTTAGCAACATGGAAAGTAAAGTAGATTTGAATTTAAAGGGTTAGAAGTTTATTTATTAAGAACTACTTGATGTTTTATTATCACAATAACAGATCTTCATAATGATAGTTTTGAGTCATCAGTTTAAAAACCTATTATATCTAGTATATTATTCTGGAGGTGAGGCAAGTATTTAATAATGATGTTTTGAAAAGTAAAGTAATCGCAAAAGTAATCAATTTAACTCTCTCCATTTGAAGTCTTAATCTTCAGCTATATGGAAAATTCAGATATTCAGAAAGATACTTCTTTTCTCTGAGGATTCCAGAGAATAAAAGTTTACTTGATAATAACAAATAAGTTGATTTTTAGGCAATCACATGTATTAATTCCAAAATAATTTTTTTACATTGAAGATTTAGCCTGGAGAAAAGAAGTTTAGAACTCTTTTAATAAGTGAAAATATGCAGAGGAAACAGAGCTGCAGCTAATTCCCACCTGCATTCAGAAAGTACAAAGGGCAAGTACAAGTTAGGTATATCACATTCCTGTTCATGTCTATGCTTTATTTTTTAATTAAATTAATTAACGCATTTATTTATTTTTATAATTTCAACATTTATTTTAGATTCAGGAGGTATATTTGTGCAAGTTTGTTACATGGGTGTATTGCATTATGCTGAGATTTGGGATACAAATGATTCTGTCACCCAGGTAGTAAGTGTAATATCCGGAAGTTTAGTCTGAATAACTTAATATTTCAGTGACTTTAAGGTTATACTCAGTTTTTTTCCTGCTGAATTATATCTTTATTTTATTTTTGAGATGGAGTCTCGCTCTGTCGCCCAGGCTGGAGTGCAGTGGCGTGATCTCGGCTCACTGCCACCTCCGCCTTCCAGGTTCAAGTGATTCTCCTGCCTCAGCCTCCCAAGTAGCTAGAATTACAGGCCTGTGCCACCACGCCCAGCTAATATTTTTTTTTTTTTTTTTTTTTAGTAGAGACGGGGTTTCACCACGTTGGCCAGGCTGGTCTCGAACTCCTGACCTCAGGTGATCCACCTGCCTCAGCCTCCCAAAATGCTAAGATTACAGGTATGAGCCACCTCAGTCGGTCAAATTATACATTTTTTTTAAAAAAAGAAAAAACCAGAAACTATTTTTCAATTATAATGGTATTACATGTTTATTGTTGAAACTGCAAAATACAGAAGCATGTTTAAAAAAACAATTGAAGAACTAAGCAATAATTTCTACTATCCAGAGGCAACCACTGGTTTCTGTTTTTGTCTCATTTTAGTATCATTTCTGTTTATGAAATACATAAGGGAGGTTATATTATATGTACAACTAACTACCCTGGTTCATTTTAGTTACATTATAGCATAAGCATTTAACAATGTCATCTAAAATATGTTACAAACATTTTTCATGCAAAGTTTTTCATGTTTTCAGATGCACTCTTTTTTATACTTCCACAGCCTGCCAGCTTTTACTTAGAAAGTTAAATATCTTAAAAGGATATTTTATTGGGATTTTTTTAAATTATAAAAAATAAATAAGGCAATAAAAAATAACTATTGATTTTGTTGTAGGTCCTTGCCATTTATTTTCTGCATCCTATAAAACTGTAATTTTATTGTACATGGTAGTCATGGTAGTTGATACTTCCTTTTTCATTTAACAATGTTTTGTGGGCACTTCTTCATGTCCATACATTTTTTTTCTTTTGTAAAAGTAAATTTTAAAAGAGATCTAAGATTCCATAATAGGGAAGTGACACTGTTGACTTAGCCTATTTACCATTATTAAACTTTTAGGTTGTTTCTGATTTTTCACTACTGTAAATAACAGTCATGATGAGTATTAGGTTAGCTTGTTATGGGTTATTTATATGATCTTTCAGAGCTCTCATCTAAAAACCAAAGCTTTTCAAGATAATTGGCATGGAAAATAATTATTTCAAATGTAAAGAAAACTTTGGTTTTTGTTGATTTTTTTTGAGACAGAGTTTCACTCTTGTTGCCCAGGCTGGAGTGCAGTGGTGCTATCTCGGCTCACTGCAACCTCTGCCTCCCAGGTTCAAGCAATTTTCCTGTCTCAGCCTCCCGATTAGCTGGGATTACAGGCATGCACCACCACACCTGGCTAATGTTGTATTTTTAGTAGAGACAGGGTTTCTCCATGTTGGTCAGGCTGGTCTCTAACTCCCGACCTCAGGTGATCCACCTGCCTCGACCTCCCAAAGTGCTGGGATTACAGGCATTAGCCACCAGGCCCGGCCGTTTGTTGAAATTTTTATGTGTACTCTTCCATTAATGCTTGGCATTAAACATTACAATTCAAGAACCTAGGTTAATAAAGTCCCATTTTGTTTCTTTGTCACTGTTTTTTTCATCAGTGGGTTTACAGGATCCAGATTATAGAATTTGTGTGATATGGTCAGAGAGATTCCCTTTATATTCCATTGTAGGTGACCTTTATTATAAACATATTTGTGAGCTACAGAGGAAATAGGCTTTAACCAGTTAAAGATGCTGGGTTAAAAGGCAAGAGCATGTGGCTTTCCTGGGGCTATGTGAGAGTTCAATCTTGTCTGTGAAATGCTGGAACAGCACAGATGTACCATAGAGGATAATATATTTTCCCCCCTGGGGACTGGATTGATGCGTCATTATATTGTCATTTACAGTGCTTTTCGGAAGAACTGCAATTCCTTACCATCAGAGTATATTTGCTTTCTTCCCATCACCTCCTTAACTAATAAAATTTGTATGGACTGCAGAAAAATTGCTGTATTTAGCAAGTTTCATTATTAGCATCTCTTTCTGCTCCAAATCTAGAGACCTTAAGTAACTTGAAACTTTTAAAAGAAAGTGCTTTGGTTAGCCTTTATTTGTCCATGAAGCTCAGGCTAGGTAGGAAGAATTTTCATGAGCACCAGGAAGAGACAGATCAGTGTCTTCAACCTCAGTTTCAATCAACACACAGGAATTAGAGCTTTCTCTGGGCCCAGCCCCAGTCAGAACATGGCACAATTTAGCAGTGCAAGGTGGCCTAGCTTCCTCTGCCTTCAAACAAACCTGGCCTTCTTCTTCCCCAACAGACTCATTTCTTTCTCCCAAGCCTGCCATGTAAATCACCTACTTCACCTTCATGGGCAATAATGACAGCTACCATTTGTAGAACTGTGTCAGTCTTGATAGTAGATACTTAGCGTTAATTACTACATTTGCTCCTGTCAACACCCCATGAGATAAGTCACATTCTACCTTTTTGTAGATAAGGAAATTGTGATTTATAAAGGTAAAAAATTGTCCAAGTTCATACCATTGTTAAGTAGAAGAAGATGTTTGAAACTGTAGGTGTCTATATCCTGGTCATTTCACCACACCCCATTAAAAAACACTTTTTTAACCAGTACTGACACTGTTAATCCTTTTGTACAGAAGTGAACTACCTGTTTAAGAGAAGATATGTTAGGGGAAAAAAAAAGTGAAAGTTAAGGGGAATTTGCTGAGATATCCTGATCCCAAGCCAACACTGAGTTTGCAAAGGGGGTAAGTCCCTGGCAAGATCAGGCAAGATACTCTTTCAGCAGGTATCTTATACAGCTGACAAAGAAAGCACAAAATTATCTTTCTACTATAATAATGTGGAATAGCCTCAGGATGTTTCCCTAGCAGGGCAATGCTGACTATCTCTCAACTTCAAATTAAGTAAGTTGATTTGTTGAACACCAAATTACAGAAACTTCCTTGTATACTCAGCATTATGTGATGTGGCCCCTAGGCCTCTCCAGGCTTACCTATCAAGCTGGCTCACTTGTTCTCTGGGACCCAGTCATACTAGACTTCTTTCCCTTCCCTACCACGACAGGTTATCCCAGTGTCTGTGCTCTTCCTGTTGTTTTGTCCTGAATGCCTTGTATATACACACATTTCAAGCCTTTTCAAGCCTTTCATTAAGTATCATCTTCTCTATGATACTCCTTCCACATCAACCACTTCCTTTGTATGTCCCGGTATAACTGATGTTGACTTCTTTCATAGCGTCCCTAATTCCATACAGCCTTCTTTGTTCATCTTCCCTTAATGGGCTGAGAGCTTTCTGTGTACAAGGACTATGTCTTATTCTTCCTCAATTTCCTTTGTTTAACCCAAAGATTGACCTGAAGTGGCCCCTAAATGATGGTTTAATGGATGGATGAATGAATACAAAGATAGATGTTTATGATCAGGGCTAATATTTACTGATATCTACTCCAGACACTGTTCTAAGAAAGGTATATTTAAATTCTTAAATACATTATCTCTTTGGATCCTCATAACATCCCTATAAGGTAGGGATTATATTTATCCTAATTTTATTGATGGGAAATTGAAGTTCAGCAAAGTTGAGTAACTTGCCAAAGTTACTCAACTAATGAGTGACAGAGTTTGTGTTCAGATCTTTCTACTTTCAGAGCTGGAATTTTCAACCACCATAACTAACAATATGGCAGCTACCCAAAGGGGGTTTCTCATCACCATCTCCCGGACTCCTGCCTGCTTGCTCCTTTTATAGAATCTACTTAAAGAAGCATCTAACAAAGCCTAGACATCCTGTTGTGTGCGATTTCCCAAACAAGTACCCAAAATGGTGCTTTTCTATGTTACAAATGCTGTGTTTTAATTCAAAAGAAACTGAAAGAATTAGTCTTTATTTTGTCAGCCACTTAGCATAACCCTAAGTAAAGCAGGCACTACTAGAGCAATTGTTTGGGTTACAATATCTGAACACTTGTGATTCATTATAATTTCCTACCTTTGTATCTGATTATTAAATTTTCCTTTTCAGTGCAGATGGAGCAAAAAAAATGTAGATTATCAATTTTGTGACTATATAAAGGATTTTATTCAGAGCCAGTTTTTTTTTATTTTCATTCCATTGTGGCATTTTCAATTAATCCCGCAAGATGTATTATTTAAGGACATTGAATAAATTTTTTAGGAACACAGTGAAAGAAAATAACATTTCATTGGCAACTGTTCATCTTTTCTCATTTTGTTCTAAGACATTCTTGTTTTTAAATCATTTCTAATTCTCAGAGTCATGGATCGATCTGGTATGTGTTGGATTTTGATTCTCTACATTTTGTAGTCTTTCATCCACTGTATTCAGGTTCCTAAGTAAAAGCTCCATCTTTATTTCTAAGTGGGCTTTTTCTCTCAAATTTCTGGGAATAGAGCTGCATGACCTAGGAAGATACCAGAAGGTCATCATAGCCTCTTTGCTCCTTAAGTCTCAATGAAAGCCCCAGCAGTCAGCCTCCTACAACTTGTCTCCACCTCTCTTTGGCCCTTGAGCAGAAAGTTAAGGCCAAGGAAGGGCTCCTTCCCACTCTTTCTCAAAAAGAGAGGATAATCTTCACTGATGTGTGTCAATGCTTACTGTGTGTCAAGCCCCATGGTAAGCTCTTTCAATACATTATTATATTTACTCCTCAAAACAACCTTATAAGGTATGTACCAATTGCTATCCTAATTTTATTATTTAAATTAATTTAAATATTTAATTTTTATAAGGTATTTATTGAAAACTTTTGTTCCTCTCCTGCCCTCATTCGTCTCACAAAGCTAATCACTATTTTTAGGTTTTTGTGTATCTTTCTGTAGTTTCCTTTGCAAATGCAGCAAACTGTATTTGTGTGTGTGTGTGTGTGTGTGTGTGTGCATGTGTGGTGGGGGGATAGATAAGATAGATACATACATACATACATACATACATAGAAAGACAGACAGATACATGCATACATACATACATACATGGAAAGATAGATAGATAGATAGATAGATAAATTTTTAGCCCCATTCTTATATACCAAAGGAGCATTCTATAAACACTATTCTGTATTATTATTATTATTATTATTATTTTTAAATTATTATTATGTTTTTTTTTAGACGGAGTCTTGCTCTGTCACCCAAGCTGGAGTGCAGTGGCGTGATCTCTGCTCACTGCAGGCTCCACCTCCTGGGTTCACTCCATTCTCCTGCCTCAGCCTCCCAAGTAACTGGGACTGCAGGCACCCACCACCACGCCCGGCTAGTTTTTTTTTTTTTTTCTTTTGTATTTTTAGTAGAGACGGGGCTTCACTGTGCTAGCCAGGATGGTCTCGATCTCCTGACCTCGTGATCCGCCTGCCTCAGCCTCCCAAAGTGCTGCGATTACAGGCGTGAGCCACTGTGCCCAGCCATTATTATTATTTTTTACTTAATGATGTGTCTTGGAGATCTTTATGTATCAGTACATAGAAAGCTTCTCCATTCTTTCTTACAAGTGTGGAGTAGCCCAATGTGAATTGTGCCATAGTTTTATTATCTCAATTTTAAAGATGAAACCAGTTCCAGGAGCTAAATAACTTTAACTTGGAGCAGAGCAGGTTGATGTGCTTTGTTTTCTTCTTTACATCCTTTTTAACTCATGTGATATATTGGGGACATCTATCCTTATGCTCCTATCTGCCTTTATTGGGGCCCTTTAGACGTCTTCTCTAGACAGATATTTGGAAGCAGTTATTTGTAATAAGCTTTGGAAACCTAGGGCATGATCACAGGTCCCAAAGTTTCTGATGTTTGCATATATTCAGAACTATTTTTTTTCTGCCCCTGCTGGACGTCTACCTGCAGCCCACTTCTCACATGTCAAAGATGCAGCTCTCTCTTGAATGCAGCAAAAGCTACTGATATTTTTGGCTGTCATTTAGCAGCCCTCTGCCTCTCTAATCACCTGATCCCACCTGGCGGGTTCTGAACTCTTGGCCGCAGACCCTGACTTTACAACCACACTCTGGAAGGTAACATAGGATGTGGAAGAGATAACATAGGATGTGGAAGAGATAACGTAGGATGAGAAGAGATAATTTAGGATAGGCTTTCAGAGCTTGGCACATGGCAAAAACTCAGTAAAGATATTATTATCATCTCATGAAATTCTTTCAAAACCATTTAACTATAGTACAATTATTATACCTGTTTTACAGATGTGTATACTGAGGATCAGAAAGTTTTTGTTTTGCCAGAGCTTACAGTCCTTAAGTGACAGAGATGATATCTACATTGAGGTCCTTCCAGGCTAGGTTTCTCTATATTTTATCATCAAATAGAATTCAGAAGAAACCCATGATACCAAATGTCACATGGAAGTACATATTTAGTAAGACATTGTACATACAGTTCAGGTTCACTCACAAAATAATTTTACTATGAGAAAAGATTCATGATTGGCATAAGATGCTGCTATGTTCTTCTGCACATTATAATTATATGAAAATGAAACACCCACTGCCATTTCTGCAAACCTATCATCTATATATTTCATTTCAGTCTCAGAAATGTTTGAAACAGGGTTTTTAGCCAATTTTGGAAAGAACATTTCCCTCTCAGCAAACATAATTATAATAGTAATAGTCACCATACTTGTTATATGCCAGGCACTGTACTAAGCTGTTTACCTCTATTATCTCATGTACTCCCCATCACAACCCTGTGACATTATTCATCATAGTCTTCATTTACAGATGGCATTGATGCTTAAGTGAGACTCAATGACTTATCCAAGTTTGTAGCAGCTAGTGAATGGCAGAGACTTGATGACAATCAAGCCAGTCTGTAATCAAAAGCTCCTATGTGAAATCACTGTGTTTTATCAAGTTGGCCTATAACAAGGTTCAGAGACCATGAGCCAAACCCATTGCAAGTCTTTTAGAATCACTTCTTACTGGCCAAAGATTTTAAAGTAAATGTCATAATTCTTACCAGCTGGTATCTCAATATTCTGGGCCTCTCTGTTCTTGAAAAAATATCACAATGTGGTGCATGTTCTTTTTAAATCCCACCTGCATTGTTAGCACCTTTAATTTTATTAAAGCTTTTTACATACCTTATATGCCAAGTCAGCAACTTTTCTTGGCCAGGCTGCTAGTAGAATCCCCCTGCCATGCCCCGAAGACATAACTTTTTCTTTCTAAGCAACACCATTCCCAAGTTTGGTCTTTCTAGCTTACATGTTTAGAAACAGATCAGCTTGTTATACGTAAGGGGTTGGAGGTTGATTTGTCTTAAGGAGAGTTCAAAAAACTGAACTTACTCTGGCTTAAAGAACTAAGTGTGGTCAACCAAATGCCCCTTAAAGCAATTAGGTACCATCTGCTTCCCAAGACTTTGGGAGTAGAGACCTGCTGCTTAGAAACCTTGTTTGAATTAGTATTACAACAAGCCAGTGGCCTGTGGTTTGATTAATTACTCATGACTTCTTACATAAAAGTAATCTTTCCTAAATGTATTCTTTGGATAATTAGAGGTCAAGTATTTGTTATTTTAGAGTCAACTTCATTTTCTTTCTTTAAGTAGCAAATTTAATATTGTTCACTTCAGTTGATCATTTATTGAGCACCTACTTTGTGCTAAGCACTGTTCAAGGCACTTTGAATTGTTAGGTAGAAAAAGTAGAACCAAACTTCTACTTTCTCCTCCCCAGAATTCAAAATGTTACAAACACTGACTCATTTCTTTGAGGGCAAAGAGCATGTCTTGTTATTCTTACGTTGAACACCTAGTATAGGACCTCACCCACAGAAAAATTTTTGTTTAGAGTAAAATGAATGATCTCTTCTTTCATCTGCTTTTCTGAAGGTGCTTTTAGCAGCATTGAACCACAGAAAGGGAAATTATATTTCTGTTTACTATGGCGAAAATTAAAAATGGATTTTTGACTTGGTACATATTCTCTTTTGTCTTGGGCTCCCATAGTGCTTTGCAACTCTCCAATAGCAGTATCACTTTTCTTCCATTTGTGACTACGAAGTCCTTCATGTTAGGGACCATGTCCTATTTCTCTGTTTCCTTACTATGACAGACCCAATACTCTGCACATAGTCATTTACTCAATATTTGTTTAATTGAATTAATCATAGGCTGCCTCATTTCCCTCTCGGAAGGTAGAGAACACATCTTGGTCATTTCTGTTTCCATTATATCTATAGTAGATTATGATGTACATTTTGTACTTAATGTATCATCAGTAAATGCTTATGGACTTCAAGTCTCCTCATTCCCTTGGTTGGATTTTTTTGTACTACCATTTTGCTTTTTCATATCAAGATGCCCAAAACTGTGACTCAAGGAATGAGTGCCTTTACTGACTGACTGACTGGCTGGCTTACCTAATGAGTAAATAATAATAACCAAGTACATATATAAAGTGCATTCTCATATAGCCACAAAATGTCGCCCTCTCACCTGCCACGTTGGGAAACAGGGTCCAGAAAAGGAAGAGCTTATCTAAGGTCACGTTAAGAGATTGTGCCAAAGCTAGGATTAGAATCTAGATTTCATTACCTCCAGCCCAGATTTTCTCCTTCCTAATATTAGTTCTCCCTTCTTTTCTTTACATTCCCACTGCTGCCATCTAAGATCAGGCCCTATCCCTCCTACCTGGACTGCTGCCATTGCCTCCTAACTGTTCTCTATGCTCCCAGCCTCAACACCTCCAGTCCATCCTCCACCTGGTTGCCAAGGTGATTTTCTAAAGTGCAAATCAGATCATGTTCACTCTGCTGTTTAAAGTCTTACAGAGGCTCCCATGGCCTATGGGATGGAGTCCCCTGACCCACATGACAGAGAATGATCCACCCCGTGACTCCCAAGCCTGCCTCTCATTTCTCTCCTCAGTCTGTTTTCCAGCTGGGTTCAAATGTCTACAGTGACCATAACCTTCAGGTTGTTTCACATCACGGTGGAGCCTGTCCCAATTCCTCCTGTGCTCTCTGCCCAGACCATCATCTCAACCTCTTCTCCCTTGGTTAACAGCTTCTTAGGCCTTCTAGGTAGACAGACAGGGGATTTTCTTTTTTTGAGGATTTTCTTTTTTTGAGATGGAGTCTCACTCTGTCACCCAGGCTGGAGTGCAGTGGCACCATCTCGGCTCACTGCAACCTCCACCTCCCAGGTTTAAGTGATTCTCCTGCCTCAGCCTCCCAAGTAGCTGGGATTACAGGCACCCACCACCATGCCTAGCTAATTTTGGTATTTTTAGTAGAGACAGGGTTTCAACATCTTAGACAGGTCTCGAGCTCCTGACGTCAGGTGATCCACCCACCTCGGCCTCCCAAAGTGCTGGGATTAGAGGCGTGAGCCACTGCACCCAGCTAGGACTCTTTTACTGAATCACAAACTCTATCCTCTTCCCCTCCCCACACATAATTTCTCCCTCATTAGAGGTGATCGCTAAGCACCTCATATATTTTCTTCTATCTTAATAGCGGTAACAGGCCTTTCACTTTCACTTAGTTTGTGAATCCTCCCAGTTCTGTGAACGTCTTAAGGGCAGGGGCTGGGCTATTCATGTTTGTATTCCCAGAACCTGGCACTAGGTCAGGCATATAATAGATGCTCCATTA
Source organism: Homo sapiens (assembly GCF_000001405.40). Classification (NCBI taxonomy): domain Eukaryota; kingdom Metazoa; phylum Chordata; class Mammalia; order Primates; family Hominidae; genus Homo; species Homo sapiens. The sequence goes on along the minus strand of NC_000011.10, from coordinate 83,695,210 downwards.
CACTGCTGCTGACTCTCTGGAATAAATATAGCTTCCATAACCCTTCACAGTGAATTAACTCAACTTATGGTTTTCTTTAAATTAAGCCTCACATGGAATGATAGTTGAATTATGTAAGACTTAAAGGAAAGAGAATGTATTTAAAGAAAACCAGCTCTTGAAAATGCCTTACTTTTATAGGTGGTGAACAAATATTTCGTAGCAACCATGGGATAATGTATCAGCATATTGGTAATGCAAAGTAGACGGGGCCACTGAATGTGTCTCTGAAGCTCTTTGCCACTGCCTTCCCACTGCGTCTCTCTTTAGCCCCCAGTTTACTGAAAGAAGTCAGTGTGGTTACCTATTCGGTGAAAAGAACTTGTGCCACATTCCGATCTTTCATCGTGGAGTAGATTTTCAGCTACATTTCCAGCTCCGTTGTTAAACCCATTCCTGCCTGATTTGCCAATTGCTAAAGTGTTCATTTGTTTTATTTATTTATGACGCGAGTCCCTTGGGTTCAAAAATCGCTTCAAAATGCTACTGCTCCATCTGGTTTAAATAGAGCATACTAGGAAGAAATAAGAGAAACAATGGGACCGTGAGGTTGAAGGAAGAAAGGAACAGTCTGGCAAACAGGAAGCAGAAGGAAATTAAGATTCTTTTTTCTTTCTTTATGACTTTGTGCTGGGGGGAGGGAAGCTATTTTCAGCAAGAAGATATGGTTGCTATCTGGAAGTTCACATTTCTATCTGCAATGATCTGATATTCAAAATCTATGAGGTCTGAGTCCATGAATGACTGTGAATCATGTTCAGGCAGGCTAGTCTCCAGGGCCGGGGACAATGGCCTTTGTTCTTCCCTTTTCTTATCTGTTTCATTATTCTCTTAGGCACTTAATATGCTGAACACAGGCAGCCCTGTAGGATGTTCTTTCCACGCAAGGGTAGACATTTTGGCTTTGGACTTTCTAGATTCTCCAGCAGAAGAGCCATTTACCTTGCTAATGCTTTTCATTTGTTTGAAGTCCTTGAAGGGCATGGTGGTGAGAGATTTAGTTAGAGTCCCAGCTCTGTTGCTTACTACCTGTGTGATCCTGGGGACACGGCTTTGCTTAACCTCTGAGCCTCAGTTTCAATAGCTCTCAAGTGGACCAATAATACTTATGTATTAAGCTTGTCAAGAAGATTAAACAAGCTATGTAAGAGGGCTTCACAGTAAACACTCAGGAATCAATAGCTATTTTTATAAGATCTGACTGTACTTCATTTTACATGCCCTTTGGGTTTTACAGCACTCCTCTGTGAGAAAGATACAGAAGGCATTTTTGGCCCAATTTGACACAATTGCATGAGGGAAGGGGCTCACAAACCCGAGAAACCCTGCTCCCAGTGATTGGTCCCTTTCCGATCTGTCACCTTTGGCTTGTGGTTGCATATCCTCTCTTCACCTTTTCTAAAGAATGACTCAGAGCTTTTCCTTTTGACAGCAAACCCTCTGAAAGAGAGACAATAGCAATCAAATACTTTGGCATTATTCACCCGGAGAGCTAAAAGCTGTCTCTGCCTTCCACATTTAGAGTGTAGGATACTGCTTTAAAAAGCACTAAGCAAGGACAAAACAATGTGATTGGGTCACATCTTTAATTTGTATTACTTTCCCTTTTATCAAAAGGGAAGTGGACAGGGTACGGTGTCCTCCACAAAGAAGGGTAGGAGAGAAGGGTGGAGCAGCAGGCACAGAGCTGCCTTCGCCGTTCCCACACCCTACTGCTATGCACGGTTTGATTGCGTGTTGCCTGCTGTTCATTTGGCCCTTCCTGAAGGGACTGGAGGGCAAAACAAGGACTCTGCTTCCCCAAAGTTGGGGAAGGTAATTAGAAGCTGCATACTACACTCAAACTGTCCAGTGACTATTCAACAGTACTAAAATAATGCTCAAATTCACCAGACAACTTTTCCTGTGTGCACTCATGCCCCCAGACCCAGCATGGTCAGCCAATCTACAGTGAATTTATTTCAGGCATGTGACAAGGGCTGACACTTCTCCTCAATTTGGTACTGTAAAAACTAACAATAATATGTTAGTTATAATAATACCAGTAGCTGTTACAATCAAAACTCAAAAAAAGGTTTAAACAATTAGAAGCTTATTTACTTTCTCAGAAAGTCTAAAGCCGGTCTTCTTGGCTAATGGGCAACTCTCCCCTGGTCAGTGATTCAGGAACTTTGGCTTTTCCACACTATGGCTCCTTCATCTTCAACATGTAGCTCTGAAGCCAAAAGATTCATTGCATCAAGCTAGTAGAAGGGAAATAACATGAAGGCTTGTGAGGGGATTATTTTTATGGGCCAAGCTTGTTCCCTTACATTGGCCAGAACTCACATTCCCTTGGCCCAGACTCAGACACATGGCCACACCTAATTTTTAGGGTAGAGTCTAGTTTTGTGCTCTAGGAGAAGAGGAAATGAGTTTGGTGAACCAGATAGTCTCTGCCTCAAAGTAGTAATGACAAAAATTAACATTTATAAAGCATTTGTTTTGTGCCAGGCATTGGCTAAGCCCTTTACCTACATTATTTTTAAATTCATATACCATATTATTCACTTGTTTAAAATATACAATTCAGTGGATTTTATTATATTCACAGAGTTGTGCAACCATCACCACAATTTTAGAGCATTTTCATCATCTCCAAAAGAAACCCCATAACTATTAGCAACTCCTCATTTCCTCCCACCCCCTACCTCCAGCCCTAGGCACCATCAATCTATTTTCCATCTATATGGATTTGCCTATTCTAGGCATTTCATATAAACAGAATACCTACATTCTTTTATATAACCCTCACCATGATCCTAAAAGTTAGGCATGTTATTACTTCCATTTTACAGATAAATTTACAGAGAATCAGGCTGTTTAAATGATTTGCCAATAATTTTAAGCCCTGCTCATCATTGAACTCCATTATGCTGTACTGCATCCCAGTCATATCATGCCATGATTTGTTGCAGGGAAGGGGTGTTTGTTTGCTTGTTTTCTAATGACTATTATGGCAACAAACTGACTTCTTTATAACAGGCTCCTTTACTGAAATGACAGGCACTTAGGTGTCAGAAAGCTTCAGGTTTGAAACTCAGATCTACCACTTACCGGATACATGAAAAATATACACTGCTTAGTTCCTCTTGAGTCCCAGCATCTTTATCTATAAAATGGGAATAACAAATTCCTGTTTGCGGGGAGGAGTCAATGAGATTAACATATGTGAAAGCTCTTCTCACAACTTTACGTAGTCCATGTCCTGCCAGTGTAGTTGTCCTTGCTTAGAAGTGAAGTTCTAACTATAATTGGGCAGCCACAGAAATTATGTTCACATGTCTGGTCTTCTGGATACCGTCCAGGAAAAAATTATTGTAACTTGCACTTTTCGGTATCCACGTTACAACCCAGGAGTGGCCGAGACCCTTGGAGAATCTGCTACAATGAGAATGAGAAAAAAGGGAACATATTCTCCAGGACAGCAAAGCATATGCAGAGTATCTTCTATCGGCTTCTGATCTCCACTGGGCAGAGCAGCTTGTTACAGGCACCTAGAACCAGCTGAGCCAGTGTAAGTTTGAAGTTCGTTGGGAAAGAAGATAAGCTGGCTGAGTTTCTGTAGGCAAAGAGCCAGTAATGAGGTTTCCAGCATTCCATCACACGTCCTTTTCATCACTTTCAGCTCAGCCAGAGACAGCAGAGCCTCATACGCAGGGGCCAAGTGTGTATTTGAGAGACTCGAAGAGGGAGAATGAAAAGTATTGTGAATGAGTGAATTGTACTTTTGTTCCATTGACCTGTTCCCCACCCTACCCTGTCCTTAGCCATAAATATATTAAAAGCTAGATAGGAGAGTACAGAGAAGACAGTGGAGGCAGTGGGGAAGTTATATTACGTGTGGCTAGTTAAGTTACATAGCCAGAAGAGGCCAGAAGAGAAAAGTGTCCTGAACTCTAGGTGAGATCAAGTGCATATTTCAGCCTTAAAAATTTATCCTAAAAACCTCTGATTCTGCCATTTCCTAAGTGCATGGAGAAGTGACAACCTCTCTGAACCTACATTTCCAGATAGGATTGTTATTGGAACCATGACTTAGAGCCATGCAAGCTGCAACGTGCACATGTCCAGTAGACTCCAGTCATATACACAAGGGGCCAGCAAACTTGTTTTGTCAAGGGCCAGATACTAAGCATTTTATATTTTATAGGGCATACAATCTTTATTGAAATAGTCAACTTTGCCATTGTAGTGCAAAAGCAGCCATAGACAATACATAAATACATAAATGGATGTAGCTGTGATTCAGTAAAACTATTTGTGGTCATGAAATTTGAATTTCATGTAACTTTTATATAAAAGTTTCATACAAAACAGTATTCTTTTCTGATTTTTCTTTCCACAAACTGAAAATGTGAAAAACATTCTTGGCTTATAGACTATATAAAAATGGACAGTGGGACAGATTTGCCTGCAGGCCATGGTTTGCAGACACCCCCCCCACCCCCACCCACAGCATGGACCGAAATGTTTGATACCCTCTACAGAGGTATAATATGGTGTCCAGATTATTGTAAAGAGCAAATAAGTACTTGTAAAGGCATTAATGTAGTGTCTGCCCCTTATAAGTGTTCAGCAAGTGGTTATTATTACAATTAGCTCTTTTAGAAATAATGAATATTGACTCTCTATTTGCCACTGACCTTTGAGGGGGGAGAGCCATTACATTTAGGTTGTTTAACATTTCTACTATATTAAACTTGTATTATAATTAAAATATATATTAAAAATAAAAACTAAAAAACTGGTTTGTACAGATAGTGGCACTAGTAGGCCACAGAGTTTTTGGGTTTTTTCTATTGTCCCAGTGTTGCTTCTTCAATTCCTAGATATTTCTTTAGTGCTTGGTCTGTGCTTCTGGGTGCTCCATAAATGAATGAGATTAGGTCTTTTCTGTCTAGGAGATCTTGGTATTCTTCAAAGTGATTATACGCACCCCAGTGGTAGCCAAGACCTTCTCTTTTTATTAATTTTTCATCACAGCCTTTAAATTTCTGTTTTGTTATATGTTTTATAGTGTGCCACACTGTGACACAGTAATACAGTTACACAATAATTTATAATATTTTATGTATATAAAAATACATAATTTATATTTACATAAATATTTATTAAATATTATAATAAATATAATATTATAATAAATATATTATAATATAAATATATATTATATAAATATATATAATATATATTATATATTTATGTAAATATATAATATTTACATAAATATATTTATGTAAATATCAATTATGTAAATATTAAGATAATGGGTGAGTATGCAAAGTGATTTTAAATGATGGTGTCAGCAAGCAAAGTTTTGAAACCACTGGTTTAGGAAGCAAACAGATGAATATATCCCAATGGGAAACCAGATTTGGTATGAGTGATGAATGTTCTTATTCACAATGACACAAGTGTTTTCAGGACATAAACTGACATTTAGTCTGGTGTCTTGTTTTGACATTTAATGTAAGTACATTGTGTGAGAAACAAGATAGTTTACATTTTTTTTATTTCATAAGAACACAACAGCTATATGAACTAGATAATATTATCCTCATTTGATAGATGAGGAACCAAGGTTTAATTCAGAGAAGTTAAGCAACTTGCAAAGGTCAGCTTGAATGAATCAGGACTGTCTAACTATAAAGCATGACATTTTCCACTTTAGCCTTCATTGCATTGAAGAAGTTCATAAAAAAAGATGATTAGTCTCTGGTATTCCTACTATCAAGTTAGTCTTTTTTTCCATCACATGTACTTATGTTATTAAGTGCTAAATGGATAAAATTTCACTCCTCCAGAGTTCCGTGGTTAACCCCCCACCATCTCTTTGCATATGCTTCTTACTCTGATTGCAACACTTGTTGTTTGGATATCTCAATATCTCCTACTCATCTATTAAGACCCAGCTTAAGACTCATCCTCTCCTTCCAGAAGCCTTCATGACCTCAGTCTCCAGACTGAGTTATTAGATGCCATTGCTCTCAACCTCTATAGCACCTTAATGAAAGTCCTTATAAAAATATGCTATGCAGCTGTGTAGTTAGCTATTATCTATTAAATTTATTACTCCCTGGACTGAGAGCCTAAGGAGAGGGAGAATATGACCTTGATTACATCGTTCTTCTGGCATTCAACGTAATAATGTAGTGCCTGGGACATCGTAAGCCCTCCATATATACTCACAGAATGAAGGAATCTCTTCTTTACTGATTTGAAGTCTGAGATAACTTTGGCAAAGGGATAGATTGAAGTGGTCTTAACTAAGGTTTCTCAGGATAGGACAAATTGGTGGTCCCCAAATTAGATTATAGGGGACCAGATAATAGATAAACAAAGAAGGCAAACTCTTATATGTAGGAAGGCTTTCTCCTTCTGAGTTTTCTCAGAAATTGAAGAAGGTACACACAATCATACCACTCAAATTTATATTAATGATGTATATGACATCAATATATATTAATTTCTATATATACTTATGTTTATATGTATGCACACATACTCATGAACACGAATTCATAAAAATAGACTGCCACAATTTCTATAAACTGTCATGGGGATCACTGAATGTTCAATAAGAGGGTGAAGTTTATTAACACTCTCCAGGCTGGTCCATCTTGCAAAGTCATCCAGTTGCTGTAAATCTCCCTTAGTCCTAAAGTCGTTTCCCTTCTGGATGCATAAATCTTCACTTCTTTCTTTGAAGGGAACTAGCATTTACTGAAAGCTTTTTTATGGTGTTCTAGATACTTAACAAAGGTGATCTCATTTAATCCTCAGACATTCGCACAAGCCCACAAATCCTGAACCCGAAAGAAAATGGATCAAGTCAAAAGCAACTCAAGAATTTTACTGAAAACTAGGAAATCTATACTAAAAAGGAAGGGGACAAGACTAAGGAAATTTCTGAATAAATGAATATTGTTAAATTCAAACAAATTCGTTGCGTGGGATTATATCAGAATAATTTCGTGGTAATTAATTGAGATTGTGACCATTAACGTGGACACTTTGTTTATGAGCAGGGACCTCTACAGTTGATTGAGAGCACAGCTTCTTCTCTCTACCAAGTGTGTTACTGTTTGTGAAGAGCTTCCTTTTTTTTTTTTTTCTTTTGAGACAGGGCCTTGCTCTGTCACCCAGGCAACACAAGTGCAGTGACGTGACCATACCTCACTGTAGTGTCAGTGTGGCTCTCCTGGGGTCAAGTGATCCTCCTCCCTCAGCCTGCTGAGTAGCTGGGACTTCAGATGTATGCCATCATGACCAGCTGGTATTTTTTGTTTGTTTGTTTGTTTTAGTGGAGATGGGGCCTCACAGTGTTGCCCAGGCTGAGGACTTGTTTCATAAAGGGGACAGCATTGGAACATTTGTCTTCAGACATTTATGTTTCATAAACCAGAAACATTTCAGAACAAACTTCTATAGGCCACAGAATTGCCAACTTTTTATCTTGTCAATAAAATGAAAGACATTAAAAAACAAAATAAAAATTTACGAAAAAAATCCAACTACTGTTTATTCTCACCATCATTTCAGAAGTAAAAAGAACAATACCAAAACAATAGGAAGAAAAAATAAATAGCAGGAAGGCAATAATTCTATAATAAAAGAAGGTCATTTTAGCTCAATGAAAAATCACTGCATCCTACTTCCTTTTCTCAGTCTGCTCTGGACCAACAAGGGCCAGGGACCAGTGTCTAAGAACCACCGCCACTGTGCATAGACTTTGAAGCGGTACAGATTTTGATTTAAAGCCCGGCCCTGCCAATTTCTAGCTGTGAAACCTGGGGCAGGTTACTCAACTTTTCTCAGCTGCGATTTCCTCATGTACTAAATGAGGATAATATCTCACTGACTATACTCATTTCCTAAGGCTGCTGTAACAAAGTACCGTAAACTGGGTGGCTTAGAACAAGAGAAATGTATTGTTTCAACATTTTGGAGACCAGAAGTCTGAAATGAAGGTGTTATTTTGGCCATTCTTCCTGCGAAGGCACTAGGGAAATACCTGGTCTAGGCCTCTTCTCTGCCTTGTGGTAGTTTTTGGGTTTGTGGCACCATAACTCCCATCTCCACAAAACATTCTCCCTGTGTGCACCTCTGTGCTCAAATTTCCTGTTTTTATGAGAACATCAGCCATATTGAACTAGATGGAAGTAGTGGCCCACCGTATTCCAGTGTGACCTCATCTTAACTAATAACATCTGCAACAATTCTATTTCCCAATAAGGTCACATTCTGAGGTACTGGGGGCAAGGACTTCAACATGTGAATTTTGGGGTGACACATTTCAACCCACAACATTGACCAATCTCTGGAATTGTTGTATCAAAGTCATACACAGGATAGGCTGAATATATTAGAAAGTACCTATAAAGCATCAGAAAGAAAAATAAGGGAGGGTTGTTTGTTTTTAAAAAACAAGTTATAATTGAGAAATTTATAATGTAGGGACAGTAAGAAATTTGTGTAAGGATATAGGACTAAGAAGTAGTGAAGATAAGACTTCAAATACATTCATTTAATAAATACATATTACATATAACATTCATTTAATGTGTACATATTATGTGGCAAGTCCTGTTCTGGTGCTGGAGATTCAACCAAGGACAAAAAAGACAACGACCCTGGCCTCATGGAGCTTACATTCTAGTTGGGTAGAGGAGCAAAAGTAAAGAAATGAACAAAGAACTATAAAATATTTCATATATACATTTAATATACAATATTTAGTATATAATGTTTAAGCAGAGATAAGTACTATAAATTTTTTAGAAGTCTAATAAGAGGGAGAGATAAATGGAGGAATAGAGGATGCTGTTCTATACAGGATGTCAGAGAAATCTCTTCTTCCAAGGAGACACTTGAGCAGATGGAATTCTGGCTGCAGTGAAAGGAGCAAATTCCAAGTGAAAGGGGAGCTGCTGAAGGGAGCTGAGCAAGGAGTGTTGGTGTCTGAATTTTGTTTTAAAAACATGGCTGGCTGCTGTGTGGAGGAAGGGTGGCGGCAAGGCAAGAATGGAAACAAAGAAACCAGTGAGGAGGTGGTTGCAGAAATCCATGTGAGAAATGATAGTGGTATAGATTAGGGAGATGAGGGTGGAGATGGAAAAAAGACAGAGGGTACATTTTGAAGACAGAGTTGACAGGATTTGATGATGAATAAGGCATGGGGTGTAAGATAAAAAGGAGAGTCAAGAATGACTCCCAGGTTTTTGGCCAGAGCAACTAGGTCAATGATTGCGCCATTTATTTAAATGGTGCATACTGGGAGTAGAGCAGATTCAGGAGAGGAAACCAAGAGTTTAGTTTTGAGCATTTTAAATATCAGAAGCCTATTATTAAACAATCAAGTAGAGATGCTTAGATGTGGTATGCAGCTGGATATAAGAGTCTGGAGCTTAGAGCACAGATTGAGACTGGAGATCTACATGTGGTAGCCTTTGATCTACAGATGGCATTTTAGTCTTGATACCGGATGGCTAGCCTTGGGAGCGAGTATAAAAAAGAAGTCTAATGACAAACTTGGGGACACTCAAATTTAAAATATCAGAAAGCAGAGAAGCGCCCAGCAAAGGAGACGTAGAAGGATAGATTAGTGAAGTAGGAGAAAAACCAAGGGGGTCTTGATAACCAAACAGAGACAATGATCGATTCAGGGAAGTTGTAATTGATTCTGCCAAATGCTGGGAATGGTTGAATAAACTGAAAACTGTGCACCGGATATTGATTTTGTGAGTGACAATGTTTTCATTTACCTTGATAAGAACAATTGTAGTGGGAAGCCTGATTGAAGTCATTAAAGGAGAGAATGGGATGTGAGGAAGTGAAAACAGACACTAATGTTTTATGTTACCTGTTGCCGCAAGTGCTTAGAAGCAGTGGATATGAGATTTAAGAGAACAGGTGCTGTGGTCTTAGACCTCAGCTATTATTGTGACTGTGCCATCTGTTAGTAAGTTACCTAACCTTTCTAGCCAGAGTCCTCACCTATACGGTAAAGATAATAGTACAGACCATTTCAAAAAGTTGTTGTCAAGCTTAAATGAGAGATATGCATAAAGTTTTGTATATTGTCAGCCCATAATAAGTGCTCAATAAATACTAGCACCATCACTAATTTAAGCAAAATATTGATACAGCTTCAAGGTTCTACATAATTCATTATGTCTGAGAGTAATTGTTGGTTGAAGTGGTAATTATGAAAGAATATGTATAAAATTATGATTATTCGTGACAGGGGAACAGAGAAATGCTACAATATAAGAGTTATCATGACTCATATATATTAATTTTTCATGGAATGATGGTGGTATAGCCAGGTAGCAGGGGAAAATGGACAGGGAAGAAATGGCTCCTGAGGGGATTTGGGGGCTAAATGTAGGTGGAAGGCACTGAGAAGACTTCGAGACCAAGCCATTTCAGATAATAAGTGGATACCTACTTCAGACATATAGGAAGTAACCATTGATCTTGTAGCTGTAGTTATCACCTGTTCTTTGTTTACATCTGACTTTTCTTACCAGTTTAGAAGCACATGTCTTACTCCACCCCTTACCTCCAATTATATTTCTTACCTCTGCTCCTATAGTACCTACTATTAAGTATGGTCAGGAAAGACGGCATCTCATCCATGCGTATTCCAGACCTTCTAGTAAGACGCTCAGAGGAAAAGCTAAACAAAGAGAGAACAGACTGTATGTGAGCAAATTAAGTTGGCCACAGAGTTATTCTCTGGAAACATGGAGCTAAGAAAATCTCTCATGTCTAAACCTGCATATCCTGCAACATTACAGCATCACCTTGTCCCACAGAGGGTTACTTCTGATGGCTCTCAAGGAATGCTGACTGCATACCTTGAAGATAGCAGTTTCTGATCGGGAGGAGCTCATCAGATAGAGACCTCACCAGTGGCCAAATACTAGGTTATACTGACTTACGGTAGGAGTTAGCAGTGGAACGTTCAAGACAGAGATACCTGTCTTCCTGCTTGGCACACCATGACTTAGTGGCTGTAAGTGTATAGTTACATATAAAAGTTCATTGTTTTTATGGGTTTTGTGGTAGGAGCTTGTTTGAAAAGGGTGAGAGAAGCCAAGATGGTCTCACAGTGGATAGCAGACATGTTGCAAATTTGCTTTCTTGGGCTGATGAATTTATTTGAGTAATGGTGGAAGTAAAGCAGAGAGAAGCTAGTGAGCTGGGCCAGCAGCCCAGCACAGAGCCCTGGGCCCTTCATTCTCTTATAGAAAGCCCATCTCTGGTAGAGAGATGTTAGGTCTCTTTAGGGCTTTTTCCCCTTCACTGACTGGCAGGTTAGAAGACTCCTTAGCACAGTAAAATTAACATCTTAAAAGGTAGTTGAGGGAGAAGGTGTGGCAGAAATTCATTTTGTCAAAGGAAATACGGCAGGAATGAGAACCATTTGGGGGTACATACTATAAACTAGGCACTATATTTTCTTGATATTCTCCATTTAGTCTTGTGATGTACGTTTCAATATACCCATTTTACAGATAAAACAATCTGCGTTTTAGTAAATTAGTGGCAAAGACAGGGTTAAACACAATTCTGTTGAATTTCAAAACTTATCTTTTTATCCTTTCTACTAAAGGCCATAGTAAATCAGTCTGCTCTCATTGTTCATCTGCCTCTAGCAGTTTAGTGTAAAACACTACTTGGGGCCAGATAATATATATGAGTCTGGGCTTTGAAACTAAATTGCGTGGAGTCCATTAGAGCTCTGCCACTTAACAGATATATGATCCTGCGTGGATTAGTTGACCTCCCTGAATCTCAGCTTCTTCTCTGCAATATGTTGCTCATGATAGTACTTACCTTACAGGGACATTTTGAAGATTGAGTCAATACATGCTAAGCATTTAGAATACTGCATGGCACCTAAAATGTGTTCAATAGATATTAGCTATTATTATCCAAAACATATTTTCCAGTGCTGTTATTCGATGAACCTAAAAAGGTTAAACTGACCTTGTCAGGGAGGGAACAAAAAGCTCAGGCACTGCTCCCCATGAAGCCTGCCTATTAATGATTTTTGGTCAACAGTACTGTTTATGATTTCCAGTCTTCTCGTTTGCTGGGCTTTCATGCTCCAGAGGCAGCATGGTAGAATAGAAAGGCACTGTACTTTGCCATCAGAAGACCTGGGTTTGGGTTCAAGTTCAAATCACACTTTGTGTGACCTGGGCAAGTCACTTTATCTTTCTTGCCAGGGGTTCCTTATCTGCTCAGTAAGGGGGTAGGACTCCCTAATCTCTAGGACTCCTTGCATTCCATAAATTCAGTGAATACCAAATAAAGCCATTTAGTCTCTCTGATCTCTGGTGCTCATCTGTACTGTAGCACTCCTGATACCTTCTTTAGTCACTGAGAGACTCAGTGAGAGTGAAAGTGTTTGGTAGACTGTGACAGGCTATGCAAATATAGGAGTTGATCCTTACTATTAAGAGCTTTAACCCTGAGTAATACGCCTTGCTGTATGTGCATTGGTGCAGGGGCTTTTTCCACATTTTGTTGTCTTTGCCTACTCCTCACTGAGCTGGGTGGATCCACCTTAACAAGGTGTAGGGGAACACGAGCAGAGGATGGGGGTACACTACTGATGGTGGGAAAGCATCTTATTGGTTAATAGTGGTACATCCCAAACACCAATTACTGTCACTGCTTCTAAGGCTGATATATTTATCAGGATGAGTTACAAGGAAATATATGTACCCAGTGAGCGAGAATGCTGCATGGTCACCCCCTGTGATGTAAAATATGAGAATCTAGGAGGGGCTGTTTTATAATTCATCAGGTTCCGCTAGTGAGTTCTGTCAGAGTCTTAGTTATAAAGGCAAGTGTGAACCGGACAGCAGACAGGAGAACCTGGCACCAAGGAGACGGAGAAGCTGCCTTTGGTGCCTCCTGCCTCCTCCCTGCTTTGTTCCAATAATTTTGTGCTCGGTAAGTTCCTGGCTTTGCAGCTAATCGTTGTTGTTGAATAAGCTTGGCAAACGTACCCATAGTTTGGAATAGGCACTTGCTGTCAGAAGTGTGTGTCAGTGTTTGGGCTCCTGACAAATTCCACAATTTCCTTTTAACGAGCAAAATAGCTTAAAAGATGAAAGAAAAGCCGATGAATCAATTATTCACCTTGATCCTTGGAAGGCTGCTTTCTTTGGTTGCTAAAGTTTCTCAGGTTTCATTCTATCAGTTTCATTTGTTGGGTGAGCTTTGAAAAAAACAAGTCTCTTTGTCACGAAATTGTTTTTCTTAGCTGCCAAAAGGAGGTATGTACAGGGTGGTTTGTCCATCCCCACCCCACTAATTCACTCTCCTCAGCAATCGGCAAATCTTAAAACAGACTGTTTGCCTGGTAACCAGCTCCAACTGAGCTGAACCTGTGCAAGGCAAGATTCAAATTGCAATCTTTTGTGTGAACAGAACAGAGGGGCTGTGAATAATTGGCATTGTGGCGATTATTGTGAAACTCAGTATGGTGGTAGTCCTGCGTTTTGCCGGGATGGGATCAGAATCCAATGAGATTTGCATTTGGCGTGCCTGTTGATGATGTGGGAGAGGGAGTGAAAGAAAAGACTAGATCGTTATGGAAAGAGCTGTACGACGTACCCGCAGGACGGACAAATGCAGAAGGCATGACTGTTGTATTTGCATGACTTGTGGCTGGCTGTTTTCTCTAGTTTCATTATCACCATTAACAATTACCTGAAGCTGCATTTTGGTCTCATTTGGGTGGGCTCCGGGTATTTGCTCCAGGTCCTAGCTCCAGGCGGGATGCGTGCTAACTCCTGGTCAGCTAACTATAGGAAGTCATTTCCTCTTCAGAAGGAAAGAGAAGTGAAAGCTGTACCTTCTTAGACTCTCTGCTGTGTTGTTTTGCCTCTGTCCAAATCTCATGGAAACCGACAGCTTGACGTACTTTTTTTTGCAATAGCAGATTTAACTCTGGTGTCATATGGCATATTATATATGGAGAGGAGTAGCAAGGACATTTTTTTCAAATGTTTCAAGTGTGTCTAGCTTGTTGACATTTGCTTTATTTCACTGGCAAGTAGCTACTGTCTTCTAAACCCATAATTGTTTGTCCAAAGTGTTTACCTGTACACTATTGTAATTTCTCTTTACATGTAGAATCTGTAGATGTGACAAATGTCCTCTTTAACCTCAAAGAAAGCAACTCATTTTAGCATCTCTTTGAAAAAAATGTATGCATTTTTTTCACCAAAGACTTAGCTTACTCATTGCTTTATTTTTTGCATAAATATTTTGGTTATCGGCACCACCACACTTCCAATAAAGTTATTTCTCCTTTCTTAGTATACTTTCTGATTATACCAAAAACTTGGCAGATTTGAAAATGGAATATATATTTTTTCAGGAACACTTTTTTGTTCATGCTTCTTTTGTCCATAAATAGCTTTTCCATATTTTCCGTTTCTCTGAATAAGTTCTGCTTAAAGAGCAGAGGAGTGATGTATTGTGGTTGGCACTTAGGGGTGTGTAACCTGAGACTTGGTTTCTAATCCACAAGCGGCTGCCCCACAAGGGGTCTGTAAAATGTCTTATGTTTGGCTCAAAGCTTCTGGATAGAGCAATAATGATTAAGATAGGAGATTCAGCAAATCATCACAGATACAAATGAACATCTGTGTTTGATGCTCCAGCCAGCCTATGACATTTTTTAAAGCTTAGGTCACACAGCTGAAGGGTCCTAAAAGTGTTAATATACCTTAATGCCAAGAACAAGGTAGTTTATTTGTTGTAAAGTACCTTTGAGCTGCACTGTACATTAAATTTTTTAAAATTACACGCCACACTCCACGGTTTATTTTACAGCAGTATCTGGGTTTTGATTCAGTGTGGTTTTATGGAAAAATAAACCTATGTACCAATCTCAACAAACTGAATTTCTTCTCATTTGGTGGTGGTTTTTCTATTTTCTCCACCCACCCGTGATGAACTCTATTTATAGCAACAAAAGAAAATTTAGTATGAGTTATTCCCAATTAAATTTACAGCAAGGCAAATATAAGCTGTGACAAGAACCCTCTTACAGGACACATACACACAAAACCATGTCTCTCAAAACAGGATTAAAAGCGAAAGAGGCAAATGTTAATTTTGCCTACGTGACACATATAATTTCCTTTGAGAGGGTAGGGAAGGTGGCAAAAAGGACAGGTTTAAAGGTGCTGTTCAAAGACCTGGCTCAGCAAGGTGTAAATGGAAAGGGCAGGGGTTCTGTGTCCCCAACCAAGTATTATTGTCTGCACCTCACACTCTTTATCTGTAAAATGGAGGAGGGGAAAATTAGGAGAATTAAACCAAATTGATGATGTAGGTAAAGCAAATAGTATACTGTTTAGCACAAAGTGATGCCCAATGAAAGGTAATTATTATTGTTGTAAATTGTATTTTGTCAAATACTTTAACTCATTTTGATAGATGTTGATTTTGAAAGAAATTGGCATGGTAAACAGGAAGATTATACAATTTTTTAAATTAACCAGATAGACTTCTTATAACTAGATCATTTTGTGTTTTTGTTTTTATTTTGGAAACTTAGTAAAAACAGGGTTATTACCTTTCTGTTCACTTTTAACTAATTCCTAGGATAGTATCCAAAATCCTTACATAATTATTCAAAGAATACATTTTATTTCAAATAGAGAACATGGAAATAAACTGATGCCAAATAACATATCATAGCTTTCCACGTTATTTGCCAAATAACAACTAGGCCAGAATTCCAGCCCTAACATTGTATTAAAATACCTGACAATACTAGTAAATATAGTTTATGATGTCCCAGGCACTGTGCTAATGGTTTGACAAGCATTTTCTCATTTAATCCTCCTCACTACCCTACCAGGTAGATCCTATTTTGCTTTCCGTTATCAAATGAGGAATTGATAAAGAAAATTTTGTTTAAATATACTACTAATGTAAATTGGCATATAGCAGTGCTAGGATTTAAACCCACGCCTGTCTGATTTCAGGATCCACACGATGACCAACATGTTGGAAGTATGCAATAGAGTTTGCCCAGCTCTTCACACTTCCATTTTGGGATCTTGGCCCCATATCTGCTTTGATTCCTCTCCTCATATGTTTAATCCCTCTCAGAGTTTAGGGAATATTTTAAAAATGAAGTTGGGGATTTCCTTGCTCTCACTTTTGGTCTATGCCAGTTAAGATCACATTTTCCTGAGCCATCTCTCCTATTTTTACCGAAGTATAAAATTTGATATAAAAAATGAAACATAAAAAGTTCGTAAATCTACCAAATTCAAGGCAAGCTCTGAAAGTTACCCTAAATCAGTACCACCCTTTGAACTGAGCAAATTTCCCCATATCTGTGGCTTTAGAGGAGGCTGTAGGCCAAGAGGATGGGCTCACTTAGATCTTGCTCTCTGTCCCTTCTGGATCACATTCAGGGTAAATAGGACCCAATAATTTTTTCCCCAAACATTCCTAAGCTCACTTTCAAGAGGTGTATGATGTGCCTCCCCAACCCGTTGCCCCTGAGTCTGAGGGGAAACCAAGAGCCTTCTATTTGCATGAGGGTAGGAAATAGGGCAAGGGATGGATGCTGTTAATCACTGCTTGCACTCATGAGCTGAGATGTCCACACATCTGCATGAAAGGTCTTTTGTAGTGCAGGAAGAAACTATGAAAAAGAAGAAGGGCTAGCCCAGGACTGGGAGCTTCTGCTTATGTTCTTGTTCTGGGTCCCAAAAATATGAGTCAGCCTACCTTGAGTTGCAGAACATTTACTTCTATTTCAGAGTAGTAAACTAAAATTCCACTGCGTTGGTTTTGTGGGGCTTTTGTCTGTTTTTGCTTTTGACTTTTTTCCTCCATTAACCCAAAAGAAATCATTTGAAGAAGGAAGTGGTCAAAACAATGATGATCTCAGGTTCAAGGGAAGACATTGGCTTTTCTAGTTCAGAGGGCATAGTCTTACTTTGGAAAGCAATTTTAGGATTGGCTGGATTAAAACTGTCTGCCATTTGTCTTTTAGGGCACTTGAAAACAGTTGCTTGGAGAGACCCTAGCTAATTTCAGGTGTATTTTCCTTATCTCTAGTTTTAAATTGCAATTGTAACACTTAGAGCTGAGGACTAATAGAAAGCTGCCTGAAGCATCCAAGTGGAACCCTGCCTCACAGGGGAGGTTCCGCCTGTAGGAAGAGTCAAGTCAAAGCAGAGATGGCTATCAATGTCTTTGTGTGGCCTTATGCCATTACTACAGCCCCTTCTGTTTAGTGCATCATTCTCCCAATAGTTCCTTTTCATCTTATGTCACATTGGAGACAAAGACCCTCCTAAGGAGAATTAACAGCCAGGAGTTCTAAGCAACAAATCTTTTTGTAATTACTAAGAAATTTGAGGTTTGGGGGATTTTGTTTTTGTTTTTTAATGAAATGAAAGCTATTATGCAATTAACATGAATGATTTTTTCCTTTTATTTTTATTTCTTTTAGTATTATTTTCACAAAGTAGTTTTCTAGGTGGGAAGACAGAATGCATTGTTGGAAGTATTCCCTACTACTAAACCTTGCAACTTTGCTTTCCTTAGCTATAAAGCAGGTATAGCAATTCCTGTCTCAGGAAGTTGGGAAGATGTAAATGAGATAACTTTATTTCCCAGTATTAGCTATGCTCTCCTCCATATGAAAGTATCTGGCACAGTAAATACTTAACGCATAGTATGCCTACATTAAGTGTTTACCCAATCTGAAAATACAGCAGTTAAATTGATGACTCTGTGAAGACTAATGGGTGCCATATTTATTTTGCCTGGAAGAGTTGGTAGTAGGGATGGTGCAAAGAGGTAACAAACAAACAAAAGCAAGACAAAGCATGCCTTTAGTGGTAGTATCTCCATTTTATTTTTAGTTTCTTCTTTATGTTTTATTTATCATTTGAACTTTTAATAAACATGAATCATTCATATGATTATAAGAAAAGGGAAAACACACTTTTAGGAAATTAGGGGAGAAAATAGCTGTTAGTATATTGTGAACATCTAACTCTGAAAGAGTCAAGCCAAATATCAAAAAAAATGCAAAATACTTGGGAAAGCCATGTGTTCTAGTCAGAATAATCCAGATTACCTTGCTTTGTTCGGTCGTTTTCTAGTTCATTTGTCTATTATTAGTTATTTATTAAGCATGGACCACGTGCCAAGTGCTCTGCTGGGTGATGAGATAACAAAGATGAAATATTTTAATCTTTGAACTCGAGGAGTTTATAATCCAAGGGACATGGATAAATGGGCCCTTAGTTGCAAGTGTGATTCCTTCTCAGCCATGACAGTAACAGATAAGGCTGCTTTCCATTGTAAGTAGTGCCAAGCTTGCAAAACAAAGTAGTTTTCTAGGTGGAAAGGCAGAATGCATTGTTGGAAGTATTCCCTACTACTAAACCTTGCACCCTTGCTTTCCTTTGCTATAAAGCAGACATAGCAATTCCTGTCTCACAGGCGGTTGGGAAGATATAAATGAGATAAGTTTATTTCCCAGTATAAGCTATGCTCTCATGCATATGAAAGTATCTGGCACAGTAAATACTTAACACATAGTATGCCTACATTAAGTGCCCACCCAGTCTGAAAATACAGCAGTTAAACTGATGACTCAAACTGACTTGCTCAACAAAGGGAATATATACTCATAGTGGTGATTATAACTTAAAAGTACATCAGTAAAGCTAGCTTCAAGAGATCTGATCCTGTAGCTCAGCTCACAATATTGTTAAGAAATCCCTTTTGGTCCTGCCACACTGCCTGTCTTTGTGTTAGCTTCATACCAAGACTAATTGCCCTCATGGCCCCAGGACAGTTGCCAGTGACTCCTAGACAACTTGTTTTCATAGTCACATCCAGCTAGAAAGAGATCCTGGCAATGATTCCTAGAATTCACTTTGAAGAGACTGGCTTATATCCACCCCTGAACATGAGACCAAATCTCCAGCCCCATTCTAAAGCTTAGGTAGGATAAAGACAGTCTCCCCAGGACATTATGAGTCCTTAACTGAAATTTGGCAGCTGTTGCTGTTAGGATGGGATGGTGGTGGGGAAGGATGCTGGAAAAGCATCCAGCAGCCATCTATAACTTGTGAAATGTACAATACATAATGTACAAATGTCTACTAGAGTTAGTACATAACATAATGGAATGAAGGCCAAGCATATGATGGTGCATGTCCTTAAATTGGCTTCCAGGAAGAGTAGGAGTTTGCTAGGGGAGAAGAAAGAAGGAAAGGATTTGAGGTAGAGAAAAATGCTCTTTGCAGTCACAAAAGCTAATGAAGTAATTGTTCAACTCGTTGCCTATCTTTACGTTGGCACTATTGCAGAAATCACCAGACAGCCAGAAGCCATGTGCCCAGTAGAATAAGGAACAGAAAACCTAAAGTATCAGTCTCACAAAAATTTGTTGTTGAAAAATGACCGTTGAATTATAAGCTAAACCACAGTCAAATGTTCTGATTCTTTACAATGTGGATACAGATTTGGAGTCAATCAATGTGAACTTTAAAATATATGTTACCAGGCTCAAGAATTATTGTATTTTGAACAAAATCATCATCATCTTCTTCTTCTCCTTTTTACTTCTGATTAAACCTGCTCAGAGAAGATTAATGACTTATGCAGTAACTCAAGTGTATTTGGATTTTGATATCATGATGTTTGTGATACTAAAAAATATGATAAGACAAATAAGAATATATTTTTGTACATGTGTTTGCTAATTGTATGGTGTATATCACTTTGCGAATGAGACATAGAGTAAAATATTTGTTAACAAAATGTCAATGCTTCAAAGAAAAATTAGACTTCACTCTGATTTCTGGATAATTCAAAGTTTATATAATTTATAAGTTCTTCAGCCTTTGGCAATAATCATTTCTTTCCACTGAGGAAGTAGAATAGTTCCTTCATTAAGATTGTACTTAATGGGCTTGGTAATAGTTTTCCGCTAAAATTTCTGACTCCAAATTTAATTAACTACACTTTGGATTGTTTTTCCACTTTTACAGCATAGAAGAGGAAGTGACAAAACTGTTATTTACTTTCTATCACAAGCGTGATCATACAGTTCACAATTTTCTGGCATCCAAATGCAATGATAAAACATTCTTTTTTCACTCATGAAGCTTGTCTCAGTGCTGTCAATCCACCTACCTGGTGGGTATGCTCCTAAATATTCATTTTTCTATCTAGCTTCTTTCCAAAGAACAGACAATAATAGCAATAAACAGAATCAAAGTATATTTCTTCTTGCCTCTTGCTTCTGGTGTATAAAATCTGTTCATAAAACCTGCATCCAGGCATGAGTAAGTGCTCCCAGCCTAGCTGTGTCACTGAGGAGCCCAAGACTTCTGTTTTCACTCAGAAAACATGCTTGAGTCAGAGAAGGGTGCAGTGACCAGGTAGGAAATGCTTCCCAGGGCACTGGCTTCTTCCTCTTCAGATTAGACAGTTCTTCAGTGCAGAGAAAGAAGCAACTAAAAATAGTGGAAGGGTGACAGATAATGTTTATTTAAAAGCACATATGTCATATGTCATATAAGCATTAAAAGGTACCATTATTACTATGGCATAACTTCATTTCCCCATAGCACAAACCAGATAAAATCTTCTTTGTCTTGTTTTGTGGCTTCCTTGTACAAATAGAGAAACTGTTCCTTGGATGAATTTCTTACCTTATCAGTAAGTGTGTTGAGTTCCTGACAAATAGAGGATGCCAAAGAAGTATCAAAGATGCCAGCACTAATATTCTGGCTGCAGGCAGTGCTTCTGCTTCTTAAAATATTGAAATATATTCTTGTTAGTAAAGAGCTTCTACCCTGGGCCCGCTGAGTGCTCCTCTACAAGCTGCTTCACACTGGAACCCCTGAATCCCTTCCCTAGGACTCTCACACATCTCCATGATTGAGCAACTAAAGCATTAATACCTGGCACAGCTAGTTGTAAATATTTTGACATCACTTCTATGTAATACTCATCTTATTTTTAAAGAACTTACGGCTACAATTAGGGAGAATAACATTTAGACACAGAAACAATGTGTAACTAAGTATTAAGATGTTTAAGGCAGCCATGTATGAGTTTTTAAAAAGTGGTAAAGGAGATATTTGAGGTTGTCTGGAAAGACAGGTCAGGGATTTGGATAGGGCAGAGGTAAAGGAGTAAAAGACAATGGCAGAATGTACAATTTTTAAAATTCATTTACTTAACAAATAATAACAAAATTCTCCATTTGTTTACTGCTGCTGTGTGCAAAGCACTGAATACATGTTATCTCATTTACTTCTCACAGTAGCACTATAAAAATAGAGGAGAAAATGAGGCTTGTTCACACAGTTGGAAAGTAGCAGGACAGCACATATGATACCCACCATTTCCCACAATGTTCAAGACACTGTATTAGGTGCTGGCATGGTGAATATGAAGATGTATCTTTCTACTTGTAAGGGCCAGTAGCAAACCCAAGGAAATATTGGCAGCCCCTTAATCGAACAAAAAAGTGCTAGTGGGCCTTCTACCATCAACAACCTCATTTTAAAATATTACAGGATAATGCATTATTGTCTTGCTTGCTTCAGTTGCCCCACTAGCAACATAAAGAGTAAAATGTGAGCCATAGGGTACTAGCTAAACTCATTATAATTTGATTATCTGATCTTCCAACATTAGTCTTCTCATGACCTTTTCATAACATAGGACGTTAGAAAAAGCAATAAAACACAGTCAAAATGTTTAGCCTATTGACAAAGTGTTGCTTTCCATCTTTAAATGGAAACTGAAAGAGCGAGCCTATTTATTAATGATTCTGTGGCAAATATTGCTTTTTTAAAAAACTCTCCAGTTATGCCCTGCACAACAATGAGCATGTGTTTGTCATGACTAAAAATTATATGGACAAATATATGTTTTTAGTCCAAAACATAGGCATTGCCTCATTTCTTACTAAAATACCTCACAGAGAGTTTTTTTTGTTTGTTTTGTTTTGCTTTGTTTTGTTTTTGAGACAGCCTTGCTATGTCGTCCAGGTTGGAGTGAGTGCAGTGGCGCTATCTTGGCTCACTGCAACCTCCGACTCCCGGGTTCAAGTGATTCTCCTGCCTCAGCCTCCCGAGTAGCTAGGACTACAGGTGTGTGCCACTACATCCAGCTAATTTTTTTGCATTTTTAGTAGAGACGGGTTTCACCATGTTGGTCAGGCTGGTCTCACACTCCTGACCTCGTGATTCACCCGCCTCGGCCTCCCAAAGTGCTGGGATTACAGGCGTGAGCCACCGCATCCAGCCTGAGAGTTTCTTGAAGACAGGGATTTGATTTCATTCATCCCTATATGCCTAGCATCTCACATGATGCCTCAACACAAACACACCAAAAATACTGGTTGATAAATGCCAGCTGATACATCCTTCAAAGGAGGATGGAGACAACATGAGATAGAAAAGGTGGGGAAGAATTTCTGAAGCTGAACTAGAAGATGATACAGGAATTTACTAGATATATAGAGAAGAGTATTGTTAGGAGTACACTGAGCAATCTTCCCAAAATAAGTAAGTATGCTCACAGAGTTTGCATGTTTAAGAAAATCAAGGAGGCCGGGCACGGTGGCTCACACCTGCAATCTCAGCACTTTGGGAGGCCAAGGTGGGCGGATCACCTGAGGTCAGGAGTTTGAGACCAGCCTGACCAACATGGAGAAACCCTGTATCTACTAAAAGTACAAAATTAGCCGGGCGTGGTGCCTGTAGTCCCAACCACTTGGGAGGCTGAGGCAGGAGAATCACTTGAACCCGGGAGGCAGAGGTTGCGGTGAGCTGAGATGGCACCATTGCAGTAGCCTGGGCAACAAGAGCGAAATTCCATCAAAAAGAAGAAGAAAAAGAAAGAAAGAAGGGGAAGAAAGGGAAGGAAGGGAAGGAAAGGAAAGAAGGGAAGGAAGGGAAATCAAGGAAGGCCTCAATGTTTCTACAACATTTTTTTCTCCTGGTGTCCCATTTCTCTAGATTTCCTTCCTTACTCCCTTCCCCTTTATTTGTCTTACCCTCCATTCATTCTTTAAAACTCAGGCTTCTTCAATAAATAATTGGCAAAGAAAAAAGAGACATAGGGGAAACACTTAAAAGTAACAAATTGTAAGCAATGAACATTTGTGTATTTCAATTCAAACAAAACATAAATGGTAAAACAAGTCATGACAATGAGACAATTGGAGATTTGGACATCAATTATATATGTGGTGAAAAGTTATTGGTAATATTTGAGATGTGACAATTGTATTGTGCTTATATTAAAAACAAGCACCCTTATCTTTTAGAGCTACACGCTGACATAGGCATGGATGAAATTATTTGCCTCAAAATAATACAAGAGAGGGAAAGGGAGTAGGGATATTGATGAAACAAAAAATAAATAAGCATTATTTATTTATTGATTAATTGTCCTTCTGAAAGATGTTTCTCTTCCCTTCCTCCCCACCAGTTGGGTCTTTCTTGCTATATCCCAAATACTCACAGCTTATTTCTTTAACTACATTTATCTTATTATATGATAATTATCTGTTTTGGTGGATCTTATCACCAGAGGGAGCTCATTAGTAAGGACAGATTTTTCTTTGTCCTTCCATTGACTGCTCATAGGAGGGGCTCAATAGTATTGGGTAGAAGGATGAAAAGATAAATGAATCGATACAGACTCTACATCAGGATGTGTGATTCAAGCAGTGTGGGTTCACGTTGATTTCCCCTACATTCATCTAATTCTTAAGAAATAAATCTCAATTTATGTTCTATATACCACACAGCATTTGCTCACAACGGAAAGCCATAAATGCAGCACTCTAATTAAAACTAGATAATTCACACATTTTCATTTAATATTAATAGAATACCACGTTGCAGGGCCATGTTCTTAATTAGGATAAGATAGCATTGTACCAAACCCATTTAGTTGTCATAGTGATAAGGAAGATATAAAGGAAAACATTTTCCTTGTGTTTAAAATTTTTAAAAATTAAATTAGGGTTATTTGAATCTACTTTTTAAATATAATATGTACAAAGAAATGTACGTGTACACAGAAATACATACATCTATATATGTATTCATGAAGATGGAGTACACCTTCCATGAGACACAGCAGCCTAGAATGTTTCTTTATAGAAACAAAAGTTTGCCTCCTTTTTATTTTTAAGGAGAATATTTTAATCAAATCACTTCATAGTAGTATACTATTATTGGAAATATCAATTTACTTAGATTCCCTTCTAATGTTAACATGTACATGCCCAAAAATTTGCCTGAGAAAGAATTTGGGAATATATCTGTCCTTCAGAGTTCTTAGTTACCCACCCAGGAGCAATGCAATGAGATAAATTTATTAAAACATTCATGATGTTCCCAAGAGAACCTGTTTAGCAGACCAGATGGAATTGCTGGGTTTTTTTGTGTTTTGGTTTTTTTTTTTAAAGAAATGTCTTCATCTATGACAACACAATGAATTTTCTTACATCTTAAAATTTCATGAATATGTGCTTGTGAGTGAGCCCAAAGGTATTCATTTTCTTCTGTGGTAGAGATAAAATTCCTGATATTAAATTGCAAATAAGGACAATGTATACCAAAACCTATCATGGTGACCAAGAAGTATTGAGACTCCATATATAGAGTCACCAGTGATGGGTTTTTTTTTTCTGTATGTCCAGAACCTAGCCTTGGCCTGAAACCTGTGGGTGCTTGGTAGATGTTTGTTGACATTTTTTCCTGCTTTCACCTTCTCCTGGGAACCTTGTCACCTACCACCACAAGCATCCACTCTATTTGTAACACGTAGAAGAAGCCTGGAAATGATAAAAGCACATTAACTGGAGAAAAGTCTACAGAGTTTGGCAAGACTCTTGAGAAATGCAGAGGTGAACTAGACATCTGTTTACTCCTAATCCTCATGGAACTCACTGGAATATTTATGATGCCTGTCCTCAGCTGGATAAGCTGGTTGAGTTAGGTAGATGTGATATTGCACCCACCACAGTATACATCACTGCTCTGAGAGCTAAGAGACCAAAGAATTTAAAGCATAGCTATAAGATTAAAATTATTTTCAGATAATCATCTTTTCACCATTTGGGTCAAGATTTGGTTTTAAACTATCTTTCCCTCTTAAATCCATAGCTCTTCCTTTGGCTTGTCCTAACGAGGAACTGCATAATTGCAAGTGTTTGCTCTTTCATTTATTCAGTTATCTAGAAAGTATTCATTTAGTGCTTACTTTATGTTTAGCACTGTTCTGGGTGCAGAGAAATACATGATAGCTTTTCATGTTTGTTTGTCTTAAATTTTTTCCTTTGTTTTTCAGGGTTGGAAAAGTTGTCTGTTCCTCTTTATTTCAGGGCATAAACACCCTTGTGGTCCCTTCAAAATAGAGTCAAAACATAGCAATCAACATGAAAATAGTTAAACTTGAAAATCATAGGCCATTATATTAAGGGTACAAATTATGCTTCGTTTTTAATTAAGTGGACCTAAGTTTGAAAGGTCAAGGGATCCTTCTGTTTATAAGAGGGTTGTATTCTTTTGTGAGCCTTAATTGTGTATTGCATATCTATAATATATGTATACATTGGCATAGAAATGTACATGTAGACAGAAATACATACATCTATATATGTATTCATGAAGATGGAGTACACCTTCCATGAGACACAGCAGCCTAGAATGTTTCTTTATAGACTTTTCAGCAGAAACATACTCAGTATCAATTTGCTTTTATATGTGGCCTTCTGAATTGAAAAGTTATTGCTAGAGGTGCGAATATTATTTTGCAGTAAATTAATAGGAATGAGTAATTTGAAAGAGTGTGAGTAGGGAGAGGGGGTTCATGAGGAGAGGGACCAGGACTGTTTTACCCACTACTGTATTCCTGGGACCTAACATAATACTCTGCCTGGCACACAGTAGCAGGGGTTCAGTGAATAAACAGATCAATTAGTACAAGCTCAGGATTGGGAAAATATTCCAATAGAGCATTTTGATGGGCCAGGAAATTCTTTGGCCATAAAATAAAGAAGAAATTTTTGCTGCCTGTAGATTTCATTAAACTCAGCAAACATGTATTGCCTTCTGAGTTTTACCAGGGACTAGTAATTTGGTGCTGAGCGAATAACTGTTCCTGGGCTTTAGAAGCTCATAGTCTATCATAAAAAAAAAATATATATATATATATATGTGTGTGTGTGTTTATATACACATATATATGTTTATATACACATATATATGTGTGTTTATATACACATATATATGTGTGTTTATATACACATATATATGTGTGTTTATATACACATATATATGTGTTTATATACACATATATATGTGTTTATATACACATATATATACACATACATATATACTTATACATATATACATACACATGTGTGTATATATACATGTGTGTGTGTATATATAGTTTTTCTTCCATTTTATTGTAATTTAAATTACAGTAATAGCATATGAGTACAATTATATTACTGTTAAAAAAGTACAGAGGTAACCCAGAGAAAACAGTGATTACCTCTACTTAGTAGGGCTAAGAAAAACTTCTCTGAATGTCTTTGCAGTATTTTAAAGAACCAAGGCTATCCCAGGTAGAATGAGCAGCCTATACAAAAGTATGGAGCTATGAAACAGCAAGATGTGTCCTGGGACTGATAGCTTTTTGTTCTTAAGCTATAAAATGTGTTGTCTTTGCAGAGAAGAGTGGTAGATGAGCCTGGAGAGGAAGAATTGAAAATAGATTTTCTTGGCAAATTGACAACTGGATATTTTTATGCATCAGTCTGAAAGCCCTCCATTCTACCTTGTTTCTACATAAATCTGACCCTGCTTCAATATCCACCACGTCTGTGATGCCAGACATAGCCATTGCTTCCATGAACATCAGCCTGAGTGCCCTCATTTTGTTTGTTTGGTTTCTTTGTTTTTGTTTCTGCTTTTTTTTTTTTTTTTTTTTTACTTCATTTCCCCAGAAAATTGCAAAGTGACTGGCAGCCAGGGGCCGTCATTTCCCTCTTCCTTTAATTTCTTTTTTTTTTTTTTTTTTTTTTGAGACGGAGTCTCACTCTGTCGCCCGGGCTGGACTGCAGTGGCACGGTCTCGGCTCACTGCACTCTGCCTCCCGGGTTCATGCCATTCTCCTGCCTCAGCCTCCCGAGTAGCTGGGACTACAGGCGCCTGCCACCATGCCCAGCTAATTTTTGTATTTTTAGTACAGACGGGGTTTCACCGTGTTAGCTAGGATGGTCTCAATCTCCTGACCTCGTGATCCGCCCGCCTCGGCCTCCCAAAGTGCTGGGATTACAGGCATGAGCCACTGCGCCCGGCCTCTTCCTTTAATTTCTGTACATGATTAGTAGCAAGACCTAGACCAACTAGAAGGAAGTTAGCCACCTCTGAAGAGAACATCACTAATTTCCTTAGCATGGCTTTCTGAATTGAAAAGGAGTTTGAACAAGCTGGCTGCATTTTTGGACCAACTACCGTGCTGAGACCTTTATATTCAGGTAATGAGTATTTGTGAAGCTCACATGAAATTCCTCCTTTAAGACTAGAAAACAAAAGTTCAATCCAAACCTTGGGATCGGCAGAAATAAAAACAGAATTGTTTACAAGTGAATGAGAAAATCTATTAACATCATGCCAGCTGCATATTCACCACCCTCCAGGAATGCATGTCAATCTGAATGTCATATCCTTAGACAGCTATAATAAGCGTAGGTAGGACAGAGTTTGCTTATCACCATTAAATGGTAATAAGTCCATTTCAAAGGGCAAATGAATGAAAAATGCACTTGAAAACTCATTGGATACACTAAGAAAAGGTTATCTAAACTTCATTGTAGACAGAAGACAAAAGCATATTTTAAGAAATTCTTCCTTAAAATAAATATCCTTTATTCATATTTTTATATATTTCATTGTCTTGGCTTATGTCTATGAATAGATACAACTTTAATTATTCAAAGGCAAACATGCCTAAGGAAAGATAAAGCGTTGACCGTATATCGCAGTTTGCCCAGGCCAGTTCCGGTGTATGCCTGGGTTTGGAAGAAGATCACAGACTCAAGGCAAATGGGGCTGGAATGAGAGTATGGTGTTGTTTAAGATCTGTTGGAGAGGGAATGAAAGGGACTCCATTCTTTCTCTGTATTTAGAGGTTGGATGAGAACTAGCACAGAAGGCCAAAGCCCAGGCTTTGAATTTTGCCCCCTTCACTTACCAGCATTGTGACTTTGGGCAAGTCATGGGACCTCTCTTGGGTATCAGTTCTTTTCAACTCATGGTGGAGTCTTGTGCTTGGTACAAGGATCACTTTATTAGATAGTTATAATTAAGCTGTTTCAAGAGGTAACCACGTAGGGAACAAAAGTCTGGAAATCTTACTGGATAAAATGAGTTAAAGCAGTGGTCCCCAACTTTTTGGCACCAGGAACTGGTTTTGTGGAAGACAATGTTTCCACGGATGGGGTGGGTAAGGGGAATGGTTTTGGGATTAAACTATTCCATCTCAGATCATCAGTCATCGGGCATTAGATTCTCACAAGAAGCAGCAACCTAGATCCCTCACATGTGTAGTTCACAATAGGCTTTGCACTCCTCTGAGAATCTAATGAAACCACAGATCTGACAGGAGGTGGAGCTCAGGCAGCAATGCTCACTCACCCACCACTCACCTCCTGCTGTGCGGCCCAGTTCCTGCAGGCCATGGACACCTACCAGTCTGCGGACTGGGGGTTGGGGACCTCTGAGTTAAAGAAACCACGGCTGCCTAGCTTCAAGGGATAAGAACAACAAATACAATAACATTCAAATACAAGACAGCCTTTAAAGAGATAAGAGATTATAAATTTATTTTATAACTGCAAAGGGCAGAAGTAGATCTCATGTGGTGGAATGAAAATAGTTCTGTATAAAAAACTATTGAATAATGAGATATATCTAGCAAATGGAAGGGGCTAATCTTGAAAATAATGCTAGTGAAGACAGGAAGCAGAGAACTTGACATTCATGTTTGTAAAAAAAAATCATGGGGGAGATAGTGGGTCAAGTTGGAGGGGGCCTGAGAAAAATTCCCGTGGAATGTGATAGTCCTTTATTTATCTTCCAATTCCCATGCACCCTTGTATATATCACTTCTTCGTGTTTTTGACTCCTAACTGCTACAGCTGATAGAGAATTCCAATCTCATGCTCCTATTGTAACGCATTCCCCGTTCTCTAAAAAAAAAAATCTCAAGAATCTCCAAAGTGGTAGTAGAAATTATTCATTTTTCCTTAGACGAGTTGCCTAGTGGTTGACAAGGGGCACGTCTGATCTGCCTTTCTTTTCTCTAGAACATACGGAATGGTTTGAATATTTATTATTGTAGTTAAAGTAACATTTAAAAAGATAAAAGAAAATGGTAAGCTCTATAGTCTTGAAATTCTCTCCGATCTCTCTTCCTTTGAGCTTGCTTAACCCTTGAATCACAATATCTGTTGAATCCCTCAGGTCATCCCTGCAGAGGGAGAGTACATAAGAGATAATCTAATATTTAGAAAGTATAACCCCCATTTGTACTCTATATTGCTCTATGCTGTGACACTATGTTGTAGTTGACTGTTTGCTGGTTTAACTCTTATAGCATAACGTAAAGCCCTTATGACCAGATGATGTGCCTTATTCACTGTCGTATCTCCATTGCCTAGCACACTACTTGACATAAGAAGGCAACCCATGCATAGTTGAAGAATAAAAGACAGCCCATTGCTTCTCTCCTAGAACTAACTCTACCAGCCTCTTCTATGCAAGATTCCCCCTCACACCCCAGTTCTATTTTACGGTAGCTTGGCACCTCTTTCTAAGGCTTCTTAAGCCTTCTCTCTTTCAAGCTGAGTACCAGTCATCTCTTACAGGCACACACTTCATTTTTCCACACATCTAAAGTTTCAAGGCATTCTATTTATTTCTTTCTTCCCTAACAATACTTTAATATTGGTTGATTAATCAAGTGCTACATTTCTATTTATTGAGCACTTGCTATAGTCAAACACTCTGCTAGATACTGAGAAATTTTCAGCCATGCAAAAAAATGTGGTCTCTGTCCTCAAACTCTAGTTGAGGTTTAAGATACATAAGTAGAATGAAAAAACTCATAGTGTCTTCCAGGACTCAGTTAAATGCTAAATAAATGTTAGTGCTGGCTTCATGAGCTTTCAGAAGAGGACCTTTCCAGAATGAGAAACTTGGAATCTTTAGGAAGCACATAGACATCAGTTAGCTTTTCAAAGGTAAAATGAACCTGGATCATAAGTTAGA
This sequence comes from Homo sapiens, assembly GCF_000001405.40. Taxonomy (NCBI): domain Eukaryota; kingdom Metazoa; phylum Chordata; class Mammalia; order Primates; family Hominidae; genus Homo; species Homo sapiens. The sequence goes on along the minus strand of NC_000011.10, from coordinate 83,664,725 downwards.
CACACAGACATTTTAAGGAAGGGTGATGCACTCTTTAACCTTATGCTTTTAACTCAACAAATATTCATTGAGCATCTGCTGTATCCCAAGCACCAAGCTAGAGACTAGTACTGTGAGTTTTCTGAAGTCAAGTGTGGTTTCGTTTTCCCTCATTTAATTCCAAACCATCCATGACCTCATTCATTCCTGCAGCTTTAACTACTACCTCCCAGTGTACAAAAGCCACCCAACTCTACCTGTCCACCCCTCAGATTCTTTCAGTAAGTCAAATCTTGGTTCCCATTTAAAAAAAAAAAAAAGTGAGGTTTGACGATTCTGCTCTACCCACTCTCTACCAGCCATTCCCACTCCCCTCCACCCAAAGGCATCAGACACCGCGAAGCTTACAAAATATGCAGACATTTAATTCCTTGCAACTACATAACCTCTCTAGTAAAAAACATGCTTTTAAGTATTCCTTCACACCACTGCTGCCTATTTGGGACTGGAGAGCCTTGTTGGCTTATGTGGACCAGCCTGCAGGATGACAGCCTATGTGTCAACAGACTCTTGGTGTTAGTGAAGACAATACTATTTTCATTCACTGAATCCATAACATGGGCCAGGAGAACTAGATGCTTTCTGTCTACAATAGCTTATCCTTACAGTAAGCTCTGTAAGAGAGCTATCATCTCTACCATTATATAAATGAAAAAACAGGTCACAGAAACAGCTCGCCCAATGTTTCACGTCTAGTAAGTATCAGGAATCAGGATGAAAACCCAGATCAGTTTGATTCCAAATGTGACACTCTTTTTAATACATTACAATGAAGGCAGATTAATAGTTTTCAGTGCCTCAATCTTATTTGGAATGTAGGGATGGATGGATTCTTATTTCTATCTGCCTCGGAATTACAATGCCCTTGACAACTGAGGCTTCCAAGGAAAATCAACAGCCTTATGTCAGTATCTAGGAACCTCTGAGGTATTCTTACTTTGCTGAACTATAGGAGGGAACCAGGCATTAAGGATAATAGTATTACCAACCCACAGATGGCTTATGGCCCAGGTGACCCCTGAGTCAGAGCATACAATCTGCAAAGGAATGTCTGGCGGAACAAAACCAGTGAACTTTCATTCATTTATTCATTCAGTTAATACTTGGCAAGCTTCTACTATGTGCCACACACACATTGTATCTGCAATGACGCTGCAGATACAATGTATGTTTTTAACAGGGTGTCTTGCCAGACCTAATACATATTTAATAAACCACTTGTCTTGGGAATGAATGTCCTTTGCCTATGTATAGAGAGGTTTTCAGCTGCAATGGTGCTCTGGCAGGAGGAGAAATACAAACAACTCTTAACCTCTGAGATAAGATTTTGACAGCAACGTGGTATATTATACCCACTGTGAGCAGTCCTTGAATGGAAAAAGCAAAAGCACATTGGGAATTAGACAGTCCAGGGCTCTACTCTCAGATCTGACATTTAATACTTTGCTGTATAATCTTAAATTATTTTGTCTCTAGGAGCCTCAATTCCACAACTGTAAGGCAGGGATAATAATGCCCACTGAATGGGTTGTTTACTCAATTATTTAACATATATTTATTGAACATTAAATTAGTCAGGAAAATAGATAGCACCTTTATTATTTTAAGCAGAAAGCAATGTAATTCAGGGTAATAATGTGCTTAGAAATTGTTTGAAGACTGCTAGTTAGGAATGGAGGCAGCTACAACCAAATCAGGTAACCTCAGGAAGCCGTTTCCTGAGCCACAGTTTGTTCCAGCCCTGAAGCTAGAGACCAACAGTGGACTGTGGAGTCTGAGGAAACTGTAAGATACTGTAGCAGTGCTGAGAGCCACAAAATCCTGTGATCCTGTGCCAGTCTGCTACTTGCCTTTAACATCCTGGAACTTAACAGAAGTTACTGTGGTTGAGAGAATCTAAACTGCAATTCTACTGACAAAAGGTTCTGAGCATATAGTTCTCGGGCTTCCTGATCTTGTAATACAGTGGGAAGCATGGTGGTGGCAGAGTTAAGGAACAGTGCAGAGGACCAGTAGCAAGAGCCAGAACAGGCACCTCCTATGTGCCAGGAACAGTTCTGAGAGTACAGGGATAAATAGAAGAGACAAATATTCTCATGTGGATCACATTTAATTGTTGGAGATTCATTGAGTTAATGTATTGATGCATTCCATAGAGCCAGAATTATAGCAGGTTCCTTAGAAGTATTTGTTCCCTTTTTTAAAGTTCTATATATTGGCCCAAGAGAATATAACACTCCGCCTCCTCTCCATGAGATTTCTGACAAGGTAAATAATTCTGAGATTAGAGAGAGAAGAGCTGGGGGTCGTGTCTTTGGGGCCAAATAGTGAGGTTTCAATACAGTGCTTGCTTTTTGCAGATAGAGCCATTTTCAATCTGTATTGACTTTGAAAGACATTTGGACCTGCCTCAGAGCATGTATTCTTTCCATAGATAATTCAGGCCATCTTTGAGTCTGGGGTGAAAGCTGTTTTGAGCACTGCAGATGCCCTTGTCATTATTCCAAGCTGTGGGCTACAGTGGGTAGACATGAACTTTGGAGTCAAACAAATCTGGCTGTCCTAGTAGAGTCATAAGTGGCAAAGTACTTTCTTTCTGCTGCTGTTTCCTTACCAAAAAAATTGGTATTTAAGGTAGACCATCTTTGAAGACATTTTTCAATACATGTGTATATTAAATGCACTCCAAGTATATTAAAATACAAATGTCCTATAGAGATACAAACATTGCCTCTTCACAGTAGGCATGAGGATGAGAGATGAACATGTCAGGGCATGTGTTAATGTTGTCATTTACATGAATGATTCATTCGCTCTGTCCTGATGCTTTGTCAGTCACCTTCATATCTGCCCCCAATAGGAGGTCACTATGTCTTGATTTCTGTCTTGAGTCGGAAGTGTAAGGTGTAGCGGATTTACTTGAATCCAGCATTGAGGGAGCCTTGCAGTGCCCTTTGGAGTCCAGGGTAAAAGCTGTCTTGAGCACTGCAGTAGCCCTTGTCCTTATTCCAAGCCGTGGGTCACAGCAGGTGGACATGAGCTTTGGAGTCATACAAATCTGGCTCTACTATTAGAGTCATAAGTGGCAAAGTACTTTCTTTCTGTTGCTGTTTCTAACCAAAAAAAAATTAATATTATAAAATCTAACTTGCTGTAGCAGCATGAGGATTAAATGAGACAAAATATATATTATCTGGCACATAGTAGGTGCTCCACACACGTTAATTTGTTTACCCACTAATAATATATTGTTGTAGATATTTCCTTTGTTATTTCAATTTATTTTTTATCTGAAAAATGATAGGAATAGTAGATGCTTTTTACATGGGCATCCTATGCAGAGTTTGTCTCCATAACAACTATATAAATAGTTATTATGAATAGTTATCTGAATAATAATTATATTCTCATCTAATAGATCCTGAATTTAAGCACAAGAGAGGTTGAATAACTCACCCAAGATCATTGCACTAATTCAGAGTTATAGGTGGAATTTAAATGCAAATGCTTTTTCCCCAGAGCCAGCACATCCCCCACAGCACAAGGTTGTCTCCCACTAACCTCGGGCAAAGCAGGAGAACTGGTATATTTGGTGTTTGAATTTTCTGTTACTACAAGCAGAGCAAGCAAAGGGCATCATGCAAAGAACATGATGACTGGAATCTTAAAAACACATCTTTGTTGTAGAGTAATATCAGTCTGCAGGGTTGTTGTTCACAAAACTTAGTATAATCTCCAACACTAAGCAGGTGCTTGATATAGGGTTGTGGATATTATTATTATGGGGGGAGTCAGAAGAAGAAGTGTACATATGGGGAGAGATGAGATGAGGGACAGAAGGAGGGAGACCAAGATGGGAGGAGGGAGAGAGGTCAAATAGTACAATTTTATCAACTTTCTGTTTATCTTTCCATCACTTTTTTCCATCAGCCACCCCCTTATGTACCTCAAGTCTTTCTCCTTCTGTCTATACTGCCTTGATAATTTTTATTTATGTCACCTTACATGTTAGTGTGTGACTTTATCTATAGTCACATGGGCAGTGTTACCAAGGTGACGTATTATATCATATGTGCTTCTTGTAGAAAATGGCTATAGGTAAGTGTCCTAAACATTGTTAAAGAAACATGGGACCATCCATAAAAATATATGCACATACCACCCCTGGAGGTAGCAGCTACTGGACTCAGGCTGATGGTGGCTGCGCAGGAATGGGGGTTCAGTGGCATCAAACTTTTCACTTTTTGGGTAGCCACCAATGTGGATTTTGTTGTAAAATTTTTAATTTTTAAATGTTAACCCTTGATTCATATTTCTGAAGACACTGTGAAATAAAAGGGAACATAATTGTGGGTCACATATGGTTGGCAGTCTGCTGACTTATGACCTCTTCCATAGCGTCTCTGTCACAGAATCTTTCAGATTACATGTTATTACATGTTATTGTTTCTGTGTATTCTTCCCACTGGGCTAAGAGCTCCTAAGGGCTAGGTTATGTCTTATTTTTCAAAAATCAGAGACACAGTAGATGCTCAAAAGAAAAAAAATAACAAAAACCTATCCTTTTGCACATTTTCTTTTTCTTAAAGTATGACCCTCTATTTACCCTCCAGAACAATCTTTTCGTATCTTAGTCTTCTCAGCTATACAACGTTTATTTGTAAAGTTCTAGTCGTCAGAAGTCACAGTGCTTAAGCAGATATTCCAGTCTGGGACAGAACCTCCAATTTAGGATTCAGCAAATAATAGCATTGAGATAGGCACTCTGAGGGCCACAAAATGAAAAGAATGACATGACCCCTTAAACACTTGATAATCAAATGGGCTGTATTTTAGAAACAATTACATAACAATACAATTTAGTACAAGATCAATACAATATAATACAATACAGTTTAGTATGCAAATGGGAATTCAGGAAGGGCGTGTTCTTATAGTGTGTGGATTAAAGGGCAGGCTCTGGAGGCAGACTGTCTCCTACCAAATCCCAGCTCAGCTGCTTACTTAGCCTTTCTGCTTTCCAGCTTCCTTGTCTATATCATGAGAGTAATCCCTACACCACCAGGGTTGCACACAAAGAAAGGCAGAGCCCCATTGACATGTTAGCCTGGATGAATAAGATTGTAAGAAAACCTTACAGGCCAAACCTATTGGCCTGCCAGGTGAGTAGCCTTATAGGACCTGGGGGAAATAATCACCCAAGTTTTCCAGAATTTGACTGAAAGATTCAGGAGTAAAGAAGGGTAAAGGAGTAAGCAAAAAGAGATGGAGTGCAATTGTATGCTTTATGTATGGGCAGAGAGGATTATTTGGACTCCTGCAGATGCTCTGGTCTGGGTGTGGTCCAAGAATGCTGTCTCTCTCTCCCTCAATCTCTCTCTCTCTCTGTTTTATTAACTATTAACTAATCCCCGTGTGTCTCAGTTTCTTCATCTGTAAAATGGGATAACAGTACCTACCTTATAGACTTGTTAAATGAGTTAACACAGGTAAAGTTCTTAGAACATTTGATGACAAAAGTAAATGCTTAAAATATGTTGGCCATTATAATGACTGTTATCCCATAATCATTGTTGTATTCCTTATGTGTATCAGAAACTACGACAGGCACTGAGATATGGAAGTACAGAATATTATGGGCAGCCAAGGCAATACAAGACAGTAAGTGAGAGTACCATATCTGGACAGGAGGACCTGGTTTCAGATCTGGGATTCTTCATTTAGTTTCCACCTAAGTAACCTGGAGCAAGTGTCTACTTCTGTAAACTGGGTGATGCTACTACACACCACAGGATTGTTGGGAGAACAACTGAGATAAATTGCTACATATGGCATTCAGTATAGCTCCTGGTACATTGTAAATGCTCAATACTAGAAAGAGTGATGAAACCACTAGAGAAGTGGTAAACTTCTTTAAGGTGCTTAAAATGCAGAAAACTGAAGAGTATATGCAATTCCAGGGCTTTCCAAAAGATAAGCTATTTTTCCAAGTTCATTGTTACATTGCTCAAGCAGTGTTTTCAAGTACTAGAGCAGACTGTGAATAGGAAGGTGGGTCATGCTGGGCAAAAGTGAATTTTACTAAGCTAAAAGCACTTATTGTTTCAAGCATGAAAATTCATTGCAAATCATTTCGCTTATAAAAAAATGAAAGTCAAATGGTGTCAGTTACAATTGCAAAATATACTTTAGCTACTAAGAATAACTGTTTATTATCATTGTCATTCTGTGAAGCAGAGAACAGACTTAACCTTTGATCTCTTTGCTGACAGTTGGATATAATTAACATAATTATGGTTTGGACTGATCATTTTTGGCAAGAATTTTTCTTCTCTCATCTATCTGTTGGAGATTTAGATTATTACAGTAAAGAAGCACTTTTTGGAAATAATAAAGTCTCTATATATTTGTTTCCATCCTTCTTAAGAAAACAAGAACATAAAAATGTAATTTTTCAAAAAGCCCATTAGATATAGAAAGTATCAAGTTTAAAATCTCTTAGGAATTCACTATAAGCAAATAAGAATCAGGGAACATTATGAGGCTGGAGTAAAATTAAAAGATAGTAATAGAAGTAGCTAATATTGTGGGGGCACTTCCTGCTAAGTGTTTTCCAGAATTTAGCTCTGGTATGCCCATAACCATGCAGCCAAGACTGGTTTGGCTATTATCCTTATTCCACAGAGGTCACACAGCAGAGCCATGTCTTCCTTCCTCTGCAGCCATGTCTTCTTTGATATGTGTGTGCTCATGAAAGAAATCTGAGTCTATTTTTTATAGGCAACTATTGGTGTTCTCTTGGCCCAATGCTTTGGTAGCAAGAAGATTGTTAAGAATAGACAATATAGGCTGGGCGCGGTGGCTCACGCCTGTAATCCCAGCACTTTGGGAGGCCAAGGCGGGCGGATCACGAGGTCAGGAGATTGAGACCATCCTGGCTAATGCGGTGAAACCCCGTCTCTACTAAAAATACAAAAAAAATTAGCCAGGCATGGTGGCGGGTGCCTGTAGTCCCAGCTACTCGGGAGGCTGAGGCAGGAGAATGGCGTGAACCCGGGAGGCAGATCTTGCAGTGAGCCGAGATCGCGCCACTGCACTGCAGCCTGGGTGACAGAACGAGACTCCATCTCAAAAAAAAAAAAAAAAAAAAAAGAATAGACAATATATAAAAGCACGGACTACTGGTAAACAACAGTATAACCAAGACAAAGTTTACTGATAACATTTACCAAGTAAGTAAATAACTGATACCTTTGGTTTACCATGGTGTGAGCTTGGGGAAAATGTTAGTGCCAGAAGTGGGATTAGAACCAAAGTCTCTTAGCTCCTAGGCTATGTACCAACTAATGGATACCAGCCTTTCATCTAAGCAGTGTTAAGGCCTCACTCGTGATTTTTCACCTCACTCCTGCTGATGGGGTTAGTGAGCTAGGGAAATCAATTCAAGAGGTCTGTTGTTTTGTTAGCCCATCCAATTGACTCATGATGCCAGGCACTAGGTGTGTTTAATACGTTTTCATTGGAGTTGTAGCAGCAGGAAATTACAGACAGAATAAGACAAGTTTTAATCTAGATGTTATAATAAAGAGATATGGAAACACTGATAAGAGAGCAACTCTTGCTGACTGAAGCTTTATGGAATGTTGACTAGAGGAGGTGGCATTTGCACTGGGTCTTGGATGACTGAGTAGGATTTCAGGAGGCACTCATGGGGGTAACAAAGGCCTTGTAGGGAGAAGACCTGGAAGTATGAAAAACGTGACTATTGGAGGTTCCACCTCTTGGTGGGGGTGGAGGGAAGCAAGTGGTGGAAAGGGAGATGTTGGCCTCTGCATCAGTGAGTGCTAAGCAAAGGGGTTGACAACCTAAGCATCATCATCCCGTATTGGTGTTGTGTACACTTGACTTCAGTTTCACATATTAATATTTTAATTCATTAGTGATATCTAAAGTACAACAAAATGTAGATTAGCAGATTGCATTGGGATCAATGTGTCCCTTTAGGAATCAATAGAGGGAGAGAGAGGAAATGACTTTTCTTGAAGAATGAATTGGTCATATACTTGAAGAAAGGTAAGAATAAATACATTTCCACCGTGGAAGGAATTCTGACTTGAGGAACAACAAGTTTTCTATATTATTCTTCCTCTACTCATTCTTCCCTCCCTCCTGCTTCCCCAAGTGTTCTACTGGGGAGGAAAAGTAGGCAGAGGAATGAATGTCAGGCTCAGGAGGAGAAGTTCTGAGTGCTACCAGGCATTCTGTCTCATCTGCAGAGGCTAAGATTGCTGGAGAGAAATCTGACCAGGACCCACCTTGGAGAGGAAATGATGGGTGGAAAGGCCCTGAGGCTCTAAGACAGTTCTTGTTGCCTGCAGGGATTCAACCGGGCCTGGCATCATAGTACCCTGTAGTCACTTTCATTTAAGCAGATTGACACTTTTTGAAAAGCGATGTTTCATTGGAATGAGATTTTGTTGGAAATAGATTCAGTGATGACTCTTAATGAGTGTCACCCTGCTGACTGTTCAGGGTTGTGTTCTGCATGCCATCTGTTAACATTTCTGAGTTCTCTGCAAAACCAGCAAGTGCTGCAAGATGTTCCCTGACCTGCGTAATCTCAGACATGTTATGGCCAGATGAGTGGGGTGCTGACCAGGGTGCCTTTGTGGCACAGCCTTTCCTAGAAGGCTCAAGTTGCACCTGCAGAATTCCTACTGCACTGTTTAGGCATCTTTGAGGAGATGTCAGGACTTGGATTAGCACAACTTCCCCAGAGCACTGTGATGCCAACAGCTTACAGCTGAAACAGTAAAACAGTATGTGACAGCAATTCAGGGAAAAGAAATACACATTGGGGGCAGTGGAATAGGTCCTTTTGGATATGAATTTGGAGAATGAAACTTTGGCAATAAGAATGGGAGAGGGGTTGGTAGGCCAGGGTATATGGGTGTGGGGAGCTGTTTCCTGAGCTATTAGTTGGCCTAAACACTCTCAATTAAAATTTCCCTTTTCTTTAAAGGAATACAATGTAAATGATAAAATCAAATATCTTCAGACTTTCCTCAGAATTTTTATTATTGCTTCTTTTAAATCCATACAAGCATGTACATATACACATAAACTCTCAGGGTTACAGAGAAAGTGCTACTGAGGTCTGGGCAGGAAATGGGATTAATCCATCTGCTCCCAAGCATGTCCCAGCTGACCCAATATAAGCACTCTGACAAGTGCTCTCCCTGAAATTTAGCCTTTTCTAAACAGAAAAGGCTGAGTAATATTACAGTGAAGCCAGTAACAATGTCTATATCATAATGCTCATAATCTCCACAATGATTCCAATGGATATTCTTCAAAAGGCTGAATAGGAAACTTCCATGTTCATGTTTATTGTCTTTCATTCTTTTCTTCTTATACTCTTTTCTTCATTTATTCAATAAATATCTATTTATCTAGGGCTGATTATGTGCTAGGCACTGAACTAGGTGTTAAGATTATGTTTTTAAACTGTAATGCCCTAGTCTTTAGTAATGAGTCACAGAGAGGCCACTCATTACAATACAACTGGAGAGTAAATGCCAAGATGGAGAAAAGCACTGGATGGATGTGTGGGAGCACAGAGGGCACCTCATTTATTAAGCGTCTACTTCATGCCACCTGGGCATGAAGACAACCATTCATTCTCACATGGGCTGGAATCTTACAACACCCTGATACAGAATGTACAGTTATTTGTGATAGTTGTTTCTCTTGTCCTGCACCTGGACCAGTCCCCAAGACATCTTATCCATGCCCCCATCTCTAGATGTCCTCAAGAAGACCACACAGCCAAATTCTGGGACTAAGGTCTTATCTTCTAATGAATATGTTAATTATTACTAGCATGCTGTAACCTCATTCGGCAATATCCTAAGAAAATGCTGCCATGCATTAAATAAAATTACTTCATTTCTATAGACGTATTTAAGTCGCTCATACAAGACTCTCTGCTGGGGCATTAGATGTTACAGCAATAGCTAGGATGTGTCTCCTATCCTTCTAGAGTGTGTCCTCCAGTAGAACAAGTACACACATAGAACCAAAATACATCAAAATGCCTGAATGTCATAATGGAGTGCTTTGTAAGTATACAAAAAATGAAGTGGCTTCTTTTGGACCTGAGGACTCAGGAAGAGAAAATGGTAATTGTTCTGAGTCATGAAGATTTGTTAGAATGTCAAGACAGAAGAACCATCATTGTAAGGGGAAGAAAAAATAAAACTAAAAGGACTATGAATGGGAAAGTACAAGGTATGCTCTGAAAACACTTGGTACACTTGGAGTGTTATCAGGAAGGTTGTCAGGAGGGGATAAAATAGGAAAGCAGAGGGCAGATCAAATTGGCCTCGAATGCCAGGCTAATTCATTCAAGGCACATTCTCTGATATTATTCTAATCCTAATGTAGCTCCATGACAGAGTCCAAATCATCCTTTAACTTGGTTGGTGAAAGTTTTATCTTGTATGGGGGCAAAGAACCAGATTGGGTGAGAAGTGGCAATAGCATGGAAAGAACACAATCACTGCTTTAAGAACTTCCAGACTGGTGGGCAGCCAGTCTTATCCACAGAATAGAATAAATTCAGCACTTCAAAATTTAATATTCACTAGTTAAAAAAAAAAATTCTTGGCCAGGCGCGGTGGCTCATGCCTGTGATCCCAGCACTTTGGGAGGTAGAGGCAGGCAGATCACTTGAGGTCAGGATTTTGAGACGAGCATGGCCAACATGTTGAAACCCCATCTCTACTAAAAAAAATATTAGCTAGGTGTGGTGGTGCATGCCTGTAATACCAGCTACTCGGGAGGCTGGCACAGGAGAATCTCTTGAACCTGGGAGGCAGAGGTTGCAATGAGCCAAGATCGTGCCACGGCACTCCAGCCTTGGCAACAGAGCAAGACTCCATCTAAAAAAAAAATAAAAATCTAACTTCTACCTCTTAACGTGATTTATTTTTGTGCTCCTTGGACATGTGCGGTCACTTTATCAACAGACAAAATGTATGTATTTCTTGGGGAAAATGGCCCCAAAGAAATTCTTCCTGTGATGGAGATGAAGTGATTAATACTTTATTGGACTTTATGCATGGATATGACATGTACAGTGACAGTTATAAATCAAGGAATTCTCAGGGGCCCAAGGTGTAGCCTGCTTGCATTTACAGACAAAATAAATTTAATTTGGGACCAAGAAAAAATGCATACAAATAGTAACGTGCATAGAAAAGAGATTTATGCTGTTTAAGAGAATTATATATGGACACAGGAGACAGGGAGGAGGGATTGTTGCTTGCATTTGAAAGACGGTCTATTTGTGAATTGTGTCTTTTATCTCTGGAGGAGAAAATAAATAACAGCAAGGGAGATTCACTGCAAATCCACTTTTGTCAGCCCCATGGCAGGTTTCTTCAGTTTGTAGTTGTTACATTTAGATATGATGCAGCCCCCATGGATATTAAATCATTATGATAATTGGGACTATGATAGAAAAGTCATTGTCTTCTCTTTGTTGTTCAGGTAATTTCTCATATTTACAGTCATTTTGTGTACATGAATGAAGTTGCGTACAGCATTGGGAAGTTATTAGATTGGGGTTCCACTTCTGCCACCAACATTTTCTAGCTGTGTGACTGGGCATATTTCACAACTAGTGTGAGCCTTAGTTTTCACATATGTACAGTGGAATAAGACTATCTTCCACACAGAGCTTTTGAAAGAATTAAAAGAGAGCATATATAAAACCTAGAAGGTGTGAGCTAGTAATGTACAACTTGGTGGGATATGAAACTCAACAAAAAGGGTCGAATAAGGAAACCCAAAATATAACTTATTAGTCTTATCAAAGGGAGATCAGCCTGAGGAGGAAGTGACAACCACACTTATATGACACTATACACAGAAGGGCTACCCTCAGGTGTCATTAATTGTGAATCATACCACAATGATATTAAGACAACACACTTAAAAAACACACATCTAGGCTAGGCGCAGTGGCTCACACCCGTAATCCCAGCACTGTGGGAGGCCAGGGCAGGCAGATCATTTGAAGCCAGGAGTTTGAGACCAGCCTGGCCAACATGGTGAAACCCCGTCTCTACTAAAAATAACAAAAATTAGCCAGGTGTGGTGGTGCACGCCTGTAATTCCAGCTACTTGGGAGGCTTTGGTGGGAGAAACGCTTGAACCCAGGAGGCGGAGGTTGCAGTGAGCCAAGATTGCACCACTGCACTCCAGCCTGGGTGACAGAGCGAGACTCCATCTCAAAAACACAAAAACAAACCACACCTCTGCACTTCAAATATACACGTGAGGACTATTCATCTTAATCATCTCTCAAAGTGAATAATTAGCTTTCAAAGGTTGTTCCTCTCCCCCTTTTCAAGAGCAAGCAGAGAAAAAACAGAACAAGTGCAGGCTATTGCCAGATAGATACCCTCCTGCATGATCTACAGTCGCTGCTTTGTGGCTCCAAGCTGGGGTCCAGTTGCGCTGCCAAGATTCCACACCAAAAAAACACAAAATAACATCACTTACAAAACCTTTTAGCATTTGGGGGCAAACGATGATACTACATTTTAATTTATACTGAGAAAAGAGCATAATTTTTTCTCTTTTCTGCTGTGAATTCAATTCTCTAACAGGGCCAAATTTGATTAGACCAACACAGGCTGAATTTAAGTGTGTAGATTTCAGGTGATTTGTTTCTTACTTTCTGCAAAGGTGCCGATATCACATAAGATTTCACCAGGGCTTCTTCTAGCCAGAAGACATGTCCTTTGACAGCCAATGTGACCTTCGTAGCTCTGAGCCAGGTAGGGAGCAAATCTTTCACATGCTGTAATCCTCTAAGTGTGTTTTGGAAACAGGATTTACATGTCTCCCTATTAGATGCTCTTTACTTAGAACCAAACAGCATTATAAAGTAGACTTCCGAGGGCATTCTCTTTCTGGTTAGTAATTTAACTAGAATAAATTGAATGCTCTGGATGTTTTCTTCCTCCTCCTCCAACTCCTCTTCTTTCTTCTTCTTCAACATTGTCAACATCATCAGACACTGATAATACAGCAAATCTGTGAAAGAGTTATGCTAAACACTAAGTTGTCCTAAATTAACTCAGAAGGTCTTGCCAAACCCTGAATACAAAAAAGGGCAGGAATAAGTTTGTTGCAAACTAATTTTCAATTTATTGTGAAGAGAATGGGCATTTATTATGAGAAGAATGGACAGTTTCACCCTGTCACCCAAGCTAGACCCCTACTTTGTACAGCTTCTTTACCTGTGTCATCTTATTTATCTTCACAATGGTCTTGTAATTGTAGTTGGCATTATTTCCAACTCAGAAATGTTAAGTAATTTGCCCCTGGTCACCCCAGCAATAGGTATGTACTTACTCTCTGACATTCCATCTGAGATTTTTTTTTAACCTAAACTCAGTTTTCTTATTCAATTCAATTGATATTTATTGAGTACCTATTATGTACTAGGTACTTACTTGTACTAAGAGCTGAGTATACACAGTCAAATAAGACATAATGTCTTCCTCCATAGAGTTTTAGGCTGGCAGGGGAAACAGGTATAATAAACATAAAAGATATGTCATAAATGCAAAAATGAATATATATATGAGGTATAGAGTAAGTAAGATGAAGAGGGGCATGATTAATTTCATTTAAAAGAGCAAAATCATAAAAGACTTACTATCAAATTTTAAAGAAGGAGAAGGAGTATGCCATGCAGATAAGAATAAAGGCTGCATGTTGCAGACAGGCCATTTCCCTGTTTGAATAGAAGCTGTCTTCAGCCAATGGCATCTGGAGTAGAAAGTCTTTCAGTCTTGAAAGGGGATCTGAGGCACTATGATATCTGAGGCAAAGAAATTTTATACACTTCCTTAAATGATTATTTTATAGTAAGCTAGAATTTGTGTATGAATTTTGCTAATAGCCTAGATGTGGAATTTTTAAAGCAAGAGGAATATGTTCACATTCAGGTGGCGTGTTTAAAGAAAAAGAAATTTTTTTCATATCTGGGAACATTGGATTAGTTTCCTATTGCTACTATAATAAATTACTACAAATTTAGTGGCTTATTACAGCACAGTTCTATTCTCTTACAGTTTTGGAGGCCAGAAGTCTGAAATCAGTTTCACTAGGCTAAAGTCAAGGTGTGAGCAAGGCTAGTCCCCCGTGAAGACTCTATAAGAAATCCATTTCTTTGTGTTTTCTAGCTTCTCTAGGCCACCTATGCTTCTTGGCTTGTGACCCCCTTCCTCACAGCCCTCCAACCTCTTGTTTTCATTATCTTACCTTCTATTTCCTCCTTTGACCTTGCCTACCTCTTACATGGACCTGTGTGATTATATTTAGGACACATTCATATAATCCAGGAAAATCTCCCCATCTCAAAACCCTTAATCACACCTTCAAAGTCCCTTTCAGCATAGCAAGTAACATTCACAAGTTCTCGGGATTAGGATATAGATATACTTGGGGGCCATCATTCAGCCTACTGCACACGGGCATTACAGTCAAAACTTCTTGCATTGGCACTACTTATGGGTGCATTTTTCTGGTGATTGTTAGAATGTCTGTGCTAATTTACACTTGTCCAGGTCTGCCTCCTTTTATAACATCAGGATAACTAGGGGCAAATAATGTATTCTCTAGCAAACCCCTAATATGTTTGAATAAAGTTAAAAAACTTTCTCTTTCTATTCTGACTAAAGGAAGCCAAAGCAAGAGCACATTGAGAAACCTTCATACCTATGCTAATGGAGACTTGAAAATTAAGGAATATCTATAGAAATCATGGAGGAAAAACAGACATTCTTGAAATGCCACCTGAAACAGAGAGGGGAAAGAAATTCCCTTATGCCTCCCTTCCTCCTACCCTCCAATCTCCTGTTAGTGCCTCCCATTGGCTGAACCTAGTCAGAAGTGATTTTCCCAGGGAGCAAATTCCAAATTACATGCAAATTGCATGTAATTTGCATGAAGTCAGCACTTTCGATGTAAAACAGAGCAGGGGAAGTAAGGGAATTAGATATGAGAGAAAATGATCAGCACATAAACTGAATCTTGAGAAAACCAGGGTTGAAGTTCTTACTGAGTTTGTCCTGGTTATTCCTGCCTCATCCCCTTCAATTTTGCCTAAATATCTAGACATTCTGTGCATAGAAAGAATTTCCTCACTTCACTGGTTCTTTACAAGCTGAGTCATTAGTGATGGCACTATTCATTGTGTGTGATTTCAAGATCACTTTCCTGACCAGGGCTTGGAATTTCTTAGCCTTTCTCCCTTTGAGCACCAGGAGGGAACAGGAGCTGGGAGAAGCTGGGGGCTAGTGGGGCATATTGTATTTACCAGTCACTGGGCTTGATCATAGAACTGGAAAATAGAATGCCCAGCAGGAAAAATTCCTCACTTCACAGTGGATTTTGATCAAATATTAACTATCCTGAGTATATTTTAAAATTTGTACAGTGGTTCCTATACTTAGAGGCCAGTGCTTTAAACTCCCCACTCAGCCCTACTTCTATTGAGCAGTCCATCTCCCCCAACCCCGTGTTGTGCCTGGTCTCTAATCCAAGCTTTTACCAGACCCACGAGACCATCCTAATTGGATTTTAATTTCATAATAATCTTTAGCAACACATTGAGTTCAATTCATTATAGCCCTGAGTAGAAATGCAAATGAAATAGAGCTCCCCATCTTTGGCCTTGAGAAGCTGCCACTGCTGCTGCTTTTTAACTTTTAAAAGGTATAAAGGAAGTTTCAAAGAAATGTACAGAGAGCTCCTGTGCACCTTCCACCCTGCCTTTTCCCAATGTTGACATAATGCATAGCTATGGTGCAATGTTGAAACCAGGAAATGTCTACATCCATAGAGAAGCAGCTTCATTTTGTAAGTTTAAGAAGACTCCTCAGGGCTGGGGATGGTGGTGGTAGGCAATATTGTAGTAGTAATATTAATCCCATATATTCACACAATGCTTTTGTACTTTTTAAAGCTCTTTTATCCCTTCCCATGAATGTAGGGGTTCTATTAGCAAGTTCCACATTCAGCCAAGGGTTGCTGACACCTCAGTTTTACTTGGTAATTCAAAAGCCAGAGGTTTTATTATAAGGGGCTGCTTCCCATTTTCTCATGGAAGGACACTAACATCAAGTTATCCCATCAAAAGATGACTTAGTACCCTTTGTCCTGCACTTTCTATTGATTGAAAGAAATTTCTCCTCTTCAGAGGCAGAAGAGGCATAGTCCTTGCCTCTATGTAGCTGCTCCCTTTTCTCTGATATGCCTTCCTTTACCCCTACACCTAGTCTTCTAGTCTACCCAATGCTTCCTCATCCTCTAAGATTAGGTCTAGGTGTTAACTCTTCTTAAGCACCATCCTCTTTGTACTTCCTCTCTGTACTGTGTGTACCAACACAGTTCTTTGTTCATGCCTTAACAAACTTACTGTCTATTTTCTTGCCTGTGTCCCCTAATCAACAGGGAGTCCTTTGATGGCAGGAATTATATGTTTAAACCTTAATTTCTATCCCCAGCACTTGCTGTAAATGGATTAATAGACAGATTCATGGAATAATTCTGTGTCAATCTGGAAAGGTAGGAAAGCTTTAATAAAAACTGAATAAAAGGTATAAAAATAAATAAATTCTAGCTTATCTTCTCTTGAGGTCTTCTGTACTTCTTTGCAGATGTCACAAGGTTTGGGGATATAGAACATGTGATGATGACAGAGCTGGGTCCATATGAACTTTTCAAATAGACTGATGGCAAGAAGGCAGCCAGATTAAATAGAATTAAATATAAATTTTGAGTTCCTTGTTAAATGTGATAAACACCTGCCTATATTTTTGTTCCCTTCCAAAACTCCACTAAAGTAACAATTAAGGAATTTAAATAGGTAAATAATCTAAGGTCCAAAAAGAAGTCGGTCAAGACAACACATGTAAGATATATGAACAAAACTTTGGAAGCTGGAATGCTGATGATTGATTAGAAAATGACACATCAGAGCTGAGAAAGCAGAAACCCAAGTACTTACGGGAATATGAAGCTAATGAGATGTGCAGAATCCTGGAAGGACTTGGGTATTAAAGGCCTTGGGTATCTGAAGACATGGGTGTGAGGAAGGCCTGAAAAAACAAAGATGAGTTAGAAGTTTTAAAAGGAGCAGCTATAGCTTCAAATTCTCTCTTCGACCTGCCAATCATTCCCACCCAACCAATGTTTCCTCTTTGGAAAGACTGAACAAGATTGAACCTGAGGCATCAGACATGGACGATGGTGGGGGTAAAATGCTGCACAGAGAACACATATATAAAAGAAGGTATTTAGTGAATTGTGAGACATACCCCCGCCCCCACCCTTGTCTAAGCCCCACTCCTCCCTTCACTCCCAGAACCTGGTAACCAGGCTTTTAACCTGAAAGAAATGATATTAAGAGACTCTGGGGAAACTGACTTGGCATAGAGATTTATAGGTCCTGATATTTGAGTGTCTCCAAAATGAACATGTCCCCTGTTTACCACTATTCAACAATACCTGCCTGCACAGAGAGCTTCCAATCAGCATTTTAGTGCCTCATCATTAATTTGGACTTATAAGCAAGGATCACCAGACACCTGAGAACATCCTTAAAACAAAACGGAATCACAAAGAATCCAGAGAATCAAGAGGTAATCCACAGAATGGAGGGAAACATCAAAATACCTCTTATTAATATACTTAAGAAGATGAGACACCCATTAATTGAGAACAGTAGCTTTTAAAAAGGAACGTTTAGGGAAGAAAGAGCTTTTGGACATTTAAATGTATTAGATCACACCTGGAATATCATGTTCAGTTCTAGGAGGACCCTCCCCCACCCCCATCTTAAGAGGGGCATTGAGAAAGTAGAGGTTGCCCCGAGGAAGTCAGAACCTGGATGTATTCATTCATGCACATACATGTGCATATGGCAAACATTTGTCATTTGCCTTCATAAGCCATCAGACACAGTTCTAGGAGCGAAGGAACCAGAAAAGATCCAGAGGAGGCTGAGTGCTCAGGAGTTGGGAAAGGATGGAGACAGATGATACAAAATAAAGTACAGTGGTGAGCAGTGTGTGAGAGGAGAGACCACCAAAAGTGTCTACAAAAAGCCCTAAGGGGAGCAGCTGAAGGATGTGAAGGGGAGGTGTGTTACCAAAAGAACAGAAGAAATTAGAGCTTTTCCTTCCTTCTTTCCCTTTCTCTTTCCCTCCCTCCCTTCCTTCCTTCCTCTCTCTCTCTCTCTCTCTGTTTCATATCTGAAAGCCTATTAAATAGAGGGAGAGAATTTGTTCTATATAGGAGATAAAAAAGGATTCAGATAGTGACTCAAAATGGGAAACAAACTAAGCTGTTTGGGCAAGGAACACTAAATTCCTACTCAAGACTGGCTTTTGTCTGAAAGGTGTTCTTTTCACATCCTCTTGCGTCCAGATAAATCCAAAATGTGCCAAATAGAAACCTGCTGTTTCTGCTATAGTTCTCCACTGAACCGAGCTAGCTTGATAAGCTCTTGTGTATCTGTTAGTTTATTCTAAAATCAATCAAACATAAGTAGATTGTATCAAAGAGGATAATTTCTTAAATTGAGTTATAGAAACCAGCTCTGTTTTGGTTAAAATAAATAGGAAAATTGTTGAAATGCGATGATTCCTGGCTCTTGGATTTAAAGCATGAATACCATTCTCGAGCAAGTCCCACAAAATTCAGGCACAGACTAAAGGAGATGGAGAATAAATTTTCCAGCAAATAACAATGGAAAAAACTTACCCTGTAACTGTGCTGTAACAACCCCCAGAATCGGGCTTCAGTCATCCTGCATCTCCCAAATTTTTAGCCTTTCGTTGTACAAACTGCAAATAATTGACACCAGGCTCTGAGTCAGCTTTCTGATCCTCACCCTCATGGTTCAAATTGGAGTCTAATTATAGGAGCTACTCCTACACCTCCATAGGCAGCTTGCTTGGGATTTTTTCTTAAATTATTAATCAGAGGAAAGATAAATTTGCCTGTTTTACTTATACAGGGATGAACTGTCTCCTAGCTGATTTTTATTTATTTATGCATAAAAGTCTATTTTTTATGGTTACTTACTTTTATTATTTCCTTCCCTGAGTCTGGAGGATAGAATGGTCAGATTAGTGTATGTTTCATACAACCCTATCTGTCATTGCAGCACAGCCCTCATCTATAAATATTCCTTAGGCTCTGGTGTATAAATTGCTTCAATTGTTAAAGTGTATAAATTGCTTCAACTGTTAAAGATGTATCTTCCCATATTCCCAGTCACTGGAATTCAGAGAGCTTAGGTCATAATGATATCCCTTTAAACCCAATGTGTCCCAACATGGACTCAGTGTCATTTTCTTTTCTTCCTCTCAATGGCAGCTCCTTTCTGTTCTCAGTCAGTTGCCCAAGCTGTAAACCTGAGGGAACCTTGGACACTTCCACTCTTTCTCATGGGCCACACTGAATTAATCAGCAAAGACTCTTATTTACACTTACCAAATGTATGTCCCTTCTCCATTCCCATCTTCTTCACCATTTCTCACCCAACCAGTGAAAGAGATGCCTAAATGACCTCCAGGTTTTCTATCCACTATCCAGGTTTTCCATCATAATACTGGGGACTAAGTGACAAATATAATATATCCCTTAAAAAAACACTCAATGGCTTTGTAATATCTTTGTTTTAGAGGTCAAATTTATAACAAATGGTACTATGCAATGAATGGCATAGGGTTACATTTTGGCCTCACTTAAGTGACAATTCCAAATCCATGTACAACCAGGGAGTTCTTCACTTTCTCATAGATCCTTTGCCAAAAATTAGGGGAACAATTTTTTAGAAAAAAATTACTGAAATAAGCAAAAGAAATTTCTTTTCTGAGTCATGGAAGTAACTAAACTGAGCATGAAATTGTTACCATAAATTGCACTGAGGAATTTCTATTCAGCTCCTGTTTATGAGTTTGGGGGCTGTGGGTAAGTTCCCATTATGTGATTTTTCTGGCTGCATAACACAAAATACTCGCAATATTAATATGATAAATAGGAACACATTTAGCATCTCAAGGAGTAAAAGGTAATCTTCAGATTGAGGGAGAATCTAGCTAGGTGATTTTTAGGATTCAGAAATAGATAATTATGTTGAGAACGAAGTTATGAGTATAAACAATTCTCTCAATCCGTCTCTTTGCCGATTCTTCCTTTCACCTCAATTGAAAATTGAAAATTATTTTAGTGGGAGGGCTATAGAGGAGTAGAACATATTTATCGAATTCTCCACATTTTGAAATGGCTGGTTCACTTTCTTATCAGGAAGAGGGAGAGATGGCCACATTAGCAGCCTCACTCCATCAGTTAGACATATGTCAGGTACCTGCAATGTTCTTCACAGATACTAAGCAAGTACTTACAGATAAATAAATAGTTGTATGTATGCTGAGTGCTGCAAAAGAAAAGTATCTGTTGTATTTGAAGGAAAGACCTGTCGTATCTCAAAATGATATTTTGAGAAGCTTTCATTTGAGCAGTATATTGGGGAACTCAAACAAAGCCTTTTCATTTTGATCATGCCAAATCACCTATAGAATTCACTTATAGAGATGTATCTATAGTCATATCAGAAATTGGCTGCTAAATGGTTACTTAGGGTAACCAAACAAGTCTGAGACAGCCATGGACATGTTCATGTCAGGAACAAAACAGAAAAGTAGTCACTTGTAGAACAAAGTCTAGAATCAATGTAGGAAAAAAAAAAAACTGAATGAAACTAGGACTAGAAGATTTGAGTTTGAGTCCCAGCTTTGCTGCGTGGCCTTGGATAAATTGACTAGCCTCTGTGAGCCTCCATATTCCCTTAGTGGTCTTCCCATTGTGGCTCTACTTACCTAGGAATAGTGGTGTATTAGTTTGTTTTCATGCTGCTGCTGAAGAAGCAAGTCACATTTTGCATGGATGGCGTCAGGCAAAGAGGAAACTTAGATATTATTTTAGCTCCTGGCTCCATGATTTTTATATAAAAGAACAAGACAAATTCAGCGAAGATTTAATATTTGAGTTTGCCAAGGAAGGTTTTCTTACCTAGTGGATGCAGTCTTAGGTACTATGCCTTAAATTAGAAGGCACAGTTCCTAGTTCCTCCTTCTGATGCACCATTAGCTATAAATCACACCAATTAAACTACAATTTGTGCATCCACACTCTGGCACTTTCACTCAACCTGCCAATAAAATCTTGAGAGAATCACCATTGGCAGCTAGGCCCTAATAATATCTGAAGTTTCCATTTTCCCCCACAGAGTTTCACATTTACTCTCTCATGCATGATGCCCTTTGTGGCTTTATTTTTACAGCTAAGACAGGAATCTAATTCCACTTTTGAGATAAATCTCAGAGAGAGGAAGTAGTTGTGTAGGCAGGTTGGGATATTTTTAAAAAACTGCATTGGTATGAATTACTTTTGTCACCGCTTTCTATTTATACTGTACAATTCAGTTTACCAAACATTTTTATCTGTTTCTTCATTTGATCTTCACAGCAGTCTTGTAATGTAAGCAGGAAATCAGTGATGTCTCCATTTTATAGACAGGGAATATAAAGCTTCAGGAGAGCTTCACGGTTTTTTTTTATTCATTTATTGAACACCTAGTCTATTCCTAACAATGGACTATGCCATTTACAACTGCTGTTGCATTTACCTTTCAAAAAATCTGATCAGGTAACTACTTTTTTTCTATTCTGCATATGAGAAAGCTGAGTATTCTCTAAATTGAGTATCTTATGCAAAATCCACACTAAAAATCAATAATAAACTTATGATTCAAACATGAATCAGATTTATCTCAGAGCCTTAAAAAATAATAATACATCAGTTACTCCTGTCAGCCAAAGAAAACAAGCTTTGCCAACTTCAGGAAGTTTCTGTGTTGACTCCATTTTGCAATAAGTCTGATAATCAGAGAAAATCTGCCTTTATGAATCTATAAAACAAAGCATGCATGAAGCCAAATTGAAATTTGATGTATGTAATTTTCAGAGTTATATGCATATTATATGAAATAGCTAGTTAGGGATTCAGATTGTTATTTGCCTATAAAACTTACTTTATTTCACACATTAAAGAATTCATGAGTGTTTGGCTGAAACCTCTGTAAAGTTTCTCCATCCAAGCTGCAAGAGATTGTTCTAGTCAAAACAAATGATCCCAATTCTATCTGAAAACAGAGAAGGGGTGAGGAGGAATGGAGAAAGACATACCTTAATTCAGTGTGTTATTAAAAATTATTCTAAAAGGCTGATCTATTTAGTATTAGATCTGGTAAGCTAAAGGATCATTTCTGTTTATCAGAACTCTTCATTTAACTCATCCAATTCAGCAAGCACTTACGTTAGCATTTATTAGCTGATAACTGTGTGCCACACGCTATGCCAGGTGTTAGGATACAGAAGAAAACATGATAACATCCTTGCCCTCATGGTATCCATAACTGAGTTATTAATGGTCAGTAGCAAAGAAGTACAAGAGATAGGTGCATACATCCTCTTCCTTTGTGGAGTGCAGAAAAGATAGACTCTTTATATTGTCTAGAATTTCTGGTTAAGTTGGATTCTGATGAATTTAGTTCATAATCTATTTGTCTCTCTCCATCTCTGTATCTCTCTCTCTTTTTCTATGTCTCTCTCTCTCTCTCACACACACACAAACACACATACACACACACACACACACACACACACACACTCCCTCTCTCTTGGATTTGTAAGCCAAACATCTGTAAGTCTTTAGCAATGGAAAATTCCACGTCACCACTTCAACACAGAGGCAGGTTGGCAACTTGAGAGATGAGCTAAGTCGGGTTGAAGTAAAAGCTAGTAAAATCCTTAGGCAGTAGCCTGGAGAGATCCACCCCAAATCCTTCCAGTCACCAGAGCTCAGCGCTCTTGACGGAGGTGAGCATTCCAGTGCGTATCTGGGAGGGGAGCCACGCTCCTCAAATAGTTCCTAATGACGTCCTTCCTGACAGGATGACTTGAAAAGCAGCCAGGGTGAGAAAAGCTCTAAGTGTACCTCTAAAGCCTAAAGTAATGTGACTGGGCCCCTTCTGTGCATATCTGGCTCTGAAATCCCAGGAAAACTAGAAAAAGAAGAGGTGATGAAATGGCAACCGTCTAATATTTTCTGAGCTCCAAATAATTAAAATTATTTTTGTATCATCATATGAAAGAATGTTGACAAAGCATTGCTTCTTGAAATTGAGGTGTAAATAGTGTTCTATGGCTAATCCTCTTATGTGTGACTATTTGGTTAAGAGTCCGGTGGAAAGAGAGCAGTAGTATATTTGTTTGGGATTTTCTAGTTTTAAACATTCTGAATTATCATATTTCATTGATTATAAGACTTACATCTTCCCCTCTCTACAAAATACATTTCAGCTTGTGAAATCAGAAGAGTCTTGTGTCCACCCTCTCCAAGAAAAAGATGCTTTTATTCATTGATGGTGCTTTTTAAAATCGATACTGCTTAAAAGGATGGAAATAAATTACACTCTCTTGGATATTCAGAACAACAATGTATGGGGGTAGGGATGATTTCTATATTTTACAAATGAGAAAACAGCATCTCTGAGTGGGTATGGTATTTTCTTAACATCTCTCAGAGCCAGGACTCAAATCCAGAAACTCTGATTCCAAGGTACTGCTTTGAACCCCAAGTTGCTCTTCTCACTCTATAAGTAACCAGATAGTTCACAAAGATTTAACCTGCCCCAATTTGTCCATTTTAACATGGAACTGACTGTATTAGCGTCTTTCCATGATAGAAGGGTTTCTTGATATCCTGTTACCATCTAAAAAGAACATGATACTCCTCAAATGGAGCAGATATTTAAATACCAAATGCTCTTTTTGTATTCACAAGATGAAACTAGAAAATTACAAGTAACTATGCACTATCCTGTGAGCCTCTTGAGGAAAAAAATCTGTTCAGTGGATTCGGTATCCCCAGCAATTAGGATTGTGCAAGGCATGTAATAAACCCTGAAGAAATATTTACTGAATAAATGAAAGAAGGATGTTTCCGCCAAAGAAATGGAAACATTTATAATTGCTCACAGCATCTCATCCCTGGAGCAGTGATTACATGCTCTGCTAAGAATAGATGTAAACCATTTCTGCTTCATCCTTACCATGTACCCTTCCTAAGCCTCAGTGACAATGAGGGTCACATCCAGGTAAACAATATTGTGACCCCCAACAGACTACACACCATTGACATTTACCCCAGCCATATTGGAAGTTGTCCTAAAGCACAAATTTCCTTTATTATAAGACACCAAGAGCTTCTAGTTCAGATGTGTCTATTTAAAGCATCGCGTGTGTACAGCAGGTGGTCTCTTCAAACTAATTCTCCTGTAGTGTGGAAATGGATAACTCAGCAGGAAAGCAGTCTCTGTTGCTTGGATGTGCAGAGTCCTGTTTACAGCTCAGTGATCTTACCAGTTGTTGTTAAAGCTGCACACGTTTATAATGAACAAATAGAAAGAGGGTGCCACTGTCACCATTAGTACCACTAAGAACTGCATATGTCTTTGTCCTGACAGGAGTCACCAAAGTAATAACAGCAACACCTATCTTATATTTTCAGAACACTTCAGTCAAATCTCATTTTGAGTCTCACAACCACTTTGTGATGTGAACCTCACAATTTGTAGATGAACAAACTGAGGTTCAGTAACTTCCCAAGGCCCCACTAGTAATAAATGACAAGATTAAGACTAAAAGCTGGCCTTCTAACATAGAGTTCCTTTTTTTTTTTAATTTTACTCCCAGTACCTTTTTTTTTTAATTATTATACTTTAAGTTTTAGGGTACATGTGCATAACATGCAGGTTTGTTACATATGTATACATGTGCCATGTTGGTGTGCTGCACCCATTAACTCGTCATTTAACATTAGGTATATCTCCTAATGCCATCCCTCCCCCATCCCCCCACCCCACAACAGGCCCCGGTATGTGATGTTCCCCTTCCTCTGTCCATGTGTTCTCATTGTTCAATTCCCACCTATGAGTGAGAACATGCGGTGTTTGGTTTTTTGTCCTTGCGATAGTTTGCTGAGAATGATGGTTTCCAGCTTCATCCATGTCCCTGCAAAGAACATGAACTCATCGTTTTTTATTATTCACAATAGCAAAGACTTGGAACCAACCCAAATGTCCAACAATGATAGGCTGGATTAAGAAAATGTGGCACATATACACCATGGAATACTATGCAGCCAGCCATAACATAGAGTTTCTAACCCTGTTCCCTCCGTTTATGGCTTCCTCTTATCTGGCAATCATGAGACCCCTGGATGAGGTCGTGACTGATCGAGGGGCATGCTGCCCACCATCTCACTTGGGAAAGGGGGAGGGCAGGCCATGGCCTCATGCTATTGCCTAACCCACTGAGTGTATTGTTTTCTTATCTCAGAACCAAAGTAAGCCACCTGAGTCTCGAAGACATGAGCAGCTGGGCAGTTTTAATCAATGCAGATTAATCCTACTGCATTAAACAATGCCAGCCTTCTCACAGGAGGCAATGCCTCCTTTTCTGTGTGAATGGTAGATTTGCATTCTGAGTCGCCTTACTTACCCTTAACAAATTGCAAACAAGTGTATGGCAGAGCCCCCCTCACTGTGTAGTTTGTGGTGTTCACACCTATGACCTTGCTCCATCCAAGTGTCCATCAGTAGCTCAAGGCCTTGAGATAATACTGATGAATGAAATCACTGATATTCCTGAAAATAGCAGCAGCTTTGGAATTGGACATTATTCTCCTGGACTCCAAGTCACTATGAACTTATGAGAGTACCCTGAGTGGTTGCCTAGCAGATGAGAAGTTCCACCTGATGGCAAGTGTCCCAAAGTATGGCCATCTGTGGCTCATTCCTATTTGACCTGGTGAAGACATCAATTCATAACAAGTAGAGGGAGGCCGTAACAGGGGGCTCTAGGAGCAGACACAGGTTTCCATTTTACTCAGTACAGAAAGGGGTTACAATTTTCGCAAGTGATGAACAAGAATAGGTGATGAATTACACACAGAAGTAATAGAAAGAATTGACAGTCATTACCAAGCGCCAATCTTTTAGATCCATCAGCTCTCTCATAATCTTCTCAACAGATCTTGAGGTAGGTCCAATTCTTATTCCTATTTTACTTGAGAAAATTAAGCACAGAAAGGTTAATAACTTTCACAGTAATGTATAGCTATTTAGTGGCACAACCAGGATTTTGACTCCATCTACATAACCCAAATCTTGTACACTTTTTACTATTATCATCCATCTTGTTCAAGTGAATACAAATGCCAGAACCCCAAATTAAATGCACCTAGTCAGGAACAACTGGCTTTACATACTCAAAAATGTGGAGGAGAAAATGGGTTATCATATATAGAGGTGGAGAAAGAACTAGCTGGGGGTAATGTTTCATGAAGCTCCTCTAAAACGTTTGCTTAGGAGTTGGGTTTCAGTGGTTTGCTTCTTGTTACAGAAGAAAATCCCCCCAAAACATAAAACAACTTGTAATTTAAAAAGCATTTACCAAACATCTATTTCATGCAAAGCAAGACAGAAGAAAATGCTGCAATTTTAATATTGTTTTATACCTCGGCATGATCATGCTTAATTTTCCTGTCAATGTCCTGTTCTGGAAGCAAATTCTTTCAGGTTCTGACTTGTTCAAAACTATGAAAGTCCTGTCTATACAGAAGGTAGAATGATAGACCCTGAGGTTTGGGAATAGAGATGAGTGAGGCATCCCAAGTCTCCAAGTAGCTTACAGTTTGATAGAGGGAAGACCAGCATGCACCTGACTAACACAATAGATGAAGGGAAGAAGAGCAAGATGTCAAGAGGGGAAGGGTGGAGAATTGAGGAAGCCTTGCATTCTAAACAAGCCTTATATTCTAAACAATTGTGGTGTTATAACCAATGTCATGATGTCATGGAAACAAAATGGCTTCACGGCGATCCAGGGTTGAATCCTAGCTCCATGTTCAATGAGCTCTGTTACCTAGTAGCTCTATGACTTTTGTGAAGTCAGTTAACCTCTCTGAACCTCTGTTTCCTCATCTGTAAAATAATATATCTACCTCAGAACTTTCTTAGGAAAAATAATGTATTTTTAAAAGTATGTAGTACAGATCCTAGCTCATTGCAGGTGCTCAGTAAATGTGAATTCCACATTGGATGATATAAAAATTGAAGCATTTGAAAATTTCATTCAAATGTTCTCCTGAGGCTTGGAATCAAGACAGTGTTATGAATTTGACTGAAAAATGTTCCAAAGGGACAGGCATAGATATGAGTAAAACATTTGAGGAAGAGAGAATTAATATTTAATGGATATGGTAGTGTTAGGTTTTTCTGTTTTAACTTGTTGAAAAATACAATTTCAGGACTTCTATAAAACATACTTATATTTCACAATTTGTGTAGCAGGTTTCCTGTTTACTTCTAGAGCATTTCTAACTATGAACTTGTTTATCTCCAAGAAGTTGGAGACAGAGCTCTGCCGCCACAGATGCACCATTTATATTTATAAACCCAGATCTTACTAGTTTTACTATGTGAAATTTCTTGTGTTTATGTTTAGTTTTCAAAGAAAAGTAGCAAAGAGACAGATAAGCACCTCTGACACAGGATTTACATTGAGATGACTGTCAAAGTAGGAAAGATGAAAACAGGATAGATTCCAATTAAGGCAAATGCAGTATAAATCATTCATTTTGGGGAATTTTAACACCATAGAATGTCATGCAGTCAAAACATTTCGAAAGCATGGCAGAAAACATTTTGGGTATCTAATAAGCCATACTGTAAGGCAAATATAATTTATTATTAAGGCAAGTATTCTATTGTGTTACAAAAAATGAGGCAGCTACAAGAGCCTAACAAAGTGTTGATTGTATATAGATGAAGTGTCAGAGAATTGTTTCCAATGTATGACATGATTGAGATGGAGAGATCCTGGAGAACAATAAAAATAACAGAAGAATTTGGAAGTGGTAGTTATTTGACGGAAATAAAGCCTTGGAATTAGAATATTTAGTTTTGAAAAAAGTAGCACTAGGGGAGATGCATGTTCATCTTTCTTATTGCAAAAACATAAAAATGAAAATGGACAATTTCAGTACCTGGAGCCATTTTATAACTGAATTCATCTAGGTATTCTACTCCCTCATTTATTTTTTATTCACTCAAAAAAAAGTTTATTGAGCATCTCAGACACTATGTTAGGAAAAGGAAGTTCCAAGAAGAATGAAAAATATTTCCTGCCCTCAGAGGGCTCAGTCTAATGGAAGATGAACAACTGTACAAATAACTGCAAGTTGGTGTGATGAATGCAATGAAGTAGCAAAGTGATTAAATGAGGGTTGGGACTTGCACAGAGTTAGATGTTTAAGAAGGGGCAGCTGGAAGGTGGGATCTCCTGCTTTTATCATGGGTAGTAAAGTCATCAAAGGTATAAAGGAGAGTGTCCCATCTCTCCAGATGGGAGATTTAGTGGTACTTAGAGATGACATGTAGTATTTATCAAGTGGCAATGTAAAGCATGGATCAGAAAAAGTTAAGAGTTCTTGATCTGTGTTCCAGACAAGGCCCTTTTCTTCTCTGGGAAATGCTATTAGAGGCTGTATGATTTTTGTGCAAAGGTTTGACCAGTAGTCCCACTTCTGGTGCTCTGCTAACCTGCTGCCAACATTCACATATACACCAAGATCCCTGTTTGTGATAGCAAAAAGCTGGACAAGCCTAAATATCTAATGATAAGGGAGTTGTTAAATACAGTCTAAACTATGGAATAGACTATTAAGAGTATTAAGAAACATGATATTTATGTATTTGGTAGAAGGCAGGAAAATATCCAAATTACACTATTAAAAAGGGGGGAAAAGTCTTAATACAATAAATAGCTATGGTCTTGTTTGTATGGTTATGTGTGTATGTACACACAGCTACCCACAAACACACACATACATATCCGGCACACAACCATACATGTACCACTAGGGTAAGCTGTAGGGAAAGAGAGCAGTGAGAGAGAAGGTAAGGGAAGGCAGAAGAGACGAGAGCCTCTCAATTTTTATCCTGTGTTTTTCTATATCTTTCAAAATTTTCAACATCCATAGACTTCATTTTGTAATTTAAAACAGAAATGAGATAATGCCCATGAAGCATTGAGCATATTGTCTGCCATGTGGCCAGCAATAAATGTTAATTGACTCTTCCAAGGTGGCAAGAAAATACGACTTGCTCAAAATGATTTAAATCTGCATACAGTATCGTATCTTTATTTTTCCTTAATTTTAAATAAAGACAGGGTCTCACTTTGTCACCCAAGCTGGTGTGCAGTGGTGAGATCATAAGTCACTAAAACCTTGAAATCCTGGGCTCAAGTGATTTTCCTGCCTCGGTCTCCCAAATAGCTGGGACTATATGTGTGTGTCACCACACCTGGCCTGCATACAGTATCATATTGATGTTTATAAATAAATGTTTTCTCTTGCTAGAAAATGAAATACATTTTCCTAAATTATAGTCAATAGATTTTTACCTTAAATATGTTGTTAAATATGTGTTCTACTTATTTAATCATTTAGGACTTATTTATTCAAAGCTAAGCATGAGCAGGAAGCCTTCCAAATCTGGATAATACCAGACTTTGCTTATGCACCAGAAATTTCCAGCCAACTATTATGGCTTTATCTGTTGTGTACTAAACTTTAAAAATATTTAATATTCAGAGTTTATTTTCCTGTTATCTATTTATTGCTGAAAACTAAGGTCAAATCTTTTAGAAAAGCTATCCCTACATTAATCAATACATATCCAGTAAGTTGAAATGAAATTACATTTTATAGAACTTTTTCTTATAAAGAATTTGAAACACTCTGTAAGTAGATCATCTTTTATTGTATACATTCATCCTTGTTTTATTAAAGTTGTGAATAAATTGAATTGAAAATCAAATTGTTTTCTGAAATATACTGATATACTCTATTAAAATTCTTCATGGTGAGTTTCTTTGTAATTAAAAGAACCATTTATAATTCCAATTAACATTTTTAAGTTTATTTGTGGGTAAGTTAAGCCTGCTGAATTTTCTAAAGCAAGACATTGTTTTGCCAAGGAAATGATAGAAGTTTCTAGGTTGTGATAAAAAATATTGAAACATCAAAAGCCGTTTCTTTTTACATGTTCATTGTGTTAATAAGTACCTTAGAACCGATTCTTTCTTTATCTTTATTGGGTTGACATGCCAAAAATATTTTTTTCTGTGAAACAATAGCAATGTTATAATATACAGATTTCTTTGATTTTTTTATCCCCATAACTTTTAATGTTTGAAAATTTCTAAAATTTGGCATGTGGGCAAAGCTATAGGACAAAATTGAGGTATGATCCCAAGTGGTCAACTTCTAGCAGACCCCCACCCCCTAACAAAATTTAGTTAAATTAAATGAAATTTCTTACACAATTCATCACCAAACTCTTGATTGTCAGGTCTATCAGGCTGAGAGTAACTAGAGTCTCTCCTCAATACCCTATTGAGTTGGGATTCCCATGGAGTTTTTTTTTGTTTTTTGTTTTTTGTTTTTTGCTTTTTGCTTTTTGTTTTTGAGGTAATTATAGATTCACATGCAGCTGTAAGAAATAACTATTTT
The DNA here is from genome assembly GCF_000001405.40 of Homo sapiens. Lineage (NCBI taxonomy): Eukaryota > Metazoa > Chordata > Mammalia > Primates > Hominidae > Homo > Homo sapiens. The sequence goes on along the minus strand of NC_000011.10, from coordinate 83,633,888 downwards.
ACTCAGTTTCTCCCAATAGTAACATTTTGCAAAACTATTGCATATTATCACAACTAGGATATTCACATTGACACAATTCATCGATATTATTCAGATTTTCCGCAGTTGTGTGTGTGTGTGTGTGTGTGTGTGTGTGTGTGTGTGTTTAGTTCTGTGTAATTTTATCACACGTGCAGTTACCAATATCCACCGTGCAGGCAAGATAGAGAACATTTCCATCACCACAAGGATACTTTACATTGCCTGTTTATAACCACATCTACCTCCCTGCCTTCCCATGATCCCCCATCCTCCCTCTCCCAGCCCCCATGGACTTTTTACAAGTTGGGAATTTGATGGTGGTGTGTTTTCCAGGTACGTTTTGGGAAATAACTGATTTATCATTTTCCTCTTATAAATGTCTGTGAATAAATAATAGGAAACAGGCATACCCTTGAGTTGCACATCTCCCCATTGTTTGGCAAAGGAACCAACAACGTGGGTGAGGGGCTGCCTGGGCTGTGCAGCATTTCCAACTCTTGAGGGCACAGAGCAAAATTTGCTACCTTTGTTTTCATTCCCAGATTACGCTCGATTTGAGGCCAAAATCCATGACCTACGAGAGCAGATGATGAACCACAGCATGAGCTCCGGGTCCGGATCCCTGCGAACCAATCAGAAACGCTCCCTCTACGTCAGGTAGGCAAAGGAGTATTTCTCTATCTGCACTTTGTGAGCAATTCAACTTGAGAAAACAAAGGCAACACCATGTAGCAACAGAACATGTGTCCCACTTAACCCACTTTCATCAGTACACTACTGAAAGACCTTGTGTTTAAGCATTTGGAATAAATGTTTGAAATGTTATTAGATTAAATTAGTTAAAGGTGCCTGCTTTTATCAAGTTATTCTTTGGCAAAGTTATGATTCAGGATAAAATGCTCAGCATAGGTTGCAATAAAAATAATGAGAAGAAACATTTTCATTTCTAATAAATCTTAAATGGCATATGTGGACCAAACCCTTGGACATTTACTTACCATCAGTGTGAAAAGAAAATATTCCTGTATTATCTCCTAACCTGCCTGATACTGATTGCATTAACTTTAGTGCATCAGTTTAAAATCCACGGCATTCTTCTAAAGAGTTATGTGCTTTTCTCTAACAAGTTTTGGCAGAAAGACTTCCTTCTGTGTCATCTCGCTACCAGTTTTTTTCTCAGACCATAGAAGTTACTTGTTCCTTGTCTGACAAAACTCATCAATTTACCAGAAAAAGATAAATGATTGATTGAATGTGAAATGCCTTCCAGTCTTTCATCCTAGTAGCTACCTCTTGAGTAAGATCCATCAACACTCAACTATAACATGCTCCTCTTCCAAGACAAGCTTCCTGTATTACTTCCAAACTTCATCAGTGCTGACTGTACTTTTAAAAATATATAAGTACTAACAGGCAAAAGGAAGAAAGTGATGCCTAATTAACGGGCAACATGAATCTATGTACCATATGGAAGAACCATGCCCATTCTTATTGTATTCTCCACTCCCCACTCTGGCCTGAATTCAATCTGACTCCAGCCTGAGGTCATATCCTTCTTACCTGAAATTTTAGGCATGACGTATATGTTATAGATACTAATTTACATGCTTGAGTTGAACTTTTGCTGTTGGTTCCACTTTGGCTCTAAAGTTAAGTTTTGTATGTATTTGGTATTCACAGCAGGGCTAAGAAGGGAGTGGGATTCTGGAAGGCACAGGTTCTCATAGGGCTTAATTTCCCGACTGAACTGATAAGCCTAGAGTCCCTTCTTATTCCAGGGAAGCCCTGAGATTAAGAAAAACAAGTTATTAACCCTATGAATTTGGCCAACTCCATTTCAAAAGATTATTTTGATACCCTTAATTGTAATCTGTGACTGTTCAGAACCACCCTAAAACATGTCTTGTAGTGACATTACAAATATGATGGAAAGTTAACAAGCTCCATTTGTGGTTCTTCTTCTCTCTTGTGTTGTATTGCTGGTCTACATGCTACAAAGTATTTTTAAATTTTGAAATGTTTTAGTCCCTGGTAGCAAATTGGAAAAAGTCAGCTGGGTTAATAGGATAGAACTAAATCAGTTAGTGTAACTGAAATGGTTATATATATAATAAAGCTCGGAGGGAAAATTACCAAGTGTCTTATTAAGAGATAGAATGCATAAATTGTTCAGATACTAGAAGAAATTTGCTGAAATATATTGCTAATAGCTATTAAGTTTTGGAAGATTAAGAAAATTAAATGAAGTGATATGATATTATATAAAACTAATACACTTATTTGAAAGAGTAGTAATTAGATTCAGATCTTTATTCTCTAAAATCATAAATAAAAGTATAACGTACAGAAGAGACAAAGACTTAGAGTAACAAAGTAATGGTTGGAGATTGTATTGAAAGGAGGAACCTCTTTTTAATGAGACTCAAAAATACTTGACATTTCATAAGAAAGTCCCCAAATGAAATCTCTGTAATATACAAATATGGTATTTAGTTTCCAAATGTTCAATTATTACTACTTATTTTGTACCTAGAGGGCTGACTTTAGCATCTAAATGACTCTAAGAGACATGAAATTAAAAGAAATATGGGCCATGCGTATAGTCATATCAGCAAATCAGAAAGAAAGAACTTACAAGAGCCCCCTGGCCTTATTCTCATGAAAAGTGATAAAACAGACCAAAAAAAAAAAAAAAAAAAAGCAAGAAGCAAGGCCTAAGTGAAATTCTTACCAAAAAGGATTCAACAAGTTTGTACCTTTGTACTTCTTGAATACTAATTTTGGCTACAGGATTTTCATACAGATGCTTGCTTTGTCTAGAGTGCTTGTATAGGACCACGGTCAGTTGTGTTTATTTTAGAAAGTCAACTACTTGCTCTCTCAGAATAAATTACTAGCAGGGTTTCTCTGATTATATAAATATAAGAGGATGATCATGTCTCAAATCTGAGAATAACATCCTGAAAATGGTGTTATTCTCCTCACTTTACTTAGCTTTATGTAATTCTAGGGCTAGAAGGAACCTTAGCTATCATTGGGCCCTCTGCTTAATTTACAGAAGAGGAAACTGAGACCTGAGGAGAACAGAGACAGAGACTTGCCTGTGATCCCACAGCTATCTGTGGCAGAATCAGCTCTCCTACCCCCAGTCCCATACTTCTCCCCACATCACTCTGCCTCCCTAAGGGCCTAGTTTATGTGGTGTCAGCTGTTGAATACACTTTAGCTGTGATTCCCAATCTGCTTCTGTCAGCACAGTGCTGGACTCTTTGATTAAGGAATAAGGAGAGGAGAAATTCTAACACAAATGTCTTTGAGGTTTTTGCACAGGATAAACTGTGCTGTAGGAATGTGGGATTTCTTTGGTATTATTTATAGTTTTCTGTGAAGCCAAAACCTAAATCAGAAAGCAAGCACCTTCTTTGTTCTGTGAGAAACAATTTAGCTGACTTAGTAAAATATTTGCTTGCACCAAAAAACCATTCTTCCCCTTGGATTTACCTCCCATACCCTACACACACACACACGCATGCTCACAAGCATGCTCCCAACTCTAGCCCTGGTCCTGGTGGTGTCAGAGAGAATGTACCTTCCTGGGGTCTTGCAGAAGCTGCCTTCATTTCCCCACTAGAAATGATCTTCCCAGGTAGTAGCAATTTGTTTACCTGAAATTTTGAAGGGAGTGGTAACCAGCACTCTCTGAGCCAGGCAGTATTTTAAATATGAGCCAACCCTCTCTATTTTCTAATCTAGTTATACTTTTTTTCCTTTAATCTTTCGTGTGAAGTGCTTGAAGTACTTTAGTGGTGCTGTGCAAGTGGAACTGATTATTGCTAATGTTAACTGTTCTTGTTCTGTGGGAATGATTTGGGTATGTTTGATTTAATATGCTACTTGTATTGTGTATTTCCTGCATTGTGAAACATATAGCAGTAAAGCATTGTGAAACATGTAGTTCATTTAAAAGTAAATAAAGTTACAAATATGAATAAAATGTTTTTCAAAATGCTGCACAAGTACATTATCAATTCTTCAAACATAGATGCATTTAGGCTCCTGAGCTACTGGAATATGAATTTTATTGCGTGTATTTTGAGGCTCTCGTTCACTGCCTTGGAAGAGTGAGTTTATGAGCTCATGAAGATCTCCCTACTCTAAAATATCCTTTTCCCTTCTTATCTACTAGCTGATAAAAGCTGGTATAATAAAGAAAGAACAAGGCTTTTCCTGCTACTAACAGGGATGCACCTTTTGTATAAATGCTACTAGGAGAAGCCAAAGATATGGGGGTTAAATTTATACAAAAGTGCAGATTTCTAAAGAACAATCCTTTGTTTTGATAAAAGGAAAGCTAGAGTACCCAGGATGCTGGGAGAATGGGGAGGGCAAGGAAAAAAAGCAAATCATTCCACCAAGGGGAAGGAGAAAAAGGTCACAGGAAAGAATGTAAAAGAAAAACTCAGCCCTGTTCACTTGTTAATAAAACGTATCGATTTTCAGAGTTCAAGCAAATAACCTCTGAGTTTTGAATGTGGATTTAAGAAACAGTTGCTGTGATTTATTCAGACCTTCATCAAACATTTTTTGAGTGTATATTATGTGCCAGGACCTATAATGGACACTGAGGACGCAGCAGTAACAGTCATGTTTCCTGTCTGCAAAAAACTTATGTCTGCTGGGGAAGACAGACGAAGGGAAGATAATTAAATGCAATGTGAAATGAAAAGATCTGTTAGCTCTAGAAAGGCCTGGAATCTTGATTGCTTCCATGGAAAGATATCTAAGTAATTTTTGAAGCTCTGATATGAGGTAACCAAGAGCCTTTCAAATATTTAGAAGCAAAGTAAGAAGTACATTATTTATCCTGACCCAGTAAATACATATACACATAAAACAGAAAGAACATTTTTGTTAAATAGTAATAACACTTTTTGTATACAGTGTACTTTGTTATTTTCCATTCTGTTTCTCTCCTTTTTAAAAAATGGAGATCATAGCTCATTAACTTGATTTAATAACTCACTAATGGGTCATGATTTACGGCTTACAGATGGAATAGACAAGAGGGAACATGCCAGGCAGATAACACGGTACACAGACAAACAAAAGAGAGTGTCTTTACTACCTTATATTAAACATATCGAGGATCCTTAGACCCTTGGTGTTGTAGCCAGCTTGGAAGGCAGTTATCCCTGATGCAGATGAGGAGGTAGAAATAGAGGGAAGTATTTGTCAGACATTTTCTATGGGTCAACCATTATTCTATTGTTTTACATGTATTATCCCATAGAATTCTCCCCAAAACACTATGATTCAGGGGATATTGCCTCCATTTTATAGATGAAGAAACTGAAACTCGGAGAAGTTAAATGATTCCCCCACGATCCCACAGCTAGACAACATGAGCATGGACATTCAGATCCTATTTGTGAGACATTGTAGAGCAGCATTTAAGCACACAGTTGCTAGCTTCTGCCAGGTAGAAAAACATGTGAATCATGGTTCTGCCACATCCTAGCTCTGTGACCATGGACGAATCAGTTTCTCTGGGCTTACTTTCTTTATCTGTGAAGATGAGTATAGTAATAGGATACCATAAAGTGGTTGTGGCAATGGCAACAAAAGCCACAATTGACAAATGGGATCTAATTAAACTAAAGAGCTTCTGCACAGCAAAAGAAACTACCATCAGAGTGAACAGGCAACCTACAGAATGAGAGAAAATTTTTGCAACCTACTCATCTGACAAAGGGCTAATATCCAGAATCTACAATGAACTCAAACAAATTTACAAGAAAAACACAAACAACCCCATCAAAAAGTGGGCGAAGGATATGAACAGACACTTCTCAAAAGAAGACATTTATGCAGCCAACAGACACATGAAAAAATACTCATCATCACTGGCCATCAGAGAAATGCAAATCAAAACCACAATAAGATACCATCTCATACCAGTTAGAATGGCGATCATTAAAAACTCAGGAAACAACAGGTGCTGGAGAGGATGTGGAGAAATATGAACACTTTTACACTGTTGGTGGGAGTGTAAACTAGTTCAACCATTGTGGAAGTCAGTGTGGCGATTCCTCAGGGATCTAGAACTAGAAATACCATTTGACCTAGCCATCCCATTACTGGGTATATACCCAAAGGATTATAAATCATGCTGCTATAAAGACACATGCACACGCATGTTTATTGCGGCACTATTCACAATAGCAAAGACTTGGAACCAATCCAAATGTCCACCAACAATAGACTGGATTAAGAAAAGGTGGCACATATACACCATGGAATACTATGCAGCCATAAGAAATGATGAGTTCATGTCCTTTGTAGGGACATGGATGAAGCTGGAAACCATCGTTCTGAGCAAACTGTCGCAAGGACAGAAAACCAAACACCGCATCTTCTCACTCATAGGTGGGAATTGAACAATGAGAACACATGGACACAGGAAGGGGAACATCACACACCAGAGACTGTTGTGGGGTGGGGTGGGGGAAGAGGGGAGGGATAGCATTAGGAGATATACCTAATGCTAAATGACGAGTTAACTGGGTGCAGCACACCAACATGGCACATGTATACATATGTAACAAACCTGCATGTTGTGCACATGTACCCTAAAAGTTAAAGTATAATAATAATAAAATAAAATAAATAAATAAAAAATAAATAAAATAAAATAAGTGGTTGTGAGAATTAAATAAAATAGTGAATTTAGATATCTGGCACATGGGAAGTCGTTGATAAATGTTGGTAATATTCATCATTTACTATGAAGCCACCTTTTCCCTGTCAGACAGAGAGACCACAGAATTGGTTGTGACTAAGACGCTGTTTTCTCAGCAGTGAGATAAGCCTCTCTCATCCCATTGCTTGCCTTCAGCAAAGGAAGAAGGATAGACTTTCTGATGACTTTTAGATTTTTGCTCCTCTGGACCCCATGAAGCCTGAAGGAGATGGCCAGCATTCCATGGCTCCAGAATGCTCAGCTCTGTCAACTCATCAGCATTTCTCATCCAAACAAGGCTCTACCCAGAGGCAGAACCTGAAAGGAATTCAGTAGAAGCCACATGATAGAAAGACTCACTGCATATACAGTAGGCCATTCCAAGTCTCCATATATGTTATCAGTCTTCCTAACCACATGATTTCTTCTATTTCCCCTCGGCATTCTTCACCCCTTTCCAGCCCTCTGCTCATAGTTTCGTTCTGAATTTCAAAGTCTTATTTCTTTTACAGTAGTTCTAAGTCTATATGTTACTCAAAGTTGCTACTACCTGAGACAGTTTTTGCCTCAAAGGCTATGTAATATGACAAACGCACTCAGGTCAGCTTCTTGCCCCTCGTTTAACTTAAGGCATTCATAAATTGATTCCTTCATGCCTTGATTCTTTCATTCAATAAATATGGTGTTTGTACTTACCTGCAATGTACCAGTCTGTAGTAGATGTTAAGGGCACAGTGATGAATAAGACCACAGAACCCCTTTCCTCAAGTTTCTCACAGTCTAGATCTATAGGCAATCCAAATAGTATGCAGACCATAGAAATGGTAATTCATTTCCTGATACCCCATGTGTTATGTGCCTTGCAATTATTATCCTATTTTGATTTTTACAACATGCCTATTGACTCCCTGAAGTGAAATTTGCCCAGAAGACCACTAATATTTGAAACTCACCTGTTAAGATAGTGACTGCTCTGGTCCTTGTTAAGCATTTATGATAAAATGTTTTGAAATGAATCAGTATTATTCAATACTGGACCTGCAAATCCCAGTAATGTCTTGATGTTTCATAGCTCTAGTGCATTATGCCACAGTGCTTGGCATAAAGAATTCTCCTTAGGAAACGTTTGTTAAATGAATTAATTCCAAGACTATCTTTCCTACACAAATGTGAGAGAAAATATTAAAATATAAGCCAAGGTATTTGAACAATCCTATGGAAATCCAGTACCAGCTTGGCTGACACCAAGTGCATCGAGTCTGGTTGCATCCTCAGGATGCAGGCTCTACCTGCTGCTACTGGGATTTCCAGAAAATATGTGGTGCTGCAAGGCCTTTCAGGCTGTTTCATTTGTTTGCTAAACTGTGTGACAAACTCTTTAAATTGGGACCTAATTTAATAATGGATTTAGACAAGCACGCACAGCCCATAACCTCTTAGTGAGACAACTTGAAGTAAGGGAAGGGCCCAGGGTGAACCTCATTCTCAACACAGTTAGTCGTTCTATTCCTGGGAACTAAGGCTTGAAGTTATGTCAAGAGCAGTCTCAAGAAAACACATTCCATCCTAGACACTTCGCCTTTGAGCTTTTGTTCTGGGGGAAGGGTGGTCCCACCTGATTGATTTTGGTGGGAGGGAAAAGCTACATCATCATGCAGGTAAGACACTCTGGTCATTTATTTTTCTCTATAGTAGCAAACATGTCTTTTCACTCTACTTCCTGCCCCATTTAACTGCTGGTTAGTATCCTGGGGATGATAAAGAAGAGTGTGGAATGGCAGGATTCTTCACTCCAGTGGTACAAGCTGCTTCCAGCTTCACTTGGCGATGGATTTCTTGAGAACATTTAAGGCAAAGCCATAAAATCCGTGGACTGTGTTATAAGTCACATTTTTGTCTTCTTCCCCTCCAATCTTGGACCCAACATGTTGGCTGTTTCCCAGAGAACATGCCACAGTTAGCTGTGTGCACCCCCCTGCCCAGTACTTGGCACAGGGCTAGCTGACAGTGGTATTTTTATTGCACACATTCATTTCCTCATAATTCTTATTTAGCAAGATCATTAGTTATTCACTTAGAAACATATTGACTATGATATGTTGCAGCAGAATAGGAAATAGAAACTTCTTGAATTCAGAATTACTTTTCTCTCTTAAAAACTTAGTGGGGGCAAAGGTAACTGGGAGGGGAACATGATCAGGTACCTGAAACAGTTTAACAGGATGAAGCAGGAAGTCTGGACAGAGTCTAGACTTGTCAAGGCACTGGTTAAATTCCTATTGATTATATAACTTCTGTTTTATACTTTGTACTGATTTCCTCCAAGTAGATCTGGCTTCTCATCCAGAATTCATAACTTATCGTTATGGATAATGATAGTCGTGCATAGCTTATTGTTTGCTAAAACTTGAGTGTCACATTTATAAAATGGACATAGTACCTAGTTCACAGGCTTGTTGTTAGGATGACGTTAAACTGAATGTATGAAGGAGGCTGCTATATGGGACTTGTTAGGCAAAGGGGAGTTCCTTTTATTGCTTCAAGTACTTAGAGCCTGCCTCCTAAACTGGTGCCTTCTTTAAAGCAGAATAGATTTTGATTCTTCATTTATATTTTGAGACCCATTAGCATAATGCTTACTCTTTCAGGGATTTGCATTTTTAGTTGTATCCTTAATTGTGGAATAAAAGGCTTTGTCTTTAGGCAGCTAATTTTATGCCAGAAATAGAAAGAAGGAGGAGTCATTGTGGATCTGGGAGTTTCCTCTTTCCCCTGCAATCATAGGCTACCTGATTTTAAAAGGTTTTTAATTTTTATATTTCTGTAGGAAGAGGAACAAAAGTATCATAAGTGACTCTTCCATTGACCATCACGTTTTCCTCCATTCTTCTACTTCAAGGTCTAGAATCCAGATCTCATTACTGTTAATGGTTGGCCTGTCATTAATTGATTCATCCAGAAAACCTCTTCTGAGCCACAGACCTCTACCTCACACTCTGCTAGACTCTGGAAATAAAAAGATTAATAAAACTTCTTTTCTGCCATTAAGGAGCCCACAGATCATTCCTACAACCTAGATTCTGCTTACCTCTCCACTAATCCCATGGTAATCATATTTCCAGAAATCTCTCATCTCCGCAGGAGGTACTTTGCCTCATAACCCAAAATGACTACTTTCTAGAACAAACTAGACAGCTCTAGCTAAAAAGGAGAACAGAATAGTAAAAAGTAAGACACAGAATGCTCACAGGAGGATAGGTGAGAGGGGAGGGCATGAAAAAATTGAGGGAGCTTCCCTCTTCCCCCTGCCCAACTGCCAATCATGTAGGTTAGGTTAGTTTCAAGGGAACAAGGAAATAGACAGAAATCACTTGTCCTTAAGTCTCAGTGTTTGAACAGTGTCTGACACTTCTTTAAATTAACTTTAAATACTTGTGGAATGAACTTTTTGATTAGCAGTTAAAGATGATGATTAAATAGAAAGTGGTATTAAGAGAGCCACCAATGATTGCTGGAGTCAAGCACATGCTCCTCTGTTTTCCTGTGGACCACACACAGAACAGCTCTCCTCCAGGCTTCACGTGCTCTTTCCTGTCTGTTGACTCACCTGCTCCCTCCATTGGACTGTGAGTATCTCGAAGATGGAGATTTCATCTCCTTAAATTCTGCTTCCGGACAGTCTGGCATATAGTAACTGCTGAATCAATTAAAATGAATGGATTACAGATGTCACCAAATTGGAGAGAGTTTAACTGTATTTAATATTTTACCTAATTATGTCATGGCTTGCAAATGGTTTACTGACTAGGCTCCTTGCCCCTTGTTAATCAAATTAATATGGAACCCTATTTGGTAATCATCTCAGATTAAATTTTCAAAAATTATTTAACCAGAGTCACTATTCTTATATCAAATAAAATAGACTTTAAACCAACAACAGAAAAAAAAAGATAAAGAAGGATAGTACACAATGATTAAGAGTTCAATTCAACAAGAAGACTTAACTATCTTAAATATATACACACCCAACATTGGAGCACCCGGACTCATAAAACCTTCTAGACCTATGAAAAGACTTAGTCACGCAATAATAGTTGGAGACTTCAACACCCCATTGACAGCTTTAGATCATAGACACAGAAAAACTAACAAAGAAATTCTGGACTTAAATTTGACTTAAATTTAATTCTTGACTTCAATGTGACTGAACCAATTGGACATCTACAGAATACTCCACCCATCAAACACAGGATATACATTCTTCTGATATGCATATGGAACATATTATAAGATTAACCACAAGTTCAGCCATAAAGTGATTCTCAATAAATTCAAAAAAAATTGAGATCTTACCAACCATACTTTCAGACCACAGTGGAATAAAAATAGTAATTACTACCAGGAAGATCTCTCAAAACTACATGATTACATGGAAATTAAACAACTTGCTCCTGAATGGCTTTTGGGTAAACAGCAAAATTAAGGCAGAAATAAAAAAATATTTGAAATAAATGAAATCAGAAATACAATATACAAAAATCTCTGGGATGCAACAAAAGCAGTGTTAAAAGGAAAGTTTATAGCACTAAATGCCTACATCAAAAATTTAAATGTCGAATGGACAGTTGAGTTTGAAGATGCCCAGAGCATATGGATTTGTGATTAAATTGAGAGAGTCCCTAATGAGTTGTGATCATTACAGTTGTATGAGCCAGGTCCCTGCCTCTCTTGTTCCAGGATAGATTCTACAGCCAGCATAGCTCTATGCCTATGAATTCCCACATTAAAGAGCACAGTTGAAGTGCCTATCACACAATGGGTTGCCCAGGACCTGCTACATAATTTGCAGGGGCCCGGTGCAAAATGAAAATGCTCAATTCTTGTTCACAAATTAATAGCAAAGCCGGGCATGGTGGCTCACACCTGTAATCGCAGCACTTTGGGAGGCTGGGGTGGGCAGATAACTTGAGGTCAAGAGTTCAAGACCAGCCTGGGCAACATGGTGAAACCCCATCTCTACCAAAAACAAAACAAAACAACACAAAAATTAGCCTGGCATGGTGGCAGGCACCTGTAATCCCAGCTACTCGGGAGGCTAAGGCAGGAGAATCGCTTGAGCCATGGAGGTGGAGGTTGCAGTGAGCTGAGATCTTGCCACTGAACTCCAGCCTGGGTGACAGAGCAAGACTCTGTCTCAATCAATCAGTCAATCAAAATAAAAAATTAGTAGCAAGACAGTGAGAGCAGAGCATAATGCCAGGTGTGGGACGGGGGAACACAGGTCTCATACCCATGAAGCCATTCCTGTTGACCCCCGACTTAGGACATTTAATTCAAAACTAAAAGCATGATTATTTTCCTTAATATGTAGTATAGTAGAGGTAAGAAACACAAAATCAGCACTGGGAACATTTTCAAGGATCCAGGCCTTATTCTTTTTCTAAAAGAGTATTTTTTACAAATTAAGCATATGCCTGCTTTTATGATATGTAGAAACATTTTCTTCCAGCCATCTTCCTGCTTGAGAAACTACATTCCCACTTGCCCTAAACTGTCAAGGGGCCACTTTGAGTCATCTGTCTTCACTAAAGCAAATCTTTCAAAAGCTAAGTAGCATCATTTCACATTTATTTAGCACCTGCAGGACACTTTGGTCTTCTTGTTCTGCAAAAGTTTCTGCCTCTTGGCCCTTCTCTTCAGGCCTAAGTTTTAAAGAAAATGCATAAAAGTGCCTCAGATGACTTTGAAAAACAGTGAGACCGGTTGGATGCTTGTGTCCTTCCCATATGTCATTGCCAAAATTCAGAGGGTGCAAGATTTGTAAATTCCCCTGACTGGCAACATTACAATTAAGAAAAAAAAAATCATGGCGTTGATAGGGAATTGACAACTAAATTGCACCAAGTAAGAATTCTAAAAATAATAAACAAAAAGGCAAATTATAATATATATTTGAATTGGTTGCTCTTTAATATTGCCATCATTTTCTAGAAGAGAGGGCATTTTAATGCCAGAAGAAACTTATGAACATAATCTGAGCATCAGAAAAAGTCCTCCAAATATTATAAATTTGTAGTTTTAAAACCTCACTAGATAGATCTCCATATTTTTTCTATCCATATAATCTTACCTTATAGCTAAAAAAATTAAAGTAAGCATCATGATGACTAAGTTGTTTAATTCTTAATCTTGAGTATTTTGGATCTAAATCATTCTAAGATCCTTAGGAATGCATTTTTTTTTTTTTTTTTTTTTTTTTGAGACGGAGTCTCGCTCTGTCGCCCAGGCTGGAGTGCAGTGGCGGGATCTCGGCTCACTGCAAGCTCCGCCTCCTGGGTTCACGCCATTCTCCTGCCTCAGCCTCCCAAGTAGCTGGGACTACAGGCGCCCGCCACTACGCCCGGCTAATTTTTTGTATTTTTAGTAGAGACGGGGTTTCACCGTTTTAGCCGGGATGGTCTCGATCTCCTGACCTCGTGATCCGCCCGCCTCGGCCTTCCAAAGTGCTGGGATTACAGGAGGAATGCATTTTTTTAACTTTGTCCTTTTCTTGACAAAGAAAGACGTCTTTTAGATTTTCTTTTTCTTTGTGTACGTATGCTTTCTTCATCTTTTATGCCATTTTCTCAATAAATAATAAGCCCAGACCCATCTTCTGTGATAAGCTGATGCTTTTCAGTGATACTTATTAAAAGATAAAAAGGAATCTTTCATCATCAAAATTATTTTTCATTTTTAAAGTTGTCATTCTTTCTACATTTTAAAACAGACCCACTTTTTGACAGCTTTATTGAGATATAATTGATATGCAAAAAGTTACACGTTTTATACATACAATTTTGTGTGTTTAAAAAAACAGATTTTTTTTAAAGATATCATCACATTATAGTATCTTTCATTGTATTTTATAACATTGTATATTCTACATTGTTTCAAACCAGATTGCTTACCTCATGTACTTTTTCCCCTTAATTGTCTTAAAAGGCAGACATGTCCTTTCAAACTCAGGATTCCATACTTTTATATATATGAAAAAACATACAATTATCTGATTCCACAGGTAACATAATGAGAAAATGTGGTGTGAATTGAGTATAAGTTTGCAACAAACAGGGTATTTAATAGCTTCTAATGCCCTCTAACATGAAAATCTAATTCTCATTTAAATTAACTTTGTAGCTCTTACTGTAGACAAACCTCTTTACTAGTTCCAGTGGCTTCTTTGGAGCCAGTGTCATCTTACTTTTTCTGTTAATGAGGGTTCCTAGGCAATCATCAGGAAGGGGTCTCTGCTTGTGTTTCTGGTTGCTGTAAATCCAGATGAGTGGGGAGTTTCTCCACCTAAAAGGCCTATGCTGAATGAACACCATTGCTGGCTGTTCATAAGATAACTTTTCTCTTTTCCTAAAATTCTGTGTTCCTGCCCCTTTCCTCATAAATGGGGGCCTCCATGATACTTCCACCTCCACAACACACTCAAATCCTCTTATGAGCCCTTGATTACATGATAGATTCAAGTATCCTGAGGATGAGGAGCTGGCAGTGAACATTTAATTCTCACAGTATCTATGAGGGAGCATCATTACTATTCCCATTTTACAGTTAATGAAACCAAGGTTAGATAGCTGAAGTTATCACCCATATTTACACAGCAAAGAAGGACAACATGATAAAAACTCAATTCTGTCCTATGCCAAATACCGGCTCTTAACCTTAATTTCCATGGCTTCTAGAAATACCACATTTTCTTAGATGTATTTGATTTCATATATGCTCTCTCATTCCTGTAGGTACTTAAAATTGTTAAAGCAAGTTCTATAAGTTTTGGGAAATATAGTCATCTAATATATAGTGCAACTCCCTCAGTAATAAATGAGGACGTTAAAGATGGTCAGTGAGTAGATCTTTGACATGAAGTTATACTAGTTCAGATGTAAACCATGGGATGCATTCGTTGATGATGCATCCTTAGCAAAGAGGCATGAGGTTTCCTGCTACAGGATGCTACACAGAGGATAAGACGATTGCAGGATCTTCTGACTGCCTTAGAGCAAGTATGATGGAATGGATACGGGTTTAAGTTTTTCTTCAGTGAGTATTAATTATAAAATACTACATAGGATGCTGTCAGGGGTAAAAAGATGAATCAGACATGTCTTTGAGGATCCAGCTGAAGTTAGTTGCAAAAAAACAGAGGAAAATAATAAGCTATTATTGTGAACACAAATTCTGCTCCAGGATCTGACACCTATGCAGAGGGTAGGAAATAGGGGAGATTTGAGAAGCTAACTATGATGGAGTCTCTTGTAGTAGGTTCCAAAAGCAAAGCTGTATTTTTGTTGTTGTTGTTATCTTTGGCAGTATATTTCCCCTCCATAGGAGGTATACACTACCATAGAATGAAATGATAAGTCCTGTAGAATTCTAACTCAATCAGCCATGCATTTATGAGTTCACAGCAGAGTAGAGTAGGCCAAAAGCTTGGGTTCTGGAGTCAGAAATACCTGGCCTTAAATCCTGGCTTGGCCACTTAGTACCTTTCTTATGACCTCAGTAACATAATTCTTCTCCCTCTAGGCCTCCGCTTTTTCCATAAAATGGGTATAATAGAAATACTCATTTAAAGTTTATGAGGAATAACGTTTGTAAATCACCTAGCGTCTTATACAAACTATTTCAGAAATTAGAAAAGAGAGGGTACTTCCTAGCTTTTTACAATGTTAACATCACCGTGATACCAAAACATAACAAGGTCATTGTAAGAAAGGAAATTTATACTCCAATCTCTCTCATAAACATCAAATTAAACATATCAAATATTAGCAAAATAAATCTAGTGATATATATTTTATATCTAGTGATATATTTTATATATTAGATGACTGTATTTCCCAAAACAGAAAGAATAATATTATCATGACCTGCTGGAATTTATTACAGAAATGAAAGAACGCTTTAACATTAGAAAATCACATTAACAGAATAAAAGATAAGATTCAGATGATCATCTAAATATTACAGGAAAACCATTCAATAAAATTCAAAACTCATCTGTGAACAAAAGTTCTTAGAAAACGTGAAAAATAATGGGCTTCCTAAATCTAATAAAAGGCAAACATTGTACTTTTTTTTGAGACAGAGTCTCACTCCATCACACAGTCTGGAATGTAGTGCCAAGATCTTGGCTCACTGCAACCTCTGCCTCCCCTAGTCAAGTGATTTTCATGCTTTAGCCTCCTGAGTACCTGGGACTATAGCCATGCACCACCATGCTTGGCTAATTTTTGTATTTTTAGTAGAGATGGAGTTTCACCATGTTGGTCAGGCTGTTCTAACTCCTGGCCACAAGTGATCCTCCCAAAGTGCTGGGATTACAGGTGTGAGCCAGGGAGCCAGCCTAAACACCATACTTAGTAATGAAATTTTGGAAGCTTTTTCCCTGGAAACAGGTATGAGACACCTTCTATCACTACTCTACCCTTCTATCACTACTGCTATTAAGGGGAGGTGCAAGAAAAAGTAAGATGATTGGAAGGAAAACAATAAAATGATCCTTATTTTCTGGTAACATAATTCTGTATGTTTAAAATTCAAAATAACTAGATAGACTGCTATAATTAAAAAGTAACTTTAGCAATTTTACTAAATAACAAGGTTAATATCAAAGTAATCAGTTGTATTTCCATATAACAATACTAAACAATAAGAAAACTAAACATATCATTGACAGTAGGAGTGAAAAACATTAAAGTCATAGGAATAGAACTGACAAAAGAGCACCACTATACAAAAAAGCCACAAATGTTATTAAAGGAAGATGCATAAATGTGGGGTATACCTTATTCATGAATAGGAAGATGCAATGTGGCAAAGATTTCATTTCTCCCAAACTGATATATTGATTCACTGCAATTCCTATCAACATCTCAGAAGATATTTTTTATTTATTTGTTGGTGATGGTGATAGATTAGACAAAGTGATTCTAATATTAATATGGAAATATAAAAGACCAACAATAGGCAAAACACAGAAAAATGAAGTCAGAGAATTTACATTATATGATGTTAGGATTTATTATGAGGTTACATAATTACAGGCAGTATGAAATTGGTATAAGTGTAGACAAGTAGACCAATGGAATAATATAGAGTGCAGAAACAATAACACACACATACAACCTCTTGATTTTATGACAAAAGTAAAATTGCTCTGAAGTGGAAAAGGATGATCTTTTTAGTAAATGACACTGCATCAATTGGATATCCAACTTTTTTAAAAATGGCTCTTGACCCAACCTCACACTATACACAAAAATCTTTCTACATGGATTATAGATAAAAATATAAAATGTAAAACAATAAAAGTCTAGAAGATAATATTGAAAAATAACTTCCTAAGTGTGTGATAGGCAAAGATTAAGTATTAAACAGGCACAAAGCATACTAATCACAAAGGAAAATATTGATGAACTACATTAAAATACAAACCTCTGTTCATCTAAAGACACCATGAAGAGAATGGGGCAAGACAGAGCACAGGAAAAGATATTTGTAATCCAGACATCTGGAAAAGAAATTTATCTTCAGAATATGTAAAGAGCAGCTACAAGTCTTTGAGAAAAAAAAAACATTTTTTTTTAATGGACAAAAGACTTGAACAGGCATTTCTTAAAAGAGGATATGTAAAACGGTCAATTCACATGAAATGGTGGTACTCCCAGAATGGCTAAAATTAAAGACTGTTCATACCAAGTGTTTGTGAACATGTAGAGAGTCTCAAACATTGCTCATGGGAAGTAAACCACCACATTGGAAGATTTTTTGTCAGTATCTATCAGAGCCAAACATATACCCTATGATCTATCCCTAGGTATATACCCAATAGTAATGAGTACATGTGTTCAACAAAAATATATACAGGGATGTGCATGGCAGCATTGTTTGTAATAGCCTAAACCTGGGAATAACCAAATGTCCATCAACAATAGAATAGGTAAATAAATTATGGCATATTTGAACAAAAGGATAATATACAACAATGAAAATCAATAATAGCAGATAGGAATCTTGCAAATATTATATTAAGTACAATAAGCCAGACACACACACACACATACACACTACTATATGCATATTAGTTTTCTAGGCTGCTGTAGAAACAAATCACCACAAATTTAATGGCTTAAAAAAACGTAATTATCATCTTACAATTTTGTATATCAGATGTCCACTATGGGTCTCACCAGATTAAAGTCAAGGTATCAGCAGGCTGTGTTTCTTTCTGGAAGTTTATTTGAATTGTTGGCTGAATTCAATTCCACGCAGTTGTAAGACCAAAGTCCCTGTTATCTTGCTCCTGTCAGCCTAGGGCCATCCTCTTCTAGAGGCTGCTGCATTCCATGGCTCGTGGCCCCCTTCTTCCATCTTCAGAATCAACAATTGCAAGTTGAGTGCTTCTCATGGCGTATCTCTCTGACCCACTTGCAAAAGATACTCTGCTTTTAAGGATTGATGTGATTAGATTGGATCCACGAAGGATAATCCAGGATAATCTCCACATTTCAAGTTTCTTAACCTTAATCACATCTGCAAAGTCTCTTTTGTTATGTAAGGGAACATATTACAGATTCCAGGGATTAGGGATGAGGGGGTGTTATTCTGCCCACCACAATATGATTTATATAACATTCAAGAACAGGCAAAATGAACCCATGATGATGGAAGCCAAGAGCGATTATGACCCTTGGGTCATGTTGCTAGAATAGGAATAACAGTATTCATTTTAATAAAGCGTTGTTGCAAGTATTATAGCCAACAGTAATGTCAATTGCCTTGTAAAGTGCCTGTCACAACATAGCCCTGTTATTTGTCATTTCCTGTTTCCTTCCCTTCTCCCAATTCCACCTTCATCATTTCACCTGTAATAATGCTGCAGTCAGGACTTCGATGCAGAATAAGATATTCTGAAGACTTGCAGACCCTCTGTAATGGTGCTTCCTAAACTTGCCTGGTAATGAATATTCCTCAGAAATGAAGATATAAGCAAGAACCCCAGGTGCTGCTTAGGTAAAAGGAAGTTTGGGAAACACTGCTTTTAGAAATTTGCTTACATGAAACGCTGTTGAAAACACAAAGAAATGCTGAATGATCTGCCCTAGCTCCATCCAGAATACCACTTGCTACCCTTTTTAAGCCACCCAAAGCAAATCAGCTGTGCTATGCCATTGAAAAACAAGTACTTCTTAAAATATTGGACTAATTAGATAGGATTCTAGAACTTAATCTTTTGCTGGAAGTATCAGTCTGTGGTTCTAAGGATCTAGCACAGAACCCAAACAGAAAGTTGCATAAATATTTGTTAAGTTCACTGAAATTAAAGACGGCATCTGGTTGGTTTGTTGTTGTTGTTGAGACAGGGTCTTGCTCTGTTGCCCAGGCTGGAGTGCAGTGGTGTGATCACGGCTCACTGCAGCCTCAACCTCCCCAGGCTCAGGTGATCTTCCCACCTCAGCCTCCCTACTAGCTGCAACTACAGGTATGCACCACCAGGCTTGGCTAATTTTTGTATTTTTTGTAGGGATGGAGTTTGGCCATGTTGCCCAGGCTGGTTGCAAATTCCTGGGTGCAAGCAATCCACCCACCTCCGCCTCCCAAAGTGCCGAGATTATAGGCATGATCTATCGCTCCCAGCTTGTTTATTATTTTTTTCTATTAAAGCACGCTGCAGTTGCCCATGCGCATGACTTCTTGAATGTGCTAAGAAAGAAATCTGGTAAAAATTGAGTCTCTGTAACATTCATTTCACATACTCGACCTCAAACTTTTTCATTCATTCGTTTTACAAACAACTGTTGATATCCCATATTGCAGACAGTTAGACATGTCCAAGGAATACAAGGATAAAAGTACTCAGTCCTTGCTTTAGGGTACTCCCAGTGTAGTGGAGGGACCAATAATAAAAGAACCTCCAACTCCACCTCCCCACCCTACACTGAATTTGGAACTCACATTGATCAAGAGCAGGGAGCCACTGCCATTGTAAATCAGGTCTCAGCCTCTTTCCTACTTCATCAAGTTCACACTGGCTTTCTTTCCAGGGAGGGGCCAAAAATCGCCTTGTTTACTAGCTGCCTCTCTGCTTTATCTCATTGTATCTCAACCTTAGCTCGAGGTAAGAAGCACCTGTAGAGCTCTTCAAAACCTTGATGTCTCACCCCAGCCCAGACCTACTCTAAATCAGAATCTCTGGGAGTGGGTCCCCAGGCATTAGTGTTTTTAAAGCTTTGCTAGTGATCCCAGTATGCAGCAAATCTGAGAACCACTATTTTATCTTTTCTTTCTTTTTTTGGTTTCTTTTCTTTTTAAAAAAATTACCTTTACTTCCTCAGCTCATGTTTAAGCTGAAAATAATCATTTCTTTAAAGTCTCAGATTTCTTGCATGGAAGTCTAGTGCAAACCTGCAGCTAGCTAATGAGAAGGCCAGTTCCTAAAATGACTTTCAATTTTAATCACATTTAACATTAGTTGACTCAGAATTTGGAAACCAACCTTGAATCTGATGCTACAATTTGCTAACACTCAGCAAAAATAGAACCCCCTGTTTCAAAAATAAATAACTTTGTAAAACAGATTGAAAAGGTTGGTAAGATTTCTTGAAAATCAGAGTTCTCACATTTACATTTTGATTTCCAGTGATGAAATGAACTGATTAGAAATTCTTAATTTTCATGAGGTCCCTTTGAAAATGTTCAGAGTGCAGCTGAGCGCCAAAGAACATATTAATAGTTTGAGTGTGCGCATATGTGTGTGTGCACATGTGTATATAGCAATGACTGGGCTTGCAGTAAATTCAGGTACAACTAGGTTTACCCAATCCTCATTTCTGGTTCTGGTTCTTACTGCTCCAGTCTTCCCGACTCCATAGTACACTGCTCCTCACTCCCCTTGCTGCCTGCCTCCATAGTTTGACCCTAACCCTAGCTTTTCCCCTCTGTGTTCTTGTTTACCCATGCCACTCCCCTGACTTAGGCTTAGCCTATCCCAGGCCTCTGCAATTGGTTGGCATGGAAACATTAGGCCAGCCTGCCTGGTGGGAGGGATGTTCTGTTTCCACGTGAAAATGGAAAAGATTCAAGTGTCATTCGCTTCCAGCCATTTTAACCCTTGAGTTTCTCCATCTATTTAAAACATACCCACTGCTCTTGATCACCAAATAGGTAAAGAAGACTATTTTAACTTGGACTCTGCCTACCTCTACACCCTCCTCTGCTGCTTCCCCTAAAAGCCCTGGATGGAGCCTCAGGAAGCACTTTGTTCCTTCATTTCTCCTTTCCTTTGCACAGGCCCTTTCTTCAATCTGCATACTGTCTCTTCCTCCTTCCCATTCAGTTTATGGGGTTCTTAATGGTTTTTCAAGACTCCATTCAGGCACCATGCCTTCCTAGAGGCTTTCACCTCTGCACCTACTCTCATAGCACTTCCGTTATAATGGTTGTAGAAAATTCCAAGATTAAGGGACTATTTTCCTCCCTAGATGGTGAGTTTATTAAAGGAGAGGCATGCTACTGTGAGGAGTATGTTTCTCATACTCCTGGGGTGAGATCTTATCTCTGTTCATTACTAGAATTAAGATCTTGCACAAGTCACTTATCTTTTTAAGCCTCAGTTTTCTCATACCTGAAATGGAAATGATGGTACCTAATATGCCTACTATTTATCAGATGCTGACTATGTTTTAGGCATTTTCTCATTTAACCTTATTTAATCCCTACACCAATTCGGTGAGAGATAAAACATTATTGACCTATTTTTACAATTAGGAAAATATGGCTCAGAGTTGAGAAGCCTGTTCTAAATCACACAGCTCTTAGGTGGCAAAGCCAATAGTCAAGCCAAAATCTAACTCTGTTACTCTGCTCTAGTGCCTGTATATGCAAGTAAAGCACCTAGCCCTGTGCCTGCCCTTGAGGAGGGGGTGGGGACAGATAATGGATGGAAGAATTAGTGATAAATTGCCTTGGAAAAAGTATGATCCTAAGCACTCCATGGGGATCCAAATGGAAAATTAAACTCTTTCCTCTAGTCTAGGCCTAATGTGCACCATTTCTCCAAGTGTGTGGTAAAGGTCAAGTATATAAGACTTCTATCACCCATGTTTATACCTGTGTGCTACTTCAAATGCATGCTTCCCTCCCGCTCAAACAGTTGCCCCCCCTTCAAAAGCAGCTAAAGGTAAACTGGCTCCTGGAGAACTGAAAAGCAGAAAGAAATGATCTTTGAATAGCTATTAAATCACCTTGACAGCTGCCACCTGGCAACAAGCCCTCAGTGTCCCCTGTTCCCGTCCTTCAGTTCAGTATCAGTCCCTTACTGCTTCAGCGGACAAAGAAGAGAATAGTTAAGTGAGTCCCATTTAAGGGGACATAATTAACCTTTAGAGGTAATCATTCAGTACCATTCAGTGAATTTCTATAATTTTCCTTTCTAACTGGCAATTTAGCAAAAGAAAAAGATGTGCTGTTATTGAAATAATTTCCATTTTTATGTACAGATAAGTGTAAAAGTCTTAATTAAAGGATCCTGTGTTAGAGCTGAGTGTATGTAAATAATGCCTGGAGTTTCAAAAGCAAAAAACAAAGCTTGTCAGTTTGTCTAGGGCCAGTCATCACACGATGTTTGTTTTCTATAGCATGCTTCACTAATGGATTTGGTTACCAAGATTACTCATTTTAAAATTATAGTTCTGAAATTATCGAACAGCATGGCCTCCTACAGAATCCTGGAAGCAGTGAATTGAATTCTGTCATATTGCCTCTCTCTGTCTCTCTCTCTCTCCCCCTTCCCCCCTTCTCAATATACATGCATTAAACATATTTCCTTTTACGTTCAAAAGGGCTATGCAATTGTTTTCCCATGTTAATACACATAATTTTTTTAACACCACAGACAATAACAGTTCTAGATCCAGTGCCAAAACTGTGATTCACTCCAGCCTGCAACATAGATTAGACAATTAGACTATTCTTTGTAAAATACTGACTTTTATTTTAGATCTGATTTTTTTTGTGGAAAATAAAAGACCATGAGTATTGATAAATAATGTTTTTGTGTTAATTTTTAAGCAACCTGTACTTGAGAGCCAGAATAGTGATCCATTTAAAAGATGAGGTTCTTTGATAAAATGATGCATTTAAAAGATTAGGTTCTTTGATAAAATGATGTGGGTTTTAATTTGTTTCTTCTGTTTACCGGTTGTGTGATCTGGAAAATGTTGTTTTCTCTAAGTCTCAGTTTTCTCCTCTTTCTATTGTGGATAACAAGAGTACCAACCTCATAATCATGTTGTATAAATAAAATCAGATACTATTTATAATATGCTTAGCATAGTGTTCAGTCTATATGTAAAAGATGCTCAATAAATGGTAGTCATTATTTATTATTATTATTATTATTACCTCATTGCATAGTTGTGAGGATTAAATGAGATGATGCATTAAATTGCTTGACACACTTCTAGGCAGATTGAATGTGCTTAATAAATATTACCTCCATTATGGTTACCACAGATCTGTTACCCTGTCTGTTCGATAGTTGGTTGCTATACTGCCAGTCCCTAAAGTTCCCTTCTTTTCCCTCTTTGCTTTGTTTACTTCTCGTCAAATCACAGGGTTCCACAGATGTTTAATTAGCTTACTGTTTCCCTTTTGCTCTGTTTTCAATCATGTCTCACAAGTCGAAACATTCCTTTTTCCCACACTGATACAGATTCGTGCAGCACCATGGACCTAGCTTTGAGTTGTGGTGCCCCTCTTGTTAGCTGGGCAGCCTTGTGCCAATTACTTCCATTTCCGGCTTTTAGATGTTTTTCACGTAAACCACATAGATAGGAAGAGGTAAACTCTGGGATCCCTTCCTGTCCGACATCCACTGACTCTCACGCTCGGTTTTAGTCATGGTCTTGGGGACGCTGCATAGTACAGGAGCCCAGGTCTTAGAGACCTAGTATTTGTAGTAAATATAAACACTGGACATGAAAAGGGGACATTCTTACCAGTAGCATTTCAATATTTTTACCTAGTGTGATGTTTGAGGAGTGTTGAGACCCTGGGGTTACACTGTCAAAATTTCATAGTATGAAAATAATTCTCAGCTTTCCCAAAAGGACAAGCATTTAAATCCAAGTACCAAGTATTTAAAACTTGACCACATGTCCTACAGAGAGAGTGATATCCAACCTGTATCTATGTGGCTGCCTTTGCCCAAGAAAGGCAAATTCTATTTTACATGAGGACATAATTCTGAATTAATAAGAAAAATTCAGTAGAAAACGATAGGGCTCCAACATGGCTAGTTTAGGAGCAAACTTTTCCAGCAGGGTTTTTTTTGCTTGGAAATAGAAAGGGATTATATGTCATGAATTTCAAATTTCAGGTTATTTCAACTCCAAGGTTGGCAGAGAGATTAAGGATGAGAGTGGGGAGAAGGGAGGATGCATGCAAAGATCCCACACATGCCCTTATACACTCCTAGGTTGTTGTCAATAATGGGAAATACATTTTCGTTTTTGGGTTTAAAATCAATTGTTAGATAATCTCGTAAAATCAGATTCTCCTACTTTGTGTACATTGTAACTAAAACTCAAGCCAGCTTAATGGGAAATTTCAAAATTCTGTCATTTCCAGCTCTCAGGGCTCCTCCATCTGCCCTAGTTGTGCTTGGAGCCAGAAAGGAGCACAGAGCCAGATTTCTCATTAGCACTAAACCTGTTGGACCAAGAATATGACAGCATATGAAGCCCTGCTGGGGCAGGTTGGCTACAAGGCTGGAAATGGTTATCTCAGGTCTCTGAAGCCTGTATGTTGGTATAGAAGGGCATGTCTAGGGTTAAAAGATTGCCTGGCTTAGGAAATCTTCTAAGTTTATTTCAATTTGTAGGCCATTTGTGCCCATAATGAAATAAGTCGAACCAAGGGAAGTACTCTTCTTCTTGCCATCTCCTTTTTGGTCACTTTCATCTCTGATTTAATTCATCCTATGATTTGATGTAAATATTAGGTTAAACCATATGAAACTATCAAGGTTTCATATGATTCAGCCTAGTATTTTACTTTAAAGGGGGGCTTCTGTTTGAATGTGCTGACGGCTTGCTATCATTTGGTTGGCTAGAAAGGTTCTTGGACAGCAGAGGGTTCAAAATGGTGGCTGTGTAATAGAAATCCACCATAGTTTGTTGGATTTTAAATTATAATGATAGAGCTAAAAATGAAATAAAGCAGTTCATTCATTAGCCTGCTGCCCCAACAAATAGCATAATCAACTCTGCTTTTAGCTTTTATATTAGAACCAGCTGTAGTATCTGAAGGATCTCTCTCTCTCTTTCTCTCTCTCTCTCTCTGTGTGTGTGCGTGTGTGTGTGTGTGTCCTGATTTATTTATCTGAAGTATAATTATGGATTGCTCCTGATTTATGATGGCTTGACATAGGATTTTTCAACTTTTCAATAGTGCAAAAATGATACATGTTTACCAGAAATTGTAGTTTAAGTACTCATAAAACCATTCTGTTTTTCACTTTCAGTACAGTATTCAACAAATTACATGAGATAATCAACATTTTACAGGTTGAGCATCCCAAATCTGAAAATCCAAAATCTGAAATGTTCCAAAATCCAAAACTTTTTGGGTGCTAACATGAAAAGGGAAATGCTCATTGTGGAGTAATTTGAATTTCAGATTTTTTAAAGTACATATTTCAAAATCTAAAAAAAAAAAAAATTGAAATCTAAAACATTACTGGCCCCAAGCATTTCAGATGAGGAATACTCAACCTATACTATAAATCAAGCTTCATTGTTAGATGATTTTGCCCACTGTAGGCTAATTTAAGTACATTTAATGTAGGCTAGGCTAAGCTATGATGTTTGGTACGTTAGGTGTATTAAATGCATTTTTGACTTACTGATATTTTCAACTTACAGTGGGTTTATTTGGACACAATCCATCCAAAATCAAGGAGCATCTGTATATACACTGAAATGCATGGATCAATGGATTTTAATAAAAGCATGTATATGTAGTCACCACCCAGGTCAAGATACAGAACTTTCTAACACCCCGTAAGACGTCCTCATGCCCCATTTCAGTCAATCCTAGACCTTGTCCCCTACCCTGAGAAATAACTACTATTCTGAATTTTATACCATAGATTAGCCCTGGCCTATTCTTAAACTCCATGTAAATTTAGACTTGCAGTCTTTGTTCTTTCATGTCTGGCTTCCTTGGCTCAACATGATATTTATAAGAGCCATCCATATTGTTTTGTATTTGAGTAGTCTGCTGCTTTTTATTACTTTATGTATTATTCCATTACATGAATATAATACAATTTGTTTATCCATTCTTCTGTTGAAGGATACTTGGATTATTTCCAGTTTGTGGCTCTTATGAATAGAGTTGCTACAGACTTTCTTGAAGAAATCTTTTTTAAAAGATGCATTCATTTGTTTTGGGTATATCCAGGAGTGAAATTGTTGGGTTATAATCAAATACTTTAAATAAATTGCTAAACCATTTGCTAATAGTAGTTGTAGGAAATGTAGTAAGTGTCCATGTGCCTTGCTAAGACTCTGTCGTGGATGGACGGGAGGAGTCCTGTTACTAAAAGAGAACAGCGGGGACAGTGGGTACTGGGAGACAACTAACAGACCCCACCATAGTGCCCATAGACAATATTTCATGAATACATTAACTGAGACGGTTCTTCTGTGAATTGAGAGTATGAGATTTAAACATGTTAAATTAAGTTTAGCCTACAGCTGCCTCCTTACATATTTTAAGTTTGGCCTAAAGGTTTCTCTGTACATCGTGAACTATAACAAGTGGAGGTGTAAACAGACCATAGCCTACACTTGTGCCAATCATGGAGTTTTGGCCAATCAAATGCAGCCAACTATCCAAACCGTGTTCAAATAAAGCAAACACCAACTGTAACCAATCCAGCTGTTACTGTACCTCACTTCTGTTTTCTGTATGTCACTTTCCTTTTCCTGTCTGTAAATCTTATGCCACCATGTGGCTGCGCTAGAGTCTCTGAGCCCGCTGTGTCTCAGGAGGCTGCCCGATTTGCGAATCGTTCATTGCTCAATTAAACTCCTTTAAATTTAATTCAGCTGAATTTTTTTTTCTTTTTCTTTTTCTTTTTTTGAGACGGAGTCTCTCTCTGTCGCCCAGGCTGGAGTGCAGTGGCGCGATCTCTGCTCACTGCAAGCTCCGCCTCCCGGGTTCATGCCATTCTCCTGCCTCAGCCTCCTGAGCAGCTGGGACCACAGGCGCCCGCCACCATGCCCGGTTAATTTTTTGTGTTTTTAGTAGAGACGGGGTTTCAATGTATTAGCCAGGATGGTCTTGATCTCCTGACCTCGTGATCCGCCCGCCTCAGCCTCCCAAAG
Organism: Homo sapiens; assembly: GCF_000001405.40. Taxonomy (NCBI): domain Eukaryota; kingdom Metazoa; phylum Chordata; class Mammalia; order Primates; family Hominidae; genus Homo; species Homo sapiens. The sequence goes on along the minus strand of NC_000011.10, from coordinate 83,606,681 downwards.
TGCTGGGATTACAGGCGTGAGCTACCGCGCCCGGCCTTTTTTTTTTTTAACAAACACTAACGTATGTTTTCAAGTAGCAGTAGCTCTATTCCTTTAAACAGAGGTCAACTCCGTGAAGACCCTGACAACTGTATGGGCTGACGTTCCTAAAGGGAAGCAAAATTGTTTTTTCTGATTTCAAAGATGATGAGAAATACTAGTGGAGATGTTAAAGGCTTTCAGTACCTCTGATGCATCTTTCACTATGATAAGATTGTTTTTAGCTTCTGGCTGCACCCATCTAAGGTTTCCTCACTCTTAATAAAACAATAAATGCCTACGGATTTAGATACATAGATACAGATTAGCTAATTGTTTTTGTTCATTATGTTGTGTTTTAAAATTTCTTTACTGACTACAACTATAGTATATATACATATATTCTATAAATGTTAGCATATATTAGCATATATGCTAGTATGTATAGTAGTGTATACTGACTACCTTTTAACCTCTGGTTCCTAAGAGCTTAAATCCTCTGTGGATCTCAAGTTTGTGTAAATCTTTTAAGTATGAAAAGATAATTTATGTTTTTAAGTAGCAGCTCCTCCCTTTCTTGAAAAGGAGTTAAACACCAAAGAATCACCGATGACTCTGTGGAATGAGTCTAAAAAGTAGCATAACAACTAGTATAGTGAAGTCACTCAACAAATGTATGTTCCCTTCTCCTAGTATCTCAAGTCACAGATAAGTAAATCACAGCGACAGTTTAGAGCGGTAAATGCTATGCATTATGAGATACTAATGTTTTTATTGCTACCTTTCATGGCTTGATAGCAGAAAAATGCTGACTGCTGACTGCCATGAAATGGAAGAAGTATGAAGTTCTCACATTTGTGGACAATAGTGGAACACTGCAAGTACTCTTGCATGTATTGTTCTGTGTTCCATTCACAAACCTGGCTTTTGCAGTCCTTTAGAACATAGCTGATAATATAGAAAGTAAGAACTGCAGGAAGCAGCTGCACCTTTAACTTGCTGCATGACCTTGAATAAGTTTTTAAACTCTTCGAGTCTCAGTTACTTCATATTTAAAGTGAGTATAAAACCAGTTCTTATCCCATAGGGTTCTTATGAAGATTAACTAAGCTTATTCTGGTAAAGCTCTTCAGAATATTATGTGGCACTTAGTAATCAATCGTTGTTGCTGTTACCACTGTTGTCTCTTCTGGAGTTATTTCCCTGGTCCCACTGCTTTAGAAATTAGTTGGGACATTTATGTTTATTTCTTTGCTTGCTTGCTTACGTGTTTTGTTTTTTTCTCCACGTTATTAAATACCATTGCCGAGTGGGTCGTAAAAAGCTCATTTCCCCTGTTAGAAAACACAAAATTTTAACCAATTTGATTTAAAGATTGAATTGGCTTTCATTCATGAATCAGGCAGCATCTCATCCAAAGACTTAGATAAGGCACTCCAGTGAGCTGAGGAGAGGAGATTGGCTTTATAGGCAGAAAATGGCTCAAGAAAGCAGAAATGGGAAACAAAATTGAATTGGGCATTTTAAAGCTGTCCTCCTCATAGGGTTAAATCAGAGGAAACTTCCTTATCCTTCTGGCTCTGTTAAACTGGGCCCCTTCTGATTGGTTGCTGTGAATCAATCAATCTCTCTCTCTCTCTCTCTCTCTCTCTCTCTGTCTTTGAAAACTGGTCCATTTCAAAGTTTGATTATATGGCACCTAACATTAATGACTCTATTCTGATTTGCTCTGGCCTGTTGGGCCTAGTGCAGGAGCTTAGTCCAAACAATAGCCTCCCATAAATTTCATTTAACACCCTTTGAATTTAAAACAAAATTTTAAATTAGTTTTTGTCTTATAGATTTTCTTTTTTTAAAGCAGTTTTAGGTTCACAGCAAAATTGAGAGGAAGGTACAGAGATTTCCATATACCCTGCCCCCACACATGTGTAGCCACCCCCATTATCAAAATTCCACACCTGAGTGGCACATGTGTTACGGTTGATGAACCTGCATTGACACATCATTATCACCCAAAGTCTATGGTTTCACATTAGGTTTTTCTCTTGGTATTGAACAATACATGGCTTTAGACAAATGTATAATGACATGTATCCATTATTATAGTATCGTATGGAGTACTTTCACTACCCTAAAAAACCCTGAAATTTGACAAAGTGTATTTTTCAGCTCCCAGAAACACTTGTTTCAGAAAAAAGCAGGTGAGGATATTCAGTTCCTCAAAAACCCAAAGATGAGTTGACCAAAAATATGACTCCAAGAGAATTGTATTAAAGAAAAATATATTCTCAGAAGTTTTATTCCAAGAACACACTTGAAATTCAATCTTAACTTGGTAACATTTGCCTGTGCTGGCTGGATGATAAACACACTTGAAATAGGTGGAATCTCTTATGAATAAAGGAAGCAGTTTGAAGCATTGTCATTGTGAATATAGTAAACTGCTGAAGATAAATTTTTCTAGTATATTTGGAGTCTTGGCATGAAAGCCTTCATCATCACAGTGCTGTCTTTTTGTTTTTAATTTAGTTTAGTTTAGTTTAGTTTAATTAGCTTTTCAGCACTTTCTGCAAGCTTGAGCAAAGATATTCATGAATATATTTCTGCTAAACCACAGTAATGAATTATTTATTTTGAAATCTATCTATATTTTTAGCTACTCATACCAGCAGTTTAGAGAAATAAAAACCTTTGGGATCTTATATCTGACTTTTCTGAGGTGAAATGTGACATGAATTGAAAATAAAAGAGAACAGATATTTGCAACTTGCATAGCTGGTAAAAAATCACTTCTAGAATACTATACATGGAGAACTATAAAGCAATCAGAAAGATTCAAACAGCCCTATAGAAAATGGGTAAGGACTTTTAAAACAAAGAGGAAAAAACACAAATTACTTATTAACATATGAAAACATGCTTAAAATCATTGATAATCAAGGAATTACAAGTTAAACTGCAATAAGGCACCACTCACATTTACTAAACTGATAAAAATTATGAAGTCCAGTTGATTCAAGTGTTAGAGAGGATATGAAACTGTTAGAATTCTCATCCACTGTGTCAACTGGAAGAACTACTTTGGAAAACAGTTTAACATTATTTAATAAAATTAAAAATATTACTCAGCGACTCCTTTCTTTAAGCATGTACCTTAGGGAAAATTTGTATACAGGGATAGAAGACATGTATAACAATATATATACTGATACTGTTAATAAAATCTAAAGATAACAATGTAAGATGGATGTATGAGTTATATTTATACAATGAATATAACTGTGAGAATGAATGAAGAACTGTTATATACATCAACATGGATGGGCCAAAAAAAGAAAGATAGTTAGAGGATGATTTACCCTAATTTCAGGAGAGTTACTTATGGAAGAAGAGTACTTAGGAAGGAAATTATATAAAAAATGGCATCCTGAGGGAATCTAAGTCACTGTTAATATTCTTTGTCGTGGTGATCGGTGTATAATACTATTTTATTTTTAAAAAATTGTGCAGAGATTTTATATGATTTATTGAATATGCGATCTATCTCTCTCCCACTACCATCACTTGTATGCATTCATTCACACACACACGAACACACATACACACACATACACACACATGCACACACATACACACACACACACAGTCACTGGGTTTTATCCCTAAAACAAAAAAAGATGGTAAAGCATAGGCCTAGACTGAGTGTATGGATATAGAAAATAGAATCATGAAGGAAAATAATAAGAATGCTCTTTAAAATGTGATCATATTGCCTCAGTTTGTTCTATAAATAGGTGAGACTGAATTATAAATAAGTAAAATTGGAATAAAAAATGATAAACTAATTTTGTCAGCAATATCACATCCTTGTCACCATTTCCTGAGCACTTACTATATTCAGGTTCTCTCTTCATTTTTTCTGTTCTTCACTATACCACTATGAGGCAGGTAAGAATGTATCCAAATTTACACAGAGGTGTGCTGTGAATCAAAACAGCTAAAAAAAAATTTTGTCCAGTTCTAAGACTGAAACATGGCCAAGGAGCTGCTCTGAAATTCAGATTCAGTCTGCCGGGCCCAGGCCCCATTCTCTCCATTCTGCCCCAATCTCTTTCTTGGTTTAACGTTTTCTCCTGCAGGGAGGCAGTGTTAGAGATGAATAGACTCCTAGTCAAAGTCTTAGGACAAATGATGTCCTTATTGGACTTCCAACCACCCTTTCTTTGTTGTAACTCTCCACAAGAATAAGAAGTTCATATTTTCACAATATTAGGTGCCATCCACTGCCGGCATGGTGCTGTAATTTGCTGGAAAATAATGACTCAGATGACTAATCTGTATGAACGCACATGCATTTTGCAAAGTGTTGTGTCAGAGCACGGGTCAAATCAATTAAGTGTTTTGTAAGGACCCAATTTTCATACTGGAACAAGTTAAATAATTGACTGCAATGAAAAATGCTAGGGAGAGTTTGTAAGAAAATTAATTGAAATCAGAAAGCAGAAAGACTCGCTCATTTCCAGAAGTGATATTTGAAATCCAGAAACATGTGGTTCATTCATTTCCTCTGTCCATGATTTATTCCCACTGCAGCACATTACTCTCTTGGTTGCTTTGCAAAAGTGCTCAATCTTCATCCTTCTTCCTGAGGAAGAGGGGTCTGTGGCAAAGTGCTTTGGGAGCTGGAGTCTGATTCACCAGGACACAGTCTGGTAGGTCTGTCTCTACAAAGCAGGGTTCGTTCTGGTCTCAATAAGCAGAAAACACTAAGAACTTGGAGAACCAGAAGCAAAGATCTGTGATCACAGCAAGTTGTTCTTCTCCTTAAGAACTTCATTGACGGCTGAGCCCTGTGCCTCACGCCTGTAACCCCAGCACTTTGGGAGGCCGAGGCCGGCAGATCACTTGAGCCCAGGAGTTCGAGATCAGCCCAGGCTGAAACCCTATCTCTACCAAAAAAAAAAAGAAAGAAATATATACAAAAATTAGCTTGGCATGTTGGCATGTGCCTGTAGTCCCAGCTACATGGGAGGCCGAGGTGGAAGAATGGTTTAAGCCTGGGAGGCAGAGGTTGCATTGAGCCGAGATCGCACCACTGCACTCCAGCTTGGGCGACAGAGTGAGACCTTGTCAAAAAAAAAAAAAAAAAAAAAGAACATCACATATTACTTTGCAGCTGTAATTCTCATATTTGGCTGATTATACAAGTTGTTTGAGAAGCTAACAGGTGGTTCAAACAAAAAGAGAATCGTTGGCTCCATCCCCACACTTACCAACTTACCAAGTCAGAACATCACAGGGTAGCTACATACATCACAGGAATTCTACATACAGAACACCTTAGGGAATTAAACTAAGTTTGGAAACTACTAGCCCATATAGAATAATGCCCCCAACTCTTCGGCATGGCATTGAGGACCCTTGGCAAAGTAATCTCAGTGTACCCCACTTCCCCTGATTATGAGGGGAAGAACTCTATTTCTCTTCCAACATAAAGCCATAGGACTTTGCATTCATTTCTTCAGTAAACATTTATTGAGCATCTGCTATGTGCCAGATTTGACAGGTATTATAGATTGTATCTTACTCTATCATTGCATGCTCTTAGTTGAGTTCAGAACTTCTACACTAAGTAATAGCACAGCCTGGCTTATGCTAAATGACAACTGAAACTTCTACCAAGGATAGTAAATACCTATAGGCAATGCTTCCCTCAATACCAGAACAGACATTGTTTATCATTGCACTCGGCATTCTTCCCACTGAGTCCAGAGACAACTTCAGAAGCTTTCTCAACAGCCTCTATCACACCATCTGCTTTGGCATGTGAGGCAAAGTCTGTTTGCAGCCTCTGTTATAGCCCATGTTTGACAAGACTAAACTAATACCCTTCCTCCCTCCTTCACTTTCACTGAGGTGACTGAACATGTGCTCAGGCTTTAGGAAAGGTAGGAGTTTTCAGAGATAGTCATTGCTTCTGAGATTGGTGTGTGGGCAGTAATGCACCCCAGGGCAGAGGCCCCAGTCTGCACATCTCTCTGTACAGGAGGGCCGTGTATTTGCTATTGCTAGACTAAGAACATGGATGACTTTTGGCACTCAGACACTACCCTCTCTCTCTTCCTGTCTGCCTTGACTGTATGTAGCTACGATAGTAATCCACAGCATCAAACAAGTTTTCTAAAAGTCCCATTAAATACAGGCTGCCAAATTTTGTGATTCAATTTTTTATATTCAGGAATGGACTTTAAGTTGTGATAGCAGAAAAGGAGATGTATAAAATTTCTCAAGAGAAACATTGCATTCTTGTCTTCACAGGCTGGTTCCAATAGGAACAGGAAAGAGTAAAATGGAGAGCTCAGCTGGATTCACACAGACCTGGAATTGAATGTCATACACACACACACACACACACACACACACACACCCTATAGCTAGCTGTGTGAACTCATCTTTTCCTCATCTTTGAAAAAAATAGGATGTGTGTGTGAATAATCTCTCTATCATGAGCTTATTTTAACTGGCATAGACGTATACATGAGCCTCTTAAATGCCTTGTTGACCATGCCTTTATGTTCTCAGTTTCTGGCCCAGAACCTGGGACATTAGGGAGGGTTTCAATAAATGTCAATCACATCAGATTACACTCAGCTTATCTGTAGGCAATTTATCTAACAATCTCAAGGATCAAAACACTATTAAGAACTAATCAGTAGCCAAAATAAATGTTCCTAGAAATATAGATTTTCCAAGCTCATGAACTTAATTCAAAGATATCTCTACAGCCCCTCATGCAAAACCTATTTAACATTAGTTTAGTTCTTCCAAACTACTAATACTGCTTTTCAACTCACTGTAGGTTACAGATAGGATAATGAGAGCAAGAGAGAAAGAGAGAACTAGTAGGACTCAAAAAGATACTAACCAGTGATTATAGAGTGCCTGCCCTGTGGTTGGGGCTTGATAAATGACACAGGATCTTGTCCTCAAAAAACACAATGTCTAGTGGCGGTGGGAGTTACACAGGTAATTCCACAGTATTACGCTGTTATGAAGAGCTATTCAGTGCCCCATGGTGTCACAAAGAAAGGGGTAAGTGGTCACTCCTAGTCAGGGAATTGACAAAGGAAGGGCAAGATGGGTTTCCTAAAACCTAAGATGCTTTTTGGATCTTTTGAAGGATTGGTAAGTGTTTATTAGAAAACCAATGATAGGGAGGGAGGCGATAGATAGTTGTCCAATCAGACGTAACAGTTTTCCAATCAGAGGAAGCTGGATAAGCAAAAGCAAGGAGGTGTGAAATAGCCTAAGGCCCTCAGGAATCTATCATGCAAGACCTGGTTCAGCATGACAGAAGCCTACTCTCCTCTGGAGGGGTTAGGCATGAGGGAAGGGGAAGTCCGAGAGGTGATAAGGTGAGCTCACAGAGGTATTTACATACCTTCCATGCTGAATTTGGACTTAAGGCTGTAGTTCATAGAGAGCCATTGAAAGAATTGTTTTGTTTATTAAGCAAGCATGTCAAGTACTCAGATGTGGTTTTGGAAAAACTACTCTTGCTAAGTGCCAAGGAAGGACTTGGGGATGCTGAGAATAGGAATAGGAAATAGGGGAACCTGTTTGGCTGCTGCAGCAATCCAAGCTAGAAATTGTGAGGCCCTAAACTAGGCCTAAGCAATGGGACTGGAGAATATGGGGCAGATGAAAGCCAGCTGGAGGTAAGGCCGCAGGATTTAAATGTGTGGCAGATTTAGGGCAGGGGCAGACAGCTTTATACACCTCAGTAGCCTTGAAGATACTACTGCATGATACACAGTACCAAAAATGACATGTTGAATGATAGTCATGAGACTTCAGAAGAATTTAAATTATGTTCAGTATACTCTGTTTGCTAAAGCAGTGAAGCGTAACATCTATTTTAGAGAAAGTTCTGCCTGAATAATTCATTTACATTTAATATATGACTCCCAAAGATCCTAATAATGAGCTTTAGTGTATATGAAGATCTAAAGTTTATTAAGTAGCTAGTATTAAAGGGTCTCTATCAGTATATTACCTCATTTAGCCTCAAAATAACCTGCTGGGAAAGTACTCTTGAATCCAAATGCAGATGAGCAACCCTAAAGCTGGGACAGAGGAAATCAATGTTTGAAGATCACACGGCCAGCAGTATTAGAACCATTTTGACTTAAAAATCCAGACTCTTTCTACTACACTGTCATTAGCCTAAACTTTTCCAATAAGCAGCCATATTCTGACTGAAATGAGAAGCTATTAAATATTGTAAAACTGAAATATGTGCTTGGGGTTTGTTGTCCCATCTTTCACTTTAAGATGGTGCTCAGGAGTTTCTGAAACGTTTTGCTGGGAATGAGTAGACGATGATAACTTCTCTGAAAGAACAGCCAAAGAGGACAGACAGAACATGCGTGGAGCTGAGAAAAGTATTCCAGTAACAGTTGATCTCATTTTTTTTCCCTTCTCGGAAATGCAGAATTAAACCTGTGCCATCTTGCCCATGCAAAACACATATCCTCTGAAATGATTTTGAGATGTAAATTAATTCCCACCCCGGAGCAAATAGCAAATCAACCAGGCAACCTAGTCCTGTAGACTAAAATAGGGAGCATCAGACCATGACTCTCTCTTGCCTGACTTTGGGATCCTAAACAAGCCACTTAATTGTCCTATGCCTCAGTCTCTTCAGATGCAAAAGGAAGATGATAATATTGGCCTTCTTAAGATGTTGTAAAGATAGGCATAAGAATGTCAGTATTTTGAAAGGTCAAATATTCTTACAATTGTAGAGTTTATTTTTATTCTATAAGCCAGTTTTGGTTTTTGTGTTTGTTTGTTTGTTTGTTTGTTTGTTTGTTTTGAGACAGGGAGCTCACTCTGTCTTCCAGGTGGGAGTGCAGTGGTGCAGCCTCAGCTCACTGCAGCCTCCGCCTCCAAGGCTCAAGTGATCCTCCCACCTCAGCCTCCTGAGTAGCTAGGACTAAGGAACACACCACCATGTCTGGCTAATTTTTTTTTTTTGGGGTAGAGATGGGGTTTTGCCTCAGCCTCCTGAGTAGCTGGGGCGACTATAGGCACACACTACCATGACTGGATAATTTTGTTTATTTATTTATTTAATTTTGGTAGAGACGGGGTTTTGCCATATTGCCCTGGTCTCAAACTTTTGGGCTAAAGAGATCCTGCCACCTCGGCCTCCCAAAGTACTGGGATTACAGGCATGAGCCACTGTGTCTGACCAAGTTTTACTCTATGTTTCCTAGATTAAAAAGTAGAAAATTTTATCTCATTCTTTTTATTTTCTTCACCAAATATTCTTTGAGCACATACCATGTGTGGGTACAGTGGAGGCACAGAGTTGAATTAGAGATATATCCCACTCTCAGATAGCTCATGATCCTGCTACTTAATTTTGATGTCTCTTGATCCCGCTCATGAGACATGTTGATCATGCTGTCACTGATGTTACCTAATTTAATCTTTATTTTATCTTTTGAAGTAGGTATCTATCCATCCCTATTTTATAGATACAACTGTTGAGCCTTGGCAATGACTGAACTGGAACTAACCCCAGTTATTCTGACTCCCTAAACTCAGATCTCCTTTGATCATCACAGAATTGCTTCACTGTCTCAGTGAAGAAAACAAGTATATTCATAATGAGCTCCGGTAAAAATCTGATGACAGTGAGGAATCTAAGGTAGGAACTAAAAGCTATGAGAACTGAGAGAGGAGAACAATTAATTTTAGATTAGGTCGATTCTCAGAATGTATTTTCATAAGAAGAAACATTTGAAATAGATTAGGAAGAATAACCAGAAAAAAAACAGAAAAAGAAAAAATGATAAGCAGGAGGAGCATGTACAAAAGTGTGGAGATGAACAGGTAAATGTTATGTTTGGGAACAATGAACATAATGGGATTAAAACGTGGAAACTGCAGACTGAATTTTTTTAAGATAGATTAGGTTCAGGTGAATGGAATCTTGAATATCATGTAAAGTAACTTGGGACTCTAAATAGTAAGGATTTTGAGCAGAGGAGTGATGTAGACATATTGGTGATTTAGAAATTATCCCAATGGCGATGGGAAGGATGGATCATAGGCGGCTGAGACCAGAGGTTGGTAAACCAGTTGGGGATTATTATAATAACATAGGCAAGGATAAAGAAGGACCTGGATTAAAGCACAGGCAATGGGAATAAATGAAGAGGAGCAAGGCAACATTCTAAATTATATTCAATAGTGATAGCAATGTTAGATTTGAAGGAAAGGGAGAAGTCAATGATGAGCCTGAGGTTTCTGGCTTGGGTGGTTGGATACACGGCTATGTCATTAACTAGGAAAGGAAACACAGGAGAAGAAGCCAGTGTTATGGGAGGAAAATTATTTTTTATTATGTCAACTTTAAGGGAGGGAAGAATGGACATCCTCCCCTTACATCAGATCATTGAAGCCAACTTTGATGATTTGATGTGATGACAGTCATAGTCATAGTTAAATCTTAATCTTAAATCTTGTTGTTTTTGTGCATATTTTATTTGATTCAGTTATATTGTTTGAGCTAATTTTAGGGTTAAAATAAGGTCCACTGTGCTGTGAGACTTTTATGTTCAGATCATGTTCTTGCCAATATGCAAAACAAAGGAATAAATGCATTTTAAGGGTTGTATAAGTTTCTTGCCTTAATATCTGCAAATTTATTTGCATCTGGGTAACATTTTGATATATTGTCTTATAATGCACCTATTACGACATCATCTCTACCTAATCAAGGGCATAGTTATGAGATTAAGGGCCAGTAAATTGATAATGGCAGACTTTTGTTTGTTTTTGAAACTCTTGTCATCCATTCTTTTTGTTCATTACGTTCTTCTATAAATTGTTTGCAATGTGATACTTTACATGTTAAAATGAACTTGCATTTCGGTTAGATGGTGTCTCCAAAAGGCTGGAGAATCAAAGACTGAAAAAAATAGGAGTAATTCAGTTTGCTGAGGATCAGCCTGAGACCGCATCAGTAACAGCATTTTTAGTTCCGTACAAAGTAATTTGGTTGTGGAGAAGTCCTACAGCAAATCAGCCTGAATTGTTCAGTTTAATTGTGGTCACAGAGCCACTTGTGCAGTAACATTAATTACAATGAATGTTTTAGCCATTAAAGCCTGCCATTAATTTGGTTCCTTAGATGGATTCTTAATGGTAAGAAAAATGAGGAGGATGCCCTGTTTATCTCATTTAATGCCTGGAACACAGTAAGTTATCAACAGTTTGTCCTCAGTTTCCTCAACTGCAAAATGCAAATGATAATAGTCCTTACACAGCTGGATTTTGAGAATTGTAAGAGAAAAGACTTAATACATTATCTAGCATAAAAGCACTTAATGCCTTCATTAATAGTTGAAACCCCAGTGCAGCAATGCTTTATTTAATACCCAAGAGCTGGGAGAAAACTCACCTCACATTTTATTTACATTTGAGAAACAAAGGGCCTAGAAAGAAGTGGTTTTTTTTTCCCATAAATAGATTTATTGCTTGTAAAGATTTTTTGCTCTGAGATAATTTAAATAACTTCTGTAGTCAGAATGAGCTTTTATACCATATGCATTGATAAAAGAATATGTCTAAATATCTGTATAATGTGAAAAGCTGAGAAACTCATTACCACCATGACATAAAGCCATTAGGAATTTCATTAATTGCTGTGGTACAGAAAGTGGAAGATCTACCTTTTAGTTCAAACTCAGCTCAGCTGTATGGAGCCTAAGCCTATTCTATTTCTTCCTAAAATCTGGACCATCTTTAAAGTAGGGACGAGTGGGAGCCCACTTGCTTTTGCTGAGAAATTCCATACAAACCTTCCAAGACCAAGTATTGCAACTCTCCTGGGAATGGACATTTCACAATTCCCATGGCAGCTCAAGAATTAGAAGCAACCCAAAGCCACCTCTTCTAGTCCTACCCTTCCTTCCCATCCAATTTATAAATCCTCTTCTAAGTATCCTTTATACATGGCTTCTCTTCAACAACCTCTATTCTTAGATAGTTTTCCCTGTATTTAATATAAACCTTGATTGCTTCAATGTACGACAATACAGCCTCTAATTTTATGCTTTTTGGACCAAATGAATGTTCTTTAAGCATGTTGTCAGTTTAAACAAGATCATGCATCTGAAATGTCTGTGTAAATTATACAGTGCTGTATAAAATTACTCAAGACTGTATTAACAAAGCTAAGACAGGCAATGATGCAACATATTTCTTAAATGCAACAATCCTTAAATTAGCTTCACACATAAAAGTTTATTTCTCATCCACAGTACATACCAATCAGGGCTTGAGGAAGGGCTCTGCTCCACACAGTCACTCAGTACTCACAATGATGGAGGGGCCACAATCTTAGAGCTGCACCATTAGAAATCAGTTCCTTGATAGCCAAGGCAGAAGAGAAAGGGTTGCATCCTGACACACTTGCTCATAGACCATTGACTGAAACATGCCACAGGGCCCTGCCTAAAGGGTCCAGGAAATACAGGGAACAGATCAGTATTTGGCAAGCCATAATTGTCTCTTTCCCAGTATTTCTGTCAAGGCTAAGCAAATCTAAGGGCCTTGTATTTTTTTACTTCCCATTTTAACCTTTTATTTGCTATTACACTTACCTAGGTTTACTTTTGGTTTACGATATATATAGCCATTTTTTAAGTAGTCTCAATAAGGACTTATTCAATGCTATATGGAGAAAAGGAATTATTGCATGCTGTTTAATCTGTCAAATGACAGCACTATTTTATCTTTTTTTTTCAAGCAGTGAGAATATTGTGACTTGGAGAATATTATAATTTTATCCTTATCAGCTAGGCAATTTTATGTTCGTGTTTTTACAAATATCAACTTCATACTTGCCAGGACTGGATTTCCACATGATTTTTATAGAGAGAAATGATCTCTCTATATAAATTCTTTTTTTTTCTTTTTTTTTTAATATATTTCTTTTTTTTATTATACTTTAAGTTTTAGGGTACATGTGCACATTGTGCAGGTTAGTTACATATGTATACATGTGCCATGCTGGTGCACTGCACCCACTAACTCGTCATCTAGCATTAGGTATATCTCCCAATGCTATCCCTCCCCCCTCCGCCAACCCCACCACAGTCCCCAGAGTGTGATATTCCCCTTCCTGTGTCCATGTGATCTCATTGTTCAATTCCCACCTGTGAGTGAGAATATGCGGTGTTTGGTTTTTTGTTCTTGCGATAGTTTACTGAGAATGATGATTTCCAATTTCATCCATGTCCCTACAAAGGACATGAACTAATCATTTTTTATGGCTGCATAGTATTCCATGGTGTATATGTGCCACATTTTCTTAATCCAGTCTATCATTGTTGGACATTTGGGTTGGTTCCAAGTCTTTGCTATTGTGAATAATGCCGCAATAAACATACGTGTGCATGTGTCTTTATAGCAGCAAGATTTATAGTCCTTTGGGTATATACCCAGTAATGGGATGGCTGGGTCAAATGGTATTTCTAGTTCTAGATCCCTGAGGACTCGCCACACTGACTTCCACAATGGTTGAACTAGTTTACAGTCCCACCAACAGTGTAAAAGTGTTCCTATTTCTCCACATCCTCTCCAGCACCTGTTGTTTCCTGACTTTTTAATGATTGCCATTCTAACTGGTGTGAGGTGGTATCTCATTGTGGTTTTGATTTGCATTTCTCTGATGGCCAGTGATGATGAGCATTTTTTCATGTGTTTTTTGGCTGCATAAATGTCTTCTTTTGAGAAGTGTCTGTTCATGTCCTTGGCCCACTTTTTGATGGGGTTGTTTGTTTTTTTCTTGTAAATTTGTTTGAGTTCATTGTAGATTCTGGATATTAGCCCTTTGTCAGATGAGTAGGTTGCGAAAATTTTCTCCCATTTTGTAGGCTGCCTGTTCACTCTGATGGTAGTTTCTTTTGCTGTGCAGAAGCTCTTTAGTTTAATTAGATCCCATTTGTCAATTTTGTCTTTTGTTGCCATTGCTTTTGGTGTTTTGGACATGAAGTCCTTGCCCATGCCTATGTCCTGAATGGTGATGCCTAGGTTTTTTTCTAGGGTTTTTATGGTTTTAGGTCTAACGTTTAAGTCTTTAATCCATCTTGAATTGATTTTTGTGTAAGGTGTAAGGAAGGGATCCAGTTTCAGCTTTCTACATATGGCTAGCCAGTTTTCCCAGCACCATTTATTAAATAGGGAATCCTTTCCCCATTGCTTGTTTTTCTCAGGTTTGTCAAAGATCAGATAGTTGTAGATATGCGGTGTTATTTCTCAGGGCTCTGTTCTGTTCCATTGATCTATATCTCTGTTTTGGTACCAGTACCATGCTGTTTTGATTACTGTAGCCTTGTAGTATAGTTTGAAGTCAGGTAGTGTGATGCCTCCAGCTTTGTTCTTTTGGCTTAGGATTGCCTTGGCGATGCGGGCTCTTTTTTGGTTCCATATGAACTTTAAAGTAGTTTTTTCCAATTCTGTGAAGAAAGTCATTGGTAGCTTGATAGGGATGGCATTGAATCTGTAAATTACCTTGGGCAGTATGGCCATTTTCACGATATTGATTCTTCCTACCCATGAGCATGGAATGTTCTTCCATTTGTTTGTATCCTCTTTTATTTCATTGAGCAGTGGTTTGTAGTTCTCCTTGAAGAGGTCCTTCACATCCCTTGTAAGTTGGATTCCTAGGTATTTTATTCTCTTTGAAGCAATTGTGAATGGGAGTTCACTCATGATTTGGCTCTCTGTTTGTCTGTTATTGGTGTATAAGAATGCTTGTGATTTTTGTACATTGATTTTGTATCCTGAGACTTTGCTGAAGTTGCTTACCAGCTTAAGGAGGTTTTGGGCTGAGACAATGGAGTTTTCTAGATATACAATCATGTCATCTGCAAACAGGGACAATTTGACTTCCTCTTTTCCTAATTGAATACCCTTTATTTCCTTCTCCTGCCTAATTGCCCTGGCCAGAACTTCCAACACTATGTTGAATAGGAGTGGTGAGAGAGGGCATCCCTGTCTTGTGCCAGTTTTCAAAGGGAATGCTTCCAGTTTTTGCCCATTCAGTATGATATTGGCTGTGGGTTTGTCATAGATAGCTCTTATTATTTTGAAATACGTCCCATCAATACCTAATTTATTGAGAGTTTTTAGCATGAAGGGTTGTTGAATTTTGTCAAAGGCCTTTTCTGCATCTATTGAGATAATCATGTGGTTTTTGTCTTTGGCTCTGTTTATATGCTGGATTACATTTATTGATTTGCGTATATTGAACCAGCCTTGCATCCCAGGGATGAAGCCCACTTGATCATAGTGGATAAGCTTTTTGATGTGCTGCTGGATTCGTTTTGCCAGTATTTTATTGAGGATTTTTGCATCAATGTTCATCAAGGATATTGGTCTAAAATTCTCTTTTTTGGTTGTGTCTCTGCCTGGCTTTGGTATCAGGATGATGCTGGCCTCATAAAATGAGTTAGGGAGGATTCCCTCTTTTTCTATTGATTGGAATAGTTTCAGAAGGAATGGTACCAGCTCCTCCTTGTACCTCTGATAGAATTCGGCTGTGAATCCATCTGGTCCTGGACTCTTTTGGGTTGGTAAACTATTGATTATTGCCACAATTTCAGCTCCTGTTATTGGTCTATTCAGAGATTCAACTTCTTCCTGGTTTAGTCTTGGGAGAGTGTATGTGTCGAGGAATTTATCCATTTCTTCTAGATTTTCTAGTTTATTTGCATAGAGGTGTTTGTAGTATTCTCTGATGGTAGTTTGTATTTCTGTGAGATCGGTGGTGATATCCCCTTTATCATTTTTTATTGTGTCTATTTGATTCTTGTCTCTTTTTTTCTTTATTAGTCTTGCTAGCGGTCTATCAATTTTGTTGATCCTTTCAAAAAACCAGCTCCTGGATTCATTAATTTTTTGAAGGGTTTTTGGTGTCTCTATTACCTTCAGTTCTGCTCTGATTTTAGTTATTTCTTGCCTTCTGCTAGCTTTTGAATGTGTTTGCTCTTGCTTTTCTAGTTCTTTTAATTGTGATGTTAGGGTGTCAATTTTGGATCTTTCCTGCTTTCTCTTGTGGGCATTTAGTGCTATAAATTTCCCTCTACACACTGCTTTGAATGTGTCCCAGAGATTCTGGTATGCTGTGTCTTTGTTCTCATTGGTTTCAAAGAACATCTTTATTTCTGCCTTCATTTCGTTATGTATCCAGTAGTCATTCAGGAGCAGGTTGTTCAGTTTCCATGTAGTTGAGCGGTTTTGAGTGAGATTCTTCATCCTGAGTTCTAGTTTGATTGCAGTGTGGTCTGAGAGACTGTTTGTTATAATTTCTGTTCTTTTACATTTGCTGAGGAGAGCTTTACTTCCAACTATGTGGTCAATTTTGGAATAGGTGTGGTGTGGTGCTGAAAAAAATGTATATTCTGTTGATTTGGGGTGGAGAGTTCTGTAGATGTCTATTAGGTCTGCTTGGTGCAGAGCTGAGTTCAATTGCTGGGTATCCTTGTTGACTTCTGTCTCGTTGATCTGTCTAATGTTGACAGTGGGGTGTTAAAGTCTCCCATTATTAATGTGTGGGAGTCTAAGTCTCTTTGTAGGTCACTCAGGACTTGCTTTATGAATCTGGGTGCTCCTGTATTGGGTGCATATATATTTAGGATAGTTAGCTCTTCTTGTTGAATTGATCCCTTTACTATTATGTAATGGCCTTCTTTGTCTCTTTTGATCTTTGTTGGTTTAAAGTCTGTTTTATCAGAGACTAGGATTGCAACCCCTGCCTTTTTTTGTTTTCCATTTGCTTGGTAGATCTTCCTCCATCCTTTTATTTTGAGCCTATGTGTGTCTCTGCACATGAGATGGGTTTCCTGAATACAGCACACTGCTGGGTCTTGACTCTTTATCCAATTTGCCAGTCTGTGTCTTTTAATTGGAGCATTTAGTCCATTTACATTTAAAGTTAATATTGTTATGTGTGAATTTGATCCTGTCATTATGATGTTAGCTGGTGATTTTGCTCGTTAGTTGATGCAGTTTCTTCCTAGTCTCGATGGTCTTTACATTTTGGCATGATTTTGCAGTGGCTGGTTCCGGTTGTTCCTTTCCATGTTTAGTGCTTCCTTCAGGAGCTCTTTTAGGGCAGGCCTGCTGGTGACAAAATCTCTCAGCATTTGCTTGTCTGTAAAGTATTTTATTTCTCCTTCACTTATGAAGCTTAGTTTGGCTGGATATGAAATTCTGGGTTGAAAATTCTTTTCTTTAAGAATGTTGAATATTGGCCCCCACTCTCTTCTGGCTTGTAGGGTTTCTGCCGAGAGATCTGCTGTTAGTCTGATGGGCTTCCCTTTGAGGGTAACCCGACCTTTCTCTCTGGCTGCCCTTAACATTTTTTCCTTTTTTTCAACTTTGGTGAATCTGACAATTATGTGTCTTGGAGTTGCTCTTCTCGAGGAGTATCTTTGTGGCATTCTCTGTATTTCCTGAATCTGAACGTTGGCCTGCCTTGCTAGATTGGGGAAGTTCTCCTGGATAATATCCTGCAGAGTGTTTTCCAACTTGGTTCCATTCTCCCCATCACTTTCAGGTACACCAGTCAGACGTAGATTTGGTCTTTTCACATAGTCCCATATTTCTTGGAGGCTTTGCTCATTTCTTTTTATTCTTTTTTCTCTAAACTTCCCTTCTCACTTCATTTCATTCATTTCATCTTCCATCACTGATACCCTTTCTTCCAGTTGATCGCATCGGCTCCTGACGCTTCTGCATTCTTCATGTAGATCTCGAGCCTTGGTTTTCAGCTCCATCAGCTCCTTTAAGCACTTCTCTGTATTGGTTATTCTAGTTATACATTCTTCTAAATTTTTTTCAAAGTTTTCAACTTCTTTGCATTTGGTTTGAATGTCCTCCCGTAGCTCAGAGTAATTTGATCGTCTGAAGCCTTCTTCTCTCAGCTCGTCAAAGTCATTCTCCATCCAGCTTTGTTCCGTTGCTGGTGAGGAACTGCGTTCCTTTGGAGGAGGAGAGGCGCTCTGCTTTTTAGAGTTTCCAGTTTTTCTGTTCTGTTTTTTCCCCATCGTTGTGGTTTTATCTACTTTTGGTCTTTGATGATGGTGATGGTGATGTACAGATGGGTTTTTGGTGTGGATGTCCTTTCTGTTTGTTAGTTTTCCTTCTAACAGAGAGGACCCTCAGCTGCAGGTCTGTTGGAATACCCTGCTGTGTGAGGTGTCAGTGTGCCCCTGCTGGGGGGTGCCTCCCAGTTAGGCTGCTCGGGGGTCAGGGGTCAGAGACCCACTTGAGGAGGCAGTCTGCCCGTTCTCAGATCTCCAGCTGCGTGCTGGGAGAACTACTGCTCTCTTCAAAGCTGTCAGACAGGGACATTTAAGTCTGCAGAGGTTACTGCTGTCTTTTTGTTTGTCTGTGCCCTGCCCCCAGAGGTGGAGCCTACAGAGGCAGGCAGGCCTCCTTGAGCTGTGGTGGGCTCCACCCAGTTCGAGCTTCCCAGCTGCTTTGTTTACCTAATCAAGCCTGGGCAATGGCGGGCGCCCCTCCCCTAGCCTCGCTGCCGCCTTGCAGTTTGATCTCAGACTGCTGTGCTAGGCGACTCCGTGGGCTTAGGAGCCTCTGAGCCAGGTGCGGGATATAATCTCGTGGTGCGCCATTTTTTAAGCCCATGGGAAAAGCTCAGTATTCAGGTGGGAGTGACCTGATTTTCCAGGTGCCGTCCGTCACCCCTTTCCTTGACTCAGAAAGGGAACTCCCTGACCCCTTGCACTTCCCAAGTGAGGCAATGCCTCGCCCTGCTTCGGCTCGCGCACGGTGCGCGCACCCACTGACCTGCGCCCACTGTCTGGCACTTCCTAGTGAGATGAACCCGGTACCTCAGATGGAAATGCAGAAATCACCCGTCTTCTGCGTAGCTCACGCTGGGAGCTGTAGACCGGAGCTGTTCCTATTCCTCTCTATATAAATTCTATAGATACATAGAGTGATTATAGAGAGAAACTCTCTCTATATATAAATTCTAATTCACTATCTCCTAAAAGTAGCACATTTGCCTATAATCCCAGCACTTTGGTAGACCAAGGAGAACAGATTGTTTGAGCTCAGGAGTTCGAGATCTGCCTGGGCAACATGGCAATATCTTATCTCTGTTAAAAATATAAAAAAATAGCTGGGCATGGTGGTATGCACCTGTGGTCCCAGCTACTTGGGAGGCTGAGGTGGGAGGATCACTTGAGCATGGAAGGTGAGGTTGCAGTGAGCTGAGATTGCACCATTGTACTCTAGCCTGTGTGACAGAGCAAGACCCTGTCTCAAATTAAAAAAAAAAAAAGTAGCAAATTCAATGTTAGATGGGAGAAACTGGAGCTGATATGGCTGCTTATAGCCAAACATTAAAAGATAATTTAAAAAAAACTATAAGCAGCAGATGTGTTGTTTTCTTTTTTAATCCAAAGCATAACAATAATAGGAACTACATTCTGGAATGGCTGCTCTGTGTTAGGCACTTTACAAAGATCATTTCATGTAATCATCACAACACCCTTTGTGAACAGGTATAACTTATTCATAGCCACATAACTAGAAGAAGAGGAGTCAGGATTTAAAGTCAGATTGTTTTTCTTTGAAAGCCTCATTTACTAGTGTCAAGGAAAATAGCTTCTGTGGCCATTGCTCTGCTACCAACTTCGATTTTCACAACCCTGGTGTGAATTCATGATAACAATACCTGCTGTGGGTTAGAGAAAACATTACAAGGCAGTAGTTAAGAGCACCAGCTTTGGTGCTAGGTTCCCTGATGTTGTAAAACTGAGTCCTGGCTCTGAGATTTCCTAGCTGTGAAAACTTACGCAAGCTGGTTTTTAACTTCTCAGTGCCTCTGTATTCTCTCTCAAAAAATGTTAATAAAATAGTATCTACCCTATAGAGCTGCTATGCAGATTAAGTAGTTACTATAAGTAACAAACTTAGAACAGTATGTGGCACTCAATAAATACTGGCTATTAATTTTGAGTTCTGACCCTGTACCTCAGGGATATAGGTAAAAAGCAGGAAGAAAATGATAGTTTTAAAGAACCTAATACGCTGATATTTTATAGACACAGTTATTTCATTCAACCTCACAACAGCCTCATTAAGTGGGTTATTCTCATAAGAGAAGTGAAAGCTGAGGCACAGAGAAGCAAAATAATTGACCCAGTCACCTAGCTGGTAAGTGGCAAAACCAGGAATTTATCCCACATCTGTCTGTGCTATAACAGAAATGTTGAAGTATATTTACTGTTGTGTTTTTAATAGAACACAAAAAGATTCTCCCTATGTTGGTAAACATAGTGGGCACAGAATGACACTTAAGTTTACTCCACACAAATGCCAAAAGGCTGGCAAAGCCCTTTTTTCTGGCTCCTGACCTGGGCAATGCCCATGCCCCACTCCTGAATGATGCTGAGGGCTTGCATCCATCCAGATTCTCTAGCTGTCCTGAAGCACCTGTTTTTGTCTGTTCTTCTACCTAATGCTCAGCACTTGCACACTGCCTTTGGCTAAATGTCATGCCCACTCTCAAAATCTTATTTCTTGAAGAGTCCTTTCTGGTTTCACTAGGAGAAGGTTGGCTTTTATTTGCCCTAGTTTCTCTCTTTGTCTCTTGACATTTTCTCATTTCTTCTATCTCTTCTCTTTTTTCTTCAGGCATTGTCAGGTTTCCCAAGCCCCATCCTCATGGCACATAATTATACCATGGTAATGATATACCTTGTTCTCGTGTATTTTCAGCCTTGAATGTTGACTTTTCTGTTTCCTCCAGTGTGCTCTGATAGGAATACTCAAAGCTTCAGAATTTTTTAAACATGTCTAGTAATAAATGCTTAGAAATTCTCTTTGAGAAGGTAGAATGTCACCATTTTCATTTGCAAACTTCAGTAGAAAAATACTATTCAAGTAATGTTTTCAATCAGAAAAATATCCAAATGTTGTTCATGTGTTAATTCTTGTTTCAGTCCAAGTTTTAGTTATTCATCCTTGAGTCCCAAATCCTACGTCACAAGAGATGATTATTAAATGAAATGAACAATAATAAATAGAAGCTATTATTTTGTACTACATCATAGGATGACACCAGTATAAGTAGTTGAGGTGTGTAGGGGGAAAATCTCAGAAAGTTTAAGTATGGCTGTATCTAGGGGCACCTATAGAGAAGCTACACAAGCTATCTCTTTATAAACGGGCCAAAAGTAGCAGAGAGGGTTGTGGGTTGTTGTGATTGTATGGTACATTCCCTGGCCTTGGTTACTGGTTGTTAGTTATGCCCAGATCAATGTCTCCATCCTGTTGGGGAACTGATCTTAACCACTACTATTTTAAAAACTTATTTCAACATTTATATTATCATTTAAAGATCTTACTTGATTCTTTACTACCACTGTTATTATCACAGTGATAGTAGAAGAATCTTAATTATTTCCATGTAATATTTTATGATTACAAAATGTTATTTTGTAATAACATTACAAATATTTGCAATAATGCTACCATTTTATCTTCAAACTCTACTGAGGTAGGGAGGTCACTTTACAGATGAAAAATTTAAAGCACAGAAGCAGTTACATGATGTCCTTTTTATTTCAGTCCTAAAAAGTAGAGGAGTAATTTCACTATAAACTACTTGAAGGCAGGAATCATGTCTTATGCACATTTCATATTTTACAATGCCCAGTTCTGTGCCCAGCACCTACAGTTGACTGAGTAAAGGAATGAATGATTTTTAACTTAGGGTTTGCCTAAATTACTGATTTTGACACTACAATCTGCTTTATGCCTCCATTCTCACCTTGTCCCCTTCTCCATTCTCACCCTTCTCCATCAGCTGCTGGCCCAGGACAGAACACATTCTGTGGAATGGCAATGGCTCAGCGTATTGCTCAAAAATCCTCTATCTTTAGAGTTTCATTTCTATTATCTCTAATTTTTGCTTCCATTTACAGCCAGGATCTAAAACTATTTTATATGACACTCTATTATTCATCACACAATCCTCATTTCACTGAGAACATTATTCCAGTTTGATGGTTCTTCTTCAACCAACTAATATTCCAGTACATGACCTGATTATTGACCCAACTTCAGTAACTTCATTCTCAGACTTGGCACATAGACCTTAAGTTATTCATTTTTGGTGAAGCGTATTCTGATTGAGTTCATGACATTTAGAGTAATCCCTCACTTATGCTAGCCGTATTGTTATATGGAACTGGGCTATCAACTCCTTTACATCATAACAAACATTACCGAACATATTTTCGTAAGTGTATTGACAAGACGAATGTTTTAAACACTACTACATGCTTAGCACTGTGTTAGATGCTAGGAATAAATGAGTAAGATAGTGTCTTCCACCATAGACCCTTAGTGACTCATTGTGACTCTAATACTCAGACAAGTGACTCAGTACAAAAGTCTATAATAGGAAACAGAGACCTGGTTTGCTTTGTGTTTTGTTTCTCAGAAGCACATATAAGTATCTTGATGTTGTCCTTTACAAGTGTTCCACAAAATTAATGTGAATCAGAAGACTAAGCCTGGCCTTTCATTGGATACACTTTCTGACACTGAGTTAATTATAGAAAAAAAATACAGATTTCTTTTTCATGATTCAATGGAGCCTGACCAGTCAGCCAAAATTCTGTCATTCTTGGGCTAGATTAAGAAATAGATGTGTCAAAACATCTGATACACTACAAACATATTTCTGTTGAATTTTGCATTTTGAATCTTACCTATTTTCTTTCAGTATATAAAGTGTTCATTCATTACTTTATTAATGAAACATATCAATTGAACAACAATTAAATAATAGGTATTTTGCAAGGTGATGTGAGAGAATAGTTAAAGGTTCTTGTTCTCAAGAAACTTATCGTCCAGAAGAAGAACTGAGGCTTGTCTTTGAAATCCCTATGGTAAAACTGTATCAGTTGACTCATTTAAGACCACTTTTAACCCAAAAAGGAAGCCCTGACATTTTGCAACTGCAAGTTACCTTAGAGATAAACCACTCCAAATCTTCCATATTATGGATAAAGAAGCTGAGAGTCAGTTGAAGAATTAATACCAGGCCCCAGAGAATAAAAGGAAGAGGTGGGTCTAGAATCCATTTCTCAGATTCATAGTTGGTGTTCTTAGCCACCATGCCACACTGCCCCTAATAATGGACTCAACCAAAAGTACAGTGAAGGGCAATGCCCGGGCTTGCAGGCTTTCGGTAATATGTTCATGAGCATGTGTGAGGGGCAGTGCAAAGAGGGCAGCCTTCTCTGGAGGAGACCTGCTCTGTCTGACATGATTAAAGATTACAGAGGAAATTTCTGACTTTCCCCTTTGAATATTTAGCATTCAAAGAATATTTTTTGTCTTTTGCCAAATAAAGGCTGAACAAATGGTAGTTGAACAGAATTAAGTATTTCTTCTTATTTAACTAGTGCACTTTTACTAAAATGAAACTCTCAAGTGAGAGATTATGCAAATTAGCTTCTGCACTGATCCAATAGCATTGGGGTGAAAAGAGCAAGAGCTTTAGAGCCAGACACCCTCAGGCTGGTACCCTGCTCTTATACATTTTATCTGTGAGATTTAGATAAGTCACTTTGCCGCTTTGAATCTTCATTTCTTCCTCTATTAAATGGAAATAATACCTATCTCTCCTGCTGGGTTGTTATACTTTTTAGCAACAATGATAATAATGCATCTCTGTGCCAATCTCTAAGCTAGATGTTTTCTATACATTATTTCTCTGTAACTATACAGTATAAGTAAAACATATAGTAGAATGCTTGTCGCTGAAAGATATTTGTATGCTTCCTGTTACTACTTATCTAATCTTCCCTTGAAGAACTATCATTATTAATACATTTTGTTTGAAAATCAGAATCTTATCTACTAAGGCCTATAGCAGACTTATATATCCCACAAATACAACCAATCCATTAATAATATTGCTGGGGAATGGGGATGGCCTATGCAGGAATGACTAGTGCTAAGTATGAACCAGTTTATGATTTTGCTGATGAGCTGTGGGCATTCCTCCTTTTCTTGTGAGGATACTGAGAATGTCTTAATTCATAATTGCATCCCCAGCATCAAGCACTATGCCTGGGACATGATCAGCATTCAGTAAATGTACACAGACCTGAGGTGAAAAGTGTCTTTTTGGTTATTGGATCCCCATCCTTGAATTGGAAAAGTCTAGAGTCTGACTGTAATATTCCAGTAACTTTGGCCTGGACAGTCTTGGAACCAAAGCACTATTACCAGGGGCAGTAATTCCTGTGGTCACCATGGCAAAGATTCCAAAGTCAGCCGGGGAGGTGGCTCATGCCTATAATCCCAGCACTTTGGGAGGCCAAGGTGGGCAGATCATCTGAGGTCGGGAGTTTGAGACCAGCCTGGCCAACATGGAGAAACCCCGCCTCTACTAAAAATACAAAATTAGCCGGGTGTGATGGCGCTTGCCTGTAATCCCAGCTACTTGGGAGGCTGAGGCAGGAGAATCGCTTGAATCTGTGAGGCGGAGGTTGCAGTGAGCTGAGATTGAGCCATTGCACTCCAGCCTGCGCAACCAGAGTGAAACTCCATCTCAAAAAAAAAAAAAAAAAAAAAAAAAGAGTCCAAACTCAGAATTCTAAATTCAAGAACATCAAAATGAAAAGTAGAAGGAAATATGGGAACCTAGTATGTAATTCTCCCTAAACTCAGTTTCACTTACTGTTCTCTTAGGATTTTTATGTGGTTCCATGCTAGGACCAATAAAATGGAATGTTTGAAAAGAAACAGTAGGTATTTCCTCAAATCTCCTTTAGCTCTGATTAATGCACTCTTACTCTTTACATTGAGGCACACTCCAGATTCAATGTTATATCGTTTCAAAACTTCCACATAGGATCTTTTTAATTTTTATTTAAATTTGGGACAAGTCTTGCTGGGGAAAAACAAAAAGTTCCTCTGTAGAATCATATCTATTTTCACCTGTGGTAAACCAAGTCAAAATTATTTGATAAATGAACACCATAATTCAAGTGTATGACAGCTCTTATGTCTTCTTGCAAGAATGTATTTTTTTTTGAGCTGAAATAATGTTATTTCCTCTTGACATGTATTTTAGGGTAATTCTTTAACATAAAACAGAGCATCTTGCTTATAGAATTATTACTAAGCTCTTTGATTAACAGTGTAATTCTGTGTTCTGTTTCTTGAATCTGAGACTTTCCAGAGAAGAATAATTATTTTTAAGGCAGCAGTTCCCAACTGGACTGTCTCAATACACTGGTTTATGTCAATAATTTTATTCCAGGTGATTTTAAAAAGAAAATGACAAGCTTAAGCAAAATGGGAGTAATATGTCTCCATGGAATGGACAGAAGGGCAGGATTAGAGTTGTGTGTCACCAACACATATTGGGCATAGGAGTGCCATCAAGACTCTCTCAGCCTTCGAACTCACCCTCTTCATTTGGAGGTTTGAGATCTGTAACTGTGGACAAGTTTGTTCATGAATTCGCAAACTTGTCTCTCAGAGTGCCTAATTAGTACATGTTGAACTTTCTGCTACAAGAGAAAGATTGCCAAAATGAAAGAAGGATGAGAGAGAAGAATGTAGGGAGGAATGGAGAAAGGAAGGGAGGAATGAGGGAGGGAAAGGGGAGGGGAGGGGAGGGGAAGGGAGGGGAGAGGAGGGGAGAGAAGGGTGGAGGAAGTAAGGGGAAGGGGAGAATGGGGGAGGGGGGAAGGGAGGAAGCCTGGCGGGGCAGGGGAGGGAGGGAGGGCCAGTTTTTGCTTCTCCTGGCCTGTATTAAGTGCTCTCCCACAGAAACCAGGGTGCAGGTTTATGTAAGAACACAGCAATTCCTGTGAGAATTTTTATGTTGAAAGTTGGAGATAGGAGTGGGTAGTGGTACTAAGTAGACAAATATATCACCCAATGTAATGTGTTACTATTAATGAAGTAAGTAAGTTTTGCAAATTACTTTCTTTATAAATTGGGTCAGATTTAAAATAACTCTTTTATGGACAGCCCTTTCAATTGCTTGCATTCCAGTATATCTTTCCTTGGTAGGAGAGAAAAGGAAACTTATAGACATCATGGCAGAACTTTATTGAACTAGCCCCTAATTTCACGTGGGCAGAACCCATATCTATCTTTGTTAGCCCTAGTGCCTAGCAGAGAGTAGTGCTCAATAAATGTTTTTTTTTTTCCTAAAAGTTGTGGCATCTATGGTTTTAGGGATTGCAAATTATGATTTTTATGGTAACTGTCTTTTAAATTTTAACCATGGGCATATATTTTAATAAGGAAGGAACCAAAGTAGAGGAAAAATGGGAAGAGTCCAATTCCATTTACACTGTACATGAGTACAATGATGTTGCAAATATTTCTATTAGTAATGGCACAAAAAAGATCAATGAATAAAGTTGTATGATGATACAAATGAAATTTGTAGGAATGATACCATTAAAATTAACAACAAACATTGGAAGTTCTATATATTGTGACTTTAAAAGTGTATAAGTTGTAGCTGTTTCTCCCTCAGTGTCACATACTGACCAAATTTATTATTTATTATTTATTTATTTATTTATTTATTTTGAGATAGAGTCTCGCTCTGTCACCCAGGCTGGAGTGCAGTGGCGAGATCTCGGCTCACTGCACCCTCCACCTCCCAGGTTCAAGCCATTCTCCTGCCTCAGCCTCCCGAGTAGCTGGGACCATAGGCACATGCCACCATGCCTGGCTCATTTTTTGTATTTTTAGTGGAGACGGGGTTTCACCTTGTTAGCCAGGATGGTCTCGATCTCCTGACCTCATGATCCGCCTGCCTCAGCCTCCCAAAGTGCTGGGATTACAGGTGTGAGCCACCACACCTGGCCCAAATTTACTTATTTATTTTATTTATTTTTTTTCAAATTCATTTTTTTAAGCATTTTATTGTTTCTTGTAAAATGGCCAGTTTTTTTCAATCTTAAAATGTCTACTTTCACTTTAGACATGCTTATTAAAGAGCTTTAAGGCATAATACCACAAGTAAAATAAACGTCTATAAAATCTGCACATAATTTGCATTAATTTTGTCTTTAGTTTTTGGTCAAAATCTAGATACAGTCACAGGAATGTGGCGATATCCATTATGCTGGTTTGGCCAGAAACAAAATTGCCATAGCTACGTAGTCTAAGGCATGGACCACGTGAGAAAGAGGTAGTTTTTTAAACATCAAATAGCAAATAAGAACAGCTGAGAAAATAGAGCATAATATGATATAATTGCATCAGCTTCTGGAGTGGAGTTATTTTCATACTTGAAATTAATGTGTAGAATAAATGCAACATTTTATTTGCCTAGATATTTACTCTCTCAAAGTCCAAATATCTTACATTAAGAATTTTGCTTACCACAACACATTGCTTCAGTTGACTGATTGTGAAGAAAGTGTTTATTCCTGGAGTTTTGTGGAAGAGGTTAGTGGAAGCCTCTTCCCTACCAGGGAGCTGTTATTGTTGAGGCAAGGAAAGAAGCCCAGAGCCACATATATCAGAGAAAAATCCAAACACATGTAAAGCAACAAGGAGGAAAACACAGTGGGGAAGCAAATATTCTATACTAGGCAGGTCTTGAATGCTCAATTCTATCACTCACTGTCTGTGTGGTCTGAGAACATTCTTTGTATGACTTGAATCCTTAAGACTTGTTTTATGACCCAGAAATATAATAATCTTTGTTGGTAAATGTTTCATACGCACTTGAAAAGAATATATTGTTGATGGGTAGTCTATAAATGCTAATTAAGTCAAGTTGCTAATGTTCACATTTTTGTTTCATGTATTTTGAAGCTGTTATTACATGAATAAAGATTTAGGCTTTTTATATCCTCTGGATAAATTTGGGGCTTCATCATTGCTCATAATATTCTTTGCTCTGAAATCTGCTTTTTTTATATATTAATGCAGTCATTCCAACTTTCTTTTGACTAGTGTCAATATGGTATATATTTTTTCCATCTCTTTAATTTTAACCTAGTTGTACCTTTGAATTTAAAGTGTATTTCTTATAAACACTATATAGTTGGATCTTTCTTTTTTATCCGGTCTAACAAACAGTTGCTGCCTTTTAATTGAAGTGCCTTGAACTTTTTACAGTTGACATGATTGTTGGTGTCATTAGGTTTAAGTCTAATCATCTTGGTACTGTTCTCTATTCTCTTTTTTTCTCTTTGCATGTCTGTTTGGAGGTTTACTGGATAATTGTTATAACTCCATTTTATCTCATTTGTTGATTTATTAGCTATAACTCTCCAGATGTTGTTGTTATATTAGTGGTTGCTTTAGGGTTTGTAGTGTACATGTTTAACTTATCCCATTCTAGCATTACTATCAATATTATAATACTTCATGTACCGCATTAGAACCTTACAAAGTATAGTTTTCTTTCTTCTGGTTTTTGTGGTATTGTCACATATTTTATATGATACAGTGTGTGTGTGTGTGTATACATATATATATGTATACACACACACACACAAAATAAACCCCATGACACATTGTTAGTATTTTGGGTTAAGTAGATGTATTATATATATTTATTTATATATTTATATATAATATAAATACAAAATATTAAATATATATTATATATTATAAATATATATAATTATACATATATAAACTTCCATTTATATATTTATATTATATATATTTATAATATAATTATATATTTATAATTATATAATATATATTTAATATTTTGTATTTATATATAAAATATAAATATATAAAATATAATATATTTAATATTTTTAATTTAATAATTATATATTTATAATATCCTATTTATAGGATAATTTAATAATTATATATTTATAATATCCTATTTATTATAGGATATAAATAGGATATATTTATAATATTATATATTATAAATATATCCTATTATAAATAACATATATATGTTATAATATATATCCTATTATAAATAGGATATATATATATATATATATATATATATTCTATTAATTCTGTCCCTCTAGGGAACCCTGACTAATACATATATATATAATATATCCTATTATATATATATATAATATATCCTATTTTATATATATATATCCTATTAGTTCCTATATAAACTATTATATATCTATCCTATTAGAACTAATAAGATATATATCTCCTATTAGAACTAATAAGATACATATATCTCCTATTAGAACTAATAAGATATATATATCTCCTATTAGAACTAATAAGATATATATATATTCTATTGTTTATTAAGTATTAACTTAGACTATCACAAGGTCCCACAATAGGGTGTCTGCAAGCTGAGGAGCAAGGAGAGCCAGTCCAAGTCCCAAAACTGAAGAACTTGGAGTCCGATGTTCGAGGGCAGGAAGCATCCAGCATGGGAGAAAGATGTAGGCTGGGAGGCTAGGCCAGTCTGTCCTTTTCACGTTTTTCTGCCTGCTTTATATTCGCTGGCAGCTGATTAGATTGTGCCTACCAGATTAAGGGTGGATCTGCCTTCCCCAGCCCACTGACTCAAATGTTAATCTCCTTTGGCAGCACCTTCAAAGACATACCCAGTATCAATACTTTGTATCCTTCAATCCAATCAAGTTGACACTCAGTATTAACCATCACAGTGGACAATTGTTTTAAAGAAGTTTAAATAACAAGGAAAAGGCTTAGGTATTCATCCACATAGTTACCATTCCCAGGGTACTTCCTTTATATATATCCAGACTTCCATTAGGTGTCATTTCACTTCTGCCTGGAGTACTTCCTTCACTACTTCTTTAAGTGCACATCTGCTACTAAGGAATTCTTTCAGCATTTTATGTTTGAAAAAAGTCTTTATTTTGCCTTTATTTTTGAAAGATATTTTATCTGGATATAGAATTTTAAGTTGACCCTTACAGTGCAGGTAACTTTAAAGATGTTGCCTTCACTGTTTTCTTACCCATGTTGTTTCTGATGAGAAGCCTCTTGTCATCCTTGTCTTCCTTATTCTCTTTGCATGAAGCATGTTTCTTTTTCCTGGCATAAATAAATTTTTTCTTTTTATTAGTGCTACTAAGCTGTTTGATTATGATGTATCTTGGTGTGTTTCTCTTTATGTTTCTTGTGCTTCTGTGGTATTAAGCTTCTTGGATTAAAATATTCATAGTTTTCAATAAAATTTGGAAAATTATTGGTCATGATTCCTTCAAATATTTTTCCTTTCCTTCTCACTCTTCCTACACTTTGGAAACTCCAATTAGAGGTCTATTAGTCTACTTGAGGGTGTCTCACAGTTGGTTGATACTCTTGTCATTCTTTAGAATTATTTTTTCACGGTTAGTTTGGTTAGTTGGTTAGTAACTAACTTGGTTAGTTTCCATTGCTATGTATTTTATGTTCATTAATATTTTAGGCATTGTTTAATTTGCCTTTAATTCTATTCAGCATATTTTTCATTTTCAACATTGTAGTTTTTATGCCTACAAGTTTAATTTGGATTTTTTTTATATGTTTCATGTCCCTATTTAACTTGTTGACCATCTGCAATACAATTATAAAATTGTTTTAATGTTCTTTTCTGCCACTTCTAACATTTGTGTCAGTTATGGGTTCGTTTTGATTGGTTATTTTTTTCTCCCATTGTCAGTCATATTGTTCTACTTCTTTTTATGCCTGGTAATATTTGACTAAATGCCAGACATGGTGAATTTTACTTTATTGGGGCCAGATATTTTTGCATTTCTGTAAATATTGAAATGTATCATGGAACTGATCTTTTCAAGTTTTGCTGATCTCTTCAAGTTTTGCTTTTAAATTTTTTTAGATGGGAGGGCAGCATTTAGGGGTAATTATGTTTTACTACTGAAGCAAGATTTTTCTGAGCATACTACTTAATGCCCCATGAATTGTGAAGTTTTCTAGTTTAGCTGGTGAGAACCAGCACTGATCTCAGCCCTTTACAAATGCCAAGTATTGATCCTACTCATCCTTCAAAATGGTTCTTTCTCTGGCCTCTTGTAGTTTCTTCATGCACACAGATGCCAATCAGTACTCTGCTAAATACTCAAGAGTGGTTCTCAGCATATTTCCAGAATTTTCTTTCTGTGCAGCTCTCTTCTGATACTCTTTTCTGCAAACTCTAGCCATGTTGATCTCTTCAGATTCTCAGTTCCATGTCTTCAACTAAGAGAGTCTGCCAGGCTTCTCCTGGGTTCTTTGTCCCTGCTTGATGGCCTCGAGACTCTGTCAAGGCAGAAAGCTGGGGCAGTTACCTCATTTGTTTCCCATCTACTAAAGATTCTTGTCCTTCATTGTCTGATGTCTGGTGTCTGGGAAATCATTATTCCCTATAGTTTGTCTGATTTTATTTACTTTTGGTTGTTTGAAGCAGGAGGTTAAAGCTGATTTCTCTCATTCCATCTTGCATAGAAATTGAAGTTCCTTCTTACATCTTTAAAGATGAAAGCTGCTCACTACCTATCTCATATACCCTTGCAGATGCCATGTCTCTAGGTTATCAGATATAATTTAGATTCAGCTAATCAAACTTACTTAGGCAAGTCTTAGAATATGGAAATGAGTTAGAAATTGTACTTCCTTTTCATCTGCTACTTTTTTCTGGCATACACAGTGGTTGTAAGATGTGTTGGGTTTTTCTGAGCTGTGCTATCAGAATCTCCATTCTTTAGTCAATAATTTCACAAGTGCCAAGTGGTTGTGCCTAGGGCATCTTCTTTTTAGCTGTGCTGACATAGGAACTGTATCATGTCCCTGGATCCAATCGTTTTAGACAACCTCCTGATCCCTGTAGCTTAGCTAAAAAGTACATTCTTGGAAACAACAGTTCTGATGGGAGGTTCTTGATTACTCATCTTCTAGTTATGGCAGAGGTAGCAGCTCATCCTGCAGCTTTGGAATCACAAGAGTTTGGTTCAGCTCAGGATACAGTGAACCTATAATACTTTAATTGTTCTGCTTGTTCAGGTCAGAATGACAATGTATAGAGGCCGTCAGAAAACAGGCACTTACAAAGGTGACTTGAGAAATGATCAGATCACAGCACATAAAAATTTTAAAAGGCTTTTTAAATCAGAAAATGACTATATTGTATATCCTTATACATTTATTTCCAACCTTAAAAAATACTGTCTTATATGCAATATTTGTATTTTTGTAGTTTTATTTATCAAATATACTTGGGATAAGTTTAGTCCCTACATATATATCTTTTATACTCCCCTGTATTAACCATAAAGGAAATTTAAATTGATTGAAGTATGTCTACATCATCTTTAAAATCAGTACATGCTGATATAACAGCTATTTCTGCAAAAGACAGACACTGTCATTTGAGCTTCACTTTTGGCTTCAAGGGACCCTCCACCTTTCTCCAACTCCAGTTTCATAACTTTGTGCCTGCAAAAGAATGTGGTGAGGGGAGGGCTTCTCTAGGATTAATTACAGAGTTTAGAATAAGAAAATTAACATGTCTAACATGCTTATTATGTGCCAGGCTCTGAAAAATGCTTTTATATATTACCCCATTTAATCATTACAACAACCACATGAGAAGGTTTTAACTATTTTACATGTGAAAAACATGAGACTCAAAAGTTCACCAACTCAATACAGAAGAAAGCTAGAATTCAATCCAAATCTATCCATATCAAAAGCTTGCTCTTTCCAATGTGTTATACTGCCTCGAAGCACTGTTGTAAATTGTGCTTCTCCAGGACTGAACCACATGTAGTTATCCTGTATTGGGGGACAAACTTATCTGTTGTTCATTCAAATGCACCCAGTGATACATAATACCAGGGCTCAGTTTGCTTAGTATAAATAAAAGTTTCCTACATTTTAGCAAAAGGTGATGCTAAAATGAAAATAAATAATAAAATGCCCAATTTTTGACAATTATCTACTCTTCTCAATAAAATGTTACCTTTATTAGGTTAGATTTTCCTTAGGCTTCCAAAGTTTATATTCCTAGAAATGAAGGTAATGATTTTTGTGTTTTTCTGGGACGGGCAGTGTATTGTTAGTCTGTTCTATAAAAGAATAAGGTTGCATTATTCATCAGAATCATTTTAGTAGTAAATAGACTTTGATATGAGAAAGAAGAGAGTTCTGAACAGTCTCTGAATTGTATTTATGCCAAATATGTAATTATATTACTCTGCAAATGAACTCAGTACTAAGACACTTATAGCCACATCTCTTATATTAGTGATAATTTAGGCATTTGTTTGCCTAACTGATGACATAGAGATGACTAAGACCGAAATCTGACTTCAGTTGGAGACTATAATCACCATTTGGAATTGCTCTTTCGTAATCATTTTAATAGGATAAATCACATGTTACATAACTTCATAATTTATTTAGTCATAAATTGATTCTAATCATGTGAATCGGGCATATTTTTTACTCCTAAAGTAAATAAACCAAAAGATTTATTAATTAGGTTAGACCAACATATCAATTAGTTGGGGAAAAAAGGAGTAAAAAAGCATATTGTTTTCAAATCATAAAAAGCTACTAAAAAACTAAATGGCACATGAAACATTTAATCTGGCAGAATAATTCCAATTAACCAGAAAGCCTTAATGATGCTGTAAAGTGATGGGGCAGGGGTAGTCTTTTGAAATTAGAAGAGTCAGGTTCAAGTCCTTAGTGTCACTATCATTATTTAGATGGTTATCAGGCAGAAGAGGGAGTGGACTTATTCTCTGTAACGAATTAAGGAGTTCATTCAGAGTAAGAAAGGACTCTTGTATAACCAAGAGACCCATCCAACAAAGAGTGAGTTGCCTCACTAAGGAGTGAGCTGCCTCTCCACCTCAGCAGATGCTCCAGCAGAAGCTGCATAGCTGGCCATTATGCATGGTAAAAGGCATTCCTTCAGTGGTTGAGTGTGAGACTAGAGTTTTCCATAGACCTTCTGATTTTGGATGGCCTTAAATCCTCACTGCGCATGTAGCTTTCTGGGATTCTGTACTGAGTATTCAATTGCCTTGAATAGGGGGAGATAGGTCTGCTACCTGTCTGTATCATCTTACTTTTTTCTTAGAAGCTCCTAGGTTTTATCACTGACCTCGAAAGGTAAGATATTTGGTCTTGTTTTCTAGCTTTGTGATTTTCTGTCAATTTCCAACCTTCCTTTTCTCAAAATTTAAGAGTTACACAGCTGGTCAGATTATGTCTCTTATCACTGACTCATACTCCTAATCTTCCCACCTGTATCTTCTCACATTCCCGTTTCTATTTGCCATACCCCACAAAGTCCTTAATACTTGTCTGTAATAGATGACTTCAAGCCCAAAGGGTGTATGCTTTTCAAATATAAAACAAAAATATAAAATAATGAATTATAGTAAGTTGGAGTGAAGGTTCTAAGATTCTTTATTTTAAATATTTTTAACATTAAAAAATGTTTACTATATAAAATTAGGAGGATACAGAAAAATATAAAGCCAAAGATAACCCACTCATAATTCCACCACTGCAAAGGAAACATTATTCTTTTAGTATATATGCTTTGTATCTTTATATATAATATGTAAAACAAAATTAGAATCACACCATACAGAGAGTTCTGTCTTCTTTTACTTAGCATTATATTGTGATCATTTCTCCATATTATTATATATACTTTAGAAATATGATTTTTTAAATGAGTGCTTGATATCAATAAAAGATAAACATGAAATATGAATATATTAAGATCAACACATCAGACAATGATGTTGACATTAGCCATTAAAATTCACCTTTGATCCCATACCAATCTCTGGCATCTTTCTGACTATAATCAGCTTTCCATTTAGAATTTCCTACAGAGAGAATATGCAATGAACAGTTTCAGTCCGCTCATCAGTAATATTTCTCACTATATATAACAAACTATCATCGTGCTTATTAATGCACATGCCTCTCTTCTGCTGAATAACAGTACTTTTTTTTTTTTTTTTTTGAGACGGAGTCTCGCTCGAATAACAGTACTTTTATTTGCATAGTCATTATTTAATTTAATCCTTACAAATTCCTTGTGAGTAAGCAGAGTGGGTGATGCAATCTCTCTTTTAATGAGGAAAAAGAGGCTCAGAAAGTCATGTAAAGTGTTCAAGGTCATCTTAACAGCGATGGACAACGTTTGCTAGAAAAAAAAGATTTGAAAGTTCATAAGTGGAGGAGGTAGAATTCAGGCCAGATTTTTTTTTTAATTTTTAACTTCCAGTGTTCTTAATATATTATTCTTTGGCCTCTTGCATGGTATCTTGATTTAATAAACATTTGTTAAATTGCTTGAGTTAAAGTACTTGAATAAACAAAACAAATGTATTTCAAAAAGAAAAAAACCCATATTTATTTAAATATAGTAAATAGCCAGGTTTGGTGGCTCACGCCTATAAGCCCAGCACTTTGGGAGGCCAAGGTGGGTGGATCACCTGAAGTCAGGAGTTCAAGACCACCCTGACCAACATGGTGAAACCCTGTCTCTACTAAAAATACAAAATTAGCCGGGCGTGGTGGTGCATGCCTGTAATCCCGGCTACTTGGGAGGCTGAGACAGAAGAATTGCTTGAACCCAGGAGTTGGAAGTTGTAGTGAGCTGAGATTGGGCCACTGCACTCCAGCCTGGGCAACAAGAGCAAAACTCCATTTCAATAAATAAATAAATAACTATAGTAACTCATCTGTCATTTAACCTGAGCATAGATCCCTATACCCTTTTCCTCCTTTACTATTTACCTGAAGTTCTTCAGATTTTATTCTTTTCAAGCTTCTTGGACTCCTGTATCATCTGTCACCACTGACCATTATCACATTATGAATCTTCCTCCTCCCCTGCATTCTGTGACATTTTCCTCTGGTTGTCTTCATGTATCTGCCCACTCTCATCCATAGTTCTTTGGATGACTCTTCCCTCTTCATCTAAAATGTTGTTATTCTCTTGGGTTTTACATTCAGCTTTTTTCCTTACTTTAATTTTACTTTTATTTACCTTCCTTTACTTTTATTCTGAAGTGCTTCAGAATAAAATGATAAAGGAAATTGATCTAAACTATTAAGAAAAGTGTTTTGATGAGAATATGTGTTTTCCTGAGTATTCTAAAAATAGCCATAACCAGTAATAGTAGTAATAGTAATGATATTCCTTCACATTTGGATAGTCATTTGCAGTTTACAGGGTGCTTACATTATTTCTTTAAATTCATCACATGGATCCTGGGAACTAAGAAGAATTTTCATCTCTATTCTGTACGTTAATAATATTCTGTACGTTAATACACATCACAGGTCTCAGAGTTTTACCTGTGAACTTTGGTTGCAGAGTTTTGATGCCCCCCAGTAGACTCTTGTAATCGGCATATGAGTTTGAGGGGGTACATGTTTAAGGTGCTAGACTGATGGGACCCATAACTAGTGTGCTTGATAGTGATAGATATTTAGAATAATAGTAACAACTGGATATGAAGTAGATACCATGTCCCAGACACTGCTAAGTGCATGAAGTGACCAGCCATAGGTTTAACTTCTTTTTTACAGACAAGGCAGATAAGCTTAGCTCATTCTCTCTTTTCATGGGGGAGTGTGATGGAAAGTCTGACTCTCATTCAACATGTCCTCATGAAGCTAGTCCCATGGAGCTGTCCTGTTTAAACGGATGTCCCAGTTCTGCTGCAGCTTGAAGAATTTTTCAGATGGGATGAATTTTTCTGACTGGCTTGCTGAGTCTCTCCACATGGCCCCTGCCATGGCAGAGATCTTCCTAATACCCTGCTTTGTTAACCAGCCCCCTGTCTAGGCAGTGTTTTCATCTTTGTTGTGTGACATGTCCTCTATTAACTCAAAATCCCCTTTCTCTCCTCTTCACTGCCTGACTTACAAGGATAAGAGAAACTATCCCTGGGTTTGACTCTCTCTGCCTCCTACATTGGCATCATATCCTGGAACAATCATTACATAACAGTCCTGGGTTTGCATCCCAGATCAGCTTCTTAGCCAGAGGCTTTTGTATAACCTAAAGTCTCTTCACCACTCTGATCTGCAATTTCCTCATCTGTAAAATGAGGATTAAAATGTTGAAGAGAAAAAAGGATATAATATATGTAAAGGACTTGACATATAGCAAAAAATTCAATAAGATGGCTGCTATTATTAAGATTTTTATTCTGATACTTGATCTGTACTGTTTCCATTTTTCTGTGCCATTCTGCCTGTCATATGCCTCCTGACATGAGCTTACTGACATAATTGTCAGAAAGAAATAGCACTGTGATTTATAATGGCCTTCAGAGACTGTCTTAAGAATTTAGATGTATTTCATTGTTAAACGAATCAAATTCAGAATTAAAAAAAACAGCATAAAGCTTTCAATAGCAACCTACTTTTCTGTACTTAAAACAGATTTTTTAAATGAATTTATTAATGATATTTCAGGAATACTACCACCCAAAGAAGGAAAAATCTGTACTTCAGATCTCTGAATGACTCTGATGGTATACCTGAAACTGGGATGTTGTGAAAACCAACATTATTCCTTTGAGACAGTGATAAGTAATTTAACTCTTTCTGATTTGATTTCTCATTAATAAATCGAAGAAACAGGAAAGTAAATGATTATGGAAGTAGGGCTTCGGCTTAAACATCTTAAGTCCTCTGATAGCGCAGCACTGTGGATAGGTCAACAGACAAGAAATAATAATGAATCACAGATGTGAATGCGATTTTACAAAGCCTTTTCCTTCCATGATCTTTTCTGAACTCATGACAACCTGGGAGGGGATGAGAGATAGAATTATCTATTGGACATTTTTCAAGCTTCTTGGACTCCTGTATCATCTGTCACCACTGACCATTATCACATTATGAATCTTCCTCCTCCCCTGCATTCTGTGACATTTTCCTCTGGTTGTCTTCATGTGTCTGCCCACTCTCATCCATAGTTCTTTGGATGACTCTTCCCTCTTCCTCTAAAATGTTGTTATTCTCTTGGGTTTTACCTTCAGCTTTTTTCCTTACTTTAATCTCTAAGGGCAATCTCAGTTCACTGAATGATTTCCATTAGCTTTAATTTCGACCTAATTTGGTAGTTGCAGCCCAAATCTCTCTCCTGAGCTCCTGATATCCATCCCACTGTTACTGGACTTCTTAATTTGTATGCCCCTAGGTACCTCATGCTCACCCTTTGCAAATTTCTCCCAGCCAAGTTTCTATATCACTTTGTCTGGAGGGATGACAACACTTTCCATCCATTACCTTAGCCCAAATCCTCAACATCATCCCTGATACTTCCCTTTCTCTTCCTATCCTCATTCAATAATTCACTTAACTCTGTTGACTCTGCCTCCTTAAAAGCTCTCAAATACTCATCCCCATGGCTACTACCTTAGCTCGGACACTCATCATTACTTGCGTCCTCTTGCAACAGCATCCTAATAGTTTTTCTTGCTTTTGTTCTCTGCCACCTGCCAAGCCAATCATACTGCAGTCAGAATGATCCTTGAAAATGCTTACCTGTCTGTGTCCTTACAGACACCTTATTTACATATATAAGATCATACGCCTTATTTACATATATATGCATATGGAGAGAAAGAGTCCCTCATTTCCTGTAGCAGGATACACAAAATACTCTCTAATCTAGCTTTTACTGCTTCTCTTCAATTCTTCAGTTTTTGACATTCTCAAATCTATTGCTTTGTATGATCCTTATCTAGCCATATCTAGCTGGACTGAATTCCTTGCAGTTTCTACATTTGTCAAGGTGGTCTCAGGTCTCTATACCTTGTAATGCAACTCACTCTGCATGCAGCTGCCATCTTCACTATACTTATGACAGCCTACCCAGACAGACTGTGCTCCAGGTCCTGAAGGAGGTTTCCCCTGAACTCTTTCTTCTTGGGATTAAGTCCTCTGTTGCAATCTACGCCTTTAGCACTAGTTGCTGAATTACAATTATCAAATTAATTTTCTTTCCTACTAGACTCTGCCTTACTTACCTTTTTTATGTCCAGCACCCCACCACCTAAAACAGTAAATACTTAGCACATATAAAATACTTAATGTTCTTTGGATAAAATAACATTTTATAGTTGGGAAAACGAAGATAGAGAAAGGCCAACATCTTCCCATGAGTACATGGTAGAGGCAAAACCAGGTTCCCAATCTTCCAATTCTTTCTCCAACTTTTTTATTCTATTGCTATTTCTGTAAAACAGTAGCCTTAAACATAGACTAAAAAGGGGCTTTTATAAACAGTTTAGTTTTAAGTCCATGAAGCCTTTGCAAAGAAAACATGACTTGGCTAAGTCAAGAAAATATTATAGCTTGGGATCTGCTTAGATATGACTCATTCTTGTGCCACCCTTCTGAGGTTGAGAATGCTGAGCTTTGTCATCCCTGATTACTCCAGGCTTTCAACGAGTCACCCGAAACTTAAGAATTAGATGGCTCCTTCCTGTTTATGTCTCTGTTTCCATTTCTAGGAGGTGATGATTTTCAACTGGATTAACCGTTCCTGTGCAAAAATCATTACCCCATGAGACGGAGTCAAGATGGGATAAATAGCTCATCCCAAGTATTATCACAGCACTAAAATAAATTTGTGTACTTTCTAGTGATCATAATAGCACTTACTAGTTGTTTAGGCACTGTTTTCAGAAATTTGCATACAGTATTTTATTTACTCTCATATAAGCTTTATCATAAAATAAATTGCAAACACCTACTGTGAGATGTTCTGCTACTGTGAGGCATTTAACAGATTGTTTTTGAATGAAAGAATGTTTCTAGCATTGTGAGGATACACACACACACACACACACACACACACACACACACACACACCATGCCCTCTGCCCTTAGCTTTTATCTAATTGGGCAAATTGGTCTACTATATAAACAACAATTAGAGAGAAAGAGAATTATTTCTTTAACACTTTTGTGCTAGACACTATGTTAAATACTATATATAAATGTGTGGTAGGTGTATTTAAATCTTTACAGGAACTCTATGAGGTTTTCTAGGTGGTCAAGTGTAGGCAGAGCCAGAATTTAAGTCTAGCCTACTTGGCTCTTCCAATTCCATCACATGATATTTAGACCAAATGAGATCACAAAGGAATGCAGAGGGCAGGGGAAAAGGAATGAAATTGCTGGAAAAGACTTAGTCGGTCCAGTGTGAAAATGTGATTGGGATTAGATGGGCAGAATTCGGGAATTCAGTGGGAGCACAGGCTTCAGGACAGGCACCCACAGATAGAACATAAAGTTGCTGACCTATTAGGAAAATGGATCTCATTCCTCTATGTCCAGTATCTATCATCATCACTGGGCCTGTGGTTTTTCCACCAGCTGCTCCCGTGTAATAACTGAGCAGTTATCCTTCAACTTTTATACAATGACTAAAAGGTGAATTTTAAGCCACACATTTCTTGTGTACCCTTCTTCTGGGAAATTATATTTCTAGGAAAGTCATTTTGTACTAGAAATCAAAAATATCTTAGTGGGTGCAACCCACTGCCCTGAAAATGCCATTATTTATTAATCCAACCAGTAGGACTTCATGAAACAGAAGGGATGATGTTGCTATTGCAGAAACTCTCTCATTGGCAAGTAGGGGCCTGCAATATGGCATACAGAAAACAGGTACACTCTTCTGGACTGGGAACCAGACTACCTAAATTCAGTCCTGGCTTTGTACTAAGTACAGTTATTGAAATATTCTTGAATAAGTGTCTTTACCTTGCAGAACCATTCAATAGTTCTCCTACCTGTGAAATGTCCAAGTTGGAGTAACTCAGAGTATCCTAAGATGTCCTCTTCAAAATCATTTGTTACAGTGTTTGTGAAACAACTGCATATCATATACCCTTCTTGTAGATTGACAGTGCATTGAAATCTCTGATGGCCCTGTAGAAAACAAACCAATTCAACAGTGATTAATCCAACATTTAAATAATTATTTGACAAGACATACTCTGGGAAAAATTTCACTGTGTACTCTGCACTGAATAGAAATTTCTGGCAGTTCTGAGAAAATTCAGTTTGCTTTCAAATATGATTTGTAAGTTGCCTCTACCATGTTCTCAATTCAAGTTACTGACGTTTTAAAACTGCACAAGGGCTTAATAAAGATACTGTTATATTATCCTGGCTGCCTTTTTCTCTTTCCCCAGTGTTCTGGTGCAAATTAAAGTGTTTTACATAACTCTAAAGGTAGTGAAGTAGGAAGAAGA
This sequence comes from Homo sapiens, assembly GCF_000001405.40. Taxonomy (NCBI): domain Eukaryota; kingdom Metazoa; phylum Chordata; class Mammalia; order Primates; family Hominidae; genus Homo; species Homo sapiens. The sequence goes on along the minus strand of NC_000011.10, from coordinate 83,565,321 downwards.
GAAGATATATTGTTTTTGCTTTGTTTGCTGAGTGAACAGTTTGAGATGTGAGTTAAGGATGCAGATATCCACCCTTCTGGGAGCTTCAGATTGCAGTTGGAACTGATTCTCCAGCACAATGGTCATATTATAATCTCAGTACTCAGTAACAGAGTACTGAGGTGGCCTTTGGATTTGTAGTCTTAAAGTCAAATTATAGAAATACAATTATCTTATCATGAGGGATTGTACCAGGAACTATGCTAGTGAATGGCAACATGATAGTCATTAAGATAGGCGCCTGCCCTCAAGGAGATCATAGTCCAGTGAGGGAAACAGATAAAGAACTGCATGATTGATTATAATACAGTTATGTAAACTGTTTGGATTAGGTAATGCATAAAGTGCAATGGCAACTTGGAATGAAGTTCTTTGACTAGAAGATATTTGCAAATCCCCTTCCTTGATCCAATCAGTGCAGAAAAAAAAAGAAATTCTTCTTATGTTTGTTTGTGGCTGATTAACTTTTTGTCTTGACCAGCATAATGATCATGATGATGACGAATGGGGAGGCATTATAAGACATTATGAGAGATGGAATGGTTTTATTTAATCCTTGTTGCAAGATTATCAATCTTCTCTAAACAAGTAGATAACCCACCAATAATAAATGCAAACAATCATTCACTCATATAACTTTCTTAAAAGAATTTTATCAGTGGATGGAGGGTTAGATCCCTCAGTAAACCCCAAAAACATAGATGCCAGAATTTTTTCCTTTGCATCCCCATATGTTACCTGCCAAAGCAGCAGAATTTCCCCTAATGAATTTTGGGTTATTATGAACAGCTAAACAGAAAATGAAACTTAGATCCTGGAGTGAAATATCCAATTTACAGGTAGCAACCTTGTGAAGCAATGAGGGGATGAGTGTCTTAAGCAAGGCCACGAGCTAGTCAGGGACAGAGGCAAGACTGAGATCTAGGGCTCCTGACCCCCCCCATTCCAGTGCACTGTATCGTGCTCCTGTCTATGGTATCTTAGGACACTTGTGAATATTTTCAATTTTCATCTAATGAATTTAACATTTTTCTAAAATAAGTAATTGGGTGGAAGTTAAAAAAGAATCCCTAACTAATACCTTACCTTGTCACAAGAGGATATTCATATGTTTCAAATTTATTATATCCAACATAAACATTCCCACCAATGATTTTATCATAGAAAACAAAAAAAAAAACACATGAAAAATTAGGTTTATATTACTGATTTCCAATAATATGTTGGAACAGGCCCATGGTGAGCAATTGAAAAATTCTGGCCAACAGTCTAATTATCTGCTATTTGATAAAAAATAAATCAAAACAATGGATAATATCACTGTCAGTTTTCTCTCAGACAGAAGTATTTCAAGAACCCAAATGCTACGAAGACAGTGAAGTGCTTGAGACTAATATGAAAGAGACATTGAAATAAGATGAACATAATTTAAACAGCAACCCTATACCATGCCAAACATTTGGTAAATAAATACAGTTTCATTTAGTCCTCACAATGACTCTGTAAGATAAGCTCTCATTTTTAATTAGATGAATCTTGGCTAACACCTATCTAGGCTTTAATTTCCTCATCTATAAAATAAGGATGTTTTTCACCCTACTCCCTTGTAGGATTCTTGAATTCTCTCTTGAGAACTCGAGATAATGCCTGTGAAGTACTTAGCAGAGGACCCAGCACCTAGTAGTTGCTATATAAAAGTAGCTTTTAACACGATTGTACTCTTCAGTCCCATCATTAAGTTTTACAGAAAGTTGTGTTTTCGAATTTACTTCTGCAACTTTTAGAATATAGAGAGCAGGTAAGGTGAAGCATGAGCTTCCAAAACCCTCACCTGCAGCTACGTTAACACTTCCAATGACTTTTCTTTATTAAGAAACCATGTCAGAACCATCCCAAAGTCCTGTGGATTTTATTTACAAGACCCTTCACTACTTCAGTAAGGGGATGATCAAAGAACGTTTAATTTAGAAGTTTCAGAGTTAAAGCCAGTAGTAAAGAATTAGGGAGGCTGGGCACAGTGGCTCATGCCTGTAATCCCAGCACTTTGGGAGGCCGAGGCGGGCGGATCATGAGGTCAGGAGATCGCGACCATCCTGGCTAACATGGTGAAACCCTGTCTCTACTAAAAAAATACAAAAAAATTAGCTGGGCGTGGTGGCAGGCACCTGTAGTCCCAGCTACTTGGGAGGCTGAGGCAGGAGAATGGCATGAACCCAGGAGGTGGAGCTTGCAGTGAGCAAAGATCGAGCCACTGCACTCCAGCCTGGGCAACTGAGCGAGACTCTGTCTCAAAAAAAAAAAAAAAAAAAAAAAAAAGAATTAGGGAAACAAAAACAGAAACATTACTGCCAACTCCCCATGTGCAGAGAACAACCTACTAGGGAAATCTTAAAGACCAGATGCAGATTGGTAAGGCGCTCAAGAAATGTAAAGAAGTGGAGTTTGCCATCCAGATTTGTTCCATATTAGTTTATCCTTGATTTCTAATTAGAATAAAAAGTAACATGAAAGAACAACAAAATTTTATAGAAAAAACCTACTTCAACCTCACTAAGTTATCATATTTTCCTTAGCTATGTATTTTTTCAATATACTGAAAACACAGATTGTACTGATATGTACCTATTTGCTTAGAAACAATATAAATTCTATTGGCATAATAATAAAAATAAACTAATAAAATCCAACCATTTTCCCTGTTCTTTATTCTTCTCATTATTCAAATAAAAGCCTTAATAATGATTATCAATTATAGCCTTGTATTTCTATCTCAGAGTTCTTTCCAGAGTCTCAGTGAACTGAGTGCCTGTACTAGGATCATCACCATCTAACAACTCCCCAGGGTGGTCAGGGGTAAATGGTACCCCCCCACCCAGGGCATCACAGGGTCAGTTATGACATTTATGCGAATCAAAATGTTGCAAGGGGTGAGTCTCAGTGCACCACAGATGCTCCCTTAGTGTCATGTTCAATTAATGTAAAGCTTGTGTTGATTCTAAGAGTTAAAGCGTCACTTTAACTATATAAGAGTGTATATAAAGAGTCACTTTAAGTCTTACAATCACAGTTTTATTATCTACAGAATAGGAATACTAAGGCCAGGCACGGTGGCTCACGCATGTAATCCCAGCACTTTGGGAGGCTGAGGCAGGCGGATCACGAGGTCAAGAGATCGACACCAACCTGGCCAACATGGTGAAACCCTGTCTCTACTAAAAATACAAAAATTAGCTGGGCGTGGTGCTGGGCACCTGTAATCCCAGCTACTCGGGAGGCTGAAGCAGGAGAATTGCTTGAACCCGGGAGGTGAAGGTTGCAGTAAGCCAAGATTACACCACTGCACTCCAGCCTGGTGACAGAGCAAGACTCCATCTCAAAAAAAAAAAAAAAAAAAAAAAAGAAAGAAATACTAAGTCAAACTTTGCAGGATTATTGTTTATGTTAGAAAAATATTATGTTCCTACTGCCCTACCTGGTACTTATTAGTAATTCAGTAAATGATAGCTATTTATATTATTATCTTTGTAATCTACCTTCTCTTCATCATCTTCTTTAGGTCTCAGTGTAAATCAAAGGGAATAACATTGCTTATTCCAAAGGATTACCACAAGGACTAAATAACACAGGTGAAGGTGCTTTGTCAACAACTCTCAGCACTGTATGTGATTCTTAAAAAGAATAATTAACAAACAGACTGGAGCCTCTGGAAAACTCTTTCCACTAAGCTACAGTACAAATAATAGAGTCTATGATCTTTAAGGAAAACCAAAATTACTCTTCACTTGCAGAACTTACAGAGACTCTTTACTTGCAGTCTCCTTACAAATGACTGTCAGTGCCAGGATCTGAAGGTCCATGGGATGCAGCATGCACAGGTAGAGCACAAGAGACAGGGAGCAGGCACTAAATAGCTCACCACTAACCCCTCTGAGTCCTGGATGGGTGGGTTTTGTCCTCCAAATAGCCTCTGCTAGAACAAAAAAGGGGTATTCATATATGGTGTCAGATGCAGAGTGATATGGTTTGGCTCTATGTCCCCACCCAAATCTCATGTTGAATTGGAACCCCCAATGTTGGAGGTGGGGCCCGGTAGGAGGTGACTGGATCATGGGGGCGATTTCTTGTGAATGGTTTAGCACAATGCTCTTGGTGCTGTTCTCATAGAGTTATCACAAGATCTGGTTATTTAAAAGTGTGTGGCACCTTCCCCAACGCCTTGCTCCTGCTCTGGCCTTGTAAGATGAGCCTGCTTCCCATTCTCCTTCTGCCATGGTTGTAAGTTTCCTGAGGTTTCCCTAGAAGCTGAGCAGATGCCAGCATCATGCTTTCTCTACTGCCTGTGGAGCTGTGAGCCAATTAATTCTCTTTTCTTAATAAATTACCCAGTCTCAGATATTTCCTTATAGCAATGTGAGAATGGACTAATACACAGGGGGAAAATGATTTACGGAGGACTTATTCTTAAGTATAGTTACAATCGAGGACCCTGTTTTATTGGTGGGAAATAGTTTTTTCCCCCTCTTGACTTTACCTTCCCTGTGGAAGAAAATCCCTGATCATTCTACGTCAGCAATGGAATGAATTAACAGATTGGAAAGTTAAGGTGCAGAAATTGGACATATATAACCTAATCCTCTGTCTTGGGAGTAGCCTGGATCACTCCAGTTTTTAGTGGCTCCTTAATCAGCCCTTTATTTCTTATTTTGAGAAACAGACATTTTAGACTGAATAGAATTTCCACCACCATCCCCAACCCACTCCTCCAACACAAGCTCACATTAACATCCACCTTTAATCTAGCTTTGACTCTCAACTCTCCATGTTCTTGTACTTTTCCTCCAAATGTAGGCACTCTTCAAAGTTCAGGTCAGCTGCGGTGGCTCACACCTATAATCCCAGCACTTTGGGAGGCTGAGGTGGGTGGATCACCTGAGGTTGGGAGTTTGAGACCAGCCTGGCCAACATGGTGAAACCCCATCTCTACTAAAAATACAAAAATTAGCTGGGCATGGTGGTGCACAGCTGTAATCCCAGCTATTCCAGAGGCTGAGGCAAGAGAATTACTTGAACCCAGAAGGCAGAGGTTGCAGTGAGCCAAGATCCTGCCACTGCTCTCCAGCCTGGGCAACAGTGAGACTCCGTCTCAAGAAGAAAAAAAAAAAAAGCAAAGTTCAGCCCCCATCCTTCCCCTCTCTTTCATTATACTCTCTTGAAAATTTCTTCTAATTTCACCATGTATCAGTAATGATTAAGTTTGACTACATATAAAAAGCCCAGAAATACCAAAATAGCAGTGACTTACACAAGAAGTTACTTTCTTTCTTATATATAAGAAGCATCAGGGTAGGCTCTTCAGGGTGAGTATGGCAGCTCTACCTACAGATTTACCAAGGACCTCCAGGTTCCTTCCAGTACCCTTATCTGCCATTCTTAGGGTTTGGTCTTTGTCTTTAGCATCCAATTTGGCTGCTGGAGTGCCAGGCATCATGTCCTTTGCTAAAAGCAAACAGCTTGGAAGATAAATATGACCTCTTCCTTTGAAGAAGACTTTCTGGAAGTACCATATACCCCTACTGCTTACATTTGATGTGTCAGACTATAGGCTCATGGATATAGCTAGATGCAAAGAAATATAGTATTTTAGGTACATGGCAACGTACCTGGTTAAAACTTGGAATTCTGTTAATTTGAGAGAGAAGGATAAATGGCCAAACATGGCTTCCGTGATCAACTGTGGACCAATAACTTAAATCTGTCTCTAGCCACAACCTGATCCTAAGTGTAAATTCTCATTTCCAGCCACCTGCTTGATTTCTCCACTAACACCATATCCAAAACAAAGTACCTTCATTGAATCTCATGCATAAAGGAATAAAAAGCTCCTATTTACCTGAAGGCTGTTGATACACACAACAGGAACAACAAGATTATGCGAGTAATTCTCCCTTCACATGGAGAATGACAAATTTGAAAGCCCTGATCAGGCCTCCATCTACTTTTCCAGGCAGATTTCCCCCCTGCACACCCAAGCAAACCCACTAGACTCCAGAGATTCTGTACAATACATAATTTCCTAAACCAAGTGCATTCTTTTGTAAGTCGATGCCTTTGTTCATTCTGTTTCCTCAACCTCTAATGCTTTTATTTTCATCTTTCTTTGGCCAACTTGTATTCATTCTTCTAGGCTTGCAACAAATACTACCTATTCCATGAAGCCTTGTCTGGTTCCCCATGATTGGAATTCATGTTACTTCTTCTTCAATTTATTCAGCAGCATGTTGTTCATCATTCCCTTATGCATCTTTTACAGTATGTCTTGCCCTGTATTTATGCACATCTCATCTGCCATGCTAGATGAGAATCTCGTTGATGGAGGGGGCCAGATTTTACTCATACACACACACACACACACACACACACACACACACACACACGACATCTAGCACTGTTTTTTACCGGGAGTAGGTAGTTAATTCATGTATGCTGGGTAAATGGAAATTAACATGAAAGTAGAAGCTTTAATTAGTCAGTCAACCTCTGAGGGCTAATGATGTGATCCTCCTCTCTGGGAGAAAAGATGCCCTCCAGAGGTAGAGATACAGTGGCAAGTCCAGACACATATCACAAACAGATCTGGGTTGAATTCCTAACTTTCCCACTTACATGCTAGGTGAAATTGATGTCTGTGAACCTTGTACGATAGAGAGAATGGTAACAAATTTACAGTGCTCTTATTATTCAGTGCCAAGGTATATAAAGTGCCTACTGTAGCGGTTAACCAATAGCAGGCATTCAATAACAGTTAGTTTCCTTCCTCACTTTCTATTCCTCTTGAACACCATACTAACAGATAACAGGTAGACTAAGGCATCTTTGCCTGAAAAAAATACATAACATGTATTTTCATGTTGTATGTCTATAAAGATTGACAGAAGATAATAAGATAAAAGTTTTTTAAATAAAAAATTTTTTAAATTTCTGACAGTTTTATCAAAACAACACTAAGGAATTATTTAAAGCCAATAAGAAGATGTATTAAATGTATGAGATTCTGAAAGCAAAAGTTGAGAGGAATGAAAGAGACAGAACAGCAAAGAAACATAAAATCCCAGTGGGAGGTTTTGGACTAAGTAAGGGACTACAACTAGAGCCAGTTTGGAGAAATTATGAACTATATGACTTTATCAAGAAATTACAGAAACCCACATGTCTGTGGATTATCAAACAAATTACTTCACTTGAATACATATTTCTCTGCCTATTTTATAGATTCCATATTGTCCTCCTGCTTGGAGTTGGTAACTCCATCTTCTCTAACTGATTAAATAAAATTGAAAAAGGCCCCTTGTGGATATTCCTTCCTGCCAGAATTGATCTAAATCTGTCCTAGGCAATGAGCCTCTTCCTTGACAAACAGTCTGCCTTGATTAACTTCACAACAAGTTAGTTCCCTTAGAGCGCTCACCCATCTGTAAAACAGGAAATCCTCCTCCCCACCACCCCAGATTACCAATCTGTAGGGCATTTCTTCAAAACTCAATACCTGCTTTCTTTTTGGCAGATTTGATAGGAATCAAGTATTCATTTTACTTAATTATTTCACTGCCAATTGCGGTTATGCCTAAAACTCAAAGATGAAACACCTACAAGCAACATAAGCCTGTTTGCAGGTTTCATTTATCTATGATTTCTAACCTTTGATTCAAGACAGGAAGCACACTGGCCAAGTGTATTGCCATGATGCAGAGCCTAGAGGATTAATAATTCTTTGCAGTTTGTGTCAAATATCCCTGCTAAAATTGGAGGTAACGAGAAATTCCTAAAGACAGATGAGATCTCAACTTTAAAGTTATCACTCCAAACTTAGGTTACAGAACATTTTCCCTTCGCTCTGTGGTTAACTCTTAGTACCATCAAAAGCAGCCTGGGGTCTTGCAGAACAGGAACCTGTCATCTCATCACCTCATCATTCAGAGTAGACTGTCCTTGTTTTTCTCTACAGATTGTACATGCTTTTATTGTTGCATTTAACAAACAAACCAAATAGAAAGAATTTGCTTACAGTACTTTTTTGCCTATTAGTCTCATAAATTGTGTGAAGGCAGAGATACCATCTTGTTCATCTTTTGCCTTCAGCACTGAACACACTATTTGGAGTTCTTAAGAAACACCTAAGAAATACTGGGACCCAGGTAAGAAGAGAAAACAGAGAACAAATAAAGGGACATAGGCCAGTTTCAAGGTGGTCCCCAGACAATTGTAATCATGGTTGTTGAGATTGTGGGATGGAAAAACACAGTCATGGCTTCATATTATGGGCTGATAATTAGAGTTCTGGATCTTGCTGGTTTGAAGTACCACTGGCCAGGGGTCAGTTAGACAGCCTGAATGCCTTTTACCTCTGGTTCCTTGTCTAGTCATCTTCCCCGCATCATCCCAGCTTGCCTTCCACTGGATGCTGACTTTTGTAGCAATAATTAATGTGGCTGAGTTTCTCATGCTTTTCTGCCCAATTTATACACTTCTATCAGAGCTGACTGGCCAACTTCAGGTTTCCCAATTACTTCCTTATCAAAGCCCAGCTTTTGCTAACATGCAAAAAATGGTATCGGGCTGGGTGCAGTGGCTCATGCCTGTAATCCCAGCACTTTGGGAGGCTGAGACAGGAGCATCACTTGAGTCTAAAAGTTCTAGACTAGCCTGGGCAACATGGCAAAACTGCATCTCTACAAAAAAGACAAAAATTAGCTGGCAGTTTGGCGCACGCCTGTGGTCCCAGCTACACAGGAGGCTGAGATGGGAGGATCACTTGAACCCGGGAGGTGGAGGTTGCAGTGAGTCACGATCGCGCCACTGCACTCCAGCCTGGGTGACAGAGTGAAACCCCATCTCAAAAAAAAAAAAGAAAGAAAAAGGACAAAACTGAAAATATGTATATATCAAATAGAAATCTCTCTTTCTTTTTTTCTTCTCAGTAGAAACGTTTCCCTGCCTGTCAAATTGCCCTCAGTCCATACGCATGTTTCGCTGGATGTGCTATTGACTTCCTCCTGGGAACTTTCTCTTGTTTTCTATGAATGTGTCAAACTTCGAACGAGATTTCTCTTCTTCCAAGGAACCACCTTCTGCTTATTAATATAAACAGCCTCTGAGCAGAAAGAAGTCTTCTCCTCAAAACACGTGCCATAAATAGCTACTGAATTCTGTTGAGTGGCTGTGGTTACTCCTGTGAGGACTAATCACAGTTTCATCCTGCAGAGTTCCTGTAATTAGAGTTCGGGACACCCTGGTGTTACTCTAGTAATCTCAAGGAGACTTGTTATATTTGCTAAAAATGCTCCAAGGAGAATTGCCATCAAGCTTTCATTTTGGAAACAAATAGATGTCTGTGAGATTGGAAATGGCTGTGAGATTGGAAACAGGTTTAGAGATGTCATGATATCAATAAAAGAAGAGAAGATTTTCTTCATTTACAGTGTTTGGGAACTAAGTACTAGATTGAAGATTTTCAAGCTCTGATTTAAGTAGACCCAAAATTCTTCTTAGGGACCTGAGGTATGCTCTGCAGTTGGAGTGGAAGAGAAACCAGAAATTCTGTTTCCCCTGTCTGCAATCAAATGTTTTATTTTTATATTTCTAGAAGTTTCCTTTTGAAGAAAAAAAAATGATATATTCTGGTAATAAAATTTTGAAAACATTGCCCATAGATTTTGGTGAGAGAAACAGACAGACTGACAAACAGATAGGTATTGGCCAAAGTAAATATCTGAGACCTCTGTCCATCCTATTGCCACCACTGTACCCAAACCATCATCATTTGGATTACTACCTTTCCCCACTACCTGGGATCTCAACATCCTGTCTTGCCCAATCTATGGTTCTCCAATCCATTCTCCACCCTAAAGCCAGAAAGATCTGTTTTCGATGTAAATCTGATCATCTCACATCTGTTTAAAATCCCCAAAGGCTTCCCATTACTCTAAAAAGAGAAAGTATCCTTCATAAGATCTACAGGATTCTCCATGACCTGGCCTCTCCTTCCCTCTGGTCTCATCTTAGACTATCCCAGACATTGATCTTCTTTCAGGTTTGCTGCCTGCTGTTTCCCACTGCAGAGCCTCTGCCTGTGCAGCTCCCTCTGCCCACCCTGCTGCTCCTGCTGTGCTCAGATTAGACAGCAGCTCCTCTTGGAAGCCTTCCCAACCTGGTCCCTCCAGAATAGTTTCCATTTCTCTCCACTGTATACTCTCATGGATTACTTGCCCATCTGCTTTTTATGATGTGTTGTACTGGTAATTATTTCTTCTACATCTGTTTTGTCTCTAAATTCCAAAAGTGCCTTGTTTCTGTTATTCACACTGTATCCCCAAATACCTAACATAATGCATGGCACATAATGAGCATTTATTGAATATGACTGAAGCCATGATTGCATGGTTTCAGGCATCTAAAAGTTACACTGTATTGACTATTTTCAGAGCAGTCCTACAGCCTCTGATTGCTTTACCAACTGGAAAGATAGTACTGTGGAGTAGAGCAAGGCCCATTGCCCAGTCAGTCCAGCCCAATGGAACATCTTCTGCTCCAAGCTCCCATAGTATTTATTGCCAATAGAACCACTAGTCCCAGATCTGGCACTGAGGAAGGACGAGGTAAATATTGTTAGATAGATCAATATTAAAATAAATGCAAATTTGTACTAAATCATTATTGCATCCCTTAAAAGTTGAGTTGAAACATAGGTTTCTGTGCTGATACATATTATTATTGCAATTTTTTCATGTATCTGTATACCAGCCTCCCTGATATAGGAGTTTTACATATGTTACCTCAATGAATTCAAACAATATCTATTCAGGCAGGATTAGTCTTTAATTTACAGAGTAGGAAACAGAATTTAAGAACCTTATCTATAGCCACAGAGCAAGTAAACAGCAAAACAAGTGTTCCCAAGTCTTACAAACATTTTCCATTATCCTGTTGCCAAACATGTTGTCAATGTTCAGTAAATTAATGAGTGGATGTATGGATGACTTACACTAGGTGCATGGAAAAATGTCCCAGCTTGAAAACCTAAGTGCTAAAGTTTAAAGACTATAGGCCTGGCATGGTGGTTCATTCCTGTAATCCCAGCACTTTGGGAGACCAAGGCAGGAGGATTGCTTGAACCCAGGGCCTCAAGACCAACCTGGGCCAACAAAGCAAGACCTAGCCTCTACAAAACATGAAAACATTAGCCCGACATGGTTACTACTCAGCTACTCAGGAAGCTAAGGCAAAGATCCCTTGAGCCCCAGAGTTCAAGTTTGTAGTGAGCTATGATTGCGCCACTGCACTCTAGCTTGGGTGACTGAGCGAGACTATCCCACAAAAAAAAAAAAAAGAAAAAAAAAGAAAAGATTGTGCTATTGGAATAAAATACTAATAATATTCACATAAACTATAAATACTAAAAGTATAAACATAATGTACTGGATCTCTTTAGGTTTTTTCCTCTAAATTTCTGAACTATTGGCAAATGCTAGGGACATTTTCTACAGACATTTTATTCAGTTAAATAGAGCTACTGAACAGAACCTTACTGGGTGAAAGTCAGACTGCAGCACAGTGTTTCAGCTATCAGCAATTTTTGAACAGTCACTGAGGAAAGAGTACTAAAAGTGTTTGCAAAAATGTGTACAAGAAGAGAAGAGAATGATGAGGTGATTCCAAGTGACTTACAATATGTAATAGCACAACAGCAGCAGCAGCAAACACACACACACACACACACACACACACACACACACACACACACACGGTGCTTACTTCTTACTTTGTGCCAGGTACTGATCTGAGGGCTTTTCATCTATAATTCATTAATCTTCACAACAACTTGTGAGATAGTTTCTACCATGTTTTATTGAATCTAGGTTGTCCTTGATTTTAAGATGTACCCTATGTGTTACCAAAAAAGGAAAAATTCTGCCAATTCAATTATGAGATGGCATTGATAGTGGAAAAACATCTTGATTTTAGACATAAAAATTTTAAAAAATCTTAGAGTTGATGTCATACAATATTTTAATCCCATTTTACAGATGGGGAAACTTCAAGAGACCAAACAAGATGAGGCAATTTTCTGAAGTTCAGACAGTTTGTGTTCTGAATTTAGTTCAGTTCAGTTTAGCCTGGTTTTGTGAGCACCTTTTCCTCTTTGCAAGGGGCACAGAGATAAGTAAGACTTCACCTAACTCTCATGAGTCAAGAAGTCTAGAAGGAAAGATACACCTACAGATAAATCAACTGAAATGTAGCCTGCTAAGCATAAGAATAAGACCACATACAAGGTTACAATGTGGCACAGAGAGTGGAAGAAATAGCCTTCTCTTGATAGATTCAGGAAGGATTCCCAGAGAAAGTCATGGTTTTCAAAAAATGAAAGTTGCAGAATTTTTTATATTGATCAATACTTCTACTTTCATAACAATGTTAGAAAAAATTCTTGGCCAAAGAATTTGATTTGCACTTTATAAATTGTGGTCATGTGTGTCTACAAGAAGAAAAGCTGTTCAGTGGTCCAGCTCATGTGCATGTTTCCAATGAGACTTAGGAAGGGGGAGAGGCTGAAGGAAGGAAGCTGAGCCCTCAAGAATATGAGATTACTATATTACAGAGGCGGCTTCCACTAAGAAAATGCCTAAAGATCAGGCTGCTTAGTAGGTAGGGGTGGGCAGATGTGCTACCACCCCTCTGCTAGTAAATCTGGATGAATCATCTCCCCATTCACCAACTTCTTTATGAGCACCTGATGAGGCTTCCTAGGAGCTCTACAATCCCAGAGCAGCACCCTATACTAATTCCTAACATAGCACATATGAGACTCAACTGTAACTGTATTTACAGGCTTTGCACTTGTTGTTCCCTCTGAGATCACTCTTTCCTCAGATGCCTGTATATCTAACTCCCTCACCTCCTTCAAGCCTTGCCTCAAACATCTCTTTTTCAGCGAGTCCTACCTTAAAAAACACCCCATTTGAAAATGCAGCCTTCACTGTCACCATAGCCCTACTCTATTCCAGAATCCTGATCCCCCTTACCGTGCTCTATTTTTAACTTTTTCCATAGCAACAATCAACTCCTAACCTATCATACTATTTGCCTATTTATTATGTTTATTGTTTTTTGCCAATCTCGTTTTACTAGAATGTAAAATCCATGAAGGCAGGAATTTTTATCTGTTTTTATTCACTGATAGATCCCAAGCTCCTAGAACCATCACTGACATACAGTAAATGCTCAAAAGTATTTGCTGAATGAAAATGAGTAAGTGGCCAAATGAATGTACCTTCTTACCCATATTCCCAACCAAACATCAAGCTGTACAACTGTAGGAAGAAAGCCTTTGCTGAGTCCCAACAAACTATAGAGTGCCTGGCACATAGTAGAGACTATGAAAATAATATCACATTTAATATTTAAATGAATATTATCTCATTTCCATCTGTGGGAATTTGATTACATTCTGAACTCAATGCTTTTGCCTGGGTGAGTAAGGAACCATATGTCCTCTCTATCTCTAGTCAACAGGTGATAATGGGAAACTTTACGGGCATATGAGATTTAGAAGGGTAAGTTCCCTAATTTCAGGTCTTCTCCTGCTACAGTACAGCCTGTAGTTTCCATCCAGTTTTCTGAAAAATCATAGGCAAAGTAACAAACTCAGTATTGGGGCAGGCAAAGTGATTGCCCAACTGTCTGATATTGTGGTGTGTAAATGTCATTACTTACCCTGATGAGCTGCTATGATGGTACTAAGGATTTGGAGGAGTCATTTCAGATGCTCTTGAATGTCTTTCTCCCGTTTTTCATATACTCATGAGTAAAACGAGTTTTATCCAGCACCTCTGCTGAGCTAGGGACCGTACTAGCTTTATCATTTGTCAGTCCATAAACACTTAAAAGAGTGCTACTGGATAGCAGAGGTAGGCTTAAGTTGTTTATATTCCAGTGAGTAACAGTAGAACCAGGGTATAGAATTTACAGGGGAAAAAATTTAGATTTTTTTAGACTCAATTAACAAATATTGAGTACCTACTGGATTCTAAAAGCTCTCATGTGTAATTCTTATAAGGACCCTGTCGGACAGGGATTCTTGCCCCTCATTTTTCATATACAGAAGCCCAGGTACAAAGATATGAAGTAATTTGCTGAAAATCATACTGCAGCTTAAAATAGTGAGCTAATATTTGAATCCAGGACTATCTGAGTTTACCATCTCATGATCTTCACGAGTCATGCATATATAAACTTAAATGTTTGAATGATAATCGACTATTAGCAATAATAAAATTCCATGCCAGGTTATTTCTTCTTTTTCCCACCCCAAGCTTACTAATTAATGGCAGTAAAATACTGAAAGGTGAATATCAAAGCTTGATCTACATTTTTAGCCCAATTCAGAAATAAAAGACTGTAATCAGGGCTGTGTCAGCTTCTCTGAAATATCTCAGTTAACATATCTCAATTGCCTTATACACAGACCCAGAACATAAGAGCTCTTGAAAGTGTCATAAAACCTGGGCTGTTCATCCAAGCAGTCTTCCTCTTACCCACATTTAATTTTTGAGTAGCAAGCTGATGGCATTTGGGGGAAAGGAAAATGATTTTAAGATGATTAATCTTTGCAGCTTCACCCAGCCCTGAAACCTGAAATGCCATTCACTGTGGTCCAGTGAGTTCTGGCTCTGCGCAGGTTCAGATTTGCCTCTGTTTCCCTCAGATAAGAGACTTATGAGTCAACATTGGAGCTCAGCCAATCTGACAGACTGCCAGGACAGCCTGAAAGAGAAGGTGGGCTCAAATGGGCCCCGTCCCTGGAGACTCTGATGACTTGTCCAAAATGATCAACATGCAAGCCCCCGGACATGTGAAATCTGCTCATACCACATCTCTTGGTGAATTGGGAGCACTGAGGACTTAAGAGAGAGAAAGAGAAAGTTGTTCCCCCTGGAAGTTATGCTTCTTCCCTGATTATACTCTAAAAGCTATAGCTGCAGGGAGGCCCAACCTGTAAGGGCTTCTGGTTGGTGTCCAATTAGTTCTATCTGCAGTCATGACAGTGATTGCCTGATTTTTTAGGAACAATAGAAATGGACATTTGCCAACACCCTCAAAACATAGAAGCAGTCTGTTGTAATACGAAGAGTATCTTTAAATAATACCAATCTGCTTTATAAGGTTGATTAAGTGGTATAACCCATGTCATACAATCCACAGAACATAATAAATCTTCCCTTCGATAAAATGAGAATAATGCCTACATTTTGGGAGCTATCTTTTGGGTCACAGTTGAATACATCCTAGAGAAATGCAGTTGGTCTATTAATTATTATAGAAGCTGAAGCCCATAGAGGTTAAGTACCTTACTCAAGATCACATAGTGAATTATGTTGAAGCCAGGACTAGAAATCTGCACTCCTAACTCCATCTAAGCTTCTTTTTACTTCCAGGGTGCCTCCTCTGTTTTCAAGACAAATATGCACTAAATGCACGAGTGGACGAATGATTGTTTTTAAGAAGATAATACAAATAGAAAATTGTGATTTTTATAAAATAAGAGCAACTAAAGTTTAGATCTCTCTGCTCCCAGCATCCTTTCCCATACCCCTCTAGTGAGAAAATGTTTTGAAGAAGTTTACTACATATGCATTTTTATGTCACATTTGTAAAAACACCATCCTTATTTCATCTCCCTTCCAGTACTTGTGGGACACTTGCTCATCTTTAGAGTAGAGAAGAGGTGAAGTAAAGGAACTTTTGTTTTGCCAGTTATTATGTGAAATGCTC
Source organism: Homo sapiens (assembly GCF_000001405.40). Lineage (NCBI taxonomy): Eukaryota > Metazoa > Chordata > Mammalia > Primates > Hominidae > Homo > Homo sapiens. Next base: position 83,549,454 of record NC_000011.10, on the reverse strand, counting down.
TTCCTTTATCATCTCATTGAATCTCTGCAAATATGTGAGATGTAGGAATGACAAACCTCATTTTATAGATAAAACTGAAGCTCAGATTACTCCACTTATTTTCTCAGTGACAATCAGCTAGAAAGAGTGGACTGACTTAACCGTGTGTTTCTTCATTCCAACATCTATGCTTCTTGCACTATTCATATGTGCTTACCTTGACAATGTGAAAATGGGTCATATGTGTCCAAGCCAGGCACAGTGGGATGGAGCAGAGAGCAGACTTTATTTTCCGTTGCTAGTGTTCTTTCTCTTGCTGCATAGAAAGGTGAGGACCAGGTCTCCTCTAATCAAGCAGAGGCCTCAACTTCAAGAAATGAAGGAAATTGAGTCAAAGCACTCTGTTCCTTGCATCTTAATGTTGTCAGGAAAGCAAAGGCCTCCCTAGACCAAACAAGTTCACAGCACAGAAGGGAGTAATTTGCTGATTCACTTGTTCATTTATAAATCCATCTGTGAAAACTCTGTGCTGAGACTTGGTCTGGGAGCTCCTGATGTTGTTTCTGATGTAGTAAAGGAGATAAGACATATTCCCACTCAAGACTAGAAGCTGTAGGCTTCCCAGAGAGGTAAAAGAGCAGAGTGATTTGCAATTTTAGAGAAGGAAAGGCTGCTTCTTCTGTATCTCAGCTTCTTTATCTTAAAATACGGAAAATTATATTTATCACATAAGGTTTTTGTGAGAATTAGAATTAAAACCTTAGTTCTTAACTTCTTTATCTACAAAATAGAAATAATCATACCTATATCTCAAACTGTTTACAGGGATTCAATGAGATGGAATTACATAAATGTACTTTGCACACAACCTGGCCAATAACAGGCACTCAGTGGGTTGTTGTTGTTGTTGTTGCTGAGTAGTTGTTTTATTCCAAAGAATCTTTGACAGAATCCTCAAACTGGTGGCCCTTGTCTTCTACCTGCCCTCTATTAAAGCATGTTGTTTCTTGTCCTCTGTTTTAGCTTTACATTACTGCCGTGACAAATTTGCTTCCTCCATTTTCAAATCTTAGCAATGGCACTCAAGTCCTTTTCATGTTCCATCTCTATTCTGCCTTTCTCTTCTAGTTTTAAGGACTCATGTGATTAGACTGGGCCCACCCACATAATCTAGGATAGTCTCCCCATCTCAAGACCCTTGACCTTAATCACATCCACAAGTTTCCTTTGCCACATAAGGCTCTAGAGATTCAGGCGTGAACATCTTTGGAGAACCATTATTCTTCCTACCACAGTCTGCCCTCTGGCCCCCAAAGATTCTTCTTTTCACATAACTACAGGGCGTAATTCTACTAAGCTTTCCACCACTGTGTAACCAGGATCCCTTTCCTACAGTTTCCAATGACATGCTTCTCATTTCCATTTGAGCTGTCACCCTCAGCATTCTCCAAGTCCAGATTTCCATAAGAAGTATTTAAAGCTTCACTGGAAATATCCTTAAAGTCTGTATTTCTGCAATCTCTTCTTAGAAGCAATCTAGGTTTTCTTCTATCATGTTCCTCAACATTCTTCTAGCCTCTGTCCACTTCCCAATTCAAAAGCCATTTCTACACTTTTAGGTATTTGTTACATAGCACCTCACTTCCAGTACCAAAGTTGATATTAGTTTTCTATTGCTACCATAACAAATTATCACAGAACTAATGACTTAAAACAACACAAATTTATTATCTTATAGTTCTGTAGGTCTGGTACAGATCTCACCAGACTAAAATAAAGCTTTCAGCAGTCTGTAACCCTTCTAGAGGCTCAATAGGAGAATTGTTTTCTGCTCATTCAGGTCATCATATGGTTGTAGGACTAAGGTGCCTGTTTTCTTGATGGCTGTAACCTAATAACCATTCCCAGTTTGTAAAAGGCCACCATTTTCCTTGGCTTGTGGTCCTCTTCCTCTAACTTTGAAGCCAGCAGTGGTGGGTCAAGTCCTTCCCAAGTCATATCTCTCTGATCCATTCTTTTGTCTTCCTCTTCCACTTCTAAGGATTCATGTAATTAGATTGTGTCCACCCGGATAATCCAGGATAATCTCCCCTTCTCAAGATCCTTAACCTTAATCACATCTCCAAGTCCCTTTTGCTATATAAGATAACATATTCATAGACTCTGAGAATTAAAGTGTGGACATTTTGGGGGAGTGAGTTAAGGATATTATTTCTCCTATCATATCCTTGTTAACTATGAAACACATCAAATAATTTTTCCTATTCTTAGTGATACTGTCTTTCCATCCTCATCATTCGCTGCTATCCTAGCTTTAAAGTGGTATAGCCAAAACTAAATTCCCTGGTCTACATAGTAAACACCAATACTTTTAAGGTCCATGATTGTTAAATATTACCTCAGTCTAAGCCAAGTGGAGAGTGTGAGTGTTTTGAGCTGGAAAGAGTTGCTTGCAAAAGAGCATAGAGGTTGGTATCGTAGGAAATTCATAGGTCTTAGAAGCAGACAGGCTTTGAGTCCTGCCCCATCACTTGATAGATGGCATGACATTGAACATGTTGTTTAAATTATCCAAATCTGTATTTCCTCTTCTATAATACAAGGCTAATATATGCACTGCAGGATAGCTGTGAGAATTGAATGTGTCCTCTAAAAACTACTCATGCATCTTTTTTGCAGGCTAGTCCATAGTATCACTATAAGTGTTATCATCAAATCATGAAATCCTTAGGTATAAGATCTAAGTACAACATTTCTTATCAGGAATTCCAAGAATTCTAAGATTAGGAACATGAGCTTTTGAGTGAGACACATCTACCTATACTTTAATCCTGGTTCTGCTACTTAGTATCTTATTTTCATTTCAGCTCTTTATATCTCATTTTCTTTATGAGACCAAAAATGCTTACATGGCAGAATTGTTGTCAGAAATAATAACAAAGAGGAACTCACCTGTGTTGGGTACTTTACATGTGTCATCCCATTGTCGTATCTCCGCAGCACCCTTTTGCGTTAGTGCCATTACTATCTGAATTTCCTAAATAAGAGAATGGCCATCTATGGTAAAGTGGTTATCTAAGAGGTTAAGTAACATGCCCAAATTATACAGTTAAGAATGGCAGAACTGGGACATAAACCCAGCTCTCCTCTGTCTTGGAAGCCTGGCATATAACCCATATGCTATGTTGCCTACCCAATAAATTGAGTGAGACAATGAATATAAAATGCTTACTACATTGTGCGACACCTAAAAAGCACTATTTTGTTAGGGTACCCAGGTATCTCACAGCCATGTTGCATAGTCATGAGGATGAGCAGCTGCTTCACTCTTCCCTTACTAGACTTCCCCAGTTGGCAAGGGGCCACCACACATTGAAATTCAGGAGGGGTAGGAGGGATGGGAGAGTTGTTACATTATTCATGTCCAATTCTATTTGTCTAATGGCCTTGCTAAAAGCACCCTGGATGGAAAGTGTGAGTCTTAATGGCATTTTATAAAAGTTGCTGTGATGAATTAACACATAAAGCAAATTAAAAACAGCTTATCGCTTGTTAAATTAGGTGATGGGGCACTGTAGCATTTTTCCCAGATGTGAGGATCCATTAATATCCAAAGGAGCCAGAAGCTGCTGAAATGTGTCAGCTGCTTGGTTTTAGGGACCTGACAAGTCTGAATAAATGTAATCCTAGAGGGGCAGATTGTCCAAGATCAATAGAGCTCGTGGAAAGAACCTGTTGCTGAGCTCCTCAGGAAGGACACCTGCAGCTAACAGCAGGAGTGGGAAAGTTCCCCTTAAGGACTCTTGGGAATAGAAGAACACAGGCGAGTGAATGTCTGACCTGGTAGGGACCTCCAGGAATAGTCCCACCCCCACTTCAAATGGGAATGCAGAGACATGAAAGAAGACGGGCTTTCAAAAGTCACCTGAAACATTTTCACAGACCTGTATTGAGGGTCTACTTTGGGTCCGGCACACTACCAGGTCCTGAGGATACAGAGATATTTTAGATGTCTTTCACATAGTCCAGAAAACAGCTTTTAAGTGGCACAATTGGCACACAGATCCCCTGATTCAAATTCTAATATATTTTTCAGAATAACAGTTATTATAATAATATCTTACATTTATTGAGCCCTCACTAGTGCCAGGCTAGTGTTACAATACTTTACATATATTATTTCATTTAATCCTCACCATAACTCTTTTGAGATAGATGGTGTTATGATTTATGCCAGTTTTACAGTTAAGAAAATCTGAGGCCCAGAGGGGTTAAGTAACTTGCCTAAGATCACATAGTTAAAAAACTGCAAACCTAGGCAGTCTGGCTCCAGAGCCTGCCTCCTTGGCTACTACTTGTTAGCCTTTCTGATGGTTTCTCTACCTCAACTCCCCATAGTTTACATCCAGAAGGAGCCTGGAGTCAGGCCAGCAGTTCAAGGACTTTGGGGATAAGAAATACTTGGACAAGGACTGAGCAGTAAGGGAGTTTCAGGAATTTAGGGAAGAAGCAGTTGTCAGCCCTGAAGGGAAGGTTAAAAGTCTTTGGCACTGCTAGATCGTGAGCATGGCCAGAGGGCAACAAGTGGGGAAATTGAGCCACATAATAAAATGGCTAAGGAAGCAGATTTTGGAGTCAGATACACCTCATTTTATATTCAACCTCCACCACATGTGTATGTGTGACCTGGGCCAGGCTCCTTAACTTCCTGAGCCTCCTTCCCTCATCTATAAAGTGGGGATACTAATTTTTACCTTTAGGGTTGCTGTGACATCAAATAAGACGATGACTATGAAGTGCCAGACCACCTAATAAGGGCGTAAGTAGTAGTAGCCATCATGGTTATCATCTTCAACACCTTATCATCACCACCTCCCAGGATGAATGAGGGGGCAAGGTGAAGAGCACTGAACTAGACTTGGATCTGGAGACCCAAGTTCTGGTCCTAGGTTGCTGCCACTAAGCTATATATTCTGGAGTTAGTCAGTGGGCCCCACTAGATCTGTCCCTCATCTTTTAACAACAACAAAAAAAAGTGGGGAGGATAGTACTATGTCTGTCATACCTTCTTCACAGCAACTGATTGAGTCACAATAAGGTAACTTTTGTGAAAATGCTTTGCAATCTATAGAGAGTGTGTTGGGGTTCCCCAAGACAACTCCCAGGTTGATGACTCACTAGGATAGTTCACAGGACTCAGCATGATCATGCTCATGATTATGATTTATTACCACAAAAAGATATGAAACTGTCAGATAAGGGAGCAGGACCATAGGACAAAGTCTGGAAAAAATTAGCTGCAAGTTTCCGAGAGTCCTCTCTCAGTAGTGTCACACAGGAAGTGCCTAATTCTTCCAGCAACAAATTGCGACAACAGGTGCGAAATGTTATCTACCAGGGAATCTTATTAGAGACTCAATGTCCAGGTTTACTGGGGGCTGGTCATGTAGGCAGCCTCTGCCTAGCACATACCAGAATATCAGACTCCCAGAAAGAAAGCAGGTGTTCAGTATAAATGATATTGTTTGTACAAACAGTTTAGGCACAGTAAGCCATTCTTATGAGAAAATGGTGGGAACCCTCCCAAAATCTAACTTTCCAGATGTCAGCCAAGGGCCACCCTTACAAGCAAGAACAGCAGTCTCAGGCCTGCTACATTAACTCCTTTTTGCACAGAGTAGAATCTATAGAAAAGATTTGTATTAGCCTCTACCCAAAAGGAAAAAGGGAGATAATAATAATAACATTAGTTCATACTTACTATTTGTCACTGTGTGCCAGGTCCATTTGTACATGCTTTATATATATTACCTTATGTAACATTTTACCCATACAGCAACTCCATAATGGAGGTATTGCTATCATCATTGTCATCATTATCACTATGTTGTATATGAGGAAACTGAAGCCTGAAAGAGACTAAGTAACTTGCCCAGCTGACTAGCTGTAAGACTAAGACATAGTAGGAGCAGGACATGGACCCAGTAGTCCATATTCATAACCACACTGTAATACACTAGACTGCACATACTATAGGCTTAATGCTGCATATGTGTTATTTCATTAAGGATCACAGTAAATCTAGGTGAATGTTGTTACTAGACTAATTTTGCATCAAAAAACCTGTGGCTCAAGAATGTTAACTAATATATGTCACATCACAGGATCAAAGAAGTGATAGCTTCAGGAGTGGGCATTGGCCTTTCCCCAGCTCCCTGTTCCTGACTGGTACTTTGTCTGAGCCTTTGGCAGGGGTGGTCAAGGTGAAAATGATTCATTCCGGGAGCTTGGACCAAGAAACCCTCTCCAAATTCCATCTCTGGGAGACAGTGTTAATGAAAGAAGGGACTACGTTGCAATTAATTATACTTTTCCTGCTGTGTTTGAGAGCTCTAGATGCTGTCTTCAGCTCTTTCTTGTTGCCATGGCAGCAGATGTGACATTTCTTTGATGGGCAAAAAAAAGAAGAAGAAACCACACTTGGTCCTCAGTGTGGAAAAATCTAAAATAAAACAAATTTTTTAGAAAAATCTGTTCCCCAGATCTTGCTAGTTTTGCATACATAGTGGTTATACTCTAAGGAAATTCTTAGAATGAAATCAAAGGGGAATAGATAGACAGGTAGTGAAATCTGCTTCTCTGGGAAAGTCATATGCTGTATGTGTGGGGTGGTGATTTTTGAAAATGGGATATACAGCAGGATGTGGACAATATAGGAGTGGTGGCAAATGTTCACCTCTTAATGATGACAGCTAGTTTCTAAGGTCTGGTTCATCATTTTGATTCTGATTCCACCTCCCTCATGCTGCCACTCATACATATTACAGTGCATTGGCCTTAACAAATGCTTAGCAAATGCTTTTTAGTGGGGGCAGCATGATACAGAAAGCAATTGTAATTCACAGATAAGTGCCATGATGAGGTAAGCTAGGCATCGTATGGAAGCACAAATATTTGTCGTGTTGTTTATATGATTTTTGTCTATCCATACACACACATACGCATAGATTTTTTAATTTACTGCATTTTAAGCATGTATTCAGGTGATTACATTAACCTCTTCATCCAGTTGCAGTGGTGGTCCAATATTTCATTGAGTGGAGGAATCACCGCCTACTATGGGTGGACATTTGTTACCATTTTTTCCCATTATAAAAGAAACAGTTCTACAGGCTGATACATCTGAGATGATTTGTTTACAGTACAAAATGCTTCATTTAGAAATATAGCCATGTTTCTCTTTATTATTTTACTTTTTTTAGTAATTTTAAAAATTTGATTGTAATGGGAGGGGAAAAAAATCTCAACTAGGTAGTAAAGTACCTTTCTTATCTTCTATTATCACCTTCTAACATCTGATGGTCTCCAAGAAAAGAAGCAGATCTCAGTTTGGGGGAATCTATAGGCCACCCCTGTAACCTCCAAGAAGAAGCAAGAACTAACTTTAGTGTGTTGCCAAAGCAGTGAGAGTGTGGACTGTGATCCAGGGAATCATTCCGGGAGTTGATATCAAGTGATGATAGGTTCTCAGAGCAAGAGCAAACATTTGAAACCATAAATCCTAAATCTGTGCTGCCAGAGATTCCTAACAATGTCCTCTTTTGTCCTTTCCTCCAGAGCCATGTTCGACTACGACAAGAGCAAGGACAGTGGGCTGCCAAGTCAAGGACTTAGTTTTAAATATGGAGATATTCTCCACGTTATCAATGCCTCTGATGATGAGTGGTGGCAAGCCAGGAGAGTCATGCTGGAGGGAGACAGTGAGGAGATGGGGGTCATCCCCAGCAAAAGGAGGTAAGAATGCCTTTTGTACTAGAATATTTGCTTGTCAGCTATCCAGCGAGTGGAGATGAGGGAAGAAGAAGGTGGGAGAAACTGTTCACAAAATTAAATTTATTTAAATGGGATAGTCAATCTGCAGGAAAATTGTCAGTGGTGACAGGTGACATGAATTAAAAATCCTCTTTTTCCTATATTAGGGTTTTACCAAAATTGGTGACTGTGACAAGAAATAAAGGAAGAAAGAGGATCAGCTTACACTGTGTTCCTAAAACTTTTACCAGTGTGTGCATGTGCAAACTTGTGCTTATCAGCTCATATGCCGACTTACAAATTCAGTCCATTTATTTCCAGAGTTTCAACATTTACCAATGAATGTTATAGAAAGGCCAAGTCGAAGGCAAATGAAGTAGGCAATTTACTAGGCTAAGGTCCTGGCTGTGTGATATCTCCAAATATTAGTAGAAAAAAATGGAAAACCTTCATCTCAAATTCAGGTGCTTGGGATGTGAGCTGTCAAACATCTGGTGAGGTCTAAGGACTGGGTTTACAATTTTTTTTCTTTTTTTACTGTTTTCTTTACTCTTGTTCCCCACCTCACAACTTCCAATAGCCACCAAGATATTTAGTTCTGTGTAAGTGTTTCCTAAATCAAGAGTATCATGCTTTCTCTTCCAAGCATTTCTTCAGCTCTGCTTTTGAAAAGCAGAAATGTGCTTCAGAACAGCCAACTCCTTAATCTGTCCCAGCAGATCCATCACCAGACAGGAACTTTCCTTCTCACAAATGTCCCTTTGGCACCAAGATGTCCAAGAAACAGAAATTGGCTGTATCCCAGAGACTAGATATAGTACAAAATCAGTCAGGAATTATGCTTAATAAAAGCAGGCACTAGCTTTTCTCAAGCTGCAGATTTCTCAAAGGGCTTTGATCCTCATCTCCAAACACCCAAAATGCCTTTGTAAAATATTCCCAGTGAAGCTGGGCATTCAAGTGCTACTACACATCAAGTGATTGAGCTAGTACAAACCATAATGGGGAGATGGAACTTAAACCTCAGAATAACTCTGTGGGGTATTTGTGCTCCCGAGACAACTGATCCTCTCTTCTCTCTGCCTGTGGTCGCACAGCCTGGGAAAGAATGGGACATGGAAAGCAGAGGGCTCACTGGTCCTCAGCTGTTCTCTTACCTTTAGCCAGGAGGAGTCACAGTGAAGGTGCCGAAATTCCAGGGAGCCTCTCCCTCCCCCATGCCAGTGCCTATAGATCTCCCACCAGCAGAGTTCTCTGGGTTTCTTTAAGCCTCTTGGCTCCTGGATAATTGCCTAACATTGCTTTTCCAGGGCATTCTGACTGTAGAATGGCTGTGTGTGTTTTCTGAAAGGTTACATGTTTAAAGCATTGACTCAGCACTGGCTTGTTTATATTCCGGGTCTCTCCATTTCCATTTACTTCAAATAAAATGTCAAGACAACGTGCATTTTGGTTTGCTTTGATTTAATTATTTTGAGCTGTCTGAAGAGCTGTTCTCTAGAAGAAAGAGCCATCTTGTTGAATTATGGCCCCAAAGATAGTAATGGGGTGGAGGAAGGAAAGCTATGCGGAAATAGATGTCAGGTCATTTTAAAGAAATCCTCTCACTAGTTGGAGCTGCCTAAAGATGGCATGGACTATCTGGGAAGATAGAAAAGGGATTCAAATTTTGGATACAGGGGTTGAACTATACAGTTTTCTGACTCTTTCCAACCCTGAGGTTCTATGATTCTAACCAATCTTATCAAGTCATTTGTTTGTTCAATTAGCTCATCATTTTTCTCCAGAAGAACATTCTCAATGCTATTCCTCCTGAATAATTTTCCACCTGCTGGTAATCATTCTTGAATTAGCTATTTCTCTCTTATTTTGGAAGAGAACCATCTTAACAACCAGAGTATAGCTGACCTGGAAAATAAGTTTGATTAGTGACTGCAAGGTTGATATTTATTTACATTCTACTTTTTATGAAGGGTGCAGTAGCTCCACCTCATATATATAATATATATTATATACATATAATGTATAGCTGTAAATACATTTCTGCCAAATTTTCTTTTTAGGATTTTAATTATTTTCAAAATAGTTACTTTTATTCCTTTAAGTATTTGTAAAAGTAATACCTTTTATTGTAGAAAGGTGGGAACATTTAGAAAAACATAAAAATCACTTACAATTCTACCCCACAAAGAGTACCCATGTACTTATTTTAATGTAATTTAAAAACGTACATTTATTAGGTTGATGTTATTTTTCAATCATTAATTTCTTTCTAGCCTGTTTCTTGAGTATAATTTACCTAGTAGTGCTGATCTGGAAAATTTTTTAAATCTTATAATGGATAACATCAGTGTATGACTTTATATCCTTTTCAAAAATGTTTCTCTATTGATAATGTCATTTAATCATCCCAAATGAAACCATGAGATGAAGAGTATGAATATTATCACCTTCCCCCTCCTTTTTTCTGAAGATGGTGAATAAATTTTATTGAACAAAACATTCCTGTTGCACGCTAGACACTGTTGTAAGCCCTTTACAATTATTAATTTATTTAAACCTCATTAGAACCCTATGAGTAAGTTGCTGTTATTATCCTTATTTTACAAATGAGGAGATTGAGGCACAGAGAGGTTCATTAATGTGCCTGAAATTGCCCGTGTAGTAAGTGGCAGAACTGGAATTTGAATCCAGGCTACAGAATTGCACTTAAGACATATGAAATCTTGCCCCCTACAGATACAAAAATAAGAGCTAGCAAAATTCAATTCAGCAAGCATTGCTTGGGCAGCATCTGAGTGCCACGTACTATTGTTGGTTCACTACCTGGAGCCCATCACTTGTGGGACCAACATGTAACTGTGGCACAGCTACTCTGCGATTAGGGCAATGCAGGCTATATTGTAAAGGCCAGGAAAGTGAAACGGCAGCAGACAGAGAGTGAATTCCATCTGATAACAGCACTGATCATGTATTGCACCAGGTGCTTTCAAATACATCATTTCAATTTAATCTACACAAAAACCTCATAAGGAAACTGAGGATCAGAGAAGTCGAGTAACTTACCCAAAAATACACAGCCAGCCACTGACCAAACACCAGTCTCTTTGATAGCAAAGCCAGGTGGCTTTACACTACACCAGGAACAAACTACCCTAGGAGCATATGCCAAGGAAGGAAATAGAAAGTCAGATAATTCAAGTAGCTTGCCAAAATTACAGTGGCAGCAGAGGGCTAAGCCTAGATTCAAACACATGCCTTTCTGATGTCTCTATGAGCAACTGCAAAGGTTTGGGGCTCTTCTTGGCCCTACAGCTCTCAAGTCTGGTGGCAGGGTCTTTTAAGAGAGAAAAATGGAAGTCCATGTCTTGCTCCCACCTAGCATAAAGGGACTGACTTGGCAGTGAGCACCTGAAGTAGGGTACCTGTATTACTTCCTTTTTACAAGTAAGGAAACTGGGACCAGTAATGAGAAGTGACATTATGGGCAGCGTTATCATAATCATCTTTGTAGCAGCCTTTTGTATAGTGAGTTATTACTATAGATCAGACATTGTGCTAAACAATTTTCTTGTATTATCTCATTTAACATTCATTATAAATTTTTGAAGTCTGCGCTACTATTCTAATTGTATCAACACAAAATCTGAAATCCTAAGAGGTTGAGGACCACCCTAAATTATAGACCTAGTAAGTGGAAGAGGCAGAATTCAAACCCAGGCTTGTGTGACTTTAAAATCTGGACTCTTAGCATAGAATCACTTTTCTGAGATTATGTAGTGTATAAGAGGCCAAGCTGGGTTTTGTTCCATGGTATCTCTCTCTCTCTTTTTTTTTTTTTTTTTTTTTTTTTTTTGAGACAGAGTCTCACTTTCGTTGCCTAGGCCGGAGTACAATCCCAACTCACTGCAACCTCCACCTCCCGGGTTCAAGCTATCCTCCTGCCTCAGCCTCCTGAGTAGCTGGGATTACAGATGCCCACCACCATGCCTGGCTAATTTTTGTATTTTTAGGAGAGACGAGATTTCACCACATTGGCCAGGCTGGTCTCAAACTCTTGATCTCTGGTGATCTGCCCGCCTCGGCCTCCCAAAATGCTGGGATTACAGGCATAAGCCACCGCGCCTGGCTGTCCCATGCTCTCTTAAGCCAAAGAGATTATTCATTGTTCCCTAGTGACTGGTCACTTGGGCTCTCAGATGGCAGCATATGGCTGGCATTATATAAGAGTTTACTCACCTAGCTGTCACAGCAAGCCTGTGGCCACTAATGTGGGTGACATTCTAATTCTCCCTCCAACAGGACCTGTGGAGCATAGGGATAGGAACTCCGAAGGACAAATGATGTTCCCACTGTCCAATGCTCCAAGCCTGACCCAATTATGGGTTTGGCCAGAACCTAAAAATACCAGATGGGAGAGAGGGAGAGGAAGACAGTTGGGCTTATTAAAGCATGGCCATTTGGTGCTCTCTAGAGATGTGAAATGTCAGAATTGATTGCTCAAATTTTGCCATTCCATTTATGTTTTTGGTATTTTGGTCAGTGATGAGACTTGGACAGGGAGGATTATTTCTGCTCAAACAATCTAATTAATTGCTTGAGTCTAAGTGTGAGTGGGGAAGGAAGGCAGTTGTTGTCATTGAGATTTGGTCTGTCTCTTCAGGTGGTCCACAATTTCTTTAGGTGAAAGCCTTTGGACCTTAATATTTACTAGCCAAAGAAGTCTTACTCAGTAAAACAATAAGAAAAAGTGATGCTAGACTTTTACCTAGATTCTTACCGGGAAAGTAAGTTGTGAAATGGCAAATCACTTTTTATGGGAAAAACTGGTTGTTCAGCAATTCACTTAAACTCCCTGACCTGATTGTTTTCACAATTAGGTAAAGAACTAGTAGCCCCCTTGAGAGTTTATTTATTTACTCATTCAACAAAGTCTCATTAAGCATCTACTATGTACCCAGCTCATGTCAACCCCTGGATTATAGCTATTATAGGTGAAGTGCTTAGCACAGTTTCTAAAACTTAGTGTACATTCCAATAATAGCTGTTTTCCATTTTTCAAAATTTGAGCTTTAGTTGCCAGAAAAAAAAAAAAAAACACCACGTTATTTAGACCCCTATTTTCCAGACTTAACTCTCATTTCAACAGTAAATCATTCACATGCATCCCAGAAAGAGCTAGGAGAGAGGAAAGGGCTGAGGCAGATGAGGAAGCTAAGCCACAGACATAGCCTCCCTCTCAAGGAAAGAGGTTTGCAGAGAACCCCAAGAAGCAGTACTGCAAGCCTCTGTGATGGGAATGCACTATTAGGGTTGCTGGTGTGCTGAGGAGATGGATCAACTCAAATAGGGATTTAACTAAGCAGATTTCCATGTTTAAAGTAAATTTATTCTGAATTTTGAGGTCAACTTCTTGTGGTATGCTACTAACTCGATTGTATGCTTAAATTTGGTTGTGGTTTATTTAATAATTAATAATATTCATAGCATTCAGGACATTAGGGAGATGGGGATGCAAGGGTACATTGGTTATCATTTGTGAAAACCTCAGCCTAGACTTCTAAGGATATGTATGTGCCTTCATACTGTGGAAGCTGCTCCAAAAATCTCACGTTTGTTGAGAATTTGGATAATGCAGGCTTGGGAGGTACCTGAATGCTGTTTCCCAAACTGAGTGGCTGTGGACAGACACTGAAGTTAGCTGTCAGAGAATGTATGTTCAGGCTCTGTTTCTACCAGTTTCTGATCTGGCAAGCTTCAAGTCTCAGTTTCTTCAGTTATAAAATGAGATTGATAATACCTAAATCCTTAGGTTGTTGTGGGGACCAAATGAGATGATGTAAATGTGAAGGAACTTTATTAATAATTATATGTTGCAACTTCAGCAGCCACTTATATTATTATTAATGAAACTTTCAACCCAAATAGGAAGCAAAGCTTTTCAACTTCCTTCATGGGTGAACTGGAAGTATGTGACCTCCATATGGCTTCAATTTTTTTTTTTTACTTTCTCTATTACCCATTTGAAGATTAATAATAAACTATAGCAAATGGTAGGTGAGTGTATGTGTGTGTGTCTGTGTGTGTGTCTGGCTGACTTAATATTCTTTGCAACCATTTTAAGATTTAAGGGATGAACCATTAAAATCTTCCTAACAGAGACATTTCTCAAGAAAATTGAAAAGGATAAACATAGAAATGGGGTTGGGGTGCAGGGCAGGGGACAGTATTAGAATGCTCTGTCCAAACAGTTCTGAGAGTTGAATACTGAGTTCCTCCTGACATTCTGTATGTTTGGAACCTGTGTGAGTTCTGTGGGTTTATGCAGAATTTATTTGCATACCCTGATCAAATAACCATGTATTCTCTGCATACTACAGCCATTTTGGCATCATTGAATGATGCCAAAGCATTGACTATAGCCCAGTTAATGCAAAGAAGCTGAAATAAAGTTAGGGCTGTAACAACAGTTTTAGAAGAATACAAAGAGATCAATATAAATTATCATTTGCCCTTGGATTAAAATCGAGAAAAGGTGATGAAGTGATGAAGCTCAAAGGAGGCATTTTATCAGTGAGCATTTTCCACTTGGCAGCTTATCTTATCTGAAATCTGTCTTGCTTTCTCCCCAACTGTTGTATGCCTGGTGCAAGTAGAAACTCTTGGTGGAACACATTGTTTTACTTATTATTTATTTATTTATATTTATTTACTTTTGGGGGAGACGAAGTCTCGCTGTGTCACCCAGGCTAGAGTGCAATAGCATGATCTAGGCTCACTGCAACCTCCACCTCCCGGGTTCAAGTGACTCTCCTGCCTCAGCCTCCCGCGTAGCTGGGATTACAGGTGTCCGCCAACACACCCGGTTAATTTTTGTTTTTGTATTTTTAGTAGAAACAGGGTTTCACCCTGTTGGCCAGGCGGGTCTCGAACTCCTGACCTCAGGTGATACACACCTGCCTCAGCCTCCTAAAGTGCTGGGATTACAGGCGTGAGCCACCGCACCCGGCCTTACATTGTTTTAATATATTACGTTAGAGTTGAAAAATTTTGTTCAGCTGTTTCCACTCAGATATTCTACTCTCACACTGAAATAAATATATTCTGCAATTCCATTCTGTAACTATAGAAACCCTGATCTTCACTGTGTTTCAGTTGGGAACACAAAAGAGCTCTCAGTTAGAAAGGAGTGTGCTGTTAATTATTGATCTATGAATAGCTTAGACTCCATAAACTATTAAGTTTCTGTAGGTTCGGGTTTTTTCTTTCTCTTTTTTCCCCCACATCTTTAAATTTAAAGCTAGCAATATTTAAACAAGAAGTCATGTTAAAACAATGCAATGAATATTATTTTTGCTGGACAATTATTTATTGAGGACTTGCTATAAAACACCATCAAGTGATAAGTGGGCTTTTACCTTAAGGTACATACAACCCTGTATATGCAGTGCAAATGTAAGTAAACACAAGGAAATCAAGAGGTAGTGCTGACATGGAGACTGTTCCAGTTACAAAGGAGCAATCATGTCTGACTGGAGGGGCTCAGAAGAATCAAGGAAATATTTAGATTATTTTCCACTTTTTCAACCCTGGCCTTCAAACAGGCGGGAGTCCACCCAATTTTATTTTCCTAATATTTCTCAAGCCTTTCCCTCTTCTCCACCCCACTATCATTTCTCATTATTTCTCACCTGGACTATGGCAACAGCTTCTAAATAGGCCCCCAGCTTCCTTCTGCTCCTTCCCTCCTTCAGTCTATCTTCCACCTCGACCAGGGTTGTTTATTTAAATGCTGATCTGATTTTATCACTTCACTGCTTCATATCCTCTAAGAGCTTATGATGATTCCCAAGGAAAAAAACTCAAGTCCTTAATGTGGATGAATACCCATTATAAGGAGTCTGTCACCTCGCTAGCCTCACTGCCCTATCCTATATATCCCCTATGTACCCTGTACTAGAATCTTTCTGCAATCTTGTAGCTCACTCATATCTTCAGGTTGAGGAATGTGTTGTTCCTTCTGTGAAAAATCCCCCTGAAATTTCCCTACTGACAAACTCTTTCTAATCCTTCAATCTCAGATACATTGATATTTCCTCCAAGAAGCCCATCCTAATGCTTTCTACTCCTCCTTTGCACCCTCCCAGTGAGATAGGTGCTCCCACATTGATATCAGCCATCTTGTTCTACAGCATTTTCTGTGTTTGTTTACACCACTGTTCTTGCCAAATTCATTCTTGCTAAGAATTCATTGCAGTCATGCTTTTAGAATATTTTTTCTTTGTCCCCCAGCTCCTTGCTTGATACATGGTAGGCAGTCACTAAGTGTTTAATGAATAAATGAGGTAGCAGGAAAACAATGAATCTGCAGAGATGACAGAAGGACATTGGGGAAAAGGAAAGCTCAAGATTATATATAACATGTTTGGTTAAAAAGTGAAGCTAAATACACTAGTGTTCTTAAGGGGAAGAGAAGGAAAAACAAAGAAGAAAAAGGGAGGAGAGAAGAGGAGAGGGGAGGAGAAACTTGTTTAGTCTCCAATATAGGTGTTCATCTTTATGAACTGAGATTTGAAATAGATTTTGATTTAATTATTTAAGCATTTAAATAGCAAATATTATTTTTTTCTACCTCTCTGTTGCTTACAAATACCATGACGTGACTCTCAGTATACGTATCGGAGTAATTTCAAGGGACATGTTAGAAACTTAGAGACTTTGTACCAAGATTTTTTATATGGAACAAAGGAAGAGAAATATTTTAGAACACATTTTATTTGAGCTTCAAGGATAGGAGGAAAAAATGTTCTTCACTTAATATGGAACTTAGTCATAAATGCCTTGTCACGTGAGAGACTCTTTATTCTCAATTTGCTTTAGGGTGGAAAGAAAGGAACGTGCCCGATTGAAGACAGTGAAGTTTAATGCCAAACCTGGAGTGATTGATTCGAAAGGGGTAGGTACAAAATGATGGAAACATCAAGTTCTCTCAGTTGCCATGGATTTAACTATAATTAACACATTTAGGCTTTCAGTAGCAAACAAATTATGAAGGTACCAGACAGTAGAGCACTGTTATAAATATATTGCTGAAGTTAATAATGTGATTTCTGATGAAATGGATTTATGGTAAATATATTTAAACACTGGGAGTAAAGCTGCAAGTGGTTAGCAGAAGCAGTGTGTTGATGAAGGTGATGTAATGACTACAATGAAGAAGAACAAGATAGTTTAGGTGGTTTTTGTTTCTTTAAGTTTTTTCCTTTTAAATTAATGTTCTAAAATGATGGATTTTATAAAAAGTATCTGCTCATCAGAAAATATATCTAGTCTGTTTCACATTATGAAGCTAAGACAGTAGTCATAGAAACATGGATTATCTAATGAATACACGGATTGTTGTGACAGACATAGAAGAGAATTAATGACTAAAATTTAGCCATCAAAATTAGAATATTTACTCACATATACATGTGTACATGTTTTTAAAATAATAGCTTTATAAGATAAAATTTGCATACAATGTAACTCAACCACTTAAAAAATACAATCCAGTGGTTTTTAGTATATTTAGAATTATTCAACCATCACCACAATCAATTTTAGAGCATTTCATCACTCCATAAAGAAACCCTATATGCATTGACAGTCACCTCCCATTTCCCCACCCTCCCACCCCAACATAGGCAACCACTAATCTACTTTTTGTCCCTATGGATTTGCCTATCCTGGTTATTTTATATAAATGAAATTATACACCATGTGGTCTTTTGTGGCTGCTTTTTTCACTTACATTGTTTTCAAGACGTGTTTGTGTTGTAGAATGTGTAAGTACTTCATTTCTTCTTATTGCCAAATAATATTCCATTATATGGATATGCCACATTTAATCTGTTCATTTATCAGTTGATGGACATTTCAATTGTTTCCAATTTTTAGTTATTATGGATAATGCTGCTGTGAGCATTTGTGTACAAACTTTTCTGTGACATATATTTTTATTTCCATTGGCTGTATGCCTAGGAGTGAGATTGTTGGGTCATATAGTAACTCTATGCTTAACATTTTGAGGAACTGACAGGCTGTTTTCCAAAGTGGTTGCACCATTTTACATTTCCACAACAATGCATGAGGGTCCCAATTTCTCCATATCCTTGTTATTATATGTCTTTCTGATTACAGCCATCTTAGTTGGTACGAAGTGGTATCTCATGCTGGTTTTGATTTTCATTTCCTTAATGACTGTTGATATTGAGCATATTTTCATGTGCTTATTGGCCATTTGTATATATTATTTGGAGAAATGTTTATTGAGATCCTTTGCCCATTTTTAAATTGGGTTGTCTTGTTATTGTTGAGTTGCAGAAGTTCTTTATATAGTTGGGTTATTAAACCTTTATGAGATATATATGCTTTGCAATATTTTGTCCCACTCTGTGGGTTGTCTTCATTTTCTTGATAGTGTTCTTTGGTACACAAAAGGTTCTAATTTTGGTGAAGTCTAATGTGTGTATTTTTTCTTTTGTTATTTTTGCTTTTGGTGTCATATCTAAGAAACCATTGCCTAATGAAAGTCATGAAGATTTATATCATATTTTCTTCTAAGAGTTTTATAATTTTAGCTCTTACATTTAGGTGGTTGATCCATGTTGAGTTAGTATTTGTACGTTGTATGAGTTAGGGTTCTGATTTCATTCTTTTGCATATGAATTGTCTTCTTAATTTCATTTTTGGATTGTTCATTGCAAATGTACATAAATATAATTATTTATAGACCAATCTTATATCCTGCAACCTTGCTAAAGCCACAGTTTTCTAGTGAATTCCTCAGAGTTTTCTATATACAAGATATACATGCAAAAAGAGAGAGTTTTGCTTCTTTCCTTCAAATATGGATGCCTTTTTTCCTTGCTTAATTGCACCAGCTAGAACCTTCAGTATAATGTTAGAAATGGCAAGAGCAGACATTTTTGTCTTGTTCCTGACATTAACAGAAATGCATTCGGTCTTTCGCCATGAAGTGTGATGTTAGCTGTGGCTTGTATAGATTTTTTAAATCTATTCTTTGAAGAGATAATACTGTATCTTATTGCTGTGTTGTAAAATAACTTTCCCATCTTCTCTCTTCCCGTTCTCTTTTTCTTCATATCCTTTCTTTCGTCTTTCTATCCTAGCAATTGTAGCTTGTGAATATCATACAGAATCACAAGTTATGGTCAATTGCTGTCACCATGAAAAACAAGAAAAAAAAAAGCTATAATTTCTCAGGGATTTTGAGGCCCGAATCATAGCACTGCCCTTTCTATTTCTAGAATCATAAGGGAGCCCAGTCATTGACATAATAATTTACCCTCCCCTAAAATATTCAAATGAAATGAAAATTTATTGAAACATAGGATGTCATTCTACATAGAAGTGAGGGTATGTGACATCATGACATAAAGTCCTTTCAAACAAATACTACTTGTATACAAGAGGTAGGTTTTTTTTCCATGATTCCTGGTGAGAATTTAAGGATAGACCTCTTATTTGTTTGAGATAGATGGATAGATAGATAGATAGATAGACAGACAGACAGACAGATAGAGTTGGATATATGTGAGAGGATTTTTACTGAATACCTACCATGTGCCAGAAACAGGACTAGAACTTTAGAAGGACACAAAGTCTAACATGGGCCCTTTTCCCCAAGAGCTCCTAACATCAGTGAGAGGCCAGATGTCTTTTCAGTAAGGCTGAAATATATATGATGTGCTTTCTAATTATACATGTTAAACACCATTAGGTATTTGCCAATGAATAGGTTGTAAATTATAGGACTTCGCTATTGAAAGAAAGGAGTAATCATCTGGGAAGGGAAGCCCTGAATGGAAAATCAGGAGGGTCAGTAACCTGGGTTCTGGTTTCAGCTCACTACTAAGTCACTGTTGTTCTTTGGGCCTTATTACCAAAATAAAACCTTTAAACTACATCAGGGATGTCAAACAAGTTTCATCTCCTGTGTAGACTAATGGATTGATAGTTTATATCTGGAGTATTGTTTTGAAAAAGGATTCTGAGGCCATAAATGATTTCAGAAAAAAAAAAAGAGTGCCATGATTGAGTCATCTCTAGCACAACATTGGGAATTATTCTCTATTTGCAGTTACTGGATTCAATGATTTTTTAAGGTGCCTTACGTTAGTAACTCTCCATAAGATTTACTCATGCATTAATTGGTAATAAATCAAAGTTTTTCAAATCTTTATGAGAAAATACGTCAATAAGAAGACTTGTCCAGAAGTAGAAAGCAAAGAACCATTAGCAAGAGATAAAATGCACTGAGGAAAGGAGAGAACAACTATGTGGAGAGTTGGGAAAGCTGGGTCAGGAGATGCCACTCACTTTGAATTAAAGGCAAGGACTACAGGAATAAGTCATTGATGCAGGGGCCTCATTCTCTGGGACCTTGGGATAAATTCAGCATAAAGTGAGGAGGAAAATTGTCTGGAATGAGAAGGATAATAGGGTGTTTTAAATAACCTTATCATTAGCTGGCATTTTCAGAGCATTGTGAAATGTCCTGAGGAGCCCAGAGTGAAAGCCAAGGTTACTGCCCTGGAGGAGCTTAGATTAAATTAGTATCTGTGAAAGCAGGCTGTGACAAGAGCCTTATTAGTAGTATGTACACGAGCTATAAGAATTTAAATTAAAGGTTGCAGGAATAACCAGAGAGCACTTTATAGATGAACTTGGACTTTAATGTGACTGTCAGTGCTTGAGTTACTTTTCCAGAACTCTTCATTGATTGCAATAACACCGAGTGCTGCAAAACACCAGGCAGGCTCAAAAAGAGAAATATAAGCAGGCAAACAATGATAATACAGCATCACTAATGTTTTCCATCAATTTAGGGAATGAACAGTCTTTATTTTAAAAATCAGGAGCCTGAGCCTCAGGAGGATTAACTAGCTTGCCTAAGATCACACAGTTAGTAGGTGCAAGCATCAGGTTGAGATCATTTTGACAACAGAAGCCTGCCCTTTCCATTACTCTACACTATACATGATTCTGTTGAAGCCAGAGGAAGTAAAGCATTACAAATATGCCTTAGGTAAAAGAGAAGGCTTCAAAGAGGCAATATTTGAATGAGATCTTAAATTTTCAGTAGGAGTTTGCCACATACATAGGAAAAAGCATGAACACGATAGTGGAAATTGCAGACATGTTGGAATAGGGTTAAGCAAGTCAAGGACACCAGTGTGCAAAGGTCATGGTGGGAATTGTAGCAAATGAGGTTGACAAAGAAGGTCAGAAAGGCCAGAAAGCTTGTATGGAAGGCCTGGCTATCAGGTTAGAAGCTTATTGGATTTTGAAAGTATACATGAAGAAATCTGAGGTTCTTCATTTGAAAGTGCTCATCTGCTACAAATGAAATACCCAGGATTTCTATCCACTCTGTGTGCCTTTACAAAGTCTATGTCTACACATGCAAAGAAAAGTGGGCTATTGTGTCAGTAGCCTAGATAAGTCCAACCTATGCAGATCCCTAAACTTCAAACAGCCATCTATTTGGATAGGTCTCCCTAAGACCCATCTCAGTGCCCCAGATAGCAATGCAGTCAAGCTCCCCTGGGAATGTCTATTAAATTTCTAATGAGTCTCTAGTCAAACCAGCCTCTGGTGAAAACTTAAGCACCCCTTAATTTCTTTTATTGTCCTTCTACCTTTTTTTAAATCAATTTCACCGTTAACCAGCCATTCTGTTACTTATTGAGAGGTTTAGGAAATTGCATAATCTTCAGAGTCAAGCTGTTCTGCACTGAAAAATCAATGACTATTTAGTGATTTATGCCAAACTTCTTTTTTAAGTCTATAATTTAAGAAAGGGAAATATATGTAAGAGAGAGTATGAGAGAGCTATCAGTATCCTTACTATATGTCAGCAACGTGCAATGTGTGTCTCTTTTATGTTGTAAACCCTTTCTAAAGTAAGGTATGGTATAAACAAATAAATCATCCTATTTATCCTTGGGCTGGGACAGAACAGAGATGATAGTTGTTATTTGAAGTAATATGAGTAGCCATTATAAAAACCCAGACAGTTTACATACACCTCTCTTTTAAAAAAAAAATTGTAGAGACAAGGTCTCTCTCTGTTGCCCAGGCTGGTCTCAAACTCTTGGGCTCAAGGAATCCTCCTGCCTTGGCCTCCCAAAGTGCTGGAATCCCACAATGCCCGGCATACATACATCTCTTAATCACCACAAGACTTCAAAGGAAATCATTTATTTCCTCTTTATAGATTTAAAGAAACTGAGGCTTAGAGAGGTGAAGAAAAATTCATGTCTGACTGATTCCAAAGTTCACAATCTGCTTACTATAGCATGCTTTCTTTTTTATTGACATCATGTAACACTTGTGCAATTTAAGAAAAATAAAGAAGTAAATTGAACTGGGTTTAGCTTTGTCAAAACCTAACTTGGGCATAAACTTAAATCCTGAGGAGAAGCTGGTTTTCCTAGATGATGCACATCTTTCTGAAGGAGAACATTCTAAAGTGAGCTCAGATATACACACTTTCTCACTGTGGCCTGCTAAAATAAAATGAGGGAACAAGTCTTGCTGAATGACTTCATTCATTTATTTAATAAACCTTTATTAGATCCAATACAAGGCAGCTTGATAAGTAATGTGGAGGTGTAAAGACAAATAAATCATGGTCACTTTCCTGACGGAGCAGGTCTTCTGGGGGACAGAATGAGTGTCTACAGGGAGGAAGTGATTAATACCAAAGGAGAAGGGCAGAAAACACGTTTTCAGTGCAGAAAAGGAGATTCCAGCTTGAATTAGGGGGCGTTGAAGGATTAGGAAAATAGGGACTGGGGTTAGGAGTAAGATACAGAATAAGTATGAAATAAAACATGGTTCACTTTCATTACAGGGAACAATTTGTGAAGGAGAATGAAAAGAATCAGAACTGGAAAGTTAGACTCAAGTCAGTTTTGATGCCTAAAATTTTCCAGGAAACTTATACTTTATCCTGTAAGCAATAAAGAATTTTAAGGGTTGTGACCAACCAGACCAGGTTGATTTTCTCTGGGCTAATGCCCTGAAGGTACCTATATCACTGCCTATACAGGCTGCATTATGAGGTCCTTCTAGGCAAAGATCTGAATCTACTCATCTGTATGCCCCAGCACCTAGCACGATGTCTACCTTAAACATACTAGCTACTCAACACATAGAGCAAAGGGAATGGAATGTTCAGAAGTGGGTTTCTGAGAGATCAGTCTGGCAGCTGTGGGAAGGAAAGGTTGGAGGAGAGAGACTGGCAATAGGAAATGTTTGAGAAAGCTATTACAGTATTCTGGGTGTAAGATTCTGAAAACCTGAACTCAAAAGTGGCAATAGGAAAGCAAAATAGGAAACCATTTCTAAAGAGATCAGAGAGGACTATCATCCTTGGACATTTGTCCCGACTGTTCCTAGTAATATTCTATTTCCTTTTCCAAAGCCTTACGCTCCCTTTAAGAGCAGATGTTGATTATGAGAGAGGGGATGGGGCAGAAGCTACAGGGATAGGTTGATAGCAAACTCCCAAAATCAAACTGCAGCTGGCATTGAGAAATCTCATTTCTATTTCATAGATTCTTAGAACTTTCCATATGGCCATTGACTTAATTTACAAATGAAGAAACTGAGACTCATTTCTCTAGGACACACAAAGAGCTGGTAGCAGAGCCTACTATTGTGTCACTTATCAAAAAATCAATGTGACAGTCAGTATTTCGTTAGCAAGATGGGAATTTTATTTGCTTCACCAGAGTGAGTTATAGGGATTGATTTTGTCACAGCTTCAAAGTGACATTTTGACAAAAGAAATGTCATTACTGCCCTCGAAAGAAAGCTCTTTAATGGAGCCGGTCTTGGAATGGCCAGAGCCAGGCAAAGATCTCAAATGTCCAGAGGTGATCTACAGATCCATGGAGGAGAGGTGGAAGGAGAGCCATACTGCTGCACTCCAGGGGGCATCAGGAAGGCAGGCTTTGCCCTCAAGGTGAATAAACTCAGAAGAGGCTACTCTTTGATGTCTTTGTTATTACTTTTCTTATTCCAAGCCTTCTAACACCTTCCTCACTGGTCTTCCTGGCTCACCTTTCCTCTCGGATTCTTTCCCTATACTGCATGCAGTGTGGTTTTAACTGGTCTTATATTTTTATGTATAAAGAACAAAGATAGGCATATGTCCAGGGAATTTTGCAGCTTCAATAGCCCAACGTGGAGACACTTTATAACTTGTTATGTTTTCTTTTGAATGTGATAATCACATCTATCCAAACCTTGAGTTCCCTTGTCCACTGAGAACCACCTGAGCCAGCACACAGATAACTGTCTGATCAAGATGTGCTAGTGGCTTTTCTGAAAATGGTTCTCAGAGGAAACCCCAGTCAAGTCTCCATGTCTGAGACATGTTAAGGTGTGTCCTATGTAAACCCTGAAAGCCGATGGAACTCAAGGAACATTTTGGGATGAAAAAGTTCATATTATTTTATGTATTCCTCATAGTCTATTTGTCTCAAGTTGCTGATGACGAAACTGCTATTCTGTGGAATGGCGTGGAGAATAAACTACATTCCTTATGTATTTTTGTGCACAGGCATTTCTGCCACTTGGGTCCACAAAGCACTGCCATTGAAACTGTCAAGTTAATCTGCAACCTTATATACAAAATGTATTATAATTTATAACTGAAAAATCTGTTCACAGTGCACACACACACATACTCATGTTTACAATATATTTCAGTTTCTAAAAGAGATATCGTTCAAAATGAGCCTTGAAGAATCAGTAAAATCTAATCAGGTGTAAAAAGATGAAAAGAGTGTTGTTGGCAGAAATCAGGAAACAGCCCGGTGTGCTCAGGGAAGCCAAGGAAGCTTAATATTACGTAAGTGCAAAGCATAAGTACAAAGCTTCAAGTGTCCAGAGATAACGCAGAGAAGTTGGAAACCAGGTCATGAAGGTCCTCCATCTTGAGGGCAGTGGAAAGCCTTGGGAGGAATTCAGCAGAGGTTAGATTAGAATTTAGCAGATCATTTTGCTGTGGTGTGAAATAAATTTCCAGAGGGAGGCAGCCCCAGAGGGCAGGGATCCATTTCAGTAATTCAGGTAAGACATGGAAAAGACCTGACCCAGGACCATAGAGTAGCTGTGGAGAGAAGAAACCAGAAAATTTTCAGCAGGAAAAAAAAAAAGTGTATCCTGCAGCATCTACATCAGAATCAGCTGAGGTGCTTATTAAAAATGGAGGTGAGCAGGCTCAACCCCTGTCCTGCAGGATCAGAATCTCTGGAGATGGGGGCAGGAAAGCTGCATTTTAACAAGCTCCCCAGAGATTTTGTTAGGCATGCTACTAATTTGAGATACACAGGCACAGTGGAAAAGTTTGGAATCAGACAGAATAACCAACTCCTATCAATTATCATAACTTATCTAAGCCTAATATGTGAAAATAGAAATCATATTAAAAGATACAATATATGTAAAGTACTAAGAAATATTAGTCTATCTTTTGCCCACCCCTACCCACAAGCACATACCTCTTAAACTCTCACCCTTATAAGGCTAGAATGAGCAACTTCCTAACACTACTCTTTTCTTTAGATTCCAAATCTCCTTTTGCACAGAGGAAGAAGGGAGAGTTGCCAAAACTGCCCTGTGTGCATTTGCATACGGTGTTTTTGACCTTGTGCTTGTTTAGTTGGGGAGAGAAGTTACCACTGGCTGACTCTAATGGGCAGGAAGATGGAGCTTGGCAGCAGGACTGATTCTAAACCCCGCCCCCTGCCCCTGCCATTGGCTGCAAATCCAGATGGTTTCTGAGTTCTCTGCTATCTTGTGTAGCTACCTACAGGAATTTCTAGAAGAACACACTTGATCAGTGCTTACTGCTTTGGAGAACCATTGCATCTCATTTAGGATACCAGTTATTCTGAACATCTGTAGATTTGTTATTTTCTACATATTATTTTTATAACCATTGCTCATTTGCTCCTAACAGTAACCCTGTGAGGTAAATATTATAAATATGCCCGTTTTGCAGATGAGAAAACTGAAGTTAAGAAAGGATAGATAAATTACCCAAGCTCCTACAGCTAGTAAGTGGCAGAGCTGGGCCCTGCATTACATATTGTTATTGTGCAAGCAAATCAAAATAATTGATTCTTTAGAAGATTTTTACATATGAACTAATTCCAGATGTTAGTAGCATAGCTAATTCTATCCATTCAAGTACTGATGGTAAGACTAAAGTAATATAAATAGGAGTTGTATAATATGTGGTTATGTAATATAAATAACAAGTATAGTTTTATCAGATAACACTGAGCTTTTGTTAAATCTTCTTTTCATCATTAATTCAAGGTAAGTATTATTCAGAAAATTTAGCTCAACCCATTTCTACTTTGGGAATTATTAAAGAATAAATTCTGATTCACTATAGGACTTCCTTTCATCTGACTCTGTAGTAATAGGCCTACAGTCATACCGTTGAGCTTGCAGGTTTCACTTTGCAAAAGTTTTTAACTATCTCAAAGCTAAAACATCAACACTGAAAGATAAAGATGCAGAAGTGAATGTCCAGTCATCTGACTTGCTCACTATGGTAATTATTGCCAGACTCTTAGCAAGTAAAAAGAGTATATCTTGCCTCTTAACTATACATTGTGTTTATATGTGGGTAAAAAGGTTTTTTTAAAAAATAATAGCACGTGTAATATCTGAAAAGAGTTTCAGCAACAGCTTCCAATATGTTCTTAATATTTATAAAAATACCTAATTACCTTGCATTTTGATTAAAAAAAAAAGGGGGGGGGGGCTCTAAAATTAGACTATCCTATTCTTAACTTTTCTGACTACATGACCTGGAGCAAATAGCTTCTCTTTCTGAGATGTGATTTTTCAACTATAATAATAAACTCTGGAGAATAGATAGCAAGTTCCTTGAAGGCCAGGACTATGAATTATTTAGGGCCTAAAATAGTTCATGGCACTCAACCAATAAGTATTGAATTAAATAATGTGAGAAGAAAGAACATGGTGTATTAGGAGAAAAATCATGTAAATTAGAAGGCACAGATCACTTTTTTTTTTTCTATAGGTTGTGAATGCAGAACCAAATAATTTATTGTTGCCTTTAGAGGAAGGTTCTCTTGATCTGAGTGTTACTTCCTTTTATTTCAATAAATAGGTTTTGAGTTTCCTGTATGCACTGGATACCGCTCTGGCCACTGGGTGGAGACGTAGATGAATAAGACCCCACCTCTGCCATCCCAAGACTTTCTTTTGGTACACACCACACACATACATATACACACAGCTATAGCATAAGGCAAAAAAGTTTAGCAAAACATGAATAGAGTCTTAACAGGTATTCAAATGGGCGGGAGAGCCTACTCCATGTGAGAGCAATTAAGAAAGGGTCCGAAGAAAAGGTAGCATTTTAGCTAACTCTGTGAGGAGTAAGTGCACTTTAACACTTAGAAAACAGCAGGAGCAAAAGTAAACGAATAGAGGGTATCTGGTGACCAGCGAGTATTCCATTCAATGGGCACACACAATGGGGCAGTGGTAAGGTTGTAAACATAGCTTGAGGCCCAGTAACAGAGGGCATTAAGTATTCCTTTAAAATTTTTGAAGAGGCTCTTCTTTGGGTACTGGGGAGCCCTTCAAGGTTATTGGATGGAGGAGTGACAGGCTGTGTTTGTAAATAAAGAGGTTGACTCTTGCTGGGAGGATGGATGGTGGGGACTTGGGAGGGACTGGAGTAGGGAGACACCTAGGGAAGGACGGTGGGATGACTCAGGGGAGAAATCATAGAGCCTACATCCTAGGAATTGAAGGGAGCCCACAGATGGCAATGGCATGTAGGGGAGACTGTTAAAAATGTCATTCATGAACATGTGGGGGACCCTGAATAGAATTGGTAGAGAAGGGGTAAAAGGCGAATGGTGCAAAGTAACTGCCCACTAGGAGGACAGTGGAAGGGAAATAAACTTGGCAGAGTCCAGACCGGAAATTAAAATTGTATGTATGCTTTTAAATCTATCCTCTAGCAGGCATCTCACCAACACCTCACTCCAACACATTTGCCTTACCTGGTAAATCAAGTCTGCAGCATTAAGTAATTGCTACGTGTTATCAGAAATCAATGGCAGTTTATACATGATACTGGAATAACCACCAAATTAAACTGAAAACCAACCCAGGTCAGAATAAAAAAAATTGTCACTAAAGTAAACTTTTTAAAATTGAAACTAATTTTAGATTGATTGCCAGGTTAAAACCAGAAAGCTGGCTGTGATAAATCCACTTCTCCCCCAGGACTAAAATTCTTTGTGGATACTGGAAAATAAGTCCTTGTATTTGCAAAGCACTTTTGTACCTTACCCATTTGATAAATAAAGAGGCAGGGTCAGAGGAAATAAGTGACCTGTGTGCAGTCACACAGCCAGACACTGTTCTTTGGAGGTCCATGAATATTTATTTAGTATACAGTTCCATTTAATTTGTGAAGGTTTACAAGACGTCTTTCATGTTCAGCACTGTTCTAGGGCCTGGGGGAAAACAAGGACGCCTGAGCCTTTGCCCATGCTCTTGGCAAACATTAAATGGTCTGGCAAACATTTGGATTTCCTTTGAAGTTGGCAGTCTCGATACATGATCTATTCTTCTTAGGCAGTCAACAAACTTAGTACTGCCATCCCAGCTATGCCACTGGCTGTGTCATCTGAGACAGACCAGTTACTCCTATGTAAAGTGGGACATGTAAGAGGGTTAAACTTACCTCATTAAGATGCGAGCTACACAAGAGTCATAGCATGAAGGCTATTGAGTCAAATCAAAAGTATACCTCTCAAGAAAAACATCCATGTGTAGCCCACTCTATCTATCTATCTATCTATCTATCTATCTATCTATCTATCTACCTACCTACTTACCTGTCTGTCTTTCTTTCTATCTATCTATCTATCTATCTATCTACCTACCTACCTATCTACCTACCTGTCTGTCTGTCTTTCTATCTATCTACCTGCCTACCTACTTACCTACCTAGCTAGTTAGCTATCTTTCTATCTATGACAACGCAGTAAGCACCATGAACCTGCCACCTAATGTGAAAGCATGAGCAATGAAAGGTATATCATGACTAAGGATTATGATTTTTCCCTTTCTGTGCACTTGAAATCCCTGTAAGAGAAAAAGAGAAAAATAATTTCCATGACTCCAGGGCTATTGGTATACATAGGCAACAATGGGGAAGCTATGAGAAACATCTTTTATTTGTTAGTAGTGATAACCGTAATGCAGTTTCCATTCATTCACAGAGTTCTGAGAAATCTGAGTGACACAACTACAAAGTGAGAACTTTTCCAATTACTGTCTCAAATTTATTACAAGCACTTGTCAATATAAGTGAAAGCCTATCTCACTTGAAAAGAAGTAAAAAGTTTGCAGATATGCCATTCGCCTTTTATGTTTTGACAACTTCATGAACATTTGTAAAGATTTTACTAACACGTCCTGTTTGAACACTCTTGATGTGGTGGTTTTTCCTGGAAGGCCCTAAGAAGCCACCATTTTGCTCTGTAATTGACTTGTGCTCACCTGCCCAAAGAATTAATACCATAATGAATTTGGGGCATGAGGTAAATGTGAATGACAAACCTGGTCACTCCTTATTCATAGAGAAGGATTCTGTGAACACCTCCCAAGTCTAATGGCTCTAGGTGAAGTGGAGTCTAAGCCCAAATGACAGTCAGAAAAAGACAGATATGAATCTACGATTGCCAATGGATGGAATGATTGCTTTGTTGCAGGTAAAAGCTCCCCATCACCCAGCTCATCCCATGAGCTGCCTGAACTTCTGTGTTTATGCCCTTCGCAGTAATAGGCAAAGCTCACATTTGGCAAATAAAGAATTTGACTTTGATTAGTATTTTTTAAATGTGATAACAATACAATTGATGTTTTTTGAAGATTACATATAAGCCAGGTGTTTTTGCTAAATAGAACAATTTTTCTCATTAAATCTTCACAAGAATCCCATGAGGTGAAGAATATAGGGTCCCCTTTTAAAGAAAATAATATTTCTGGGCACCCATGCCCCCAAGTGTTGACTAAATCTTTTTATAATGATGTTACCTAAATACATAAAAAACACAAAATTAGGGGCAAATACCTTATAGCTCTTATATCATCTATCATGTTCAAATAAATTTACAAATTAAACACCATATATGTAATAGTGGTATATTGTAACAATAAAATTCAAAATTACAGCATTAATGTGATTAGTGATACTTTAGTAAAACTAAATCTTCTTCCACAATGTAATCGTGGTTGTGGCTGCTGTGTGGAAATTTTGGAGTTGCACCTGCTGAGTGCTAGGGAAGACTCAGTTCTCTCACCACTGTTTCTCTACAGTACACCCCGCTGCAGAACCACTGCAAAGGCCCCATCTGGGTCTTACTCCATACCATTTACCCAGCCCCTAGTACTGAGACTGACACCTTGGAGTCATTAAATGAATAATTATGGACCTCAGTTATACTACAGACACCCTCTGTGGCTGCTCTCTCTGCACTGTGTTTTAAGTTCCTGACCCCCACACTTGATGGGTTTTCTTGCCTAGTTGCACAGTGCTCAGCTGTACTCTCTTGGCACTGTCAGCAGATAGCTGTATGGAGCAGCCCCTCAGTCCAGCCCCCTCCCACACTGAATTTGCTATTTTAAATCTACGAGCTGAGAAACCCCAGGAACAAACTTCTTTTTTTTATTTATTTATCGTTAATTCTCATTTTTACCATTTTTAATTTCATCTCACATCATAGTAAGTACAAATATATACATATATATATGCTAAGACTCTGATGGGTAGATTTTGTGACTTTTCTGTCAACTGTGCAGCTCTGCTTCTTTGGGATATATAATTCAGACACTTAAAGTTGCTGGTTAGAAGATGGCCGAATAGGAACAGCTCCAGTCTACAGCTCCCAGCATGAGCAACACAGAAGACAAATCACTTCTGCATTTCCAACTGAGGTACTGGGTTCATCTCACTGGGGATTGTCGGATAGCGGGTGCAGTGCACCGAGCATGAGCCGAAGCAGGGTGAGGCATCGCTGAAGCAGGGTGAGGCATTGCCTCACCCGGGAAGCACAAGAGGTCAGGGAATTCCCTTTCCCAGCCAAGAAAAGGGGTGACAGATGGCACCTGGAAAATCAGGTCACTCCCACCCTAATACTGCGCTTTTCCAATGGTCTTAGCAAACGTCACACCAGGAGATTATATCCCGCGCCTGGCTTGGAGGGTTCTACGCCCATGGAGCCTCACTCTTTGCTAGCACAGCAGTCTGAGATCAAACTGCAAGGTGGCAGCAAGGCTGGGGGAGGGGCTCCCGCCATTGCCAAGGCTTGAGTAGGTAAACAAAGCAGCTGGGAAGCTCAAACTGGGTGGAGCCCACCACAGCTCAAGGAGGCCTGCCTGCCTCTGTAGACTCCACCTCTGGGGGCAGGGCATAGCCAAACAAAAGGCACCAGAAACCTCTGCAGACTTAAATGTTCCTGTCTGACAGCTTTGAAGAGAGTAGTGGTTCTCCCAGCATGCACCTTGAGATCTGAGAACAGACAGACTGCCTCCTCAAGTGGGTCCCTGACCCCCGAGTAGCCTAACTGGGAGTCACCCCCCAGTAAGGGCAGACTGACACCTCACATGGCCGAGTACTCCTCTGAGACAACACTGCCAGAGGAACGATCAGGCAGCAACATTTGCTGTTCACCAATATCCGCTGTTCTGCAGCCTCTGCTGCTGATACCCAGGCAAACAGGGTCTGGAGTGGACCTCCGGCAAACTCCAACAGACCTGCAGCTGAGGGTACTGACTGTTAGAAGGAAAACTAACAAACAGAAAGGACATCCACACCAAAACCCCATCTGTACGTCACCATCATCAAAGACCAAAGGTAGATAAAACCACAAAGATGGGGAAAAAACAGAGCAGAAAAACTGAAAATTCTAAGAATCAGATCACCTCTCCTCCTCCAAAGGAACGCAGCTCCTCACCAGCAATGGAACAAAGCTGGACAGAGACTGACTTCGATGAGTTGAGAGAAGAAGGCTTCAGAAGATCAAACTACTCCGAGCTAAAGAAGGAAGTTTGAACCCATGGCAAAGAAGTTAAAAACCTTGAAGAAAGATTAGACGAATGGCTAGCTAGAATAACCAATGCAGAGAAGTCCATAAAGGACCTGACGGAGCTGAAAACCACAGCATGAGAACTACGTGACGAATGCACAAGCCTCAGTAGCCAATTCGATCAACTAGAAGAAAGGGTATCAGTGATGGAAGATCAAATGAATGAAATGAAGCAAGCAGAGTTTAGAGAAAAAAGAATAAAAAGAAATGCACAAAGCCTCCAAGAAATATGGGACTATGTGAAAAGACCAAATCTACATCTGATTGGTGTACCTGAAAGTGACGGGGAGAATGGAACCAAGTTGAAAAACACTCTGCAGGATATTATCCAGGAGAACTTCCCCAATCTAGCAAGGCAGGCCAACATTCAGATTCAGGAAATACAGAGAATGCCACAAAGATACTCCTTGAGAAGAGCAACTCCAAGACACATAATTGTCAGATTCACCAAAGTTGTAATGAAGAAAAAAATGTTAAGGGCAGCCAGAGAGAAAGGTCAGGTTACCCAAAAGGGAAGCCCATCAGACTAACAGCGGATCTCTCGGCAGAAACTCTACAAGCCAGAAGAGAGACGGGCCCAATATTCAACATTATTAAAGAAAAGAATTTTCAACCCAGAATTTCATATCCAGCCAAACTAAGCTTCATAAGTGAAGGAGAAATAAAATACTTTACAGACAAGCAAATGCTGAGAGATTTTGTCACCACCAGGCCTGCCCTACAAGAGCTCCTGAAGGAAGCACTAAACATGGAAATGAACAACCGGTACCAGCCACTGCAAAATCATGCCAAATTGTAAAGACCGTTGAGGCTAAGAGGAAACTGCATCAACTAACGAGCAAAAGAACCAGCTAACATCATAATGACAGGATCAAATTCACACATAACAATACTAACCTTAAATGTAAATGGGCTAAATGCTCCAATTAAAAGGCACAGACTGGCAAATTGGATAAACAGTCAAGACCCACCAGTGTGCTGTATTCAGGAAACCCATCTTATGTGCAGAGACACACATAGGCTCAAAATAAAGGGATGGAGGAAGATCTACCAAGCAAGTGGAAAACAAAAAAACTAGGGGTTTCAATCCTAGTCTCTGATAAAACAGACATTAAACCAACAAAGATCAAAACAGACAAAGAAGGCCATTACATAATGGTAAAGGGATCAATTCAACAAGAAGAGCTAACTATCCTAAATATATATGCACCCAATACAGGAGCACCCAGATTCATAAAGCAAGTCCTTAGAGACCTACAAAGAGACTTACACTCCCACAGAATAATAATGGAAGACTTTAACACTCCACTGACAACATTAGACAGATCAAAGGGACAGAAAATTAACAAGGATATCCAGGAATTGAACTCAGCTCTGCACCAAGCAGACCTAATAGACATCTACAGAACTCTCCACCCCAAATCAACAGAATATACATTCTTTTCAGCACCACACCACACCTATTCCAAAATTGACCACACAGTTGGAAGTAAAGCACTCCTCAGCAAATGTAAAAGAACAGAAATTATAACAAACTGTCCCTCAGACCACAGTGCAATTAAACTAGAACTCAGGATTAAGAAACTCACTCAAAAATCGCTCAACTACATGGAAACTGAACAACCTGCTCCTGAATGACTACTAGGTACATAACGAAATGAAGGCAGAAATAAAGATGTTCTTTGAAACCAACCAGAACAAAGACACAACATACCAGAATCTCTGGGACACATTCAAAGCAGTGTGTAGAGGGAAATTTATACCACTAAATGCCCACAACAGAAAGCAGGAAAGATCTAAAATTGACACCCTAACATCACAATTAAAAGAACTAGAGAAGCAAGAGCAAACACATTCAAAAGTTATCAGAAGGTGAGAAATAACTAAGATCAGAGCAGAACTGAAGGAAATAGAGACACAAAAAACCCTTCAAAAAATCAATGAATCCAGGAGCTTGTTTTTTGAAAAGATCAACAAAATCGATAGACCACTAGCAAAACTAATAAGAAAAGAGAGAAGAATCAAATAGACGCAATAAAAAATGATAAAGGGGATATCACCACCGATCCCACAGAAACACAAACTACCATCAGAGAATACTATAAACACCTCTACGCAAATAGACTAGAAAATCTAGAAGAAATGGATAAATTCCTGGACACATACACCCTCCCAAGACTAAACCAGGAAGAAGTTGAATCTCTAAATAGACGAATAACAGAATCTGATATTGAGGCAATAATTAATAGCTTACCAACCAAAAAAAGTCCAGGACCAGATGGATTCACAGCCGAATTCTACCAGAGGTACAAGGAGGAGCTGGTACCATTCCTTCTGAAACTATTCCAATCAATAGAAAAAGAGGGAATCCTCCCTAACTCATTTTATGAGGCCAGCATCATCCTGATACCAAAGCTGGGCAGAGACACAACAAAAAAAGAGAATTTTAGACCAATATCCCTGATGAACATCGATGCAAAAATCCTCAATAAAATACTAGCAAACCGAATCCAGCAGCACATCAAAAAGCATATCCACGGTCAAGTGGGCTTCATCCCTGGGATGCAAGGTTGGTTCAACATACGCAAATCAATAAACGTAATCCAGCATATAAACAGAACCAATGACAAAAACCACATGATTGTCTCAATAGATGCAGAAAAGGCCTTTGACAAAATTCAACAACCCTTCATGCTAAAAACTCTCAATAAATTAGGTATTGATGGGCCGTATCTCAAAATAATAAGAGCTATCTATGACAAACTCACAGCCAATATCATACTGAATGGGCAAAAACTGGAAGCATTCCCTTTGAAAACTGGCACAAGACAGGGATGTCTTCTCTCACCACTCCTATTCAACATAGTGTTGGAAGTTCTGGCCAGGGCAATCAGGCAGGAGAAGGAAATAAAGGGTATTCAATTAGGAAAAGAGGAAGTCAAATTGTGCCTGTTTGCAGATGACATGATTGTATATCTAGAAAACCCCATCGTCTCAGCCCAAAATCTCCTTAAGCTCATAAGCAACTTCAGCAAAGTCTCAGGATACAAAATCAATGTACAAAAATCACAAGCATTCTTATACACCAACAACAGACAAACAGAGAGCCAAATCATGAGTGAACTCCCATTCACAATTGCTTCAAAGAGAATAAAATACC
The DNA here is from genome assembly GCF_000001405.40 of Homo sapiens. Lineage (NCBI taxonomy): Eukaryota > Metazoa > Chordata > Mammalia > Primates > Hominidae > Homo > Homo sapiens. Next base: position 83,514,267 of record NC_000011.10, on the reverse strand, counting down.
TAGGAATCCAACTTACAGGAGATGTGAAGGATTTCTTCAAGGAGAACTACAAACCACTGCTCAATGAAATAAAAGAGGATACAGACAAATGGAAGAACATTCCATGCTCACGGGTAGGAAGAATCAATATCATGAAAATGGCCATACTGCCCAAGGTAATTTATAGATTCAATGCCATCCCCATCAAGCTACCAATGACTTTCTTCACAGAATTGGAAAAAACTACTTTAAAGTTCATATGGAACCAAAAAAGAGCCCGCATTGCCAAGTCAATCCTAAGCCAAAAGAACAAAGCTGGAGGTATCACGCTACCTGACTTCAAACTATACTACAAGGCTACAGTAACCAAAACAGCGTGGTACTGGTATCAAAACAGAGATATAGACCAATGGAACAGAACAGAGCCCTCAGAAATAATGCCACATATCTACAACTATCTGATCTTTGACAAACCTGACAAAAACAAGAAATGGGGAAAGGATTCCCTATTTAATAAATGGTGCTGAGACAACTGGCTAGCCATATGTAGAAAGCTGAAACTGGATCCCTTCCTTACACCTCATACAAAAATGAATTCAAGATGGATTAAAGACTTAAATGTTAGATCTAAAACCATAAAAACCCTAGAAGAAAACCTAGGCAATACCATTCAGGACATAGGCATGGGCAAGGACTTCATGTGTAAACCACTAAAAGCAATAGCAACAAAAGCCAAAATTGACAAATGGGATCTAATTAAACTAAAGAGCTTCTGCACAGCAAAAGAAACTACCATCAGAGTGAACAGGCAACCTACAGAATGGGAGAAAATATTTGCAATCTACCCATCTGACAAAGGACTAATATCCAGAATCTACAATGAACTCCAACAAATTTACAAGAATAAAACAAACAACCCCATCAACAAGTAGGTGAAGGATATGAACAGACACTTCTCAAAAGAAGACATTTATGCTACCAACAGACACATGAAAAAATGCTCATCATCACTGGCCATCAGAGAACTGCAAATCCCACAATGAGATACCATCTCACACCAGTTAGAATGGCGATGATTAAAAAGCAGGAAACAACAGGTGCTGGAGAGGATGTGGAGAAATAGGAACACTTTTACACTGCTGGTGGGACTATAAACTGGTTCAACCATTGTGGAAAGACAGTGTGGCTATTCCTCAGGGATCTAGAACTAGAAATACCATTTGACCCAGCCATCCCATTACTGGGTATATACCCAAAGGATTATAAATCATGCTGCTATAAAGATAGATGCACAGGTATGTTTATTGCGGCACTATTCACAATAGCAAAGACTTGGAACCAACCCAAATGTCCAACAATGATAGACTGGATTAAGAAAATGTGGCACATATACACCATGGAATACTATGCAGCCATAAAAATGATGAGTTCATGTCCTTTGTAGGGACATGGATGAAGCTGGAAACCATCATTCTCAGCAAACTATCGCAAGGACAAAAAACCAAACAGCTCACGTTCTCACTCATAGGTGGGAATTGAAAAATGAGAAAACATGGACACAGGAAAGGGAACATCACACACCAGGGCCTGTTGTGGGGTGGGGGGAAGGGGGAGGGATAGCATTAGGAGATATGCCTAATGTTAAATGACGAGTTAATTGGTCCAGCACACCAACAAGGCACATGTATACATATGTAACAAACCTGCACATTGTGCACATGTACCCTAAAACTTAAAGTATAATATAAATAAATAAATAAATAAAATGATGCAATAATTAAATAAAAATACAGTATAAAGTTGCTGGTTAAATGATGAAAGAATAGTTTCTGAACTGCACATGTGATTTCTGTAGAAAAATTTGTATTACTCGTTTATTGCTTATTTCTTGAACAGGAGTAGATATTTAGAATTACTGTTTGTAACTAAGGTGTTCCTCACAATCCAAGCCAGAACTGCGTCTCGAATGTATTTCCCACCATTTCTCTGAGCTCCAGCCCTCTCCAAATCCTACTCTTTATCAGTGCAGCTTCTCACCATTGCTCAGTCACACAGGATTGGGGGAGAGAAGAGGGCAGAAGGGGTGGCTTTGCACCTCCCCATTGGGCAGGCCTTTCCTCTGCCTGAACTGTGCTTTGCTAGTTCTCTACCTAACAATTTCCTACTCATTCTTTAATTCGCTAAAATGGTGCCTTTGAGCTGTCTCCAGCTGCCCCACCCAGCTTCCCCTGGCTCCCTCCGTGGTGCCCTCACAAACTGTTTACAAATTTCCAACATAGCAATTATTGCACACTGTGAGCTCTTCCCTTTGTGTTCCCTATGCTTACTATAGCCATGTTGCTGCCTAAGGGACACACGTAGGGAAATAAGACTCAGCAACACATCCCATTCAACAACAGCCAGCATAAGAAATGGTAAGCTTTTAAGCCAGGTGCAGTGGCTCCTGCCTGTAGTCGCAGCTACTTGGGAGGCTGAGGTGAGAGAATTGCTTGAGCCCAGGGGTTTGAGCCTAGCCTGGGCAACATAATGAGACCCTGGCTCTTTAAAAAAAAAAAAAAAAAAGTTTGCTTCTTTTACATTCCCTCTTCCCAGAGAGGGAAGCTTTTTCTAATTTACACAGGCACTTTTTGCTATTGGAGGGCTGAGTGTAATATTTGACAAAAACAATCAATGCTTATCTAATAATAATAAAAATACTTATCATTTATTAACCATTTACCATGCTAACCCCTTTCATGCGTGGTTCCATTTAGCACTATAATAGCCTATGATGGAGGTAACAGCACCCCATTTCTCTGAAATCTTCACATAGTGGATATTGCTGTCAAATAAATTATCTTCTACTAGGGTGAGCTCCACTGACATGAGACTTGAGAATGAGTAGACCGTAAAAATGTCATTTATTAGACACAATTTTCCAGGCACCGTACTAAGCACTGCAAGTGCATTTACTCATAAGTGGAATGCAATTGTTATGTGAATGGCATGTCCAATCAAGGTGCAAAAATTCCTCCCCAGGCAGAAGAAGCATTGAAGGAAAACAATAGCATGTTCTCTCTGGCTTTAAAGTGACAATTGGTTTACAGTAACAGACTCACCCGGTGATCACTAGTGTCTAGTACAGAAATAAGAATGAACCTGCTGGGCTATGAATTCAGCATAGATAGAAAAGAATGTGTGTGTGTGTGTGTGTGTGTGTGTCTGTGTGTGTGTGTTTGAGCAAGTGAGAGGAAGACAGAGAGGGTTTTTTTTTTTTTCTCAAAACGTAGTATTGGAGGGCAGTTTGCGGTGTTTTATTTCCTTGAAGTGTGTTTATGTATCTTCATGGCTTTTATCTCTAAAATCTTGGAGGAATTTAAATCCTAGCCAAGTGAGGATATATACTTTTATCAGCTAGTATTCCAAGTTTAGCAAGCAATGTTTGCTTTTTCCCTTCCAAAAAAAAAAAAAAAAAAAAACGGATGGTTCAGAAACTTTTGAGCCACTCACATGCTCTCACATTGTAAATGTGATTCACTCCTCTGACTGGCCCTGCTTGTCATAGAAAACACAGTCTACTTGCATTTAGCATCTGAAAGATACCTCAAGGAAATATTTAGATGGGAGACACCGTGAGAGCTATACCGAAGAGCCTGAGACAGAAAACAAGGGGCCTGTGTTCTCATCCCACCCTTCCACTCTCCTACTGCATGACCAAACTCCCTAGCGAGAGTCCTAATCCCCGTGATGCATCCTGCTAAAACGGGACTACAGGCTAGGAGTCTCAGCTGTAATGGATTTGCCTCTATTTGCAAGTTCCCCCTCTTTTCATTGAAGTAGGAAGAAGTGAGAATTATTCAATCAGTCACAACATTATAATGAATGCTGTTTATTATTGCACTTGATTTGTTGGTTTGCCCTCAATCACTCCTAGGACATGAATGCTGCAAGTGACCTCTTACTCTCTGAGTCTGGAGTGACATCAGATGGTGGGGGGTAAAGAGCGCACTGTCAGCTCCTGAAACTGAGTCAACATCCAAGGGGGTAAAGCTGAATACCCTCTCCTATCTGAAGGAGGGAGGGAGGGAGGGAGGGAATGAGGGGAGGTAGAAAGAAAGAACATCTTCCTAGTATAGAGTCTGAATGCTGTAAAGAACCATCAGGGTCATCTCACTTAACTCCCTGATGGTCAGAAAAGGAAGCTGATGTTCAGGGAGCAAAAGTGACTTTCCTAAGCTCACATAGATAAGGAGGACCCAGGCCAGGGCCAGGAATCTTGCCTCTGATTTGCACCACATTTATAGCTTAAATATTTGCCTATTGGCCTTCACTAGACATTAAGCCCCACAAGCAAAGTATCTTGTGTGTGTTAGTTCACAGCTATATTCCGTCCCCTAGTGTGAGCCTCCATACTACGCGCTCAAGAAATAACTGATGAATGAAGAGATGAACCAAAACTTACGCCCAGGTCTCACATCTCTCAGCCCTTTCAGCTTGCACTTTCTCCCAAGACATCTCTGATATGCCTTGTGAGTTTTTAACAGTATATTAAGGGGGAGTTGTATCAAAAGTAGAAACTGTTCCAAATAAATCTATTCAACCTGGATGTTCTTTGTCTATAACCCATTACTTACAACATACACTAACTCACAAGGTATATTTCTTGATTCAGTCTTGAAATGCGAGCAAGGTTAATTTGACTTAGACAAAAGAAATGGCTTGAGAGATGGAGTACCATAAGAGATGGGGTACCATAAGTCTGAGAGATGGAGTACCATGAGTAGTCAAAAAGGAAAAAAGCACTGTGAATTTTGTCTTCTGAAGTAGGCACGTAGCTACTGCATTTCTGAAAGTAACTTGTGATAGAGGAAGGAAAATATGCTCTGTAGGTGGAGAGATTTGGGTTCCAGTTAGGACTTTCCTGTTTTCTAGATTTGTGACCTTGAACAAGTTACCACTGAGCCTCATTACAAGTGGTGATGATAATGTGAAGTAGGCATTATTATTAAATTCATGATGCAGATGAAGAAAATGAATCCTAAAAAAGTTAAATAACTAGTCCAAGGTCAGATGGCCAGTGATTTGAATCAAACTTATTAGCAAGGACTCTCAAAAAGAAAATGTGTCTAATAGAGAAGCAGTGTGCCTGGCCCGTCTGACACCAGGATTGGACTCTTGTCCCTGCCTTGTGCACTTTCCTTACTTAACAAATGCCTGGGAGCATATAACCACACTGGCCTCACCCCGTAACATCACGTGACTACATTTGAACAAACTATATTATGAAACAGTCATTGAGCTCTCCCTTCCTGCCTGTAATAGGTCACAGCATCTGTTCCTCTACTGCAGACAACAGCTATTAACCAATTCTTCCGTCAGCCAACATTGCTTAGGCAATTAACTACTGTGTACTCAGCAACTGCTAAGCCCTGGAAGAATCCAAACCGAAAACAAAACAGTAGTGAAGTTTGGTCTTTGGAGTCCGAGACAGCTGAGTTTGAATCCCAGTTCTGCCACTTGCCGGCTGGGCAAAATTATGTTATCTCTCTAAGCCTCAGTTTTCTCATTTGTATTGTAGATTTATATAGAAAAAGGTATTTGTGTTGTGTTTGTGTGTGTGTGTTTGCCTGTATGTGTATATGTCATAGTGTTATGGGGAGGATTCAATGAGATAATTAGTGCAAAATGTTTAAGAAGGTATGTTGTGACAATGGCACAGAGGAGAGCTCAATAAGTATTAGTTGCTAGTATTAAGAATGTATATTCTGGCCAGGCATGGTGGCTCACGCCTGTAATCCCAGCACTTTGGGAGGCCAAGGCAGGTGGATCATGAGGTCAGGAGATCGAGACCATCCTGGCTAACTGGTGAAACCCCATCTCTACTAAAAAAAAAAAAAAAAAAAAAATTAGCCAGGCGTGGTGGTGTGCACCTGTAGTCCCAGCTACTCGGGAGGCTGAGGCAGAAGAATGGCGTGAACCCGGGAGGCAGAGTTTGCAGTGAGTTGAGATCGTGCCACTGCACTCCAACCTGGGCTTGACACACTGTCTCAAAAAAAAAAAAAAAGATGTATATTCTAAATGGGAAAAAGACACAATTTGAGTTATCAAAGAACAGTTGTGACGGTTAATACTGAGTATCAACTTGATTGGATGGAAGGATGCAAAGTATTGATCCTGGATGTGTCTGTGAGGGTGTTGCCAAAGGAGATTAGCATTTGAGTCAGTGGGCTGGGAAAGGCAGACCCACCCTTAATCTGGGTGGGTACCATCTAATCAGCTACCAGCATGGCTAGTATATAAAGCAGTCATAAAAATGTGAAAAGACTAGACTGGCCTAACCTCCCAGACTACATCTTTCTCCCCTGCTGGATGCTTTCTGCCCTTAAACATCTGACTCCATGTTCTTTAGTTTTGAGACTCGGATTGGCTGTCTTTCCTCCTCAGCTTGCAGATGGCCTTTTGTGGGACCTTGTGATCTTGTGAGTTAATACTTGTTAAACTCATATATACATATATATATATATATATATATATATATATATATATATATAATAAAAATATATATGTAAATATAAATAAAAAACAATATCGCATCCCTGGAGGGATTATGGAGATTAGTGCCACCATCAAGGACTTAAAAGATGCAGGGGTGGTGATTCCCACCACATCCCCATTTAACTCTTTTATTTATTTATATATATCTATATATCCTATAGATATCTATATAGATATCTATAGGATATATATACTTAGGATATATATCTTTAGGATATTTAGGATATATATATGGATATATATATAGAGGATATATATGTGTATATATATGGATATATATATATAGGGTATATATATGTGTATATATATACAGATATATATATAGGATATATGTATGTGTGTATATATATATATATCCTATTTGTTCTGTCCCTCTAGAGAACCCTAATACAGATTTTGGTACCAGGAGTGGTTCTAAAGGAACAGAATATTAAGGATGGAGTTCTTTCATTAGTTTTGGGGGTTTTTGGAATTGGCTTCTTAGTATGATTAGACCCAAAAATGCTAAGGACCCTACTTCTAGTAGCATGGAGAACACTGATAGTCCTTGGCATGAACTGTTTAGAGAGTTATGCAAAATAAATGCATTTGACATTCCTGATTCACCATTTGTGAGAGGCAAGGAGTTTATTGACTCTATACATAATACTTTTGACCATATGTGGAGAACCAAGGAACATAATGAAGCTGCTTGGTTGCTCCTAAGTTCAGTAGACAAAGTGATGAAAGAAAAGGATGAACCCAGGGATTCTAACTCCCAGCTTCAGAGGCAGACACTGAGCCTCAGATTGCTAAGATTGCCCTGAGTGAGAGTCTCATCTCCTATGTGAAAGATGAAATTGTGGAAAAACAGGCACAAACTCTTATCATGCGAGTGGCTGACCTGCAATGAAAGGTGCATGCACAGTCTCATCAGATGTCTATGGTTAAAGTGAGGGCATTGATTGGAAAAGAATGGGACCCTGCAACTTACAATAGAAACGTGTGAGAGAACCCTGATAAAGCTGGGGACACTAAGTTTGTAAATTCTGATGAACCTTTTTTTGCCAGAAGAAACAGCTTCCCCATCCCCAGTAGTGTCAACATCCCCTCCCAACCCATGCTGCCATCAGCCTTTCCACATTTGTCTGAGGAGATAAACCCTGTGCTGCCTGAGGCAAATGTGATGGCCTCCCCTGAGGCAGGTGCCAGGCAAGATAATGTTGATTCTCCTCAGGAGCCACCTCCAACACCCCTATTTGCGTCTAGACCTATAACTAGACTAAACTTCTGGCTGGTGCCTAGAGGGAGGTTGAGAGTGTGACCCATGAGGAGGTGCACTACACTCAAAAATCAATGCTTTGAATATAAACATAAATCTGGAGAACAGGCATGGAAATGGATATTAAAGGTGTGAGATAATGGTGGAAGGAACATAGAGTTGGATCAGGCTGAATTTATTGATTTGGGCCCACTAGGGACTCTGCATTTAATGTTGCAGCTCAGGGACTTAGAAAAGGTTCTAGTAGTTTGTTTGCTTGTTTAGCTGAAATATGGATTAAAAGATGGCCCACTGTGAGCGAGCTGGAAATTCTAGGACCAAGTTTAGTGGAAACTGAACGTTTGACTACGGGTCATCCAGTTGCCATGAGACCTGAACTGCCAATCATGAACTAAGTGCTTTCTGACCCATCTAGCCATAGAGTGGGCCGTGCACAGCAGCATTCCATCAGCAAATGGAAGTGGTATATACATGATTGGTCTCAAGTAGGTCCTGAAGGCACAAGTAAGTTACATGATGAAGTGGCTCAAATGTCCATGGTCTCCACTCCTGCCACCCTGCACCAATGGCCTCATGGGGAGTTCCCTATGATCAGTAGACAGAGGAAGAGAAGACTGGGTCCTGGTTCACAGATGATTCTGCACGATATCCAGATACCACCCAAAAGTGGACAGCTGCAGCACTACAGCCCCTTTCTAGGACATCCCTGAAGGACAGCCATGAAGGGAAATCTTCCCAGTGGGCAGAACTTAGAGCAGTGCACCTGGTTTTGCGCTTTGCATGGAAGGAGAAATGGCCAGATGTGCAATTATATACTGATTCATGGGCTGTAGCCAGTGGTTTGGCTGGATGGTCAGGGACTTGGAAGAAGCATGATTGGAAAATTGGTGACAAAGAAATTTGGGGAAGAGGTATATGGATGGACCTCTCTGAGAGGTAAAAAAACATGAAGATATTTGTATCCCATGTGAGTCCTCACCAATGGGTGACCTCAGCAGAGGAGGATTTTAATAATCAAGTATATAGGATGACCTGTTCTGTGGACGCCACTCAGTCTTTTTCCCCAGCCACCCCTGTCATCGCCCAATGGGCCCATGAACAACGTGGCCATGGTGGCAGGGATGGAGATTATGCATGGGCTCAGCAACATGGGCTTCCACTCACCAGGGATGACCTGGCTACAGCCACTGCTGAGTGCCCCATTTGCCAGCAGCAGAGACCAACACTGAGCCCTCAATATGGCACCATTCCTCAGGGTGATCAGCCAGCTACCTGGTGGCAGGTTATATATATATTGCACCTCTTCCATCACGGAAAGAGCAGAGGTTTGTCCTCACTGGAATAGACACTTACTCTGGATATGGGTATGCCTGTCCTGCACACAATGCTTCTGCCAAGACTACCATCTGTGGACTCATGAAGTGCCTTATCCACTGTCATGGTACACACATTGTTACACACACCCCACACAGCATTGCCTCTGACCAAGGCACTCACTTTATGGCTAAAGAAGTGTGGCTGCTCATGGAATTCACTGGTCTTACTATGTTCCCCATCATCCTGAAACAACTGGATTGATAGAATGGTGAAATAGCTTTGTAAGTCACAATTACAACTCCAACTAAGTGACAATACTTTGCAGGGCTGGGGCAAAGTTCTCCAGAAGGCCACGTATGCTCTGAATCAGCAACTAATATATGGTACTGTTTCTCCCATAGCCAGGATTCACGGGTCCAGGAATCAACGGGTGGAAGTGGAAGCGGCACCACTCACCATCACTCCTAGTGATCCACTAGCAAATTTTTTGCTTCCTCCTCCCACAACATTACATTCTGCTGGCCTAGATAGTCTGCTGGCCTAGGTAGTCTTAGTTCCAGAGGGAGGAATGCTGCCACCAGGAGACACAACGATTCTGTTAAATGGGAAGTTAAGATTGCCACCTGGACACTTTGGGCTCCTCCTACTTTTAAGTCAGCAGGCTAAAAAGGAAGTTACAGTGTTGGCTGGGGTGACTGACCCAGACTGTCAAGATGAAATCAGTCTACTACTTCATAATGGAGGTAAGGAAGAGTATGCATGGAATACAGGAGATTCGTTAGGGTGTCTCTTAGTATTACTGTGCCCTGTGATTAAGGTCAGTGGGAAACTACAATAACCCAATCCAGGAAGGGATAGCCCAGGCCCTTTAGGAATCAAGGTTTAGGTCACTCTACCAGGAAAAAAACCATGACCTGCTGAGGTGCTTGCTGAAGGCAAAGGGAATACTGAATGGGTAGTAGAAGAAGTCATCAATACCAGCTATGACCACATGACCAGCTGCAGAAACTAGGAGTGTAATTGTCATAAGGATTTCCTCCTTCTTTTGTTAAAAACATGTTTGTGCATGTAACCTGTACTAAGAAAATATCTTCATTTTATTTCCTTTTTCCTTTATCATGTGACATAAGATTTATTGACCTCACATCAGCATAGAAGTATTGTTAACTTTAATAGTATTTGGGTTGGAGATTGGTGCATTTCTGGTTGTACGAAGGATAGTTGTATTATGTTAGGTGTAATTATGACCTTATTATTGTCTTTATTTGAAGATTATATATAATCTCAGAAGATGTGTATGGGTTCAAGTTGACAAGGGGTAGACTTGTGATGGTTAATACTGAGTGTCAACTTGATTGGGTGGAAGGATGCAAACTATTGATCCTAGATGTATCTGTGAGGGTGTTGCCAAAGGAGATTAACATTTGAGTCAGTGGGCTGGGAAAGGCAGACCCACCCTTAATCTGTGTGGGTACCATCTAACCAGCTGCCAGCATGGCTAGAATATAAAGCAGACAGAAAAATGTGAAAAGACTAGACTGGTCTAGCCTCCCAGCCCACATCCTTCTCCCATGCTGGATGCTTCCTACCCTTGAACATCGGACTCCAGGTTCTTCAGTTTTGGGACTTGGACTGGCTCTCCTTTCTCTTCAGCTTGCAGATGCCTTATTGTGAGACCTTGTGATCTTGTAAGTTAATACTTAATAATATATGTGTGTGTGTGTATAAATATATATATCCTATTAGATCTATCTATATATATATATATATATATATATATATATATATATATATATATATATATATAAATGGGTGTGTGTGTGTATATATATAAATATATATATCCTAATTAGTTCTGTCACTCCAGAGAACTCTGACCAATACAACAGTCAAGAGCTCTGCTTAATTCCTTTTGCTGGTAGAATAACCTCCCTATCTTGCTCCCTATTCTACTTGGTGAATAATGGTCTATTTAATATTTAGCTCACATGTCCCCTCTTGCTTGCCTATCCTCCCCTCCATAGCAGAACTTATCCTGCCTTCTTCATGCCCCTTGAGTACTTTGCGTGCACTGTCACATTGCCTTAGTAACTTAGAAATCTCTGTCATTAAATTGTGAGGTTTTTTAGAGCTTATTGTAGCCCCAGTTCCTAGCACAGTGCCTGGATTATTCATGTGCTCAAAATATATTAGGTACATGCATAAATGGATGTAACTATCTGATAATTATTTCCTAATTATCTACAGTAATTAGGAAAGCCTTCTAACAAGAGAAAGTTCATGAGAAATGAGTAACTTCAGAAGTACTGGGGAGACAGCAATGGAAACAGAAAAAGAATGGGGATCCTGTAACTTTAAATTGGTGTAATCAACGTATGGATCTCAGTGAGGGTAATTTCCTTACACAGGTAAGGGTAAATCAGCTTATAGGTTTTGGCCAGCCCCATGGAGTCACATAACCTTTAGGATAGGTATGTAAGACCAGCCAGTAAAGACTAGTCTGAGAGATTACCAGAAGAGGAGAGGAGCCCTTAGGGAAGCTACAGAAGAAGTGGCATTCCTGGGAGTGAAGAAATGAAATTGAGGCAAGACATGCTCCCTGCAAATGAGCATATTACTTCATACCCATCAAAAGTATTCAGTGGTGTCATAGCCCTTGGGGATTGATCACCAAAATCTCATTGCTTGAATCACTTGAAAAAAATAGAGATTATATTTTAGAAATAAGGTATAAAATTTTATAGGAAGTAATTTGCCTGGAGAAGTTCTCAGCAGTAGTTATTGTGGCTATCCACTGAGAGCAGAGTAAAATGCACACTTGGAATCTTTGCAAGCAATCACAGAAAAGGTAGTATCGTATAATAGATAAGAGCGCAACTCTGGAGCCAAACTGCTTGGGTATGAATCTTGGCTTGTGACTCCTAGTTGTGTAAACCCTTAGGCAAGTGACTCAACCTTTCTCTAGCTCAGTTTCCTTATGTATAAGTTGTGAACACTATTTGTAGCCACTTAATAGGACTTGATATGTGGAAAGCACTTAGAATGATTAATCCATGTAAAGCACTTATAAAAGTATCCGCTATATGAGTAAGCATTTAACAAATGTTACCAACAAATGCTATTATTATTGACAAGTACTTTTTATCTATTTGGTTCCACACATTATTCTGGGGTACCTTGAAGAGTGCAAAAGAAAATTTTAAGATAAGATCCTCCTCCTTACAGGGTTAAGCTGAAGATGAAACGAAAAACTAGCATCAATAGAGCAATTAGAGAACCCTTAAGTCCAAACTGAGTAACTGTGGTTAAAGGAAGGAAAGGATCAGGATAGTCAGAGAAGGGGCCTAATGTGGTGATATGTACTTAGTGGGTGCTCAATTAAATTCATTAAAGATAACCCAGACAGAATTTTCACTCACATTAGGATTTTATTAACTGTTATGTCAGTCTCTGGATTTGGGGGGAAACAATCACAGGAACAAAATAATACCCTCAATTAGCAATGCATTTAGAGAATGCTAAAATAGAAAAGGGAAAAAAGGAATTTATCTTTTAGCTTGACCTTGAATGAGGTTTCAGGATTTGAGAATGGTAGAGATGAAAGAAACCTCAGAGATCCTCAGCGATCAACTGGTCTATGCACTGTCTTTTATATATGAAGAAACAGGCCCAGATATATGAATGACTTGTTCAAATTGCACTGGAGAACCAGGTCTCCTCATTCTCAGTCTGATTCTTGGCTCCCTGTGGACATTGGTGGGCTTCACTGGATTCTGAAAGCCATTCTCCCTGCCCAACACTGATCAGTTAGTCGGACTTCCATCTATGGACCCTAGAGCTTTTCCTGCCAGTGGTTGCTCCTGTAACCTACTGTGGCCATTGTGGGCTGACAGCCATATTGTGAGGGATTAGGTAGCTCTCTAGGCATTGACAAGAACCTTTGAATTTTAGAAAATATCCAAAAAAAAAAAAAAGAAAAGAAAAACAGAAAAAAATAGAAATCAAGAAATTAGCAATGTGACCAACAACGTATGTTCTGAGCCCCATTTCTCTATCTAACATATGGGAATTTAAAAATAATTTCAACATGTCCAATTGGTGAGAATAACTGTAAAGTGAGCAAAGTAGGGAATAAAGGTTTTTTCTTCTTTACTTAGTTTTGTTTTGCTTTCTGACCCTTTGAGTTGTAGTATAAGCCATAGTATTTTGAAACTTAATGATGAAATCCTATACAATTTTAGGCTTATGAAATAATTAATAGGAGTCACAAAGCTGGCAATTTCCTGTGGAATCTACCACACAGAATGATGCACAAATTGGCAAAGAAAATGACACTTTCAGAATCTATTATTAAATTTTATCATCTCTTGCACTAGTTCCAAACATGAATATCTAAATGAAGATAAAATTGCTAAGGGCTCAGTGGAAGCCTTGACACATAGTGGGACATACAGGCATTCAATAAATAAATTTATTAATAAAGGAATAATAATTATAACTTAATTAGTAAATAAAATAAATAAATAAATGAACAAATAACCCCCCTAGCTGACAGTAGCATAAAAGCTCCATCAGCTTTAATGAACCTGAAGAAAGCTGTTTCAGTTTTTTCCAAAAACTGGACCTATGACCCAGTGACCACACAAAGTTTGATGTTTGCAAGGCAGGATGGATGTTGGAAGAAATGTAGCCGTGGTGGATAATACAGTGCAACAACATCATCTTTGGGATTTGATTCTCTGATACTTCTCTCATATTCCCAATTTAAGGTCATGTTCATATCCATGCTGGAATACTTTGAATCCTAGCAAATAAATTAATACTAAACCTAGTCTGCCAAAGCCCTGTGTTCAGAATGACGGCACCTTGTTAGAAGGCTTGCCTAATTACTCTAGGATCCTCCGTCCTAGATACTTACATCCATTTATTCATGCACCAAATATATACTGAACACATGCATAATCCAGGCATTGTGCTAGGAACTGGAGCTACAATACTAAAGAACCTCACAATTCAATGACAGAGATTTCTAAGTTACTAAGGCAATGTGACAGTGCATGCAAAGTACCGAAGGGGCATGAGGAAGGCAGGATAAGTTCTGCTATGGAGGGGAGTATATGCAAGCAAGAGGGGACATGTGAGCTAAATATTAAAGAATAGATCATTATTCACCAAGTAGAATAGGGAGCAAGATAGGGAGGTTATTTTACCAGCAAAAGGAATTAAGCAGAGCTCTTGACTGTCGTATTAGTCAGAGTTCTCTGGAGGGACAGAACTGATATATATATATATATATATATATATATATATATATATATATATATCTCCTATTAGTGGAGGAAATATATATATCCTATTAGAGGAAATATATATATGATATTATATATATAATATATATATATGGGAGTTTATTATGTATTAACTCACAAGATCACAAGATACCCCAATAGGCAGTCTGCAAGCTGAGGAGCAAGGAGAGCCAGTCCGAGTCCCAAACAGAAGAACTTTGAGTCTGATGTTCGAGGGCAGGAAGACTTACCTTATAAGGAGGCAATACGGAGAGTGTAGAGGGTGTTGAAAGGGAAAAAAAAAGCAATCATGATACATTCTTGGGACCAGTTATTAATTACGAATAAATGGTTGCTGGTGGAAATGTCAATTCGTACAGATTATTTGAAAGCAATTTGGCAGTGTGTCAAAACTTTTAAACTATTCATAATTTTTAACTCAATAATTTAACCTTTAGAAATCTATCCCAAGAAAATAATCCAAAATGCACTGAATGGTATATTCATTGCAATATAGACTACAAAGAAAATGGAAAACAACAAACAACATAGGAATGTTAAGCCACTGCAGTAAATTCACTTGAAATACTATTTTGTCATTATGTTTATAAGACACCTTGGTTTGTAGTCTTCTTTTCTCGTGATATCTTTGTCAAATTTTGGTATCTAGGTAATACTGGCCTCATAGAATAAGTTGGGAAATGTCTCCTCTTCTATCTTTTAGAAAACTTTGTGAGAATTGGCTTTCATTCTTTTTTAAATGGTGTTTAATAGAATTCACCAGGAAAGCCATCTAGGCATGGGCTTCTGTGTGGATAATTTTTTAAATCACTGATTCAATCTCTTTACTTGTTATAGGTCTATTCTGCGTTTTAATTTTTTCTTGATTCAATTTTGGTAGTTTGTGTCTTTCTAGGAATTAGTCCATCTTATCTAAGTTAGCTAATTTACTGGCATATAATTGTTCATAGTATTCCCTTTTAAATCTTATTTGTGTAAGGTCAATAATAATATCTCTTCTTTTATTCCTAATGTTTGCAATGTAAATCTTTGTTTTCTTGGTCAGTCTAGCTAAGGTTAATCAATTTCATCAATCTTTGCAAAAAAAAAAAAAGATTTTTCTTCCCCACTTTGTTTTGTTAATTTTTCTCAATTTTTAAAATTCTCTGTTTCATTAATTTCTGTTCTAATATTTATTATTGTTTTTTTTTTTCTCCTTGCTTTAGGTTTAGTTTGGTCTTACTTTTCCAGTATCTTCAGGTAGAAGATTAGATTATTCCTTTGGATCTTTTTTTAGTATAGACATATATGGCTATAAGTTTTTCTCTAAGTACAGTGTTAGCTACATCCTATAAATTTTGGTATCTTGTGTCTTCATTCTCATTCATCTAAAAGTAGTTTCATTTTCTCTTGTGATTTCTTCTTTGATCCATTGGTTAGTTAGGAGAGTGTTGCTTAATTTCCATACATTTGAGAATTTTCCAAATTCCTTTATGTTACTGAGTTTTAATTTCATTTCATTGTTATATGTTCATTAAAACTGATGCTTCTAAAGATTTTCTAATAATTGGGAAAGTGTGTCTATTACTATTAAAATTGGCTTCTATTTATTGAACTATAGTGTCAGCAACTATGGTGAGAGCTATTAATATGTTATCACATTTAAATACCTAAAACTGAGGCTCAGAGATTAAATAATATTTCTAAAGTCATACAGCCAAATTCCAAAGTCTATGCCCATAACACTTCATTATGTGAAATAGTAAACTTAAAAATCGGAATTAAAATTATACAGAAAAGTATAGTACAACTAAATTTAAACAGGATACATTTTTTTAAAATGAAGAAATAATACTAAGGGATATTTGTATCTCTGTAATAAGATGATAACTTTTTCCTCAATTCCCTTTGAATTTTTTCTAAAAAGGGAAGCTTCCATTTGTTAATGGAAAAAAGTTGTTGTTGTTTTTTTTTTAATAAATTAAGCTTTTAGTTAGGAAAGGGAGTAAAGGTTAATTGGGAAAAAAGTTAGAAAAGAAAAATTAAATGGTAGATTTTATTGGAGTTATTAATGCTACTGGAAATCTTTAAAAGTTTTCCATTATTGAATTGTGGACAATAGATAGAGCTGAAAATGTGACACTATGAAAAAATGCATACAAGCAAATAGCTAAGCCACCTCATTTTTATTACTAGTAATAAAAGGCAGCTAGAAGTAAATGAGATCATTGAGCATAAGAATTATGAGATTAAATTCATGAAAAAAAGACAAATCTGAGATAACTGCAGAGAAATGCAATAAAAAGAAACTATGTGGGTTTTGTTTTGTTTTTTGTTTTTTGTTTTTTGTTTTTGAGACGAAGTCTCTCTGTGTTGCCCAGGCTGGAGTGCAATGGTGTGATCTCGGCTCACCGCATCCTCTGCCTCTCAGGTTCAAGCAATTCTCCTGTCTCAGCCTCCTGAGTAGATGGGACTACAGGCACATGCCACCACACCCAGCTAATTTTTGTATTTTTCGGGGTTTTGCCATATTGATCAGGCTGGTGTCGAATTCCTGAGCTCAGGTGATCCACCTACCTTGGCCTCCCAAAGTGCTGGGATTACAGGCGTGAGCCACCACGCCCAGCCGGTATGGTTCTTATTCTTCCATTACTTCTCCCCCCTTTCACCAGATGTTCAGTTATTTTGTTGTGTTTGTTTTGTTTTGCTTTGCCCACATTTTCTCTCCATACTCATAGTAGAAATCATTGCTCAACATTTTGGTTCCTGCATTCATTCAGTGAGTATTGAGTACCTGTCATGCTCTCAATCCCAGAGATACCAAAATGAAAGTAACATGTTACCTGCTATTAGATCATAATGTGATAGGAGAGAAATATATAAAAATAAGTGGCATTCACTGTGACAACATTGGGTAGAACACCTAAGCATAACCTTAAAAATGCTAAGTGTTTGTGAGATGGACAAAGAGAAAAGAGTTTCTAAAACCACCTCCTGAGACAAGATATAGAAGATTAATCTATACATATTTAGGAGACTAGCATGGGCTGGAAATACAGTTTTGGGAGGTGTCATGGTTACAACCATGATAATATATGGATTAGACATCCTTCCTAACTCTTCCACTGATTTGATTTCTACCACCATAGCTTAGTTTTGCCTGTTCTTGGACTTACAGTCATTGGAATTATCTATCTGTATTCTTTTGTGTCTGCCTTCTATAATGCTTTTATGGTTCATCCATGTTGTTTCCTGCATCAATAGTTCAGTCCTTTTTATTGTTGAGTAGCATTTCACTGTATGAATATACCGCAATGTATTAATTTACCTGTTGATGGATATTAGGGTAGTTTCCAGTTTGAGGTAATTGTGAACAGTCTTGTAAAGATACCTTTTTGTGGACATATGTTTTTCTGTTAGGTAATTTTCTAGGAGTGAATTTCTAAGTCATACATTAGTTATATGATTACATTTACAAGAAGATACCAAACTATTTTTCAAAGTAACTGTATCATGTTGCATTTCCACCAATTTAAATGAGAGTTGCAAGGGCTCCATGTCTTATTAACACTTAATATTGTCAGTCTTTAATTTTAGCTACTCTGGTGGGTATCAAGTGAACTTTGGCTTTAATTTGCATCTCCCCGATGACTAATGATGTTTTTCATATGCTTTCTGATCACTTATATATATATATATATATCTTATGTTAAATATCCAGTCAAGTCTCTAGCTCATTTTTTATTGGTTTTTCTATTTATTTTTCAATTGTAGGACTTTAAAAATACTTTGAATAAAAACTTTTCAGATATATATATTGCAAACATTGTTTCCCACTTTGTGACTTGTCTTTTCATTTTTTAAATGACTTCTTTTGAAGAACAGAAATTTTTAACTTGGGCTGAAGTCCAGTTTAACAACTTTTTTATTTATCATTTGTGCTTTTTACATTCTATCCATAAATCTTTGCCTACCTCAAATTATAAGTATATTGTATGTTTTCTTCTAGAAATTGTACAGTTTAAGCCTGTGTGTTTAGATCTGTAATCTATCCCTTAATAATTTTGGTGTTTGGTATGAATTGAGTCAAAGTTTATTCTTTCCCAAGTTGCTCCAGAGCATTTGTTGAAGCAGTTTTAGCTATGGGACATCCAGGTGGGCATGAGTGAGAGGTTGGACTTATGAGAGTGAGGTTCAGGAAAGCAGCCTAAGCTGAAAATATTGTTTTGGGGAGAGCCATAGTTATTATAACTATGTTAATAAATGGGTACGACAATTTCTAACCTCACCAATCTTCCTCTTTAATAGCAGCAGACAGAGAATAATATGTCATAAGTACTATGGTATGGGTAAAAACAGGTATATAGAGTTCTGTGACAACTTAGAGAAGGATACTAACTCAACTTCAAGTTGAGAAAATGAGATGACCCTTAAGCTCAGTTTTGAAGATAGAGTACTTCAGCAGGATAAACATGAGGTGGAGTGGAAGGGCAGTCCAAAATTAGATTGTTTTTGTCAATTACAATTCTGAAGTAGATAAACAAAAGCATGGCAAGCACTCACTGTATTCTCTGCTTGATGTCTCAGGTTTTTCTGATAATAGCATGTCATTCTTTGGAGAATACCTCTCCCTATACCTCCCCCACTCCAACAGACACACACATCTACCACGGCGAAGTAATTTTTATGTCCACATAGACCCTGCCCACTGCCACCACTGTCATAATTAGATGACACAGAGCTGAACATCTAATCCGTTCTGAGCACATCAGAGATCTTCCCTGAGATTTTTTAGCTTGAACCCAAAGAGTGCTAGAGTCACTCACTGGTTTAGAAACTATAAGAAAGGGAGCTTAGGATTCAGTGGTAGCTGTGTTTGCCACCATGTAAAAGGGTCTGATCAGTAGGGAGAGAAAAATAAAGCAAACAAACACTCCAGGAGATAGAGTGAGTGTCCTGATTGCATTTGAATCTTCTATTCTAGTTCTTCATGTGGTTTAGCTGCATGTGGCCTATCTCATTTGGTTGTTCTACAGTTCCTCAGATTTGATGAGATTTTCTAGTATCCTTGCAATAAAATTCCTTTTCTTTATGGTAGTACAGGGCTGCCACATAGTCTGTGCCCTGCTCAACTTCAGGAGACATCCTTTTCAAACATAGGCACTGGTAGGCAGGGAGCTCCACCTAGAAGCCTTTAGAGTTCTCACCTCATCACTAAGGGCTAAGGATGGTGAACTGGGTGTCTCTGCAGTCTGGGGCAAGGTTGACAGGAATCATTTGTTTTAACTAAAAAATCCATACAAATTTGAGGATATTGTGTAAAAAAAAAAAAAAAGAAATAGGCAGTTCAACCTAAAAAACAGCCATAAACATGGTAGTTGTTCCTTCATCTTGTGGGACGTAGAGTCAGTCACTGTTTCTGAAATAGCCTCAGGTAAGTACCTAAGAGCCCGGCAGAGGAGTAATTTGAGAATAGAGCTAGGACAGCTCCTGCATCCTGGGATGGTGGTGGAGCTGGCATAAACTAAATTTGCGGGTTTACAAGAAATAATCTAGTGTGCCATTTAGTTGAGTGTTTCTGGTTAATATGAAACTTCTATTCAATACTGTTTTTAAAAATGGTAATTATCAGTACAATTCATTTTGGTTAGTCTATAAATAATTAGGACTTAAAGTGAAACTCAGATAGCAGTTTTATTTGCTTCAGCTCTGAGTTCCTGTAATACCTGCCAGAGCAGCTTGATGATGTGACAGGTCTTTAATCCACAGCGGCCAGGTGGCAGGAGCCACAGTAGGCAGACTCTAATGAGGCAAGATCAGGTCTCTTTAGTTCATAAAACCAGACAAGGATTTATGGTAGACAGTCATAGGAAACATGGGGTTTGAGTACACAGAAACATTCTGCTTTGATACCTTGGCTTTATTGCTTAACACTGGAAAACATCACATTCTCTTTAGATTGAATATTATTTGTTCAGCTTCTCCAGGTCCTAGTTGACAGTTCTATTATTGTTAAAGTCCCTCCCTAAGAACAGCTCCACACATGATGAATAATTGGTCAACTTGAAAATCCTCCCACTTTTTTACAAATAAGCCAGTTTCTGCATTGATCATTGATTTGTTTATTCACTAGCAGACTTTCTGCCAGGTACTAGGTTAGGGAGATATTGAAAATAATCAGTAAATGAAGTAAAAATAAGCACTTTACTTAAGGAGCCAGTCTACAGTTTAGTAGAAGACAGTCAAGTAAAAGATAAAAAATAGAGAGCAATAAAGGCCAGAATGTGGGGAAACACAAAAGGAGTTGGAGCATGTATTCATTCAACAAATATTTATTGAGTATATACTATATGTACATGTTCTAAGGCACCAGAGAGATGGCAGTGGATGAAAACACATTTCTTATTTTCAGGGAGTTTACATTTCCATGGGGAAAACAGAAAATAAACAAATGTGTATGCAGGCAGATGGTGATAAATGTTGAAAGAGAGAGAAAGGAAGGAAGGAAGGAAGGAAGGAAGGAAGGAAGGAAGGAAGGAAGGAAGGAAGGAAAGAAAGAAAAGACAAAGGAAGGCAAATAGTAATAGGGCCAGCACAATTTTAGACAGGCCTGTCAGAAAAAGCCTCACTGATAAGGGGGAATATGTGAGTAGAACTCTGAACGATGTGAGGAATCAGCCTTCTAAGGGAAGAAGATTACAAGCAGAGGGAACAGCAAGAGCAAAGTCCCTGAATCAAGATTCAAGGAAATCTTGAATTTAAGGATTCAAGGAAAAGCAACAAGGCCAATGTGGCAGGAAGACAGTGAGGCAAAGAAGGCACAGTGGCAGAGGAGATCAAAGTGGTAGCTAGAGCTGGATTATGGAGAGCCTTTCCAGCCATGTTGTACATTTTGGGTTTTATTCTGAATGAGGTGGGAAGTCACTGGAGGATCTCGAGCAGAATGACATGATCTGAATTACAATTTTAAATGATCACCCTGGCTGCTGTAAGGAGAATAAAGTGCAGCAGGAATAGGTGGAAGCAGGAACACCAGCTGAGGTCAATATCATGCTCCAGGCAAGAGATGGTGGTGACTTGGACTGGGGTAGTAGTGGTGGAGATGGTGAGAGGTGGTCAGATTATGGGTGTATTTTAAAGCTGAGAACACAGGATTTATTAACCAATTGGATGTGGGGTATGAGAGAAAGAGAGGCGTCCCTGCAAGTTTGCAGCCTGCGTAATTGGAAGAGTTAGAATTTCCCAAGTTGAACAAGACTGAGGGAGGACCAAGGTTTTTGTCTGCTTGCTTGGTGTTTATTTGCTTGTTGAGGGTTTGTGGAGAAGACCACGTGTTTGGTTTGAAGACTATGTATTAGATATCTAAGTAAAGATAGTGAGTAGGCAATTAATTGGATATATGAGTCTGGAACTCTGGGAAAGTTTCAAGCTGGAGACAGGGAAGGCTCCTAGCTGGGGAGGGAGGGAGAGGAGACTCAAAAACTGAGTCCAAATACCCCCAATTTTTAAAGACCAGAAAGATGAAGAGGGATCCAGCAAAACAGACTGAGGACAAATGCTATATGGGGTAGGATGACAATGAAAATGTGGAGGTGTACCAGAGTTCAAGGAAGCAAGCGTTTCAGGAAGAAAGATATGATGAACTATGTCTAATGGGAAGATCAACAGAGTAAGATGAGACCTGAGAATCAACATTTGATTGGGCAACATGAAGTTCATTGGTGGCCCTGAATAAAGTGGTTTAGATAAGTAGCCAGGAAACTTTTTCTGTAACGGGCCAGAGAGTAAATATTTTAGGCTTTGCAGGCCATCTGATCTTTGCTGCAAATACTCAATTCTGCTGCTGTAGCACTAGTCATAGGTAGTACCTACGGAATGAGCATGGTTATCCTTGAATAAAACCTTATTTACAGAAACACATAGTGGGCTGGATTGGTTCATGGGCCACAGGTCACTGACCTCTGGTGTAGATGATGTTACGATATTTGAAGTGTGATTGAAGTAAGTTCAGAAGGGAAGAGAAGAAGGGATAACTTTGGAGGAGTTTTGCTGTAAGGAGAAGCAGAAAGATCTGAGTGGTGGCTGGAGAAGGGTGCAAGATGAGAGAGAAGAGAAGGTCTCTATTTCCTTGGGAGAAATAAGTATGACATCTCAGACAAAGTGATGCTGTAGATGTCTTGGGCCTCAACGTTAAGGAAAACATCCTACTTACTATATGCATTAGAGTCATCGTAAAATCCAGCATATAATTTCAGCTACTCCTTAGCTATACTGGGCTTGGTCTCTATGCCCTTTGGTTACCTGAGCTTTTTACTGGAATTGAGCCTCCCCAACTTAGACTGCTGACTGAGTGATGTGCTTTTATTTAGCATGATCAGTCTTAGAAATAACATAAATGGGGGAAAAATAAAACAGGTTTCATCTGGGATTCCATTTCACAGAACTTAATTAGAATGATTGGCATCTTGTGATTTTGATTTCTTCCTAAGCAAAGAACTCTAAATTGAATTTCATTTTTTGAGATCAAAAGAGGATTAGCTCCCACAGTTTCATAAATAATGAACCCAGTTCTCAGCCTTCACTAGGCTACAAGTGATAGTCGTTGGGATTTGATTTTTCCCTACTTTTCTGATCTGCTTCTTTTTCTTATTTCTAGGTACAGGTAGCCCCTTGTGCTTCATGCGAGTTGGAATTGTTTTTATTCCTGGTGTTAGATTTGAAGTAGTAACAAAAAAAAAAAAACAGAAAAAAAACTATAAAAAGGAAACAAACATTTTTCCTGCTATTAGCTACTTTTATTAAGTATTTTTAAGGCATTGCATTAAGTGCTTTACAATTCATCTTTTTTCTTATCCTTATTATGAAAATTTTTAAACATATAAAAAGTAGAAAAAGTAGAATTATGAATATATTTTACCTGTTACTAAGCTTCAACAATTACCAACTCATGTTGGTATAATCCGCTGAATTGAGAGAAAGTTGTAGAAAATATGACTTTTTATTTTTCTGACTCAGGACTACACATTGCATTCTGTTGGTCCTATTTCCTTATCTCCTTTAATCTAGAATGATTCCTTAGTTTTTATGGTTTTCATGACATTGACATATTTTATAGTTTTCATGACATTGACATATTTGGCAGAAATACTACAGAAGTGATGTTGTGTACTTCTCAGTGTTTTCCATCAGGAGGCCCATGGTGTCATGTTGTCCCACAATTTGGCGATGCTAATTTTGATCACTTGATTAAGGTGATATTTACCAGATTTCTCCACTATAAAGGTATCTTTTCCCCTCTTTTTAATAATTAAATAATCTGGGAAGAGATAAATATCCTATTCCCCAACAAACTTTCAACCAATGCTTTAGGCATCCACAGATGATTCTTCCCTAACTTGACTATTATAGTGATGATTACAAAATGGTGATTTCCTGACTTTATCCTTCCTTCTATAATTATTAGTCATACTCTAAAGAAGAGCTTTTCTTTTATCCCATTTTTAGTTACATCATTTATGTATTTTTGGTAATCAGAGTGAACTCAAATTTTTTTAATTGAATGTGTTATACTTTATTACTGTCGTTATTCATTTTAATATTCAAATTATCCAGGTTTTGTTTGTGTCTTTTCATATGCTACCATTCATTTTAGGTTTTGTTTATTTGTTTTGTGTTTGGTGTCATGTTTATATTTAATACTGCTTACTTTCTAGCCCCACGAAATGTTTCAGACTCACCTTATACTTTCTCTGCTCCAGCCTTGGAATGAGCCATTTCTCTAAAACATTCTAGGTTCTTTTGTGGAAAATGGCATCCAGAAGACAAAATCTGAGTAGTGAATGTGCATTTTGCTGTTAGGGTTTCATTACATCTAAGCTCCTTTAATGGATAGAGAAGAAATAAAACTTTTTAGAAAATCCTAAGTTTATATCTCATGCCTCTAATTACTGGTCACCATCTTAAGAGTCTTCCTCTCCTTCCTCCGTACCACGTTTGTATCTCACCTTTCTTTCACAGTGACAACCCTGGTTCCCAACAACATCCATGTGTTTACTCATTTACTCAACCCTACAGCACACACCAAATGGTTTCAGAATTGTCATCCCTGTATCACAACCAGCAATAAACCTGTTAAGTGAAGTTCGAGGCTTCTTTACAGATCTACCTTCACAATATACTCAGGGGGTACATAAGTACTACATCCCTCCCATATTAATTTGAAGCAATCCAATGCATCAGATTTTTTCAGCTCTTAATATTGCAATATGGCATGACCATAATGCCGTTATTACACATAAAAATTGACAATTAGTGGATCAACAAGTATCCAGTATTTTTTCAGGGCCAAATTGGCTCATAAGTATCACAGATGGGTTTGGTTGTTGTAATTGTTGCTTTGTTTTGTTTTATAATTTGTTTGTTTGAATCAAGATCAAAATGAAGTCTATACATTGTAACTGGTTGATCCTTCTCAAAGTTTCTTCTGATCTATGTGTTTTCCTGCCATTTTTTATTGGTTTCTTGCAATTTTATATAGATGAAATCAGATAGTTTGTCTTGTAGAGCTTCCCACATTTTGGATTTTGCTGATTGATTGCATTTTTATAGTAGGAATTACCATGTTTCTCTGTCCTCTTTGTTGCTGTAAACTGGTAGTTCAATCCAGAGGTTTGGTTAGATTCTGATTCATTTGAGGGAGTTTTGTTTTGGGAGTAAATAGAGGTTTTCAAGACTACCTTGTAATATTTTATTCTTTTATCAGAAGGCGTGAAACATCTGACTGTCTCTTTGTGATTGTAGCAGCTACTGATACTCAATGCCTACATCCATTAGTTCATTAGGTTTGCAGAAGTAATCTTTTTTTAATTAGGCAATGTTATAGACACACATGTATACGTGCATTCACATAGACACATTTCTGTAAGCAGATATATCTCAAGCCAACTCTTATCTTTCCCTTAACCCCTCTTTGTTACATTATTACTTGTTCTTTTACCTCACTTGTTTTCAAAGTTCTCTTTTTATGTGTGTGAAAATAAGATTTGTATAATACAAAGTAGTGGCCCAAATGTACAGTAACAACTTTCCCAGGGGAACACAATTATTTTAGAGGAGAAACAAGGAGAGGAAAATAGCATGTATAAAACAATAAGGGGGTCACAGAAAAGACGTATCTGAGCTCAGTATAAATTTAAACCTAAATTCTGCCCAGAGAACACCTGTATTACTAAGATGACATTTTAGAACTATGAAACTTTTTTAAAGCTTGAGAAATAAGAACAGGAAGATGAGGAGAAAAAGTAAAACATGTCCCTAGTTTTAAGGTTTTCTGGATGAGAAAGATAAAATATGTCAAGATTCACTCATGTGTGTTTAAAAACATGAGATTTGAGTAGGAAAATAATTTGAGTTTTTTGTTTTGTTTCCTTCTTTCATGAAGCATGTATTTTATCTTAAGCCAGTTCACCAATGCCATTACATCTCAGAGTCAGGCTGGGCAATTTCATGCCATTTGACCTAACAACCTGGAGACTTCTGAGTAATAGTGACTCCTAGTATGGGTGTTCTAATGTCTGTCACAACATGAAAGGTATTCATTTAACAGAGACAAAACAAAATCAGATAAACAAAAGACATGTAGATCTAATTGATTGCGAGGGTTGGAATGAGTGGTTTACTCTCATTCAATTAAAGATAAAAATTATTTACACCAAATAAAATTAGAAACCGGCTACAATTGTTTCTTCTCAGTCCATACTATGAGATTGGGGAGAGGGTCCTTTTTTAAAAAGAAATGGCTTTATTGAGATATAATTCACATAGTATACAATTCACTCACAGTATACAACTCAATGTTTTCTAGTATATTCATAGAGTTATGCCACCATCACTGCAATCTAATTGTATAACAAACATTTTATCTCCCCTAAAAAAAACCTTGGCTGCCACTTCCCAATCTCTGTGCCCACTATCCCCAGCTCTAAGCAACCACAATTTACCTTTGTTTCCACAGATTTGCCAGTTAATGGGCAATTACCTTTTAATTGCCGTTCATGGCCTGTCACACTTAAATTCTTTCCTTTTTTACATTATCATAAAAAGAAAAATTGAAGAAAGTCCAAAAAATATGAATGACTATCACAAAAATTGTAACAGGATAACCAAAATGATGTTGTTGAATCCAATAGCATCTGATGATTTAAATAAATAATCTTCAAGCATCAAGCTGTGGGAAGAACACACTGTGATATCACTTAAGAGAGTCAAGCACTAATAATTTTAAATATAAACTTGAAGCAGGCTTAAGTTGCAGAAACTTGTCATGCTCTTAAAAACAGTGATATTTGCAACCAGGAATATTTGCAAATTCAATTTCTGACTTCTCTGCTCACCAATTGTGTGACTCTGGGGCAAGTAATAGAAGATTTATACACTTCAGATTCCTCTTCTGTAATATGGGAATAATGATGGTACTAACTTCATGAAGTTAGCATGGAGATTAACTCATGTAGAGCTTTTGGAACCAAATGTGGCACATAAGTGCTCAATAAATGTTTGTTAGTTATTGTTTTATCATCTTTAATAGTTAGAACTCAACATTTTAGGTCAAATTCCAAAATAGAATTCTTAGATTTGCCAGCTTGCCCCATGCCACATTTGATTGGTATTTTCAAAGTGTCTATTTAAAGATGTTTCCTGCTATGAAAGCAATGGATCTAGAGCTAAGATACTGTCACTAGAGAGACAAAGAATATCATTGATCAAGTATAATTGAGAATAGGGCTGTAAATCAGCCATCAGTTGCTTCAGAACAATGTGTTCTACAAATAATAGCAGAATTGCTAATTTATTATTCTCACCTAGCACTCGTGTAACAGATTTTCATTTTCTATATTAAAAGAAAAAAAATTACAGCAGCAAAAAAGCTTATATAATGGTATTACACATGTCTAATAAAAAATAAAGAATACTGTTAAAGCATTATAAACCACATATAGTCTCTCTTATAGTTGAAATGTTTAGCTAAGATCCTAAACATGTGACTTTTAAGTCTGTGAATGTGAACTGAAATTGTGATTTGGTTTTTTTGTCCACAAATGTAAGGAAATGTAACCACCAATACTTCCATTCCCTTCTCTTTAATTCCAATCTGAAATGGCTTTTGCTAATAAGACTGACATGTTAGATACTTTTATTCTTAAAGTATTAGTGTGTATTTTCTGTTCTTTTGTAAAGTGTGATGCTTAGTAGTATTATGTCCCAATCAGATGATTCATGATACACAACATTTTCATACTTGGGAAATGTTAACACATTATAGTCCTTGCTTTGAAACATAAAAGAATTAATCACAGATAACACATTTTCATATTCCTTTGACCCTTGAGACCATTTAAATGATGTGGCTTGCATGCAGCCCCATTTTGGGCCCTCAAAGCCTTCTGCATTGTCCCTCTCTGTCTACATTTTCACCCCAGGCTTTACTCCTCTTGGCATTGTTTTGTATTTGCATGAAAATGTGTAATTTTTTTTTTTTGCATGACAAGTCATTGGTGATGTTGAAGTTAAATGTCTAACATACCTTGCAGTATCACATGCCATTAATTCTTACATGATTTTTTTTCTTTTATTTTCAGTTACTGGAGTTTAAATATGCTTGAAATGTAAAAGTGGCATGAAACTGGAGTGATGCAAGAATATTTAGTATTCTTTTAAGGACTATCATTTTTAACTAGGAAAATTTGGGGGCAGTTCTCAACCTTGTTTTTGGACACCAACCCTAAATTACAATTGATGATAAAACTATATTGAACATAGGTGCTGTCAGCAGAGTAATAAATTCTGAAGTGATACCTCTTTTCCCTCTGAGAATGTAATTTTAGTACTTGAATGTAAAGTATATGTCCCCTAATTTCAGAAATTATTAATTATTTGGTTCATTATTTTTCATAAAACCTTATTAATGGGCATACAATTGAGCTCTACTACTTTGCTGAAAGTTTCTACTACCTAAAAAAGTAATGAATTACTTACCGAGTGACAGCACCAACATTTCAGTACTTTAATGTTTCCTAAATGAACATGGTTACCAAAATGGATATTTGATATGGGAATGTATGAGTATACAAAGAAGATAAGTTATTTATACCATTTTGTCAAGCTTCAAATCCATAAGGGCACAGGACTCATTCCCAGCAATGGGACAAAAGCGCACATCCAAACAGGTGTCCTTTCCTTCTAAGGGTCACCTTGCTGCTCTACATTTATTCTTAACAGCTTCCATTGCCAAAAATGTTTTTGAATACCTGTTTTCAAATTGCCTTCAGAGTCTTTGGCACCTTCATTTCAATAGCCGTGTGGTAACAAATCTTGATCCTTGGGGAGTGATTTTAATTTTTTCAGCAGCTGAAAGACCCTCAGAGCCAAATCAGCCAAACAAGGGTAGTAGTCAATCTGATGAAACATATTTTTTAATGATATATGAATATGAAATTAGTAAGACCTGCATGGCCAATAACTTATAAAATGACTGTCAACACATTTCCCAAAGAGAAACCCCACAAAACATTTGCATAAGAACAGCAGCAGTGGAATTAATGGAATTTCCTTAGGGAGTCTTCTAGGTAAGCACATGATATCCACTTGAATGAATAAATTCTAATGCCTGTATCGTATTATGTATCTATGTGTTATTTTTAATTCAGCCTCATTTAAGCTAATGGAATAGTTTAGTTAAAATTTTTAAAGACAGTCATTCTTACTTTTTTTACCTGATCAGAATCTAGAGTGACTGCCATTTTTCCTTTGATAAGTTAAGTTAATATCAAGTTAATACCCCTTTAGCAGCAATTTTAACAGATTTTGGTTGATTGCCTCATGGCTGTCACCAACTAGCTCTGTGATAGCAGTATAGGACACAACTTCTCTGTGCCTCTGGCTCCCTGTCTATAAAATGAGGGCTTGGGGCTAAATTATTGTTAATTATTGTTAAAAATCTCTTTTGAATAAAAATGTTGTATTCTAATGATTATATATTCATGTGTCAGTCTGTAATTATACCATAAATCTACATACTTCTTTGTGCAGTTTTAATTTAATTAAAACTAAACAGAAGTAACTCAAATTCAAATTATTTTAAAAGACATCAAGACACTAAGAAGAAAACCAGTTTCTCCAATAAAGCGTTTTCTACCTGATGGTGATAAGACATTTGTATAGCACTTTATGTTTACATTGTCTTTTGTGAGTCTCACAACGTAAGAGCTGCTATCATTGTCCTCATTTTGCAGATGAACATACTGAGGTTCAGAGACATTCAATTCCCTTTCTAAGGTGATGAACTAGCAAGACGTAGAGCCAGCACAAAAAATTCAAAAAATTCTGGGTCTTCTCCTTCTAATTTAAGACTCTTTCCCTCCATCACCATTTATCTGTAACCAGTCTTTTGCTTAGGAGACAATTTTTCCAAGGTGCCACCATTCAGAATTTATACTCCTTGAAAATAAAATCGACCTTTAGAACTCTCTGGCACCACTTTAGAATTATCCACTTGCGTCACTACAGCTCTCTGTGCTTTTACAAACTAGTTGTTTTGTCAGCATGAGTGTGACAACAATTAGACGTCCCCTGTTTTTGCCCCATGCCTTTTCTCCTTCACAGTCATTCAATGACAAGCGTAAAAAGAGCTTCATCTTTTCACGAAAATTCCCATTCTACAAGAACAAGGAGCAGAGTGAGCAGGAAACCAGTGATCCTGAACGTAAGTAGATTCTGAAAGATAATGTCACATGCAACATAAGAGAAAAAAAATTCACAGGCAACACGCAGGATGTAGGCTCTCCCACGCCACACACCTAGGCAAACAACACAGCAGGCAGGCAGGGCAGGTCTACTACTGTGACCAGCGTCTGACTACAGTCTGGATCCCTCCTTTCACATGGCTCTTCTTTGCAGAAGGCATTGGAGAGAGACTTGCCAAAACTGGGACTTGCACCCAACCAACATTTATCTTTGACCAGGACTGGGTCCGGTTTGCCTTTTCTATCATGCAACCCTCTAAGTCTTGAGACAAATTATTTTCTGAGAAGAAATATTGGATTCCATTGCCACATATGTTTTTTGGAATGTTAGGAACAATTAAATTATCTTTATTGATTTAAAGATAAACTAGCACATTTGCTCACTCTTTCCCTCCCCCAAAACACTAAACACTTTCTGAGCACTGAGCTTGTAATGGTGGATATCATTTAGAATTTGCTATGAAATTTGGAGAAGTTTATTCCTTAAGTGGGACATTTCTGTGGCAACGTGATTGACCATGGTCAAAAAATTGGCATTTGCTGAATTTTTTTTTCTTACAATCTTTTGTTTAAACCTTGAGTTGCTCTGCAAATCAGAAATTTCCTTCTTGAATCTCAGCTCAAGGAGTTTGGGGTGAAAGTTTTTTTAAAAGAAGAGAGAATGGGATCCAGATTGTTAAGGCAGCACGGTCTGTCATGGTAGTATTCATTTCAACTCCACTGACTTCTTCCTTCCTCTTCCGTGGCTGTTCTTCCTCTCTCATTGCTCTCTCTGGGGACTTCCATGCAGGACATCCCCGGATTAGGTGACGACGGTTATGGAACAAAGACTCTGAGTAAGTTTCCAGGAATGGTCACTGTAACTTTTCTTTTCTTTTCCTTTCCTTTTGAGTTTGGCTTTTGTTCCTTTTCCTGAGGGCCTTTCACTCCTAGCATGCACAAGATACGAGTTTTATTTGTTACCTAGCTGTGAATGCTCCTACAAAGTAACTTTCGATCGTTTTGTTCTGCATGTCAGCATTTAAAAGCAAAATGTATCAGGCACTCTAACTTCTGTTGCAGTTAACACCATCCCTTTCTGACCATGTGATATTATCAACATGGTCCTGATGCCCACCATAGCATCACTTGCTCTGCCGCTTAATACCTCCATAGAGCAAGAAACCATGTTGAAAGAAAGGGTGAGCTAAGTGTTCTAGAACAGCAAAACAGAAATGTACTTTATGTTCTTTCTTCTGCCTTTTCACATGGAAATATTTAATGACCTTGTCAAATCTCATAATTGGGTTGCACTTTGCTGTTAGTAAAGGAGCTGTTTCGTAGTCAAAAGGAACATGCATTCTCTAAAAGCAAATTTTAAGCTACTGGAGATTCCATGAGTATTTATTTATTTGTTATTAACTTTGATTTTTTTTTCTGACTTGCGGTGATCCTGCTTGAAATGTTTAAAGTTTGGATATGTAATAATATGCCTATCAGTGATTTATTAGCTACATTATAAAATCAGGTCTTCACTTTATAGCATAGAGTGAAAAAGAAAATATATTAAGCCTTTACATTTTCTAATTGTTCATGTATTTAGTCTGTATCTGATTGCACTAAGCAACTAAAAAATAATTATCCTGTGTCTTAATATACTACATTATGATTTTTCCTCTTTAATAACTAACCCCATTGTGTAGGCACCAATGAAATGAGAACAGAGTTTTGTGTCTTTTGCAACTGTATCACATGTTTAATTTTTTTTGTTTTGTTGTTTTAAATTAACAGCTATGGGCAATATTTTTAGAAGCTGTTTATTTGTATAAAACAAAATTGCATTGAACTGGACTTTGTTTTCAAGGGCTCTTTCTATAACCCTGAGTATTGATACTCCTCATAATTCAAATTGTTCATTTGGAGAGTTTTTAAAAGATATTTATATTTTTAAAAATCTGATCAAGAGTACTGATCTTAAAGATGAAAACTTTATTTTTGAGTTACTATATGGAATATGATAGAAAATTTTTCCTGAATTAGTGGCTGAAGTTTAAATATTGATTTCAGCATTATCTGGACAGCATCAAGCACCACCAGAGAGAATTTGTAAACTTTCAATTTGAGAGGGAAAAGAAACATCTTAATATATTGTTAATAATAAATATCACTAAAAAGTAGTGGCTTTTGGAGTGTCAGAAATAGGACACCATTTCAATCCAGAATATGCAAATGTTTGTTTGCTCTTTAAAAATTGAACAAATTTAAAAAGTAAAACTTCGCAACAACAACAAAAAGCCCTGTCTTACCCAATTCAAGGCACTTAAGATAATAATCTCCATGAAATGCACTATTATTGATTATGTGCCTTGACTTTCATTTTAGTAACAGAAAACAGATTTGCACAGGTTCATCCACACTTCTTTCCCTATTGCCTCTTTGCACTTGCAAAACATGTGCCCAAATTAGTAATGCAGTTCTGATCACAGACCAACACAAAGAGAAATGATTTGTGTGAATTTAACCCATGCTTTGGTTTTCATTAGTTTCATGCTTTAAAACTACTCTATCCAATTGGCAAGAATGTATGATATCAAAGCACTTTTTTATTGTTAGAGAATAATTTTATATATTATTTTTCTCTTTCTAAAAATGTATAACTATTGTCACTTTTTAAAAAACTGATGTTATTTATAGTGAGCTTCAGAAATCAAATAGTCACATGTTCTTCATTTAATTAAAGTAATATACAAATAAGTTCATAGACTGATGAGTGTATCATCTATAACTTAACAAGCAGTATGGATGAGCGAAAATGATTTTAGAAATAAGAGCTCAAATTCTGGCATATAACCAACACATCCCTGTTAAGTTAGGTGAACTATGTATGAAAAAACAATTTGGAGTATTGCTGTGCAAGCAAGTCATTCAGCATGAATTTAAAAAAAACATACTTCAGCCAGAACCTGTACCGTGTATCAGGCCATTTATCTCCTGCCTGTTCCATGCCACTAGTATTCAATAGCTATCCAAGCAAGAATCCTAAAATAAAAACAAGGAACTATTGAGCTGATTCGTAAAATATTATTCAGTGACTCACATCTTCCTCAAAGATTTTCAACTCACTCACTGAAGCAGAAAAGATCTTCAAGAATTCCTTTTCATCCTGAGAATGTGTTTAGGAACTATTTAAATAGAAATAAAATTCAAGGGATTCCAGGGATCAATTAGCAATTTGAGCAGCGTTCCAGCAAAATTCTTAAAGGCTAAAATTGAGAAATAAAAAAGCCTGCAAGAAAACACTGCCTACACACCAGAAGCGTCTGAATTTATAGTCAAGAAAACACTCAGTCAAGACATACTAGTCATTGTCACATAAATCTTGAAAGTCAGAGGTATATGAATGGGTCATAGTATTTTTCTAATCGCCTAAATTGACATTATGCATTTTTTGTAATTAAAGATACTTTCTTCATTTGCTAAAAAGAAGAAACAGCAATCAAGCAGCGGGTTCCTGTAAAATGGAGATAAAGTTTTCATCTTCTTTATCTTATCTGAGTTTTCTTAATGCAGCCTCCTCTGCGGCTTTTACTTGCCTTTCGCTCACATTTCTGGTAGCCTTGCATGAGTGTATTCCTTTCCGTTCTGGCTGCTCTTCAATGCTTGGTATCTCTTTAATTTGCTGTGCTGTTCTTGCAGAACATGTTTCTTCTAATGCCAGCGATAGCGAAAGTAGCTACCGTAAGTTACTGCTTTGGTTTGCGGTTATTTTCTTTGCAATTGCCCCATTGCCTGTGGTGGTCATTTCAGATTTCTGTTGTTGTTTTTCAATTGCTACCTTTTATCATCTGTATTCAAAGCAAATGGCTTGAAATGAAATCACTGGATGTGGAAAGATAAAAAAGACACTAGAGCCATCAGTGCACCCTTATGTGATTTGTGCAAGTAGTAGTGGTCTTGCTAATAAACAATTCCAACCTCAGTTGGTTGTGACTCAGTGATTCAATTCTCACAGAGAAGGTGTGTAAAAAGTTCAACGTGGTGGATTTTTACATTGTAACCCCCAAAATAATTGAAACTCTCAGCAGGAGGTGGAAAATCATCATGGTATTGTTTTCCTTCTTATTTTGCCATTTCCTTTCTGTTCTTGGCTCCCCTTTATAGGAAAAGCATTTATAAATAAAGTGTTCCTTTAAAATCAGGTTTGAATCTTTTACATCACTTTCTCTTTGATTAATCTTTTAAGATAGGATACTATGACATTTCTAACTTTACTTTTTTGATAATTGGGGAACTGATGGAAGAGTTTCATCCTCTAATGTTGAAGGAACTTAATTTTTTTAAATGTGACCAAGTCTTCTTAGATCAGAAAACTTAGCTGAAAAGGTAGGTAACTATTTAAAAGTTATTTCTGGTCTTTGTTTGGTCACCTCAAGCCATTTGCTTAGTGTATGAAACTATCCACCAAACACCGATCACATCCTTTTGATCAGTCCTCATGGTTTTTTACCACCTACTTACTTACTGGTTTTTGGTGACTAACATAGATACATATTTTTACTAGGATTCTTATGATTTCTATGAGATTAATTTATATTCCTTAGTGAAATGGGTTACCCAAAAAGCACGCCTAATACCTGTGACCCACAGATGCTAAGGCAGAAATTGGTGTTGTCTTTTGTTTGAATGAGTATTGTATTAATTGAAAACTAGAATTGTTTGAGGTTTTCCCCCCCCCGTTATAGCATGGTACTTTACAAAACCATGCCTTTTTGAGGTGGAAGGCCAAACAGTGGTACAACACATAATTTGGATTTTTAAGAAAGGCTTTGGAAAATCAGAGGGGTGGCAAGTAGGAGCAGCAGCACAAAAGTGGAAAGATGGCAGATGGAGGTAGGCTCAGAGAAGGAAGATGTAGACCAAGGAATAAAATGAAGAAAATTGTAATGAGATACCCTTGGTCAATCAAACGTTAGATTGATATAGGAACCACCTAATTTTCTTATTGATGAAAGTTTTATTGATTGATTGATAGAAGAAATTCCATCAATTCTTGTTGATGGAAGAATTCAGAAGGTTCTTGTTATCAACACGGTAACATGTCAACATTTTTACATTCTTTATACTTTTATAATTTTATTATTATCCTAATTTCAGAAAAAAAATTTGCCTCTCCCCTTTTTCATTTTATTTTAAACCAAGAAACTAAGCCAAGAAGAATTGACCAAAGCTTGTGTTAATAACACCTAAGCTGCCCTCAATTTAGTACGTAGAAAAATATAACTTATTTTCTGGGTTCCAGGAAGACCAATGACACTAGTTTCCTTGATGTTCAGTTTTCAATTTTCAAGTGTTGTGCTTCCATCCAGTAGACACAGGTATCGAAAAAGAAAGCATCATGCTTTATCTTTCAGTTCTTTTAATGGAAAATATATACTATACAAGAACTACCTTTTCTTATAAAAATCACATTTTTATAGAGTATTTTAAAGGCTTCTCTTCTCTGTTTCAGAGGTGGGAATATTTTTCCCAGAATTATTAAGTTATAAAAACTGGCCCAAGACTTTCAACTACTTGGCAGATTTTTAGAGTGATGTTCTAAGATGACATCAATAATTATTTTTACTCTAAATACTAGTTGCACATAAATGTTTATTGAATGAATAAAGGAAACACTTGCAGGCATCTCAAATTATCTATGAGAAGAGAGAAGAGTTGGAACTGGATTCTATGACATTAGTAGGGCAAATATGGAATCTAATTATCTCTATTGGCTTGAGTCTCATCCAAGGTTACAGAAGGCCAGCCACTCAGTTTGTTTTCTTTACAAATGAACAAAAGTAAGAAGAGTCTTTATCACAGCTCAGAGGAGAAAAATGACATGTATTCCTCCAGAATGGAAATATGAAGAATTCCAGAGGAATGTTTATTTATTCATTCGGTACCTACTATACATGAGGTCCTCTTCTTGGATACCATGAGACCCATTGTGAATATCAACTAACTCTAGATCTCAGCACACATAATAGTAGGAGAGAGATATAAATAAATGAAAAAGTGCACAAAGTGTGACAGGTACTAAGATAGATTGATGTCTGGCTCAAGAATAGTGGGAGCATAAGAGGTAGTTTCAGAGAGGAAGTAGCTTTGAGCTGAGCTTTGGAAAGATGAGGAACTTGCTAGCTAGGCAAGATGAGGAAGGAACTTCCCAGAAAGAGCACTGCCATGAAAAAAGACACACAGGTTTGGAACAAATATATTTTCCAGGAGGTACCAACTTTGAAGTCAAAATAGGCTGCATTTTTCTAGTGCATTCCTGGCTTTTGCTGTAATTATGACTAAAAATAGTATAAACAAATACAAAAAAAAACCCCTCTTTTCACCAATATCCAGGTGTTGTATTTCACTGTTATACTTTACCATTCCATATCCACTCTGGGAACAAAATGGCTAAATAATTGTAATAATTCAGAGTTAGAAACAAAGACCTAGGCCCTTGTGTTTCACAATCCATTGTGTTTCACAGTCTGGAGTACACCATTCACACTGTATCCTGGAGTTACACATCGTGGCAACCTTACTTCAAAGTCTTACATGTTTCCTGAGGTAGGCCACACACACATAGATACACACAAACATCAATTTCTAATAAATAGTTCAGATCTTTGCTGCATCATCTCAAGCATTATAAAATAGGTTTTCCAACTATATTTAGCACCAGCTAAAATTGCAGCTGATAAAGTGTACATTGTCTAATTGTGCAAAACACCACCTCAAAACTATCTTAATTATAGGCTAATTCTAGATTTATGTCAATAAAGTAGTAAAATTCAGCCTTGTATTTTTGGCTGTTCTGTATAATACCTTACAGTCACCCATGTATTAGGAGGTGGTAAATACTAGGCAAGTATATTGAGGACTATGCAAGCTTCTAAAGCTGAAGACATGCCTTCCTCAAAGCTCAGTAAAGCTCTTTACATCATCATGGATGTGTGCAAGCTGATAATTATCCTTCCAACCCATTAGTGCTCACCAGTTAAGTAGGATTTTCAAAACAAGGATCTTGAAGAACTAATCTGAGTGAAACTAACGTGTTGAGATCAGGAGACCCAAAACTTCTCCACTGGAGTCAGTCAAAATGGTGCATATTCTTCACCTTACTCTATTATTCTCAACTATTGCCCTTAGATGTCTTTACTCCTTTAGTCTTTATAAAGCAGTTTTTCATTACATCTATTATCTCATTTAATTTCTGCAACAAAACTATTTATTAGACATGTTTTACATTAATAGCCCCATTTCCATATGAGGAAGCCGAAGCTCCAAGAGGCTGCCTGCCTTATTAAAGTAGTGGCACTGCAAATCCAACCAAGACCTCTTAATTCTGAATCCCATTCATTTTTCACTCTTCCCTGTAGTTTGTAATCCAAGCCTGACATTTTACCTAGTAACTTTCAACCATTTCATACTACCTATAAAGTTAATACAAACAACAACATTTATATAACATTATGCACCAAGTCTGATTTTAAGGACTGTACGTATATTAAGTTCATCTTCTGAACATCCTATGGAGACAATTTGCCATGAATTTACTATATGACCTTAAACAAATTACTTAAAGTCTTTGAGACTCAGTTCTCTCCTATGTAAAATGAGTAGCTTGAATTAGAATAGAAATGGCAAATAAATTTTAATCAAGGTTCAAACTCGAACCAATTGGCAGTAGCTGCCTGAAGAGTTGTAATGAAAAGTATTCTAAGGCCATGTTGAGGCTCAGCAGTAATCCCGGCAATGATCAGTTTGTGATGCCTGTCAAGATCACAGAGAGTAATAGTGTGTGGTATGTACTTGCCATCTATGAAGCACATGAACCCTAAGCCCTTTCTTAGCACTAGCATTCTATGACTCTAAGAACCTAATTAGTTCTTAAAAATCATCATATGCAGGCACTAAAAACAAAATTTTGAGCATTAAACGTACTGCCACTGGTCTTCAACTCCATCATCTCTGTTTTCTAGTTTCCAGGAATTCCTAAAGAATGGCAATTTGCTTTTCTCTAGCATAAAGGTTACTAGGGTCTCTCATTGTGACTGGCTTCCAGTTTAAACACATAGTGTTTTGTGGCGACTGTGACAAAACCCTCTGCGAAGTCTCTGGCAGCTGCTGACATCCACACACAGCTCTGTGCTGCTCTCCCACTTTCAGCCATACAGTTGCCAAAACAAAACCAAGAAATAGTTTGTACCTTTTTGTCAGCTGTTATTTTGAAGTGCCAACCCCTCCTGAGCAGAAAATAGAAAAACTCTTAAGGATGACTATTTTATGGGGATGACACAACAGCAAAAGAAAAAGAAACAAAGAAAGAAAGAGAGAGAAAAGAAAAGAAAAGAAAAAAAGAAGAGAGAAAAGAAAAGAGAGAGAACTTGTGTTTAGAGGCAGAGTATCTGATGGCCTCTTAATAACCCCGACCTGGTTTCAGCCCCTATCTCTCTCTTCAATTTTTTCTTCATTTGTTAGCTTTACCTCAACACCCACCCACCCTGCCCCACAGAGAATTCTGCTTCTCTCACTGTTTCAAGACAGTGCAATATACTCCACAAGAGTTGAAAAAGGTGCAGTATTAAATCTTGACTCCACTACTTACTAGCTGAGGAATCAGGGCTCATTAACATCTCTGAGCCTCAGCTTCTTCATCTGTAAAATGGGGATCATCAGAGTACCTACCTCAAGCAATGCCTGTGAGACATAAAAGCCAGTGGGTATGAAAGCCCCTCAAGGCCCGCAAAGTGCCACAAAGACATGAATTTTCTCTCCTTCATCACAGTGGCTTTTTCTCTTTCCCTTTGTCTCTTCCTCATTACCCATAGGGCTTTTCATTCTTGGACATGGAAGTAAAAATTAGTTTAAGATGCTGAATTCACAGCAATTATGTCATGCCCACCTCCACGGGTTTCCCCACAGGCTTCCTGGGTATTACACAGTACCTGATTGCCACAAGGTCTTGAGAATTGGGGTGGCCCGGACATAAGGGATGCTGCCATTGCTGTCTACCAACACTACTGCTCTGAACCAGAACCAGAACCAGTGCCTTTCATAGAAAAGTAAACCAAGAAGTGATGGATAGACAGAGATAGAGAACTCTTGAACAAAATTAATCAAAGCTATGCTTTGCCCTAGTTGTCTGAATCGCAATCATACACACTGACATCAAATATCTTATTAAAGATTTGCCTTTAGAACGTTCCATCAGAATGATTTGCAAAGCCATTGGGAAGAGATTTTTATGGGAACTTGATGTGCTCTATTTATTTAGAGAAAACGATGCTTTCCAAAGTTAAATGACCATATTGACAGAAACACAAAATAGAACCTACCGTTGGCCTCATCACTCATCCTGTTTCCCATGACTGAAATCAGAATGCAAATTTGTTGACATCTTTCTTTATGTTAAGCACTCAATGGGGCACTGGAGACATGGTGATGAATAAAACTCAGTTCTCGCCTTTATGAAACTCCCAGCCTAATAAGGAGGTCCAAGAGTTACCTGACATTTAAAGCTTTTGTTATCCCATGGTCAGAATTCTTCCCTTGCACATTAATTGTTGAAGATTTCCCCTGTAAAGTTATAGTCTAAAATTGCAATGTTAGTCTACGATGCTTCTATCATTAAAACTATACTTTCTCCCCAAGAATTTTTACACTTCTTTAATTGACCCACAGCATTTTCCTGATGAAGTAATACTAAACTAAAACCTTGAATGCGTATACCCTCTACATCGCTCAGGCTTTAGATAACTGGGGGTTAGTAATCAATCACCTTCATGTTTTTTGGCCTAGGCTCTGTACATTTCAGTAGTTTATTCAAAGGGAATCATTCTTTTCCTGAGTACAAGAAATAGTGAATCTGACTCCTCACTGACCAAACCCCTGACCAATGTGGCAGAGTCCCCTGAACACTTCTGGGGTGGCCATGGGTACATACCACTTAGGAGGAGCATCAAGGTCCACTCTCTGTACCCTTAAGAAGTAGCTTGGCATGGTGGCGCCATTCTGAGCCCAGGCCCTCCTTGGGACTGAGATAAGATATGACTTCAGCCTGAGGCCATTTCTCACACTTGAAAAAGTAAGACACTCCTATCCCCATCCCATTCCAGCTACCCAGCCTCCAAGGAAGTCATCCAACTTCGCAGCTATACCCACATATTGCTCAATTTCCCCAAATCAGTCTCATTATCAAAACAGTCGATCATATTAACTCTTCTTATGAAATTACCTCTCTTTCTGTGGTGCTGTGGCTGTTGAAGGAGGAAAACCTGGCATTGATAGACTATGAATGTGCTTCAGGGGTGGGTGGTGAGGATATACAGCAAAGGTGAATTGCCCTTTGGTTTCAGAAGTTACCTCATATTCCACTTCTGCTCCACTATTTCTTCTAGTAGACAGAAAGTTCTTTTCAACAGCCCTAACCTATTGCTGTTCCAAAGGTTAGTCAATGCAAAAAAAAATGCAGACACTTCCGGGTTTGCAGGTGAAATTGAGCTAATCCTCTGACCAATTAATTCATCAATTATATAAAATAGATGATTGAAAAAATAAATGGCAAAAACCAATTTACTTTCTATGGTTATTTGTTGACTTGAGGTCCACCCTGAGTCAGAAGGCTTGTAGCAGATGACATTGGAGGGGCTGACATTTTACTACTGTGTCTTCCTTAGTTCTCTATCTGAAGTTTCAACGCACAGTTTAGCAGCAATTATAACCAATGATGTAGGACACACCTCAATTTTTGATCTTCATTAATTGACCCACAGCATTTTCCTGACGAATTAATATTAGAGTAAAACCCTGAGTGTCCTGATGAAGTTTTTATATCATAAATGAAATAAGCATATACTTGCTTTTGAACAGTGTGCTTCTTGGGGAAATAAAATAGAAGATGAAATAAAAGGTACAGCAATTCTGATTATGTAGCAGCCATCTATTGAATTGGACCCTTTCCTTGAACTAAATGGCTTCCTTTTAAGTAGTAATGCTTGGTGTAGAGGCCATGGCATTCCATTCTCAATGCCAGACAGAAAGAAGTCTCACAGGTCATTGCCCTGCAGCAAATAGCTAGCAACCAGTTATTACTTAGAGTTATGACTGTGAAAATCTGATACTAAAATGGTGCTAAAGAGTTTTATGAGGATGAAGTTATTTTTGAATGGTTCAAGGAGAAAGAGCAAGGAGAATTAACTCTGAGCTGTGTCTGTTTCCTGTGTTTCAGAGCAGGGCTTGTCTCTGTAATATATGACTGTTAGTTCACTGTGGTTTTCTTTCCTTCTCTTCTCAGGAGGACAAGAAGACCTCATTCTTTCCTATGAGCCTGTTACAAGGCAGGAAAGTAAGTTTCCCAGCACGCTTTCATTCCTAATTTCTGGGCCATAAGAGGTGACATCATTGAAGGAGGGAAAGAGTGAAGGACTAAGGAGAATAAACTCGGCTTAATGCTCTGTTGTCTTGAGACCGTACCTTACTCTTACGCTGTCTCTCACTTTCTCTCTCTTTGACCCTATCACCAAACAGACAACTTCCTGCTGAGTATGGGCACTAATAGCACCTAAGAGAAGGATGCAGCCCTCCAGATGAGTGGTCCTCAATGGGAAGGAACACATTCAAATTACCTAAAGAGCACTAGCTACGAGACTGGTGAATAAATTCTCCTGAGAGACTGATGTCAGCTCAGTATTGAGAATGACTTTCTAGCAGATCTGCCTAAGATGTAGGCTATCTGTAAGCTGCTGCTTTTTCCTGGAGGCATTTATACAGAGGCTAATTGCTACTGACAAGGATACTGCAGAGAGAATTCAAGCATCAGATGGGGACTTGTACCCAATGAACTCTCAGGTTCCTTCTAATCCCAGATACAAGGAAATCTAGAAACTGTAGCAAAGTATAGAGAGTATTTTGATCTGGGGAAAAGAAATCATGAAAACATAAGATGTTATTACTACTAACAATTACTTTTTATAGTCATATCTAAACAATAGCCAAACAGCTGGTTTGGATTCTTTTTTCTCCCACTCAGTTGACTAAATTCAGTTGTTTTGACATTATGTAGGCAGAGCCAGAGAGTAAGCAAAACTCCTCCAAATGTTTCTTTTCATCAACAGATACTGCAATTGCCTTTCCCTGCTAGTAGATTCCAGAAAGTAGGCACTGCCAATCTCCTGAGTGTTAAACATCAATTTCCCTATGCAAGGCTGTATGAGTAATTTATCCAGTGAAGTAATGCCCTTAGCATCTCTTACTGTCTGGCAATTAAGAATCACCCTTGCAGGACAGTTTTGCAGTTGTTTCCAACTCTTTCTCTTTACCTACATCTTCCTTTCCCATTCTGCAGTAAACTACACCCGGCCGGTGATTATCCTGGGGCCCATGAAGGATCGGATCAATGACGACTTGATATCTGAATTCCCTGATAAATTTGGCTCCTGTGTGCCTCGTAAGTGTCATTTTTCTTTCCTCTAGGAAAAACAAAAAGAGCTTGGATTTCTTTATGAGATGGTAAAATGTAATTCCATCCTCCAGTAGTCTCTCCAGTAATTCAAATACCAACCATTTCCGATTAGCTGAGTGCCTTATTTAATTTATTTGCCTAACACTTTTCATTTATGCTGCCGTGTGTCATTCTGTATTTAATAAAAATAATAATGTTTTCTCTAAACTGATTGTAGCCCCTTAAAAGGCAGGATGAATTTTTGTGGCCCCCAACCATTTAAAACAGCATAGGATTTATGATAGGCATCAGTATGTTTTCATAGATTGATCAAAATGCCACTGAAACATTATTTTTTATAGGATGGAAGAGATCGGAAACAAAGCCATATATTAAAATCCTCTCAGGATGACTTAGGGCCATATGTCAATCCCAAAACCCAATAGGCTTTCCCATGTTGACAGTCCCAGGTTTAGGGAGGGTGAAGACAAGAAAATGTGTAACACTTCAATTTGACCTCTAGGCCATTACAGACTTTAAACTACTTTCTTCTCATTATAGATTATCATCAGGCTT
Source organism: Homo sapiens (assembly GCF_000001405.40). Taxonomy (NCBI): domain Eukaryota; kingdom Metazoa; phylum Chordata; class Mammalia; order Primates; family Hominidae; genus Homo; species Homo sapiens. Next base: position 83,471,055 of record NC_000011.10, on the reverse strand, counting down.
CTGGTCCCTCTGATTGTAGCCTTATTAGATTCTAACTGCTCTGCCTCTTCCCCTCCCCACCCCTACCATACTTTCTCCACTCATTCACCCCGTCTACACCCCGACTCTGTCAAACAGAAATGCATGCAGACCTTCTACGTATGTAGACAGGTCCATCAGGAAATTTTAATTTATTAGATAATGGAGCTCTTACATCTGATACCAACAAATATTTCTCTTCCATTCTATGTGTTTTAAGCCTGATGCTTTCAAGTGTCTCTAACATTCCAGTACTGCAAATTTTACATGAGATACTTAAGAATAGCAGGAATTGTATGTGTCCAGTACATGGCCAAAAGACTAGGATGATTGCTGTATCTCATGAAACAATTCCCAGCAAGGGCTCTGGGAAGAGATCCTGCCATAGAACATATCCTGAGAAAGTCTTCAGACAGGAAGGAGCAAATGAAACTCCAGGTCGTTTACAGCAAGCTTCCAGCTTGCTCCTCCACTTTTGAGAGAAAGAAAACAGAAGGTACTTAAGCATTCTTTCTGCTTTCCCTTTCACCTTGCATATTCTCTCTTTTTTGAATTAATAGAACCATTTTGTGATAGTCAATAGATGTTCATTGTACAAAACTTCAAAAACACTAAAAAGAAAGTTAAACGAGAAAATTAGAAGTATACAAAATCCCACACAATACCCAGAGATAACATCATTGTTAATATTTTTGTACATTTCCATCTATTCTTTCTATGCATGCATTTTTTCTCTGTGATGATTTTTTTGCTTATTTAAAATTTTATATAACTATTTCAAATGATTATTATATCCCAATTAATCATTCTTTATGAACATTTTGGTTTTTCCCTATTTTTCACTATTATGAATTGTGACAAAAATATCATCGTAATTGTGTTATAATTATTACTTATAAAATAATATAATGAATATCTTTAAGGATAAATCTGTATCTGAAGTTTTGATCATTTTTAAAAACATATTTCTAGGAAAAAATAAGTGAGTCAAAGATTAAAAATATTTTAACAGCTTTTATTCATATTGCTAGATTGCTTTCCCCTTCTCTTCTTACCAAAAAATTTAGGTGAAATGGTTAGAGTTGCTGATTTTTAGTCCTATCTAACTGTGATTATCTTATTTTATATATGTTGAGAGTCTGAATTTTATGGTCCTTTATAGAATGTTAAGTTTTTGTTCTGACAGGTGATAATTTACTGACACAGCAGCTTCTTCCATTTGTGACATGGTTTTAGACTTTGTGAAGATGGGTGTAGAGTAAGTCTAGAGTAACCTTTTAAAATGTGGCCTTTCTGGGATCTCCATGGGTTCTGACTCAACTCCCGTGTCTTCTAGCACCATGTGATGTCTAAACTCTCCATTTGGAAATGGCCTCTAGGTAGAGAGGTGGGGTGAATGCTCTCTCATATGTTTCTCTTTTCTCAAAGATTACAGCCCTGTACTTCCTGTTGTCTGATATCTGAAAACAGTTGTTTCATATATTTTGTCCAGTTTTTTAGTTGCTTATGGTGGGAGGGTAAGACTAGTACCTGTTACTATGTCATATTTCTTCATACTACATATTTCTACATATCAATGTTGAGGATGTGGTGGAGAATATAGGTGTAAAGCAAGTTTATGGGTATAAATGCACCTTAATTTTATCATTTTTTGTTTTATAAAGATACTACGAGGCCAAAGCGAGACTACGAGGTGGATGGCAGAGACTATCACTTTGTCATTTCCAGAGAACAAATGGAGAAAGATATCCAAGAGCACAAGTTTATAGAAGCCGGCCAGTACAATGACAATTTATATGGAACCAGTGTGCAGTCTGTGAGATTTGTAGCAGAAAGAGTATGTTCACCAATCTTCTTACACCTCCCCTGAAGAAGGTTTCTAGGTTGCAAACTGCATTTTTTTTTTTTTTTGGTCATTACTCTTTCTTGATTGCAATTGTAAATTTTGATTTAATAATTTAAAACATCCAAGCAGAGAATCACCTTAGAGCAATGTCATTAATCTTTGTTCTAATTTCAATAAAGTATTCTCACTGACTTGGAAAAAGTAGGAAGAGGGCTTTGTCTTTGACTCACTATCTGAGGCCCCAATACACAACCTTGATTTTATTAAGGCAGGTTTACTACTTTAGTTGTAAACCAAGGGGATAGCATTCCTGAATTATTTTGTTAGAGGAAGTTATTTTTTTTCTCTCTCTCTGAAAACTTGACATCCTCATGGTAGAAGAGAAGATAGATGAGAAGGGCTGCCCAGCCTTTTGCTCGCAGAAGTTCTAGCTTAGAGGAGGTGTAGATGCTGCTATTATCTTTTTGCTGGTAACTTCAGGGGCATGGAAAAGAGAAGAATGTTCAAGAGAGGGTACCATAGGAAGGCACCTGGGTGTGGCTACACAATCTGCCTACAGAGGGATCCTATTTCCTGTGAACACAGAGAACCAGTATCATAGGAGAAGATATTTGTTGGGTTGATTTGATTTGCCATGACCTTTCTCAATGTACCGCTAAAGAATTAAGTAATTTTGATGTCTATCTAAGAATACACTAAGAAGTTGCATCTATTTTCCTCCCTCTCAAAAGTTCAGTTCTATCAACTAAATGAATACTGGTTCTAGTCAAACTGTCCTGGATAATTGCACCTATTTTCCTCTTTGTTCATGTTGTTAACTTGAAATGTTCTGACTGGTGAATAATCAACCAGCATTTATACATGTTATGTGGCTGCTGCACTTCACAGATAGAAAACTTGAAATCTATTACCTAAGTAATAACGGCTTGAACCATCTTAGTGGGTTTCTCAGATAAGAAGACTTCAAGTATTCACTGGACTGTATTCATTTTCATGTGAACATTATAGATGAGATTTTAGCCCTTATTATTGATTTAGTATTGTTCCTATCTGCATAAAGTGCCTTTTTTCTCTTCTTGCATAAAGTTATTCTAGCCTCAGGGTAATGAGGACATTTCTCTCCAGGAGGTAGAATATGATGTGGCAAATGTATCTGCATATCCAGAAATGCTTTATAAAGCAGCTGCTTGCTCTGAGCACTCATTGTGGTGGAAGCCAAGTTAAATGAGGTGTGCTATAATGTAATAGCATTTTTATTTGTTAACAAACAAGAAATTTACATACCTCATGCAAGCCTTTCTCTCTTGGCATTTAACCCGCATTTAATTTATATATATATATATATATATGTTTTAATTATATATTTTATATGTGTGTGTGTATATATATATATATATATATATATATATATATATATATACATATAGTTTTTATTTTTTTTGAGATGGCATTTCACTCTTATTGCCCAGGCTGGAATGCCATGGCACGGTCTCAGCTCACTGCAACCTCCACCTCCTGGGTTCAAGTGATTCTCCTGCCTCAGCCTCTCAAGTAGCTGGGATTACAGGTGCCCACCACCATGCCTGGTGAACTTTTTGGATTTTTAGCAGAGACAGGGTCTCACCATTTTGGTCAGGCTGGTCTCGAACTCCTGATCTCAGGTGATCCACCCGCCTCGGCCTCCTAGAGTGCTAGGATTACAGCCATGAGCCACTGCACCCAACCAACCATATGTTTAAGTTAACCATTTTTGTGTCTGCCCTCCACTAGACTGAGTACCTTGCAGACAGGATATGTACAAGTACTTGGAAAAATTCACATTATTCTCAATCTTCCACACCGAATGTTGGGCAGGGTGAGACAATGAGGTGTCTATTTTTTCCAACCAACAATTCTGTTAGTGCTCCAGACTTGGGTTTGCATGCTCCTAGCACTAAACTATTGGGCAAGTTAGTTAGTGTGAGTCTTCTGTAAAATGCAGCTGATAATACCTACCTCAGAGATTTGGGAATTTCTTCTGACAATTGTGTTCAGAGATGGTTTTTAAACTTCATGAGAACAGACTCAGTCACATAACATACGGCTGCATGTCATCTTTGTGTGTTACATCAGGTATTTAACTGAGAGAACATATGTAAAATGTCCAGTCCAGTAGCAGACACTTTGTAAGGGGCTAGTTAGTATTAGTTATTGTAAACACTCAATGATGACCCTATATATCGATTTTTATTTACTCTTTGCAGTGATCTTTTTCTGACTTTAGAAATCCAGCATCCCCTACCTTCCTCTAAAACCTACATACATTAGTTTCCTTTTGTTGGATTATGGCCATGCTTCCTATATTAACTTCATATTTTTCTTCTCTTTCTACCAGGGCAAACACTGTATACTTGATGTATCAGGAAATGCTATCAAGCGGTTACAAGTTGCCCAGCTCTATCCCATTGCCATCTTCATAAAACCCAGGTCTCTGGAACCTCTTATGTGAGTAGAGGGCATTGGAGGCCTTCATCCAACTGACTCCCTGTTCTGTATTATACTGAAAATTACTAACAGGATTTTGCTGGGAATGCTTACAAATGGGAAATGCCATTGTTGATTTTTCAGCATTCTCTTTTTTTGAAGATATATCAAAGTTCTTTTAAACAACTAGAAACATAATGTCAGTGATTTCTTTTTTTAACATCCCTCATTTTAACAATAATAGTAATTCCTTAAAACATCTTCAATAATGTTTCCTGATTTTTATTGTTTTACTTCACGGATTGTTTTCTTTGTTAGTTTTTGAGGTTTTGTTGTTGTTGTTTTGAGGATAGCTTGGCTTGATTTGGTTTTTTGGTTTGCTTTTGTTTTCCAAATGATAGGAAGCAATCATTTTTTAATTGTCTCATACTTCTGAGGCAGGTCTATAAGTAAATCTTTTTAAATGTGTAGATTTTTTATAGAGAGAGCAGACAACGTTTGAGACTTTTTTCATTGGCATTTTCCTTGGTTCTCTAATAGAATTCTGATGTTCCTTAATTAAAACTTTACATACATAGAACATCGTTCTTAATAGAGTTTTCTTAGTGGCGTGGCAGTAAAACATCTGTAACTTAAACCAGTAGCTTCATACCTGTGCACTCAGGGTTTTTTCTTTTTTTTTCCCCTCCAAAGGACTTGTGAAATAACTTCTTTCAAGAATCATTAAACAAAGTGGGCAGACATTCACGATCTGACTGTAAAGTCAGTATAGGCAACTCCCATTCACAAAGGTGAAGCTACAGTAGATAGAGGTAACCAGAAAAGGGGCTACCAGCAGGGACCTGAAAATTGATCAGGCAAGATTTGGTTCTTTACTTTGCCACTGATCAGTTAAGTAACCTTGGGCAAATTGCTTGACCTTTCTAAGATTTAGCTCCTCACCTCGAAACGAGGCATACTAATAAATACCTCATAGAGCTAGTATAAAGGTTAAATAACAAGATTAGGAATTTAGTAAAGCTGTTCATGTACTCTTTGGCATATGGTAAGTACTCAATAAATAATACCTATTATTATTGTAAAAGATATAAAATTACTTCATTATAAAGGAATAAAACTATTTTATCATTATAAAACACATAAACAGTACCTCTTCCATGACAGTGCAAGAGATAATGCCAATGTGTCTGTCATGAGGGCCTTGATCAAATTTTGCCTTCATCTGGGCCTCAAGACCATAGTGTTTGACAGGGTTCAGGAGTGAACCACAGAGTACTGGAAAATAATGTTTATGGAAGGACCGAAGAAACAGAAATTATTTAATCCCAGTGGTGAAAGCAATTGCTTACAGAGGATATTAACTGTTCTGTGTCTCCTCTGAAGACAAAGAAGCAAAGCAAACTGCAGCAGCTGGAGTGGCAGCCTGAGAGAATTAAGTTAAATACATAGTTGAGCTCTGGGGAAATAGCCAGAGATGTACCTTGAAAGCAGAATATAGTCCCATATATAAAAAATGGACAAGGATTCTTACCAGGATAAAAAAAGTAAGATCGGGAGGTCACTGACAGTACCTTCAGCCCCATGAATTTAGGTATTAAATTATAATATAAAGAGTTTTTCCCATGGCTGGCACATGGAAAAATATGTACTAATGATAAAATAATGATTCTTAATATTATCATCCCCAATAGCATGTATTAAATTTCTCCTTGTATAGGATACTATGTCGGGCATTGCACAAAGTGAATTAAGCAAGTACAAATTTCATGATGTAAAATTGATTTATAATCTGTCAAGAGCCTCATAAATATAAGTAATGCTAACATTAATGAGAAGAAAAATAGTCCTTACTTCCTGGGAACAGCCATCTTAAAGGCCTGTTTCAGAAATAGAAAAATAAATCTTCATATTGTAAACACTCAGTGGGATAAATGGCTTCCCAGGGGAATGAGGCCTGAGGGAACGACAGCAGTGGCACATTTGGTCCGGTGCAATATTAGGAGACAGTCCCATCTGGCATTCCATAGGAGAAGGTCTACTGCCTTCCACAACTATGAGATGACTTATTTTAGTTATGCCTTAGGGCACTGTCACAGCCACTTATCACCAAGGAAAGTTAAATGTACTAAAGGCTGGACTTCACAATAAGGACAGTGAATCTGACATAATTTGCTGCAGCCATATTCATGGGTCTCAAGTGCAGTGATGGTGACATTCAGACCAATGCAATCTACCTACTAAAGGTTGGATGTTTACTTTACAGTTCACTCTTTTCCAAGGCTTTTACTCCAGGAGCAAAGCTGCCATGAATTGCCCATTCCCCAGAGAGTAGTGAATGCTAGGTCAGCCGGAACAAAAGCATGACAGCTGTCACATTTACACATTGATACATCATCACACACATTATTTCTCAAGTGCATCATCCACATCAAATCACAGAGCTTATTAGCACATACATAGCTGACTCTTCAGAGGAGCATAAAATCAAAGATGTGTATGAAAGGGATGTTCTTTTTATATTGTGCCACCATCTGACTTCTGTTCCCTTTCCATGTGGCAATCTCCCTTCACCCTGCCACTTCCAATCTGCTTTTACCTTCCTGCTCCCATGATGCTCTGTGTTTACTTCTGTCTTCAACTATCTTATAATTATGTTTATCTAGCTCCCCATTTGTTCATTCATTCATTCATTTACTCATCTATTCATTCAACAAATAAATGTTGAATCAGTCTCCATGCCACATGCTGACAAACAAGCCATGGTCTTCGCCCTCAAAGAATTACTGATCAGTCAAGGAGACAAAATAAATTCACAGGTCAGAGAATAAAAACCTAAACTAAGTCATTGCTGTAATCAGTAAAAAGGGAATTCAGAGAAGACAGAATTCTTGGAAGGCAGGTCGAAGATGATCCAGAACTATGTGATTTCTTTCTTTGAGACAGGGTCTTGCTCTGTCCAGCCCAAGCTGGAGTGTAGTGGTGCCATCATGGCTCACTGCAGTCATGACCTCGTGGGCTCAAGCCATGTTCCCACCTCAGCCTCCCAAGTAGCTGGGACTAAAGGTATGTGCCACCATACCCAGCTAATGTTTGTATTTTTTTTGTGGAGACAGGGTTTCACCCTGTTGCCCAGGCTGGTCTTGAACTCCTGAGCACAAGTGATCCACCTGCCTCAGCCTCCCAAGGTGTTGGGATTACAGACGTGAACCACTGTGCCTGGCCCACATGATTTCTTGACATCTGGAGCAAATATTTATCTTTCTCTGAAGAGTGTCCCTTGGTTTAGCCCAGCATCTTCTCCACCCACGAGTAACATCCATTCACAGCATGTACAGCTGAGACTGTTTGGAAGAAAAATTATACATAACACCCCTCAGGACAAGATGAGTTTAGCAACAAGAGTTCAGGAAATTCTCACTACTTTGTATTTCAGCCATTAATGTCTAATGTCAATATATTGTTTTTTTTTTTTCCAAATAGCCTCTTTTGAAAGATATCAAGTCTTGGTATAATAGGAAGTCTAACTGAAAATTGGTTTAAAAAACCAAAACCTTGAGTTCTTACCCCAGATTACTCTTCGTTAAATACACAGCCTTAAGCACATCCCTTCTTGCCTCTGTTACTTGCTCTCGAAAGGAATTGACTAAGGCCAGATGTTCCAGACCCAAATCTCTGGCTTCCTAAGCAGCATGCAAGACGGTAATGATTTCAGAAATTCTACATGCACCTGTGATGCATCCTGATCAGCCAACCAAATTGCATTTGGCAGGACATTTTTTTTTTAACACCTGGAAGACCCGGAAAGATAAAGCTGCCAGTAGTTAAGAATCAATAGATTAGGTTTTAGAGAGAATTCAAGAATTTTTCATTTCTCTCCCACCTTGATTTATCCTTGAGCCTTTTAAAAAAAATTTATATATAATAGTTGTACAAATTTTTGGAGTATATGTCATATTTTAATACCTGTATACAATGTGTAATGATCAAATCAGGGTAACTGGAATATCCATCACCAGAAATGTTTTGGGAACATTACAGTTCTTCTCTTCTAGCTATTTTGAAATATTCCTATAACTGCATTTTATACCCCTTAACCAGCTTCTCTTCATCTCCCCTCCTGCCTTCCCTTCCCAGTCTCTGATAACTACCATTCTACTCTCACATTTCAGAAAGTCTGAGATACACTAGAACAAACTCCAAGAAAGGGTGGTCAGGAAAGTTCAGATTTAGAAATCACATCCAATGAGGGGATAGATGAAGCAATAGGACAGTTTATTCTGAAGAAGTAGAAGCCTCAAGACACACTTAAGCACTTTACTTAAATATCCTAGGGCCTACCATGGAGGATATTAGGTCCCTGCAGAACAGGGACCAGTGACTACAAATCATAAGGAGACATATTTGGCTTCAATCCAATGTGGGACCAAGAGACTGCCCTTTGAGAGAATGAGCTTTCTGGCCGTGAGTCCTTGTTGCTGAAATTATTCCAGCACAGAGGAGTCCTGAATGAAGACTAAAAACCTGTTGCTAAGATTACACTATGTTTTCTGTAGGATTTATTTTTGCCATACATTTTAATTTTTTAGGATTTGGAATATTCCCTTTATGTTCTAATACAAACCCTCATTTTCCCAGGGAGATGAATAAGCGTCTAACAGAGGAACAAGCCAAGAAAACCTATGATCGAGCAATTAAGCTAGAACAAGAATTTGGAGAATATTTTACAGGTAAGTTCACTTTTACCCTGGTAGTGTGAGAAAGGGGATAAATTGTCTGACATTTGGCACAGAGAGGGTTCTGGGCCTGGTGTACTTGTGCCCTAAAACCTTCCTGTTGAGAATCCCTAATATCTGTTTCATATACAAGGAGTATCCCTCTGCTTCACCCATTTTGATGTAAAACCCTGGGTTCTCCTGAGAGTTCAGCTGCAGCCAGCTCCCAGGTTCCCACCAGCCCTACCCAAAACCATGGGCAGGAGATACCCCTGAGCTATCTCCTACCATGAAAAGGATTTGAGGCATTGCTACCTCATTAAACTATCTCCCTGATATCATCAGAAAACTTGAAAAACAAAATTTTAGGGCTCAAAATGGTCAGTGTCCAAAGCAGTTACTCTTGAGAAGAAGCTTGGAGGCGTCCGTCCCCAGCTCCATGAGCTTTCATCAGTGTCCCTATCAGCAGCACCTGAACAAGATGCTTAAAACTTCCTCATGTTTCAGTTCACTGTGTCAAGTCTCAACCAAAACTGCTTTTTTTTTCTTTTTAAATGTTTCCTTGGAAACATGAAGGGGAATAGAGGTTTTCTTCTGGAGAGCCTGAGTTCTGAGTTCTGTATTCCTATATACTTTCATAGAACACTGAGTAATCAGACTTTGTGAAATTTGCCTTACACCTGGTTCCCGGAGGTTTAAAAACAAGAACTTTCGAGCTGGGCTTATGCCTCTAATCCCAGCACTTTGGGAGGCTGAGGTGGGTGGATCACCTGAGGTCAGGAGTTCGAGACCAGCCTGGCCAACATAGTGAAACCCCCGTCTCTACTAAAAATACAAAAAATTAGCTGGGTGTGGTGGCAGGCACCTGTAATCCCAGCTACTAGGGAGGCTGAGACAGGAGAATCACTTGAACCCAGGAGGTGGAGGTCGCAGTGAGCCGAGATCGTGCTACTGCACTCCAGCCTGGGCAACAAGGGTGAAATTCTGTCTCAAAAAAAAAAAAAAAAAAAAAAAAAACCCAAGAACTTTCTTCCTGGATTACCATATGTGAAGTTAGATGTTTTATTTTTTACCTTATTCAGAATATAGAAAGTGTCAGTGCCTTAGCAGTTTGTAAATATCTTGAATCAGGTAATATTAAGTAATCTTTCTGTCAGTAACCAAGATACGAGCTGTGTTTCATCCTAAAAGAACATCCAGGTAGGAGAAACAAAAGTGTACATTTTGACAGTGGTTTATATTTTGTATACAATACAATAATATATTCTGAGGATTGTTTTTAAATATCTAAATCATCTTTCAGTAGTAATTTATTTTTAAGACCTAGTGTCATATGGATAATACTGATGTGTTTTGGAAATCTTTCTACAAGATAACTTTTGTTCAAATGAGACAATAAAATGTACTTAAATCTACTCCAAGTGACTTAGTGTTTTAGGAGATACACAACTGAGCAGTTTGTTTATATTTCTTCCTGTTTATGTTTCTTATAAATAGTGGACTTATGGTATTCTCAATATGAATAGCTCTGTATGGTAAAAATCTCAAGTTACCAGAGATTTGGGGAATTAATGGGTTTTCCTATTAAGGGCTTTGAGGGTTGGGAGGCTAACTAAACTTCCCTCTAAAATCTTCATTATTTCCTCGGTGTCTACAATATCTGAATTTCTGCTGCTGCCAAAATAAGTAAATATACAGACTGTAAGGCCAGTTTTCTTTTCTAAATAGGGAGCTCTCAGTCTGAAAATTGATCATTGCCCAGCTCAGTGCCTGGCTCAGAGTAGGCACCCATAAAATATTGGTTAAATAGATGAGTGATAAATTGTCCAGTACTACAGACAGACATGTAGAAAGTGCAAAGACTGTGAATCATTTGTTACTGATCCAGGATATCCATTGAAAGCATTTCTTAAAATCATGAATGTAACTTTGCTTATATGAATTTTCTGCTTCTTCTTACTAATGAAAAATGATATGAAGCTTCCTGATGAGTCATCTGCTACTGATTTGAGCCTCCAATGTGTAAGTGATGATTGTTCTTCACCATCCAGGAAATTATTTCTAATTCTGGGTGTGTTTGCTTTTGTTACAGCTATTGTCCAAGGAGATACTTTAGAAGATATATATAACCAATGCAAGCTTGTTATTGAAGAGCAATCTGGGCCTTTCATCTGGATTCCCTCAAAGGAAAAGTTATAAATTAGCTACTGCGCCTCTGACAACGACAGAAGAGCATTTAGAAGAACAAAATATATATAACATACTACTTGGAGGCTTTTATGTTTTTGTTGCATTTATGTTTTTGCAGTCAATGTGAATTCTTACGAATGTACAACACAAACTGTATGAAGCCATGAAGGAAACAGAGGGGCCAAAGGGTGGGACAGAAAAGACATTGCAGTATGAAGGAAGGCTTTGGTTTGCTCAAAGTGCCAGGTGTAGGGATGAACCTCTGACGGGCTTTCTGCCCAAGAGATGAGATGAGAGCCTCCTCACCCCAGCAGATGTCCAGAGCTGATTTAGCTGCAGAGCTCTCTGTGTCTTTTGCTTTAAAGAAAAATTGCCAGCACTCGAACCTCATCAGCCTTCCCATTACCCACATCTGTAATTGGTACACTTTGAATTTTATAACTATGCACATCTTTTGATTTCTTAACAAGCAAATGAAAGAAAGAAGGAAAAAAGAAAGGAATCCCTTTGGAGATGACATACTATCAGGGAAGGATAAGTGTGTAGTTTTTTGACTGGCATCTGCAAAGACAAGAATTTCATAAAATTTGCAAGTGTATGGAGGACTAACCTCACTGACAGGAGGGGATTCCACCTGGGATTAGCTTTATGATTGTTGATTGCCTATTTTGCCATTTATAAACTGAAAGAAGGCACTAAAGATGAGAATAATTTATACAATAAAAATATATTAAATGTATAGAAACAAATTTCTATAGGTTAAAAAAGTTTTGTGAAATATTTTGTAAAGACTAATATTGAAAGACTAAATGTATGCAACATCAGCAGATGATCAAATTCAAGACCTGAAAGTTGCACTCTCCCTTTTGTTGCCAATGATCTGTTAAGAGCATCTGAGTTCCTTTTAAGTCTGACAAAGACTTCTTCCTCACTTACCTCCCTTCCACATTAGTGATACACTCTCATGCAGCACATCCCTTAATGAGTTGCCCTCATGGATATTTTTGGAAGACATTTGGTTAATGCATTTTTTTATGCTGATGGCTTTTCAGAGACAAACTTATGCAAATGATCTAAAGGGAAGTTTTTGCTTTCCTCTAGTTAAATAACCTGAGCCTGCCATGCAAATAGTTGAATAACTTTGTTCCTAGTTACTGACATACAATTCTTAAAGGACCATTTAGCATTTTGGCCAACAATGAGTAATTAGGATTAGTACCTTTTTGTTTTACAGAGTAACTGAGAGTTTTGTAACATCCAGAGATGGTACTAGAGCCAATGAGAGATCTGTTCCTAGATGCACTATTTCTTTGAGGAAGAGAGAGAAGAGAAGTGTCTGGTTGGGGGTGAGGGGGTGCAGACTTTTTTGTTTCTATGTACAGAGCAAAGAGATAGAGTCACAAGGAAAGACAATTAATGACTTTGAGCTCAACCAACTGAACTGCCTTTCTTGGAGCTGCACCTGGACCAAGTTTATTTTTTAACAATTATAATAACGATGATTTAAAAAAAGAAACCTCCCAAAGCCTATAAACTGAACTAGAAGAGTTGGTTTCCCACTTTAGAGTGGATGGCGACATCAGCATTGCTTTTGCCCATGGTGTTTGGGGAGAGACTTTTCAGTGATAATAACCACTCTACTCTGGGTTCTGTGCATGCCCAGACTAAGCCCCATCGCCTTATTTCTGGGGTACATCCAGACCTGGCAGGGATTCTGCCACACTGTGCAGCAAACCAGCATGTAGGCTGGGTAGGAGAGCAAGAGATAGAGCCATCAGAGTGATGGGGCTTCTTCACAGTAAGAACATCGGAGCTTAGAATGAGAGTCTCTTTCCAAAAACAGGCATTGTTCATCTTACGCTAAACATCATTGTCTGCCTGGCTACAGTCACCAAAACAAAACAGAAATGCAAAATTATGCATCTTCCCATAGTCCTGAGGCTTCCTTTGCCAATGGAAGGGCTAGCAATGCATTCTCCCTCTCATGAAAGTTAAATTTCCAGAGACTTCCTTAGATTGCTCAAAATGTTAAAGATATGTCCATGTCTGCAATTCGCCAGTTTCAGGTCAAGGCCTACTTTCATCAATATTGCTCCCAGAAGTTTTCTGACACCAGAATGCCATTCCTGATCCCAGCTCTATTTTTAGGCCACCACGATAACTTCTTTGGTTTCTCAACTGAGCATGCAACCATTTATTTAAAAGACTGTCATTAATGAGTAGATGTTTTCGCGGGTCGTGTGATGTGCTTTCCATTTACTAGTGTTGCTGTGGCTAAGTACAATCAAATTGAACCACCAACCCTTGGTTTTGTAGTAATATAACTATTTATTTTCCTAGTGTAGATGCTTTCAGATTAGAATTGGCATTTGCACTGATTTTTTTATGTAGATTTATATAAATATATAGATACATATATATTTGCTTGAAGAATCACCAAGCAAATTGGTGAGAGGGTCTTTTCCAATAGAATTTACACCTCCATTTGTTGTGTTGTCTTGCACTTCCCAATGTTGATGTCTCTATGGCTCCAATGAACTGGTGTATTTTGCAGCAAATCTGATGACTTGTATGGAAATGGCATGAAAGTTACCCAGATTACATCTGGTGCAAATGCACTCGGAGCCTGGGGCCAGACTGGTGCTAACACTGCAAACTTTGTCCAGAGCTCTCTCCAACCTGAAGGCTTGCTGGGGGTGCAATGTCACCTTCACACATGCTGGGCCCTTTCAGAAAAGTGCCAGATCGTGTAACTGGTGCTATTTTTCATGCTCTGGTACAATGTGTAGCACCACGGGGGTCTCAGCTTTACCAAAATCAAAATTCCATTTGTCAGCTAAGTGCAGAGGCATTTGTTTTTTGCTCTCCTCCCACAGAATTGTCGGCCATTTATTTGCAGGCCTTTTGCGGGATTTCTTGGCTATTTATTTGCAGGCCTTTTTTCCCAGCCCCAAATTCTTGGGTTGGCTCTGTCTGCTTAAAGAGCCTGTCTTCACAAAGCTGCACTCGGGTGCCTCTGTGCGCTGTCTTAGATCCTACTGCCGGCCCTTCAGGACTCCGAGCCAGGAAAGAACTCTCCAACCTCTGGCTCGAGACTCTACTTTTTTTCTCATTCTTTTCCTTACTCTCCTCCTCCTTCTACTTCCGACTAATTCCATCTCTTTTTTTTTTTGTTCCTCTCCTTTTCCTATTCCTCCTTCCCACCATCTCTGAGTTGTTGACTTTCTCCTATAATCCTTCTCTATTCCCTTTCTCTTTTTGTCCACCTCTCCTTTAGTCTCTGTTTCTCTGCCCTTCTTATTCCTCTTCTGTCCTTTCTCCTCTCCTCAAATCTCTGATCATCTTCTCCCGTACATCCCTGTATTGATTTTTCTGTCCTCTAAAGGGCTCATGGCTGATTCAGACAGCAAGTCCATGCACTGGACTAATGACACAAATACTTTAGGTCGCCGTTTCACCTACTCAGCCCAGAAAGTAAAGCTGAGCGTGAGGCCCTGACCTGGAGCCTGCTCCAGCCCGCCTCCCGGAGCCAGCCTGCACCGTTGCCCTGGCAGCGATGATGCATGTGCTGTGGGCCCTGCCGGCGCCTGAGTGCCTCTGCCTGAACACTGCTCCTAAGCGAGCCCACTCCCAGCACTACCGCATGGCTCTGAGGACATTTTCTTTCAATAAAGGCAGACTCTGGCCCCAATTATTCTGATAGCAAACCTCTTCCTCCTCATTGAAGCCATGCCATCACCTTGGTTTGGAGAGAGACATTTTTTTCCCATTCATAAGCTTTCTTTTTCCCATTTTTATGTGAAGCCCCCTCTGCTTTTCAGCTGGTGATTGCTCTGGTGAGACTGAATGGACTTGCTGGTGAAATGAAATCTCTTCTTTCCTGTCTTGGTCCTGCCTAAATTCCTACAAATATATTTAAGCCAAGGACTCAGGCTAATTCCTAAGTTGATCACATTAATTTGTTACTCCTAGAGGGAAAAAGATCAATTCCCTTGAAGCATGTGGAGTACCTCCTGTGACAGCTGACTTGCCAGGGGACTCCCTACAGAATTCTGTGATATACATTTTACTTCTGTGTATGTATGGTATATATGGTATGTATACCATGTACACACGTTACATTGAGTATGAATGACTGTGGTTGGAAACACACACACACACTCAAGTCTGTAAATATCCTTCCTCACTGAAACCTGTGCTTTGGAAATCATTTCTTGTACAGCTGTGCAGTTTCTTGTAACAGCTGAGGACAAAGCTAAGACAGGCGGACAATTTAGACAAAGATCATCTAAAGAGTATAGTATCTCCCTAGCAACTCATGAGGACAGACAACCAAGTGGCAAGGTTGACTCCCAATGGGATGGCAGACTTTTCTTCTCTCCTTTTTGAGTTTGTGTTTCCTAAGTGTTTCTTAACTTCTGAGTGCACCAGGCTGTACCCGTTAGATCCTTTCAATATGACAGTTTTGTGCTTCTCTCTGACAGGATGTTTCTCCACCGAGCTGTAGCACAGGATGGGAGGGAGGTGGGAATACTCCTTGCCTAGGCTGGAGTTTACAGAGACACTGCACAGCTTACACTCCTGTTAAGTGTAAATATTCAACACTTCCATTCCATTTGTGTAAAAAATAAAGCACACACGATTATAAAATCAAGATGTATATTTCATACTCAGTGTGTCTGTGCATATTTATTGCGTTTCTAGTTGTCAGCGGTGGGTGGCCCCATTGTAAAAATGCCTGATAGAGTGTTTATAAACATGTCATGGTTTTATTATAAGATATAAATATTAAAACATTTTATACTTTATGGCAAATGATTTTCTCCCAAAGCATAATTTGTCTTATTTCATAAGGAATAGAATCACTCATGTCTATTTTTATCAATTTTGTCTCTGATTCCAGAGCTAAAATGCAATTAGGGTGGGTATGCCCTGAGAAGTATTGGCACTGCTGAGAGGAAGTGAAAGTGCTGTTTTTGCATATTCTTAAATATTTGGTTACCATCTTGCCTGCTTTTAATCGGGATTTTTCCAAAAGTGAACAATGTATTAAAAGATAGATTTTTAAAGATGCTCACAGCTATGTGAGGGGAAAAATCAATTTCCCAGTGTCAAACTGTGGGATTCCAGAAGATATTAAGGATACAGAAAAATGATTTTTTTCTTATCTGAAACATTATGCAAAGAAAGGCATAAACTGGGGAGGAGGTATCATTGTCTTATACACCCTGGAGCTCCAAAGATTTGACCATATCAAAAATGTTGGGTTTGGGAATCTGGATCTGCCAGATAATGTTCTAAATTTTTCACTTCAGGTTAAATACATGCCTTGTCATATTGACATTTAGCCAGGTTTCACAGCTAGAGAACCAAAACAAATTCTACTCATGAAAGAGATGAAATTTTGCATCAAAGCAATTGCTTTGGATTATGCTTTGTTTCATGATAAACTACCATATAACTGAATCAGCCATTTGGGAAGCCAGACTAGTTGTTCATACCATCCTGGCCATCAGGAATCTGCCAGGTGTCCTAAAGCTGTCCTTGGTGCTGGGTAGTGAACAAAGACTCTCAGACATGGTATAAGAAGACATTGACTGAGGCTGCAAGACGTGTGGACCTCAAATTTTGACAATTATGCAATTTTCAACATTTGCACAGTCTCACCTGGTTTAATATTAATGGTGACAACTGTACACAAAGCCAGATTCACTTCAATAATGGATGTGTTCATAAGAAGCTAGAAGAGCATTCAGCTTTTCTCTGTGTCCTGTTTCATGTCTGCAAAACAGTTTTTAAACCACGATCATGCTAGAAGTCTCAAAAGCTAGAAGTGGCTGACACATCTCTGAACCTAAGAGGGGCTAGTTATGAACCTGTGATCTCTGTAGATACTCTGAGGCCATACACCCAGTGACAGAATTTAAAAGCCTCACCAAGGCACAAAGCTAGGTAACATCTGTACAGGCAGCCACAGTGAGACCTGTCATCTTTAAAGTTGTCAAGGGAGGATGTGTTCTATAGATAATAACCCCAATTTCTGTTCTCTGTCACCTTTCCCTTAGGGACATCTCAGAAGGCACCATAGCTATCATTAGACTGATCCCCTTCCCTCTCTAGTGTTACAGCCAAAGCATCAAGTCCAGGCCTTGTCCCTAATGCCCCTTAGCACTCTTAGGACAAAGCTAGAAAACGTGGGTAAACTTCGCTAAAGCCTGGGGATAGCAAAAGGGAAATAAAAGATATTCTGATTTATGGTAGGAGCTTAGTGCGCAGCCCCTGGCTTGCTGACATGAAAGACACAGGCTATCTTTCCCCAGCCTCCCAGGAGTCCCTCAAGCATAGCTAGACCAGACGTCAGACCCTTTCCTCTGTTGCAGCACACCTGAGAGGCGCTGTATCCATGCTTGACTCAGCACCTGCTACATTAGGTGCCTACTGTCTCCATCACAGGCTAGAATACAAATGGAAATGACTCAGTGTGGCTTTGATTACTCCTTAATTGTAAACTTCAAAGGACAAATGATTTGCAACATGCTTCACATCTCAATATAAGGCATCAGTAGAACCTCACTGGTCTAAACTGATCAAAGCCCAAAAAGCAAGGCCCATGAGAGACACTAGTTCTCTCCCACCCGCTTAAGGCCTGTCCTTCCAGTTCTGGGTCCCTGTCTTGTGTAGACGATTGAATTAGGTAACAACTCCTCTTCAAGACTTCAGAAGGATGAGCTGTGTGAATTTTGAACAGCAGAAAACTAACATCCATACCATAAGCCAAAGATACAGAACAGGCTTCATTCTAGCAAAACATAATCGACTCTATTTCAATCTGAAAGACGAGGAAAGGAAGAAAAATACTTTCTTTTAAGCAGGCATTAAAAATTTCAAATTCTTATAGCTCTTCATAGCAAATTACAATGAACAGTTTCTTAGTAACAGAATTAGTCCCTCAGAGAGAACAGTTGATTTCTCTAACAAAAATATGAAACCAACAAGCTAAAAGGTTGGATCCTAATTGGATTGTTGGATTTTTGCAAGCCACACCTGTGTCTTTGATATCATTAGTAACCTTTCAGCAGAAATTGTGCATGCCACCATGCTCCGTCATCTGGCCCTTCTGGTATGAATAACCCTTGTGGTGAGGAACTCTCTCCACTTGGTTTCCCAACTGGTTTCTTATAACATCACTCATCCTAATTTACTTGAGCCAACAAATCTGGCTTCTAGTCTGCAGTCCTTTTCCTCAACATTTGGATAAACACTCTTGACTACCTGAAATTCTTCAGAGTAAAAAGTTATAGAGGCTGGCCCGGCGCGGTGGCTCACGCCTGTAATCCCAGCACTTTGGGAGGCCAAGGCAGGTGGATCACCTGAGGTCAGGAGTTCGAGACCAGCCTGACCAACATGGAGAAACCTTGTCTCTACTAAAAATACAAAACTAGCTGGGTGTGGTGCTGCATGCCTGTAATCCCAGCTACTTGGGAGGCTGAGGCAGGAGAATTGCTTGAACCTGGGAGGCGGAGGTTGTGGTGAGCTGAGATGGCACCATTGCACCCCAACCTGGGCAACAAGAGCAAAACTTCATCTCAAAAATCAAACAAAAAAAATTTATAGAGGCTGGATTCAAGACCAGCCTGGCCAACATCATAAAACCCCATCTCTACTAAAAATACAAAAATTAGCCAGGTGGAGTGCAACTGTAATCCCAACTATCCAGGAGGCTGAGGCAGAAGAATCGCTTGAACCTGAGAGGCAGAGACTGTAGTGAACCTAGATCGTGCCACTGCACTCTAGCCTGTGTGACAGAGCAAGACACCATCTCAAACAAACAAACAAAAAAGTTTATAGAAAATGTGCCATATATGAAACTGGGTTCAATTAATTCATTAAAACTGGGAGTATTTACCCAACATTTCATGCAAAGAAAGACTAACATGCTTAATTAAAATTACCACACAAGGAAAACATTTCCAAAAAGCTGGCTTTTTAAATTATTTATTTATCTAGTTATCATTCCTTACACATTTGGTCAGCAAACAATAAACACTTGCTAGGAGCCAGGATCTATTAAGATGGTAAAGTAGAAAATGAAATAACAAATGCTCAGAGCACTCTCTGTCTTTTCAAGGAATGTAAACCTAGTAGCAGAAACCTATTTTAAAAAGATAGTTAAAACACAGATGCTCTAAAACAGACCAGTAAGTGCATAAAGACTCCACTCCAAACAAGTGACGTTGACATCCAGAAATCAGATGTGCAGCTGCTCATTTGCTCATACCCTTGGAAGAGCCTGTATGGCAAAACTAAGTCTCTTCTGTGGTGTTCCTGAATCTGTCAGCCTCCTGATACCCCTACCCAATCCCACTGGCCACTTGAATTGTCTACCAATAACAGTTGGGATCCCACCCCATCCCTGGGGGAGAGGTGAAGATGACAGGTTAGCACAGACTAACTTGCCAGGTGAACAAAGAGTGGTAGGCAAGGTAGGCAGAAGATATGGGGAGGTTAGTCATCCAGAACCGCCATTCCTAACAAGTGGCAAGAATTATCAGGAAGCAAGAAACAACTTGGGTAATTGGTCAGGATGAAGGACAAACCAGGTACTCACAGGAGAAACTAGAGCAATGGAGAGTTTCTGTTTTCTCTGCAATACACAGACTATTCGATGCATCAAAGATCTGCTTCAAAGCAAAATGGTGCAATGAGGCCTTCTTTTCTGATATAATTTCAAGCATTACACACATTACTTAGAATCATAAGCAGGGTTTTATTCCCTTGGAAGGGGTAGTTTCCTGACCTGGATGCTTAAATCAAAAACATGCAATAGGAACTAAAGGGGAGGTTAAACTCAACTTTCAACTTTATGAGGTAAGTATGTTCCTATTTTATCAACCCAGGAAACATCTTAACAAGACTTAGAAAGAGGGGTGGTTGAAAGAGAAAAATTGATGTATTGAGCCTATAATTGCCTTGGTATTTTACAGAACAACTTCTCAGTTGTTTAGTGTCAGAGATGATCTTGACATTGAAACCCATAGATAATCTCCAAATCCATTTTTAGTTAATCACCTTACTCCCTGAAATTTTGTCCAGCATTTCAGACAAAGGTCAACACTGTCAGAAATGTGGCTCAGCACTTTCCTGGAGTGAGGGATCAATGCACAGGGATAAGTTACTGACTGTAAAAGGAAATGAGACTGAATAGTGCAACAACCCCCGGGCTACCATTATTGAAGTTGTGCATTTCACCCAATAATCTGAAGCAAGTCCACAAGAAGAGACTTCTAGTGCAGTCCCTAATGACTGGTTTGCCTGACTCCCTTATCACATTATAATGTGGTGCACAACAAAAGTATGTTCTGTGTGTCCTGGGACAGGAAAGTTCTGTTTTGTAATTATGTTCCATTGGAAACAGAGCA
Source organism: Homo sapiens (assembly GCF_000001405.40). Taxonomy (NCBI): domain Eukaryota; kingdom Metazoa; phylum Chordata; class Mammalia; order Primates; family Hominidae; genus Homo; species Homo sapiens. The sequence goes on along the minus strand of NC_000011.10, from coordinate 83,450,407 downwards.
TCACAGAGCAGGGGCAAGAGTTTGGCCTTGGTGCCAGCCTACCTTGGGAGCCTGCAGACGTTTATACCCACATTCTATGTCCCCTTCCCCTCTGTTAACTGCTCACAGAGCTCTCTGAAACACTAGAAACATCACCCAGTCCTATGTCTCCATGAATGGGCACCTCTAAATGTGATCTGGGACCAGAGGCATGAGTATCACCTGGAGCTTGTTACAATGCAGAATCTTAGGCCCTAACCATATCTACTGAATCAGATTCTGCATTTTCACAAGATTCCCCAGTGATTCCACGCATGTTAAAATCTGCAACACATGGTTTACAAAACTAAATCAACTATGAAGAAAATAGATTGGAGAGAAATATTTTTTGATAAGAGAGCCACTAACTTCAATGATGAAAACAAAACAAAACAAAAAAGCAAATAGCAGAAAAGGAGGAAAAGGAATATCTCTGATAGTAAGCAAATAGCTTGGTGGCATCATCTTTAAACTTAAAAACCCAGCCAATCTCTGACAACTCCAAGGTGGAGAGGTGGGTTGCAAAATTCTATAAAATACTTGATCAATAGACTTAAACACGGGACTGGTTATTTCCACTGTACAGACTGAGGAGGCAATCCTTGGCTTGCAATGTGAAGGATGACAAAGCGACAATACAATGTCATGAGTCACAGCACTGACCTAAGAGCAGACCTGGGTTCAAATCCTGACTCCATTCTTTACTAGTCATGTGATCTTGTATAAGGGACTTAACATCTCCCAGGACAAATTTTCTCACTGAAACGTGACACTAACAACAGCACCTGCCTCTCTCACATTCAGAGAGCTGTTGTGAGAAACCCATGAAAATTGCATGCTACACAGGAAGCACTCAGCTAGTCTCAGTTGTCATAATCATAGTTAGTCACTGATCTTTATGACAACCATTTGAAAGAGACAAGGCCATTTACTTCCCCATTTTATTTTATTTTTTATTTTATTTTGTTTTTGGAGACAGAGTCTCCCTCTGTAGCCCAAGCTGGGCTGCAATGGCGGGATCTCAGCTTATGGCAACCTCCACCTCCTGGGGTCAAGTGATTCTTCTGCCTCAGCCTCCCAAGTAGTTGGGATTACAGGCACACACCACCATACCTGGCTAATTTTTGTATTTTCAGTAGAGACAGGGTTTCACCATGTTGGCCAAGCTGGTCTTGAACTCCTGACCTCAGGTGATCCACCCACCTCAGCCTCCCAAAGTGCTGGGATTACAGGCTTGAGCCAGTGCACCTGGCTACTTTCCCATTTTAAAGGTGAATAAATCAGGGCCCAGGAAAGCAGTGATGCCCCTATGACTGCACAGCTGGAGGCAGAGCTGGCCTCACACTCAGGCTCAGCTTGCCTAGTTCAGTGTCCTTTACTGCTAGCCAGACGGGCTTGGTGAAAGTGAACGAAGGCTCTGGTCTGGAGAGCAGTGATTACTAGGAAAGGGCCAGAAAGCTGGCCTGATGGGCAAGCAGACAGCCACCTGCCTACCACCTGAGTCACCTGCCCTGACACTCCACATTGGGAATGAGTTACTCTGCCAAAAGCCAATGATAGCATCTGGAAGGACTTCTCAGCAAGTATGAATGCAGGAATTTGCTTGTCAGATGACAGGAGGAACAGAAGACTTTTAAGAGTGGATGGACTATTCTCAAAGTGAAGCTACTCAAAAGCACTGTGTCAGCCTTATGTGACAATGGGGGAGGGGGAGAGAGGCGGAAGAAAAAGGAATGAAAAGAAGTTACCAAGAACTTTCTCTGTGCTGGGCACAGAACTTAAGGTGTATTATCTCATTTTACCATTACAACTTTGTGATGTGGGCATTATCACCTCCACATAATTGTCAGGCCTCTGAGTCCAAGCTAAGCCATCATATCCCCTGTTACCTGCACGTACACATCCAGATGGCCAGTTCCTGCCTTAACTGATGACACTGTCTGGTGAAATTCCTTCTCCTGGCTCATCCTGGCTCAAAAGCTCCCCCACTGAGTACCTTGTGACCCCCACTACTGCCCATCAGAGAACAACCCCCCTTTGACTGTAATTTTCCTTTACCTACCCAAACCTTATAAAATGGCCCCACCCCATCTCCCTTCACTGACTCTCTTTTCAGACTCAGCCCGCCTACACCCAGGTGAAATAAACAGCCTTGTTGCTCACAGAAAGCCTGTTTGGTGGTCTGTTCACACGGACACGAGTGAAATTTGGTGCCATGACTCAGATCGGGGGACCTCCCTTGGGAGATCAATCCCTTGTCCTCCTGCTCTTTGCTCCGTGAAAAAGATCCACCTATGACCTCGGGTCCTCAGACCCACCAGCCCAAGGAACATCTCACCAATTTTAGGTCAGGTAAGCGGCCTCTTCTTACTCTCTTCTCCAATCTCTCTCACTATCCCTCAACCACTTTCTCCTTTCCGTCTTGGTGCCACCCTTCAATCTCTCCCTTCTCTTAATTCCAATTCCTCTCATTTTCTGGTAGAGACAAAGGAGACATACTTTATCCACGGACCCAAAACTCTGGCGCCAGTCACGGACTTGGGAAGGCAGCCTTCCCTTGGTGTTTAATCATTGCAGGGACGCCTCTCTGATTATTCACCCACGTTTCAGAGGTGTCTGACCACGCAGGGACGCCTGCCTTGGTCCTTCACCCTTAGTGGCAAGTCCCGCTTTTCTGGGGGAGGGGAAAGAACCCCCGACCCCTTCGCTCCCTGTCTCTACCCCTTCTCTGCTTTTCTGGGGGAGCAAGAACCCCCCAATGCCTTATTTCCACGCCCTGACCCCTTATCTCTGTGCCCTGATCACTTATATCTGTGCCCCAACCTCTATCTCTGCACCCCGATCCCTTATTTCTGCTCCCTGACCACTTATCTCTGCACCCCAACCCCTTATTTCCACGCCCTGACCCCTTTCCTAATTTTCTGGAGGTTAAGAACCCCCAAACCCCTTCCCTCCGTGTCTCTACTCTTTTGTCCGGGCTTGCCCCCTTCACTATAGGCAAGCTTCCACCCTCCATTCCCCCTTCTTCTCCCTTAGCCTGTGTTCTTAAAAACCTAAAACCTCTTCAACTCACACCTGACCTAAAACCTAAATGCCTTATTTTCTTCTGCAATGCCACTTGACTCCAATACAAACTCGACAGTGGTTCCAAATAGCCAGAAAATGGCACTTTCAATTTTTCCATCCTACAAGATCTAGATAATTCTTGTCATAAAATGGGTAAATGGTCTGAGGTGCCTGACACCCAGGCCTTCTTTTACACATCAGTCCTTCCCTAGTCTCTGTTCCCAATGCAATTTGTCCCGAATCTTCCTTCTTTCCCTCCCACCTGTCCCCTCAGTCCCAACCCCAAGTGTCACTGAGTCTTTCTAATCTTCCTTTTCTACAGACCCATCTGACCTCTCCCCTCCTTGCCAGACTGAGCTAGGTCCCAATTCTTCCTTAGCCTCCGCTCCTCCACCCTATAATCCTTTTATCACCTCCCCACCTCACACCCTGTCAGGCTTACATTTTCATTCCATGAGTAGCCCACCCCCACCTGCCCAGCAATTTCCTCTTAAAAAGGTGGCTGGAGCTAAAGGCATAGTCAAGGTTAATGCTTCTTTTTCTTTATCCCAAATTGGAGAGCATTTAGGCTCTTTTTCATCAAATATAAAAACACAGCCCAGTTCATGGCTCATTTGGCAGCAACCCTGAGATGCTTTACAGCCCTACACCATAAAAGGTCAAAAGGCCGTCTTATTCTCAATATACATTTTATTACCCAATATCCTCCCAACATTAAATAAAACTCCAAAAATTAAATTCTGGCCCTCAAACCCCACAACAGGACTTAATTAACCTCACCTTCAAGGTGTACAATAATAGAGTGGAGGCAGCCAAGTAGCAACATATTTCTGAGTTGCAATTCTTTGCCTCCACTGTGAGACAAACCCCAGCCACATCTCCAGCACACAAGAACTTCCAAATGCCTAAACCACAGTGGCCAGATGTTCCCCCAGGCCCACCTCCCCCAGGAGCTTGCTACAAGTGCCAGAAATCTGGCCACCAGGTCAAGGAATTCCTCCTAAGCCCGGGATTCCTCCTAAGCCATGTCCCATCTGTGCAGGACCCCACTGAAAATCGGACTGTTCAACTCACCTAGTAGCCACTCCCAGAGCCCCTGGAACTCTGGCCTGAGGCTCTCTGACCGACTCCTTCCCAGATCTTCTCAGCTTAGGGGCTGAAGATTAATGCTGCCAGATGGCCTTGGAAGCCCCCTAGACCATAACAGATGCCGAGCTTCAGGTAACTCTCACAGTGGAAGGTAAGTCCGTCCCCTTCTTAATCAATATGGAGGATACCCATTCCACATTACCTTCTTTTCAAGGGCCTGTTTCCCTTGCCTCCATAACTGTTGTGGGTATTGATGGCCAGGCTTCTAAACCTCTTAAAACTCCCCAATTCTGGTGCCAACTTAGACAATACTTTTTAAGCACTCCTTTTTAGTTATACCCACCTGCCCAGTTCCCTTATTAGGCCGAGACACTTTAACTAAATTATCTGCTTCCCTGACTATTCCTGGGATACAGCCACATCTCATTGCCACCCTTCTTCCCAATCCAAAGCCTCCTTTGCATCCTCCTTTTGTATCCCCCCACCTTAACCAACAAGTATAGGATACCTCTACTCCGTCCTTGGCAACCGATCATGAGCCCCTTACCATCTCATTAAAACCTAATCACCCTTACCCCACTCAACGCCAATATCCCATCCTGCAGTGTGCTTTAAAAAGATTAAAGCCTGTTATCACTTGCCTGCTACAGCATGGCCTTTTAAAGCCTATAAACTCTCCTTACAATTCCATTTTATCTGTCCTAGAACCAGACAAGCCTTACAGGTTAGTTCAAGATCTGAGCCTTATCAACTAAATTGTTTTCCCTATCCACCCCGTGGTGCCAAATCCATATACTCTCCTATCCTCAATATCTCCCTCCACAACTCATTATTCTGTTCTGGATCTCAAACATGCTTTCCTTACTATTCCTTTGCACCCTTCATCCCAGCCTCTCTTCGCTTTCACTTAGACTGACCCTGACACCCATCAGGCTCAGCAAATTACCTGGGCTGTACTGCCACAAGGCTTTACAGATAGCCCCCATTACTTCAGTCAAGCCCAAATTTCTTCCTCATCTGTTACCTATCTCGGCATAATTCTCATAAGAACACACGTGCTCTCCCTGCTGATCATGTCTGACTAATCTCCCAAACCTCAATCCTTTCTACAAAACAACTCCTTTCCTTCCTAGGCATGGTTAGATACTTTCAACTTTAGATATCTGGTTTTGCCATCCTAACAAAACCATTATATAAACTCACAAAAGGAAACCTAGCTGACCCCATAGATCCTAAATCCTTTCCCCACTCCTCTTTCCATTTCTTAAAGACAGCTTTAGAGACTGCCCCAACCCTAGCTCTCCCTGACTCATCCTAACCCTTTTCATTACCCACAGCTGAAGTGCAGGGCTGTGCAGTCAGAATTCTAACACAAGAACCAGGACCGCACCCTGTAACCTTTTTATTCAAACAACTTGACCTTACTGTTTTGCCTAGCCCTCAAGTCTGTGTGTGGTGGCTGCCACTGCCCTAATACTTTCAGAGGCCCTTAAAATCACAAGCTATGCTCAACTTACTCTCTACAGTTCTCATAACTTCCAAAATCTGTTTTCTTCCTCACACCTGACACATATACTTTCTGCTTCCCAGCTCCTTCAGCTGTATTCACTCTTTGTTGAGTCTCCCACAATTACCATTGTTCCTGGTCCAGACTTCAATCGGGCCTACCACATTATTCCTGATACCACACCCCATGACTGTATCTCTCTGATCCACCTGACATTCACTCCATTTCCCCATATTATTTCCTGTTCCTCACCCTGAACACACTTGGTTTATTGATGGCAGTTCCACCAGGCCTAATCGCCACTCACCAGCAAAGGCAGGCTATGCTATAGCATCTTCCACATCTATCACTGAGGCTACTGCTCTGCCCCCCTTCACTACCTCTCAGCAAGCTGAACTCATTGCCTTAAGTTAAGCCCTCACTCTTGCAAAAGGACTAAACGTCAATATTTATACTGACTCTAAATATGCCTTCCATATCCTGCACCACCATGCAAGAGGTTTCCTCACTATACAAGGGTCCTCTGTCATTAATGCCTCTTTAGTAAAAACTCTGCTCAAGGCCGCTTTACTTCCAAAGGAAGCTGGGGTCATTCACTGCAAGGGGCATCAAAAGGTGTCAGATCCCATTGATCTAGGCAACGCTTATGCTGATAAGGTGGCTAGACAAGCAGCTAGCCTTCCAACTTCTGTCTCTCACAGCAACGCTTATGCTGATAAGGTGGCTAGACAATCAGCTAGCTCTCCAACTTCTGTCCCTCACGGCCAGTTTTTCTCCTTCACATCGGTCACTCCCACCTACTCCCCCGCTGAAACTTCCAACTATCAATCTCTTCCCACACAAGGCAAATGGTTCTTAGACCAAGGAAAATATCTCCTTCCAGCCTCACAGGCCCATTCTATTCTGTCATCATTTCATAACCTCTTCCATGTAGGTTACATGCCTCTAGCCCATCTCTTAGAACCTCTAATTTCCTTTCCATCATAGAAATCTATCCTCAAGCAGATCACTTCTCAGTGTTCCATCTGCTATTCTACTACCCCTCAGGGATTGTTCAGGCCCCCTCCCTTTCCTACACATCAAGCTCAGGGATTTGTCTCTGCCCAAGACTGGCAAATTGACTTTACTCACATGCCCCAAGTCAGAAAACTAAAATACCTCTTGGTCTGGGTAGATATTTTCACTGAATGGGTAGAGGCCTTTCCTACAAGATCTGAGAAGGCCACCGCAGTCATTTCTTCCCTTCTGTCAGACATAATTACTCGGTTTGGCCTTCCCACCTCCACGCAGTCTGACAGTGGACTGGCCTTTATTAGTCAAATCACCCAAGCAGTTTTTCAGGCTCTTGGTATTAAGTGAAACCTTTATATCCCTTACAGTCCTCAGTCTTCAGGAAAGGTAGAACGGACTAATGGTCTTTTAAGAACACACCTCACCAAGCTCAGCCAACAACTTAAAAAGGACTGGACAATACTTTTACCACTTCCTTTTCTCAGAATTCAGGCCTGTCCTTGGAATGCTACAAGGTACAGCCCATTTGAGCTCCTGTATGGACACTCCTTTTTATTAAGCCCCAGTCTCATTCCAGACACCAGACCAACTTGGACTGTGCCCCAAATAACTTGTCATCCCTACTATCTTCTGTCTAGTCATACTCCCATTCACCATTCTCAACTACTCATAGATGCCCTGCTCTTGTTTACACTGCCGGTTTACACTGTTTCTCCAAGCCATCGCAGCTGATATCTCCTGGTGCTATCCCCAAACTGCCACTCTTAACTCTTGAAGTAAATAAATAATCTTTGCTGGCAGGACTATGCTGAATCTCCTTAGGCACTCTAATTAGATGTCCTGGGTCCTCCCAATTCTTAAACCTTTAATACCTGTTTTTCTCCTTCTCTTATTCCATTTAGTTTTCCAATTCATACAAAACCTTATCCAGGCTATCACCAATAATTCTACATGACAAATGTTTCTTCTAACAACCCCGCAATATCACCCCTTACCACAAAACCTTCCTTCAGCTTAATCTCTCCCACTCTAGGTTGCCAAGCGGCCCCTAATCCTGCTCGAAGCAGCCCTGAGAAACATCGCCCATTATCTCTCCATACCATCCCCCAAAATTTTCACTGTCCCAACACTTTACCACTATTTCATTTTATTTTTCTTATTAATATAAGAAGACAGGAATGTCATGCCTCTGAGCCCAAGCTAAGCCATCATATCCCCTGTTACCTGCACGTACACATCCAGATGGCTGGTTCCTGCCTTAACTGATGACATTGTCTTGTGAAACTCCTTCTGGCTCATCCTGGCTCAAAAGCTCCCCCACTGAGTACCTTGTGACCCCCACTCCTGCCCATCAGAGAACCCCCCTTTGACTGTAATTTTACTTTACCTACCCAAATCTTATAAAATGGCCCCACCTCTATCTCCCTTCACTGACTCTCTTTTCGGACTCAGCCTGCCTGCACCCAGTGAAATAAACAGCCTTGTTGCTCACACAAAGCCTGTTTGGTGGTCTTTTCACACAGATGCAAGTGAAAATGATAAACAGGCTTAGAGAGTTAAACTTATTTATCACATGAGAGATACAAAAAAATGATTCCCATTTATCAGTGATTTTTTTCCCCATCATGCCATGTTTTTAAAAAAACTCATTATTTTAGAATAGCTTTAGATTTACATTAAGAAAGCAAAAGTAGTACAGAGACTTTCCATACACACCAAAACTCAGTTTCCTCTATTGTTAATATCTTGTCGCAATTAATAAACCAATGTTGGTATATCATTATTCACTGAAGACTATGATTTATTCTGATTTTTTTTGGCATTTACACTTTTCCAAGGTTCTAACCAGGGAACTGTGTGATATTTTGTTATGTCTTTTTAGGCTCCTTTTCATTTTGACACTTTCTCAGTTATTGATGACCTTGACAGTTTTAAGAAATACCAGTCAGGTATTTCACAGAATGCCTCTCAACTGGAATTTACCTGATGTTCTTCTCATGATTAGACTGATATTACAGGTTTTGGGTAGATAAGTGCCATTCTTACCACATCAAGGGTCCACGACTATTACTGTGGATCTAACCTTGATCACCTGGCCCAGGTACTGTTTTTCAAGTTTTTCTACTGTAAAGTTACTCTTTTTTCCTCCATTTCATACTGTACTCTTTGGAAAGAAGTCACTGTGTGAAGCCCACATTTAATGAGTAGGGAGTCATGCTTTTCATCCTTGATTGCTGATATTTTTAGGCTTTGTGTCCCCACCTAAATCTCATCTTGAATTGTAATGCAAATAATCCGCACGTGTCAAGGGAGGGACCAGGTGGAGGTAACTGAATCACGGAGGTGGTTGCCCCCTGCTGTTCTTGTGCTAGCTAGTGAGTGAGTTCTCACAATATCTGATGGTTTTATAGGGGGGGTCTTCCCTCTTCACTTGGCACTTCTTCCTGCCACCTTGTGAAAAAGGTGTCTTGCTTCCCCTTCCCCTTCCCCTTCCGCCATGATTGTAAATTTCCTGAGGCCTCCCCAGCCATGCTAAACTGGGAGTCAATTAAACCTCTTTCTTTTATAAATTACTCAGTCTTGGGCAGTTCTTTACAGCAGTATTTAAGTGGACTAATACAAGTGCAAAGTAGCTACATGAATTATTTGAAACTTTTCTGTATGGAAGAGTTGTCCATTTGCCTCTATTTATTCAATAATTTGTTTCTATCAAGAGGGATTCTTGGATATTTATCTGATAGTTTTATAGTTTATTTAGTTTAGTTTTGCAGTTTAGTTTATCTGATAGTATTATAATCCAGAACTACTTTATTTTGCTATACAAATTGTTTCAGCTTTGTCCATTGAGAGCTTTTTCAGTTAACTCTGATGCTCCTTTGACATACTCCCACTATTGTGGATTTTTTGAGCATTTTCTTACTTTCTATACTACAAGAGGCTCAGGCTTATTTTGTATATTTCTTGCCCAGTCCTACCAATCCTAGAGTCAGCCATTTCTCCAAGGCTTTTTTATTGGAGAATGTTATTAAAAATTAAAATCTGGGTACTAGGTGTGTTCTTTGCTAATGGGACATTATTTCCTCTAGATCCTCTCAGTTGACAGAGCAAGGTAATGAATATGTGTATAGTAACTGGTGAATATAGAAACATTTATATATGCAACCATCTGTATCTATATTAAGCTAAACATGAGTTTCTACTGATATCTCTAGTCTAACTCATCACCACATGGACCAATCAAGCCTCTTCCTCTGACTTGTGTGTAAACTCTTACTCCAACAATGAGAAACCTGAGGCCAATCATTTTTCATCTCTTTATTTCTTTCTGACTCAGCAGATCCAGTACAGGACCCTCTGCTTAAGAAAATCTTGAAGAGACCAGGCACAGTGGCTCACACCTGTAATCCCAGCACTTTGGGAAGCTGAGGCAAGTAGATCACGAGGTCATGAGTTCAAGACCAGCCTGGCCAACACGGTGAAACCCTGTCTCTACTAAAAATACAAAAATTAACTGGGCATGGTGGAACATATCTCTAATCCCAGCTACTTGGGAGGCTGAGACAGGAGAATCGCTTGAACCCGGGAGGCACAGGTTGCAGTGAGCTGAGATTGTGCCACTGTACTGCAGCCTGGCGACAGAGCGAGACTGTCTCAAAACAAAAAGAAAAAAGAGTCTTCAAGAGGCTTCAAGTCTCTCACATTCTGACATTTAATGGTCTCTTGATTATCTCAGGCTCACGCTACTTTTTTCCACACTTGATGGTAAACATCTTCATTGTAATTCTTTAAGGGTTTCACACATCTGAGGCATGGAAAAATAACTAGTGAATAATTGATATAAAGGGCAACAAAGCCAACTTAAGAGGGAGATAATGTTTGTAGTAAAAAATCCGAAGGTAAAAATTTGTTTATGTAGCATCATTTTGAATTGTTATTAAGTCAGCCCTCAGTTTTCCTCATAAAGTACCCTACTCGTGTGTAGATCCACTCAGTCAAATGCAGTGGTTTATCCAGTGACCTACGATTGTCAACCCCCCCTTGCCTCTGCTTCCTGCAGTCTCCACAGGTGACACTTGGGTTCCAGGTGGTTTGCAACACTCCACGGCATCAGGAGGTGTGGGGTTAGCTTCCGCTCATCAAACCTGACCTGAGCCTCCTGCCTTCCTGCCACTGCCAATGCACTGGTCCCATCTGTTTTTCTCTGTGCTCTGAATCAACTCCCTTTTGGATAATACTTGGAAAGGCCTTAGCAAATAGACAAGATTAAGTTATCTGCAGGCAAATTATGAATTGTGTATCATGCTGCTTGTGTCAGGATTATTTAGTGAAAGGTAGAAAATACTTGAAAATACTAATATAGACTTACATGTACATTACACGTACTTCTCCAGTCAGCCATGTTATCTACCTTTGCTGGCAGCAGGTGGGGAAAGGGATGGGCAAAGGGAAAGTTGGATTGTTGAAGAAGAAATGTAAAGAAAAATAATAGCTGCTGAAAGCAAGACAATAGGTCTGAAAGTCTAAAATTTTTATGTGCATTTAACATATCAGCTTGATATAGAATTTTCCCTATAATGTAGATTAGAGAGCCATAAAACTAGAGGTAGAAGGCCAGGTGCGGTGGCTCATGCCTGTAATCCCAGCACTTTGGGAGGCCGAGGCAGGTGGATCACCCGAGGTCAGGAGTTCAAGACCAGCCTGGCCAACATGGTGAAACCCAGTCTCTACTAAAAATACAAAAATTAGCCAGGCATGGTGGCACACACCTGTAATCCCAGCTACTCGGGAGGCTGAGGCAAGAGAATTCCTACAGGCAGGGAAAAAGGAAGATACCATGAAATAGAAGAAGTAAAAGAGAAGCCCATCCCTTATAATCCAAGGCTACAGAAGGCAGAGGGTGGACAGAAGAAAGGAAAAAAAGGTCGGGAGGTAGACAAACTGTTCCAGTTTCTCTCCTTGGGCTGAAACCCTATAAGTGAGGAGAACAATTAGGGCATGGTCAGGAGCCCTCTGACCTATCTGGAACCCTGAGAGGAAGTGAGCCAAGATTGTGCCATAGCACTTCAGACTGGGCGACAGAGCAAGACTGTCTCAAAAAAAAAAAAAGAGGAAGTCTCATCTTGTGGGCCAGATACCCTAGCATGTCCATAAGAACTTGGGGATTGGCCACATCAGAGTAAAACTCAGTGGCACAGCATGGTCAGAATGGGACAGCCAGAGCTCAGCTCTCCTGAGCTGCTCTTTCTGTAAGATATGTTGGAACCTGGGAGTCCCCAATGGGCCCTAAAAATGGGAACCAGAAGGTGGCTGAATCTGAGAGCCAGCATTCCAACCATGGGACCTCCTGTGGTAAGGGGTGACTTAGCAGAGAAGGCTGAGCCCTACTCCAACGCCCCATCCCACCCCCAACCTGAAACCAATGGGGAACATGAGAGGCTCTGCGGAGAGTGAGATTGGTAGCCAGGAAGCACTGCAGCCTCTGCCACACCTAGAGAAACTGGGCTGCAAGCAATACCAGTTTTGATTTCAGATACAAATGCCAGTAGGGCAAGCATCCCTCAAGTCAACAAGGGATGTTGTCATAGAAACAAAAGACACTGTCATAGCAACCAGAATGATCTCAGGACACCACGTGAATCCAAAGGACTCTTTCCTTCCCACTGCCAAGAGGACACTGTAAGCCACAACCTGGCCCCGATCACCCAGAGGCTGTCTTAGCAAGGAGCAGAACTGCAGTCAGAAACCTGAGGGACAGAATGTTCACCTGAGGAGAATAATCTTTGCTTAAAGGGAATGTCTGAAATTATTGCAAGGGACTAACTGTATTATATAAAATAATATATATAATTTTCACTCCAACCTCCATCTCCCAGGTTCAAGTGATTCTCCTGCCTCAGCTCCCCAATAGTAGCTGGAATTACAGGCACCCACCATCATGCCTGGTAATTTTTGTATTTTTAGTAGAGACAGGGTTTCACCATGTTGGCCAGGCTGGTCTTGAACTCCTGACTTTAGGTGATTCACCCACCTCAGCCTCCCAAAGTACTGGGATTACAGGCGTGAGCCACCACACCTGGCCAAAATTATATTTTATATGGCATCTCTGATCCATAAACTCCAGCTAATTTAGTCAAGAATATATATTTTATGGGAGACTTCTGGGCAGCTCACAGAGTTAAGGAGAATCTGCAGTGGGAACCTGGAGTGGGAGTAGGCAGAGAATGCTCCTTGAAGGTAAATCTGTGCAAAGAGAAAGAAAGAAGGGTATAGGACAAGGGGAAAGTATGAAGAAATGCATATAGTGGGGAAAATACAGGCACCTTTAGGGACGTGCAAACAGCCAGGTATGCCTGGTACATAGAATGCTTAGGAAATGCTGAAGACTGGAAGCTGAAAAGACCAAGGAGAGAATGTCTAAATACAAGGCAAGGATGTTACTTCATCCTGTAAGCAATGAGGAGCTCCTCAGTGTTTTAAAAATCATATGTGCGTTTTAGAACGCTCACTGTGGCAGCAGTGTGAGGAATGACTTTGAGGAGGAAGAGACAGAAGTTTCCAGTCTGTGGGGAAAAGGACAAAGGATGAAAAGGGCAATGGAATGTGAGAGTTGCCACAGGTATTTTCCTCAGGAAAGGAGCACTGGAAGTGTCCTACACCCTCTGCAGCAGCCTGTCAAAGGCCAAGTCATCAACATATGCCCAGGATCTCTCTACTCTGGCCTTTTCAAGGGCTGCAGTCCTGCCATCATGCCCCTGGCTCACACCAACATGCAAACATACTCTGGTATCTCATCTCTAAAAATATTTTTCATGCCCTAGTTTACTTCCCAATCTTTCTATTCTGTTTCCTTAACTGGCGCTTCTCTCCTGGAGGTCTTCTCATGGTTGCTTCATATTGTTCCTGGACCAAACCGAGGGTCAGGCTGTTTATTCTTATGGCCCAATAATGAGATGCAGATGAACTGGGAAAAGAGGGGAGTTTTTTTCTGTAACCAGGTACAGAAAGAAGGCCTGGAAAATATTGCCAGACCAACTCAAAATTACAAAGTTTTCCAGAGCTTATGTACCTTCTAAGCTATACGTCTACATTTAAGTGTGTATGCCTCTAAAGACGCAAGTGATTAACTTCTAATCTATAACTCTCAGGCCTCTTAAGCCCAAGCTAAGCCATCATATCCCCTGTGACCTGCACCTATACATCCAGATGGCCAGAAGTAACTGAAGAATCACAAAAGGAGTGAATTTTAAATGGCCTGTTCCTGCCTTAACTGATGACATTCCACCACAAAAGAAGTGAAAATGGCCAGTCCTTGCCTTAACTAATGACATTACCTTCTGAAATTCCTTCTCCTGGCTCATCCTGGCTCAAAAAGCTCCCCCACTGAGCACCCTGGACCCCCACTCCTGCCCGCCAGAGAACCCCCCTCCTTTGACTGTAATTTTCCTTTACATACCTAAATCTTATAAAACGGCCCGACCCCTATTCTCCCTTCACTGAATCTCTTTTCAGACTCAGCCTGCCTGCACCCAGGTGAAATAAACAGCCTTGTTGCTCACACAAAGCCTGTTTGGTGGTCTCTTCACATGGACGCGAGTGAAATTTTCGTGCCCTGACTTGGATGGGAGGGGGGAATCTCCCTCGGGAGATCAATCCCCTGTCCTGCTCTTTGCTCTGTGAGAAAGATCCACCTGTGTTCTCAAGAACTTAAAACCTCAACTGTCACCTGACCTAAAACCTAAACACCTTATTTTCTTCTGCAATGCTGCTTGACCCCAATACAAACTTGACAGTGGTTCCAAATAGCCAGAAAATGGCACTTTTGATTTTTCCATCCTCCAAGATCTAAATAATTCTTGTCATAAAATAGGCAAATGATCTGAGGTGCCTGATGGCCAGGCGTTCTTTCACAAATCGGTCCCTCTCTAGTTTCTGTTCCCAATGCAACTTGTCCCAAATCTTTCTTCTTTCCCTCCTGCCTGTCCCCTCAGTCCCAACCCCAAGCGTCGCTGAGTCTTTCTAATCTTCCTTTTCTACAGACCCATCTGACCTCTCCCCTCCTCGCCAGCCCGAGCTAGGTCCCAATTCTTCCTCAGCCTCTGCTCCTCCACCCTATAATCCTTTTATCACCTTCCCTCCTCACACTCGGTCCGGCTTACAGTTCTGTTCCACCACCTGCCCAGCAATTTCCTCTTAAAAAGGTGGCTGGAGCTAAAGGCATAGTCAAGGTTAATGCTCCTTTTTCTTTATCCGACCTCTCCCAAATAAATTAGCATTTAGGCTCTTTCTCATGAAATACGAAAAACCCAGCCCAGTTCATGGCCCAGTTAGCAGCAACCCTGAGACACTTTACAGCCCTAGACCCTGAAAGGTCAGAAGGCCGTCTTACTCTCAATATGCATTTTATTTTATTACCCAATCTGCTCCCGACATTAAATAAAGCTCCAAAAATTAAATTCCGGCCCTCAAACCCCACAACAGGACTTAATTAACCTTGCCTTCAAGGTGTACAATAATAGAGTAGAGGCAGCCAAGTAGCAATGTATTTCTGAGTTGCAATTCCTTGCCTCCACTGTGAGACAAACCCCAGCCACATCTCCAGCACACAAGAACTTCCAAACGCCTGAACCGCAGCTGCCAGGCATTCCACCAACCCCACCTCCCCCAGGAGCTTGCTACAAGTGCCGGAAATCTGGCCACTGGGCCAAGGAATGCCCCCAGCCTGGGATTCCTAAGCCATGTCCCATCTGTGCAGGACCCCACTGAAAATCAGGCTGTTCAACTCACCTGGCAGCCGCTTCCAGAGCCCCTGGAACTCTGGCCCAAGGCTCTCTGACTGACTCCTTCAGCTTAGCAGCTGAAGACTGACGCTGCTCGATCACCTCAGAAGCCCCCTAGACCATCAGGGATGCCGATCTTCAGGTAACTCTCACAGTGGAGGATAAGTCCGTCCCCTTCTTAATCAATACGGAGGCTACCCACTCCACATTACCTTCTTTTCAAGGGCCTGTTTCCCTTGCCTCCGTAACTGTTGTGGGCATTGAAGGCCAGGCTTCTAAACCTCTTAAAACTCCCCAACTCTGGTGTCAACTTAGACAATACGCTTTTAAGCACTCCTTTTCAGTTATCCCGACCTCCCCATTAGGCTGAGACACTTTAAATTATCTGCTTCCCTGACTATTCCTGGGCTACAGCCACACCTCCTTGCTGCCTTTTCCCCCAGTTCAAAGCCTTCTTCACATCCTCCCCTTGAATCTCCCCACCTTAACCCACAAGTATAGGATACCTCTACTCCCTCCTTAGTGACTGATCACGCACCCCTTACCATCCCATTAAAACCTCATCACCCTTACCTCGCACAATGCCAATATGCCATCCCACAGCACGCTTTAAAAGGATTAAAGTCTGTTATCACTCACCTGCTACAGCATGGCCTTTTAAAGCCTATAAACTCCCCTTAAAATTCCCCCATTTCACCTGTCGTAAAACCAGACAAGGCTTACAGGTTAGTTCAGGATCTGCATCTTATCAACCAAATTGTTTTGCCTATCCACCCCGTGGTGCCAAATCCATATACTCTCCTATCCTCAACACCTCCCTCCACAATCCATTATTCTGTTCTGGATCTCAAACATGCTTTCTTTACTATTCCTTTGCACCCTTCATCCCAGCCTCTCTTCGCTTTCCCTTGGGCTGACCCTGACACCCATCAGGCTCAGCAAATTACCGGGGCTGTACTGCCACAAAGCTTCACAGACAGCTCCCATTACTTCAGTCAAGCCCAAATTTCTTCCTCATCTGTTACCTATCTCAGCATAATTCTCATAAAAACACACATGCTCTCCCTGCTGATCATGTCCCACTGATCTCTCAAACCCCAACACCTTCTACAAAACAACTCCTTTCCTTCTTAGGCATGGTTAGATACTTTCGACTTTAGATACCTGGTTTTGCCATCCTAACAAAACCATTATATAAACTCACAAAAGGAAACCTAGCTGACCCCATAGATCCTAAATCCTTTCCCCACTCCTCTTTCTGTTCCTTGAAGACAGCTTTAGAGACTGCCCCCACCCTAGCTCTCCCTGACTCATCCCAACCCTTTTCATTACCCACAGCTGAAGTGCAGGGCTGTGCAGTCAGGATTCTTATACAAGGACCAAGACCACACCCTGTAGCTTTTTTATCCAACTTGACCTGACTCTTTTGCCTAGCCCTCAAGCCTGCGTGCAGTGGCTGCCGCTGCCCTAATACTTGTAGAGGCCGTTAAAATCATAAACTATGCTCAACTCACTCTCTACCGTTCTCATAACTTCCAAAATCTATTTTCTTCCTCACACCTGACACATACACTTTCTGCTCCCCGGCTCCTTCAGCTGTACTCACTCTTTGTTGAGTCTCCCACAATTACCATTGTTCCTGGCCCAGACTTCAATTGGGCCTACCACATTATTCCAGATACCACACCTGACCCCCATGACAGTATCTTTCTGATCCACCTGACATTCACCCCATTTCCCCATATTTCCTTCTTTCCTGTTCCTCACCGTGAACACACTTGCTTTATTGATGGCAGTTCCAACAGGCCTAATCGCCACTCACCAGCAAAGGCAGGCTATGCCATTGTATCTTCCACATCTATCATTGAGGCTACAGCTCTGCCCCCCTCCACTACCTCTCATTGCCTTAAGTCAAGCCCTCACTCTTGCAAAAGGACTACACATCAATATTTATACTGACTCTAAACATGCCTTCCATATCCTGCACCACCATGCAACAGGTTTCCTCACTACACAAGGGTCCTCTATCATTAATGCCTCTTTAATAAAAACGCTTCTCAAAGCCACTTTACTTCCAAAGGAAGCTGGAGTCATTCACTGCAAGGGCCATCAAAAAGGCATCAGATCCCATCGCTCAGGACAATGCTTATGCTGATAAGTTAGCTAAAAAAGCAGCTAGCGTTCCAACTTCTGTCCCTCACGGTCAGTTTTTCTTCTTCACTTTGGTCACTCCCTCCCACTCCCCCATTGAAACTTCCACTTATCAATCTCTTCCCACACAAGGCAAATGGTTCTTAGACCAAGGAAAATATCTCCTTCCAGCCTGTCTCTTCCTTTATAAAATGATGGCAGTTCGCTGAGCTATTACCATGTGCCAAGCACTGTGGTAGGTACTGGATACTGGTTCCAGCCCCAAGTCACTGCCAGGCCTATTGCGGGGGGATCAGATGAAGTGATGTACGTTGAAATGTTTTGACTGGGATTCAGAAGACTGTCGAAACCGAGTTTGAATATTCGCTAAGGTTTGCTGATGAGGTGCTATTTGAATAAAATACGGAAAAGTCTTTGCAGACCATGCAGCTACTTTGGGCTGCTTTTCTAGTCTTACCGACCCATTCTATTCTGTCGTCATTTCATAACCTCTTCCATGTAGGTTACAAGCCACTAGCCCATCTCTTAGAACCTCTCATTTCCTTTCCATCATGGAAATCTGTCCTCAAGGAAATCACTTCTCAGTGTTCCATCTGCTATTCTACTCCTCCTCAGGGATTTCTCAGGCCCCCCCTCCCCTCCCTACGCATCAAGCTCGGTACTGGCAAATTGACTTTACTCACATGCCTCGAGTCAGGAAACTAAAATACCTCTTGGTCTGGGTAGACACCTTCACTGGATGGGTAGAGGCCTTTCCCACAGGGTCTAAGAAGGCCACTGCGGTCATTTCTTCCCTTTTGTCAGACATAATTCCTCAGTTTAGCCTTCCCACCTCTATACACTCCGATAGCAGACTGGCCTTTATTAGTCAAATCACCCAAGCAGTTTCTCAGGCTCTTGGTATTAAGTGAAACCTTCATACCCCTTATGGTCCTCAATCTTCAGGAAAGGTAAAACGGACTAATGGTCTTTTAAAAACACACCTCACCAAGCTCAGCCACCAACTTAAAAAGGACTGGACAATACCTTTACCACTTGCCTTCTCAGAATTCGGACCTGTCCTCAGAATGCTACAGGGTACAGCCCATTTGAGCTCCTGTATAGACGCTCCTTTTTATTAGGCCCCAGTCTCATTCCAGACACCAGACCAACTTGGACTGTGCCCCAAAAAACTTGTCATCCCTACTATCTTCTGTCTAGTCATACTCCTATTCACCATTCTCAACTTCTCATAAATGCCCTGCTTTTGTTTACACTGCCGGTTTACACTGTTTCTCCAAGCCATCACAGCTCATATCTCCTGGTGCTATCTCCAAATAGCCACTCTTAACACCCTCTTAAAGTAAATAAATCTTTGCTGGCAGGGCTATGCTGAACCTCCTTGGGCACTCTCTAATTGGATGTCCTAGGTCCTCCCAATTCTTAGTCCTTTAATACCTGTTTTTCTCCTTGTCTTATTCTGTTCTTTTTTCAATTCATATAAAACCGTATCCAGGCCATCACCAATAATTCTATACGACAAATGCTCCTTCTAACAACCCCACAATATCACCCCTTACCAAAAAATCTTCCTTCAGCTTAATCTCTCCCACTCTAAGTTTCCATGCCACCCCTAATCCCGCTCAAAGCAGCCCTGAGAAACATCGCCCATTATCTCTCCATACCACCCCCAAAAATTTTCACCACCCCAACACTTTAACACTATTTTATTTTTCTTATTAATATAAGAAGACAGGAATGTCAGGCCTCTGAGCCCAAGCTAAGCCATCATTATCCCCTGTGAGCTGCACCTATACATCCAGATGGCCTGAAGTAACTGAAGAATCACAAAAGAAGTGAATTTTAAATGGCCTGTTCCTGCCTTAACTGATGACATTCCACCACAAAAGAAGTGAAAATGGCCAGTCCTTGCCTTAACTAATGACATTACCTTCTGAAATTCCTTCTCCTGGCTCAAAAAGCTCCCCCACTGAGCACCTTGTGACCCACACTCCTGCCCGCCAGAGAACAACTCCCCTTTGACTGTAATTTTCCTTTACCTACCTAAATCTTATAAAACAGCCCCACCCCTATCTCGCTTCACTGACCCTCTTTTCAGACTCAGCCTGCCTGCACCCAGATGAAATAAACAGCCTTGTTGCTCACACCAAGCCTGTTTGGTGGTCTCTTCATATGGACACGAGTGAATAACTAAGGTCTGAGTTTTGAAGACCTTCCTCTGGAGCCTCTGTAAATTTACTTAATCTGGATGGATCCAGGTGCTGGGGGCAATCTTCTCTCCTGCTAAATCATGGAGGTTTGGGGATTTCCTTTAGATCCCCAATAAAACTTGTTTTTAGAGGTCTTGGGAGTTTCTTCAGACCCTCAATAAAACTTGTTTAATCCTAAACGGGTCTTGTTAAGAATTCCTTCATTATCTCATCATACTTCAAGGCCCAAGAAAGGCCTGGGCAAAACTCTTGGTGGGTTTTTGTTACATTCCAGCCTTTGTATAAGGGTACTGACTCTTTCAGCTTTTAATATTTAACTTAACCACTCAGTCAGTGCTGAAACAGTTGTTAGAGGTTTGCCTGTTCAGCTGTTAGTGAAACCTGGCCTGACACAATATAGGCATCATGTCTGCCATCTAGGAAATATGGAGGGAAGAAGATAACTGAGTCTGTCCCTTTAAGAGAGATTAGATACAAACTCCACCCAATGAATTCTACTTACATCTCACTGGTTTCCCCAAATAGCAAGGGAGGCAGGGAAATACAGTTTTCTAACTAAACATCCTGCTGTCCCAAAACAGAGCAATAAGGAAGAAGGGGAGAATGGGTATTTTGGAAACAACCAAGAATACCTGCTGCACTTCCTGTGATCTCACATCTCCTTCTAAGACACCTCCTCCATTCCTCTCTTCCTAATATACTTTCTCAAAAGAGGTATCAATTTGTACTACGTTTACTTCCTTACTTCCCATTCTTTCTTCCAGTACCCACACCACACCATGGTGCTAAATCCAATGGGCAGACCACTCACTGTTCCTCATGCTCACCTTCTCTGTAGCATTCAAATATTTCCTCTAACAAACACTCTCCTTCCTCTCTTAGCTTCCTCAGCACCATGCTTTTGTTTTTCCCCCACCCTGCTGGCCATCCCTCATTCTGCCACTAGCTCCTTCTTCTTTATTCAATCTTATTCAGGTCAAGACTCACTCCTGCCCTTCTCCTCTCTGATCTCACCCAGTGCCACAGCTTTAAACCGTGTCTGTATGCTAACAACCCCAAGCTCATATCTGCAGCCAAGACCTCAGATCTTGTCCCTAGTCTCAGACATTTAGTCAACTACTTGGCATCTTAAACTGGTTCTCTTGCAAACATAGCATGCCCACACTGAAGCTCTCCCTGACACCCACTGCAAACCTGCCCTTGCCCCCTCTCAGAAAATGGAATCTCTGCCTGCCCAGTTTCCAGACCAAAACCCAGAAAAATTAATTTTGACCCCTTTATCTCTCTCACTTTCTATATCCAGTCCATGATCAAGTCCTGCCAGTTCAACTATAAATATTTTGTCAATTTATATTTATTCTCACTACCACCACCCCAGCACATGCCAACATCAACTCTTTCCTGGACTATGCCATGTCTTCCTAATTGTTTCCCTCCTCTCCACTCTTGCTCACCTTCAATCCAATCTACAGAGGGAGCTGAAGTGATTTTTGAGTACTGTAAATTGGACCATGTTTTTCTGTACTCAGAATCCCACGATGCCTTCCTATTGCACTTAGTAAAGTTGAAGCTTCTTACCTACATCCTACACGTTCCTTCCATTGCCTACTTTATCAGCTTTCCCCTCACTGTATGCTGATCATTCTTGTATCAGATCCTGAAACACACTAAGTTCTTTATTAGGCTAGAAACTTAGAATTTGCTGTTCCCTCTGCCTGGAAGTTTCTCTTTGCTCCCCACATAACTAGCTACCCTGCACATAGTACCTTGCCTGCAACTCACTAGGCACTCAATAACTAAATATTTGTTAAATGAGTGATTGGAATAAAAAGATAAGCATATAATATTACATTTAATCAATCTAAAACCTTTAGAAGTTACGTACTTTTAATCCTCATTTTATAGATAAGAAAACTGAGGCTCACAGAAATTCTGTAACTTCCCCAAGGATTCCCAAGAAGTAAGCAGAGAAAAAGGACTTCAAAGCCAGGTCAGGCAGGTTGCAGAGCCTGTTCATTTCTTCCACATGAGGCTGCTTCCACACACACACACCGTCTCTGCAGAGCATCAGCCACTCTGTTGGGTCATCTTTGTGCTTTTGAGCTGACCAGACAGTTAATAAAATGCCAGTTGCTTAATATGAGACATAAATTGAAAAGTCATCCCAGATTTCATTATCTTCCCACAACAATTATAATTGCAACTCATTAAAAATCTGATTCTGAAGGCAGAAAGAAATCATTTGCTCAGCAACAAGTCCAGAGTCCCTATTAATGCAGAAGAAGGCTTTAATAAGAAAAGTATCTGTTTCCATGAAGGATGGAAAAAATACTGAAATTGGTCCAGGTCCTTTGCAACTTCCTGGAGACATTTTACATCTCTCAAAGACTGCAATTGTGTATAGTAGCCAGTTTAACCATAAATATTTCCTGGTTGGCTAGCTACATTTTTTTCCTCTTCTCTCATATCGATTGATCTGGGCAGGAAGGTCAGGAAGGGTGAAGTTAGGCTAGAAATTAAAAGTTGTAACCCTTCTTTTACTGCCTTTACTTTACATTATTCTTGGCACTTTGATGAGCATTTTAACAACTCTAATAAGATTTGCTGCTAAGAAACCTTCTTAATTGCGTTTTACCCAGATTTCCTACACTTACATGACCATGGAATTCTTTATTCATAGTGTGTGTAGATTGTCTCCAGGATTGGCCACCACCAATTTCTCTCATCCCTATATGCACAGGCTGCTCCTCCTATCAACAGTCCATCTCCCCACCCCTAAAATCTAAGCTGGCCTTGTGATTTACTTTGTTCCGTAGAACGTGGCAAGAGTGATGCTGTGTCTGTTCTGGACCTAGCCCTTAGGAGGCCTGCCAGATTCTTGTTTTGCTCTCTTAGCAACTGGCTGCTATGTAAGAACTTTAACTATGCTATTGGATAAAGAAATCTACCTAGTCACCAGCCTCTCCAGCCACCTCAGCTGAGTAAGTGGAGCCTTCTTAGATGTTCTAACCCCAACCAATTTCCCAGCAGAATACAACCAGGTAAGAGAATCCAGCCAAGACCATACAGAATACAAAACAATATAGTTGAAGCCAAGCAACCTGCAGAATCTTTAAAAATAATAAATAGTTGATACTCTAAGCCACTAGGTTTTGAGGTGGGTTGTTACACAGGCATTGATAACTAATACAATATACCACAGATCTGATGTTGTTCCCAAGAATTGTTTTTGGAAAATCCCTTTATTCTGTGAATAGAAAAACTGAAGTCCAGGGAGCCCCAGTTGGGAAGTGACTTTCCCAAGATCACCTAGTTAGTTGAGGAAGAACCTAGCTCACCTGATTACCTGTCCAGGGCTCTGTCTACAACACTTGCTGCCACTGTCAATCAACAGAACTTTCCTAGAATGACTGTTCCTGATCTGACAGTTGGTTTAACTGAACATATTCAGATATATCTATCTATCTATCAATATCTATATCGATAGATAGATAGATAGATAGGATAGATAGATAGATAGATAGATAGATAGATAGATAGATAGATAGATAGATTTTTTTTTTTTTTTTTTTTTTTTGAGACAGTCTCACTCTATCAGCCAGGCTGGAATGCAATGGTGCAATCTCAGCTCAGGGCAACCTCCGCTTCCCAGGCTCAAATGACTCTTCTGCCTCAGCCTCCTGAGTAGCTGAGCGCCTGCCACCTAGCCAAGCTAGTTTTTGTATTTTTAGTAGAGATGGGGTTCCACCATGTTGGCCAGGCTGGTCTCGAACTCCTGACCTCATGTGATCCACCCACCTCAGCCTCCCAAAGTGCTGGGATTACAGACATGAGCCACCATGCCCAACCTGAACATATTCAGACTTTAAGTCATTTGAGACTCTTAGAACCATGAAGCCATCTAATTCAATCTAGACTCATAATTGTAGTTGTATTTACTTTTCTAATTCTTCCCATAATTATAGTTTTACTTACTTTTCTAATTCTTCTTATTGAGGATCCTCCCCTTATTCCTGTGGTTTATGTAGAAGCTCCTTCCCCTCATAATAACAGTTAAATAACAGTAAAGAGCTCATATTTTGGAATCAAATGCTCTGAGTTCAAGTCCCAGCTTCACTTACTAGCTTAGACAAGTTCATTCAGCTCTCTGAGTCTCAACTTCCTTATCAACAAAATGAAGACACAAAAATGTCTGCCATATTTATTTATTAGTATTTCACTTTTGTTGTGTTATTTTATCATTAGAAATTTTTCTTTTCATCTTTTGGTAACCAAAGGCAAACTGTCAATCAAGATTTCCGATGATCACAGGTAAACCAGTGTTACCACTGTGAGCTAAAATAATTATTGCTTAAAGACAAGAAGATTGATGTCTTGGTTCATCTGAGTGGACTTCTGTAAGTAAATGGTTAGTGTGTGCTGGGTTTGGGAAGATACTGGTGTAGTAGAGGAAAAAATTATTCTTTGTACACCCTCCTGGGTTCTCCATATGGGGCCCTGTAAACTGGACTTGCAAAAGAAATATTATTGAGAAAAACATACAAATTTATTTAATATAAGTTTTACATAACATGGGAGTCTTCACAAGGAAATAAAGATCTGAAGAAATGGTTAAGCCTGAGTGTTTTTACACTAAGTTTGGTGAGGAGTAGAAAGTGATAAAATAAAAGGGTATGAGCTAAGGGTAGTAAATTGGGGAAAACTGATCAAGGCCTGTTTGTTCATATTATTCTTGGCATGTTCGGAGATAAGGATGCTCCTTTCTTCCAGGTATAGGAAGGGCACCTCTCACATGAGAGTCTTATGACCTGCTTCAGGAGAGAAAACCTGCTGTTTCTCAAATTCCTTCAGCTTAAAATATTCAATACATGAAGGCACCATATTTTGAGTAGCCTATTCTGAGCCATTTTTCTAGAAAGGACTTGAGATCACTTATTATTTACAGCAACCCCTAGGGAGGTATTGACCCAGAGAACACCCCTTCCAGTTTGGTGTTCTGAAATACAGTTTTCAGACATTCTCCTTCCTCTGTAAATCCCTTGCCAACAGGGCCATGGCTTCTAATATGAATGATGGAAAGGCAGTCTGCAGGGCTATGGCTCAGTTTCCAGGAATAAATGTGTGTGATCTGTCTACCATCTGGATCCCTCCAATGCTCTTTCTACCAGAGTTGATCTTTGAAGGATAGTTAAGCATAATCCAAGTAAAGGAAGTTTGTGAGAGAGCCAAGTAAAAAGAGGTCCCCAGAGAACCTCTGACCAACCTGCACTGGGAGGAGTGCAAACTGGGGTGGAGCCTCAGGAAGTTCACACCATTTGCAGTGGGGAGGAGCCTGGCCTCTTCTGTTCTTGGGTGGTCACCTGGGAATCCAATCTGTGAGATTAGTTTTGTTTTTTTTCCTTTTCACCCAATAAATTCCATTTTTTGCACACTTCTATGTATTCATGAGCTTCATCCTTCCTGGTCATGTGACAAGAACCCCATTTTTAGCTGAACTAAGGAGAAAGCAGAAAGTCCTACAACATTTGGAGGACAGTAGTGTCTCAAGGGTATAGGGTGAGCAAAGTCCCTGGTTGCTAAGTTTCCTATCAGAAAGCATGGTTTAAAAAAAAAACTCCATTAAGAACCACAGCATTTCAGAATAACCTTTTTAAGTAAAAGTTCACCCATCAACATCTCAATGACTGCATTTCTTCAGGAAGTAATAAACTTTTAATGGCATTTGGATTCAAATCTCAGAGTGAAGTACTCTCTGACATTTGTAGTTTAGGGTTTGTTTTTCAAGTCTTTGCATTTCGTGGTTAAGAGATGTTTTTCTGACTAAGCTTGATAATTCTTTCCCTCCCCCTGCACTTTCAACTAAATGAGAAACAACCTGATAATCTCCACAGTTTTGGTTCTTAGCTTTTCATTATTATCACCCTAAACTCTATAAATAGTTTCAACCCATTATGCCTAAATCTCTATGTAAACGCCTACCTCCCTGCCTTTGCCAATGTGACATTCTTTGCCAGTTGTCTTCTTTCCAGCCTCTCCTCAATCTCCATGTATATGTATCACTCCTACCTGTCTTTCTTCCAAGTTGACTGTGAGCATTTTTCAACCACTCTTAAAACTTCTGCCTTATATTAGTGTCATGGTAAAGAATATCAGCTTTGGAATTTCTCTGTGTTTGTATTTCAACTCCAGCATTTATTACATGTACTACCTATGCTAAATTACTTAATCTTTCTAAACCTCAGGTTCTTCATTTATAAAATATAATGTAACTGCCCATTGGGTTCACCTTTCCTGCTGCCTACCCAGAGCCTATTTATTAAGAAGGGAATTGCAATGGCAAAAGTAATTCATGCAGAGAAGTCTGTGTGGGAAACCAGTTTTATTATTACTCAAATCAGCCTCCCAGAGCATTCAGGGATCAGTTTTTAAGGATAAGTTGGCAGGTAAGGCCTAGAAAAGTGGGAGTGCTGATTGGTCGGTTTAAAGATGAAATCATAGGGGGGTCGAAGTGAGTTATTCTTGATGACTTCTGTTCCTGGGTGGGATCGCCAAATTGGTTGAGCCAGATTATTGGCCTGAGTGGTGTTATCTGCTGCGGGATTGCAAAATATCTCAAGCACCTATCTTAAGTTTTGCAACAGTGATGTTATTCCCAGGAGCAATTTGGGGAGATTCAGACTCCTACAGCCAGAGGCTGCATGGCCCCTGAACCACAATCTCTAATTTTGTGGCTGATTTGTTAGTCTGACAAAGACAGACTGGTCCTCAGGCAAGAAGGGGTTTTTTTTGGGAAAAGACTATTAGCAATATTTTGTTTCAGAATTTAAACTATAAACTAAATTCTTTCCCAAGGCCTATGCCCAGGAATGGACAAAGACAGTTTAGAGGTTAGAAGGAAGATGGGGTTGTCATAATTTCCACTGTCATAATTTCCTCAATTATGATTTTTGTAAAGGCAGTTTAAATAATAATAGCACTTGAGTCATAGAATTCATTGTGTAGATTAAATTAAAAAATGATTTTCACACACGACCGTGTGAAGAGACCACCAAACAGGCTTTGTGTGAGCAATAAAGCTTTTTAATCACCTGGGTCTAGGCAGGCTGAGTCCAAAAAGAGAGCCAGTGAAGGGATATAGCCAGCAAAGGGATATAGGGGTTGGGCCGTTTTATAGGATTTAGGTAGGTAGTGGAAAATTACACTCAAAGGGGGTTGTTCTTTGACTGGCAGGGGTGGGGGTCACAAGGTGCTCAGTGGGGGAGCTTTTGAGCCAGGATGACCCAGGTGAAGGAATTTCACAAGGTAATGTCATCAGTTAAGGCAGGAACAGGCCATTTCCACTTCTTCTGTGATTCTTCAGTTACTTTGGGCCATCTGGATGTATACAAGCAGGTCACAGGGTATATGATGGCTTAGCTTGGTCTCAGAGCCCTGACATTCCTGTCTTCTTATATTAATAAGAAAAATCACATAAAATAGTATTGAAGTGTTGGGGCAGCAAAAATTTTGGGGGTGGACAGAAGTTGGAACACTAGCTGCTTTTTTAGCTACCTTATCAGCCTATGCGTTGCCCTGAGCAATGGGATCTGATGCCTTTTGACGGCCCTTGCAGTGAATGACTCCAGCTTCCTTTGGAAGTAAACCGGCCTTGAGAAGAGTTTTTATTAAAGAGGAATTAATAATGGAGGACCCTTGCATAGTGAGGAAACCTCTTCTTGCCCATATAACAGCATGGTGGTGCAGGATATGGAAGGCATATTTAGAGTCAGTATAAATATTGACGTGCAGTCCTTTTGGAAGAGTGAGGGCTCAAGTTAAGGCAATGAGTTCGGCTTGCTGAGAGGTAGTGGAAGGGGGCAGAAAGTATATGTATCAGGTGTGAGGAAGAAAATAGATTATGTAAGTTATGAGAACTGTAGAGAGTGAGTTGAGCATAGTTTGTGATTTTGAGGGCCTCTAAAAGTATTAAGGCAGTGGCAGCAGCTGCATGCAGACATGAGGGCTAGACTAAAACAGTAAGGTCAAGTTGTTTGGATAAAAAGGCTACAGGGTGCAGTCCCAGCTCTTGTGTAAGCATTCTGACCGCACAGCCCTGCACTTCAGCTGTGTGTAATGAAAAGGGTTGGGATGAGTTAGGGAGAGCTAGTGTGGGAGCAGCTTTTAGGGCTGTTTTTTAAGGAATGGAAAGGGGAGTGGGGAAAGGATTTAGGATTTATGGGGTCAGCTAGGTTTATCTAGAACAGAACGGGTTGTGGAGGGAGGTATTGAGAATAGGAGAGTATATGGGTTTGGCACCATGGGGTGGATAGGCAACACAATTTGGTTGATAAGGTGCAGATCCTGAATTAATCTGTAAGGCTTGTCTGGTTTTAGGACAGGTAAAACGGGGGAATTGTAAGGAGAGTTTATAGGCTTTAAAAGGCCATGTTGTAACAGGCAAGTGATAACAGGCTTTAATCCTTTTAAAGTGTGCTGTGGGATGGGATATTGGCCTTAAGTGGGGTAAGGGTGATTAGGTTTTAATGGGATGGTAAGGGGTGCATGATCGGTCACCAAGGAGGGAGTAGAGGTATCCTATAGTTGTGGATTAAAATGGGGAGATACAAGAGCAGGATGTGAAGGAGGCTTTGAACTGGAGAAAAGGGTGGCAATGAGGTGTGGCTGTAGCATAGGAAGCAGATAATTTAGTTAAAATGTCTCGGCCTAATAAGGGAACTGGGCAGGCAGGGATAACTAAAAAGGAGTGCATAAAAGAATATTGTCCAAACTGGCACCAGAGTTGGGGAGTTTTAAGAGGCTTAGAAGCCTGGTTGTCAATACCCACAACAGTTATGGAGGCAAGGGAAACAGGCCCTTGAAAAGAAGGTAATGTGGAGTGGGTAGCCTCTGTAATGATTAAGAAGGGGATGGACTTACCCTCCACTGTAAGAGTTACCCAAAGTGTCTGTGATGGTCCAGGAAGCTTCTGAGGTGATCGGGGAGCATCAGTCTTCAGCCACTAAGCCAAGATCTGGGAAGGAATCAGAGAGCCTTGGGCCAGAGTTCCAGGGGCTCTGGGAGCGGCTGCCGGGTGAGTTGGACAGTCTGATTTTCAGTGGGGTCCTATACAGATGGGACATGGCTTAGGAGGAATCCTGGGCTGTGGGCATTCCTTGGCCCAGTGGCCAGATTTCTGGCACTTGAAGCAAGATCCTGATGGAGAAGGTCCTGCAGGAATGCTTGACTGCTGCGGCTTAGGCACATGCGACTTAGGCATTTTGAAGTTCTTGTGTGCTGGAGGTGCGGCTGGGTTTTGTCTCACAGTAAACGCAAGTAATTATAACTTTTCTCTATTATTGTACACCTTGAAGGTGAGGTTAATTAAGTTCTGTTGTGGAGTTTAAGGGCCAGAATTTAATTTTTGGAGCTTTATTTGATATTCGGTGTGGATTGGGTAATAAAATAAAATGCATATTCAGAATAAGACGGCCTTCTGACCTTTCAGGGTCTAGGGCTGTAAAGCATCTCAGGGTTGCTGCCAAATAAGCCATGAACTGGGCTGGGTTTTTATATTTGATGAAAAAGAGCCTAAATGCTAACTGATTTGGGAGAGGTCAGATAAAGAAAAAGGAGCATTAACCTTGACTATGCCTTTAGCTCCAGCCACCTTTTTAAAAGGAAATTGCTGGGCAGGTAGGGGAGGGCTAGTAGTGGAATGAAACTATAAGCCAGACCAGGTGTGAGGAGGGGAGGTAATAAAAGGATTATAGGGTTGGGGTGCAGAGGCTGAGGAAGAATTGGGACCTGGCTTGGCCTGGGGAGGAGCAGCCTGGGGAGGAGGGGAGAGGTCAGATGGGTCTGTAAAAAAGGAAGATTGGAAAGACTCAGCAATACTTGGGTTTGGGCCTGAGGGGACAGGCAGGAGGGAAAGAAGGAAGATTTGGGACAAGTTGCATTGGGAACATTGACTGGAGAGGGACGGCTGTGTAAAAGAATGCCTGGACATCAGGCACCTCAGACCATTTTCCCATTTTATGGCAAGAATTATCTAGATCTTATAGGATGGAAAATTTGAAAGTGTCGTTTTCTGGCTATTTGGAACCATTGTCGAGTTTGTATTGGGGTTAAGCGGCATTGCAGAAGAAAATAAGGTGTTTAGGTTTTAGGTCAGCTGTGATTTAGAAGCAGTTTTAAGTTCTTGAGAACACAGGCTAAGGGAGAAGGAGGAGGAGTGGAGGGTGAAAGGTTGCCTATAGTGAAGGAAGCAAGCCCAGAGAAAAGAGAGGGTAGAGACATGGAGAGAAGGGGGTGGGGGATGCTTGCCCCCAGGAAAGTGGAGAGAAAAGAGAGGGTAGAGACACAGAGAGAAGGGGTGGGGGGGGGTGCTTGCCCCGCAGGAAAGTGGAGAGAAAAGAGAGGGTAGAGACATGGAGAGAAGGGGTGGGGGGTGCTTGCCCCCAGGAAAGTGGAGAAGGGGTAGGTATATGGAGAGAAGGGGTAGGGGGTGCTTGCCCCCCAGGAAAGTGGAGAGAAAAGAGAGGGCAGAGACATGGAGACAAGGGTTGGGGGGGCTTGCCCCCCAAAATAGCCATGCTTGCCACTAAGGGTGAAGGATCAAGGCAGGCATCCCCATGGTGATCAGACACCTCTGAAACGTGGATGAATAATCAAGCAGGTGTCCCCACAGTGATTAAACACCAAGGAAAGACTGTCTTCCCGAGTCCGTGACCGGCGCCAGAGTTTTGGGTTGACGGATAAAACACATCTCCTCTGTCTCTACCAGAAAAGGAAAGGAACTTAAATTAAGAGAAGGGAGAGATTGAAAGATGGTGCCAAGATTGAAAGGAGAAAGAGGTTGAGGGATAGTGAGAGATGTTGGAGAAGAGAGTAAAAAGAGGCCGCTTACCCGATTTAAAATTGGTGAGATGTTCCTTGGGTTGGTTGGTCTGAGGACCCGAGGTCATAGGTGGATCTTTCTCACGCAGCAAAGAGCAGGAGGACAGGGGATTGATCTCCCAAGGGAAGTCCCCCGATCTGAGTCATGGCACCAAATTTCACTCGTGTCTGTGTGAAGAGACCACCAAACAGGCTTTGTGTGAGCAACAAGGCTTGTTTATTTCACCTGGGTGCAGGCGGGCTGAGTCTGAAAAGAGTCAGCGAAGGGAGACAGGGGTGGGGCCATTTTATAAGATTTGGGTAGGTAAAGGAAAATTACAGTCAAAGGGGGGTTGTTCTCTGGCGGGCAGGTGTGGGGGTCACAAGGTGCTCAGTAGGGGAGCTTTTGAGCCAGGATGAGCCAGGAGAAGGAATTTCACAAGATAATGACATCAGTTAAGGCAGGAGCAGGCCATTTTCACTTCTTTTGTGGTGGAATGTCATCAGTTAAAGCAGGAACTGGCCATCTGGATGTGTACGTGCAGGTCACAGGGGATAGGATGGCTTAGCTTGGACTCAGATGCCGGACACCTACATCATTAATTGAAGGGAACTGATAAACTTCATTATATCAATAATGAGAGAGGACATGTGCAATGTGTTTTTCTAGGGTTTTTTCCTCTGGAAAAGCCTGATTTTATTTTTCACCAAGGGCCTGGTTACTTCCCATCTGTGGCTCTGAGTATACCTCATGACTATAAGTAATAAACTGCTATTGTTTCATTACTCTTGGGTTTACAGAAAGTCTAGATGCCATAATTCTGCTGCTGCCCCAACTAAGACTTGCAGGAGGAAGAGCTGATGTTTGTGGGTATTTTAAAGCATCTTTCTCAACCCGTTTATTTCTATCATTTAAGGCTGAGTTTATGTGCCTAGGGGAAGAGTCAATGAGAGCAAGAAATTGTCATCCAAATGGCTCTGGACACCAGGTGGTTACCCAATGGGTAGGCATGGGTTGTTACCTGTGAAGCACATAAAGGAAGCACATTGAGATTTCTGTGCACCCAAATAACTGGGCCTTCAGAGTACAGGAGATATATTTGAATTGTACAGTTACACGTTACAGGGAAGTGATTTCATCTCAAGGAGTGCTCCTTTTTCAAAAAATTGACAACTCAGTCAAAGTAGGTGATGGTCCATCCATGTGTTTAAATGTTTAAAACCGTATTCTCCCATTCAAGACTTGAAACTTGGCGGCACTTAAGTACTATGTGTTAAAGGGTTACATTGGTTATAGCGAAGTTCTGTAGGTCCTTTGAAAGAACATTTTGTCTTGCTTATCTTTCTCTTTGTAACATTGATGATCATTGACTAGATCTATTATATCATTTGAAGCTGCAAAATGGTGATTTCTGATTGTATCATTTCTTCGTTTATTAAGTGGATACTTCTATAAAAACAGATGTCCTATCAATTTTCTGTTACCTTTAGGTAAAATATGTGGAAGAAAGAGCATCCTTCATAAATAACTAAAAATGTTTCTAAAGTATCATAATTATGGCTTTAAACATAAATGATATATTCTAACCAATTGTAGACATTATTCTTCTTGATGATTAAATCCTCACATCTTTGTCAGATGGAAGCCTCTTCAAGTTGGTCCTGAGTCCTTTTGCCATGACCTCATCCCAAAAGAACACTCCCTCACCCAAGCTGTACAGGATTCTTATCGGTAAAGCCTGGCTATAGATTATTTAAGATCACAAATTTTATTTTATTTTTTTCTTTCCAACTTCTATTTTTGGTTCAAGGGGTACATCTGTAGGTTTGTTACATGGCTAAATTGAATGTCGTGGGGGTTTCGTATACAGATAATTTTGTCATTCAGTTAATAAGCATAGTACTCGATAGGTAGTTTTTCAATTCTCAGTCTCCTCCCAACCTCCACCTTCGATTAGGCCCTGGTGTCTATTGTTCCCTTGTGTCCATCTGTATTCAATGTTTAGCTCCCACCTATAAATGAGAACATGCAGTGTTTGGTTTTCTGTTCCTGCATTAATTGACTTAAGATAATGTCTTCCAGCTCCATCCATGTTACTGCAAAGGACATAATCTTGTTCTTTTTTATGACGATGTAGTATTCCAGGGTATATATGTACCATATTTTCTTTATCCTGTCTACTATTGATGGGCATCTAGGTTAATTTCACATTTTTACTACAGTGAACAGTGCAGCAATGAACATACACACGCATGTATCATTATGATAGAGTGCTTTCTATTCCTTTTGGTACATGCCCAATAATGGGATTCCTGGGTCAAATGGTAGTTCTATTTTAAGTTCTTTGAGAAATCTCCAGACTGCTTTCCACAGTGGCTGAATTAATTTACATTCCCATTAGCAGTGTATAAGTGCTCCCTTTTCTCTGCAACCTCACCAGCATCTATTACTTTTTGACTTTTTGGTAATAGCCATTCTGACTGGCATGAGACGGTATCACATTGTAGTTTTGAGTTGCATTTCCCTAATGATCACTGATGTTGAGCATTTTTTTACATGCTTATTGTTGCCTTACAAGAGCTCCTGAAGGAAGCAACAACTGGTACCAGCCACTGCAAAAACATACCAAATTGTAGAGAACATCAATTCTATGAAGAAACTGCATCAACTAACAGGCAAAATAACCAGCTAGCATCATAATAACAGGATCAAATTCACACATAACAATATTAACCTTAAATGTAAATGGGCTAAATGCCCCAATTAAAACACACAGACTGGCAAATTGGATAAAGAGTCAAGATCCATTGGTGTGCTGTATTCAGAAGACCCATCTCACATGCAAAGATGCACATAGGCTCAAAATAAAGGGATGGAGGAATATTTACCAAGCAAATGAAAAGCAAAAAAGGAAGGATTGCAATCCTAGTCTCTGATAAAACAGACTTTAAACCAACAAAGATCAAAAAAGACAGAGAAGGGCATTACATAATGATAAAGAGATCAATGCAACCAGAAGAGCTAACTATCCTAAATATATATGCATCCAATATAGGATCACCCAGATTCATAAAGCAAGTTCTTAGAGACCTACAAGGAGACTTAGACTCCCACACAGTAATAATGGGAGATTTTAACACCACACTGTCAATATTAGACAGATCAATGAGACAGAAAATTAACAAGGATATTCACGACTTGAACTCAGCTCTGGACCAAGTGGACATATATATCTGCAGAACTCTCCACCCCAAATCAACAGAATATGCATTCTTCTCAGCATCTCATCACACTTATTCTAAAATTGACCACATAATTGGAAGTAAAACACTCCTCGGCAAATGCAAAAGAACGGAAATTATAACAAACAGTCTCTCAGACCACAGTGCAATCAAATTAGAACTCAGGATTAAGAAACTCACTCAAAACCACACAACTACATGGAAACTGAACAATCTGCTACTGAATGACTACTGGGTAAATAATGAAATTAAGGCAGAAATAAAGATGTTCTTTGATACCAATGAGAACAAAGACGCAATGTACCAGAATCTCTGGGACGCAGCTAAAGTAGTATGTAGAGGGAAATCTATAGCACTAAATGCCCACAAGAGAAAGGAAAGATCTAAGATTGACACCCTAACATCAAAATTAAAACAACTAGAGAAGCAACAGCAAACAAATTCAAAAGCTAGCAGAAGACAAGAAATAACTAAGATCAGAGGAGAACTGAAGGAGATAGAGACATGAAAAACCCTTCAAAAAATCAATGAGTCCAGGAACTGGTTTTTTTGAAAAGATCAACAAAATATATAGACCACTAGCCAGACTAATAAAGAAGAAAAGAGAGAAGAATCAAATAGACACAATAAAAATTGATAAAGGGGATATCACCACTGATCCCACAGAAATACAAACTACCATCAGATAATACTATAAACACCTCTATGCAAATAAACTAGAAAATCTAGAAGAAATGGATGAATTCCTGGACACATACACCCTCCCAAAACTAAACAAGGAAGAAGTCAAATCCCTGAATAGACCAATAACAAGTTCTGAAATTGAGGCAGTAATTATTAGCCTGCCAACCAACCAAAGTCCAGGACCAGCTGGATTCACAGCTGAATTCTACCGGAGGTACAAAGAGGAGCTGGTACTATTCCTTCTGAAACTATTCCAAACAATTGAAAAAGAGGGAATACTCCCTAACTCATTTTATGAGGTCAGCATCATCCTGATACCAAAATCTGGTAGAGACATAACAAAAAAAAAGAAAATTTCAGGCCAATATCCCTGATGAACATCGATGCAAAAATCCTCAATAAAATACTGGCAAACCAAATCCAGCAACACAGCAAAAAGCTTATCCACCATGATCAAGTTGGCTTCATACCTAGGATGCAAGGCTGGTTCAACATATGCAAATCAATAAACATAATCCATTACGTAAACAGAACCAATGACCAAAACCACATGATTATCTCAACAGATGCAGAAAAGGCCTTCAACAAAATTCAACACCCCTTCATTCTAAAAACTCTCAATAAACTATTGATGGAACACATCTCAGAATAATAAGAGCTATTTATGACAAACTCACAGCCAGTATCATACTGAATGGGCAAAAACTGGAAGCATTCCCTTTAAAAACCAGCACAAGACAAAGATACCCTCTCACCACTCCTATTCAACATAGTATTGGAAGTTCTGGCCAGGGCAATCAGGTAAGAGAAAGAAATAAAGCGTACTCAATTAGGAAAAGAGGAAGTCAAATTGCCTCTTTTTGCAGATGACATGATTGTATATTTAGAAAACCCCATCGTCTCAGCTCTAAATCTCCTTAAGCTGATAAGCAACTTCAGCAAAGTCTCAGGATACAAAATCAATGTGCAAAAATCACAAGCACTCCTATACACCAATAATAGACAAACAGAGAGCCAAATCATGAGTGAACTCCCATTCACAATTGCTACAAAGAGAATAAAATACCTAGGAATCCAACATACAAGGGATGTGAAGGACCTCTTCAAGGAGAACCACAAACCACTGCTCAAGGAAGTAAGAGAGGACACAAATGGAAAAACATTCCATGCTCATGGATAGGAGGAATCAATATTGTGAAAATGGCCATACCGCCAAAAGTAATTTACAGTTTCAATGCTATCCCCATCAAGCTACCATTGACTTTCTTCACAGAATTAGAAAAACTACTTTAAAGTTCATATGGAACCAAAAAAAGAGCTCATATAGCCAAGACAATCCTAAGGAAAAAGAACAAAGCTGGAGGCTGAATTCAAACCATAAGCATGGCTACAGTAACCAAAACAGCATGGTACTGATACCAAAACAGAGATATAGACCAATGGAACAGAACAGAGGCCTCAGAAATAACACCACACATCTACAACTGTCTGATCTTTGACAAACCTAACAAAAACAAGCAATGGGGAAAGGATTCCCTATTTAATAAATGGTGTTGGGAAAACTGGCTGGCCATGTGGAGAAAACTGAAACTGGACCCCTTCCTTATGCCATCTACAAAAATTAACTCAAGATGGATTAAAGACTTAAATGTAAGACCTAAAACCATAAAAACCTAGAAGAAAACCTAAGCAGTACTATTCAGGACATAGGGATGGGCAAAGACTTCATGACTAAAATACCAAAAGCAATGGCAACAAAAGCCAAAATCAACAAATGGGATCTAGTAAAACTACAGAGCTTCTGTACAGCAAAAGAAACTATCATCAGAGTGAACAGGCAACCTACAGAATGGGAGAAAATTTGTGCAATCTGTCCATGTGACAAAGGCCTAATATCCAGAATCTACAAGGAACTTAAACAAATTTACAAGAAAAAAACAACCCCATCAAAAGTGGGTGAAGGATATGAACAGACACTTCTCAAAAGAAGCCATTTATGAGGCCAACAAACATATGACAAAAAGCTCATCATCACGGGTCATTAAAGAAATGCAAATCAAAACCACAATGAGATACCATCTCATGCCAGTTAGAATGGCAATCATTAAAAAGTCAGAAACAACAGATGCTAGAGAGGATGTGGAAAAATAGGAATGCTTTTACACCATTGGTGGGAGTGTAAAATCGTTCAACCATTGTGGAAGACAGTGTCGTGATTCCTCAAGGATCTAGAACCAGAAATACCATTTGACCCAGCAATCCCATTACTGGGTATATAACCAAAGGATTATAAATCATTCTACTATGAAGACCCATGCACACGTATGTTTATTGCAGCACTATTTACAATAGCAAAGACTTGGAACCAACTCAAATGCCCATCAATGACAGACTGGATTAAGAAAATGTGGCACATATACACCATGGAATACTATGCAGCCATAAAAAAGAATGAGTTCATGTCCTTTGCAGGAACACGGATGAAGTTGGAAACCATCATTCTCAGCAAACTAACACAGGAATAGAAAACCAAACACCACATGTTCTCACTCATAAGTGGGAGTTGAACAATGAGGACGCATGGACACAGGGAGGGGAACATCACACACCAGGCCTGTTGGGGGGTGCAGGGGAAAGGGAGGGATAGCATTAGGAGAAATACCTAATGTAGATGACAGGTGCAGCAAACCACCATGGCATATGTATACCTATGTAACAAACTTGCACATCTGCACATGTATCCTAGAACTTAAAGTATAAAATAATAAAATAAAAGATAGTGCCTATATACAAATTATAAAATGCCTAGAATAGTGCCTAGCACTATGAAGATATTAAATAAATTGCCAAGAGCTCATACATTACCTAAACTGTCATGTGGGAAATAAGGAAGCAAAGGGACCCATCCCAGCCGTAGTCACTCTGGATACCACAACTCTTCTAATGATCCAACAGCACCCCTCATTCCTCAGTTTTTATTTCTCCCAGCAACTCCTTGTTCCCTCACTCCTGTATAAGCCTCATGGCTCTGTCACTGGCTTCTCTGCCTAACTCTGAGCTTCTCTGTCCTCTGTGTCTCACTGAGTGCCTTCAAATTCCTTGACAGAAAGGATTTGATTGGTGTAGTTACTCAGGGCTCCCTTCCCCTAAGGCACAGATCTCAGACCAGACCACCTCTGAAGCCACTGGCCTCTCTTACTTCCAGTCTTTAGCAGTGACCATGGCTGCAACGTCCCATGACTCAAAACCCAGCAAATTCTGCCCTAGGAAGCTGGTAATAGGAGTGTAAGCATTTTGAATTATGGTATAGTGACAAGCATTGCAGTTATTAAATCTAACCCTCTTATTTTATAGATGATGTCTTAGACCTCTTGTACTGCTCTAACAAAATACCTTAGACCTGTCTTCCTTGCCTGTTCCTGTTTCCTCAGTGTCCAGTGCCTCGTACAACAATAAATATCTGTGGAATAAATAAATGATTAAAATGCCAATGAATGAACAATGGCGGAATAGGACTTAAACCAGTGAAGAGTATGATGAGAGTTCAGGGAAAGTAGCCATACAGTAAGAATCCTCTTATCTGAGGATATCTGGGCCAATAATCCATTAGTTAGTCAAAAAAAATTTTGATCAAATCAGTGAATCATAGAAAAAAGTACCTTTATATAGAGTGCTACGTGTCCCCAGTATCTCTTTTCCCAATCTTTCTTGAAGTCATGGAAACCTGGATTTGAGCTGGGCATGTGGCCTCCTAGGCATTTTCCAGCCTGCAAGCAACTAAACATGGCCATGGAAACAAGTTCTGGCCAATGGGATGTGACAAAAGTGACAGGTACAACTTTTACTATATCGTGTCCAGTTGTTTCACCTATACCTTTGATATCAATTTTTATAAACTCCTCATTTTTATTGAAGGTTTAAAAAATGCTGCTTAGTTTTTGTGAAAATAAGCTTTATTTCATCAGTTTACCTATTATATTGAATTACATGATAACAATAACTACAATTGGAATAAACAGTTTAGGATCAAATAGACCTAATTCTTGGTAAGCAATAACTAATAATGCGTTAAAAATAACTCGATTAGTGGGAGTGAAAGTCTACATGCAAACAGAGTAGCCTCTTAGCTGCAAGAACTTCACTTCCCACGGGTATCAATCAGAACATTTGCAGATGAGATAGAGAGCCCCAGTTTACCTGGTTAGGCAGTAACATGAAGGTTCGGAGAGTTTCTACTACAAAAACAAAAGGCACAGGAATACTTCTGGGGTCTTTGGGGGAAAAAGATGAGTAGAAGAGATACAGCAACACTTCCAGAAGTGACCAGGATGAGAAAGAAAGGCATCTTAGAAGGCTTCTCTCTTCTGGGCAGTGATCACCCCTCAGACTAGTCATCAGTGGGCAGTCTCACTGTTGGTCACTACTGATATGCCCTTTCCCACAAGCTCAAAGGTTCTTAAAGAGACAGTTCCTCTGATCTCCTGCAGGCTTGCTTCCTGCCATCTGGAAAAAAGTGCTGGTGGCCATGAGGCTGGGCCAGTGCCCAGCTCCTTATATACTTAGTAGATATAAGGGAGTTTTGCACTTCATGAGGAGAAAGGGAATGTTAGGATCACTGGTCTTTTATTCCATGGCATGCTATGACTTCATAAACAATATATATGCAAAGAAGCATGTTAAGCTTGGCTGACTTGTCCCTGAGGCTGTGTGCACTTAAGAACAGCCTGTACTGCCTGGGAAGTTGGACCCACTCCCTCTGTGGGATGTTTGCCCAAGAAGGAACAGCACACCTGCTCTGTCCCTGTGGCCTGGGAAGGAGGGCTTGCCAAAAACAGACTTATCAAGAAACAGGAGACAGGAGGGAAAAAAAGGCAGTGACATTAAGAGCCAGGTAAGTGCAGGCCTCAACCAGGAGACAGATACACACATACTGAGCACAAATTCTGTAAATGGCTGTGGATTGGATATGTGTGTCACTCTCCTGTTAGGTGTGTGGGTCAGCTTGCCCCTGAGAGCTGCCAGGTCTTCTGTGCTCTCATAGCTATTTTAGTATGAGTCACAGTAATCTACGTGCTTTTTGTCTCCATTTACATAAAACTGAGACCCCGTCAAGGCCAGGGACTGCATCTATACATGTGTTGTTTGGTTCTCAGGAACCACCATGTGCATAGATGCTCATTAATCATATGAATGAATGGATGGATGAATTAATAAAACATTATATAGTTTATAGAGCATTTTTATAATCATCGTTTCACCTGATTTTCCCTCAAAACCCTCCTGAGCTAGAAACAGCAGGCTTTATTATCCTCACTTTACAGATGAGAAAACAACCTCAGAGAGGCCAAAGTAACTGCTAAAGTAAATGAGAAAACCTTAGCTCACAGTAGAACTTCAATCTCAGATTTCCTTCCCAGGGAAAAAATAAAAATAAAATGAGACACCATCACCTCCTGATGTGGAAAAGGAGACAGATACCCTCTAGTCTTTCTCCCTGGCTTTGGAGATGAGGACCCCAAGGCCCAGAGAGCCAGTTAGTGGCAGATCCCCTGCCTCCCAGTCCAACACACCGTCTTGTTTAGCATACAGAGCCTCTCTCTGCTTCTCTGGATAGTAGTTCAGTTGTTTGGATACTGATACTGACAGAGAAGGAAATGATGATAAAATACCAGGAGAGCTGGCAGCATGGCATCTGTGTCCCTGTCCACTGTGCCAAGAGCAGAGAGGCCAAGTATTCACCAGCCCAGCTGTGTCAGCCACTGTTTTTGGCCCTGGTAGCTGAGGGACACAACGAACCCAAAGGGACTGGGTTCCTCTGTCCAGCTTCCTCCTCTGGGCTCTTAGCAGCCTTTCCTTGACTTTAATTTTAAAAAAAAAAAAAGAAAGAAAGAGAGAGAATCAAGTTTATTCTCTCACCATCACACCCAAACTGCATGAGCAGATATTTGTCACAGTAATGGGAAAACCATGTCCATAATCAGTGCTTTAGCCAGAAATAGCTCTCATTGCCTCCTTCCTAAGGCACTTCACTATGAATACCTGTTTGTCAGTGTGGCATAAAATCATTTGACATGAAGGGTCATCTCAGCTGGAAAGTTACCTGCAGCCTCAAGTGCCCTGCTGACACCTGGAAATGGTGAGTGAGCTTGCCCAGGCCTGGAACTGCTCACAGACCTCAAAGAGCAGGTGGGCTCTGGGCAGAGGAGAGGGGAGTTGCTGCCAGGCCTGGGCCATGAGACTACATCTAGAGTCCTTATTCTGGTGGGAGAAAACCTCGCCTATTCCCACACATCTCATTCCAATGCCTGGAGTGGGCACAGAAGGGCTGTGTATGTACTGAGTTGCCCCTTAGAGACCTAGTCACCTACCCTATGGAAGTATATGAGGCTCTGTTCAGGATTGGGCAATTCCTGAGGCTTTTGCTCTCATGATCCAGCTCTTGGGTCTGTGCAACTTTCTCTGTTTTGCCCCTCATCACCCCAGATGCATACTTCAGTCCCTTCATCTGTTTCCCCAAGATAATTGACTCATACTAAGCATTTGGTGCACTTAACAGAGCATTTGGTGCATCACAGAGAGGGAAGGCTTCTGCTATCTCCTGGGTCCAATCTGAACCACATTC
Source organism: Homo sapiens (assembly GCF_000001405.40). Lineage (NCBI taxonomy): Eukaryota > Metazoa > Chordata > Mammalia > Primates > Hominidae > Homo > Homo sapiens. The sequence continues at coordinate 83,409,175 of NC_000011.10, read as the reverse complement.
CATAACAGACACTACGAGACTCCAGCCCACATACCCTTGGGCCACTTTTGAGTCCACAAGCAGCTGCAATACATAGTTTGCAGAACACTTCAGCTTTCTACCTGCACCTCTACTTCTCCACCTGCAGGCTTTCTCCAGGACACTAAGCTTGCTCCACTCATACAGGGCAGCCCAGAAGCACCAGCCAGGAATAATCATCTTCAACCAATGAGGAACAAGAGTCTGGAAAAATACTCCAGTTTCTCCAACTCCAGATGAGGAAATGAGAGAGCTATTTCTGGCCAAAGCACTGATTATGGACATGGTTTCCCCATTATTGGGACAAATATCTGTTCATGCAGTTTGGGTGGGATGGTGACTCCAGATGAGGCAATTTAACACAGTTCCTTGGTCCCCTTGGGGCTGAGCCCCAGTTGTCCCTGTGAAGCCTCCTCACTAAAGCACCTCTGGGGCATTCTCCCTTCTCCGCCACTCTCCCCACTCCCTCACTTGTGCTTCCCCATTTCCCTTTCACAGCTGCTGAAAGTGGGAGCTAGAAGGCCTGGCTTCTAGTTCATTTGTACTATCCACTTATTGGCCTTGACCAAGTCACATGCATTTTAACATCTGTTTAGTTATCTCTTAAAAGAAGGAGTTGGACTAAGAGAGCTAAGAAGTGTAGATAGCGGAAAAAGCCACTACTTGCTGGATAAGCAAGTCATGCCCCCTCCAATTCCTCAGTTTCCCCAGTTTCCTTGTCTTGTAAAGCAAGGGAGTTGGTCCAAATGACCTCTCACCTTCTCCAGCTCTAAAAGCTACAAAATCTATAACCTGCCGCCACCACCCCATAATGTTCAGGGCTAATTACCAAAATGTGGAGTGAGAAAAAAGGATATGATTGGTCAAGCCAATGTTGTTTTCAAGGTAGGGCAATCTGCCCTAAGACATGTGGATAACTGAGAAGAAAAATGTGTTGTATCTGAGATTCACGCACCCCACAGGGCACACAGAAGGAAAGACATCCGTGAGTGGCCCTGACCAGAAATGCTGAGATAGTTCTTGATGCCTCCAGAAATTTCACTGCTGAGTTCTCCACATCACATAATTCACAAGTATAAAATTGCAAGTAAAGAAATGAAAGGCCAGGCGTGGTGGCACATGCCTGTAGTCTCAGCACTTTGGGAGGCCAAGGTGGGCAGATCACCTGAGGTCAGGAGTTCAAGACCAGCCTGGCCAAAATGGTAAAACCCTGTCTCCACTAAAAATTCAAAAATAACCTGGGCATGGTGGCACATGCCTGCAATCCCAGCTACTCAGGAGGCTGAGGCAGGAGAATTGCTTGAACCCAGGAGGCAGAGGTTGCAGTGAGCCGAGATCGTGCCACTGCACTCCAGCCTGGGTGAGAAGAGTGAGACTCCATCTCAAAAAAAAAAAAGAAAAGAAAGAAAGAAAGAGCACCTTGTTCTCCAAGATGACCTGATCACAAAGCATCCTGGATGCTATCTCTGAAATATAGGCACCCCTCACTGCTGAAAGGTAACCATAGAAAACAAAAGGAAAAGCCATTTTCTTTGCCTTAATACTGTTTTATAGTTATTAAAGCAATATGTGATCACTGCAGAGAGTGTTTAAATTACAGCACAAAGGAGATCCTGCTGTCTGGGTCCTGTGGTGGGCTGCAGGTCAAGCTGTGGGACACTAACCTGCTGGGCAAATCCCTTCATCTCCCCCGGCCACAGATTCCTCACTTATAAAATGGTGGCATTAAAACCTACCTTGTAGACCTATTGTGAGGATCATACTACGTGTGTGAAGATTTTACACACTATAGCTGCTTCCTTAGACTCTAGAAAGGCAGTGTGCTTGGTGGTGGCTCAGCACACAGATGTTGCAGCCTGAAAGCACAGGATCAGCCTCCAGCTGCCTTGTGCTGATTGTATCTGGAGCAAGGTCAGGTGTGGGGACTCACGCCTGTAATCCCAGCACTTTGGGAGGCTGAGGCAGGAGGATCGTTTGAGGCTGGGGGTTTCAGATCAGCCTGGCCAAGACAAAAAACTAGCTGACGATGGTGGTATGGGCACCTGCAGTCCTAGCTATTCAGGAGGCTGAGGTGGAAGGATCACTTGCACCCAGGAGTTTGAAGCTGTGGTGAGCTATGATCATGCCCCTGCATTCCAGCCTGGGTGACAGAGGAGACCCTGTCTCTGGAAAAGAAGATCTGGATCAAGTTCTTTACCTCTGTGCCTCAGTGTTTGTTACCCCCAAAATGAGTATGATAATAATAGCTACTTCATAGGGGATTTGGGGAGATTAAATGTGGTTATTTATATGAGGCTCTCAGATCAATGTCTGGCTGAGATAAGCTCTCGGAAAAACTAAGTTATTATTTCTATTATTTGGCATTTGCTCCACGAGGGCAAGAATGTTGCTCTATTTCCAGACCCTAGTACAATGCCTGACACATAATACTCAATCAATATTTATTTTCACTGCCTCCTCCCTCATCCATCTATGTGTTTCTTTCTCAAAACCTCTGTAGTCCCCTCAGTTGCATCTCAGCCAGCATGGACACTGGGATGCATCCCAATTCATTTCCACTTATGTGTGCCTCTCCTCAAGCATGGTGCCCAGTCCTGGAAAAGAGTGGTGGGTTGAATGAAGGGTCCAGAAATTATGGCCCTAGCTGGGACCATTTTGGACACCATGTGTGGATGCAGGCTGAACTGGGCTAGAGGTATGTCTATTCAAAACAATGTGGCCTTGCTAAGAGGCAGTGACAGTTGGGGCCACTACTACTGCCTGTGTTGTAAGACATCAGCCCAGAAGTCTGCAAACAGTGAGAGTGGGCCTCCGCCCAGGGACGTTTCAGGCAGATCTTTCTATGCCTACAAAGGCCAAAGAAAAATGAAAACTGCCACCAAAGCTACTTGGCACCACATAAAAAAACAGCTAAACAAAAAAACAAAAAAACTACTGGCTGAATTCAACAGTAATTACAATTTTCTACTGAATGCAAAAGGCTGCCTTGTGTAATAGAAGAGCACTGGACATGGCCTAGGAAGGCTCATGTTCTGCTATGAATTTTCTTTTCTTTTTTTTTTTTTTTAAGATGGAGTCTCACTCTGTCACCCAGGCTGGAGTGCAATGGCACGATCTTGGCTCACCGTAACCTCCTCCCCCTGGTTTCAAGCAATTCTCCTGCCTCAGCCTCCCGAGTAGCTGGGATTACAGGCATGTGCCACCATGTCCAAGTAATGTTTGTATTTTTAGTAGAGAAGGGGTTTCACCATGTTGGTCAGGCTGGTCTCGAACTCCTGACCTCAGGTGATACACCTGCCTAGGCCTCCCAAAGTGCTGGGATTACAGGCCAGGCGTGAGCCACCGTGCCCGGCCATGCTTCGACTTTTCTAAGCCTCAGTTTTCTTATCTGGGAAATGGGGCTAGTACTGTCTATAATATTTCCTCTCTCACTTATTGTGAAGATCACAATAAGAAAATGAACCTGAAGAACCTGGAAATTGTAGAGGGCTGCATAAGTTTAAGGTAGATCAAAGTGTATTTTTGTATTTCTTCTTTAGCCACAAAGAAGAACCTTAACAATCGCACCTTCAAACCTCTCAGGGCTGTTAGCTACATCAGGGCTCCCACCATATTTCCACCTCATAGCACAGGGGCCGGCAACTGTAGGTGCTTAATAAATTCACTGGCATTTCCATGTTCCTAATCTTTAGGACCCAGGGAAACATTATTTCCTGAGGTGAAAAAAGTATAATGTAGTGACTCAGACAGACCTGGGTTCAAATTCAGACTTGATCACTTAATAGCTGCCTAATCCTAATCAGCTAAGGACTCTGAACCTTCCTGTCCTCATCAGGAAATTGTGGATGATGGGCCCTTATCATCCCAAGTTGCTGTGGGAGAAAACAATGAGATAACATACTGTATTAGTCCATTTTCACACTGCTATAAAGAACTTCCCTGAAATTGGGTAATTTATAAAGGAAAGAGGTTTAATTGACACAAAGTTCCACATGCCTGGGGAGGCCTCAGGAAACTTACAATCGTGGCGAAGGGTAAGCAGGCACCTTCTTCACAAGGCAGCAGGAGAGAGACAGCATGTGAAGGAGGAAATGTCAACCACTTATAAAACCATCAGATCTTGTGAGAACTCACTCACTATCTCAAGAACAGCCTGGGGGAAACTGCCCCCATGATCCAATCGCCTTGCCCTTGATTCCTCCATCAACACCTGGGGATTATAAATCAAGATGAGATCTGCGTGGGGACACAAAACAAAACCATATGACACAACACATAAAATGTAGTTGTTATGTCTCCAATGTCCTTCTCAATTCAAGAAAAGTTAGAACCACAAAGTATCTTTAAAATTCTTTATTTCAAGTTTATAAGGAGAAATCTAAATCCAAGGAGTTAAGATGACTTGCCAAGGTCACAAAGCTCTCAGATGTGCCCCTTATAGGTTGTCTTCCACCTGGAGAGCTGGTGTTTTGGGAGAAGTTGCAGCCCACACAAGGACCCTGGCACAGGTCGGTACCTGCTCTCTCCCAGACAGTACAAATAGTGCCATCTTCCTGCTGCCTCCCTCCCTGAGGTCCTTAATAGGGATTATAACTATGGGGCTTTTGTGTAGTTTTTCTTATTTGGGATCCTCTGATCAGCAGATTTCTTCATAGCTATTCACACCTATGAAAGGCATTTCAAATGCTTGGGACTGAAGGAACACAAAACCAGGAAGTGTGACCATTATCCCTATTTTTTTTAATGATCCTACATTTTAATTACCATAATCCCCATCTGCTTTTTTTTCTTCAATAAGGAGAAAAGTACTGGGCACATATTTTATGATGTTTCTCTAAGCATGCAAAGCACTTGGATTCTGCATAGCTCATTGTATTTCCCTAGGAATACGCTAATTACATTTACCCAAACCATGTGCTCCCATTCCAGTTGAGAAACGTCCACACTGAAAAGCTTCTGCTGCAGGGAAGAGCAGATGAAAAACGCAGATAAAAGAAGAGCTCCTTGTTGGGGGAAGGGGCCCGACTGCCAACCGCTACAACTCCTTCTTTGCTTCTCACAGCAATGGAGATCAGGGATAGATAAATGGAGGAATGAGAAACTAATAAAGTGTAGACTAGGAGCCCCCAAAGTGTTCGCTGTAGAGCACAAATTCTCAAGGACAATAGGTATTCAACAAAAATGTGGGCATGGGAGGGTACTCGAATTTAAGAAATGTTCTGTTAAATAGAATTACAACTATTCTCAGAGCCTGTAACATGAGAATATGCATATTATGAAATCAGGCAGCTGTTTTTTTAGAGAGGGAGGCATAGAGAGAAATGTAACAGAGAGAAAAACAAGACAAAGCAAATCCCTTGCATTCTGTCAAAGTCCCACTGCTAGGAAGGTAAGGGTACTTGGGCAAAGTGTTACAAGCTTCCAGGTCTCAATTATCCCACCCTTAAAAATTAGAGAGTTGTTCTGGATAATCTCTAAGGTTCATCTCTGAGTCTGGTTTCTGTAGGTTTAGTACAGCTAACAGTAGTGGCTTATGGATCTCCTTGTTTAAACACACACACACACACACACACACACACACACACATGCACACACATGTATGCATGCATGCACACACAGCTACTAGGGGAGCTGAGGCAGGAATATGCTTTGACCCTAAGAGTTTGAATCCAGCCTAGGCAACACCATGAGGCGCCATCTCTAAAAAAATTAAATAAATAAATTTTAAAAACCCAAAGCCAGTCTATTTCCAACCAAGAGGCTGCTGCTAGGTGCCTGCTCTGCCTCAAAGCCAAAGAGGCAAATATACCTTGGCCTGATACTGTAATCTTGAGTTTAAAGGGAGGCTATAGGAGAAGAGTGAGCCAGAGACAGAGCACCAAGCATGCTAGGGCTACACGTGGCCATGGGCTTTGGAGAAAGTTGCAGCTATGTCTGAGGATGAGATTGTAATTGTCTCCCAGCACTGGAGGAAGAAACCTGGTGTCCATAAGAACTGGGCATGAAGAGCTTCAGACACTTCTCTTCTAGGAAGTCTTCTGTCCCTTCTGGTCTGAGTCACATGAACATTTTGTGTATTTCCATAACTACTCCAGTCTTACTGAACTCAAAGAGTATCTTGTAATTTGTCTTTTTGTAATTTTTTATCATGGAAAAGCTCAAACATCTAAACACAATAATGTAATGAATTCCTATGTACCCATCACTCAGATTCAACAATTATGAATTCATGGCTAATCTCGCTTCATTTTGATGCCCATCCATATCCCTCCCCACTACATTATTTTAAAGCAAATCCCAAATATCAAACCATTTCATCACATTATTTCATGTGTACATATCATTATGTATGTTAAAAAGAGAAGGACTCTTTAACATAATTATCACAACTAAAAAATTAGGAATAATTTTTTTTTTTGAGACAGTCTCGCTGTGTTGCCAGGCTAGAGTGCAGTGGTGCGATCCCGGCTCACTGCAACCTCTGCCTCCTGCGTTCAAGCGATTCTCCTGCCTCAGCCTCCCAAGTAGCTGGGACTACAGGTGTCCGTCACCACAGCCAGCTAATTTTTGTATTTTTAGAAAAAATGGGGTTTCACCATATTGGCCAGGCTGGTCTCGAACTCCTGACTTTGTGATCCGCCTGCCTCAGCCTCCCAAAGTGCTGGGATTACAGGCGTGAGCCACTGTGCCCGGCAGGAATAATTTCTTAATCATTAAATATTCTGTCAAAGTTCACGTTCCTAAATATCTCATAAATGTCATGTTTTTTAGCACTATGTTTGTTTGAATCAGGAATCCAAATAAATTCCATCATTGCAGTTGGTTGCTATGTCTCTGAGATTCTTTTACTCTACAGATTCCATCTCCATCAGTTTTTTTCCTTGCAATTTATTTGTTGAAGAAATGGAATTGTTCATTCTATAAATTCCCCACAGTCTACATTTTACTGATGGAATCCCCATGGTGGAGTATTATGTTCTTCCATCTTCTCCATTTCCTGAAAACTGGTACTTGGATCTAGAAGCTTTGGCCATATTGAACAATATTTTTTGGCAAGTAGTTGCTTTCTTACTTATATTGCCACCTACTAGAGAGTAGGCCCTTTTAGGGCAGGATCACTTCCTGTTTCATGTTCCTAAGAATATCACCCACATTGAATCATGTTCCTATGAATGAGGGTCACCCACAGTGTCTGACTGGCACATAGTAGATGCTCAATCCATATCTGTAGAATTAGTAAGTGAATATAATCAACATAACAGAGAAAAGCAGATTTAAAATATAATATTTCATAACAAAACCTCCTCAGAAACTTACTTATTTTCAAAATCATGAGTCACATGATTTGCTTTAAAGCCAATTTCAGCATAAGCTGGGTATACCTCAAATCCTAAACAAGAGGGCCATACAATCTTTCACATTGCATGGTTTCTGACAAGGTTTTTGCAGTTACATCAACCCTACTTCCCTATATTCACTACAGTCTTAGTAACCAGCTTGCCTTCCTCAAACCTGCCAGATTTGTTACCACTTATGTTTCTGCCTGTTACTTTTTCGCCTAGAAGTTATTCATTCATTCATTCAAAGATATTATTACATAGTTACTAAAAGCCAAGCCCTGGAGATGCAATGGTGAAACAAGATGATGATCCTAACCTTGTGGAGTATATAGTAAGAGAGACAGACTTTAAGTAATCACTGATATATATTTAAATTAATGGCTGAGCATGGTGGCTCACATCTGTAATCCCAGCACTTTGGGAGGCCAAGGTGGGTGGATCACCTGAGGTCAGGAGTTCAAGACCAGCCTGGCCAACATGGTGAAACTCCATCTCTACTAAAAATACTAAACTTAGCTGGGCATTGTGGTGGGCACCTGTAATCCCAGCTACTTGGGAGGCTGAGGCAGAATTGCTTGAACCTGGGAGGCACAGGTTGCAGTGAGCTGAGATCACACCATTCCACTCCAGCCTGGGGGACAGAGCAAGACTCCATCTCAATTTAAAAAAAAAAAAAAAATATATATATATATATATATATATATATATATACATATATATATATACACACACACACACACACACACACACACACACACACATATCTTTAAAGGTAAATATATATAACATTTACCTTATTTAAGTAATTTATATTATTATATATTATATATATTTACCTTAGTAATATATATATAACAAGAAAATAGGACCTGTATTCAATTGGGGGTTCAGGAAAGCCTCTTCCCACTTTGTCTACCTCATTAGTAACTGTTTACTTGTCAAGGCTCAGCCCAAGCATCATCTCCTACCATTTTCTGATAGCCTCACTCCCTCCAGAGTGGACCTGAGCAAGCCCCCTTTATACCTCCTCTCTACTTAGTCCCAACTTCCGCCATACTCCCTTAGCTTTTGAAGTCACTTATCTATGTGCATGACACCTCTCCTACTGAACTGTCAGTTTCACAAGGGTGAAAACAGGGGCCGGCTCTTCTCTTTTTTTTAGAGACAGGGTCTTCCTCTGTCACTCAGGCTGGAGTGCAGTGGTGCAATCGTGGCTCATAGCAGTCTTGACCTCCTGGGTTCAAGCAATCCTACCACCTCAGCATCCCCTGTAACTAGGACTGCAGATATGCACTACCATGCCCAGCTAATTTTTTTTTTATTTTTTTGTGGAGATAAGGTCTTGCCATGTTGCCCAGGCAGGTCTCCAACTCCTGGCCCCAAGTGATCCTTCAGCCTCAGCTTCCCAAAGTGCTGGGATTATATGCATGAGCCACCATGCCTGGCCTTGCTCATCTCTGAATTCTCAAAGTCTAGCACAGTGTCTGGCTTACAGTATATATGCAATAAATGTTTATTCATTAATTCATTTGTTCACCAAATATGTGATCAAACAAGATGCAGAGATGTGTTCCTACTATATACTAATCATGGTGCACTGGGAACATGACGGTAAAAAAAAAAATGACATGGTACAAGAGATAAGGAGATTGAAAGAACAAATGAAAAATAAAAATAAAATACGAAAAATGAAAAATAAAAATAAAAATGATAAAATAAAAATTTCTCATATCCATCATCAAGAGTCTCAGAGAAGAGAGAGGATGTCTGTATGGTAGAAGAAACAGTCAAATAAGAGAACAAAGAAAACTGGCTACATACATTCATAAAATTCATGCTTTGATACACCCCTCTCCTCCAAACACATAGCAATGACAGATAAAAGAAAAGGCTGGGCACAGTGGCTCACACCTGTAATCCCAACACTTTGGGAGGCCAACACAGGAAGACAGCTTGAGGCTGGCAGTTCGAGATCAGCCTGGGCAATGTAATGACATCTCATGTCTACCAAAAAAAAAAAAAAAACCCAGATGTAATGGCATGCACCTGTAGTCTTAGCTACTTGGGAGACTGAGACAGGAGGATCCCTTGAGCCCAGGAGTTCGAGGTTGCAGCAAGCCATGATCACACCACTGCACTCCAGCCTGGGCACCAGAACGTAAATAAATAATATTTATTTATTAAAAATATTAATTTATTTAATAAATAGGAGGGAGGACATAGACCAGTCCTAATCCAAAAACTGAACCACTAGTGACTAAATCTGTGTTATTCCACGTATCACTATGGAATAGGAGAATCAAGATTCCATCACAAAGCCTTATTCTATACTGGCATTTCCAGGATGCCAATTGGAAGAAATTGCAAAATTACTGGACAAGGAAGTCAGATTAAGCACAGAAGGGGATAAAGAGGCAAACAACAACAAAAAACAAGGCAAAACACCCTCATTTAAAGAAAACTAGCCTGTAAATCAAAATAACAAACCTACTGACAAAACAGCGAACAAAGTCAGGAATGGAAACACAAATTCCAGATAAATTTTTTTAAAGATTAAATTTTACAGAAACTTAAATATATTTAAAATGCTCAAAGAAACTAATAAAATAACTTTCATTTATTAAAAAAGAAAACAAAATGATATCATAACAGACTAAAGATGGCCATGAAAAGGAATTAGAAATCTTGTAGAAAAATAAATATATACATATACACACATTTTGTAAAACTAAAACACTGTAGATACATTAAAATGATCAAAATAGAAATCAATTCTACTTTGATTAAAGACCTAAATATACCTTTTTACATAGTTATATGTATTTAATATATGAAGTTATATCTATTCTCATGTCTATAAATATATACTGTATTGTTATATATACACATATGGATATATATTCTCCTATGTAGAATATACTATAGAATACACAGGAAAATATTTTCATGAACTCAGAGCAGGGAAGGATTTCTTCATCAAGACACTCACATACAAAAAGAAATATTGATAAATTCAACAACATAACGTTTTTAAATTATTATTTCTAAAAGTTACTATTAAAATAAAACGAACCATTAAGATAAACCACAGTCCAGGTGCAGCAGTTCACATCTGTAATCTCAGCACTTTGGGAGGCCGAGGCCAGTGGATCGCTTGAGGTCAGGAGTTTGAGACCAGCCTGGCCAATATGGTGAAACCCCATCTCTACTAGCCAGGTGTACTGGTATGTGCCTGTAACCCCAGCTACTTAGGTGAGGCAGAAGAACTGCTTGAACCCAGGAGGTAGAGGTTGCACCTCTGTACTCCAGCCTGAGCAACAGAGCCAGACTCCATCTCAAAAAAGAAAAAAAAAAAAAAAGAGAAGCCACAGACTTGGAGAGGATGATTTGTCATACCACTTTAGCACATATGGGTGTTTTCAGCTTGGGACACAAACACACAATTGGATCAATATGAAAAGCCTTTATTATTATCCTCTTCCATAATATCCATAAACCATATCTGCATGTATCCAGGAATTATATAAATATTTAAAATTCTGTAACTTGCTTTTCTCATTTTTTAAATTTCTATCAGTTATTTTTATCTGCTATAATCTGTTGTATGACACATATATCATAGTTTTCCTTTTTTATCAATTCTTCTGTTGACAGGCACTTAAATTTCCATAAACCTTTTACTACTACACTTGATGTGTGAGTTCTAGTGTTCTATACTACTGTAGGATGACTACAGTTGACAATAACATGCACTTTCAAATAGCTAGAAGGAGGATACTGAGCATTCCCAGCACAAAGAAATAATACATGTTTGAGATGATGCATATGCTAATTACCCTGATCTGATCACAATACATGTATTGAAACATCACTGTGTACCCCATGGATATGCACAATTATTATTTCTCAACTAAAAATAAATAAAACAACAAATAAATAAGATAGTATGATAGCTCTGTTTAGAGGTGTGTTTCAGAGTATATTTTTAGCTGGGCATGGTGGCTAACACTTGAAATCCCAGCATTTTGGCAGGCTGAGGTGGGCAGATCTCTTGAATCCAGGAGTTTGCGACCAGCGTGGGCAACATGGCAAAACTCCATCTCTACAAAAATACAAAAATACAGCAGGGCATGGTGGCACACACCTGTAGTACCAGCTAGTCAGGAGGCTGAGGTGGGAGAATCGCTTAAACCCAGGAGGTCAAGGCTGCAGTGAGCTATAATTGTGCCACTGCACTTCAGCCTGGGCAACAAAGACAGACCCTGTCTCAAAAACAAAACAAAACAAACAAAAAACAAAGTATAGTTTTATACTTTTTATTTCTAATTTAATTATACTGAGATTAGAGAAATGGTGATAGGCTATTGACTCTAAAATTTGATGAAGCTTTCTTTGCTCCTCTTACATGGTCAATTTTTTAAATGGTCCATGGGTATTTGATTAAAATGTATATTTTTTATTTGTTGGGTACAAAACTTTCTCTCTACCCATTAGGTCAGAGGGTTAGAAAATTATGGCCTTGGCCCATTCAGTATGATATTGGCTGTGGGTTTGTCATAGATAGCTCTTATTATTTTGAAATACGTCCCATCAATACCTAATTTATTGAGAGTTTTTAGCATGAAGAGTTGTTGAATTTTGTCAAAGGCTTTTTCTGCATCTATTGAGATAATCATGTGGTTTTTGTCTTTGGCTCTGTTTATATGCTGGATTACATTTATTAATTTGCGTATATTGAACCAGCCTTGCATCCCAGGGATGAAGCCCACTTGATCATGGTGGATAAGCTTTTTGATGTGCTGCTGGATTCGGTTTGCCAGTATTTTATTGAGGATTTTTGCATCAATGTTCATCAAGGATATTGGTCTAAAATTCTCTTTTTTGGTTGTGTCTCTGCCCGGCTTTGGTATCAGAATGATGCTGGCCTCATAAAATGAGTTAGGGAGGATTCCCTCTTTTTCTATTGATTGGAATAGTTTCAGAAGGAATGGTACCAGTTCCTCCTTGTACCTCTGATAGAATTCGGCTGTGAATCCATCTGGTCCTGGACTCTTTTTGGTTGGTAAACTATTGATTATTGCCACAATTTCAGCTCCTGTTATTGGTCTATTCAGAGATTCAACTTCTTCCTGGTTTAGTCTTGGGAGAGTGTATGTGTCAAGGAATTTATCCATTTCTTCTAGATTTTCTAGTTTATTTGCGTAGAGGTGTTTGTAGTATTCTCTGATGGTAGTTTGTATTTCTGTGGGATCGGTGGTGATATCCCCTTTATCATTTTTTATTGCGTCTATTTGATTCTTCTCTCTTTTTTCTTTATTAGTCTTGCTAGCGGTCTATCAATTTTGTTGATCCTTTCAAAAAACCAGCTCCTAGATTCATTAATTTTTTGAAGGGTTTTTTGTGTCTCTATTTCCTTCAGTTCTGCTCTGATTTTAGTTATTTCTTGCCTTCTGCTAGCTTTTGAATGTGTTTGCTCTTGCTTTTCTAGTTCTTTTAATTGTGATGTTAGGGTGTCAATTTTGGATCTTTCCTGCTTTCTCTTGTGGGCATTTAGTGCTATAAATTTCCCTCTACACACTGCTTTGAATGCGTCCCAGAGATTCTGGTATGTTGTGTCTTTGTTCTCGTTGGTTTCAAAGAACATCTTTATTTCTGCCTTCATTTTGTTATGTATCCAGTAGTCATTCAGGATCAGGTTGTTGAGTTTCCATGTAGTTGAGTGGTTTTGAGTGAGATTCTTAATCCTGAGTTCTAGTTTGATTGCACTGTGGTCTGAGAGATAATTCGTTATAATTTCTGTTCTTTTACATTTGCTGAGGAGAGCTTTACTTCCAACTTTGTGGTCAATTTTGGAATAGGTGTGGTGTGGTGCTGAAAAAAATGTATATTCTGTTGATTTGGGGTGGAGAGTTCTGTAGATGTCTATTAGGTCTGCTTGGTGCAGAGCTGAGTTCAATTCCTGAGTATCCTTGTTGACTTTCTGTCTCATTGATCTGTCTAATGTTGACAGTGGGGTGTTAAAGTCTCCCATTATTAATGTGTGGGAGTCTAAGGACATAGGCATGGGCAAGGACTTCATGTCCATAACACCAACAGCAATGGCAACAAAAGACAAAATTGACAAATGGGATCTAATTAAACTAAAGAGCTTCTGCACAGCAAAAGAAACTACCATCAGAGTGGACAGGCAACCTAAAAAATGGGAGAAAATTTTCGCAACCTACTCATCTGACAAAGGGCTAATATCCAGAATCTACAATGAACTCAAACAAATTTACAAGAAAAAAACAAACAACCCCATCAAAAAGTGGGCGAAGGACATGAACAGACACTTCTCAAAAGAAGACATTTATGCAGCCAAAAAACACATGAAAAAATGCTCATTATCACTGGCCATCAGAGAAATGCAAATCAAAACCACAGTGAGATACCATCTCACACCAGTTAGAATGGCAATCATTAAAAAGTCAGGAAACAACAGGTGCTGGAGAGGATGTGGAGAAATAGGAACACTTTTACACTGTTGGTGGGACTGTAAACTAGTTCAACCATTGTGGAAGTCAGTGTGGCGAGTCCTCAGGGATCTAGAACTAGAAATACCATTTGACCCAGCCATCCCATTACTGGGTATATACCCAAAGGACTATAAATCTTGCTGCTATAAAGACACATGCACACGTATGTTTATTGTGGCATTATTCACAATAGCAAAGACTTGGAACCAACCCAAATGTCCAACAATGATAGACTGGATTAAGAAAATGTGGCACATATACACCATGGAATACTATGCAGCCATAAAAAATGATGAGTTCATGTCCTTTGTAGGGACATGGATGAAATTGGAAATCATTATTCTCAGTAAACTATCGGAAGAACAAAAAACCAAACACCGCATATTCTCACTCATAGGTGGGAACTGAACAATGAGACCACATGGACACAGGAAGGGGAATATCACACTCTGGGGACTGTGGTGGGGTGGGGGGAGGGGGGAGGGATAGCATTGGGAGATATACCTAATGCTAGATGACGAGTTAGTGGGTGCAGCGCACCAGCATGGCACATGTATACATATGTAACTAACCTGCACAATGTGCATATGTACCCTAAAACTTAAAGTATAATAAAAAAAAAAAAGAAAAAAAAAAAAAAAGAAAATTATGGCCTTGGGGCCAAAACCAGCCTGCAGCCTGCTTTTGTCAAGTTTTATTTGAACACAGCCTCATCCATTCATTTGCATGTTGCCTGTGGCTGCTTTTGTGCTACAATGGCAGAGTTGAGTGGTTGTGACAGAGACCATATGCAGCCCGCTGAGCCTAAAATATTTACTATCTGGACCTTTCCAGAAAAAAATTTGTCATCCTGTATTAGATAAAGCTTTAAACTGTGTGATTCAAAATTTCAGCTTTTACTAATTTTAATCTGTTTTCTATTAGTTCCTGATATTGGTATGATAAAAATCTCCTACTATAAATGTGGATTTCTCCACTTTTTGTAATTCTGACTAATTTTGGTTCATGCTTTGGCCCAAGGAAGGTCCTGGATGTCCAAGACCTTCACTCTCTCCACTCTGCTGCCCTCCAGCCACTTTTTCTATTTGGAATTTTTAAAGACATCAGCCAGGTCTCAGTCCTGGTGGCCTCAATCTCTAGGAGACAAGTATCAAGCCTTCAGAGTGTTTTTCTTTGATTTGATTTGAGGAAGGTATTCAGGAAATGATAGCTGTCAAGGAAAGACAAAATATTTCCATGTCCTGACAGCAAATGCCCATTTCACTCTGTAAGCCCAGCCTCTGGCCCCAATCACCCTTCTTTTAAAAACGTCTAGCAGTGTCTGTAGGAAGCATGATTGTGGGGAGAGGCCCACAACCAGGAAATTTCAGCAGTGTGTTCCACACGGTGTGGAGCATACACATTCAGAAGGTGATTGGCAGGATTAATTGGAAGGAAGATAATTTGCCAACCATTCTAATGACTGCTTAACTTTCTACAGTTGCCAGAGGTTAAGTCAGGAATTAGGAGATGTGGCAAGTTCCACCACAGATGTTGTTGCATTGCTGAGGTCATCAGCAGTGCCCAGATAAGAGGGTGCATGATGTGACACCTTGTCCAGTACTGCTTATAAAAGCACAGATTTGACTCTGAAAAGAGTAGGTTATTGAATTTTATTTATTTCAAATCAGGTAAACAAATATGTATAGTCCAAACACTATGTACCAAGCAGTGAGCAAATCTCTTACATATTTTATGTAGTTTAAACCTCATGAAAGTTCCCATTGCCAGATGAGTAAACTAAGGTCACACAGCTGGTAACTGTGTGCCATAATGAGAACAAGTTTCATCAGGCTCTGAGGCCTATTTTCTCTTCCTTCAGAAGAAAGAGAACACTCACACCTGGAATGAGGATCACACCAGCCCACATGGGTCCATGATGCAAAGCTGGGTGGGGCAAGTGCCTCAGGAAGGTGCAAGTGATTATGCTGGTGTGAAGACTGGGAGGAGAAGAGCCAATACTTACTGCACACTTACTTAGTATCAGGTCCTTTGACTGTGTTATACAAGTCATCCTCAAGAAAACCCTCTACAGGAAGCATCAGTGTTTGATTCTACAGATAAGGAAACTAAGCCACATAGCTTGGGCAGATCACAGAGCTATTATGGGTTAGAACCATAATAGAATTGCATTTGAGCTAATCTTTCTCTAATTCTATTCCTTTCCATTATGCCATTTTCTGAGAGATCACATCCAGATTTAAGGAGGCAAGAGGGAACTTGAATAAACCTTTAGAGAGAATATGTTATTTAACATAATCCATGGAAACATTGGGATTTCAACTGGTGGAGGTGGAATGGGGGTTATTCCAGCCAGGGAGATCATAGGAGCAAAGGTAGAAATAATCAGGAAGTGTCCCTGGAATAGCGAGCCACAGGGTTTGGCATGAACTTGAGGTGCAGAGAGCAGAGAGGGGGCCAAAGATGAAAGCTAGCTCTCCCTAGGGAGGGCCTGGCCAGGCAGGGTCCTGTCCATGGCAGCACAACTACAACAGGATTCTCCCACTGAGGAGAGCAGCTGTTGGGTTTGTGGGGAAGGCTCCAGACACAACATAGCTGTGGTTAGTTAGCAGAATTTGGCTTTGCCATCTGTATATGGGGAAAAGGAGAACAGGAAATCTGGAGCCATGAGTGGCTTGGAGATTTAAATAGGAAGAAACAATGCTGTCAGTATCCACAGATGATACATGTGTCTACACAAAAAATCCCAAGAGAATCTAAAATTTGTAGAATTATAGAACTATTGTTAGCTAATAAAATGTGGTACACTATATAGCCTTAAAAATGAAGGAATATCTGACACCTGATCCAACATGGATGAACCTTGAAGACATTATGCTAAGTGAAATAAGCCAGTCACAAAAGGACAAATATTGTATCATTCCATTTATATGAGGTATCTAAAGAAGTCAGATTCATAGAGACACAAAGTAGAATGGTGATGGTCAAGGGCTACAGGGAGAGGGAAATGGGGAGTCAGTTTTTAATGGATAGAGAGTTTCAGTTTGGGAAGATGAAAAAAAACCTGGAGATGAATAATGGTGATGGTTGTACAACAGTGTGAATGTACTTAATTCCCCTGAACTGTACACTTAAAAACAGTCAAGATGGTAAGTTTTGTGTTACATATACTTTATCATGATTTTAAAATAGAATTTTAAATATGTGTATAGACGAGAAACTTGGAAACACAAAAACATTTATTATGCATTGGGTTAGTAAGGCAGTGGGTGACTTTCTTCTATATGTTTATTGCTATAAAGTATTTGCAAAGAATAAAAATATTAAAGAAAAAATGGACAAATAACTTGAATAGATTTTTTCTCATAAAAGCATAAATAGCCAATAAGCACATGAAAAGATGCTTGGAATCATTAGCTATTAGGGAAATGCAAATCGAAATTACAATGAGATACTTCACACACACTAGGATTGCTATAGTAATTTTTTAACAGAAAATAACAAGTGTTAGCAAGGGTGCAGAAAAATGGGAATTTTCATACACCGCTGATGGGAATACAAAATGGTACAACCACTTTGGAAAACAGTTCGGCTGTTCCTCAAAAAGTTAAACATAGCATTACCATATGACCCAGCAATTCTGTTCCTAGATATATATTCAATAAAAATAAAAATGTATGTCTACACAAAAACTTGTACATGAATGTCCATAGCAGTATCATTCATGATAGCCAAAAGCAGAAACAGCCCAAATGTCAATCAACTGATAAATGGACAAAATAAAATATATCCATATAATGGAATGTTATTCTGCCACAAAGGAATGAAGGGAGGTGTGTGGAAACACTGCACTTTCTAATAAATTTTGCCATGAACCTAAAACTATTCTAAAAAATAAGGTTTATTAATTGGAAAAAAAGAGAGAAGGAAAAGAAGAAATGAAGTGTAAATACTTCATTAGTTACTGCCTTAGTGAATTCTGGTTGCTCCAACAAAATACCATAGTCTAGGCGTCTTAAACAACAGACATTTATTTCCTATAGTTCTGGAGGCTGGGAATTCCAAGATCAAGGTGCCTGCCATTCAGTTCCTGGTGAGGGCTCTCTTTCTGACTTGCAGACCGCCTCCTTCACGTTGTATCTTTATAGAGAGAGGAAGATCTGGTGTCCCTTTCTTTCCTTATAAGGGTGCCAATCCCATCACGGGGGCTCCACCATCTTAAATTCATCAAAATCTAATCACCTCCCAAAGGTCCCACCTCCTAATACCATCACATTGAGGTTAGGATTTCAACATATGAATTTTAGGGGGACACAAACATTCAGTCCACCACAGCTACTAATACCACATTGGAAGTAACATGCTACAATATGGATGAACTCTGAAAACATGCTAAGCGAACAAAGCCAGACACAAAAGACTAGATAGTGTATGGTTCTACTTCTGTGAAATGTTCCAAAACAGGCAAATCTATGCAGACAGAAAAAGATTAGTGATTGTTAGGACCAGAGGGAAGCGAGAGATAGGGAGTAACTTCTTAATGGGTACAGGATTTCCTTGGGGTGATGAAAATACTCTTGAAATATTGCTGATTGTTGCACAACGTTATGAGTGCATGTAATTTCACTGGATTATACACTTTAAAATGACAAATGTTATATGTATTTTACCACAGTAAAAAATACTGTCATTCATTTTTAAAAGGTGGCTACTCAAGATAAACTTTTTCCAAATGTGCGCAAGAGGACATACTTACAATTGCAAACTTTAGTTAGTAAGAGGACAAGAGAAACTTATGTTTCCCTCAATAGAGCAAAAGATAAACTGTGATTCATTGAGACCCTGGAACACTAAGCAACAGTACATAAGTGTTCACAGTAACATTATTTATAATAGCCAAAGGTAGAAACAGCCAAAAATCCATCAACTGATGAATGGATAAGCAATGGATATCTATCCATTCCTCTTCCCCCCATTCCCTCACCAAGCCAGTCCTCCTTGTCTTTCTCACCCTTGGCTCCATTCAGCACTTTGAGGGGCTTCTCACACATGAGTATGGACATCCCTACTGCACGTCCAAGCTCTACCATTCTCTCCTCCCTGAAAACAGCCATCCCTTAGCCACTCCTCAGGACTAGGGCAGCACACACTGATTGTGCAGTCCTCCAGAGAATGGGCCTGGGAACAGGCCTGTGCAGACCCTGAAGGCAGTAAGACAGGGAATGCAGGAGTCTGAGGTTTCTCAAACAGGATCTAGAAGGCTGTTTACCCTGTGGGGAGGAGCTTGGACACTGGAGAACTAGAGTGGGGCCCTCTAAATCATGCAGCCCAGACCGGACCTTTGGGTGCTCAGATCTATTGGTGGTACTGGATTTAGATAGTCATGAATTCTATCTTTGTGGGAGCTATTGCTCCCAGAATCATACTATCTAAGCAATTATAAGACTTGGAATCCCAGCATGCAAGGACTATGAACATCAGTACTTAATGTACTCCCTGTGAAAGGCTGTTTTGTAGGTTGATTTCAGGGCCAAAGAAGACAATGATGGGTTTTAGCAGCTGCTAGCTAGTGCTGTCAGTTCTGTTCCAGCAATGAGCCATGAGTAGAATTCTGAAAGCTGGACTCCCCGTGACTCTTGGTGGTTAAGGTAGTTTTCTTTCTGGAAGTAGCCATGTCATTTCCGCCAACATCCAGGCCACCAACTTGTCACATTCACTCATACTCCCTGGGTGAAGGTGGCTGAGGCTGACTTTGTAGGCACCACACTGTGACTCCTCAGCCCCTCAGGTTTTTGGAAGTCGTATGCTTATTTATAGAACGGCTTCCAACCCGTAGCTTCCCTTCAACAAAGACCATCCATGGCTTTGTGAATCAAAAGTAACTGCAGTTGGCCAGTTTTTCTATGAATTTTCTGCTCACCCCAAGTCCTGCCAACTTTTGTAGAAAGCTTCAAATTGCCCAGTTCTTTCTTCCAGACATATATGTTGGCACAGACATTGGTCAAGAAAGCAAAACTCAGCTTCTCTATAAGGATTGTAGGGGATCTTGAAACCTTATTTATTCTTCAGTTCTTGCACTTAACATAATAATCACTACCTCATAAATTCTGCTGCATTCTACAAAGTGCTTCCACATAAATTATTCTCTGTGTGCTTTTTTGTTTATTTTTATTTTTAATTGACATATGATTGTACATATTGTGGGTACGATGCGATGTTTCAATACATGCATACCTTGTGAAATGATCAAATCAGCATTGTTAGCATATCCATCCTCTCAAATATTTATCATTTCTTTGTGGTGGGAACATTCAAAATCCTCTTTACTACCTATTTTGAGATATACAATACCTTACCTTATTGTTGACTATAGTCACCATACTGTGCAATAAAACACTATAACTTATTTTTCCTTTCTAAATATAACTTTGTACCCATTTACCAACCGCTCCCTATCCCACTCTCCCTCCTACTCTCCCCAGTCTCTGGTAACCACCGTTCTATTCACCACCTATATGAGATAAACTTCTTCAGATTGTCTAGATTTTTTTTAGACAAGAAACATTCTTGTCTTGTTCTGCATCTTAGAGGAAAAGTTTTCAGCTTTTCTCTGTTCTGTATGATGTTAGCTATGGGTTTGTCATTATGGCCTTTATTGTGTTGAGATACAGACCTTCCATACCTAATTTCTTGAGAATTTTTATCATGACAGAATGTTGCATTTTGTCAAATCCTTTTTCTGCATCTGTTGAAATAATCATATATTTTTTGCCCTGCTTTCTGTTAATGTAATGTATTACATTTACTGCTTGGCATATGTTAAATCATCCTTGCGTTCCTGGGATGAATCCCACTTGATCACAGTGAATCATCTTTGAAATTGTGCTGATGAATTCTCTTTGCTAATTTTGTGTTGAAGATTTTTGCATCTATATGCATCAGTGATATTAGCCCGTAGTTTTCTTTTTTTGTTGTGTCCTTGTCTGATTCTCGTATTGGGGTAATGCTGGCTTTATTAAATGAGTTTCTAAGTATTCCTTCTTCCTCAATTTTCCGGAATAGTTTGAGAAGAAGAAGCCATCAGGTCCTGGGCTTTTCTTTGATGGGAGACTTTATTACTGATTCAATTTTCTCACTCATTATGGTCTGTTAAAATTATCTATTTTTCATGAGTCAATTTTGGTAGGTTGTGTGTGTTCAGAAATTCATCTATTTTTTTCTAGGTTATCCAATTTGTTGGAGTATAATTTTTCATGATAGTCTCTCATGATTTTTTGTATTTCTATGTTATCAGTTGTTTCTTTTGTCTTTTTTCTTTTTTTTTTTTTTTTTTTTTTTTTGAGATAGAGTTTCACTCTTGTTGCCCAGATTGGAGTGCAATGGCGTGATCTCAGCTCACCACAACCTTCGTGTTCTGGGTTCAAGCAATTCTCCTGCCTCAGCCTCCCGAGTAGCTGGCATTACAGGCACCCACCATCATGCCTGGCTAATCTTATTTTTGCATTTTTGTAGAGACGGAGTTTCACCATATTGGCCCGACTGGTCTTGAACTCCTGACCTCAGGTGATCTGCCCACCTCGGCCTCCCAAAGTACTGGCATTACAGGTGTGAGCCACTGCACTCAGCCATATTGTTTCCTTTTTCATCTGATTTTGAGTCTCCTATTTTACTTAGTCTACCTAAAAGCTGTTTACTTTCTTTATCTTTTCAAAAACCCAACTGCTCTTTTTGTTGATTTTTCTATTTCTTTTAGTCTTTCATTTATTTATGCTCTGATCATTATTTCCTTCTTTTTACTAATTTTGTGTTTGGTTTGCCCTTTTTCCTTAGTTCCTTGTGGTGCAATGTTATTGGTTACTTAAGATCTTCGCCAGTCTAGTGGTGATGAATTCCCTCAGCTTGTGCTTGTATGGGAAGGACTTTATTTCTCCTTCACTTCTGAAGGATCACTCTGCTGAGTATAGTATTTTTGGCCAGCAGTTTTCTTTTTTTCTTCTTGTAGCACTTTTACTATATCATTCCATGTTCTCCCAGCTTGTACGGGTTCTGCTGAGAAATCTGCTAATAATCTTTGTTGTGCCTTTTATAATTCTAAAATCAGACATTTTGTTAATTTTCTCCTTTATTATAAAATTTAATGCTATACATTTCTGATTGATTTATCTAAACTTCATGAATTATTTTTGAGGGTGAAGGAGAGGGTGGAAGGTGTGGGGGTAATGAGGGAAACTGGGGAAGTGGGGAGTCGAGAGGCAACCAGAGGAAGATGAGGCACTAGAAGAGAGCTTGTGGGAGCCAAGGAGTGCCTTAGACATCTGGAGTCTGGCAGTAGCATGATGATGGCTGGAGGGCTAGCTTGGGCAACACTGAGGAACGGGTGTTGAATTTTGTGAAAGGCCTTTTCTGCATCTTTTGAGATAATCACATAGTTTTTGTCATTGGTTCTTTTTATGTTATGGATTACATTTATTGATTTGCATATGTTGAACCAGCCTTGCATCCCAGGGATGAAGACGACTTGATTGTGGTGGATAAGCTTTTTGATGTGCTGCTGGATTTGGTTTGCCAGTATTTTATTGAGGATTTTCACATTGATGTTCATCAGAGATATTGGCCTAAAATTTTCTTTTTTTGTTTTGTCACTGCCAGGTTTTGTTATCAGGATGATACTGGCCTCATAAAATGAGTTAGGGAGGAGTCATTCTTTTTCTATTGTTTGGAATAATTTCAGAAGGAATGGTACCAGCCCCTCTTTCTGCCTCTGGTAGAATTCGGCTGTGAATCTGTTTGGACCTGGGCTTTTTTTTTTTGCTTAGTAGGCTAATAATTACTGCTTCAATTTTAGAACTTGTTATTAGTCTACTCAAGGATTCAACTTCTTCCTGGTTTAGTCTTGGGAGGGTGTATGTGTCCAGGAATTTATCCATTTCTTCTAGATTTTCTAGTTTATTTGTGTAGAGGTGTTTATAGTATTCTCTGATGGTAGTTTGTATTTCTGTGGGATCAGTGGTGATATCTCTTTTATCTTTTTTTATTGTGTCTATTTGATTCTTCTCTTTTATTGTTTATTAGTCTGGCTAGCAGTCTATTTTGTTAATCTTTTCAAAAAACCAGCTCCTGGATTCATTGATTTTTTGAAGGGTTGTTCATATCTCTATCTCCTTCAGTTCCTCTCTGACCTTAATTATTTGTCTTCTGCTAGCTTTTGAATTTGTTTTCTCTTGCTTTTCTAGTTCTTTTAATTGTGATATTAGGGTGTCAATTTTAGATCTTTCCTGCTTTCTCCTGTGGGCATGTAGTGCTATAAATCTCCCTCTAGACACTGCTTTAGCTGTGTCCCAGAGATTCTTTGTGTTGTGTCTTTGTTCTTATTGGTTTTGTTCTCATTAGTTTCAAAGAACTTACTTATTTCTGCCTTCATTTTGTTATTTACCCAGTCGTCATTCAGGGGCAGGTTGTTCAGTTTCCATGTAGTTGTGCGGTTTTTGAGTAAGTTTCTTAACCCCGAGTTCTACCTTGATTGCACTGTGTTCTCAGAGACTGTTATGATTTCTGTTCTTTTATATTTGCTGAGGAGTGTTTTACTTCCAATTATGTGGTCAGTTTTAGAATAAGTGTGATGTGGTGCTGAGAAGAATGTATATTCTGTTGATTTGAGGTGGAGAGTTCTGTAGATGTCTATTAGGTCAGCTTGGTCTAGAGCTGAGATCGAGTCCTGAATATCCTTGTTAATTTTTTGTCTCGATCTGTTTAATATTGACGGGGGGTGTTAAAGTCTCCCACTATTACTGTATGGGAGTCTAAGTCTCTTTGTAGGTCTCTAAGAACTTGCTTTATGAATCTGAGTGCTCCTGTATTGGGTGCATATATATTTAGGTTAGCTCTTCTTGTTGCATTGATCCTTTCACCATTATGTAATGTCCTTCTTTCTCTTTTTTGATCTTTGTTTGTTTAAAATCTGTTTTCTCAGAGACTAGGATTGCAACCCCCCCCCTTTTTTTGCTTTTCATTTGCTTGGTAAATATTCCTCCATCCCTTTATTTTGAGCCTATGTGTGTCTTTGCACGTGAGATCGGTCTCCTGAATACAGCACACCAGTGGGTCTTGACCCTTTATCCAATTTGCCAGTCTGTGTCTTTTAATTGGGGCATTTAGCCCATTTACATTTAAGATTAATATTGTTATGTGTGAATTTGATCCTGTCATCATGATGCTACCTGGTTATTTTGCCCATTAGTTGATGTAGTTTCTTCATCGTATCTTTGGACTTTATATTTTGGTATATTTTTGCAGTGGCTGGTAGCATTTTTTCATTTCCATATTTAGTGCTTCCTTCAGGAGCTCTTGTAAGGCAGGCCTGTTGGTGACAAAAATCCCTCAGCATTTGCTTGTCTGTAAAGGATTTTATTTCTCCTTTGTTTATGCAGCTTAGTTTGGCTGGATATGAAATTCCGGGTTGAAAATTCTTTTCTTTAAGAATGTTGAATACTGGCCCCCACTCTCTTCTGGCTTGTGGGGTTTCTGCTGAGACATCTGCTGTTAGTGTGATAGCCTTTCCTTCGTGGATAACCTGACCTTTCTCTCTGGCTGCCCTTAATATTTTTTCCTTTGTTTCACCCTTGGTGAATGTGATGATTATGTGTCTTGTGGGGTTGCTCTTCTTGAGGAGTATCTTAGTGGTGTTCTCTGTATTTCTTGAATTTGAATGTTGGCCTGTCTTGCTAGGTTGGGGAAGTTCTCCTGGATAATATCCTGAAGGGTGTTTTCTAACTTGGTTCCATTCTCCCCGTCACTTTCAGGTACACCAATCAAACATAGGTTTGGTCTTTTCACATAGTCCCAGATTTCTTGGAGGCTTTGTTTGTTCCTTTTCATTCTTTTTTCTCTAATCTTGTCTTCATGCTTTATTTCATTAAATTGATCTTCAATCTCTGATATCCTTTCTTCTGTTTAATCGATTTGGCTATTGATACTTGTGTATGCTTCATGAAGTTCTTGTGCTGTGTTTTCAGCTCCATCAGGTCATTTATGTTCTTCTCTAAACTGGTTATTCCAGTTAGCAGTTCCTGTAACCTTTTATTAAGGTTCTTAGCTTCCTTGCATTGGGTTAGCACATGCTCCTTTAGCTCAGAGCTGTTTGTTATTACCCACCTTCTGAAGCCTACTTCTGTCAATTTGTCAAACTCATTCTCCATCCAGTTTTGTTCACTTCCTGGTGAAGAGTTGTGGTCCTTTGGTGGAGAAGAGGCATTCTTGGTTTTGGAAGTGTCAGCATTTTTGAGCTGTTTTTTTTCCTCATCTTTGTGGATTTATCTACCTTTCATCTTTGATGCTGAGTACCTTTGGATGGGGTTTTTGCATGGGCCTCCTTTTTGTTGATGTTGATGTTCTTGCTTTCTGTTTGTTAGTGTTCCTTCTAACGGGCCCCTCTGCTGCAGGTCTGCTGGAGTTTGCTGGAGGTCCAATCCAGACTCTGTTTGCCTGGGTAACACCAGTGGAGGCTGCAGAACAGCAAAGATTGCTGCCTGCTCCTTCCTCTGGAAGCTTCATCCCAGAGGGGCACTCACCAGATGCCAGCCGGTGCTCTCCTGTATGAGGTGTCTGTTTACCCCTGCTGGGAGGTGCCTCCCAGTCAGGAGGCACGGGGGTCAGGGACCCACTTAAGGAGTCAGTCTGTCCCTTAGTAGAGCTCAAGCAATTTTCTGGGAGATCTGCTGCTCTCTTCAGAGCCAGCAGGCAGGAATGTTTAAGTCTGCTGAAGTTGCGCCCACAGCTGCCCCTTCCCCCAGGTGCTCTGTCCCAGGGATATGGGAGTTTTATCTGTAAGCTCCTGACTGAGGCTGCTGCCTTTCTTTCAGAGATGCCCTTCCTAGAGAGGAGGAATCTAGAAAGGCAATCTGGCTACAGTGGCTTTGCTGAGCTATGGTGGGCTCCGCCCAGTCCGAACTTCCCAGTGGCTTTGTTTACACTGTGAGGGGAAAACTTCCTAGTCAAGCCTAGTAATGGCAGTCTCCCCTACCCCCACCCAGCTTGAGCATCCCAGGTTGGCTTCAGACTGCTGTGCTGGCAGCGAGAATTTCAAGCCAGTGGATCTTAGCTTGCTGGGCTCCATGGGGGTGGCTCCCTGGCTTCAGCCCCCTTTCCAGGGGAGTAATCAGTTCCATCTTGCTGGGGTCCCAGGCACCACTGCGGTATGAAAAAAAAACTCCTGCAGCTAGCTCAGTGTCTACTCAAATGGCAGACCAGTTTTGTGCTTGAAACCCAGGGCCCTAGTGATGTAGGCACCCGAGGGAATCTCCTGGTCTGCGGGTTTGCAAAAACCATGGGAAAAGCATTATATCTGGGCTGGATAGCCCCATCCCTCATGGCACAGTTCCTCACAGCTTCCCTTGGCTAGGGGAGAGAGTTCCCTGACCCCTTGCACTTCTTGGGTGAGGCAACACCCCACCCTGCTTCTTCTTGCCCTCCATGGGCTGCACCCACTGTCTAACCAGTCCCAATGAGATGAACAGAGTACCTCAGTTGGAAGTGCAGACACCTGCCTTCTACATTGGTCTTGCTGGGAGCTGCACACTGGAGCTGTTTTTACTCAGCCATCTTGCCCAGAACCAACTCTAGGCACTAACATGGTACATACTTGTATAGAGGCAGTGCAGAGGGACAAATGACTTGGTCAAGTGTACACTGGTAAATGGCAGAACCAGGGTTCAAACCCAGGCTGCCTGTTTCAGAGTCCAGGCACCTAGCCCTTGTACCACAGGCAGCAAGCAGCTTTTGAGCACCTATTATATGCCAAATTCCCTGCTTGTACTTTCCTCTTAATTTCATTTAATTCTATATATTTTATCTCATTTAATTCTTAAAACAACTCTATGAAGTAGATATAAATAAATTTATTCTACCAATGAGAAAATAGAGGCTCAAACAAGTCAAATGCAAGGTAAAACAGCTGGCAGGTGGCAGAGCCAGCCAGGCCTGCCTAGATTGGTATAGAAATAACTCTCAATTCCTTTCTGAACGATGGAGACAGCTGAGCCCCAGGTCTTTGGATCTGCCATTCACAGTGACAACCTGTGCACTATTTGTCATTTTAGGAACTGTGAACTGTGAGACACAGCCTCCACATGTTGAGTATTCACCAGCATTTCTACAGGCTGCAGCTGAAGTGGGGTTTGGGGGAAGGGAAAAGACAGTGCAAAGAATATAGCTTGCTTTAGTTTGAAATGAGTTAATTTTTTTCTTTCATCTTTTCTGCCTATTTAATTGCTTTATAGAGATAAATAAAGCTGAGGAAAATGACATTTGGCAGGCTTCAATAGGGCACGGATTCATGGTTCTTTCTTCACTGCTGCCCAAGATGATGAAAACTATTTTGTTAATGATAGATTTGTTAGCTGAGATTTTCTTCTTTGAAGGTTGTATTCTTTTTTTTAATTATATAAGAACATCATATGCAAGTAATATCCTAGCCCTGGGCAAACAAATGTATGCATAAAACATTCATTTTCTATGCAAATGGAAAATAAACGTCTGGGCTAACTGGGCTTATTATCTGAAACCATTTACTTAACCTACCTAGCTCTTTGTTGTGTCATTCACAAATTGGAAAATACAAAATCCAGCCAAAAGTAACATGGTTGCTGGAAAGATCCAGTAAGATAATAGTGTTTCCTTGAATTTATTTAGGCTATTGTATTTTCAGATTCATCTCTTAAGTTCTCTATCTGGCTCTGGGAAGTAGACAACTCTATCCCTATTTCACACAAAAAGGAACAATCTTTGAGATGTTAGGTGGCTGGGTTATTGTCACCCAGCTAGCACATGGCAGCATCAGGATACCAGGTAACTCCCAGCCCAGGGACAAAAGGTTGTTACTATTACTGCAGAATAATTCTACACACAGAATAAGGCACATGACTTATCTTTTCCCTTAACTGGTTTTCCTGATATACAATATAAGTTCATTGTTTTAAATTCAAACATGATGGAAATGCAAATTTAAGACAGTGTCTTTTAATCTCACCTTTTGGTTACAAACACTGATAATAGTTTGCTTTATATTATCCCAGATTTCTTCTATAGCATCCTACCTATTAGCAATAATGTGGTAAATCACATTCTGGTAGCACATTATATTTGCAAAGTGCTTTTTCATAAATGATCGCAAGGCACATGTTTACCATAATTTGTTTTTCCTGTGATTAGAGAGATTGATGAACCTGTGCCTTTGATTCACTAAAGATCAGTCAATGAGATTTGTAACTGCCTGAGGTCATAAAAGTAAGCATTTTAACTGAATTGACTATTCCCATCAGACTGGGAAGTTGGCTGCCCTCAAAATCTCAACAGCTGGGATGCACAATTTTATAATAAATTAATTTGCAAAAATTTGAATGGCTTGAATTGAACTTTACAGTTGAATATTCTAAAAAGGTATGTAAGTTGGAGTCATAGAATTATAGCACCAGCAAGGACCTCAGAAATCACCAAGTTTAGTCTATATTTTAAATTTAATAGTGAAGAAAACTGAGCTCTAAAGCTGGGAAGAGCATATTCTTGTTCCATTTGGTTGGAAAAATGTTTTCCAAGTACAAACTATGTCTGAGATTCTTGTGAGATTTTGAGTTAGACCTGTTTCCAGCCTTCAAAAAACTGACAGTTATCCATGATTCACTGTTCAAGACATCATAAAAGCCTAAGGTGGAATATTCTGAACATTTTCATGTGGTAAAAGAGGTTGTCTTACTCTGTTTCAGCTGGTATAACAAAAATACCATAGACCAGGTGGCCTAGAAACAACAGAAATTTATTCCTCACAGTTCTGGAGGCTGTGAAGTCCAAGATCAATGTGCTGGCAGATTCAGTGTCTGGTGAGGGTTTCTTTTCTCATTCATAGATGGCCATCTTCTCACTGTAACCTCATACAGTGGAAGGAGGCAAGAGAGTTCTCTGGAGTCTCTGTATAAGGGCACTAATCTCATTCATGAGGGCTCCATCCTTGTGACCTAATCACTTCCTAAAGGCCTCACTTCCAAATAGCCTCATACTGAGGCTTAGGTTTCAACCTGTGAATTTTGGGAAGACATAAATATTCAGTCTATAGCATTGGTAAGCCCTATCTCTTTCCATAGCCTTGATGTATATACCAGAGTGAAAGAACCCATTCATAAACTGCCTTTTCAATACAGCCCCTGCCACTCACAAGTCCTTTCCCTCTGGTGACCTCTCCAAATCCTTCATTTGGACCTCATCTGTAATACTTGAATGTTCCACCTCACATTACAGTAACCTCTCCCCAAGCAAAGGCTATATAATGCTGATAGTTTTATTTCTAGTGCTTAGCATGTGTATTGAATAAATGCTTGTCAGTGAATGAATATCTGGTTTTTAAAGACAGATTGCACTTTTCATGGCGTTATACATGGCTTCCAAAATACGTATTTCTGGAGTGTTAGATCAGATAGGTGTACAGACATGAGAATATAAATTCAATATACTTTCTAAAAATACAGGCCTGCTGGCCTCCACATCACACTCTCTCTTCAAGCTCATAGCTCATATTTATGCTCTGACTTTTGGAAATGTAGTTAGTGTCATCTACCAAGATCAAACCTGGCACTCTTTTTTTTTTGTGGAATGCTTATAATAAATATTTGGTTTATGGTCCATTTTGATCATTACTAAAACTGTGTAGTTTGAGTCCCATTTATGCTGTTTACATTTATGCTACCTCATATCCAAAAACTCTTCCTATCTTTAATACCTAGTCTAGAAGCTGAAATGGTAGATTTTCCTGCTTTCAGCTCCCTGGCAGCCAGAGAACAGGTATGGCCTAAGGCTGGGCTAACCAGATACCTCAGCTTGGGACTTTGTCTGAAGCAAGTGAATAAAAAGAAGCAGATCTGAATTCATCCTGGGTTATAGAGACAAGGGCATCAAAGGTATGTAGTGTTTGGTGGCCACAGTGCCTGTACCAACTTGACTGGGCATAATTTGGTCATTGTTCTGGCTGTTTAGCTTTCTTTGGTTCTGCTCTATTTTCCAATCCTTATTTCTTAACTTCCCCATTAGGTCTGTCAGCTATTCAATATTCTACTAAATTTATTTTCTGCTTAAGTTAACCCAGACAGATTTTTCTGTTGTTTGCGACTAATAATTATGACTGATATAGTCATGAAATAATATTCATATTTGAAAGCACTTGTCTTTTTATTAACTCATTTTAGAACTTTAGACCCTTTATTCTTTTCATACTTCATGACTGCCTTTAGAAGACAAAGTTTAATTCTGAAGAAAGGTGACAGGATGTCCTGAATTCCAATCTCAGCCCTGACAGTTACCAGCAGAATAACTTTTGAGGCACAATTTAACTTCTCTGAGCCCCCATGTTCTTATCTACAAAATGAATCCAAATGTGAACTATTATGGGCTGTATTGTGTCCTCTCCTAATCAGATGTTGGAGTCCTAACCCCCAGGACCTCAGATGTGACTACATTTAGAGATTGGGGCCTTTACAGTAGTAATTAAACTAAAACAAGGTCAATAGAGTGGGCCCTACCGATGTGATGGGTGTCCTTACAAGAAAATTGGGCACAAGCAGGTATAGAGGGAAGTCTGTGTGAAGACACAGGGAGAAAGGCAGTCCTCTATAAGCCAAGGGGAAAGACACCAACCCTGCTGACACCTTGATGTTGGACTTTTAATCTCCAGAACAGTGAGACAATAAATTTCTGTTGATTAAACCACCCAATCTATGGTACCCTGTTACGGAAGCCCTAGCAAACTAATACCTGAACAGTAAAACTTATCTCATGGGAGCTGGATGCAGTGGCTCACACATGTAATCCCAGCAATTTGGGATGCTGAGGCAGGAGGAGAGCTTGAGTCCGGGAGTTCAAAACCAGCCTGGGCAACATAGTGAGGCCCCATCGCCAAAAAAATCAATTAAAAAATATAAAAGGAGATTTAGCTCATGAAATGTTGTGAAGACTCCAAGAGATAATGTATGTAAAGCATTTGAGAAATAATAGGTGTTCTGAATAATGTTAGCTAGCTTTCTTTTTTTTCTCTTAATTTTCCACGGTTTTTATTCTTCTTGACCCTTTCAATGTCTTCCAGTCTTAATATATTTTGTAATGGGAAAGATTTTGAGTTATGCCAATATAAGAAGTATTTTTGCTGTCAGAAATCCAGGTCTTTTCTCTAAGAAAAAGTAGAATACAATATTAAAACCTTATCTATTTAAAAACTCTGAAGAGGAAATATAAAATCCTTAAGGAACATCACCAGTATCTGGAAGGCTTTGCCTTGTTATCTCCTGTCCTAGGAATGAATGTCTATCCCATATTTCCTGTCTGTTTCTGAAAGCAGAATTTTTTTTTCTGACATTGAATCTCACTGTAGTGAGTAACACACACTGAAAATGACAACTTAAGGTATCTCATAACTCATTGATAAGAGGGAGTTTACCTACAGTAAAATGGGTCAAAATCCTGCTTTTGAATTTCTTTTTTGGTATCTCTGTATAATGGAGATTGTTGATTCAGAGGTGAAAATTCATAGAATTAAAATAATCAGAAAAATCTAAAGGTAAAATGTTTTGAGAAGATGCTCAAGAAAATACACTGAAAATAAAGGCATTTGGTCAGAAACCAAGAAAGGCTCTTTGAGTTATTTCTAGAAAAATTATTTGTGGTGTTCACTTATGAGATGGGCAAAAATTTTAAAGTTTGATAACACCCAGTATTAGTGAGGATGAGGGAAAAAAAAACCAACAGGTACTATCATATACTAACAATGAAACTAAATTGTTGCAATAGTTTAAAGAGAAATGTACTAATATCCATAAAAACTTCAAATGTACATACTTTAAGCCTCAGTTTCACCATTAGAAGTCTTTCTACAGACTTATTCACATATAAAAGTGACTGCAACACTACCTTTTTCTCTTAAAATTATTTTTTCTTATTTTTTGTGGAGACAGTGTCTTGCTATATTGCCCAGGCTGGTCTTGAACTCCTGGCCTCAAGCAATCCTCCTGCCTCTACCTCCTAAAGCACTGGAATTACAGGTGTGAGCCACCATGCCCAGTGTATTACTTTTAATAGTTTTTAAAAAATGGGGAAAAATGAAAAGGTGCAAAAGTAATGGATTTAGTTATGGTACAATCACACAGTAGATTGCAAAATAGCCATTAAAGTAGGTGCATATGAGTGGCTGGAGAAGGTCTCCAGGGTGAATTAGGTGGAAAACAAATCAGCTTAACAATATGAATAATATATTCCCATTTGTATATGTGGAAAAGGCACAGGTGTAGTATATGTCCAAGAAATTTATTTTCTGGAAATATTTATTTTATTTTTTTGAGGCAGAGTCTCGCTCTGTTGCTCAGGCTGCAGTACAGTGGCATGATCTTGGCTCACTGCAACCTCTGCCTCCCAGGTTCAAGCGATTATCCTGCCTCAGCCTCCCGAGTAGCTGGGATTATAGGCACGTGCCACCGTGCCTGACTAATTTTGTATTTTTAGTAGAGATGGGGTTTCTCCATGTTGGTCAGGCTGATCTCGAACTCCTGACCTCAAGTGATCTGCCCACCTCGGCCTCCCAAAGTGCTGGGATTACAGGCAGGAGCCACTGCACCTGGCTGCTTTTCTAGTTCTTTAATAAGATGCATCATTAGGTTGCTTATTTGAAGTTTTTCTTCTTTTTAAATGCAGACACTTATAGCTATAAATTTCCCTCTTAGTACTGCCAGTACTGCTTAGTACTGCTAGTACGACAAACTAGCAAACTGAATTCAACAATACATTAAAAAGTGGAATTTATCCCAGGGGTGCAAGAATGGTTCAACATATGCAAATCAATCAATGTGATATATCAACAGAATGAAGGAGAAATACCATATGGTAATTTCAATTAATCCTGAAAGCACATTTGATAAAATTCAACATCCCATCATAATAAAAACACTGGAAAGACTGGATTTAGAAGTAACATGCCTCAACATATAAAAGCTCTATATGACAGAATCATAGCTAGTGTGATACTGAATAGGGAAAAATGGAAAGCCTTTCATGTAAGATCTGGAACATAACAAGGATGCCCACTGTCACCACCGTTATTCAACAATACTGGACATCCTAGCTACAGCAATCAGACAAGAGAGAGAAACAAAGGGTATCCAAATTGGAAAAGAAGTCAAATTCTTCTTGTTTGCAGACAGTATAATCTTCTATTCGGAAAAACCTAAAGGCTCCATCAAAAAGCTATTAGAACTAATAAACAAATTCAGTAAAGTTGCAGGATACCAAAATCAACAAACAAAAATCAGTAGCATTTTTATATGACAGCTGCAAGCAATATGAAAAAGAAATCAAGAAAGTAACTCTATTTGCAATAGCTACAAATAAGATACCTAGAAATTAAACTTAACCAAAGAAGTGAAACTTCTCTACAATAAAAGCTATAAACCATTGATGCAAGAAATTGAACTGGACACAAAAAAGGAAGGATATTTATGTTCATAGGTTGGAACAATTAATATTGTTAAAATGTCTATACTACCTAAAGCGATCTACAGATTTGAGGAAATTTCTATCAAAATACCAAGGACATTCTTCACAGAAATAGAAAAAAAATCCTAAAACGTATACAGTACCACAAAAGACCCCAAATAGCCAAAGCTATTCTAAGCAAAAAGAACAAAACTGAAGGAATCACATTATCTGACTTCAAGTTATGCTACAGAGCTATAGTAACCAAAACAGCATGGTACTGGCAGGAAAACAGAAACATAGATCAGTGGAATAGAATACAGAACCCAGAAATACATCCATATATCTACAGTGAACTCATTTTCTACAAAGATTCCAAGAATATACATTGGGGAAAGGACAATCTCCTCAATAAATGATACTCAGAAAACTAGATCTCCATATCCAGAAGAATAAAATGAGACCCCTATCTCTTGCCATATAAAAAATCAAATCAAAATGGATTACTGACTTAAATCTAAGACCTCAAACTATGAAACTACTAGAAGAAAACATTGGAGAAACTCTCCAGGACATTGGAATGGGCAAAGACTTCTTGAGCAATACCCTGCAGACACAGGCAATCAAAGCAAAATCGACAAATGGGATCACATCAAGTTAAAAAGCTTCTGCTCAGCAAAAGAAACAACAAAGTGAAGAGGCACCCAAATAGTGAAAAAAAAAAAAAGATGTGCAAACTACCCATCTGACAAAGGATTAATAACAACAATATACAAGGAGCTCAAACAACTCTATAGGAAAAACTCTAATAATCTGATTTTTAAATGGGCAAAAGATCTGAATAGATATTTCTCAAAAGAAGACATTCAAATGACAAACAGATATATATAAAAAGGTGCTCATCACTGATCATCAGAGAAATGTAAATCAAAACCACAATGGGATATCATCTCACCCTAGTTAAAATAGATTACATCCAAAACAGGCAATAACAAATGCTGGCAAGGATATGGAGAAAAGGGAGTCCTTGTGAAATGTTGGTGGGAATGAACATTAGTGCAACAACTATAGAGAACAGTTTGGAGGTTCCTCAGAAAACTACAAATAGAGCTATCATATGATCTAATAATCCCACTGCTGGGTATATGCCCAAAAGAAAGGAAATCAGTATGTTGAAGAGACATCTGCACTCCCATGTTTGTTGCAGCACTGTTCACAATACCTAACATTTGGAAGCAACCTAAGTGTTCATCAACAGATAAATGGATAAAGACAATGTTGTACTTATACACAATGCAGAACTGTTCAGCCATGAAAAGAGAATGAGATCCTGTCATTTGCAACAACATGGATAGAACTGGAAGTCACTATGCTAAGTGGAATAAGCCAGGCACAGACAGCCAAACATGACATGTTCTCACTTAGTAAAGAAAAAAAAAAAAAGTAAAAAAACTATAGTATAGACTACAGTAAAAAAAATTTTCATTGTTCATTTTTAAATAACTAAAAGAGTATAACTGCATTGTTTGAAACACAAAGGATGTTTGAGGTGATTGGCTCCCTATTTACCTGATGTGATTATTGCGCATTGTGTGTCTGTATCAAAATACCTCATATAACCCATAAATATATACACCTACCAGGTACCCACAAAAATTAAGAATTAAAAAATAGTAAATTAAATGAATAAATAGAAAATAATGGAAGGAAAACCCCAAACTTCTACAGGCAACATAGTGAAATTCCATCTCTTAAAAAATAAAAAGAAGAATTCCAACAAATAAATGTAGAATAAATGAAGGAAATGAAAAATTATTGTTAGAACCACAGACAAGATCCACAGATAGATGCTAAGTTAGTGGATTAAAGTTTAAGGAGAAACAGGATATTTGCATAATCTCAAAGTATTTCCCCCAAATATTTATTAATTATGAAAGGAAAAATAATAACTTTACAGTGAAGAAACCTGGCAGAAAACACCTTAACAACCTAACCAGGTTTAAAAAAAAATTTTTTTTTTTGTAGAAATGAGATCTTGCTATGTTGCCCAGGCTGGTCTTAAATTCCTGGCCTCAAGCGATCCTCCTGCTTCAGCCTCTCAAAGCACTGGGATTACAGGCATGTGCCATGTGCCCAGCCCCACATAATCAAGTTTAACATCACTAGCAATGACATTTGAGACAAAAGCACCAACTAATATGAAACACTGAGAAGGGCACATCACTTCTGTGATGTTCTTCTCATTAATATATAATTGCAATATAATCATGAGAAAACACCAGAAAATTCCAAATGGAGGGACATTCTAAAAATAACTGACCAGGTCTCTGAAGCCACAAGGTTATGAAAGACAAGGAAAGACTGAGGCACTGTCACAGACTGGAGACTAAGGAGATATGGTGGCTAACTGTAATGTGAGTTCCTGGATGGGATCTTGGAATAGAAACAGGACATTTGTAGAAATACTGATATGATTTGAATAAAGTCTATACTTTAATAATAGTATTGTTAACAATGTTAATTTCTTAGTTTTAATACCTGTGCCATAGTTAGATAAGATATAACACTAAGGAAAGCTAGGTAACTCTTCACACTATTTTTGCAACTCTTCTATAAGTCTAAAATTATCTCATAACAAAAAATTCAAAAAATAATAGCTGAGTTCTGCTTCTGTCTGTAACAGAGTAGCTGGTACTAGCTAGCCCTCCAACCATAAATACCCATAAAACTGAACAAAATATATGAAGCATGTGTTTCAAACATTGGACAATTGACCATGCAAGTCTGATGTCTGAAAGAAGGAAATCTCATGAGGTGCTACCTATCATCTTCTGGGTTCTCTCCCTGGGGATAGTTTCCTGATTGTAGGTCAGTGAGTTGGAGCTGAAACAGAATGGTAGTTTTGTTGAGTTGAATAGGCAGAGATTAGAATTTGAGGCAGTAAAAGACCTGAATTGTCTGGTGTAGGGCACTAGAGAGGAGGAAACTGAGTAGATGAGGGACTTTGGAAATCTATGTGTGGGTTCCCTCTTAGTCTTTCACCTAGACCTGTGCTGAGACTGTGCAGAAAGAGGATAGAATGACTTAACAAAGAGTGGCTATTATAGGCTAGAGAGTGGAATAGAGATATTAGAGGTCAAGTAGTGTTGGAGGACACTGACAATTTGTTGTAGCCAGAGTAGAGAAACCTCATTAACACTCTGAGAATATAGCTGAGACACCAGGAAGACAATTTCCTTGGAATAAGGACCATACCCTAGAGCACGGACTACTCTAGAATTGAATTAACAAAGTCTAAAATAGAGCCATAACAAGCATGAGTCTTGCTAAGAGAGAGGAGCTTGGGACAAACCTTGGGCTTCCCCAGATTTACCCTAATAAAGCATAAAACTAAACCTATAAAAATTCAAGGTGATTAACCACTAATTACGTTACCTTCTAGAGAAAAAAATAGCACTCCTCAGAAAGATATAGAATTCAGAATCTTGACAATGTCTAATCCACAAAGTCTTCAATACAAAAAAATTTAGATATGGAAAAAAACCTGAAAAAAGTGACTCACAGTCAATAAAAATAAAAGCCAACAGAAGTTGAACCTCAGACAGCCCTGATGTTGCATTTAGCAGACTAAGTTTTTAAATAGCTAAATGAAAATATAATCTTAATGAATTAACAGATAAAGATTCTCACCAAATAAATGAAAACAAAAACAAAAAAAATCACACAGAAATTGTAGAATGGAAAAGTATAATAACTCAAATGAAAAATTCACAGGATGGGCTTTATGTAAATTAAATATGGTAGAAGAAAGAGTCAATGAACTTGAAGATAGATCAATAGAAATTGTCTCAATCTGAAAAAGAAAAAAATAAAAATAAAAAACAAAGAGGCTAGGTGTGGTAGCATATGCCTATAATCCCAGTGTTTTGGGAGACTGAGATGGGAAGATTACTTGAGGCCAGGGGTTTGAGACCAGCCTCATCAACATGGTAAAACCCCATCTCTATGAAAAAAAAAATTAGCCAGGCATGGTAGTGCACACCTGTAGTCTCAGCAGGAGGATTGATTGCTTGAGCCCAGGAGTTCAAGGTGACAATAAGCCACATTTGTGCCAGTGCACTCCAGCCTGGGCAACAGAGTAACACCTTGTCTCTAATAAACAAACACAAAGTAGAACATAATCCCCACTCCTTAATTGACTCAACTCCAAACAGTACAATATGGAAAGGGGTAGAGGGAGTAACTACAGTGGAGAAATCTGAAAAATACTACTTCAGCCAGGTGATCAAGGTCAATATCAACAGTGATAAATCATGTACCTTTGATATGATGTAAAAAAATGACATTTTACCTCGGTGGTCTTCCTCCCAGAAGCCTCTCAGAAACTATAGTCAAATGATGAAAAAAAAATTCAGACAAATTCCAAATGAGGGGCATTCTGCAAAATACTTCACCAGTACTCCTCAAAACTGTCAAGGTCCAGAAACAAGGAAAGTCTGAGAAACTGTCACATTCAAGAGGAGTATAAGGATATGTA
This sequence comes from Homo sapiens, assembly GCF_000001405.40. Classification (NCBI taxonomy): domain Eukaryota; kingdom Metazoa; phylum Chordata; class Mammalia; order Primates; family Hominidae; genus Homo; species Homo sapiens. Next base: position 83,371,271 of record NC_000011.10, on the reverse strand, counting down.
AGAACAAATGCAATGTGCTATCCTGGACGAGATCATGGAACAGAAAAAAGACTTTAGGTTAAAAAAATACTAAGGAAACCTGAATGAAACATGGACATTAGTTAATAATAGTGTATCAATATTGGGTAATTAATTGTGATAAATATACCATACTAATGTAAGATGTTAATAATAGAAGAAACTAGGTCCTGGTGTGGTGGCTCATGCTTGTAATGCACTTTGGGAGGCCAAGGCAGGCGAATCACTTGATCTCAGGAGTTTGAGACCAGCCTGTGCAACATGGTGAAACCCTGTCTCTATTAAAAATAAAAAATTAACCAGGCATGGTGGTGTATGACTGTAATTCCAGCTACTCAAGAGACTAAGGCATGAGAATTGCTTGAACCCAGGAGGCGGAGGATCACACCAGTGCATTACAGCCTGGGTGATGGAGTGAGACTCTGTCTCAAAAAAAAAGGAGAAACTAGGTGCAGGGTCTAGGGACACTGTACTATCTTCACAGTTTTTCTGTACCTCTGAGATTAAAACAAAATTTATTAAGAATAAAAAACAGGCTGGGCGTGGTGGCTCACACCTGTACTCCCAGCACTTTCGGAGGCCGAGGCGGGCAGATCACGAGGTCAGATCACCAGGTCAGGAGATCAAGACCATCCTGGCTAACACAGTGAAACCCAGCCTCTGCTAAAAATACAAAAAATTAGCCAGGCATGGTGGCAGGCGCCTGTTGTCCCAGCTATTCAGGAAGCTGAGGCAGAAGAATTGCTTGAACCGGGAGGCAGAGGTTGCAGTGAGCCACGATGGCACCACTGCACTCCAGCCTGGGCGACAGAGCGAGACTCCATCTCAAAAAGAATAAAAAACAAATAAACAAAATGTTAGAGACAATGGATATCCATAGGAGGGAAAAATGAACCTTGGCCTAAACCCCACAACTTAACACAAAAATTAACTTAAGTGGATGATGGACTTAAAGAAAAAGTATAAAAGTATACTGATTTTAGAAAAAAAAATGGGAGAAAATCTTTAGAATCTGTGGCTAGGCAAAAAGTTCTTAAACTTAAGATAAAAAGTATGGTTCATTAAGGGCAAAAACTGAAAAATTCAGCCTCATCAAAATTTAAAACTTTTGCTCTGGGGGAAACCCTGCTTGAAAGATGAAAAGATAAACTACAAATTGGGAAAAAGTATTTGTAAACCACATATGTAACAAAGGAGCGGTGTCCAGACTATTTGAAGAACTCTCAAAACTCAACAGTATAAAACTCAAACAATCTAATTAAAAAATATGCAAAAGACATAAATAGACATTTCACTGATGAGGATATAATGATAGGAAATAAACATATGAAGAGATATTTAACATCATTAGCTATTAGGGAAAAGGCACATTAAAATCACAATGAGATATTACTGCTCACCTATCAGAATGGCTAAAATAATTTGGTAACAACACCAGTGGTTGATGAGGATGTGGGAAACTATACCACTCTTACATTGCTGATGGGGATTTAAAATGACGCAGATACTTTGAAAAACAGTTTGACAATTTCTCATAAAATCAAACATGTAACTACCACGTAACTCAGTAATTATACTCCTAGGCATTTATCCTGGAGAAATAAAAACTTCCAGCCTGGGCAACCTAGCAAGACCCCTTCTCTACCAAAAAAAAAAAAATTAAAAAATGAGTGAAGCATGGTGATACCTAAAAACTATGGAAGAAAAATGAATCTTGTGGCCCCAAAATCACCAAGCTAAAGGGAAAAGTCAAGGTGGGAAATGCTTAAGGCAAACCTGCCTCCTGTTGTATTCAAAGTTGCCCCTCTGCTCACTAAAATAAATGCATATCTGATCGCCTCCTTTGCAGACGCTTAACAGAAACTCAAAATAATGCAACCATTTGTCTCTTATCTACCTATGACCTGGAAGCTCCCTCCCCACTTTGAGTTGTCCCACCTTTCCAGACTGAACCAATACTCATCTTACATATGATGATTGATATCTCATATCTTCCTAAAATGTATAAAACCAAACTGTGCTCTGATCACCCTGGACACTCCTGAGGCTGTGTCACGGGCATGCATCCTCAACCTTGGCAAAATAAACTTTCTAAATTAACTGAGATCTGTCTCAGATATTCAGGGTTCACAAAACAAAAAGTTAATTTAATTAAAAAATATAAACACAGCTTCAGGGACATGTGGAGCAATACCAAGTGATTCACATAAATGTAATTGTAGTGTTTGAAAGAGAAGAGTGAGAATGGGCAGAAAAAAACAAAACTTATAGAAATGATAGACAAAAATCCCCCAAATTTGATGAAAAACACTGACTTAAAGTCTTATACTTCTTAGAAGCTTATTAAACCCAAACACCTAGGCATATCATGCTCAAACTGCTAAAATTATTAGCAGAAAATTTAGAAGTATCTTTAAGACTTCAGGTAGGGAAACATTTCTTAGACAATAAGTGTAACTTATAATGTTATGGGGACCCACTCAGATCCCCCCCCCAGGGTCGGTACAAAGATTATTTTAAAGTGAAAACATTTGAGATGCAGAAAGAAATCTTATCTGAACTTGCCTTATCTGACTAAAGCAGAGCCTCCCACAAATCCAACTGTCATTAACTCCTTGTGGCAAGGATTTTTCCTGTGAATTAAACTGCCATGGAGACAGATTGCCCACTTCTATTAGCATAAAAATGCCAGAGACTTCCATACTTTCCCACTGAAGCCTTTAACTACTGGCCCTGCTACCAACTTTGTTAAATTGGGGTAGAAACTGTGTCTCTGGCTATTCAGTGAATTACTCATTATTGAGCAACTCTCAGTTGCAGTGTAAATAAACTGTCTTTTCCCCCTGTTAATCTCTGCCCATTGTCAGTTAATTTGCAGGCCCCCAACCAGTGGGCCTAAATTGGAAGGGGAAAAAAGTTTTCCTCCCAACAATGGAAAAGATAAGATTCTATGAAAACTAAAAACTTCTGTATGAAAAAAAGGATAAACAGTTAAAGACAAACAGAAGGGGAGAAGAAATTTGCAAATTACAACCTATATAAATGACAAGAGTCAAAAATAACTCCAATGTATGAGTAAAACAAACCATTTTTTTTTACAAAGATGCAAAGGATAGAAACAGGAAATACACAAAATGAACATGAACAAATAAAATGATCTCAGCCTCACTACTGTTGGATATAAAAATGTTCTAAGAATAAATGCTCAGTGCCACAGAGTGAAACCGGCACTCAGGCAAACGTTTTCTCAGCAAGGCAATTTACTTCTGCAGAAGGGTGCCACTCATGTCAATCAAGATTGCAAGAGCACAGGGAACAAAGGAGAGCAGGGTTTTTTTCTCATCTCTGACACGCAGCCCTTACCTCTGTGTCACTCCCTCATGGGATGCGGTCGGACCGCACAATCTGAGCTGACCCGATTGGCTACTTGCAAATATTTTTCTAAATATGGAAGGGAAGGGGGATGTGGGGTACATTGGTGAGATGTGCAGTTTCAGGGGAACAATGGGTGCAGGTAACCAAGGGAACAGATGTGAGTTATTGATTAGAGCTGATGGGAAGGGGGTAGGCTGTTTATAGTAACCAGAGGCAAGGAGGCATGTAGAATGAGAAAGTTGAGTTTGAGAACAAAGGACAAGGAAGTTAACAGGCTAAACCTTTGAAGAGAAACATTCATTGTATCTTACACTACTGATCAGCAAAATAAAAAAGAAATAGGGTGACTTACACCCATCAAATTAAAAAAACATTAAAAAATCTGACAATTCTGAGTATTGGTAAAGTTCTGAGAAAATGTGAACTCTTATTTACCGCTGGTGCAGATTAGGACAAGCTGAAAATACTGAAACTGTGTAATGATGGGGTTCAGGACACACTGCTCCAAATATGACTGTAGAAGACCAGAATATGTTGCCCCAGATATGCCTCTTTGGCATAAGAATTATTTTGAACTGGTTATTTTGAGAAACTGTAGACACAGGAAAAGCTCTGAAAAGTTACCCTTTTGTAAGATAAATTTACATCCATAGAGAAACTGTCCATTTGCAAGGGTGTCTTCCTTGCTGCACCAGGAAGAGAAGGATAATTAAATCATTACAGATTCTTAATCAATGGAGAAGGCATTGATTAAAACCTGCACAACAATAATTTATAACTTAATACAACTACTGTAATTTACAACTCAAGTATTCAAATCTAGACACTCTGGAGTAAGTTCTGTACTCCCATGCATATAGGAGAAACAGTTGTTATAGAGAAAAATTGGAAACAATCTAAGTACATATTAAAAAGAAAACATCTAAATAAGTACTAATCAGTTGTTAAAAGAAACTAGTTATATATGTAACAACACAGATGGATCTCGAAAGCAAACTTTTGAGTAACAAAGTAAGTTGTAAAATAATACAGTATAACATTTGTATATATAGAAATATGACAGTTTATGATGTGACTGCAGATCATATATAGGAAGTAGAATGAGCTATGTAGAGTTGTTGTTTCTCTTAAGTCAGAAGTGATTGACTACCAGAAACTTCATATGATTCCACCTATTAGTAAAATAATTAATTATAAACTGGAAGGGTTAAAACCAAATTCATAATGATTTCTTTTTAGAGGATGAGTATAGAAGGTAACAAAAATGACTTTTTTAATAAAGAGAATGGGGTCTCACTCTGTTGTCCAGGCTGATCTTGAACTCTTGGAGTCAAGTGATCCTCGTGCCTCTGCCTCCCTAAGTGCTGGGATTACAGGCATGAGCCACTGTGCTTGGCACAAAAATGACTTTATCTGAAATATTTTTCTTTGATTTAAAAAAATGGCTAGGCACAGTAGCTCATGTCTATAATCCCAGCACTTTGGGAGGCCAAGGCAGGTGGATCATTTGAGGTCAGGAGTTCAAGACCAGCCTGGCCAACATAGTGAAACCCCGTCTCTACTAAAAATACAAAAAAAAAAAAAAAATGAACTGGGTGTGGTGGTGTACACCAGTAATCCCACCTACTCAGGAGGCTGAGGCACAAGAATTGCTTGAACCAAGGAGGTGGAAGTTGCAGTGAATCGAGATTGTGCCATTGCACTCCAGAGTGAGACCCTGTCTCCAAAAAAAAAAAAAAGAAGACATTTGTTCATTCCTAGTGGATATGTATGTTTGTTTTGTTGTTGAGTGCCCTTTTCTGAATTTGTATAGTGTAAACCAAAAATAAAATTCTAACCCTTGCAACTGACTGAATGGACCCTCCTCTCAGCTAAAGGCATTCCAAAATAAATCTGAAGAACAAGTTCAGGCCATGATAGGAAGTGGGGCTTGGACATGCCTGTTATCTCCTCCACCTTTGGAATCCAGGTACAACTGAGCAGCATTAGCATTAAAACAGAGATCTTGGCCAGGCAAGGTGGCTCACGCCTGTAATCCCAGCACTTTGGGAGGCCAAAGTGGGAGGATCATGAGGTCAGGAGTTCAAGACCAGCCTGGCCAACATAGTGAAATCCCCTCTCTACTAAAAATATAAGAAAAAATTAGCCAGGCCTGGTGATGGATGCCTGTAGTCCTAGCTACTTGGGAGGCTGAGGCAGGAGAATCACTTGAACCCAGGAGGCAGAGGCAGGAGAATCACTTGAACCCAGGAGGCAGAGATTGCAGTGAGCCAAGATCATGCCATTGCACTCCAGCCTGGGCAACACAGTGAGAGACTGTCTCAAAGAAACAAACACACACACACACACACACACACACACACACAAAATAGAGATCTTAAGACTGACAAAACAGACTCTTTGTAGCAATAAGTTACCAAATTCCAAACTGCCTCTAGGGTAGCATCACATGGCAGATAGCAGGCCTTGAAAAAACTGGAAGTCTTTTATCCCAAAACATATTTTTTTGACATATTTTGAAATGGCCCTGCAAAGCTGTCTCCTGTGGGGAAAATCTACATTCTGTAGAGAACCTCCCGTTTTTTCCAGGTCTTTTTCTAATCCTGAGGAGGTTAACAGAGAGTCTAGCACCTTTTAAGGGTCTGAATAGAAAACATTTGCCATCTATTGCCTCTAAGGGCAGCTGCCTGTAAGACTTCATCTATATAACAAAAACCTTGGTCTCCACAAACCCTTAACTTAACTCAGACAATCTTTTCTATTGATTTAGAAAGGTCTTCGGATAGTAACAACTCTTTATTGTTGGCAACCAATTGCTAATCAAAATCTTTAAATCCACCTATGACCTGGAAGCCCTGGCTTCCAGTTGTTCCATCTTCCGGACTGAACCAATGTATACTTTATGTGCATTGATTGATATCTGCCTGTAACTTCTTCCTTCCAGAATGTATAAAATCAAGCTGTAAACAAATCACCTTGGGCACATGTTGTCAGGACTTCCTGGGGATGTGTCATGGACCTTGGTTACTCATATTTGGCTCACAATAAGCCTCTTTAAATATTTTACAGAGTTTGACTCTTTTCATTGACAATACTTTCAAAGAAAGGAATGGGGTAAAAGATATGCTAATAAGTTCCACAATTCTCTGCCTGCAAGCTGGAGACCCAGGAAAGCCAGTGTGTAATTCGAGTCCAAGTTTAAAATCCTGAGAACCAGAGTAAATCCCTGTCTAAGGGTAGGAGAAGCCGGATGTCCCAATTCAAGTAGGCAGGCAGGAAGCAAAGGGAATGCATTTCTCTTTCCTCTGCCTATTTTATTTTATTTTATTTTTTATTCAGGCTTTCAATGGATTGGGTGATGCCCACTCACATGGGGAGGGAAACTTTTCTGAGTCCACTGATTCAAATGCTAATCTCATCGGGAACAACCTCACAGACACACCCCCAAATAATGTTCAATCTGGGCACCCTGTGGCACATTCAAGTTGACACAACATTAACAATCATAGCATTCCAATACTATCACATAACATTAACAATCACAGCATTCCAATACTATAATCCTTTATCTTGCTTAATTTTTCTTAACAGCATTTATCAGTTTCTTTTTTTTCTATTTATCTACCCCCTCAATGTAAGCTCACTTAAAGTGAGAGTTTTGCCTGTTTTATTCATTGCCATATTCCCAGTGCATACAATGGTGTGGGATACTTGTGGGCCCTCAATAAACATGTATTGAATAAATACAGTTTTTAAAACTTTAAAACACACTGTAATTACGTAGACAGAGACACATTTCTAAGTTGTACTTGTATTTTATAGTAACTCAAGAAGTCTACTTTCATTTCTACCAGAGAAGAGGTTGCTCATACATTTGCATCAGTTACAATAGGTCTTTAAATAAATTTACAATATTTTGACTTTTCATTAAAGTCTCTCAGGCTCAGTTTTTCACACCACTGTGTTTCAGGAGACTGGACTTAAGAGTCAGAGAGACCTGGGTTGAAGTACCAATCATGCCTGTTGCTAATTCTGAATTTTTTAAGTAGGTCACAAACCTTTTGTAAGCAACAGTTCCTCATTTGTAAGATACTGGTTATCATACACTGAGAGTTTGTGTGAGGATCAAAAACTGTAGTGTCTCTAAAAGCACCTTAAAAACTACAAAGTGATTCGTAGATTGTAAGATGGTATTCGACTGTAGAGAGAGAAAGCCCTTTTTGCAGGAGGCTTTGCACAGAGCCCAGACTGTTAATTCCACATCTGAAACATTTGTCTTTTTCTCTTCTTTGTACTACCCACTAAGAATAGAAATTACCTAATAAGGCTGGCCGAATGACTGACATTAGGAAATCACAGGAGTTGATAAAGGAACAATTGAGTAAGCTCTGAGAAGATAGCATCTCATTTGAAATTCTAAGTGAGGCTATGCTGGGAACACTTAATCCTTAAAGGGTTTATGAAATTTAATTGGTTTGTCTGAGGTGACTGGAGCGATAAAGAGAAAAATCAAAGGAAAGCTAGAAAGGTTAAGTGTCACCATATGATTCAAATGATAGGATAAAACATATAATTTAGTGATTTAACAGTTTCCTGCCTAGTTTCCTTCTTCTTCTTTCTCCCACCTACCATTTTAAGAATCTTGTCTTTAGGGACAGACAAACTACAAAGAGGATGCTATCAAGTCTCATTTTAAGGAATAAATGTGTTTTTGGAATGTCATGTGCAAATCAAATTGTTATAGATTGAACACTCTAAGTCATATTTAAATATGTTCAGAGAGTTGACTTCTTAATTTGGCAAATTAAAATAAAAACATTTATATAAAAATATATCAGGTTAACTACTGAATGAGAAACCCTTATGTGCATTATCCTAATCTCATGACAACCCTACGGATAGGATACATTATTTCTATTTTACAGATGATGGAATTAAGGCAGGGAATTTAAGGAACTTTCCTGTTGTGATGTAGATTATAAGTGATAAAGCCAGAATGTAAACTGGTTTCAAGTTCAGCCTACTAAACCACAGCTGCTTCAAAATAGAAATGTGTTTGCAAAGTGCATTATTTCCCTCTAAATTTGTATGGAAAATAATTAAAAATTACGTACCATTCGGGTGACTAGAATTTTCAATTAATTTGCATTTGTTTAATCTTCCAGTTGTTCCTCCTAAACCGTGCTCCCACTCTTACACACCCGAGTCCATTTCTGAGTGGTGGTCTGTAGGATCTCTCAGAGAGGCCCAGTAGATGTATTATCTTCTTTTGTAACCTTACTGGCTTCTCCTTACATATAGGGTAATGTAATTTAATATTCTATTTAAAATTTTTAGGATCTTACCCTGACCACCTGTCTCTCTAGTCTTGCCTCTTCTTCTTCCCTAAAAATTTCTAACTATTTGTGGTTCCTTAAATACTCTAGGCTTTGTCTCACCTCTAACTGGAAAGACTTCTCTTCTTGTCAGCCTGGTAAACTTCTCTTAAGCCTTGAAGATTCAGCTGTAATATCACTTTCTCTGGGAAGTCTATGTGATCTTCCCAGACAGAAGCACTTTCCCTTGTTAAAGTATGCACCTAGTGACAGACAAAATAGACTCCTGTGGCTAACTGAGATGCTCAAAGTTAAAACAGAATGAGGTGACCATGGCCTCATGGGTGAGAAAGTGGTCACATACTCTCTGTTCTCGGAAAGATACTGTAAAAGTGTAGAAACTGTATTTACAGATGCAGTTCTCTACAAAAAAAGTTTTCTACAATCAAGCCAAACCAGTTTTTGACGCTGGTGCAGAGATACAAGCTGTTGGAAATTACCCAACTGTCTACAAATAGGTCACCTGGCACCAACCAGCCACCTGGAACCAGCCAACCAATTAAGAGAGACTGGTGACTTTAGGCTTAAAGATCATCCAATCAATACTCTGTTTCCTACTCCCTTGACTCTCTTCGTCTACTCTGAAGTTTTTGCCTTTATAATCTCCTACTTCGTGACCTCTCCTCTGAGCATGCTTTCACTTGACCCTGGAGGCTGCATCTCCCCAATCTGCAGATTGCTTTTTATAGAAAATAAAGCTGTCGGGCCGGGCACAGTGGCTCACGCCTGTAATCGCAGCACTTTGGGAGGCCGAGGCAGGTGGATCACGAGGTCAGGAGATGGAGAACATCCTGGCTAACACGGTGAAACCCCGTCTCCACTAAAAAAATTAAAAAAAAAAAAAATTAACCAGGTGTGGTGACGGGCGCCTGTAGTCCCACCTATTCAGGAAGTCAGAGGCGGGAGAATGGCGTGAAACCGGGAGGCAGAGCTTGCAGTGAGCCGGGATCACGCCACTGCACTCCAGCCTGGGCGACAGAATGAGACTCTGTCTCAAAAAAAAAAAAAAAAAAAAAAGAAAGAAAGCAAATAAAGCTGTCTGCTGGACACGGTAGCTCATGCCTGTAATCCCAGCACTTTGGGAGGCTGAGGTGGGTGGATCACCTGAAGTCAGGAGTTCAAGACCAGCCTGGCCAATATGGCAAAACCCCGTCTCTACCAAAAATACAAAAATTAGCCAGGCATGGTGGCGCATACCTATAATCCCAGCTACCCGGGAGGCTGAGGCAGGAGAATCGCTTAAACCCAGGCGGCAGAGGTTGCAGTGAGCTGAGATCGTGCCACTGCACTCCAGCCTGGGTGACAGAGCAAGAACCTGTCTCAAAAAAAAAAAAAAAAAAAAAAGAAAGAGAAAGAAAGAAAGAAAGAAAGAAAGAAAGAAAAGAAAATACAGCTCTCCCCTTTTTCTCCAGAGAGCTCATGGTTTTTTTGTTAACACCCTTCTTATCCCTCTGTTTGAGCATTCATGTCTTTCCTGGGTCATTGCCTTGTCCGCTCTAGACCATCAGCAACTTGAGGAGGACAAGAACTGGTGCCTATAGTATCCAACATAGTTTCTGAATAAACCAATGACTTAAGAATCTACCCAGCATCTACCATTAGCCTGATGGACTCCCTCACCTCAGCAAAGTACAGAGAAAAGAAAAATCTTGTGCCTTCAGGGCCTTGCTATAACTTCCAGATCCCTCCCACCTTTTTTTTTTTTTTTTTAATTATTCCTGGAGGTCTAGCAGATCTTTTTGCAAACAGTATATGCGCTTTCAGTGCTCACTAGATGCAAGGATGAATGATAGGGCCACCCAGAAGTTTCAGAATTCCTGAGCTCCCTACACAAACTAGCACTCTCCACAGTCCCTTTCCAGTTATTAAATGCACCCGTTCCTTATTTTTCACACAAAAGTATGAGAAAACCAAATGTATTAGTCTATTCCCTTGCTGCTATAAAGAACTGCCCGAGACTGGATAATTCATAAAGGAAAGAGTTTTAATTGACTCACAGTTCTGCAGGGCTGGGGAGGCCTCAGAAAACTTCATGGCTGAAGGGCAAGCAAATGTGATAGCAGAAAGGAGAAGGAGCAAAAGGGGAAAAGCCCCTTATGAAACTACCAGAACTTGTAAGAACTCAGTCACCATTATGAGAACAACATGAGGGTAGCTGCCCCTATGATTAAATTACCTCCCATTTGGTCCCTTCCACAACACATGGGGATTATGGGAACTACAATTCAAGATGAGCTTTGAGTGGCGCCACAGCCAAACCATATCAACAAAATGCAGTTTTTGCAGGTGTATTAAATTTGATTCACCTCTTATCTTCCTCTAGTTTGATTGTCCCAAGCAGCTGTTAACCTAGGAGAGTCCTTTACCTTTCTGGCCTCCCAGTTTTCTTCTAAGCTAAAGGAAAAGCTGAGCTATTAGGCTGCTAAGTGCTTTACCTAAAAACCCATTTTATTGTTACCATCTTCCTGGTTTTCAAGATGAGGAAATTGGAGGGTTCAGCAAAGTTAAGGAACTTTCCCAAGTTCCGTTAACTTACAAGGGTTGAACTGGAATTTGGCCTCAGGATCTTTGACTCCCAAACCCACTCATTTTCCATTGCATCAATAATATCATTCCAGTCAGGGGTTAATTGTGAACACTGAGTGAGATAATGACAGTGAAATTGCTTTGGAGTGTGTAAAACACCATATAGATGTTAAATTTTTTTTAAAAGATTAATCAGCAAGTCAACAACATGTAATATTCTGCAGAGTACGAACTCTAAGAACACCCCCTCAAAGAAGGGAAAAAAGTGAAAGCAAAAAGATGCCTTATAAAAAAAACAAATTCAGCAGATAAAACAAATAGAATGAGACCTGTAACATTTAATATGCTTTACTTAATCCTTTGCAAATGTCCAGAATTTTAGATTTAGAAAATATTGTTTCAGCTAGAAGAGATCTAAACAGTCAGATAGTCCAACTCCCTTCATTTTATTGAAGCTGACACTGAAACACAAAATGGGCAAGTTGTATACCCAACTCTGGAACCACAGCCCAGTTGTGTGTTTTGTTTTTGTTTTTGTTTTTGTTTTTGAGACGGAGTCTCGCTCTGTTGCCCAGGCTGGAATGCAGTGGCGCTATCTTGGCTCACTGCAAGCTCCGCCTCCCGCACAGCCCAGTTTTGATGCTGAGCCCAAGACTCTTCATGCTGCACCACTGTAAAGGACCCAACTTAGAGGATTGCAAAGGAAATTGAATCTGTTGTCTATCACAGCTCAGCATGTGCAGTAGGAGTGCCCTCCCGCTCCTGTTATCAGTTACAATGGACTGAGCATATCTCAATTTTTAGAAATATATGTGGATGTACCTAATCCTCCCTCCCCAAGGATAATTATCTCTCAAAATTGAGTTATTGCTTATGAAAATATCTTGAGTCCGGCTGGGCATGGTGGCTCATGCCTGTAATCCCAGCACTTTGGGAGGCTGAGAAAGGCAGATCACAAGGTAAGGAGATTGAGACCATCCTGGCTAACATGGTGAAACCTCTCTCTACTAAAAATACAAAAAATTAGCCAGGCGTGGTGGCAGGCGCCTGTAGTCCCAGCCACTCGGGAGGTTGAGGCAGGAGAATGGTGTGAACCCAGGAGGCGGAGCTTGCAGTGAGCCGAGATCGCACCACTGCACTCCAGCCTGGGCGACAAAGCGAGACTCTGTCTCAAAAAAAAGAAAGAAAGAAAGAAAATATCTTGATTTTTAGTAAGAAAAAGACTCAAATTATTTTGTACCTGGAGCAAATGAAGTAGGCAGCTGGAAGGCTAAATTTCATCTCCAAGGGAGAACAGCTCAATGTTTGACTTAGATGCATCTAATTTTCTGTATTTTTTTCTCCTAGTCAAAAAGGCCACCCTGAGCTAATTTCTTTCTATATAAAATCCAATCATATTTTCCACCCTATATGGATTTAATATGAAATTGATCCTTATCCTGAAAATTAAAAATATTTTCTCTCCTGTATTTCAATGTGCAGTAGAGATAACAGCTTAGAAGGCCTTAAAGCAAAAGACAGAAAGACAGCTGATTCATTTGAATCTGTTACAGCAGACAATTACAGAAAGCCTACTAAGTATTAGATATGGCAAGGGTAAGAAGAGACAGAAGACAGGGTCTTGAATTAAGAGCTGAGGATTTGAGGTTTGATTTGGGTTCATGTCTCAGTAGTACCACCACTAGCATTGTTACCTTAAGCAGATTTTTAAACTTTCCTGAGCCTCGCTTTCTTGTTTTTAAAGTAGGGATAATATCATCTATCTCATAAGATTATTGTAAGAAATGCAAGAGAAATAGAGTGGCTAATATTTAATGAACACTTACTATATTCCTGAAATAGTGTTCTGTTCTTCACGTGCATTATCTTATTTAGCCATCACAAGAGCCCTATCCGGGAGGTAACAGTTGTGATCTTTCATTTCACAGATTAGGAAATGGAGGCTTAGGTTAATTAATCCACAAGTTTGCACAGACATTAAGGGTAAAGATAGGACTTGAACTTGGATGTGTTTGACTCCAGAGTCTGTACTTTTTTAGAATCACTGTGCTACTGATCTGAAAGCTTGTTTTTATCTTTATTTGCCCCTACATCTAGATCTATTTATGTTCATATCTATGTCTGTATCCATATCCAGATACATCTATCTGGCTCCCTATTATCTATCATGCCTGTAATATCTGATACACAAATAATTCAGAAGCTAATACAGTACATGCTAAAAGCCATATTGATAAATGTGATATGAGTTGAGAGAAGAGCAAGCACACGTTGAGCTTTGATGGTCGGGAGGGCTTCAAGGGAGAGATGGAACTAATGCTAGGCCTTGAAGAATGGTGTGCTTAGCACTGTTAGTTCCTTGCTCTGTCAGCCATTCTTCCCTTCCTCCTCAGTAAGAAAAGGTCCTGTTGAATGTGTTTACCAGCCTCTCTTGCAGCTAGGTGAAGCAGCTAGGTGTGACTGGGTTGCACAATAAGTGTTCATTAAATATTAGTCACTCTATTTCTCCTTCATTTCTTACAATGATCCTATGGGATTGATGATATCTCAACTGATGAAGTCCACACCATAAGGATGACAGAGAAGAGAGCTAGTTGGGGCCTGAGATTCTGATCATTCTGAAATTACCATGCCAGCCCTGGGCTACCTACCACTGGGAGTTTCTTAGGTCAAAGAAAAACAATGTCCAATCTTTAAGCTGTTATTATTTTGCATCACACACAGCCAGCAGGCTGATGCAGATGGGAGGGTTTGGATTTGGTAAGTGAGAGCATACTAAGCTGAGGAATCTATCAGGGTGTGAGCAAGGTAAAGAGTAACTAAATTGTTGCTATTCTTTCCAGGTCTACTTTTCTTGTAGAGGATATTATAAACATTAACTGAAATAACACTTGGGCTTTAGAATCAGACATGTCTGAGTTGAAATTCAGCTTCTCTCAGTTACTTACTGTATCATTTTGGTAAGTCCCTTAACTTGTCTGAATTCAGTTTCTTTTCATTTCTTGTTTTTTCCCAAGATGGAGTCTTGCTGTGTCACCCAGGCTGGAGTGCCATGGTGCAATTTCAGCTCGCTGCAACCTCCACTTCCGGGGTTCAAGTGATTCTCTTGCCTGAGCCTCCCGAGTAGCTGGGATTACAGGCGCCTGCCATCATACCCGGCTAATTTTTGTATTTCTTAGTAGAGATGGGGTTTCACCATGTTGGCCAGGCTGGTCTTGAACTCCTGACCTCGTGATCCACCTGCCTCAGCCTCCCAAAGTGCTGGGATTACAGGCGTGAGGCAACGTTGCAAAATGGGAACAGTAGTATCTACTCCACAGGCTGTTGTGAGGATGGGAGAGAATATTTAATCTTAGGAGAGTCCCTTAACTTTCCAGCCTCTTAGACACACAGGTCTCAATAAATGGGTAACCATTATTCATGTAACATCTATGCTAGCCATGCCTTCTGTGACTAAAGATGGTTAAAATTTTAGTGCTTGGGGCATTGAATTACAGTCAGAATATCTAGAACAAACTCTTTAGCCACTTACTGCTACTTAGCTTTAGGCAAGTCACTTTTTGAGCCTCAATGTCATCTATAAAAATGGGTATAACCCTTGCCCTGCCTCTCATGGGTCTTTTGTGACAATTCAATGAACTAAAGGTGAGAGGGTAGGACTTTAGGAGGGTGTAGCTGTCCACAAAAGAACCCTATGACCTTGAATTCTGCTAGTGCCTGGTGCATCCTGCAGTTCTGCCTTACCTATCCAATAGGGCATTAGCACCAGCTCCAGTCAGTCAGAAATTATCTTTCAGATTTGGGAGGTTGGAATGCTGGTGAGGCCCTGATACCTGATTAGCTCCTGGAATCTCATTTTCTCCAAGCTTATAGCACTAAGATCTTACTGATATCTGCTTGAATTATGAGGCAGTAACTACTAGTGGTTAAGAACACAGGTTTTAAAATCAGACTTGGCTTTGAATCACTGCCTCCGTAACAATCCCACTCTAACTTTGTAACTACAGGAAAGCCTCTTAAATTCTCTGAGCTGAGTTTCAGTTTCTCATCTATGAAATAGGGATACTAGTAATCACTTCCCCCCATTGACATGAGAATCAGATGAGCGGGTATTAAGTGAAACCCACTACAAATGCCATATGTTATACTTACTGTTATTTCCTGGTTCCCCACACATTAAGTCAGCTTTTATTAGAAGCCTGTCCTGGATTCACCAGGTGTTAACCTGCATATTCAGGAGTAGTTGGCACACAGAGATAAAAATGTCTAGGAGTAATGCTGTTTCTATAGCAACCACTTGTTAAATCTTTGGGAGTCTCAGGAATAGGCCTGGGATGGAGGAGCCAGCTAAGAGGAGGAGAGGACCAATCATATAATGTGCCTCTGGGTGGCCTCTGGGAGAAGGAAGGGCCTCTGGGATCTCCTAGTCTGGTGCATTCAGGCTGACATTCTGCAAGTCTGAGCCAACAGAACTTTGGGGTTGCCATAGAAACTGCTTGGTATTTCGTGGCTCTAGAAGCTTTTCCTTCTACACTATAGAATAATGAAGTTTGAGGGCTAGAAAGAACCTTAAAGGTCATCAAGTACAAATGGGAAAACTAAGGCCAAAAAAGGAATTTGCCAAGGGCATCCAGTTTCTCGGATCCTATAATGCCAACCTAGTCTAGGACCTCTTCGTGAATTTATCATTTCAACAAATATTCATTGAACACTTACTATGTGGAAAGCCCTGGCATGGTATGAAAGATGCAGAGATAAAGGCATATGGTCCTTATCATCTAGGTCAGGACTAGGTAGGGGGAGAGGGGATTGTGCCACGTTTTAAAAGCTCTGATAAGGGTACAGGGGAAGCAGCTTGTGGGGTGCTCCTAAACAGCCTGAGGGTGTCAGAAATACTTCCTGGAGGAGGGAGAAGATATTTAAGTTAAGAACTGAAGAAGGAACAAGCCAGATAAAGAGAGATGGAGTTAGAGTATATGAGGCAAATGGAATAGCATGCACAAAGACCCAAAGGGAGGAGAGAGAAAACTGGTTGCTGATCCTAGAATTTAAAGCAGTCCAGCCTTACTGGAGAAGTGTATGAAGTGGAAGAGCAGCAACAGATACACGAGAAGCTAATATGATTCAGATCACAAAGGCCTTGAAAGCCTCCATGAGGGATCTCCATTCCGTGAGCAATGGAACAACACTTTAATAGATGTGCTTTCTAAGAAGACTGTCTTTTTAATTAAACACGACAGTTATTTTAAAACACCTACATGTCTTTACAGAGATAAAGCAAATGTGGCTAAATACTAACAACTGTCAACATTTTGTTATTTACCTGATTAGTATACCCATGTTCATTATAACACTTTTTGGGTAACTTTTCTTTAGGTATGAATTTTTTAATAAGAAAGTTTAGGAAAAAATGACTGGAGTTGCTGCATTATGGCCTTGAATTGCTTGGGCCAGTTATACAGTTACTGCACAGTTACTCTTTGCCTATGTTCTACAAATGATGTGGCCAGTTCACAAGTATTTTTAAACTTGAGTTACCTCTGACGTTCTTGGAATCTACACCTTCTAAATCCAGTAATTCTTTTGTTCCATGTAATAGTTATTTACTGAACTCCTCCTCTGTTCTAGGAGTAAGAACTAAAACAATAAATAAGACATAGTTCCATCCCTCATGAATACTGCAGTCTAGGAGGAGAGGTAATTAAGTAAAACAAATGAATGTTAGGATACAATGAAGTAGAACACAGAAAATGTTCAGGTTGTCGTCAGAGTGGAGTAAAGAGTAGCAGGGAAGGCTGTGTTGATTAAAACAAGAAATCCTCACCACTTCTATGATCTTTGACACAGAGATGTTGGGTGATTGAAAGAGGAACATTTGATAATAAAGGGTCATGGTACTAACTGGGAGTTGAAGTAGGAAAATGGTTCTAAAATTTCTGAGCCTAACTTAGTAGGACATAGATTATGAAATGAGGAGATACATATTTTACTGATATCCCTCTCCTCCCCCAAAGACAAATAGCAACCTAGCCTCTCCTGTCATTCCTCTAATGATTCTGCTTATTATAGGATATAAGTTGTTATGGTGATACAAGTTGGTTCTGAATTGAGAAAAGATGGTAGAAAATATTTTAACACAGGCAAGGATTCAACTATAAGATATATATGATGTTTTAATTTTCTGCAACTAGACTAAAATGGCACCCTGACTACTTCAAAATGGCTGTGGGAATTTTTTGGGCAACATAAAATTTTCTAACTTACCAACAACTAAAAAAGATGGAAAGGAAGGCATAGAAGTGGGTGAGGGAAAAATGACACAGTTGAACATTTTTTCAGCTCTACTTGCAATTGGCTGTGGTGGCAATGTTAAGTAAGACTCTTGAGAAGTTTTCATCAATATTTAAAAGGGAAGGATTTTTTTCAAACTATTTTTTCTTATAGTTTAATAAATTTATTTCCTTAATTGGTAAGAAAAAAAGTGAAACCATTCAGAGCCTTGAAATGCTATATAATGTTTGCAGTTAATTCTGCAAACATCCTTTGGTGAGAGAGGCACAGATGAATTCGAGAAGATAAAGATGTGGCAAGGTGGGAGTGCAGAGAGAGTGTGAGAATGATGAATTAAGCAGAGATGATACAAACCAAATTCATATGAAAGTTCTTTGTAAGAGAGGCATCTAAATTGACAGATATGATTTCCATAAGTATTAAAGTTTTTAAAAGAAGGAAAGAAAAATGAGAAGATGGGTTGTACAAAATGGGAAATAACATCTAATGCAGAATGTCACACTTGTCTGGCCTTGGCTTAGCCTCTTAGAGGCTGCTGATGCCTCTACTTAGGTCAGAGACCTGTGTTTGAAAGCACAACTATATTGAAAAGACAGATCCATTACTATGGAAAGAAAACTGCCTGTGTAGCCACATCACTAGAGCATTCTATATCTGTGTTAGTCTGTTTGCATTGCTATGAAAGAATACCTGAGAGTGAGTAATTTATAAAGAAAAGAGGTTTATTTTGGCTCATGGTTCTGCAGGCTATACAAGAAGCATGGTGCCAGCATCTGCTTCTGGTGAGGCCTCAGGAAGCTAACAAACATGGTGGAGGACAAAGGGGAGCCAGCACGTCACATGGCGAGAGAGGAAGCAAGAGATGCATGGGCACCTTATGTACCAACCAGGTGGTTCTGTTTGTGTGGTGGGCAGGACCACACCAAGGGACAGATCATTACTACAATGCACTAAATTCATACAAATCCCCCCTTGCTCAAAATCCGTGCTTCTCAAATATTCTGGTTATGATTTATTTCTCATATGAGGGCCTGGGGGGTGAGCTGATCAGACGAGTTTGCTCTCTAAGCAGCCATTCTTCTATTTTTTTAAAAAAATTGACATAAAACATATATAAAATTTTACATAACATAAAATTTCCCTTTTTTTTTTTTTGAGATGGAGTCTTGCTCTGTCGCCCAGGCTGCAGTGCAGTGGCGCAATCTCGGCTCACTGCAAGCTCCACCTCCCGGGTTCACACCATTCTCCTGCCTCAGCCTCCCGAGCAGCTGGGACTACA
The DNA here is from genome assembly GCF_000001405.40 of Homo sapiens. NCBI lineage: Eukaryota > Metazoa > Chordata > Mammalia > Primates > Hominidae > Homo > Homo sapiens. Next base: position 83,352,407 of record NC_000011.10, on the reverse strand, counting down.
GGCACCCGCCACCCAGCTAATTTTTTTTGTATTTTTAGTAGAGATGGGGTTTCACTGTGTTAGCCAGGATGGTCTCAATCTCCTGACCTCGTGATCCGCCCACCTCGGCCTCCCAAAGTGCTGGGATTACAGGCGTGAGCCACCGCACCTGGCCATAACATTTCCCTTTTTAAAGTGTACAATTCATTAGCTTATTGACAAGTTTATGTAACCACCACCATTATCTAATTCCAGAACATTTCCATCATGCTGAAAAGAAACCCTGTAATGGTTAGTAGTTTCTCCCAACTCCTTCTTCCCCAAAACCTCTAACAACCACTGGTCTACTTTCTGTCTCTATGAATTTGCCTATTCTGGACACTTCACATAAATGGCATCATACAACGTATGGCCTTTTGTGTCTGGCTTCTTTCACTTAGCCTAAAAGTTTCAAGTTTCATCTATGTTGAACAATGTATCATTCTTTTTATTGTCTAAAAATGTGGTACATCCAGACAATAGGCTACTGAGTAGAACAGGCTAAGAGTGGAATTGCTGGATTATATGGTACTTCTATACTTAACATAATTTTGATTTTTCAATGATTGAATTTGCATTCATGTTATCAGTCTCTTATGAGCTTATTTGGATGAGTGCATACCTGAGAGATGAAGCTATTTGGTGAGCTGACAAAACTGGGCTCTAAGCTTGCAAGACTAAAGACCCAGACTCCACACTTGGGTGTGTTCACCAAGGTCTCTTGGCTACCAGCCTTGATTTCTGCAAACGTTTACAGGCTTATTGAAGATGACCATATTGCCCACAAATTGCCCTTCATTAAAAAACAAGGCATTAAGATTAGAACTATGTTTGTTCCCATGGAAATGCAGCAGCCAAATTTAGCTTTGTGCCGCAATGCCCTTGAGTTTATGTCTAAAGAGGCTTCTACAGATGCTTTATTCTACCTCCTACAGAAGCGGATGTGACCCAGAACATCTTGCTGTCAGTTTCTACCTAAACGAGTGCAGCTGCCCCCTTTTCTCCTTTCCCTTTCCTTGCTCTCTGCATAGCTGCTGCTCAACCATCCTCCTTATCTATGTCTCCCCGAAAGTTCAGGCTGTAGGCCGAGTTAAGGCCTTGGGAATAGGTGCTAGTCAGAGATGAGGGTGGGCATGATGGTGAGCTGGGGAGTCTGGGAGCAGTGCAGGGCACAGGGGAGCTTGAATGGCCATCTCCTTGAGCACCTGTGGGCCACTGGAGAGCTGCTCATTCTCAGGGGTATGTTTTACCTATTTTTTTAACTTTTGCTTAAAACAATAATACCCTTGGAAATATATAAAGGAATAAATAAAAGTAAAAAAATCATACAGCTCTGGAGATAAACAGTGGCTAACATTTTTTTCCAGGTGCATGTCTTTTCTCTTTAAGCAAGCAGGATTATGCTGTAACACTTTATGCAATTGGTAACCTGTTTATTTTTTTGTGAGCATTTCCCTCATGTCATTCAATGTTCTTCAAAGACACCATTTTAAATGGCCACATAGGCAATTTTGTCTCAGCCATTTGGAGGGCCACTTGAACCTGGGAGGCAGAGGTTGCAGTGAGAAGAGATCGCACCACTGCACTCCAGCCTGACCGACAGAGCAAGACTCCATTTCAAAAAAAAATGCTGTATCATCTTTGATTAGATATGTTCGTCATACTACTTTATGGTTTTCAGAAATAAAATTAAAACTTGTCTTCAGATGGGAAATACAAAAAACAAAAGAGACTTGTTAGGTTTAACACAATGGACACAATCTGCTAGAAGCAAGTTATCACTGAAAGAACCATCCTGCAAGGCTTTGCTAGAAAGTCCTGGCCTGACAGAAGCCTCTGCTGCCTCCCATTCTTCCTACAACCCTTTGTCTGCCCTCCTGGATCACAGCCAGAGAAGGATGGGGAGATGGAGTCTCTCTTTATGGGCAACCTAAGACCATAGATCTCAACCAGCAACTCCAAGGAGAACGCTAACATTCTCGTTAGATAGTTCCTCCTGAACTAGGGACTGCTATTCAAAATGGCTGCTGTCGTTACCTATTGACTACACTGGAGCAGAGCTCTGATCACTCTGTGGTGCTGGTGGGATTAGCTGCATCCATTAAAGTGGGAAAGCCCCCAACTTATCTTCCCTGTCCTGGAGCAGAGGTATACTTGCCACACCAGTTTCTGGCCTTTCTTATGAAGAATATGAAAGGGAGGGGAGAGGGAGCAGAATTCAACAAGGTGTGTCCTGAGGGGGCCCAGAAGAACTGGGGGGAAGGGTTAAAGGAAATAAAAGGGACCAGGTGTAAGAGGGGAGGGCAGTGGATAGGAGAGAATAAAGGGGGATTTTAAAAAATTACATGCAAGTAAGAGACTTGAGTTATTTTTGACATTACTTTGAGTAGCATGGACAGTGTTTCTTCACATTTTCCTAGAAGTGAACCACTACATTTTACAAATGTCACACTAGCAAATAAGGAGGGGCTGGGAAGCCCATTACCAGTAAGACAATGAGTAGAGTTCAAAAGCAGGTGAGGTTTGGGATTGGCTACTTTAAAGGTATCAGAGGCTCTGGGAGAAAGATAACATTGTTAGGGTCAGGGTCCCCAGCACTTACAGCTTAATCCTCCACTAGCTGGATTACAGAAACAGATGCATTTGCTGGCTATTAAAGTGCTAGGAGATAAGACCCCTGACTTCATAATGGCTTGATCCATGACCTCACTTTCGTGGCTTTCCTATCATGAGTAGACTTCTCCCCCAAACAGTAACAATCAGAATCTGTATTTATAGCACTGACGAGTATGCCCAATGCTGACAGGGTTGTGGTACGAAAGCAGTCTGGGCTAGGCAATGCAACAGATGGTGACAGAGAAATGGGATGTGATGACTGGCGGTGCAGAAAGTATTTCTGGTTATGTCATGAGAAAATGAATTTATACCCCTCTGAACTGACCCGACAGATTGCTTCTTAGAAACACTCAAAAAACGGGCCAAGTGAAACATCAAAGACAGATGTTTTCAGTGTCAGCACCGTGTATGGTTTGATGATTTCTAGAAGAGAAATAGCTCGTATAAAATTAGAATTTGGGGGCAGTTGCAAGTCTCCATGATTCATGAGATATTTCATTTTTACACAACAGTAGTAAGTTGAGCTGTCTTAAAGGCCTCTAATGCAACTATATTTTGATTTTATTCAGTAAGTCTCCTCTCTCTGGGAACTGAATGACTCTCTATTGCCTGGTGATCCTACTCATTAATGGTGTCAAGGGACAAATGCATACATACCATAATGGGCATTCAGAAGAGAAAAGGTGGAAGTCTGCGTGTGTGTGTGTGGTGTGTACAGAAATGAACATTCAGTTGTAAGATATGCTACAGTTTATTTAATCATGCTTCTATTTTCACACAATTTTGGTTGTTTCCCATTTTCAGCAGTGTAATAATGTTACCATGAATATCAGTATAAATCTTATTATGAGTTTTAGATCATACAGTTTAAATGCTGGCTTTCATATCTTATCAAATTTTACTCTTACAATATCCATATTAAATAGAGTAGAGATGATTATTATTCCCATGGTATAGATAAGAAAACAATGCAGTATTTTTTCAGGCCACTCATCTATCAAGTGCTAGCTTGGGCGGAATACAGTTTGGTCTGACCCTAAACATTTTGCTCCCGTTACCATACTCTACCACAGATCTCAGCACTCCTGCTTCATAAGGAGGGGCACACATGTAGCCAGGTTATTAAATAAGCTGACTCCTGATGTGTAAAGAATAAAATATTTTTTCAACAACTCATGTTTAGATATATCCCAAAGCTCTCCTTGTTGATCCCTGGTTTTAGAAAGCCCTGCCCATTCTATTTCAAAGCTGTACAATCTCATCTAATTTAACATTTTTTAATATCCTAACTCCAGCTCAGAAACCATACAAAAGAAGCTTCTCCTTCCTTTCTTTCCTCCTTTCATGAATGCAGCTGTGTTTCTGGTAGGCTCAATATACAGGGAGGGCTAGAGGAAAAGATCAGTTTTACACAGCCAGGGCACTCACAACCTAGTATTGGAGGCGTTTTATGTTGGATGCCCAGTTGTTGGTTCTTGTGAGCACAAGAGGATAGTTGTCTACAAGCCAGAAAGCAAGCCCTCTCTAGGAACCAAATAGACCTCAGTCTACTGGGGGCTGCTATAACAGAATAGAATAGACTAGGTAGCTTGTAGACAGCAGAAACTTATTTCTCAAAATTCTAGAGGTAGGTAGTTCAAGATAAAGGTGTCAGCTGGTTTGGTTTCTGGTGAGAACCTGTTTCCTTGTGGATGGCTGTCAGATGGCAGAAGGGTCAAGGGATCACTCTGGGGTCACTCTTCTAAGGGCACTAGTCCCATTCACAAGGGCTCCTTGATATGTGTGAAATTAGAGACATTGTCAAATATGATAAAAGAAGAATCAGCATTTGGTTAAGGCTGAAAGCAGATAAACAGTACAAGTTGTTCTACAGGAATAGAGAAGTAGCAGGGACTTGATAAAATATAAGAAACATGGTTTTCTCAGAAAACGTACAACAGTGATTCCTCTGAGAAAGAGGACACAAATAACATGAGCCTTGTGATTGCCCCAGACTGGAGAGTGTTTCCAAGCAGAAAGCAGGGAGGAAGAACCAAGCCAGAACCAGAATACTTTCTGAGATGAGGAGATGGAGTTGGGAAATCCAGGGAGGCCAAAGTGGTTAGAGTTTGAAGGTCACAAGAAAGCTAGAGGAGAGACCTGTCCAGAGAGCTAGAGAGGATCCCTCTTGGGTCTGTAGCTGAATACTGATCAGCACATGTGTATAAGAAAACTAATAAAACTAAGTGAGGTCAGGATAAGAACTACTGAATGAATAGAGGGAAAAATCCTTGGTGATCACATAGAGCTTGAAATAGTTTCAGCTCTCATGAGTCTGAGTGAAAAATACTGTAATTCATGGGACACTGAGCAAAGTACTGTGAAGGTTTTTGCCCTGGTAGTAGGGAAAAATTACCATGGGCTAAAGGCTGCTCTGGTCCTGCTTACTGAAGCTTAAAGGCAAGCTTTTAAAGGTTCTACAAGAAACAATGTTGGGCACTGAGGGGAAATAAAAATACATTCATTTGACAGGCAGATATTCATTGATCATTTTAATAGTTTCTACTTTATAGGTATTTGTCATCTAATGGGAAAAACAGACATATCTTTCTTCATTTAAGGGAGGAGACCACCCCTTATATTGTCTTATGCCCAATTTCTGCCTCCAAAGAAAGAAGAAGTAAAAACTAAAAGGCAGAAATGAAATCCACAAGCAGACAGCCCGACGCCACACCCTGGGCCTGGTAGTTAAAGATCGACCCCAGAACTAATTGGTTATTTGCAGAACAAAAGCACTGTGAAGATCCCTGTCCTGTTCTGTTGCATTCTAATTACCGGTGCATGCAGCCCCCGGTCACGTACCCCCTGCTTGCTCAATCCGATCACGACCCTCTCACACGGACCCCCTTAGAGGTGTGAGTCCTTAAAAGGGACAGGAATTGCTCACTCAGGGAGCTCGGTTGTTGGAGACGTGAGTCTTGCCAAAGCTCCCAGCTGAATAAAGCCCCTCCTTCTTTAACTCAGTGTCTGAGGGGTTTTGTCTGCGGCTTGGCCTCCTACACAATAATAGTACCTTGTACACTGATGTGGAATTTATTTATTTATACACCTCTGCACTGGACTGTGGACTCCTTGAGAGAAAGGTATTTGGCATAATATTTAATAAATTTTTATTGAATTAAACCATAATAATAGAAAATATTAACTGAGCTCCTACTATGTGCCAGATACAGCACTACTTTGTTAGTCTAGATATCTTCCATCTGTCCCTCAGGCCCTACTCTCTAGCCCTTCTCCATCCTTCTCTCTGCTCCAGGAACTGAACTGTATGAGCTCCTCTTTCCTCTAACATCTGTTTTGTTTGACCTTGGAAGGGGAGGTGGGAAAGTAAAGTCCTAGAAGCAGAGAGGAGAGTAAGGTCAGATTTACTCTCCTGGTTCTCTTTTTCCAGGGTCATTTCTGGTTAGTGATGTTTCTTCACCCAAGAGGTCATAGTGCCTGTTGAAGTGATTTTTCTTCATAACCTTTTTCTTCCGGAGTCTGATAACTGCTCCCTCTTATCATCTTTTTGGACCTGGAGGTGCTAACAGCCTTGGAGCATTGCAAGATCCCTGTGGATTTCCTAAACTTGCTCCTGCTGGTAAATGTTTTAATATTACTTAATATTACTTTGTCATTACTTTCAATGGCAAAAACCTCAATTACGTTTGCACCAACCTAATAACTGGGTCTCCTTGGGGGCCGGGGGCAAGATTGGAAGAAGGAGCCCTGAGTTGCAGAATTTGACAATTTCTGTGGTGTAAATACTCCTACCTTGGCTGATTTCAAGGTATCAATGGCATGTTGTTGAGCATGAAGTTGGGAAAAGACGCACAGTATCATACTGTTATATAATGTTCCTACCATAGCGATATAATAGAAGTTAAATACCCCCAAGAACATATATAATAGTAGAAGGTAAACAGTAATTAGGAAATGATGTTTTGAATATTTATTACCTTTATTTTTAATATAACTTATTTAATTCTGCTTTAAAAATTTACGTTTTAGTAATGTTTAACAACTTGTTTGCAAAAATTTCTGAAAATTTAACCATCAGCCGTTACAACGTACCCCTCACTCCTCCTGCCCTCATCTTTGCAAACCCTCCCAAAATTATAATATGAATATGTGGTGTAGTTCCTTTTGAGACCCTGACTAATACACCTATGATCATTGCCAGGCCTCTGAGCCCAAACTAAGCCATCATATCCCCTGTGACCTGCACATATACATCCAGATGGCCCGAAGTAACTGAAGAATCACAAAAGAAGTGAAAATGGCCTGTTCCTGCCTTAACTGATGACATTACCTTGTGAAATTCCTTCTCCTAGCTCATCCTGGCTCAAAAGCTCCCCCAATGAGCACCTTGTGACCCCCACCCCTGCCAGTCAAAGAACCCTTTGACTGTAATTTTCCACTACCTACCTAAATCCTATAAAACGGCCCCACCCCATCTCCCTTTGCTGACTCTCTTTTCGGACTCAGCCTGCCTGCACCCAGGTGATTAAAAAGCTTTATTGCTCACACAAAGCCTGTTTGGTGGTCTCTTCACACGAACACGTGTGAAATTTGGTGCCACGACTCAGATCAGGGGACCTCCCTTGGGAGATCAATCCCCCATCCTCCTGCTCTTTGCTCCATGAGAAAGATCCACCTACAACCTCGGGTCCTCAGACCAACCAGCCCAAGGAACATCTCACTAATTTCAAATCCGGTAAGCGGCCTCTTTTTACTCTCTTCTCCAACCTCTCTCACTATCCCTCAACCTCTTTCTCCGTCCCTCAACCTCTTTCTCCTTTCAATCTTGGCGCCACACTTCAATCTCTCCCTTCTCTTAATTTCAATTCCTTTCCTTTTCTGGTAGAGAAAAAGGAGACACATTTTATCCATGGACCCAAAACTCCGGTGCCGGTCACGGACTCGGGAAGGCGGCCTTCCCTTGGTGTTTAATCATTGTGGGGACGCCTCTCTGATTATTCACCCACATTCCATTGGTGTCTGATCTCCACAGGGATGCCTGCCTTGATCATTCATCCACGTTTCCTTGGTGCCAAGTCAATTACAGGGATGCTTGCTTTGGCTGCTCACCCACGTTGCACCCCAGGGCTGCTCCCCACCCCCTTCTCCGTGTCTCTACCCTTTTCTTTAAACTTGCCTCCTTCACTATAGGCAATCTTCACCCTCCATTCCTCCTTCTTCTCCCTTAGCTTGTGTTCTTAAGAACTTAAAACCTCTTCAACTCTCACCTGACCTAAAATCTAAGCATCTTATTTTCTTCTGCAACACCGCTTAGCCCCAATACAAACTTGACAATGGCTCTAAATAGCCAGAAAACGGCACTTTTGATTTTTCCATCCTACAAGATCTAGATAATTCTTGTCATAAAATAGGCAAACAGTCTGAGGTGCCTGATGTCCAGGCATTCTTTTACGTATCGGTCCCTCCCCAGTCTCTGTTCCCAATGCAACTCATCCCAAATCTTCCTTCTTTCCCTCCCACCTGCCCCCTCGGTCCCAACCCCAAGCGTCGCTGAGTCTTTCTAATCTTCCTTTTCTACAGACCCATCTGACCTCTCCCCTCCTCGCCAGGCTGAGCTAGGTTCCAATTCTTCCTCAGCCTCTGCTCCTCCATCCTATAATCCTTTTATCATCTCCCCTCCTCACACGCGGTCCAGCTTACAGTTTCCTTCCTCGACTAGCCCTCCCCCACCTGCCCAGCAATTTCCTCTTAAAAAGGTGGCTGGAGCTAAAGGCGTAGTCAAGGTTAATGCTCCTTTTTCTATACCCGACCTCTCCCAAATCAGCGTTTAGACTCTTTTTCATCAAATATAAAAAACCCAGCCCAGTTTATGGCTCCTTTAGCAGCAACCTTGAGATACTTTACAGCCCTAGACCCTAAAAGGTCAAAAGGCCATCTTATTCTCAATACACATTTTATTTTATTACCCAATCTGTTCCCAATATTAAATATATCTCCAAAAATTAAATTCCAGCCCTCAAACCCCACAACAGGACTTAATTAACCTCACCTTCAAGGTGTACAATAATAGAGTAAAGGCAGCCAGGTAGCAACATATTTCTGAGTTGCAATTCCTTGCCTCCACCGTGAGACAAACTCCAGCCACATCTCCAGCACACAAGAACTTCCAAACACCTGAACCGCAGCTGCAAGGGGTTCCTCCAGAATCTCCTCCTGCAAGAGCTTGCTACAAGTGCCAGAAATCTGGCCACTGGGCCAAGGAATGCCCACAGCCCAGGATCCCTCCTAAGCCATGTCCCATCTGTGTGGGATCCCACTGAAAATCGGACTGTTCAACTCACCTGGCAGCCACTCGCAGAGCCCCTGAAACCCTGGCCCAAGGGTCTCTGACTGACTCATTCCCAGATCTTCTCAGCTTAGCAGCTGAAGACTGAGACTGCCCGATTGCCTCGGAAGCCTACAGGACCATCACAGACACTCTGGGTAACTCTCACAGTGGAAGGTAAGTCCGTCCCCTTCTTAATACGGAGGCAACCCACTCCACATTACCTTCTTTTCAAACGCCTGTTTCCCTTGCCTCCATAACTGTTGTAGGTACTGACGGCCAGGCTTCTAAACCTCTTAAAACTCCCCAACTCTGGTGCCAACCTAGACAATACTCTTTTAAGCTCTCCTTTTTAGTTATCCCCACCTGCCTAGTTCCCTTATTAGGCCGAGACACTTTAACTAAATTATCTGCTTCCCTGACTATTCCTGGGCTACACACCACCTTTTCCAGACACCAGACCAACTTGTACTGTGCCCCAAATAACTTGTCATCCCTACTATCTTCTGTCTAGTCATACTCCTATTCGCTGTTCTCAACTACTCATACATGCCCTGCTCTTGTTTACACTGCCGGTTTACGCTGTTTCTCCAAGCCATCACAGCTGATATCTCCTGGTGCTATCCCCAAACTGCCACTCTTAACTCTTAAAGTAAACAAATAATCTTTGCTGGCAGGACTATGCTGAATCTCCTTAGGCACTCTCTAATTAGATGTCCTGGGTCCTCCCAATTGTTAGACCTTTAATACCTGTTTTTCTCCTTCTCTTATTCCACTTAGTTTTTCAATTCATACAAAACCGTATCCAGGCCGTCACCAATAATTCTAAATGACAAATGTTTCTTCTAACAACCCCACAATATCACCCCTTACCACAAAATCTTCCTTCAGCTTAATCTCTCCCACTCTAGGTTCCCACGCTGCCCCTAATCCCGCTCGAAGCAGCCCTGAGAAACATTGCCCATTATCTCTCCATACTCCCCCCCAAAATTTTCGCCGTCCCAACATTTTACCACTATTTCATTTTATTTTTCTTATTAATATAAGAAGACAGGAATGTCAGGCCTCTGAGCCCAAGCTAAGCCATCATATCCCCTGTGACCTGCACGTACACATCCAGATGGCCAGTTCCTGCTTTAACTGATGACATTCCACCACAAAAGAAGTGAAAATGGCCTGCTCCTGCCTTAACTGATGACATTATCTTGTGAAATTCCTTCTCCTGGCTCATCCTGGCTCACAAGCTCCCCTACTGAGCACCTTGTGACCCCCACACCTGCCCGCCAGAGAACAACCCCCCTTTGACTGTAATTTTCCTTTACCTACCCAAATCCTATAAAATGGCCCCACCCCTGTCTCCCTTCGCTGACTTTTTTCGGACTCAGCCCACCTGCACCCAGGTGAAATAAACAAGCCTTGTTGCTCAAAGCCTGTTTGGTGGTCTCTTCACACAGACGCACGTGAAAGTAGGGACCTAAGCATTTTAATTAAAGTCCTCATTTTGAATCCTCAGTGCCATTTGTTTCTGGTACATTTGGTTCCTGAGTCCTTATGTGGAGAGTTGGGGATGAAAGGTAAACTGTTACCATTTGAATGGAAAACAAGCCTGAGAACTGATTACAGATCCAGATGAACTGAAAATGTAATAAGCAGGCACTATCCTCTAAACAGGAAACTACTAATTAGATTTTTGAGCTTAGCATAAATGCCTCCTAAATTTCATGTTAATACAGAAACTCACTGTATATTGATTCGATTTTTCTGATGCAAAAAGTGTGCGCTGGTTGAATGTGTCCCTAGAGGCTTAATTGTGCTGGGTATCCTACAGCAATGGTTGTATTGAAATGTAAATAATAATGCCAAGAGCCATCATTTATGTTTGCAGTGATCGGAAGCTGTTCATTCTAAATTATTATTTTTACATTTCTCTTGTCTTTGGCCTTGGGAATATGTCAAAAATGTACAAAATGCATTTCCAGGTCAGACAAACAAATAAGTCTATATTAATTAAACACAAATCAAGTCTGTAAGTTTAAGTTTCTGTATCAGTGTGATAATTCATTAATTAAGAAACCCCAGCCATTGGCCAGGCACGGTGGCTCACGCCTGTAATCTCAGCACTTTGGGAGGCCGAGGCGGGTGGATCACGAGGTCAGGAGATCGAGACCATCCTGGCTAACACAGTGAAACCCCATCTCTACTAAAAATACAAAAAATTAGCCAGGCATGGTGGTGGGTACCTGTAGCCCCAGCTACTTGGGAGGCTGAGTGAGGAGAATGGTGTGAACCCAGGAGGCAGAGCTTGCAGTGAGCCGAGATGGTGCCACTGCACTCCAGCCTGGGTGACAGAGTGAGACTCTGTCTCAAAAAAAAAAAAAAAAAAAAAGAAAGAAACCCCAGCCATCAAACAGTCTTCAGTGAGGATGTAGGGTCCACGAGCCTCAAGGTTGGCATCAGATCAGTGAAGGAACAAAGATCATGACCTGCTTTTGACAACTGTATTGTTTTAGGAAGGAAGTTAGGAAGGAAGGATCTGAAGAGAGCTCAACAAGGGCACACCTAAAAGAAGATAAAGGAAAATAAATGCCAAGTGGGGGAACTATTTGCTTGGTAGAAGTGGAACAGGGGAAATGTATAGCATTTGAAAACAAAAACCTAACATTTCATCTTGAAACAGCAGAACTCAGTTCACCACTGGAATGAACTGAGGGCCAATCAGGCATACACTTGGAGCTCAGATCTTGGGGAACATATTTATATATAACTCTCTTTGAATTAGCTTTCAATCAGAGCAGTCTTCTGCCCAGGATATTCTGGGTTTGGAGAACAATGGCAGCCGTCTGATTTGAATCTCCCCTACACTCTTCCCAATCCCACTCCGCCCCTCAAAAAAACAAAATTGACAATGAGAATGAATAAAACCATACCTGATTTGAGTCGTCAGCATAACTAGAAAACAGAACATCATGACCTTCAAGTTATCTGTAAGTAAAGGGGAATAAAATTATAATGGACTACCGTGGTTCTTCTGCCATTGAAAACCTGTGAGGGCAAGGAGTGAAGAGGGAGAGGTTTAAGAGATTTCATGAAAAAGAATAGAGAGGAGCAAAGAACTTGGATAACATGTAGACAGAAGCACTTCCAGAAAGTGCCAGTCCAACAACAAATGGCAAAATACTGAATATAGGCTGGGCCTTGATAGCTTATGGCACTAATTATAGGGAAGGGGCTTGAAAATGTGTAAAACCCAAAGAAGGAAACAATAGACACTGGGGTCTAGTTGAGGAGGAGGGGGGAGAATGGGAGGAGGGAGAGAAGCAGAAAAGATAAGTATTGGGTAGTGGGCTTAATACCTGGGTGATGAAATAATACGTACAATAAACCCCAGGGACATGTTTACCTATGTAAAAAACCTTCACATGTGCCCCCACACCTAAAATAAAAGTTAAAAAAAAGTGTGAAACCAGATGAGGCAGCCCCAAGATGGTTACTTTGTGGGGAGCAGCAGGTACAAAGAAAAATGGTAGTATTAGTTGAATACAAGACAATAAGAAGTAGGTAAGGAAATAAAAGGAAAAAATTAAGGATACTACAGAAACAAAAGAGAAATAAGACCTACCAATCCTTCCCTTTTCCACAAAAGAAACTGCATAGAAGGCATAATTGACATAAGACGTAAGAGAATGTTCTCAAACTAGGATCGCTGTTCATGAAATGATTTGGCATAGATAGAAAGCAAACCACAACCACATAAAACTATTTAAAAAATCACAAAACACAAGTCAAAGCATTACTGTGTTGAAAACTTTCTCCAAAAACCAACTATAAAACTGAAGAAACCCGTAACACAAAACTCTAAGCTGTATGAAATATACTCAAACAAGTATTTGGGGATATGGAAAACACCGTGATCCAGAAATACAAAAATTAAGAGTAGATACAAACCTAAAAATAGAGGTATGGGGGGAATGATATGAGAGTTGATTAAGAATGGAAGTAGAAGAAAAAGATCAAATTATATCAGAAAAAAAATGATATCAGAATCTGCCCCACAACATAAATATTAGGAGGAGCCTCTCTATGGTCTCCATTCTTTTCATTTTTACCCCTCTTCCCCCAGGTTTCCAGATCCTTCCTTCTCTGCCCTCTGTGTTTATGAAAGTAAGTCCCATATCACTTTACTACTGTTACAGCCATTTCATGAAATCGCTAAGTGTCCTCAGCACTAGAGCTTCCTTATCATCAGAGTGGAGCACCTACAAAATAAATGAGCTATTCAGAACATAATTTTATAGTATTCTTATGCTTAAAAAAACTCATCCAAAGAATGTCAGTTTCATTTCTTACACATTCTCCCCCACCCCTGCCACCAACCAGGATTTTCAAAGGTTGACATCACAGGGGAGAAAAAGTAGTATCTCTTCCTCACCCATCACAAGGTTCATTGCTGACACCCCTATAACAAAGACAGATTAACAAGAGAAAAGGATAACAAAATTGTTTAGTGAAAGTTTTAAGTGACAAGGAACCAACAACCCAGGGAAAACTATTTTTATGGACAGTTGGGCAAAAGTACAATTGGAGAATAAAGGGAAACTTAAAGAGAATCTAATACTAATAAACTACGGGAAACTTAGCAAGGCCAGTTTGTTCAGATTCTTCTTGGAGTCTCTGTGCGACATTTCTTTCCTCTGAGTATAGGAGAGACACCTGTTACATGAGGGTTTTCAGGGGAGAAAGGTAGGAGAAGGTCATAGAGTGACCTTTGTGTTTCTGCAGTTTTCTCAATTCCCTTCAGTTTAAAATACTCAGTAAGCCGACGTGCCATACTTTGGGATATCATAGTCTGAGCCCCAACAGTATTCTTTTTTTAACTTGTTTTTGCTAAATAATTTAAATATTTAAATATATCCAGGTTTGTTACATGGATATATTGCATGATGCTGAGGTTTGGGGTAAAAATGATTCTGTCACCCAGGTAGTGACCATAGCACCCAATAGGTGGTTTTTCAGCCCACTCCTTCCTCCCTCCCTCCCCAGTCTAGAAGTCCCCAGTGTCTATTGTTCCCATCTTTATGTCTATGTGTATTCAATGTTTAGCTCCCATTTGTAAGTGAGAACATGTGCTCTTGCATTAATTCACTTAGGATAACATCCTCCAGCTCCATCCATGTTGCTGCAAAGGAAATGATTCTGTTCTCTTCTGTGGCTGCATAGTATTCCATGGTGTATATGTACAATATTTCCTTATCTAATTCATTGTTGATGAGCACCTAGATTGGTTCTACGTCTTCGCTATCATGAATAGTGCTGCAATGAACATATGAGTGCATGTGTCTTTTCGATAGAATGAATTATTTTCCTTTGGGCAGATACTCAATAGTGACACTGCAGAGGTAGTAGGATAGAATGGCAGATGGAGGTACCTAATAGATGAGCCTTAGTTCCCTGTGATCTGTTCCCAAGGGGATCCAGAAGTTATCATGTGGCCCTGGAGCTGCATACTAGTGCACAGTAGTTGAATGGTTGTTCTGTTTTAGTTCTTTGAGAAATCTCCAAACTGCTTTCCACAGTGGCTGAACTAGTTTGCATTCCCACCAACAGTGTATACGTATTCTCTTTTCTCCATAGCCTTACCAGCATCTGTTATTTTTTTGACTTCTTAGTAATAGTCATTCTGGCTGGTGTGAGATGGTATCTCATTGTGGTTTTGATTTGCATGTCTCTGATGATTAGTGATGTTGCCATCTTTTCATATGTTTATTTGGCTGCTTGACTGTCTTTTGAGAAATGGCTGTTAATGTCTTTTTTTAATGGGGTTGTTTGGTTTTTGCTTGTTGATTTGTTTAAGTTCCTATCAGATTCTGGATATTAGACCTTTGTCAGATGCATAGTTTGTGAATATTTTTCCCAACAGTATTCTTTATCATCCTTCAATTCTTTAGCATGGCACAGCTATTCACATAAATGAAGCCTGTCAAATAGAAAATCTCCTGGATGAGTGTTCAGAAATATTCACTGGTTTAACAGAGACTTCTAGGTCACCATATTCAGGTGAGCCTGTGGGGAGAAAATTTAAGGAGCACTGTGTAAAACCACACACACCCAAGGCCCAAGACTTGTGAGAGCTGAAACTCAACCATTGGAGATTATTTTATGTTGATCACTGTTATTTCACCTGAAGCTCTAGAAAAGGATATTCAAATAGAACTCCCTCAGCAAATATTTACTCTGAGATATCCAGCCCTTTCCTTAGCATGTTTGTGAGCCCTGTTCTTTCTCTATGCTCCATATGGGCCTTTCTCCCATTGACATTGAAGACTGATGTCTTGCTCACTGGGTTAGCCCCACCCTGGCTCTCATTGGAACTACTGGACCTCTGAGGCCTCTGCAGCCGTGTTGAGGTTGCCAGTATGGATGGCCTGCTCTGCCCTCTGCCTCAGCATCACTTCTGCTGGCCACACTCACACAAGTTTATCTTAAAGAGAAACTGGAGGACACTATATAGAAGGTGACTTGCATCTGAACTTTGCCTCCCTTCTTCTCTCTCACCTCTTCCACCCAGTACCAGAAGGTCTTCCAAATTTCCTCTTACCTCCCAGAAGGGACACTCCTCATGTTATGTTATAGCCTTCTCCCCTCGTTTCAACCTCTTAGTCTAGTCCTATTAGAGAAAACACTAGGGGAAAAGAAACAGAATTCATAACAGGTAAAAATGCAACAGGAGTTACTTTGAAAATATTATCATCTTTGTCACACACATAAAATGTGAAGCAGTCCAAGAGGCTTGTGTTAAATACTTAAGTACTTAAGGTTTTACAGAAGTTCATATGAGTTCAAAAGAAGAGCAATCATCAAAGTTAACATAGTTCAAGAAGGCTTCATGAAGACTATAGATTCAAGCTGGGTTTGGAAATGTTCATATTCCTCGTACATTCAGAAAAAACAAGAGCATCCTAGGAAGAGAAAACAAAGTGAGCAACAGCATGGCAGGTGGGAGGTGTTATGGCCCACCAGCTTGGATGGAGCAAAGGGGTTGCTTAGGGGAAGAGCACAAGACAAGATGAGGGCATCAATGACCCAATTATGATGATCTTTGAATGCTAGACTAGGCACTGTCACAAGCGTTATCTTTTTCATCCCCGCAAAAACCATGTGAGGTAGGCAATTCCTGTATCCCACTTTAAAGATGAGGACCTGGAAGCTCCAAGAGATTAAGTGACGTAAGAGCAAACAGCCAGTTAGTTGCAAAACTCTCTGTCATCAAGTCTTAATTGTCACATAGATAAAACAAACTCGTACTGTGTTGCCAATACTTTATCCTAACATATGATGCCTTGATGAGAAGAGGTTGGTGGTGACATACCAGAGTTATTTTCGACCTCACCAACACACACATGCACACATACACACATATGTGGACACTCTGAGATCAGCGTAAACTCTGTGCAGTTTGAACTTCCATACATGTGTTGTAGGCATGATAGATGCCATTTTCACTGAATGTTGAAGGCAAATTGAATTTTCTTTTTGACATCTTGACATTTTTGATTGGATGTAGTTTACCAAGCAAAGGCCTTTCCATATACCACAGGCTCTGAAAACATGACTACACAAGGTATAATAATGTAATGTTGCTGTTACAAGCTCCATTCGATTTACTTTGAAATGTCATTAAAAATTGCTTCTGTCAGAGTGTAGGTATTGGATCTGAGACAGGTTTCTAGGAGTGTTGCTGGAGTTGATGGGCAACTGTTGCCGTAGGCCATGGATGAAAGCCAAGCAAGACAAAGAGCTCAGCACAGGGAGAGCCCTTGGACAGGAGGTAAATATGAGGATTTGGGGGAGCTAACAGGCACCTGAGTGGTGGGAAAGGAGCTCAAAAGGGTCCAAACTAAGACAAATACTCCTTCCAGCCTCCACACCATGCTGTCACCTATCCTTATGATGGATAAGACTCTCAAAGCAATGCCCACTCTCTACCCAACATCTCCATTTGGAAAACTGATATAGATCTAGGTGCGGTTGAAATGTTAACACTCTACATTTCCCTTAACCTAATTACAGTTACTGCATCACAATTAGGTTAAGGGTATCTTCTTCCAATCCGAATCAGTCTCTAGCCTAGAGGTGTGACTTTTTGATTCACATTTCTATCATTTCATTCTCAGTGTCTATTTTTAGTTTTTCTCCAAAACTTCTTGCAGAAAATGGGGCAGAATTCTCTACTGACTCTGTATCTTAATGGACTACTGGTTCTTGCTTTTTTAAGCCCATTTATTTATATTACGTAATCATAGCTATAAGAATAAACCCTTGCTTTCAAGCACCAGTGGATTCAAGACAATGAGAAAGTGTACTAAATGTCGGTGCTTTTTAACAAATATTCAAAATGAGATTAAGCCCTGGAGTGCCACCTAGAGAAGGCTATCCTAGTCATGGATGTTTACAAGAAGCCTACTCCTGTACTTGAAGCTCCCTCCAGCTCTCAAATTCTCTAAAGCAGGCCAGTTTCATCTGGGTTTGATATGAGTGTTGCCTCAGTGTTTGTTTGCCTTGTTTTCTGCACTGGATTCTAGTGCAGAATGAGGCCCATTCCAGTCCTTGTTCCTAAGGAGAGCCTGTCCACTGGTGCATACAGGCATATTGTTGCTTTTTCTTAACTTCTGAGCATGTTCTTCCATTGCCACACTCCGAATTTCTATTTTGTGCCACTTCCTCCTGTACAGATGACCCTTAGAGCAGTCTTCACACTGGATTAAAATGGCTTGTTTGCATGTCTGTTTTAAGAGACACTGAGGTACTTGAGAAAAGGAACCGTATTAGAGTCTCCAGAGAAACAGAACCAACAAAATGTGTTACACACACACATATATAAATGTGTGTGTGTATATACATACACACACATATATAAATGTGTGTGTGTACAGTGATTCACTTTAGGAACTGGCTCACACAGTTGTAGAGGCTTAGTGAGTCCAATATCTGATGTGGGAGGCTGGAAAGCTGGAGATTCAGAAAAGAGTTGCAGCTCAAATCCAAAGGCCATCGCTGGCAGAACACCCTCTCACTAGAGAGGTCAGCCTTTTGTTCTAGTCAGGCTTTCAATTGATTGGATAGTGTTCACCCACATCATGGAGGACAATCTACTTTACTCAAAGTCCACTGATGTAAATGTAAGTCTCATCAAAAAACACTCTCAGAGAACCAGAATAATGTTTGACCAAACATCTGGGCACTGTGGTCCAGAAAAGTTGACGCATAAAATTAACTGTAACAGGGACTTTGTCCCAATTGCCTTTAACATCTTCAGCACCAGCAAAGCCTTAATATACAGGGTGTTTGTTGAATGAAATGATGTCCAATGAATGGTGATGCAACCTTCTCAGCGACTTGAAACATCCAGTTCGCTACAGCCCCAGACATTATCATTTTCTTTTGACTTAGTATAATTATTTTTTAAAAAACCCTTAAAGTGGTGGCAATGTTCTATTTAGAGATTGATAGATATTCTTAATCTTTAGGCAAAAATGTTAAGAACAAATCCTGCAAAGAGAAAAATAAGCCTGTGTCCAGGGATGAGAAAGGGTATGCCATGCCTATCCCTAAAGCTAAGACCATGTGACATTTGCTTTTGTAGCTGGTCTCCTTCACTGGGTCTCTGAGTGGGAATGGAACTGCATCCAGCAAGGGCTCTTGAGCCATCTGAATCACAGGTAGAGACTGTGATTGATGGAGTGTAGGATTTTGTCCAATAAATTCAGAGGCTACTTCCCCACTTCCCCATCTCTTGGTCTTGTATTTGACTCTTCAAATAGCCCCTGAAGCCAAGGTGAGTATGGAGGGGAGTTGGCAGTACCTAATTTATACTAATATTATACTTAAAAAGTAATAGAATGTCCTTTGAAAGGCCTCACTGTTTTAACAGAGAGACACCTGAGGGTAATCTGTCTAATGAACAATAGAGGTAATTTCCACTAGAGTTGCTTGGGGATTTTGTTTATGTGATTTATTGTGGTAGTTTTTTAAAGGTATAGGTGAATTGAGCTTCTATCTTCAGACTAATTTTTGTGGTTGAAATAGAGCTCCATAATTTTCAAGAAGGGAAAAGTGTCTATTATTAATTCATTCAAAACATATTTACTGAGGCTGGGTGCTAGGCCATGAAGATACCAAGCTGAATAAGACCCAGTCCCTGTCTTCAAAGAGTCTCCTAGAGGGAGGCAGCCATATATGGATGGTTTTAGTAACATTACTTGTAATAATGAAAAACTGGAAGTCAACCAAATATCTCCATCAAAGACAGAATAGAAAAAATAATCATTAAATAGGCCCACAGTTCCTAAACTCTGAAAGCTAAAAGTGATTTTATAACTCATTTGGCAGCAAAGCCCAACATGAACTAACATGAGGTTATTTAGTGTCTTTATTATTCCATTTAGTGTGAATATTTTCTATATTTTAAGGAGAAATATTCATGTGTTTAATCAGAAAATGCTTCTCCAGACCCTACTGGGAGTGCCATGTTATTGATGGAATAAATATCCTATTACCTTTATGGAAAAAAGCAAAAAGTCTGTATTTGCAAACACATCTGGCCCCAGGAATTTGGACTAAAGACTTGAGGGCTATGGACAGGTGCGGTGGCTCATGCCTACAGTCCCAGCACTTTGGGAGGCCGAGGCGGACAGATCACGAGGTCAGGAGATCGAGACCATCCTGGCCAACTTTGTGAAACCTCTTCTCTACTAACAATGCAAAAATTGGCTGGGCATGGTGGTATGTACCTGTAGTCCCAGCTACTCGGGAGGCTGAGGCAGGAGCATCGCTTGAACCTGGGAGGCGGAGGTTGCAGTAAGCTGAGATCGTGCCACTGCACTCCAGCCTGGCAACAGGGCAAGACTCCATCTCAAAAAAAAAAAAAAAAGACTTGAGGGCCTGTATAACCGAACAGTGGGATTCCACTAGCCAAGACAATGAATGATTTACAATTACATATATCAACATGAATGAATCTCAAAAGCAGGTTGAATGAAAGAAAGCAAGTCACAGGAAAAAACATTCAGCATGATGCATGTTGCATTAAGTTTAGATTCTAACAAACTTAGCATGATACTGCTTAGGAATGCATACGTTTTATCAGTAACTAAAACTAAAGGAATCATAAAGACAGATTCTGAATGGTGGCTCCTCTCTGGGTGGGTAGGGGCCCAAGGTTTAAAGGTGATAGAGTGGGTGGCACTTTGGCAGTACACTGGCACAAATGCTTGCTAAAGCTTCTGCAGGTAGGGTTCCTACTTGTGGCCAGGAAGAGCCAGTGGGGTATGAGAAGGAGTTATGGGTTCTATAACCAGAAGGCTGCTGTAGATCTCCTACAATGACTTCTTTCCAAAGTTGGAGTTTTGAAACTGTATCCAACAGGACTCTTGACTCAGTTTTCTAGGTTTTCCCTTCTCTTTGCCCTAGATTTAACTTCATATTCCCTGATTAGACTAAAGCAGAATTGGTTCAGATAGGAGCTGGCAAGAGATAGTGTTCTAAAAATAAAGGCTGCAGTTGTGTGGGGAGCTCTGATGAGAAAGGACGCAATTAATAATCTCCACTCAACAGGAAGCCAAGGTAGAAGTGATTCATCTGTAAGTTTGCAATCCTGACTTTATGGGCAAGCATTTCAAACAATTTATGAAAATTGCTAATGAGAATGCAAACCAACTTCATATTCAGAACGATTAGCCTCATTAAAAACTAATCACATTTCTACTCACTGCCCCCCTACCTCATCCTACTTATGCACACAGAAAGTTGCCTTATTGAATCTGACTGTGATGGGCAGAGCCTGGGGATGGACTTGCAGAACTCTCAGATAAATTTTACATTTAGATTGCCGTGCCGTCAGCAGTAATTGGAGGAGATGCAGACATGATAGAGAACAGTGAATGATGAAAAAGAATATTTATTACATAGTCCTGAATGTATCTTACTGCAGATTTTCATTCATTCATCCATCACTCATGTTTTCCATAGACAATGTTCCAGGCACTGTGTTAAGCACTAGGGGATAAAAAATTGAATGTATTCCTTTCCATTTAAAGAGCTCCCCATTAGACAGGAATACAAAGATGAGAACAGATGGTTTTAATTCATGTAAAGCCACCTTCCCTTGTCAAGAAGGACCACCTATAGAATAACTCCAGGGCCACCAGTCATAAAATACAACATGACGCTGATCCCTGGAGATGTCTCTTAGGAGTACTGAGGATGGCACTGAAATTCAGGGAAGGGCTGGTGAGGACAATAAAGACCTTTAGAAGACGATAGTGACCTGGGTTTGGAGAATGAATAGAGCTGACTGGGTAAAGAAGAAATGGGGGAGATATGCTTGCTGGTATAGTTTTGTTCCTCATAAAACAAGGTTTATTCCTCACCTAGAATCATTTATTCATGAAGATATCATATCTACTTCCTGTCAGTTCCCTTCATTCTTGAGAAAATTCAGGGGTTGAGAATCTGCAACTCCACTTCGGACAGGAGAAAATTCTACAAGTTCCAACAGATAGCGCGTATGTAACTATCCTAGGAGATCCGGAATTTGAAAGCCTATAAGGAAACAAATAAATTTAAAGAATAATAAAAATAGCTTCCATTACTTGAGAGCCAACTCTGCACCAGGCCCTGGACAGGGCACTTTATAAATAACATCTTAATGAATCTTTGAAAAACCCTAACTGAGGCCCAGAGAAATGAATTTACCTGCCCAAAGGCACAAACACAGTTGGTGGAGGACCAATATTTGTTTGATTCCAAAGCTTTGCTCTTCAGGAAACGAAGTGAATAAAGAAATAGCAAAGCTTCAAGAAATAATGCAAAGTTCTCCTTGTTCCAGACCTCTCCAGTTGTAGTTTTGTAGGAGAATCTCATCCATCCTACTACCTCCTATGACTCAGTAAAGTACACACTTCTCTTTCCATAGATGAAATTAAAGTGCTAGTATTGAACTCAAGTGCTGCGTATTTCTGAGAAGCATTTCTAGTACTTCCTTACAAGTACAAATCATCTGCATAAATTCCAAAGAAACCAGCCAACAACTCTAGCTTCAATAAAATAATAGTAAGTTCCAGTGTATGGTGGATTTCATTACTAGTGAGAATTATACATTTGGATAGTCCACATTCTCTAATATACAACAACAGAAGCCTAGAAGTGACATTGTCCAACAATTCAAAGGAATAAATAAACAACATTGATCGAACCACAACACGCCCTGGCATAAACAACAAAAATAAACACTTATTTTCTCTTTTAAAAATCCTCAGCATTTGCTTCAGCAAACCATTTCTTTTTTTCTTTTATTTTTAATTGGCACAGGATAATTATACATATTTATGGGACACAGAGTGATATTTCAATAAATGTGTAATGAACAAATCAGGGTAATTAGCATATTTATCACCTCAAGCATTTATCATGTCTTTGTGTTGTGAACATTCAAAATCCTCTCTTCCAGCTTTTTGAAAGTATGCCCTAAATTGTTAACCATAGTCACCCTGTACTGTGCTGCAAAACACTAGAACTTACTTCTCCTATCTAGGTGTAATTTTTTAAGTGTTAAATATTCTTTATTTGATATTACACATAAACCACACTAAAATGCCTTTCAATGAGTAACAGAAACCATTTTAGATACAGGGAATTCTAATTAGACTGGCACAGTTAAGACCAAAAATGTAAAGTAGACATTGCTATCTCATCTTCAGCCCTTGCCTTTAAGAGGCAAATGAACACAAAGCACAGATGAATCTTGCTTGGTTCCGAGATAGGGAAGGAATTTCCCCAGTATTTAAATATATTCGTATAACCAGTTACATAAATCTAAATATAAAACCAATTTCCAATAGATTTTTAAGATGGCATTCACCATCTTTGTGAACATTTGAACATTACCAGCGAAGTTCAATCCTCTCTTTAGAAGTGGAAAACCGTGATAGCATTTACTGAATCAGAACTACTTTTACAATTTAAAAAGGCAAGCATATTCATTTAACCACAAGTCAGTTTTAGTTAAACCAGGACTGCTCATCAAAAAATATTCTGTCATTTATGATCTGAATTCTGGTTTATGAAATCTATTAACTTATAATATACATAAAAAAGTTATGAGACATTTCTGTTTTGTAATAAATAAGGCAGTGGCCAATTCTTACTCCATAGCAGCTTTTTTGAGATAAGCTATCAAGCCTACCCTTTCTGCCTTTCTTCTTAATGCTGGTGAAGCTCATTTTTGTTCCAGGGATATACTTCTTGGGATTCTCCAAATACTCCATCAGTGAGTACATCATCCTCTCCCTAGGTGGTACCTTTATTCTTATTGGCATCTGTGTAAGAGAATCCAGCATCCTGATCTGTCTTCTGCCCAAAGATACCGTGAAGATTTGACGCAGTCTTGTGCTAGCCTCCCTTTTCCATGGTGTGGCACTGGACACACTCCTCAACAAAAGTCTTCTTGCCTTTCTCAGCATCACCTATATTTAATTCTCTTTTTTGTCACTGGTGCTACAAAGGTTCCCATTTGGAAGCTGGACATCACACTCTCTCTAGCTCTACTTTTTGTATCCATTAACCTACCTTTACTCATCCTTCTTCCCCCAACACTTCTTATGCTCTCACAACCACAATTCTACTCTTTACTTCTACGGGGTGTCTCTCCCTCTTTTTTTTTTTTTTTTTTTTTTTTGCTCCCACTGTATTAGTCCATTTTCACACTGCTATAAAGAACTTCCTGAAACTGGGTAATTTATAAAGGAAAGAGGTTTAATTGACTCACACGTCCACATGGCTGGGGAAGCCTCAGGAAACTTACAATCATGGCGGAAGGGGAAGGAGGAACCTTCTTCACAAGGCAGCAGGAGAGAGAGACAGGGCATGTGAAGGAAGAACTGTCAACCATTTATAAAACCATCAGATCTCATAAGAACTCACTATCATGAGAACAGCGGGGGGAAACTGCCCCCATGATCCAGTCACCTCACACTGGGTCCCTTCCTTGACACGTGGGGATCATGGGGATTATACTTCAAGATGAGATTTGAGTGGGGACAAGCCAAACCCTATCACCCACATATGAAGGAGAAGATGTGGCATTTATCTTTCCGCACTTGATTTACTTCACTTAACATAATGTCCTTCGGGCACATTTGTGTTTAGCAAAGCAATTGTCAACTACAAACCTGAACAAAAAGAAATCCTCCTGCATTAGTCAAGATTCTCCAGAGAAACAGAACCAATAGGATGTGTACATAGAGAGATTCATTTTAAGGAACTGGCTCACATAATTGTGGGAAGTGGCAGGTCTGATATGTCCAAGACAGGCCAGCAGGCTGGAGACTGAAGGAAGAGTTGATTTCATAATCTTGAATCTGAAGGCAGTGTGGGGGCAGAATTTCTTCTGCCTTGTGGGACCTCTGTCTTCTCTTAAGGCCTGCAACTGATTAGATGAGGCCCACTCCCATTATGGAGGGTAATCTGTTTTACTCACAGTCTACTGATTTAAATATTAATCACATCTAAAAAATACCTTCACAGCAACATCCAGATGGGTGTTTGACCAAACAACTGGATATGATAGCCTAGCCAAGTTGATACATGAAATTAACCATCACATTTTCCATTTTCCAAATCTCAGTAAATGGCAGTACCGTGTACCCAAATGCCCAAGTAAAATACATAGAATCTTCTAGATCCTTTCTCCTCCCTCACCCTGCATACCCAAGTACTGAAAATATGAATTCCCAAATATTTCTAGACTTGATTCCTTCCTTTTCTTCCCCATGCCTACTGACAAACCATTGTCTCTTACCTGAATTGTTAAAATAGCCCCCTAACAGTTCTTCCTGCCTCGAGTCTCACCCTCCTGTTAAATTTCAAAACCATTAAATTCATTTCTCTCTGAAAATGCTTCAGTTATCCTCCATTGTTTACTAAATAAAATTTAACTTCCATAAGGTATGGCCCACAAGGCTTTTCTTGATCTTGCCCCTGATCACTTATCCAGCTTCATCTCTCACCACTGCATCTTGTTTACCCCAAACCTAGACAGCTACTTGCAGGCTCCAAACGCCCTGTGACAATTCAAGTGCTGCTCCCTCTACTAGTAATGTCTTGCTTATATGGAAAATGTTCATTCTTCCATCATCACATTCCAAATTTTCCTTCTTCCCTGGCCTTTCCCACCTTCCACACACACTTCCTACAATACAGACTTACATTCTCTTTTTTCTGAGTTTCTTTAGTATTTGGCTTACACTTCTATTGATCACATTTCATATGGACATTAAAATATATTTACATGGTTGTCATCACTATTAATATATGATCTTGTTAAAGGATTATGTTTTTGTCTTTATTCATCTTTTTACCCTCAGTTCAAAAGACAAAGCCCAAGAGGGGCTTCAAGACAGCTGACTTGAGGCATATTGTACTCAGCCTCCTCAGAAAGAACCAAAATAGTGAGTAGATAATCACACTTCAAATAGATTGTCCAAGAGAGAAAACTGGAATTCAATTGAGACGTGACAGGAAATACCTAAAGCAAGGCAGAAAGGGAAGTGAGGTAGCCTGCTCAGGCAAGACTGGCTGGAAGCCTGGAGAGACTCCCCAGTGTGGGGAAAGGGTAACTGAGAGACCACCGCAGTGGTCCACATTTCCACTGTGGACTACCACAATCCTAGTCACAGGAGAAGCTCTTAACCTTTGTGGGCCTGAAACTGACATAGAGAGCTGCCTGGGGAGCACACAAAGGCACTGCTCCAGAGTGGGAGCTCATGCTTAGCCCCCCACACACCTTGAGTCATAAACAGCTATAACATGGTGCCATTTTGAGAGCCCAACCACCAACAGACCACACACTGCCCTGAGGCTCAACAGCACCTGCATCACCACATTCCTGGAGCTCCACTGACATTCCCCACCTGCATCACTGCCATGGCTGGCTGCTGCCACCTGGGCCAAGGTGCAGGCCACAGGCAGTCACTCTACGGCCTCCAATAGTGGAGCCATTACACATTTTAGTGTACCCAGAGACAGTCCCCCACCTGCCCAGCCTGGCTTTGCCCACATCCACCCACTCATGCCAGAGCATGTAGTCTAGGGACCTGGGGATCACCCAGTCCATCACCAATGGCACCTGAGCACTCCTGCTGGGGGCCTGAAGTTGGGTCCACCCACCCTGCTGCTACCACCACAGCTGGCACCTACTTGCATACACCACTTGCAGGCCTGCAGAGTGGCCTGTCCAGCCCATCACAGCCACTGCTATCACCAGCACACATCACTCGAGACACAGATGGTTATCTTGCCACTGCCAGTGCCATCACTCACACCACACCTGTTGCCCAGGAGCCCAGGAACCCATCCACTCACCCAACTCACTGCTGACACTATCAGCATCTGAGCAAGCCACTTGGATGCCCAAGAATCAGCCCACTTAGACCTGCTAACACCAGTGCCAGCATATGCCGCTCAGGAGGCCCAAGGACGAGAATGCTCAGCCTACTACTGCCACCACTGGGGCCCAAAGACTGGCCTTCCCATTGTTCCAGTCCTCAGCAAAACTTCATCATAGCCTCCACTAATAATCACACCCTAAGTTACCAAGGAAATCACAGATACCACTGACACTATTTACAGCTAAAGAAATCATACAAAGACTAGACTACTATGTGCATTCAGTATCAAAGCCAAAGTGCCCTATCTAAACAATACCATAGAAACATCTTCAGGAAAAAGTCTTCCCCTACAAAAGTAAATTCAAAAAATTGGAAGAAGCAACTGTTACACCAGATGTGCAGACATCGATGTAAAAACACAAGAAATATGAAAAAATAAGAAAATATGACCCCTCCAAAGGAACACAATAATTCTTCAGCAATAGATATCAATGAAAAAGAAATTTACAAAATCCTAGAAAAATAATTCAAAACATTGGTTTTTTTAAATTTCAACATTTGAAAACTTCAACAATAGACTAGAACAAGAAGAAGAAAAGATCTCAGAACTTGAAAACAGGTCTTTTGCAGTAACACGGTCAGATAAAAATAAAGAAAAAAAATGATCAAAGCCTAAATAACATATGGGACACCATAACGTGACCAAATATTAGAATTTCTGGAGTCCCAGAAGGCACCTATCAATAATAACCTTAAATGCAAATGGATTAAACTTTTCACTTAAAAGATACAGACTGGGTGAATGAATTTTGTTTAAAAAAATGGCCCAATGATTTACTGGTTACAAGAAACTCATCTCACTTTTAAAGACACATATAGACAAAGTAAAGAGATGGAAAAAGACATTCCATGCAAACGGACCAAAAGCAAGAGGGAGTAGCTATACTTATATCAGATAAAACAGACTTTAAGATAAAAACATGACAAAGAGACACAGAAGTGATTATATAATAATAAAGGGATCAATTAAGGAAGATGATATAATAATTTTAAACATAGACTTATTTATGCACCCAGCATGGGAGCACCCATACGTATAAAGCAAATATTATTTGATTTAAAGAGAGAAATAGACTCCAATACAGTAACATTTCAAGACTTAACACCTCATTCTCAGCATTAAACAGATCATGTAGACAGAAATTTAACAAAGAAATATTGGTTACGTTGTATTAAGCACAAGTAAAAAATAAAAATAAGAAGGAAACATTGGATTTAAACTGCACTTTAGACCAAATGGACCTAACAAACATATACAGAATATTTCATCTAACAGCTACAGAATAAAGATTCTTCTCATCAGCACATGAAACATTCTCCAGGACAGACCATACGATAGGACACAAAATAAGTCTGAACAAATTTTTAATATCAAAATCATATTCAAATACCTCCTCAGACCACAATAGATAAAACTAGAAATCATTAACAAGAGAAACTTTGGAAACTGTACACATACATGGAAATTGAACAACATGCTACTGAATGACCATTAGAACAAGGAAGAAATTAAAGAGTAAATCAAAAAATGTTTGAAAGAAATGAATATCAAAACATAACATACCAGAACCTATAAGATATAGCAAAAACAGTGCTAAGAGGAAATATTATAGCAATAAGGGCTTACATCAAAAAAGGAGAAAGATTTCAAATAAACAATCTGGTGCACCTCAAGGAACTAGAAAAGTAAGAACAAACTAAACCAACAATTAGCAAAACAAAATAAATAGTAAAGATCGGAGCAGAACTAAACAAAACAGAGACTTTTAAAAAATTACAGATGATCAATTAAAAAACTACAAAGGATCAATGAGATGAAAAATTGAAAAGATGAACAAAATTGATAAACCACTTGCTAGACTAATCAAGAAAAACAGAGAATAACTACAGAAACAAAATCCGAAATGAAAAAGGAGACATTACAACTGATATCATAGAAATACGAAAGATCATTGGAAACTATTTTGAATAACTATACACTAACAAACAGGAAAACCAAGAGGAAATGGAAAAAATTCCGCGCATACACAATCTACCAATATTGAATCAGGAAGAAACAGAAAACCTGAACAGACCAATAACAAGTAATGAGATTAAAGCAGTAATAAAAAAGTCTCCAACAAAGAAAAGTCCAGGACCAGATGGCTTCACTGCCAAATTCTACCACACTGTCAAGGAAGAACTAACACCAGTTCTCCTCAAACTATTCCAAAAAATCTAAAAGGAGGGAATTCTAACTCATTCTACCAGCATTACCCTGATACCAAAACCAGACAAAGACACAAGAAAGAAAGAAAAAACTGCAGGCCAATCTTCCTGATGAATATAGATGTAAATATCCTCAACAAAATATTAGCAAACTGAATTCAACAGCACATCAAAAAATAATATAAAGCAATCGAGAGGGATTTATCCCAGGGATGCAGGGATGATTTAAAATATGCAAATCAATAAACATCACATATCACAAGGACAGAGTGAAGAACAAAAACCATATGATCATCTCAACAGATGCAGAAAAAGCATTTGATAAAATTCAAAATCCCTTCATTCTTAAAAAAAGAAACAACTCTTAACAAACTAGGCATAGAAGGAATGTACCTCAACATAATAAAAGCCATACACAACAAAATCGCAGCTAACATCATAATGAATGGGGAAAAGCTAAAAGCCTCTAAGAACTGGAAAAAGATAAAAATGCCCACTTTCACCACTCCTATTCAAGTTAGTACTGAAGTCCTAGCCGGAGCAATCAGGCAAAAGAACTAAAATGTATCCAAATTGGAAAAGAGGAGGTCAAATTGTCCCTCTTTGCTGATAATATGATCTTACATTTAGAACAACCTAAAGACTTCACCAAAAAAAAAGTTTTTTTAAATCTGATAAATTCAGTAAAGTTGCAGGATATGAAATCAACATAGAAAAATCGACATTTCTATACACCAATAATGAACTAGCTGAGAAAGAAATCAAGAAGGCAACCCCACTTACAGTAGCTACCAAACAATTAAAATACCTGAGAATAAAGTTAACCAAGGAGGTGAAAGATCTCTACAAGACAAACTACAGATTGCTGATAAGAGAAATTGAAAAGGACACAAACAAATGGAAAGAAATCTCATGCTCAATGAGCAGAATTAATATAGCTAAAATGATGACCATTCTGCCCAAAGCAATCTACAGATTCAATGCCATCCCTATCAAAATACCAATATCATTTTTCAGAGACTTATTTTTAAGAATCCTAAATTCATGTGGAACCAAAAAAGAGTCTAAATGGCCAAAGCAATCTCGAGGAGGAAGAACAAAGCTGGAGGTATCAAACTGCCTGACTTCAAAATATATTACAAGGCTATAGTAACCAAAACAGTGTGATATTGGTATAAAACAGAAACATAGAGCAGAATAGAGATTCTTGAAATAAATCTACGTATCTACATATTTACATGTTTACTTTGATTTTCAGCAAAGGCACCAAGAACATACATTGGGGAAAGAATACCCTCTTCAATAAATGGTGCTGGGAAAAATAAATATCCGTATGCAAAGGAATGAAACTAGATCCCTATCTCTTACCACATACAAAAATCAACAAAAGAGGAATTAAAGACTTAAATGTAAGTCCCCAAATCATAAAACCACTAGAAGAAAACATAGGGAAAACACTTCAGGACATTGGTCTAGGTAAAGATTTATGGCTAAGACCTCAAAAGCACAGACAAAAACAAAAATAGACAAATGGAACAACATTAAACTACAAAGCTTCTGCACAGCAAAGGAAACAACACAGTGAAGACACAATCTGTTGAATCGGAAAAAATATTTGCAAACTATTCATTCAGCAAGGAATTAATATCCAAAACATACAAAAAACTCAATTAAAAAATGAAATAATCCCATTTAGACATGAGCAAAGGACATGAATAGACATTTCTCAAAAGTAGACATAGAAATGGCCAAGAGGTATATTAAAAAATGATTACCATTACTAATCATCAGGTAAATGCGAATCAAAACCACAGTGAGATACCATCTTACCCCAGTTAAAGTGGTTATTATATGAAAAAAAAAAAAACGAGAAACAACAGACACTGGAAAGGATGCAGATAAAAGGGAACTTATACACTATTGTTGAGAATGCAAATTAGTATAGCCACTGTGAAAAACAGTACGGAGATTTCTCAAAACACTAAAAATGGAGCTACCGTATGATCCAGTAATCCCACTACTAGGTATTTACCCAAAGGAAAATAAATCAGTACTTCAAAGGGATACCTGTACTCACATGTTTATTGCAGCACTATTCACAAAAGGAAAGATATGGAGTCCATCTACAGATGAATGGATAAAGTAAATGTGGCATTCATACACAATGGAATACTTTTAAGCTATAGAAAAGGATGAAATCCTGTTAGTTGTGTAACATGGATGAAACTAGAGGTCATTATGTCAGATGAAATGAGCCAGGCACAGAAAGACAAACATCATATAGTCTCACTCATATGTGGGAGCTAAAAAGTTGATCTCATGGAGGTACAGAGTAAAATGATAGCAGAGGCTGGAAAGGATGTGTGGGTGGGAGTGAGAGATGAAGAGAGGTTAGTTAATGGGTACAAACATATGGTTAGATAGAGATAGAAGATATACATTCTTGGGGAAAAATCTAATCTGATTAAAAATGGGCGAAAGATGTGAATAGACATCTCTCAAAAGACATGCAAATGGCAAACAGGTATATGAAAAGGTGTTCAACATCACTGATCATCAGATAAATGCAATAACTATAATGAGATATTGTTTCACCCCAGTTAAAATGACTTATATCCAAAAGACAGGCAATAACAAATGCTGGTGAGGATGCAGAGGAAAGGCAACACTTGTACACAGCCGGTGGGGCTGTGAATTATTACAACTACCATGGAGAGCAGTTTAGAGGTTCCTCAAAACACTAAAAATAGAACTACAAATGATCCACCATCCCACTGCTAGGTATACATCCCAAAGAAAGGAAATCAGTGTATCAAAGAGAGATCTGCACACCCATGTTTGCTCCAGCACTATTCACAATGGCCAAGATTTGGAAGCAACCTAAGTGTCCATCAATAGACAAATATATAAAGAAAATGTGATACATCTACACAATGGAGTGTATTCAGCCATAAAAAGAATGAGATCCTGTCACTGGGAACAACACAGATAGAACTGGAGATCATTACATTAAGCAAAATAAGCCAGGCACAGAAACTTTGCAAGTTCTCACTTATTTGTGGGAGCTAAAAAAAAAATTAAAACAATTGAACTCATGGTGATAGAGAGTAGAATGATGGTTACTAGAGGCTGGGAAGGGCAGTGGTGGTTGGGAGAAGTGGGGATGGTAAATGGATACAAATATATAGTTTGATATAATGGATAAGATGTAGTATTTGATAGCACAACAGGGTAACTGCAGTGTAAAATAATTTGTTATATATTTTTAAATACCTAAAGAATACAATTGGATTGTTTGTAATACAAAGGATAAATGTTTGAGGGGATGGATACCCCATTTACCCTGATGTGATTACTATGCATGGTATGCCTCTATCAAAATATCTCATGTACCCCATAAATATACACATCTCTTATGTACCCACAAAAATTAAAAATTAAAGAATTTTAAGATAGAAGTTCCAATGTTCAGTAGTAGATTAGGGTGACTGTTATCAGCAACAATGTATTGCATGTTTCAAAGTAGCTTGATGAGAGGACTTGAAATATTCTCAACAAATAGAAATAATAAATGCTTAGAGTGATGAATAACCCCAATACCCTGACTTGATTACACATTCTGTAACAAATACTCACATGTACACCATAAATGTGTATAATATTGTATATCAATAAACACATCAAAGGGAAAACTTATAAGGCAAAGTCCAGTATAGTGCTCATCACTTAGCAAACACCCAATAAAGGTTTGCAATGACCTTTTCACTTGTTTGTAAACGTCTCCTTCTAGAACTAAGCTTCTTTTGGGGAATAACTGTTTGGCTTACCTTGTGCCTTGCAAAGTACTTGGCATATAAGAGACATCTAATAAAGATATTTCAAATGAACGAGCACTTCAGCCATTAAATTTGATCATCTCAACCTCACATATGCTCCCCATTCTTCTTATACCGAAATATTCAATTAGGTAGAAAAGTTCTCCTTGGCATGGACTAGTCTTCTACTTTTTTGTGTTCTTTTTTCTACCTATCCCCACCCATCTTAGGGAGTAGCACGGTATCACGTACATAGGAATACAATTATTATTGTGGATGAAATGATGAATAGGTTATACACTTGTGCATTCTTTTCTCTGAATCAGAGCTTTCTCATGTCAAAACTTATCCCTGACCCTTGCATCATGAACTGTGGAAAACCAGGCTGAGAGAGTCTATCCAACTAGGTCAACTCTGCCCAGGAGAGATGAAATGACTGTCTCTTGTGATTAACCTATACACATCTCAAGAAGGCATGCACTCATACTCTCCAGGAGGATTATATTTCATCTTGATGATCAGATGAAGGATGAGGACAGGAAGAGTCCGAGGGAGGAAAGCCACGGCTAAAGAAGAGATACATGCACCTTGGGGCTAAAATGAAGCCATAGCTAACCAGGGTGAATTAACGCAAAGGAAGTTGCAGCTTCATCTAGAGCCAAAAAGCAATAGCTTACCTTGAACCCAGAAACACTATTACATCTTGAGCAAGCAGCACCAGGAAGGTGATAAGCCCTTTACATGGTCTTTTATCAGAGTTCTGGGTTTCCTGGCCCTATTTACAGCTAAAGTCCTGGACTCCCTCAGCTTATTCCCACCTTTGCTCCTTACTTCTCTATTCTTTCTGCTTGTATCTTATCTTTTGAGGTCCAAGGTCAACTCTCCAGACAAACATGACTTCTCCAATGTGATCCTCAGCCCCTCTCTTGGAAATGGTTTTATAGGATAAGCAGTGTAGCAGAATGGAAAGAGTAGGAGAGCTTTGGGGTAATCAGACGAGCACTTAAATTCCACTCACAAGCTGTCACCTTGGATAAGCATCTTAACCTCCAAAGCCTCTGTTTCTTAATGAGCTTAATAATATCTACCCCATAGGGTAGTTTTGTGTATCAAATGAGATAAAAAAGAGTAGTTGCGATAATCAGCATCATTAACCCTCTTTCTTTATTGGCATCTGTCCTGAGGTAAACACCTTTCCTATCTGGCTTCAGTCCTGGAGAGTCAACGCTACTTTTCCAGGTACCCCTGGTGAGGAATAAATTCGACAGAAAAGTTCTCTGTTTGGGTTATTGTTGGTTCCTTAAAAACCACCTTGCTGTTCACAAGAGAGCTTTTAAAACTTGAGCACTTACTATATACACACACCTCAATGAACATGCCCATCTACTGTAAGGTTCTTGAATGTAAGATAAGGTGCTCTGCCCTAGAATAGTGGATGAGAAGGAAGTCCCCACCTTTCCAGACAAGGCTGAAAGCTTAGGAAAGTCACACAGATTGACAGAGATCCAATAGCTGCTGTCTCCCTCCTGTTTAAAGCACAGTCTGGAGAGTCTGACGCAGCTACCCAGGTTTCTGGTGCTAACTCACAGTCCCTGAGAAAATCAGCACCCTGGGGCACATTAATCATTCCCTTTCACAGAGATAAAATATTTTCTCTACTGATCCTGAACAGGGAGCTTGCCTAGAAATGATCTGCATTCTAAGGTGACTCCTTTTAATCTTCTTGTCTCATGGAAATGTCTTTCCATCCAGGGTTCTGCCTGCATCCTGGCACTTCTCCTCATAATTTACCATGGTACTATAGTATTCAGAGATCTCAGAAGTTATGTAATTTAACCCCAAATTTGTACATAGAAAGAAACTGAAGCTCAGAGAGGGGATAAGGCATGGACAAGAGGCAGAGCAGTCAGAGCCAGACTCAAGTCCAGATACTTGTCCAGCTGCCTGTCCCACCAGACAAAGGGCAATCATGCATTGCCAGTACCGCCAATACCACACCTTAGAAACAAGCTGCTGTTAAGAAACTAGGCTTCGCCTCTCCCTCTTCCTCTCCCCCTCCCTCTCCCCTCTCCCCTCTCCCCTCTTCCTCTCCCCTCTTCCCTCTCCCTC
Source organism: Homo sapiens (assembly GCF_000001405.40). NCBI lineage: Eukaryota > Metazoa > Chordata > Mammalia > Primates > Hominidae > Homo > Homo sapiens. The sequence continues at coordinate 83,317,815 of NC_000011.10, read as the reverse complement.
TCCCCACGGTCTCCCTCTCCCTCTCTTTCCACGGTCTCCCTCTGATGCCGAGCCGAAGCTGGACTGTACTGCTGCCATCTCGGCTCACTCCAACCTCCCTGCCTGATTCTCCTGCCTCAGCCTGCCGAGTGCCTGCGATTGCAGGCGCGCGCCGCCACGCCTGACTGGTTTTCGTATTTTTTTGGTGGAGACGAGGTTTCGCTGTGTTGGCCAGGCTGGTCTCCAGCTCCTAACCGCGAGTGATCCACCAGCCTTGGCCTCCCGAGGTGCCGGGATTGCAGACGGAGTCTGGTTCACTCAGTGCTCAATGGTGCCCAGGCTGGAGTGCAGTGGCGTGATCTCGGCTCGCTACAACCTCCACCTCCCAGCCGCCTGCCTTGGCCTCCCAAAGTACCGAGATTGCAGCCTCTGCCCGGCCGCCACCCCATCTGGGAAGTGAGGAGCGTCTCTGCCTGGCCGCCCATCGTCTGGGACGTGAGGAGCCCCTCTGCTTGGCTGCCCAGTCTGGAAAGTGAGGAGCGTCTCTGCCCGGCGCCATACCATCTAGGAAGTGAGGAGCGCCTCTTCCCGGCCGCCATCCCATCTAGGAAGTGAGGAGCGTCTCTGCCCGGCCTCCCATCGTCTGAGATGGGGGGAGCGCCTCTGCCCTGCCGCCCCGGCTGGGATGTGAGGAGCGCCTCTACCCGGCTGCGACCCCGTCTGGGAGGTGAGGAGCGTCTCTGCCCGGCCGCCCCGTCTGAGAGGAGACCCTCCGCCTGGCAACCGCCCCGTCTGAGAAGTGAGGAGCCCCTCCGCCCGGCAGCCACCCCGTCTGGGAAGTGAGGAGCGTCTCTGCCCGGCAGCCGCCCCGTCCGGGAGGTGAGGGGCGTCTCTGCCCCGCCACCCCTACTGGGAAGTGAGGAGCCCCTCTGCCCGGCCAGCCGCCCCGTCCGGGAGGGAGGTGGGGGGGGGTCAGCCCCCCGCCCGGCCAGCCGCCCCATCCGGGAGGTGAGGGGCGCCTCTGCCCGGCCGCCCCTACTGGGAAGTGAGGAGCCCCTCTCCCGGCCAGCCGCCCCGCCTGGGAGGGAGGTGGGGGGGTCAGCCCCCCGCCCGGCCAGCCAACCCGTCCGGGAGGGAGGTGGCGGGGTCAGCCCCCCGCCCGGCCAGCCGACCCGTCCGGGAGGTGAGGGGCGCCTCTGCCCGGCCGCCCCTACTGGGAAGTGAGGAGCCCCTCTGCCCAGCCAGCCGCCTCGTCCGGGAAGGAGGTGGGGCGGTCAGCCCCCCGCCCGGCCAGCCGCCCCATCTGGGAGGGAGGTGGGGGGATCAGCCCCCCGCCCGGCCAGCAGCCCCATCCGGGAGGGAGGTGGGGGGGTCAGCCCCCCGCCCAGCTAGCCGACCCTTCCGGGAGGTGAGGGGCGCCTCTGCCCGGCCGCCCCTACTGGGAAGTGAGGAGCCCCTCTGCCCAGCCAGCTGCCTCATCCGGGAAGGAGGTGGGGGGGTCAGCCCCCCACCCGGCCAGCCGCCCCATCCGGGAGGGAGGTGGGGGGGTCAGCCCTCCGCCCGGCCAGCCGCCCCGTCCGGGAGGGAGGTGGGGGGATCAGCCCCCCGCCTGGCCAGCCGACCCGTCCGGGAGGTGAGGGGCGCCTCTGCCCAGCCGCCCCTACTGGGAAGTGAGGAGCCCGTCTGCCCGGCCACCACCCCGTCTGGGAGGTGTACCCAGCAGCTCATTGAGAACGGGCCATGATGACAATGGCGGTTTTGTGGAGTAGAAAGGGGGGAAAGGTGGGGAAAAGATTGAGAAATCGGATGGTTGCCGTGTCTGTGTAGAGAGAGGTAGACATGGGAGACTTTTCATTTTGCTCTGTACTAAGAAAAATTCTTATCCTGTTGATCTGTGACCTTACCCCCAACCCTGTGCTCTCTGAAACATGTGCTGTGTCCACTCAGGGTTAAATGTATTAAGGGCGGTGCAAGATGTGCTTTGTTAAACAGATGCTTGAAGGCAGCATGCTCGTTAAGAGTCATCACCACTCCCTAATCTCAAGTACCCAGGGACACAAACACTGCGGAAGGCTGCAGGGTCCTCTGCCTAGGAAAACCAGAGACCTTTGTTCACTTGTTTATCTGCTGACCTTCCCTCCACTATTGTCCTATGACCCTGCCAAATCCCCCTCTGCGAGAAACACCCAAGAATGAACAATAAAAAAAAAAAAAAAAATTTCAGGCCAGGTGCAGTGGCTCATGCCTGTAATCCCAGCACTTTGGAAGACTGAGGTGGGCAGATCACCTGAGGTGAGGAGTTCGAGACCAGCCTGGCCAACATGGTGAAACCCTGTCTTTACTAAAAATACAAAAAAAAACTGGCTGAGTATGGCGCACACCTATATTCCCAGCTACTCAGGAGGCTGAAGCACGAGAATTGCTTGAAGCTGGGAGGTGGAGGTTGCAGTGAGCTAAGATCACCCCACTGCACTCCAGCCTGGGTGACAGAGTGAGGTTCCATCTCTAAATAAATAAATAAATAAATACTACAACAACAACAACAAAAAGAAACTAGGCTTCAAGGATCTCTTTCTTTTTCTTTTTCTCTTTTTTTTTTTTTTTTTTTTGAGACGGGGTCTCGCTCTGTCACCCAGGCTGGAGTGCAGTGGTGCAATCTTGCCTCACTGCAAGCTCCGCCTCCCGGGCTCACACCATTCTCCTGCCTCAGCCTCCCGAGTGGCTGGGACTACAGGCGCCCACCACCACGCCCAGCTAATTTTTTGTATTTTTAGTAGAGACGGGGTTTCACTGTGTTACCCAGGATGGTCTCAATCTCCTGACCTCGTGATCCACCCACCTCGGCCTCTCAAAATGCTGGAATTACAGGCGTGAGCCACCGCGCCCGGCCAAGGATCTCTTTCTTATATGCTATGTCATCCTGAGCAGGTTACTTCTCCTCGCTCCTCAAAGGATGGTCCCCAGACCGGCAGCCTCGACAGCACCTAGGAGCTTGTTGGAACTGCAGAATCTCAAGACCTACCCCAGACCTGCTTTTAACAAGACCCTCAGATTATATAAGTTTGAGGAGCACTGACTTAAATTATCTGAGCTTCTATTTCTTCATCTGTTAAAGGGAATAATAGTGTCTGCCTTAAGAGTTTGTTCCCAAAAAATTGACAATAAGGTAACTTGCAAGCAGTAAGATACCTTTATTTGAAAGCTCAGAGAATTGTTTCAAGGAAGTTTAAAACTCAGACATAGCAATAGTAAAGAAAATCTCTGTATACTGCTTCAATTTAATTCAAATATCTTATAACTTAAGATAATGATTAAAGCAGGAGCTAGAAACTAATTCAAATTACGAGGCAATATATACTTGTTGGCTCTTGGATGAGACTGCCTGGGTGTGTGCTTTTTTTTTTTTTTTTTGACAGAGTCTTGCTCTGTCACCTAGGCTGGAGTACAGTGGCACGATCTCAGCTCACTGCAACCTCCGCCTCCTGGGTTCAAGCGATTCTCCTGCTTCAGCCTCCCAAGTAGCTGGGATTACAGGTATGCACCACCACACCAGGCTAATTTTTGTATTTTTAGTACAGACAAGGTTTCACCATACTGGCCAGGCTGGTCTTGAACCTCTGACCTCATGATCCTCCCGCCTCGGCCTCCCAAAGTGCTGGGATTACAGATGTGAGCCACTGTGCCCAGCCTGTTCATTTACTAGAAAGGTAAGCTTGAACAAGCTTTTACCTTCACCAACCTCTGTTTCTACACCTGTAAATTGAAGCTAATAATGCATCATGTGGTAGTAATGCATCATCTCAGGGAGATAATCAGTAAAGTACTTAGCACGGGGCCTGGCACATAGTATATATTCCCACCATCATTGTAATCATCATCATCATTGACAATCATGTCGATGTCACTCAACAACTGCAAATTGGGAAGGTTTCCACATAGGAAATTTTGGGAAGGCTTCCTCATCAAGAAACCATTCCACTTGGGACATCTTCTTGATGAGAGACAGGACAGGAACTTCTCCTTCTAATGTGAATAATCAACTGCAGCCTTCATTTTCCTCCTGTGAAGACATGTTTATGAGTGGCAAGTAAATTCAGCTTTCTCCTATTTAAGCCAGACTTCTTTAACTCCTTACTACTTCCCTTTAGCCTCCTAAATAAAATTTTATATTTGTCATAGGTTTTTGTAGGGAAGAGCTCAAGATACTTACACATAGCCTGACAAATGTCCCTTTCTCCTCCTCCAACTGCACACAAATAATGGCATTTCAGCAACTGAACAGCTATGTTCAGCTCACAATTACTAACTAGACTTTGACCAAGTTTTCATGCAATCTGAAATGTGAATTCTCCATGAGGGCTTTGCAGAATACTAGGATTCTAACTCCCTAACTTATCCCACTGCCCCCAAAATTATACTAATTAAGCTGCCTCCATCTTTCATATCAGAATAAGTTCCAGAAAAGGAGATTCAATTCAGCTCACATTTTAGTGTAAGCACTATGTTAGCTCAGTGCAATCCTTAGAAATAAAGCCTAGAGACCTTTGATAACTAGTAAATGATACCTGAGTGACCTTGGTAACTTGCCCAAAGTCACACAATTGGTCAGAAAAGATGACGCCCAGGTCTTAAAAAGTACTAACTTTGCAGAGTCCAGTGTCTCCCAATTCCAAACACCATGTTTGTTCTTCCCAGTGTTTAACCTAACCTCTCCTGCTTTGGTCTCAGCCTATCTATCCACTCTTATTTTGCCACTGACATAGAAATTTTTAGTGATTCCTTTTTAAATCTCACTCACCTTGCCCTTCATATAGATATCATCTAGGGGAAAATAAGTCCAACCCCATTGGCCCCAGAGTTCACTACCTTTGACTGAGAGGAGGTGAACCAAGGTGTGGTATGTTTATTCCCTTAAGAGTTGGGGTAAAGAAAGGGGCATCCTGTGAATTGTGAGGATCCTGACATGATAATCTAGATATCTGTCTCTGAGCAACAGAGAGCATAGGGAGTAATTACAGGCTCTTGCTTTTGTACTGAGCTCAACAATTTTCAAAGCATATCCACATCCTGTTGAGCCTTCCAACCATCCCATGAGGAGGGCAGAGCAGGAATTATGATTAATGAGGCTCAGAAAAGGCTAAATGATTTTTCCAAAGTCACAAAGCTAGTGAGCAGTCAGGCTGGGACCAGAGCCTAAGCCAGGGCTTTCTCTCACACACATTGGAAAAGAAAGCTCAGGATGGATCATCCCTTAAGCTATTATTAGAAATTCTCTGATCATCAGCTGATGCTTTAATGGGGCTGAGCTAGTGGTCAGCTGTGAATAAGAATGGTACACAAATCCACCACCATGAGGAAGCCTGGGGAGGGGTAGGATAGAGAAAAGGGGAGAAGAGGAGGGTTCCAAGGACAAACATCTTAAACTCCAATCCACTTTTTTATCAAAGACTAGATCTGACAGTGCCAAACCAACCCATTTGCAAGCTTTCTCTCCCTTGGTTCCTAGACTAGGTGCTCCTGGGGAACAAGAGCTTTGCATCTCCAGTGGTCCGTGCCTTCCTGGGCACAGGGTAAAATCTCATATAGATTTGATGAATGAATGGATAAACGAATGAATCACTATGTGTCCACACTAACTCCAGGTTTTGTCTTTCACAAGGCTTCCTGCACGCACCTTGGTTCCACCCCTCCCCAACCCTGCATCCTCTCCAATGTCTAACCCAGGTCAGTGTCAGGGCTCCAAATCAAGAAGAGAATTATAATCTAATAAAGGTCTGAGCCTGGCCCAGCACAGAGCACAATCCCCTGTCATACTGAAACAGCAGTTTTCAGTTAAGACAATCCAAGCAGTTCTATTGCTCATTCCCTTCCGGCACATCAGATTGACATTTCTCCCAGCAGGGGGATTTCTTGTTTCAAAACAAAACAGAATCAATACAGTTTTATTAGCCATCCAATGTAATAAACTTGCCCCCAGATGACAGCCTCTAGGTCCAAATCTGACCAATCCAAGATGAGTCTGAGATACCAAAGGAATGCATCCAAACAGTCTCCAATTCCTCCGCCCTCCCCTCTCTCTCCTGAGCACCATCAGCCTGATCTTGTTCTTTATCACATCTGCCTGACCTTCTGCACAGTCTCTTAATCATTCTCCTGGGCTCCAGGCTCTCTGCTCTCCAGCCTTTCCTCCATCTCATCTGAAATTTTTCCTCCTCTCTATGGCATTTGAGGTCCTTCCTAATGTGACCCACCCCTCCTGACTGATTTCTCTCTACTCCTCCCAATCAAACTACAGATCAACAGAAGCACTCCCCAGAGAGCACATGAATTCCCTATCAGGAGTTCTCATGCTGAGAACTCCTCATTTTTCAAGGCCCACTTACTCTGGGAAGCCTCCTTCGAAGGACCCCAAAAAGGAAGTTACTCTCTTTCCCATGATCTCTTAGTATTTTATTCATATCCTAATACCTGGCACATTATCATAATTTTGGTTTACAGGCATACTTCATTTAATTGCACTTTGCTTTACTGAACTTCACAGATACTGTGTTTTTTTACAAATTGAAGGTTTATGGCAGCCCCATGTTGAGCAAGTCTATCAGTGCCATTTTTTCTGACAGCATATGTTCACTACGTGTCTGTGTCATATTTTGGTAATTCTCGCAATATTTCAAACTTTGTCATTATTATTATGTTTGTCATGATGATCTGTGATAAGTGATCTTTGATGCTACTACTGTAATTGTTTTGGGGTGCTATGAATTGCACCAATATAAGACAGCAAACTTAGTTGATAAATGTTGTGTGTGTTCTAACTGCTCCACTGACCAGCCATTCCTCCAACTCTTTCCCTCTCCTTGGGCCTCCCTATTCCCTGAGAAATAGCAATATTAAAATTAGGCTAATTAATATCCCCACAATGACCTCTAGTGTTCAAGTGAAAGGAAAAGTAGCACATCTCTCACTTTAAATCAAAAGCTAGGAATGATTAAGCTTAGTGAGGAAGGCATGTTGGAAGCCAAGATAAGTGGAAAGCCAAGCTTCTTACACCAGTTAGCCAAGTTGTGAAAGCAAAGGAAAAGTTCTTGAAGGAAATTAAAAGTGCTGCTCCAGTGAATACACAAATGATGAGAAAGCAAAACAACCTTATCACTGATATGAAGAAAATTTTAGTGATCTGGATAGAAAATCAAACCAGCCACAACATTCCCTTAAGCCAAAGCCTCATCCAGTACAATGCCCTAACTCTCTTCAGTTCTATGAAGGCTGAGAAAGATGAGGAAACTGCAAAAGTATAAAGCTAGCAGAGGTTGGTTCATGAGGTTAAAGGAAAGAAGTTGTCTCCAGAACATAAAAGTGCAAGGTGAAGTAGCAAGTTCTGATGTAAAAGCTATGAAAATTTATCCAGAAGATCTAGCTAAGATCATTGATGACAGTGGCCACACTAAACAATAGATTTTCAACATAGATAAAATAGCCTTCCATTGGAAGAAGATGCCATTTGGGATTTTCATAGCTAGAGAAGTTATTGCCTAGCTTCAAAGCTTCAAAGGACAGACTGACTCTCAAGGGCTAATGCAGCTGGTGATTTTAAGTTGAAGCCAGTGCTCATTTACCATTCTGAAAATCCTAGGACCCTTAAGAATTATGTAAAATCTACTCTGCCTGTGCTCTAGAAATGAAAAAACAAAGCCTGGATGACAGCACATCTGTTTACAGCATGGTTTACTGCATATTTTAAGCCCACTGTTGAGACCTACTGCTCAGAAAAAAAGATTTCTTTCAAAATATTACTGCAGGCCAAGCATGGTGGCTCACACCTGTAATTCCAGCACTTTGGGAGGCCAAGGCAGGTGGATCACTTGAGGTAAGGAGTTCAAGACTAGGCTGGCCAACATGATGAAATCCCATCTCTACTGAAAATACAAAAAAAAATTAGCCAGGTGTGACGGTGCATGCCTGTAATACCAGCTACTAGGGAGGCTGAGGCAGGAGAATCACTTGAACCTGGGAGGCGGAGGTTGCAGTAAGCTGAGATTGCATCACTGCATGCCAGCCTGGATGACAAAGCGAGACTCCATCTCAAAAATATATATGTATTACTTCTCACTGACAATGCACTTGGCCACTCAAGAGCTCTGATGGAGATATACAAGGAGATTAATGCTGCCTTCATGCCTGCTAACATAACACTCATTCTGCAACCCATGAATCAAGGAGCCATTTCCATTTTCAAGTCTTATTATTTCAGAAATATATCTCCTAATGCCAAAGCTGCCATAGATAGTGATTCCTCTGATGGATTGGAGCAAAGTAAATTGAAAACGTTGTAGAAAGTTTTCACCACTCTAGATGCCATTAAGAACATTTGTGATTCATGGCAGGAAGTAAAAATATCAACACTAACTGGAGTTTGGAAGAAGTTGGTTCCAATCCTCATGGATGACTTTGAAGGGTTAAGCGGAGCCCAGGTTGGACACAGTGGCTCATGCCTGTAATCCCAGCACTTTTTGGGGTGGATCACTTGAGCCCAGGAGCTCAAGATCAGCCTGGGCAACATGGCAAAACTCCATCTCTATAAAAAATACAAAAATTAGCTGGACATGGTGGCATGTGCCTGTAGTCCCAGCTACTCAAGAGGCTAAGGTGGGAGGATTGCTTGAGCTCAGGAGGCAAAAGCTGCAGTGAGCCATGATCGTGCCACTGCACTCCAGCCTGCGCGACAGAGTAAGACTGTTTCAAAAAGAACTGGAGAGCTGTGACTAAATTGCAGCAATCTCATGGTAAAACTTGAATGGATGAGGAGTTGGAGTTGCTTCTCATGGATGAACAAAGAAAGTGATTTCTTGAGATGGAATCTACTTCTGGTGAAGATGCTGTGAATATTGTTGAAACAACAATATTAATAAAGCAATAGAAAGCTTTGAGAGAATTGACTTCAGTTTTGAAAAAAGTTCTGCTGTGGTTAAAATAGTACCAGACAGCATCATGTGCTACAAAGAAATCTTTCAGCGAAAGGAAGGTTCAATTGATGTGGCAAACTTCATTTTTGTATTTTATTTTACTATTTTATTTTATTTTATTTTACTTTATTTTATTTTATTTTACTTTATTTTATTTTATTTTATTTTATCTTATTTTATTTTATTTTATTTTATTTTATTTTATTTTATTTTATTTTATTTTATTTTGTTTTATATTTTGAGGCAGGATCTCACTCTGCCATCCAGGCTGGAGTGCAGTGGCACAACCTTGAATTCCTGGGCTCAAGCAACCCTTCCATCCTACCCTCCCTAGTAGATGGTAGTATAGGCATGCACCACCACACTCAGCTAATTTCTTTTTATTTTCTGTAGACACACGGTCTCACTATGTTGCCCAGGCTGGTCTTAAACTCCTGGCCTCAAAAGATTCTCCCACCTCAGCCTCCCAAAGTGCTGGGATTTACAGGTATGAGGCAATATACCCAGCCTGTTGTCTTATTTTAAGAAATTGCCACAACCACTCCAACCTTCAGCAACCACCACGCTGATCAGTCAGCAGCCACCAAAATCGAGACAAGACCCTCCACCAGCAAAAAGATTACAAGTAGCTGATGGTTTGGATATCATTAGCATTTTTTTAGCAAATAAAGTACTTTTAAGGTATGTACTTTTGTAGATATAATGCTTTGCACACTTAATAGAGTTTATAAGGTAAACATAACTTCTATATGAACTGGGAAACCAAAACATTCTTTTTACTCACTTTATTGTGTTAGTCTGGAACTAAACCACATTATTTCTGAGCTATGGCTGTACTTGTCTCTTCCCCTACTCAAAAACTCCTCTAAGGAAAGAAGTTGTCTCCAGAACAAAAAAGTATAAGATGAAGGAGCAAGTTCTGGTGTAGAAGCTGCAGCAATTCATCCAGATGATCTGCGATTATTGATAATGGTAGCCACACAAAACAACAAATTTTCCATGGAGATTAAATAGCCTTCTATTGGAAGAAGATGCCATCCAGGACTTTTGTAGCTAGAGAAGAGAGTACAATGCCTAACTTCAAGGCTTCATAGGACACACACTGTAGGCTAGGTTTGGAGTACTATTCAACCTTCAGACATTCTTGAACACCCCATGCCTACCATAGTATCTGTACCAAGCACACAAAGTATATTGAGCTTCACTGAAAGAGGTTATTGAAGGTTGTCAAAATGTCAGGCAATTCACATATTGCATACTGGTAAGGGCTCTTGAAAGTTAAAGAACACCTACCTAAGAGTATGTAAATTATTAAAACATTTTAGAGGGCAATATAGCAATACATTCCAACATTTTAAATATGCAAACTCTTTGACTCAGCCATTCCATTTCTAGGGATTCTTCCTATAGACATTCTTACGTACATGCACTAAGAAGTATCTAAAAGGATGTGCAGTACAGCTTTGTTTTGTTTATAATAACAAAAAAAGAATACAAAGTATCCATTAATAGGAGCACCAGTTAAATGAATAATGTTATGCCTATACCCTGTAATACTATTGAGTTATTAAGAATGAAATAGAATTCTATGTACAAACTTGGGAAAATGTCCAAGACATAATGATAAGTGAGAAAATTAAGCTGCAACACACTGGAAAGAAAGTGCACCAATCCGTTAACAATATCATCTTCAGGGTAAGGAATTAGAGAATAATTTTATTCTGAACTCTATACATTTTCATACCTTTTTATTTCTAAGGAAGCAATACATTTATAATAAAAAAAAATGCATTTTCTTAAAAAGTAGAAGCCCACCCTCCACTACACCCCCAGCTTCCCTTTTGGATGCAGTGGAAGATAAGCACTGGGCTGTTCATGGGCTGGAAAAGCTAGAATCTTCTTTTCTCCAGGTGCTCCATGAGAGAGGCATAGCTCTGATGGCTGCTCCCTCCCAGCTGCCAATCACGCCCTCTCTTCCTCTGATAATTCTACTGTAGGATTGGGGGAGAGCATAGAACAGGATAGGCAGGAGAGGGGCAGGTAGGTAGGAGAGCTCTGACATCAAAAGCTGCCTCTGCCTGTCTTTCCCCTCAGGTCTGCCTTGTCAAGCCCAAAATTAGAAGGGAAATGAACTGTAGCTAAATCAGCTAACTGAACCAAGAAACAGCCCTCTACCTTCACTTCCAGTGACATCAATCCAGTGATCCTGGACAGGGTCCCCCAGCAGTAGAGAGTTCTGCAGACACACAGGCTGACCTGTCCAGGTACTGCCTGTAGGAGGCAGATAGGGACACAGCTACTTGAAAAGGAAAGGACAGAAACAACTGAATGAATTCCATGAATTGGTAAATTGCCTAATCTAATTTTTCTCTTTGGATAAGTGTCCTTTGTCTCTGCTTCAGATGGTGGAAAGGCACACAAGAGTGAGGCTGCTGCCAGCTTTCTTCTAATGACATGCCGGGACCCACGCCTGTTATTACCAATATTCTAGAATCTGAGGAAAGGGCATTATGCCAGATAAGCCTCTCCCTCCCTCCCACTGTGTAAGCTTTAGAATCTGAACTGGACTGAGCGGGCCTGAAGTATACACTTCTGGTAAATAAAAATAATGCTAATATTATATTATTAGCTCTAGTAATGCTATCATTATTAGTTAGGTAATAGCTCAATAAATACCACCTTCTTACTCTGTGTCAAATGCTGTGCCAAGTGCTTTGTATGCATTATCTCACTTTAAAACAATCGCGTGGTAAGTACGATTATTATCCCACTTTTAAAAATGAGAACACTAATCCTCTATTAAATAACTTCCACAACATCACTCAACTAGTAAGAAGCAACACTAAGACTGGTTTAGTTCCATTCTTAACCATGAAACTGTGGTGGTTTGTAGAGTGGAATCTTGGCATTCATGAGGAATACGCCAAAATGAAACCAAAATACCTACTAAGAAAACAAACTTACCTCCCTCTTAAAATTTTGTAAAACTGCAGGAAAAGATATTTTGAAAAAAATAATAAACCAATTAACATGAGAGGCATTGGGTACATTGGGTAAATACCCAGACACCAGAGTCAGACTACCTAGGTTCAAATCTCAGCTCTCTACCATCTACCAGCTATGTGACCTTAGCAAACTGTTTAAACCTCTGAGCCTCAGTGTCTTCATTTTCAAAATGGGTTGTTTTGGCCGGGCGTGTTGGCTCACACCTGTAATCCCAGCACTTTGGGAGGCTGAGGCAGGCGGATCACTTGAGGTCAGGAGATCGTGACCAGCCTGGCCAATATGGTGAAACCCCATCTGTACTAAAAATACAAAAATTAGCTGGGCGTGGTGGCACACACCTGTATAATCCCAGCTACTTGGAGGCTGAGGTGGAGGTTGCGGTGAGCTGAGATTGCAACACTGCACTCCATCCTGGGTGACAGAGCAAGACTCAGTCTCAAAAAAGAAAAGGATTGTTTTGAGGGTTAGAAGAGTTAATATAGTAAGTGTATTTGTTTCCTATTCCTTCTATAACAAATTACCACAAACTTATTGGCTTAAAACAACACTAATTTATTATCTTACAGTTCTGGAGGTCAGAGGTCCCAAATGGGTCTTACTGGGCTAAAGTCAAGGTCTGTGTTTCTTCTGCAGGTTCTAGGGGAGAATTAATTTCTTTGCCCTTTCCAGTTTTTACAAACCACTTGCAGTCCATCTTCAAAGCCAGGATCTTCACATCACTCTGACCTCTGCTTTCCTTGAACATTCCTTTTTCCGACTCTGACTCTCCTGCATCCCTCTTTCCCTCATAGATATCCTCGGGTCCACATGGATAATCCAAGGTAATCTCCTCATATCAAGAGTCTTCATTTACTCACATCTGCAAAATCCCTTTTACCATGTAAGGTAACATATTCATAGGTCCCAGGGATTAGGATGTGGATATCTTTGGAGTCATTATTCTACCTGTCACAGTTAGATATATATAGAGATAGAGATATATAGAGATATATACATACTAGTAGCAACACTAAAAATAAAAAAGATTACCCATAACCAAATCAGAACTTTTAGGGAATTCCTGAAAGATAAAAAAAAAAAAACAAGTGAGATCATATTGATTATATAATCATAGCCCAAAATATGATGAGATTACTGGGGATAGTTCCAGAGAAGGACCAAGCTTGGAGTCAAAATATATAAGGGACAGAAAGGACCCTGCTCAATTAAAGCACTTCAATAGCAGTATTTGAGTCTGTGGGTCCTACTGCACCCCTTGCTTCTTCTAAGAGGCAGACAGCAGAGTTTTCCCGGTGAGGGTGAGTTGTGTGGCAAGATGGTCTAGACAGATGGGGAGCCCCACATGCAGCAGACAAGCTACCAGCACAAGCCTATAAGCAGCACCTCCTGCCTCTCCCCAGGGACAATGGTAGTTAACTGAGTCAGTCCATCTGATTCCCTCAGGAACTTGGCTGGAGAGGAAGGAAAGTCAGACATCTGGGAGAGAGAGGACTCAAGAATACCTTGCCGGTTATTCTCTGCTTGCCCTTGGCCCCTTGGCCCCTGATCCATTCTCCATTCTCCTCTCCTCTACTGTGGGGCTGATCTCTATGAGTGCATTCCCAGGGTCCCTTACCCTCTAGCTTCCAGCCAATGGGGCAACTGGCAGGAGGTTGAAGACTGCAGGAGGGAAAGGTCATGGTATTTATTCCCCCACCCACTCCATCCCACCATGTCTGCCTTCCTCTGTGGCCACAGTTCCTGTCAGGCAGCCTTTAAACAGCTCCAACTTCTAACCAGGGTCCAAGACCACCATCTCCCCAGGCCTCAGAGTGATAATGGCTCCTAGTGTTGTGTCTCTGCCAACACCTTTGCAAATAGTCCCTGCATTAAAAAGTTGCTTCAAAAATCCCAGCCAAGGAATGCCATCTGTGTCCTGCAGGTCCCTAGAATGATCCAAAGACTTCCAAGAGAAACTTAGTGGTGCAGCAACACATTGAGGAGCTACAAGGTCCTACTCCTGCAGCCCTGGATCCTGAATGTCCCTCCTGCCCCAGGGCTCATTCTGCCCAGCTGTGCTGAGGACCCCTCCTTTCCCCTGAGCAGAAGCCTTGACTTTCCCTGATCCCTAGAGCTGGGCTTACACATCTGTTTTGCATATTACTACCTGTCTTTTTAATAAATGTTCCATTGTCTTGTTCGCTCACCACCTTCAATGGCCAAGCAGCTGACAGGCAGTTCCCTCACAGCTGCTGGTGGCTAGGAGAGCTGGCACAGCATTTGGGAAAGCCTGCTTTATGGCAGCCACCTTTAGCTTAGCTCTAGGCTCATCAGAAGGAGGAAAGGACCACTGGGAGCCTGGATATGGACTTGGAATTGGGCCCAGAGACTCTACACAGTTATATCAAGGAGACAAAAATAAACAAAGCGGGAGCAATTAGTGCCCTGTTAAAAGGGAGGCTCATCTACACACATTTCCTTCTGATTAAGGTGGTATCCCCTCGGCCGTTTTTCCTGTGATGATTATCTTCCCATCTCATATCCTTCAGAGGAGACTCACAGCTCAACCTCACAGATTTGTTCACAGCTTCAAAAACCTAGCATATTAACTAAGCTGCTGTGGGAACTAAACTCTTGCAATTCCTTCGTGTCCTGATTTCATTAACATTTTTAAACTCGCTGTTACTAAATTTTCTTACACCTGTTTGCATATTTTATCTGGGAGACAACCTGCCACAGAGTATTGACCTGTAAAAGGAGAACCTAAAGACTAAAAAATAAACCAAGAATCTAGATAAAAGCTAAAAATAACTTCAATCACTCTTCAGAGATGCTAGAGAGGAGAAAGTTTGTGCAGCCATCACAGTTGGATTAACTAACTTCTAAGTCCCCTTCCAGCTCTGAGAATCTTTGAGAGAGTAGCTTTTGCCTAAAAGGTTCAGTATCATGCTGGTAGGCCCAGCCACATCCATTGCCAGGATCTGCACCCCTCGTACCCTGGTGATGAGTTGGAGAGCGTTCCTTAGCTCCTATCTGAAGCAATATCCTCAACCATCCTCTGAGACAGGCATGATAGTTTCTTCCTGACCATGTCTGCATTGTTCCCTTGGACTGTCAGTGTCCCAAGGGTGGGGACTGTGTCTCTGCACCTCTCCTTGATCAGGCCCTGGACACAGTAGGCTCTCAGAGAATGTGCACTTGAATGGATGAGTGACACCCCCTATGCCTAAACCCATATCCTTGTAGGCTTCCTAGCAGCCCCAGAAACCATGAGTTGATTTATTCGAGACCCTCTTTGGTGTTCCACACGAAGACTACAATACTAAATACGCTATTTTCCAAACTTTTTGTTACCTAGATTATGTCACCTAGATTAGAGAAACTGTGATTCAGTTTCTCTAATCAGAAGCACTAGTCTAGTGCTAGAACCGAGTTGCATGGGGAAAGAGCCATAGCAGGAGGCAAGAATTATCTTGTACAGATCAGAGCTAAACTGACTTGGCTGTGGAGCCGAGAACTGGGGCAGCAACTTCCTAATAGTGCAGCTTCCTGATTTTGGCAGAGGCAGCAACTGTGCAGTGTGATTTTGGGAAGCCATTTCTAGAAGGTCAATTTAGATTGTTTCTTCAACTCTCCCAGCAATTCTGTGAGCTACAAATACTTTTTCATAAACCTCTTTCTGCTTAGCCAGGTAGAACAGATTCTGTTATTTCTAATCGCACTGCCCTGACTGACCCCTTCACACCCTCTCAAACTGTTCCTGGCCTTCTACCTTTCAAAGTTCTTTCCCACACTCAAACTCTCAAAGTCCAGTGCAGCTTAGCTTACCTAAGCTATATTAAGAACTCATTCTGCTCCAGGCCCTGGGCCAGATGCTGTAATACATGACAGTCTTGATGTGAATGGGTCCCTGCCCTCCTAGAGTTTACAGTCTAATGAAGCAACTAACCATGTAATCAAATAATTTATCAATCAGAGACAGGGAATCCAAGATGGTTTAAATGGAAGACACTGATATTTCTGCAAGTTTTAAATGGGAGATGCTTACGTTTTGGGAAGGCAGCTCATCTCTGGTCCACAAGTGTTCATGAGCATTACTCTGAGCACCTTCTGGAAAGTAAACCAGGGACCAGTAAACATATTATGAGGTGATGGATTTTGAAATCTACCACAAACAAAAAAACCAGGCTCACCACATTCAGGCTGACTTCCACGAGCACAACAAAATACACACATGCTCCACTGACTCTAGCCTGTTCCTTCATAATAAAGGCTTTCTCACTCATTGCTTACAACAATGCATGGGACCCTCAAAAGTGTTACCCACATTTTCCTTGGAAGGAAAATGCTGTCTGCCTTGGGGTTCTGAGAATTTTGTAGCATTCTAGCTTTATCTCCCATTAATTGCTCCATTCATCCTGAGCTTCAGGCACATCTGACCTTCCCCACCCTGAAAATACAAACTGCCCTGTCCCCATCCCCATGCCTCACTCTAATCTTCCATATCACTCTCCTGCTTTGTCAAAATCCTACCCACCCTCCATGGCTCCGATAAATGTCACCTGCACCAAAAGCCTTCAACCAATTACTAGAGACAGGGTTAATTTGTTCTACATCTGTATTATAGACTCTTGACACTTACAAATTTTAACATTCTCTATTTTGACTATTTTCAAGTGATCCTAAAGGTCCAAGACCTGGACTGATTTGGAATTTCGTTGAGCACAGAATTTGAATCGCAGCTATTGACAGGTTGGTGTACAGGAAAATGTCACTGAGCCAAGAGGGTACTGAGAAGGTTTGGTATAAATGAGGCCCTGGAGGATAAAAAGGGCAGAGAATGACAGAGCATCCTATTTCTACCTTCACCTTTAACCCACCCAGATAGAGAAGATGGGATTGGTAAGAGAGTGGGATCTGGTTTTTAAACCACAGCAAAAGGGTCTGGGGGTATCAGAAGGTACAGACCAGGCCCTCTAATAAAGGAAAAAAGGAAGCCTGCCTAGGAGAAATGGTCAAGCACTGAGGGAGCAGGACTGAAGAACTGCTGGTTAGGGACCAGGGCTAAGGCGCCAATTGTCAAGTAGGAGCTCAGGGCCGTAGGGCCAGAGGGCTGACCAGGTACCCAGCAGCCATGCATCCCTATTTCCATACTCCTTTGTTACATCTACTGATCAAGCCTGTCCTATAGAGGATGCCCCAAGTGAACAGGTCTCAAAGGCCTTGGCAGGTGCCCTCTAAATGTGAATGTCTACTGGATTTGGTGAGTGCCTCCCTCGCAACACCCATCATCTGGGGAAGGGGGGGATCCTGCCTCTTCACCCTCTAGACTGGCCAGGGCCTCATCTTGGTGATCCTTGTATCTATCTATAAGATCACAGATCAAAGTGGAATAATCATGGCACTTGTCCACTTGACCAGGTTGATTGGGCCAAGAGTGGAATCAAACTCAACTTGGCCTCCAAGTCTTTTCCCTTCAGATATTTGGACTTGGAACTAGGAAACATTTAGTCAGTATGTCTCTGGTACCTGAAGTCAGATGTAACATTTAAGAGCTGTCAGAGCCTATTTTCCTACCATCTGGAAAAAGACAGTCTGCATTCAAATAATATAAATAACACCAATAACAGCTAACACTTATTAAGCACCTTCTATGCACCAGGGACTGTGCCAAGCCCTTTAAGTGCATTAACTCATTTAGTCCTCGCAACAACTCCAGGAGGTAAACGATATGATCATTCTTGTTTATAGATGAGAAAACTGTGGTGCAGCAAGGTTAAGTGACTTGCTCAGAGTCACACAGCTAGTAAGTAACAACAACCCTCTGGCTCCAGAGCCCATCGTCTCAACCACTACTCTATACCTGGCAGAGCTGGCAGGGAGAAGGGAGTACAACTGAGAGATGGCAAGAGGCGTGGTCATGGTCAAGCCCCTGTTCCAGTAGTTCCTGAAGGCAGACTGCGTCTGCAACCATGCTGCCATGTATCTATAGAGGAGGAAGTTTGTGCAACCAAAATGCGGTTGGTTAACAACGTAAGTTTCTGTCACTAGCAACTAAAAAATTCCTGACAAGATACTATCTCTCTAGCATGTAGCATGCTCTCCACCAACAACCTTCTCACCCTGCATCTTATTCTTCCCATCTCCACTGGGCAGCCAAGACGAGATTCCAATTCCAAATGAAATTGTATCCTTAAAACCCTTCTATATCTTTCTAAAATCCCAGGAGAAAGTCCAAACTTTTCTTTGTAACATACAAGGCCTTTCAGGATTTTGCTCCTGCTTCATTTCTCACCATTCCCCTGCCCTCACCTCCTTTCCATGACACTCTACACCTCAAGGGAGAAAAAAATAATTTCTGAACTCCCCTGGGCTCATCTCCCTGTCACTATTTTGTCTAAGTTCTCTCCAGTGGCTCACAAGTGGCTCTCCTGATTAGCATCTGCCTTGCTATTTCCTACTCCAGAGGCAGAAGCCAAAGACTATAAGGTCAGGACTTCAGCACACCCACATAAAGACTGCTTACCTGGCTGACTCCCAAACATTGTACCCTGTCATTTCTGTCCACTGTGCTTTAATTCCCTGGGACCCTGATGCCTAATTAAATGACATATAAGGAAATGCGCTGCACAGTGCCTAGAACATAGTAGTTGCTCACCATGTGATATTTCGCTTCCTTCCTTCCTCTCTTCCTCTCCTGGTAACCCTATTATTGAAGGATTATTGTCCTCATCCTGCCCTGTAAAAGCATCTCAAGCCAAACTCCCCACATCATCTGCCCTGTGGCATATCTGAGAAATACCAACTCCTGTCCAAGTTCAGGGATCTGATAAGAACAACTTTAAGCCCTAAGGTCTTGGGTCACAATTGGTGCTACTTGGGGTCTGTGTCTGTGTCTGCAGGTGGGTGTTCAAAGGGTCCGGCCATGCAGAGAGAAGAGGGAAGAGTTTCAGGGGTGCCCACACAGCACCTTTCCCTGACCCTAGATTCACTATAAAAAGAACTAGCTCAAAGCAAGCTGTTCTTGAAGCATCGTTCCATCTTCATAGCAATTCTATTTGTGTCTGCAGAAGAGGGCTGGAGCACCTCATTCTGCTACAATTGGAACAATTAGCCCGTAAATGTGATAATTACAGTTTGATCATTTGGTAGGCAAAGGGAAGACTGGTTCCAAGATTTGCTCCTCCTTGTTGTAAATTTCTGTGAAGAATCTGCTTATGTTCTAGGGCCACAGACTTCATATTTCAGAATCAGATGAGAATGTCTTCTAGTTCCTTCCTTTCCAAAAGGATAAAGATTTGGACATTTCTCTTTTGTACTGGCTGGGCTGCTAAGTTTAAGGGTATTGTCTAAGGCAATTGTCTCAATAATTTAAGCCAGGAGGATTAGGCTCTTTGCACATGCCTATCAACTCAAGAGCCTGCTGTCTTGTCAAAAACCATGCTGTCATCTTGGCATCGATTTGACCAAGGTGGCAACATAAGTGGTGTCTCTCTCAAGGCCCTAAATACAGAAAAAAGCTATATTCAGATTGCATTTTTTACGGCAAGCTGTGTATCTGCTCTACCCATTCTGGACAACACAATCTTATCTGTAAAATTCAAAGTTTGGAACCTTATAATGCCTGCAAAAAAGTTGAGACTAAACAAGCCCATGCTATGGAATAACCTCCATACACACTACTATGCAAATTATTTAACCTTAAGTATACATATTAATAAAACCAATTATAACCACCACAGTGGAGTAGGAGGGGGTCTTCAGGAATGGTGAAATCCTTGATCCTTAGCTATACCTTCAGGTATGTCTAAAGGCACATTTCTGCCCCATTCTTGTCCAGAAGGTCCCCATTTGTCATCCTGATTCTGCATTACAATCCTTCTCTAGGCCTCAGAGGGCCCACATTCTACACATCTGCCTTTAATGGCCACCTTCCAGTTTTGAGAGTTTGAGAATTTTTAGTCTGTCTGTTTGTAGCAGTTCCAAGTTCATACCTTAAGTGTGAATTGGGTTACTACCTCAATATTCTAATGGGTCTAGTGGCTGTTATTCCTAATATACCAATGCAAATGACCATAAAATGTTAAAAGAGGTTCACAGTCCTGCTGGCATCTCTGCAGCTGCTCTGGAGCTGAACAGTGTTGCATGTGTCTCCTTCTAGAGAGAAGAACACCACTTCCAGATGCAAGTACCACCTTTAGAAGTTTCCTACACTATCCAGAGGTCCTCTACTATACAGGCTACTTCCAATGTTTCACAGACATCCCTCTCTGCCTATAACAGCTTAGAGTATTGCAGTTTCTCCATTTCAAATTCTCTCATGTCTGGTTCACAGATGTTCTCGTGAAAGCTGGAGAGGATACGCTTTGTCATCTCTGGGTCTTCCACCAATGAATGTTCACCTATTTTGCAAAGGATTATCAATCCATTTCCCTCCAAATGGTCTTAGCACGAATGTATAATGTGGACCTGCTATGTAGCCATAGTCTTCAGTCAAAGGTTCAGTGACCAATCTAAGTGGAGCCAATAGAAGTCCCTTCCCTGGCAACTTGAAATTGGAACTAAGTGATGCCAGACTCAGCTGGCTACTCCCTTGAACAGGGGAGATATAAATGCAGACACTGTGGCATACCATTTTCTATCCCATGCACTAGATATCAGAGAAAACCAATCAATGTAGAGAAATAAGGCAGCAGACACGGAGAGAAGCGTGGGTAAGAGATGGAGATAGAAAATTCCCTGGTTCTTAGAAACTTTCCAAGCTCCACTTCCAATCCTTTCTGAGACCTTCATGCATTACTGCCTTTGGATTTCCTGAACTATCCCTATACAGTTATTATTTTATATTCCCCTTTTATGATTTCTGCATTTACCAATCAAAGTGATCCTGATAAATGCTATGCTTTTATTGCAAAAAATCTCACAGCAAAAGCTGGCTAGTAATTTCTCATAAAAGGTCAACAACATAGCTGACAGCAGCAGCCTAGAAAGTTCTTGAGGAAGACTGCTTGGTGTAGCAGAAAGATGTTCTTTGGGGTCAGACATCCAAAGCTTCAAATCCCACCACTAGAAGCTACATGGCACTGAACAAGCTCTCTAACCATTTTAGACTTCAGCTTCTTTATCTGTAAAAGGGGTATAATAATTACCATTAGGCAATGTTGTTCTGGGGACTAAAACTCATGTCCAAAGAGTGCTTAGCACTCTCCTTGGCACATAGGATGGATGTGATAAGAAAGAACTACTATTTCTTTAAATGCCTATTTTAGGGTTTCCCTCAGGGAAACTGTAACTGTAATGGGTAACCCTGGTTTAAAAGTTTCCCAAATAAAGCCAGATGTCAAAATTATATAGCTCAGAAAAGGCTGGCTTTCTTCATGATCAACATGTACATCTACATCCAGTAAGATCAAACAAACAGAAGTGGGCCTTTTAAATGTAAAATTACCACATGACCCTGCAATTTCACGCCTACATAGATACTAGAAGAACTGAAAAAATATATTCAGACAAGTACATGTATGCACATGCTCATAGCAGCATTATTCATAATAGCCATAAAGTAAAAAGACCCCAAATGTCTATCAGCGAATGGATGGATAAACAAATCATGGTACTGATTGTGTGCAATAGAATACTGGCCATGAAAAGGAATGAAGTACTGATGCATGCTGCAACACAATGAACTTCCAAGATATTTTGCTAAATGAAAAAAGCCATATACAAAAGGTCACATGTATGATTCAATTTACGTGATACATCCAGAATAGATGAATCCATAGAGACAGAACACAGATCGGTGTTAGTCAGGGGCTGAGAGGAGTGGGGAAGGGGAAAAACCTGCTAAATAGGTCAGGAATTTTACTTTGGAGTGATGGAAATATTTTGGAACTAGATAGAGGTGGTAGTTGCACAACATTGTAAGTGTACTAAATGCTACTGAGTTGTTCACGTTTAAATGGTTAATTTTATGTGACGTGAATTTCTCAACAAATTTTTTTAAAGAAATGACCTAAATTACACAAAGAGCTAACAATAAAAGAAAGACCTTCTTGATGATAAGAGCTGAAAACAGGGTAAGGCTGGCAGGAGTAAAATCAATGAAGGGCCCCCAAATTCTCCCCACAGTAGTATAGATCAGTTCTTAAGAGATAGCTTTGTGGAGTCAAGGGCTCTTCCCCAGAGCCTAAGGTAGTAGCAGGAAAAGGCCTGAGGTAGGAGTCAGGAGCTGTGACTATGTCACTAAATAATCAGCGCCTCTCCCCTGAGCCTCAAGCTCCCTCAGTTGCAAACCCAGAAAACTACCTCCCGAGGCTGTTGTGAGGCTCAAAGCAAACAGTGAATATGAAGGTTTTCATTACCCATTATAAAAATGCAAAGTTTTCCATGTGCTTCAGGGTTGAAATTCCAGCTTGTTGTATGTCCCTGAACAAGCTACTTAACCCCTCTAAGTCTTGTTTTTGTCTCTACCTACCTTACATGATTGTTGGAGAATTAGAAATAATATACGCAAAGTGCCTGGTACCCACTAAACCCTCAGTAAGTTGAAGCTATTGTTAAATGGGTGGGAACAATTTCAGCAAGGAAGGGAAGGAATAAGAGAAAATGAGCAAAATGGGTGTTGGGATGAAGGTGGGAGTCAGTGGAAATGTCATGGCCAGTGCAGGATTATGGCAGCCTAAGGGGAATATATAATCTAGAAATGGCATATGTGCTGCCCCCTTTCTCTCCTGCATTCATATCAGATACTACCAATCAATCATGTATTCTTTACTGCTGCACCAAGATATGGCCTCACAACACTCATCACTTTGTTCTAAGCAGCCACGGTCAATTGAAGGGTATTGGCATGAAGATGAAACCCATTTGTCACTTCTGTACTAACAGTTTCTTGGAGGATGAGGGATGATGTGTCCCTAAGAGTACACATAATTTCACAATTTGTGCCATGTACCCAGTTAAAATAAATTGGTGGAAGGAACAGGGGTGACTTATCTATGCAGTGTGCAGCACAATCGATTATGAGTTCTACCACGTACTTGCTCTGTGACCTGGGACAAGTCACTTCAGCCTTCTGAACCTGTTTTCCCATCTATGAAACAGGAGCAATGGTACCCAGCTCACGGAGTTGCCAAAGAGCTCAAATGAGCTCATGTGTGTGAGATAAGAGATGAGGCAACACCTACATGTGAAGAATTTTTGAGGAAGAATGCCCCACCTTGTTGTTGGAGACAGGAAGGATACAGACCATGCTGAGAGTTTAGTGAGATTTTTCAGCTCTGCTATACCCCAGTGCGGAAAATGAATTCCAAAGTCAAGACCCCAAAATCCTATTTCCCTAGTCTTTCCCAGTGAGGTCCAAGGCAGCCAAGTCATACAATGAGGAGGACTTCTCCAATCAGGTACCTTGAGGCTGGAGCTGTAGGCTCTGCCAGGCCAGGGGTCTTCTCTGACCAGGAAAGGGGCAGATGTCTAGGGTTTTCCAGATCAGTACCTAGGACAGGGAATCTAGGTGAAATACACAGCCTTGACCGCTGAAGGACTCAGCAAAGGGCAGGCAAACACCCTTTTGGTTTTTTTCCTTTTCTTTTCATTTTTTCGTTTTCGTTTTTGAGACAGGGTCTCTGTTGCCCAGGCTGGAGTGCAGTGGTGCAATCAGGGCTCACTGTAGCCTTGACCTCCTGGGCTCAAGAGATCTTCCCACCTCAGCCCCCTGTGTAACTGGGACTACAGGCATGTGTCCCATTGCCCGGCTAATTTTTTTTAATTTTTATAGAGACAGGAGCTCGCTATGTTGCCCAGGCTGGTCTCAAATTCCTGGGCTCCACTGATCCTCTCACCTTGGCCTCCCAAACTGCTGAGATGACAGGGTGAACCACCATGCCTGGCCACCTTTCTTTTCAAAGCTACTCCCTAGCCTAATGCCCTTCAGTGATTCCTCTTACTCATGGATAAAGTAAAAAAGACCTTGAAGGCCAGCCTCACCTTTTCCAACCTCACCTTCTGAATTTCCCTACCCTTAACCCATTGCTCCAGCCATTCTCTCCATTCCCAAATGAACCAGGCTCTCTCACACACACTTCCCGGCTTTTGCAAGTGCTGTTGCCTTTTCCACACAACGTACTCCACACCACCATTCACCAAATCCATTTAACCAAACTGTCTTTCACACATCCTTTCAAACTAATGCCTTCCGACGGATCCCTGCTTAGGGTAATATAAGCCTCTCTTATGCATTCCCTTGGCAGCCTATACTACCCTTCATCATAATATTTATTACAATAGACTGTTGACAATCTGAGAGCAGGACTGTGTTTTATGTTTATATCTTCATGGCTTAGCACAGTGCCTGGCACCATAAATAGTGTTCAATAGTCATTCAAAGAAAAAAT
This sequence comes from Homo sapiens, assembly GCF_000001405.40. Lineage (NCBI taxonomy): Eukaryota > Metazoa > Chordata > Mammalia > Primates > Hominidae > Homo > Homo sapiens. The sequence goes on along the minus strand of NC_000011.10, from coordinate 83,293,496 downwards.
GAGTAATCGATGAGAGACACCAGGTTATGATGTAACATTGCAAAGTATATAATGTTTTGACAGCTCTTTCTTCTTCTTTTCTACCATTCTTTTAATCATTCTTTTCTTTGATTTATTTTAATGGGCAAACTCGGAATCGGGTGTCATTGCCAGCCTCCCTGTATAATTAGGAAAAAAAAAATTTCCCCAGATTTTCAGGGAATACGGGCTGATAGTCACTTTCCAGCCATGCAAAATGTGAAATTAACATAAAGCTACACAAAGCTTTTGTGACAATGGGCCCTCTGACTCAGCTTCAGAGATGAGAGCAAAGAAGCAAAGAATTGTCCTTGGTTCTTTTCACATCCTCCCCCTAGTGGCAAGAGCTCCAAGTAAGCTAAGGAAGAAAATGAAACCCATTTGGTCCAGAGCTCTCTCTTTCTCAATGCCTCATTCACAGGCTTTAAAACACATCGAGATTCCTTCACATCACCTATTCCAAGAGAAAATGACTGACACATGTGAGTGGTCCAGGCTGCATTCTCTCTCCGTGAAGTCACCAGAGCTATAGTCGTAGTCCTGGGTGATCTCTGGTCATCTGATACAATTGTGCCCAAGCTGGGACCCCAGACCTCTAAACATCAGAGGAAAGAGTACTGGAGCAATGGGGTCCTCAAGAGGATTTGGACATATTAAAATGCCTCAAAAAATTGTATCATTGCTGGAGATGAAATTGGAAACCACTGAAGAAATTGGCAAGTATCTTCGCCTTCCCCTGTAAATTTATCAGCTTACTGTTAAATCAGCACTGCTTATCTCCCACTCACCAACAGTAACTTATCTTGAATTAATGGAAAATAGGAAAATAAGTAGTGGCTTCATACATGTTGTTGGTAAAGAGTGTAAGCTGTGTTTTAAATGGGAGCTTATAAAGGTAAAAAAAAAAAAGTGGTTATTTGCAATGAAAAAAACCAGGACCCACTTCCCTGCTACCCTGTTGGCCTTTGAGATTTAGATAAACTAGGCTGCTTTCAGCAGGGGAGCATTTCTCATGTCCAGGCCATCTCATCAGACATTGGAAGAGGAAAGGATTCATTTGCCTACACTAGCAAATGGCAAATAGTTATTTTCTAGAAAGAAATTCAAACTGATTTTTATCTATTTTAGCTCAAAAAATTTCAAAATCTCCTGCAAGTCCACTGTATGAAATTCAATTTCCTTAGTCTTTTTTATTCTACCTTTTTCATTTTGTTCACCCCAATTCCACCCAGTCTTCATATAATTCCTATGCCCCAGTCTACGAAGTTTCCTCACCAAACTATGACCATATTTTGAACATTCACTCATTCATTCAACACACACTTACCAAAAGCTTGTTATGGCCCAGGCATGATAAGCACTGGAGACACCATGACACATATGGTCTCTACCATAATGGAGAAAACAAATATTAAGTGCAGAGACATGGGAAGGCTGGGTTGCTGTATGAGTCCATAACAAAAGTACCAAATCTGCATGTTGTTTGAGTGGGAATGACTTCTTAAAGAGTTACTCTAAAAAGTCACCATTTAAACTGGAATCTGAAAGATATAAAGGAATTGGCCAGATAAAGAGGAGAAAGAGCTCCAAGTTGAGTAGTGATGCTTTACCATATGCAAAGTCCCTGAGTAGGAAGGAGCAAAGCGATGAGTAAATTGTACTTGCTCACTCCAATCCTCTCTCCTGGACCCCTTGCCTTACAACCTCTACTAACTAAAACCCCTAAGGTTCAAATCCTATCTCTTCTTGATAACCATTATCAAAAAGCATTTAACCTTCAACTGAATTATAGGATTTATTATTTTCTTAACATTTACATGACACTAACCTATTAAAGCTCTGTGTTGAAGGCTATTAAAATGCTTGTTCTATTCTCTCAGTTATTAATATATTACAAATTACTGGAGAGCAGAAATCTTTGCAATCCTTGCGTATCCTAGCAGAAATCCCTGCACGTAGTAAGAACTTGAATAGTTGTTGGATTGAACTGGTTTTCTTTACATTCCTCACATCTAACCTTAAACCTAGCTGGCACTCAGATATTTCTGTAAGTAAAACTGGAAAAATGAAAAATGTTTAAAAGTCCAGAGAAGAATAATATTGTGAAGGGTCCGAGATCTTACCCTATTAGCAGGCTATCAAGTTATCCTGTCATGGTTGCATGGATGCTGGTAGAAGATATGAGACTCCTTGCTAGAAACAAAGAACCCAATTACTGATGGTGCAGCGAGCAGCACGAGTATCGGCATATTTGTGTCAGCTCCCCTTGGCCCCAAGTTCATGGGGATGATGCAGCTGGGGCTACGTAGATGCCTGAGCACGTACAGTACATTGCATTACAGAGAGGAACCCTGACCTATGAGAACACAAATCTTTTATAATAGGCAGTAAGCATGAGGCCTTTTGCTCCAGAGAGAGATGCTATATTTCCTAAGGTTGTTCGTTATACAAAACTGCCACAACAAAAGGCAGAGAAGACCTCCATTTGTAAAACATACAGAAACATGAGACACCCATGGAAATTATTTCCTAACTCTGAGTAAGCAGGTATTATTATTGTTTATTGGGTGCTTGTATATGCCAGGTCCAGTGCTAAGTATTTTAGATGCATCATCTTTTCTATTCCTCTCAACAAACATGAGAAAACATTAACAAATTTATGGAAAAATATTTTTATAAATTAAGATGTTTAACAAAGAAACAATAGCAACCAAGGAGAATCTGAAAATACACAGGAGCATTAGGAGGTCTCAGAGAGGAGCTGTATCTATTAGCTGAATACTATCTGGACTCACTTCATCTGCTATTCCTGCTTTTCCTTCCTATGCTTCTCTGGCCTGCATGGTAGATTATGGATGACCCAAGCTCCTGCACTCACTTGATATAGTTCCAGCCAGCCTCAGAGAATGATTAAGAATCCCTGGATCTAATTGCCACTTCCATCAAAGAGAACATAATCAACACTGTATATGTGTGTTACAGAGAGAGCTTTATGTTAATATAAATAATAGTAACATGAATTAATATATAAAGAGATCCACTTTTTTCATAATAATTCCTTAAGTTAAGTAAAATATTGTGATAACACTTACTGGTCTGTATCTTCCACTAGCCTGTTAGCTCCTCCCAAGCAGGGATCCTATCATTTAACAGAATTATAATCATGTATATAATTATAATTATAATCCTGTATATAAGAATTATACAGAATTATAATTATGTATATACATGTATTAAGGATTTTCCTGTCACTAAGATTATTTTTAAAAATACTAAATTCTTGCATAATATTCCAAATTGGGACACTTCTGCAAGTTATTTAATCACTTTTGAATACTTAGACTATTTTCAATTTTTCACTACTATAAATAACATTGCAATAGTCATCCTTTTCAAAAATCTTAGCTACAGATGTGATTATTTACTATGGATAGCTTCTTAGAAGTGAAACTCTAGGCCAGGTGCGGTGGCTCACAGTTGCCTGTAATCCCAGCACTCTGAGAGACCGAGATGGGTGGATCACCTGAGGTCAGGAGTTCAAGACCAGCCTGACCAGCATGGCGAAACCCCACCTCTACTAAAAATACAAAAATTAGCTGGGTGTGGCAGCGCATGCCTGTAATCCCAGCTACTTGGGAGGCTGAGGCAGGAGAATTGCTTGAACCCGGGAGGCTGAGGTTGCAGTGAGCCAAGATCACACCGTTGCACTCCAGCCTGGGTGATAGAGCAAGACTCTGTCTCAAAAAAAAAAAAAAAAAAGAAGAAGTGAAACTCTGGCTATTTACTTTTTGGAGTTTCATAAATATATTACTAAATTGCTAAAGGCCAAAACTGGAAACACATTCCCCTTGAGAACTGGAACAAGAAAAGGATGCCCATTCTCACCACCCTTATTCAACATAGTACTGGAAGTCCCAGCCAGGGCAATCAGGCAAGAGAAATAAATAAAGATATTCAAATAGGAAGAGAGGAAGGTAAACTATCTCTCTTTGCCAACGATATGATTCTACACCTAGAAAACCCTAAAGACTCTCCCAAAGGCCCCTGGAACTGATAAACAAATTCAGTAAAGTTTCAGGATACACAATCAATGCACAAAAAATCAGTAGCATTTTTATACACCAATAATGTTCTAGCTGAGAATCAAATCAAGAACACAATCCCATTTACAATAGGCACAAAGAAAATGGAATACTCAGGATCATCTCACCAGGGAGGTGAAAGATCTCTGCAAGGAGAACTACAAAACACTACTGAAAGAAAGCAGAGACAACACAAATAAATGGAGAAATATTCCATGCTCATGGGTTGGAAGAATCAATACAGTTAAAATGGCCATACTATCCAAAACAAATTACAGATTTAACGCTATCCTTATCAAAATACCAACATCATTTTTCACAGAACTAGAAAAACCTCTTCTAAAATTAATTTGGAACCAAAAAAGAGCCTGAATAGTCAAAGCAATCTTAAGCAAAAAGAACAAAGCAAGACTTCAAACAATACTATAAGGCTAAACTAATCAAAACAGCATGGTAGTGTTACAAAAACAGACACATAGACCAGTAGAACAGAATAGAGAACCCAGAAATAAAGCCACACACCTAAAACCATCTGGTCTTCAACAAAATCAACAAAAATAAGCAACACGGATAGCATTCCCTATTCAGTAAATGGTGGTGGGATAACTGGCTAGCCATATGCAGAAGAATGAAACTGGACCCCCCTACCTCTCACCATATACAAAAATTACCACAAGCTGGATTAAAGATTTAAAAGTAAGCCCTCAAACTATAAAAACTCTAGAAAAAAAACTAGGAAATACCCTTCTTGACACAGGCTTTGGAAAAGAATTTATAGCTAAGTCCCCAACAGCAATTACAACAAAAATAAAAACTGACAAGTGGGACCTAATTAAAGAGCTTCTGCACAGCAAAAGAAATTACCAACAGAGTAAACAGATAGCCTAAGAATGGGAAGGAGAAAATATTTGCAAACTATGCATCTGACAAAGGTCTAACATCCAGAATCTATAAGGAATTTAAACAAACCAAGAAGTATAAAACAATCCAATTAAAAAATGAGCAAAGGACATGAACACACACTTCTCAAAAGAAGACATACAAATAGCCAACAAACATGAAAAAATCCTCAACACCACTGATCATTAGAGAAATGCAAATCAAAACTACAATGAGATGCCATCTCACACCCATCAGAATGGCAATTATTAAGAAAAAAAATTCACATATTGGTTAGGCTGTGAAGAAAAGGGAATGCTTATACTCTGTTGATGGGAATGCAAACTAGTTCAGCCACTATGGAAAGCAGTTTGGAGATTTCTCAAAGAACTTAAAATACAACTACCATTCAACCCAGCAATCCCACTACTGGGTATATACCCAAAGGAAAATAATTCATGCCATCAAAAAGACACAGAGCTGGGCACCGCAGCTCATGCCTGTAATCCCAGCACTTGGGAGGCCTAGGCGGGTGGATAGTTTGAGCCCAGGAGTTCTGGACCAGCCTGGGCAACATGGCAAGACCCCATCTCTACAAAACATGCAAAAATTAGCCAGTTGTGGTAGTGCACACCTGTAGTCACAGCTACTTGGAAGCCTGAGGCAGGAGGATCAGTTAAGCCCAGGAAGTTGAGGCTGCAGTGAGCCATGCACGACTGCACTCCAGCCTGAGTGACGCAGCAAAACCCTGCCTCAAGCCAAAAAAAAAAAAAAAAAAAAAAAGACACATGCAACCGTATGTTCATTGTAGTGCCATTCACGATAGCAAGGACATGAAATCAACCTAAGTGCCCATCAACAGTGGACTGGATAAAGAAAATGTGGTACATATACACCATGGAATATAATGCAGCCATAAAAATAAGGAAATTATACTCTTTGTAGCAACATGGATGGAACTGGAGCCATTATCCTATGCAACCTAATGCCAAGAACAGAAAACCAAATACACATGTTCTCACTTATAAGTAGGAGCTAAACATTGAATATATGATGGTAAACGTGGAAACAACAGGCATTGAGGATCATTAGATGAGGAAAGGGGGAGACGGACAGAGGGGCATGGGTTGAAAAAGCACCTGTTGAGTACTATGCTTACATCCTGTTGGGATCATTGGGACCCCTAACCTCGATATACCCTAAGGTTTTGCGTTTTGTATTTTGAAACTGGTAAGATCAAACTTTTTTCCCAATTTTTTTTTTTTTTTTTTAGATCGAGTCTCACTCTGTCGCCCAGGCTGGAGTGCAATGGTGTGATCTCGACTCACTGCAACCTCCGCCTCCAGGATTCAAGCGATTCTCCTACCTCAGCCTCCTGAGTAGCTGGGATTACAGGCATGTGCCACCACGCCCGGCTAATTTTGTATTTTTAATATAGACAGGGTTTCTCCACGTTGGTCAGGTTGGTCTCGAACTCCCGACCTCAGGTGATCTGCCCGCCTCGGCCTCCCAAAGTGCTGGAATTACAGGCATGAGCCACCACGCCCAGCCATCCCAGTGTTTTAAATAGCAATTTATATTTCCTCTTCATGAATTGTCTGTTAAAGCAGTTGTTGGCGGGAATCAAGTTTTGTTCTTTCAATGTGCTTCGGGCCTTAGAAATGGTGTTTGTTACTTAGTTGACTCTCACAAAGCTTTGAATACATATAGATAGAAACCTAGCCGTAATTGTTTAGAATCTTGAGAGAGTAAGCCACTAACACCGCACAACTGTGTGCCATTTTACAACTTACAGAGAATATTCATGAGTATTAGTGCATTTTAATACAACTACTGTGCATTGTTGCTTTCAGCATTTTACTATGCGGAGCAGTCTTGAGTAACTGAGGTCTGAGAAGGATAAATGGTGAAAATTCAAGGAATTTCTCCTAGAAACGGAGGAATTCGGCTTCCCTAAAGAAAGGACATACCGACTGAAATAGTTGGTCCTCCCGTGCACCAGAGGGTGAAGCAGCAGGATGTGACGCCTCACGAAAAGTGAGCGGCTTGCTGGACTACACTTCCCAGAAGGTTTCGTTGGCCCTCGCACTACGCAATCACCCAGAACGCTCAGCGGCCGAAAACTTCAGGTTCCAGGCTGCTGTGCGGCTAAATGCGACTCCATCTCCCCCGACCCAAGCGCGTAATGGCCGCTGGCTATCTTGGGGGAGCCAGCTGTTGGACTATGCCCCACTGCCAGGAAACAGGCGCCGGAAGGTTCTCTGACAAGATCTCGCTTTCCTAGGGCGGTGAAGGCGTTCAAAGGTCGGGAAGGGGCGCTGGGAGAAGCGGGGCAGCGCTGAGCCATGCTCGCGAACTGTGGGTCTGTCTGTGAAGAGACCCAGTTTCGTGGGACCACGGTGGCGCCTGCGCTGGGAGGTGAGCTTGTGACAGAGCGAAAACTACAATTCCCAGCATTCCTGTGGTGCCAGAACTACCTTGCCCGAAAGCCTGTGCGAGATTTACCCCGTCTTCCGCCTCCCTCCCACCGGAAAACTCTGAGGACATGAATAGTCGCCAGGCTTGGCGGCTCTTTCTCTCCCAAGGCAGAGGAGATCGTTGGGTTTCAAGGCCCCGCGGGCATTTCTCGCCGGCCCTGCGGAGAGGTGAGGCAAGGCGTCGTGTCATAGATGCCTGAGTGCTCTCTAGGGAGACGATGCCCGTGGGGTCGCGCCTGCTCGAGCGAACGGGAAGAGAAGGTGCCACGCCCTCCTCCCGGATTCACGCCTTGTGCTGGGCGACGCCGCTGCCTGCTGCCCCGACTTGCCCAGCTCGCCCCAAGGGGCGAGGACTGAGGAAAGCACTGCCTTTCTGTTCTTAAAGCGAACCTTTGAAGGCCTGGGCTTCGCGCCCGGCTTCTTTCTCAGCCGTTGTTTCCGTTTTTTGGTGACAAGAGGCTAGTAATCTCGTCAGGAGCCAACGTAAGGTAATCTGTGTTTGAGGGTGTCCTGTTTTCTTTTGTGGCCTGATCAAATTTTGATTTTGTTTTTTTAGGTGCTGGCCTCGAGCCCAGGTTTTTGGTAGACAGCATCATAAATTTCAGGCCACGTCTGCCTTATTCTCACTGGAATTCTCAGTACATTTCAGTCACATTGTAGACTTTGGGAAAATAAGTGAATACTGGAACCCACAAGTTTCCAACCTGTTGGCACCCCTGTTAACAGGGTGTCCTGAAGACATCTAACTTTATTCAGAGAAATGTTTCTAGGGCTAGGTTTTTGTTGTCGTCGTTGTTTTTCACCCCCAGTTTTTTAACTTCCCTCCCAGTTTTTAAACCGTTTTAAGGTTGTCCACAAAATAGGCGAATAGGCACCTCTTATCTCTGTTCACCTTCTTGAATCTTCAGTGCCAGGTACGCTGAGCCATTCGGTACCCAAACACTTCTACGCTGTTATTTATACTCCATATTGTTACTTGTGCTATTTTGCTCATTGTTTCATTTTAATCCACACCAGTAACAGCTGCAGTCAAAACTGCAGTTGTTGATCCTCCATCTGTGAGATTGCTGTTTAGCTGCCAGGGTCATTCACAAGGTCTCTTTTGTTAGGTATTTGAGTGTTTAGCATACATACACATTATGATGGATTTTACAAAAAGGAGGTAGCACTTTTGAACTCCAGGAAGTCATCCAGCTGCCATCTTTGTTGACTTTTACATATCCAAATGAAAACAAAATTAAATGTTCTTAGAGAATGAACTTTGAAGTGTATATCATACTGGGAAATAAATGACCATAAGTACATGTTAATGTTTTAACATAAAAGTTATCCCACTTGAATCTGAGTGTTCTTGGAGAAACCTTAAATCTCTTCTTACAACTAGTAGGATTTGTGTCCTTCCTCACTAAACAAATATTGAATGTTTATTTTATACAAGTAGTTTAAACTTGCCTAATAATGTCAATAATCAAGGGATTTGAAAACCTTGACCTCTGACCAATGGAAGGACCTTAGTTATTCTAGTGCAACTAGTGTAGCACGTTAGTAGACCAGCATGTAAGAATATATGCTGTTAATGCCTGTTCTTTTGAATTCCTGACAGAAAAGTAACTGGCTATACACTGAAGTGTTTCAGCTGTAAAATTAGCAGTAAATTAATATAAAACTTGCAGCTTAAATTTAATGGGACAACACTTTACATGTTTGCTTGGTTGTTTTTTCAAAAGTAAAATTTGACCTTTTCCAGCAAAGAGGAGCTTGGTGCAAGATAGGCCAGAGTTCCAATCCACAATCTATGACTTAGTAGTTTTGTGAAACTGGTTAAACCTTTAAACTCTTGAGTTTGTATCTCGCTATTACGAACAAACAAATCCACAAGATAGGTATCAAAGAAACAAAAGTAGTAACAATGAAAGGAAAGGTTTGGGGTTTTGTACAGATGTTTAAGTCTGTACAAAACTCTTCAAATTATTAAGGATCTGTTATTCCACTTTGAGCTGGAAACACTGATTCTGGGCACTTCATCTCCCCTACCTATTAATATGGCTGCAAAGACTTACTTATTTTTATTTTTTATTTTTTTGAGACAGGGTCTCTGTCACTCAGGCTGGTGTGCCTTGGCGCCATCTCGGCTCCCTGCAGCCTGTGCCTCCCAGGCTCAGGTGATCCTCCCACTTCAGCCTCCCAAGTAGCTGGGACTACAGGCACACACCACCATGCCCAGCTAGTTTTTGTAATTTGTGTAGGGACAGAATCTTCCCACGTTGCCCAGGCTGATCTCAAACTCCTAGGCTCAAGCAATCCGCCTGCCTTGGCTTCCCAAAGTGCTAGGATTACAGGCATAAGCCACTGCACCCGGCCTGTAAAGACATTCTTAATGAGTGCTTATGCACTGAACTGCCCATGACACAGTTGGAATAGTGATTATGACACCCTACTATGAATATCCAATGGTTTTTCCAGTTCCTTATGGCTTCCAAAGTGGAGTGAAACCCAAAGTTCTACTGCCAGTGGGTGTCAATACCTACCTCATAGGATTGGGAGGACTAAGCAAAATATTATGTGAATATTTGAGCACATATAAGGAATAATGTTTTACATATCCTTCTGTATTCTCAGCTCTCCTTAACCCCATAATAAATAGAAGCCAAGAGAATAGCAAAGGCAGCCCATGCCTAGATTTTGCTGATTTCATTCATCCTGTCTGGATAACTTCTCTCAGATTTAATATAGTTCTACCATCATCCAAATAGCCATTCTTGATCCTTTATTCTCAAGGAGGGCCAAATGCTTCTCCTTTGTATTATTCATCATTGTGTATACATAATGCCAAGCACAGTGCCTTTCATTCAGCAAGTATCTATGGAGCATCCAGAATTGTGTAGGCATTGGGGATTCAGTAGTGAGCAAGAACAGATGTGGTCCCTGCTCTCAAGGACTGTATAGTTTAGTGCAGGGGTTGACAAACTTTCTGTAAAGAGCCTAATAAATATTTCAGGCTTTGTAGGCTGTAAGGTCAGTCACAACTATTTGCTTTGCCACTGTAGCATGAAAGTAGCCATAGATTAATCCATAAATGAATGAGCTGTGTTCTAATAAAACTATCTAGTTCTAATGAATAAAACTAGAAAAACAGGCGGTGGTAGTCTATGGGCTATAGTTGGCTGACTGCTGGTCTCTTGGGGAGACAACTGAGAGTCACATAAATGTGTAAATTATGAGAGGGTTTGCAAAAGAATCCTGTGCAGTACTATGAAAAACCATCATGAGAGAGACATAACCTAAAGGAGTCATCAGGCTTTCCAGAGGAAGAAACATTCAGACTGAGCTCTGAAGGATAAACATGAGCAGGCAAAGAAAAGGAGAGCTTTCTGAACAGGGCAGGGGCTAGGCAAAGGCCCTGAGAAGGGAAAGCACATGGCATGTTTGTGGAATTAAAATCAAAGAGCCCTTGAAAGCAGAGGACCAGAGAGAGCATAGTAGGACATGAGACGAGCTGCACCCTACAAAGATTTATTGGCTTGTTAAGGTATTTGGTCTCTATCCCAAATTTAGCAGGAAGCTGCTGGTATTCAGAGTGTTTGTTGACTAAGTCAGAGGAACTGTACTAATCTGCCTAGCTATGAGACCATAAGATCTCAGACTAATTACAGACAGTCCTCAACTTAAGATAGTTTAACTTAAAAATTTTTGACTTTACCATGGTGCAAAAACAGTGTGCATTCAGTAGAAACTGTACTTTGAATTTTGATCCTTTCCTAAGCTAACGATAATGCAGTATTCTTGCAATACTGGGCAGGGGCAGCAAGCCGCAGCTCCCAGTTAGCCATTGATCACAAGGGCAAACAACCAATACTTAGTATTGCCAGGGTTTTTGGGTTTTGTTTTTGCATCCCATCGTGTTTACAAAATGCCCATCTGGGTGTCTACATGAAATATTCAACACTTTATTATAAAGTAGGCTTTGTGTTAGATGATTTTGGCCAACTATAGGCTAACGTAAGTGTTCTCGACAAGCTTGAGGTAAGCCAGGCTAAGCTGTGATGTTCAGCAGGTTAGGTGTATTAAATGCATTTTCAGCTTAGGATATTTTCAATTTATGATGGATTTATTGGGACATAACCCTTTTATAAGCTGAGGAGCATCCATACTTAGCCCTGAGCCTCAATTTACCTCATCCATAAAATGAGAATTTTAAGGATGGGGTAATAGATGTGAAAACAGTAAAATATTATTTAAATATTATTACTGATTTTTTTTTTCTAAATCCAAATAAACTTCTAATCAGGAATATGTAACTAAGAGTACCATCATTACTCCTAATGCAGTTGTTATTGAAACTACTGAAATCTGCCCCTTTTTCCTCTAATTTTTCTTTTTCTCTCCTACCTTAGGTCTGATATTTACACACAAAGGCATAGTTCTTTACCCTTCTAGATGACATTCAAGTGAAAAAGATTACTGACCAGTGTACTAATATGTGTGTTTTTAAAAATTGCTCCACCTTTATTTACAGCTACTTGCTTTTATCTCTTCAGTTAAATAGAATTTTTTGGAGTATTTTAATGAATCTTTTATCATTTGAATTTAGAGTTTATTGTTAGATTTTTTAAAAAAAACAATATCTGTTTCCTGCCTTCTAGTCCATAAAATCAGTGAGAATATCATTTATGTCTGGTTTTGCTTATGATTTTATCCCCTATGCCTGGCACAAGTTCTAGCACTCAATCAATATTCATTAGGCTAGAAGGATATAAAGAAGGAATCACATTTGTCCTACACAGTACTAGTGGAAAAATAATGCCTGAAGTTGCAGCCTTTTAAATATCTAGATATTTTAAGTGACTTAAGATACATAAGAGAGACAGCATGGAGTGTAAGATTTGGAGTCAGAAGTACCTGAGTCTGAATCCTAATTCTGCCATTGGCTCTGTAAAGGTAACTCCTTCACCTTCCCAAAAGTTGTTTATGGGCAGGGCACCTTGTAATAAATTCATCAGCAATATATAGAAAAGGTCTTTACTGTGTCTAGGTTAAAACTTGGGGAATTTATTGAAATAGGACAAGAAGGGTTATTTCAGAAATGAGAAATTTTTCTTAGGGTTCTTATGTTGATACCAGTAAATACGTCCATGATTTCAAATCAAATTCATTGATTGAATCAACAGTAAAACTTGGTGGCCCAACTATGTGCCAAAGCACTGTTCTACGTGCTAAAGATACAGTAGTGAAAACCACAGTCAAAGCATCATGGAACTTCCATTCTGATCCAGAGATACAAACAGCAAATAAGATAATTTCATGTTGGAGCTGAGAACTACGTAGGAAATAAACTGTGGATATATAAGTGAGTGGGAGTATGGAAAGCTACTTTAAACAGGGATTAAGTGTAAAAAATTTTCATAGCTCTTTGAAAGACTATTACTGAGCACAGAGAAGAATTGAATTGTGCAGTTTCTGCTTTTCAGTAATTAGAGCTGAGGTGGTGATAACCAAAGCATTTGATGTGTGTTTTATTACAAGTTTATACTGACTCTTAACATTTCTGAATACCAAAGGAGGGAAAAGAAACATTTATTGAATGTTTGGTGTGTACAGAAGAACGTCAGAGACTTTTCAGATAAAAGAGAGGCTCAGAGGAGTCAATTAACTTGGGTGAGATGACAAAACTAGAAGAGCTGGAACTATATTATAAATGGATGGGGAAAATGCTTTGTAAGCTAAAGTAGCTTTGTAAGCTATCAGTTACTACAAAAGAAAAAAATTGTCTTCTCTTTCAGAGTTCTTCACTACCACAACCAAGGAGGGATATGATAGGCGGCCAGTGGATATAACTCCTTTAGAACAAAGGAAATTAACTTTTGATACCCATGCATTGGTTCAGGACTTGGAAACTCATGGTGAGAAACATGGATACCTCCTGAAAGAAGAAAATTAATAGCACTCATAATGCCTAGTTAAGACAATATCACTATTATGAACAATCAAAAGTAACTAAATAGATGTACCATCCATACAATGAAATATTTTATAGTCACTAAAAATGATACTGTTTGAGAAATATTTACTGATATGGGGAATGTTCAAGATATGTTAATTGAAAAAAGCATATGAAATAATATGTGCAGAATTATTCCAATTAAGTGAAAAAAAACTAGAGTTTCTAGGTTAAACTAAAGTCCGTGTGGAAGTACAAATGTTTGAGATTAAAAAATAAAAAAAAAGCACAAAAAATTACCTGATATCAAAACAGTAATTTAAATTATGTGATATTAAAGGAATAGACTAATAGAACAAAATGGTATTAAGAGACACAGACATGAATTTAATATGTGATGAAGGCATTACAAATTAGGGAAAGGAAGGACTATTTAATAAATGAGACATAATAAGTGACTAGCCACTGGGAAAAAATATATTAGATCCCCTTATTGAAAACTAAATTTCAGATAGATGAAAAGCTAAATGTAAAAGAAGAACAAGCAGTTTTACAGAAAAAGGTGGGCAAATGCTATAAACAAGCAGAACACAGAAAAATAAATATAAATAACAAAAAGTATATGTAATGCTTAACCTCTCTACAAACCAAGGAAATGCAAATTTAAGTAACATTAAAATAACAATGCAATACAATTTTTTATGCCAATTACACACTCAAAAAAAAAGTCATATCCAGTGTTAATGTAGATGTGGGGAGATACAGAATGAGAATTAAAATTTTAGAGTTTGTTTTTTTGTTTGTTTTTTTTTTGTTTTTTTTGAGACAGAGTCTCGCTCTGTTGCCCAGGCTGGAGTAAAGTGGCGCGATCTCGGCTTACTGCAAGCTCTGCCTCCCAGGTTCACACCATTCTCCTGCCTCAGCCTCCCGAGTAGCTGGGACTACGGGCGCCCGCCACCACGCCTGGCTATTTTTGTATATTTAGTACAGATGGGGTTTCACCGTGTTAGCCAGCATGGTCTCAATCTCCTGACCTTGTGATCTGCCCACCTCGGCCTCCCAAAGTGCTGGGATTACAGGCGTGAGCCACCATGCCCGGCCTAAAGTTGTAGAGTTCTTTTAGAGAGTAATTTAGTATTATCTGTCAATTTTTTAATTGTAACCATTATTTAAAAGAGTATAACAATTTAAATGTTGAGGAGTTACTCTTGCTGTCTATTTTGATAAGGATATACACTTTAAAAAAAATAAAATACCTATTTGCTGCCTACAGGATTTGACAAAACACAAGCAGAAACAATTGTATCAGCGTTAACTGCTTTATCAAATGTCAGCCTGGATACTATCTATAAAGAGATGGTCACTCAAGCTCAACAGGTAATACACTGATTACTATCACTTCTGATACTTTCATTAGACAATCATTTCATAACTATGTCTCTGTCTACCTACTGACCTTCCAAACATGCTTATATCTTCCTTGTTCTCTCTAAAGGGACCACAAAAAAAAACATTGAATAAAGTCAGTATTTAGAGAGACTGAATAGTTAGAATAGTTGTAATAATATTGTGGTAACAGAGAATGGTATTTTGCCAAATCTTTGATGGGATGAGATCATTATATTGTGTTATTCATGAGTGGTGGTAGATTGTTTGTGAAACAACTTTTTCCCTCTAGAAAGCTCACCACAGAAGAGCTAATCTTTCTATATATTCAGTATATTTTATTGCTGCTATACATACACATTGGTTAATTTTCACAGACATAGCTGGAAAGGACTTAGTTGGCTGGGAGGGACTTTATAAATTCCCTGGCTAAGACGCCTTAATTTAACTGAATATAAAAATCCTTAAAGTCAAACATAAGAATTTAACATGTAAGTGGCACAATGCTATGTACTTTTCGTATATTATTTAATCTCTAATAACCTTGAAAAGTAAGCAGAATTCTATTTGGCCACTGAAGACAGGCTCAGAGAAATTGAGTAGTTTGCAAGAGTTTTCACTGTGGTGGTATGGACAAAAAGCAATAATTTTATATAAAGGACTGAATAAACTAAATGAACTTAACTGGAATAATAATTCATTTCTGTCAGTCATGAAATAATGTATTATGTTTAGGAATCTGTTTTCTTCCTATGGTTATATTTTTTTCATTTTAATTTTTCAAATTTAGGCTTCCTTCCTCAGATAAGTATTTTACAGCACAGAGAAAAATCAGGATTTCTTATATAAAATTAGAATATTTTGCATAAAATTTCATTAAAGGGTCATGGTAGATCAAAAGATCTTACAGATTTCTACTATGGCCAGGTGCCGTGGGTCACACCTGTAATCCCATTACTTTGGGAGGCTGAGGTACACAGATCACTTGAGGTCAGGAGTTCAAGACTAGCCTGGCCAATAAGGTGAAACACTGTCTCTACTTGAAAAAACAAAAAAAAAAACAAAAATTAGCCGGGCATGGTGGTGGGCACCTGTAATCCCAGCTCCTCGGGAGGCTGAGGCAGGAGAATCGCTTGAACTGGGGAGGTGGAGGTTGCAATGAGCCAACATTGCACCACTGCGCTCCAGCCTGGGTGACAGAGACTCCATCTCAAAAAAAGAAAAAAACAAAAATTAAAACTGTAATCTCCAATTATAGTAGACAAATGTCCAATTAATTAGACATTTAAAATTGAAACATTCAATCCCTACATTTAACTTACCTTTAAGTTTGTACATGCATTTTTAGGATCATAACAGACTACTAAATCCACTAAAGAAAAAGCCAAACATCTAATTAGTTACTCCTAAGCTCCGAGCTGTCCTGAAAGAGCTATATGGAGCTACTGATACTTTTAATAAAGTAATTTTGTCTTAAATTTTTAAGTTTACCTATAATATAGGGAGTGAAATAAAGCTGTGATTTGAGGAATATTTGTGCTGCCAGGACCATTTAATCCTATATACAAGAGGTAGGATTGAGTATAGAAATATCACTATTAAACTTTTGGCTTTTTTATTACTGCTGTCTGAAGTTAAATAATCCTGTTCTGTTCTTGAACCTAATTCAATTGCTGACCCCACCTCTAGTATAGAATAAGGCACAGAGATGTCATGAAGGGTGAAGCTAAGGCTCAGGGTCATAGGCCATTAAGCTGCATACTTGATCACTTCAGAAAGGGCCATATGAAAACAAGTCAGCTAGCAGGATGAGGGGGAAAAAATAAAATAATAAAGTCTTATTCTGAAAATTTGATTATATTGTGATTTTGATTAAAATCTGAATATTCTCTGATGGCTCCATAGTAGTTTAAAAAAATCACACTTTTAATAGATTTAGCTACTTAACAATGGATTATGTGTACATTTAAAGTTGTTACAGATGGACACCTGTGCAGTTTTGTAGGCTTTTTGAGTCTGTATTTAAAGGAAGAATGAGGTAAAAAGAGGCTCTTAAGAGCCACATTAAGGCTGGTGTGGTGGCTCACGCCTGTAATCCCAGCACTTCAGGAGGCTGAGGTGAGCAGATCACTTGAGGTCAGAAGTTCGAGACCAGCCTGGCCAACGTGGCAAAACCCTGTCTCTACTAAAAATACAAAAAAATTAGCCAGGCATGATGGTGGGTGCATGTGGTCCCAGCTACTCAGGAGGCTGAGGCACGAGAATCACTCGAACCCAGGAAGTGGAGGCTGCAGTGAGACAAGATTGCGCCACTGCATTCCAGCCTGAGTGACAGAGCAAGGCTCTGTCTCAAAAAGGCCACAGTACAATCCCTTATTTTCAGGTTCAGACACCACAAGAAGTCTGTAATTAGCTTTCCAACTTCTATGTAATCTCAGTAATAAGAATACATTATTTTTAATGTCATATAATTCCTTTATAGTGATATTTGGGGCAAACACGACTGCCAGCCCCTAGAGGCCACATCTGTGTGACTTCTGAATTAATTCTCATAAAATATGTCAAGCAGAACTGAATAAAAGAAAATGAACAACCCTCCCCAGTAATATATGAGGGTTAGAAAAGGCATGAGTCAGCAATGTCTGTTGTACACAGTTAAAAACTTTTATGTATTATAAGAAGTCCAAACTTCCTCCACATTAATACATTAGCATTAGACTATCCTGCTTCAGCCATTAGATCCCTGTCCCATCGGTAATAATAATAGCTAACATCTCAGTGCTAACCATATGCCAAGTACTGTCTTAAGCATTATATGTACATAATCTCATTTAATCCTCAAAACAACTCTTTAAGTTGTACCAGGTACTGTTACTATTTCCATTTTACCAATGAGGAGACCAGAGAAGTTAAATGACTTGCTGGCATCTCACAGTAAATGGCAGAGTTTGGGTTCAAACCTAGACAGCCTGACTCCAGAACTCACACTCTTTTTTGGGCTTTCTTGTTTTATTTCTAAACTGTTATACAGAGTCCTTAATAAGGTTATACCTCATCTGCTTTTTCTTTTGGTAAAGGATAGAGAAATTAGCAAGCTACCTGATTTTAAGAAGTTTAGTGCTACAGGTTGAATATCCCTTATCTGAAATGCTTGGGACCAGAATTGTTTCAGATTTCAAATTTTTTTTTTTTTTTTTGGAATATTTGCAATACAGTTACCAGTTGAGCATCCCAAATCTGAAATCCAAAATACTCCAATGCACATTTCCTTTGAGTGTTATGTCAGCACTCAAAAAGTTCCAGATTTTGGATTTCAGATTTTTGGATTAGGGATATTCAATCTGTAACAGTTATATTTTCTTTGTAAGGCTGTCTTAAATCATTTCTACAAAATTGTCCCTCCCTAACGAGGCAAAAGCTTATAAATCTATCAGGTAAGTGCTACCTTTCACATATTCTTTGTAGTGCCAAATAATAGGGAGGATACCCAGGAATTTAAACAAAATTGGTTATGTTGTGCGGACAAAGGGCAATTATTTTAACTATACATCTATTTTGTTTTACTGCCTGACTTCTGAGTCGTATCCAATACCATGGAATTTTCCAGTGGTAGAAAATCTCTCAAAATCAAAGTAATAAGAGATAAAACCCTTTCCATCTGGGTATTCAAAAAATAAGAACAAAACATTATTTTTTTTGAGGAACTCTTAGGGTCTAAGGAAGCATTTTATTGAGATTCTTTTCATTCAAAGGCCTACAAATTTATCTCTCTTCACTAGGAAATCCTTTTTTTCTTCCTTGAATCTCTTTCTTTTCATTTTGATATTTCAGATATGTAGGTTTCATATTTACTTAACCAGTCAACATTATACCTTGTAGCATGTTAACAAATTCATTTAAATTTCATGAAAACAATTCTGTAAATAAAAAGATGGCTTTCTATAGATCACTAGGTTATTTTTATTTTGTTTTCTAGGAAATAACAGTACAACAGCTAATGGCTCATTTGGATGCTATCAGGAAAGACATGGTCATCCTAGAGAAAAGTGAATTTGCAAATCTGAGAGCAGAGAATGAGGTGATACAAATTTTAATTTATTACTTATAAAATAACTGATCTCATAATAAGCATCCTACTTAAGGAATAAGTTAATAAGACCAAGTAATAATTCCATGTGGTTAGTAAACAATAAGTTTTTAGATTTAAAAACATACTATTTGTTTAACCATACCTAATCTTTTTCTATATAAATCATAGTGCTTTGCATACTGAAGAGAATAAGAGTTACATTTTATACATATAAAACCACATAAAACAAAATCTTTGAGCTATATATATAAAATTTGTATATAATGGTTTCAGAGCTGAGAGTAATACGGCATTTTCTATTTTATTTAATCCTGTACTAAATGTCTTTGTGACTTAAAAGTATATTTCTGTAATTAAGTCAGAATTTTAAGTTATGTTATCCACTATAGCTTATTTTTAAATTTAGAAAATCAGTTTTTAAAAGTATAATATAAAAACAAATGCATTTTGCTCATAAGAATTATTTTCTGAATACAGTGGCTTACTAGTTTCTTTTGAAGATTTTTTTCCTTATCAATTCTGTATTAGAAATCCATAGATTGTCCAAATTTTGGTAATCTAGGGTTTCAGATTTTTTTAATCATAATATAGACTTGGTTTAATGCTAATTGCATGTGATCTTTCCTGTACCTAGAAAATGAAAATTGAATTAGACCAAGTTAAGCAACAACTAATGGTAAGTGAATTTTTTTTCTAGCTGTTAATTTCAGAACAAATATTCGTTACAAGATCATTTTTTAAATATCTTTGCTTTCTTTAAAGCATGAAACCAGTCGAATCAGAGCAGATAATAAACTGGATATCAACTTAGAAAGGAGCAGAGTAACAGATATGGTAATGTTCTTTTAAATGTACTTTCTTGGTTACTTACTCCTTTTTTATTTTTAGACTTTTTTTTTAACTTCCTGCTGCTTCATATCCTATAGTTTACAGATCAAGAAAAGCAACTTATGGAAACAACTACAGAATTTACAAAAAAGGTAAAGTAATATGTAAAAATGTCTCTTTTGTACAGTTCTTGTGCCTTGTATAACTGCTTTTATGTGTACCAGTTTATAAGTTTAGACTTTTAAAAACTACCCTTGTAGAGTCTCTGGCTTCCTCATAGCTATTATAGTTAACCAGCACTTTTGGGGAACCTGGCACCAGGTAGATGGTCGCCCATGAGCCATGACCTTGAAGTAAGAATCAAGATTTCCACATAGTGTGCTTTTTTAAACTAAATTACTTCTATAATAGAAAATAACTATTTTTTGGGCCAGGCACAGTAGCTCACACCTGTTAATCCTGCACTTTGGGAGGCTGAGGCAGGAGTTCAAGACCAGTCTGGGCAACATAGCAAGACCCTGTCTCAAAAACAAAAAAAAAAAAAAGAAAATAACTATTTTTTAAAAGACAAAGATTCACTATTGGTATTTCATAATTGGTACTTAAATGAGTGCCTAGGTTCAGTTAAATAATTATCTTAAGGTTTTAAAAAAGCTATATATTAATAACATATAAACACTAATATTTAGTGTTTATTTAATGTGCCAGATACCATTTTACATGCTTTACTTATATCTGTTAATTCACTTAATATTCATTTCAGTCTCTGTGAGGTAGGCACTATTATTCCCATTTTAACAATTTGGAAAATGAAGCACAGAGGGGTTAAGGTCCCACAGTTAATAAGTGGTGTCACTAGGGAAAAGAACCTGGATTCTAAATCCCTAACTTGGAACTACTGCTCTCCTTCTCAGTAATCCTACAATGTAATCATGACTTCATCTCTGTGGCTTGAGTAAAACCCAGCTTTCTGACTCAGCCTTGTCCTTTTCTTAAAAGTTCAAAGCCATTTGTCCACATTCTAACAGAAAATATGTCACTCTTGCTCATAATTTAATAGAAGAGAAGGTCACATTTGTTCTTTCAAAGATCTTATTCTCTTCCCTTACTTCTTGGCCAGATAAAGGAGATAAGCAAGGAAATCAGCAAAATCTTTTACAACTACTTTCTGTGCTCTAGGTCTCATCTGTCCTCCCTACCCTTTGTCCCCTATACCTGTATCAGTGTTACCCATCAGGTTATTTATGCCAGTTCCTTTAATACTGGCGCCAGTTCATATTATACACCTGGTTATTTTTTTTTCCATTTGCAGAATATATTTAAAGTTTTAACCATAATATCCTAAGGACTTCACACACATAAAATGATAGTTCTGTGACCTAATTTTTTGCTTCTTAGTTTATCATCTTATGTATTCAGGTATAAATATGTTATTATGAGGTTTTTAGAATATGCCCAGTATGTCATACCCCTAAAAGATGATCTCCAAATATGAAAGCAGAAGGAATGTAATTCGTCAGTTTATAGTGTTTTTAAAAAAAAATTTTTTTTAATACTTTAAGTTCTAGGGTACATGTGCACAACGTGCAAGTTTGATACATAGGTATACATGTACCATGTTGGTTTGCTGCACCCATCAACTCATCATTTTACCTTAGGTCCTAATGCTCTCCCTCACCCAACCACCACCCGACAGGCCCCAGTGTGTGATGTTTCTGTATCCAAGTGATCTCATTGTTCAATTCCTACCTATGAGTGAGAACATGCGGTGTTTGGTTTTCTGTCCTTGTGATAGTTTGCTGAAAATGATGGTTTCTGGCTTCATCCATGTCCCTGCAAAGGACATGAACTCATCCTTTTTTATGGCTGCATAGTATTCCGTGGTGTATATGTGCCATGTTTTCTTAATCCAGTCTGTCATTGATGAACATTTGGGTTGGTTCCAAGTCTTTGCTATTGTGAATAGTGCCTCAATAAACATACGTGTGCATGTGTCTTTATAGTAGCATGATTTATAACCCTTTCGGTATATACCCAGTAATGGGATTGCTGGGTCAAATAGTAATTCTAGTTCTAGATCCTTGAGGAATTGCCACACTGTCTTCCACAATGGTTGAACGAATTTACACTCCCACCAACAGTGTAAAAGCGTTCCTATTTCTCCACATCCTCTCCAGCATCTGTTGTTTCCTGACTTTTTAATGACTGCCATTCCAACTGGTGTGAGATGGTATCTCATTGTGGTTTTGGTTTGCATTTCTCTGATGACCAGTGATGATGAGCATTTTTTCATGTGTCTGTTGGCTGCATAGATGTCTTCTTTTGAGAAGCGTCTGTTCATATCCTTTGCCCACTTTTTGATGGGGTTGTTTTTTCTTGTAAATTTGAGTTCTTTATAGATTCTGGATATTAGCCCTTTGTCAGATGGGTAGATTGCAAAAATTTTCTCCCATTCTGTAGGTTGCCTGTTCACTCTGATGGTAGTTTCTTTGCTGTACAGAAGCTCTTTAGTTTAATTAGATCTCATTTGTCTATTTTGGCTTTTGTTGCCATTGCTTTTGGTGTTTTAGTCATGAAGTCCTTGCACATGCCTATGTCCTGAATGGAATTGCCTAAGTTTTCTTCTAGGGTTTTTATGGTTTTAGGTCTAACATTTAAGTCTTTAATCCATCTTGAATTAATTTTTGTATAAGGTGTAAGGAAGGGGTCTAGTTTCAGCTTTCTACATATGGCTAGCCAGTTTTCCCAGCACCATTTATTAAATAGGGACTCCTTTCCCCATTTCTTGTTTTTGTCAGGTTTGTCAAAGATCAGATGGTTGTAGATGTGTGGTGTTATTTCTGAGGCCTCTGTTCTGTTCCATTGGTCTGTATATCTGTTTTGGTACCAGTACCATGCTGTTTTGGTTACTGTAGCCTTGTAATATGGTTTGAAGTCAGGTAGCTTGATGCCTCCAGCTTTGTTCTTTTTGCTTAGGATTGTCTTCGCCATGCGGGCTCTTTTTTGGTTCCATATGAACTTTAAAGTAGTTTTTTCCAATTCTGTGAAGAAAGTCATTGGTAGCTTGATGGGGATGGCAGTATGGCCATTTTCACAATATTGATTCTTCCTATCCATGAGCATGGAATATTCTTCCATTTGTTTGTGTCCTCTTTTATTTCACTGAGCAGTGGTTTGAAGTTGTCCTTGAAGAGGTCCTTCACATCCCTTATAAGTTAGATTCCTAGGTATTTTATTCTCTTTGTAGCAATTGTGAATGGGAGTTCACTCATGATTTGACTCTGTTTGTCTGTTAATGGTGTATAGGAATGCTTGTGATTTTTGCACATTGATTTTGTATCCTGAGACTTTCTGAAGTTGCTTATCAGTTTAAGGAGATTTTGGGCTGTGACAGTGGGGTTTTCTACATATACAATCATGTCATCTGCAAACAGGGACAATTTGACTTCCTCTCTTCCTAATTGAATACCCTTTATTTCTCTTGCCTGATTGCCCTGGCCAGAACTTCCAACACTATGTTGAGTGGGAGTGATGAGAGAGGGCATCCTCGTCTTGTGCCGGTTTTCAAAGGGAATGCTTCCAGTTTTTGCCCATTCAGTATGATATTGGCTGTGGGTTTGTCATAAATAGCTCTTATTGTTTTGAGATACGTTCCATCAATACCTAGTTTATTGGGAGTTTTTAGCATGAAGGGCTGTTGAATTTTGTTGAAGCCCTTTTCTGCATCTGTTGAGATAATCATGTGGTTTTGTCTTTGGTTCTGTTTATGTGATGGATTACGTTTATTGATTTGTGTATACTGAACCAGCTTTGCATCCCAGGGATGAAGCCGACTTGATCGTGGTGGATAAGCTTTTTGATGTGCTGCTGGATTCGGTTTGCCAGTATTTTATTGAGGATTTTCGCATCGACGTTCATCACGGATATTGCTCTGAAATTCTTTTTTTGTTGTGTCTCTGCCAGGCTTTGGTATCAGGATGATGTTGGCCTCATAAAATGAGTTAGGGAAGATTCCCTCTTTTTCTGTTGATTGGAATAGTTTCAGAAGGAATAGTACCAGCTCCTCTTTGTACCTCTGGTAGAATTTGGCTGTGAATCTGTCTGGTCCTGGACTTTTTTTGGTTGTTAGGCTATTAATTACTGCCTCAATTTCAGAGCCTGTTATTGGTCTATTTAGAGATTCAACTTCTTCCTGGTTTAGTCTTGGGAGGGTATATGTGTCCAGGAATTTATCCATTTATTCTAGATTTTCTAGTTTATTTGTGTAGAGGTGTTTATAGTATTCTCTGATGGTAGTCTATATCTGTGGGATCGGTGGTGATATCCCCTTTATCATTTTTTGTTGCATCTATTTGATTCTTCTCTCTTTTCTTCTTTATTAGTCTGGCTAGTGGTCTATCAATTTTGTTGATCTTTTCAAAAAACCAGCTCCTAGGTTCATTGATTGTTTTTTTAAGGGTTTGTTGTGTCTCTTATCTCTTTTTTAAGGGTTTGTTGTGTCTCTTATCTCTTACCTCTGAAAGAGATAAGAAGCAGCAGAAGTTATTTATTGCCTTCTGCTAGCTTTTGAATGTGTTTGCTCTTGCTTCTCTAGTTCTTTTAATTGTGATGTTAGGGTGTCGATTTTAGATCTTTCCTGCTTTCTCTTGTGGGCATTTAGTGCTATAAATTTCCCTCTACACACTGTTTTAAATGTGTCTCAGAGATTCTGGTACGTTGTGTCTTTGTTCTCATTGGTTTCAAAGAACATCTTTATTTCTGCCTTCATTTCGTTATGTACCCAGTAGTCATTCAGTAGCAGGTTGTTCAGTTTCCATGTAGTTGTGCAGTTTTGAGTGAGTTTCTTAATCTTGAGTTCTAATTTGATTGCACTGTGGTCTGAGAGACAGTTTGTTGTGATTTCTGTTCTTTTACATTTGCTGAGGAGTGCAAGTGCTTTACTTCCAATTATGTGGTCAGTTTTAGAATAAGTGTGATGTGGTGCTGAGAAGAATGTATACTCTGTTGATTTGGGTTGGAGAGTTCTGTAGATGTCTATTAAGTCTGCTTGTTGCAGAGCTGAGTTCAAGTCCTGGATATCCTTGTTAACCTTCTGTCTCGTTGATCTATCTAATATTGACAGTGGAGTGTTAAAGTCTCCCATTATTATTATGTGGGAGTCTAAGTCTTTTTGTCGGTTTCTAAGGACTTGCTTTATGAATTTGGCTGCTCCTGTATTGGGTGCATATATATTTAGGATAATTAGCTCTTCTTGTTGAATTGATCCCTTTACCATTATGTAATGGCCTTCTTTGTCTCTTTTGATCTTTGTTGGTTTAAAGTCTGTTTTATCAGAGACTAGGATTGCAACCCCTGCTTTTTTTTTTTTTGCTTTCCATTTGCTTGGTACATCTTCCTGCATCCCTTTATTTTGAGCCTATGTGCATCTTTGCACGTGAGATGGGTCTCCTCAGTACAGCACACTGATGGGTCTTGATTCTATCCAATTTGCCAGTCTGTGTCTTTTAATTGGGGCATTTAGTCCATTCATATTTAAGGTTAATATTGTTATGTGTGAATTTGATCCTGTCATTATGATGTTCGCTGGTTATTTTGCCCATTAATTGATGCAGTTTCTTCATAGCATCGATGGTCTTTACAATTTGGCATGTTTTTGCAGTGGTTGGTACTGGTTGTTCCTTTCCATGTTTAGTGCTTCCTTCAGGAGCTCTTTTAGGGCAGGCCTGGTGGTGACAAAATCTCTCAGCATTTGCTTGTCTGTAAAGGATTTTATTTCTCCTTCACTTATGAGGCTTAGTTTGGCTAGATATGAAATTCTGGGTTGAAAATTCTATAAGAATGTTGAATATTGGCCCCCACTCTCTTCTGGCTTGTAGGGTTTCTGCCAAGAGGTCCGCTGTTAGTCTGATGGGCTTCCCTTTGTGGGTAACTTGACCTTTCTTTCTGGCTGCCCTTAACACTTTTTCCTTCATTTCAACCTTGGTGAATCTGATAATTATGTGTCTTGGGGTTGCTCTTCTTAAGGAGTATCTTTGTGATGTTCTTTGTATTTCCTGAATTTGAATGTTGGCCTGCTTTGCTAGGTTGGGGAAGTTCTCCTGGATAATATCCTGAAGTGTTTTCCAACTTGGTTCCATTCTCCCACTTTCAGGTACACCAATCAAACGTAGATTTGATCTTTTCACATAGTCCCATATTTCTTGGAGGCTTTGTTCGTTTCTTTTTACTCTTTTTTCTCTAACCTTGTCTTCTCGCTTTATTTCATTAATTTGATCTTCAGTCACTGGTACCTGTCTTCCACTTGATTGTATCAGCTGTTGAAGCTTGGGCATGCATCACGAAGTTCTCGTGCCATGGTTTTCAGCTCCATCAGGTCATTTAAGGTCTTCTCTACACTGTTTATTCTAGTTAGCCATTCGTCTAATCTTTTTTCAAGGTTTTTAGCTTCCTTGCAATGGGTTCAAACATCCTCCTTTACCTTGGAGGAGTTTGTTATTACCGACCTTGTGAAGCCTGCTTCTGTCAACTCATCAGTCATTCTCAGTCCAGTTTTCTTCTTGCCATTGCTGGCAAGGAGCTGCAATCCTCTGGAGGAGAAGAGGCACTATGATTTTTAGAATTTTCAGCTTTTCTGCTCTGGTTTTTCCCCATCTTTGTTGTTTTATCTACCTCTGGTCTTTGATGTTGGTGACCTACAGATGGGGTTTTGGTGTAGATGACCTTTTTGTTGATGTTGATGCTATTCCTTTCTGTTTGTTAGTTTTCCTTCTAACAGTCAGGACCCTCAGCTGCAGGTCTGTTGGAGTTTGCTGGAGGTCCACTCCAGACCCTGTTTACCTGGGTATCACCAGCAGAGGCTGCAGAACAGCAAATATTGCTGCCTGATCCTTCCTCTGGAAGCTTTGTCCCAGAGGTGCAGCCGCCTATATGAGGTGTGTGTCAGCCCCTACTGGAAGATGTCTCCCAGTTAGGCTACACAGGGGTCAGGGACCCAATTGAAGAAGCAGTCTCTCCGTTCTCAGAGCTCAAACGCTGTCGTGAGAGAACCACTGCTGTCTTCACAGCTGTCAGACAGGGACATTTAAGTCTGCAGAAGTTGTCTGCTGCCTTTTGTTCAGCTATGCCCTGCCCACAGAGGTGGAGTCTAGAGACAGTAGGCATTGTTGTGCTGTGGTGGGCTCAGCCCAGTTCAAGCTCCCCTGCCACTTTGTTTACCTACTCAAGCCTCAGCAATGGCGGATGCCCCTTCCCCAGCCAGTCTGCTGCCTCACAGTTCGATTTCAGACTGCTGTGCTAGCAGTGAGCAAGGCTCCGTGGGCGTGGGACCCGCTGAGCCAGGCACAGGAGAGAATCTCCTTGTCTGCCAGTTGCTAAGACCTTGGGAAAAGTGCAGTATTTGGGCAGGAGTGTCCCATTTTTCCAGGTAGTCTGTCATGGCTTCCCTTGGCTAGGAAAGGGAAATCCGCTGACCCCTTGCGCTTCCAGGGTGAGGCAATGCCCCACCCTGCTTCAGCTCACCCTCCGTGCGCTGCACCCACTGTCCAACCAGTCCCAATGAGATGAACCAGGTACCTCAGTTGGAAATGCAGAAATCACCCGTCTTCTGCGTTGATCACGCTGGGAGCTGCAGAGTGGAGCTGTTCCCTTTTGGCCATCTTGGAACACTTCAAATTTTTTTACACCACTATGCTTTTAATGTTTCCCCAACTAAGACTTTTATATCACAATTAGCCCATAAGTGAGGGTTTATAATGTAAATGCTTTTGTCCATTTAATACATAGGGACAAAATTAAGTTCTCTTATTCTGGTTTACCACAGGATACTCAAACCAAAAGTATTATTTCAGAGACCAGTAATAAAATTGACGCTGAAATTGCTTCCTTAAAAACACTGATGGAATCTAACAAACTTGAGACAATTCGTTATCTTGCAGGTAAGACTGTCAGAGAAAGAAATTGCTGTCATCTAATTTTCCTGTTAGTTCTACCTATCAAGGTAACTGAGCAGGCACAGGAAAAAAAGGAGGAGCTAGATAACAAGGCTCCTTTATTGCTTGGTCCCCTGTAGTGCTTAAAGAAGGTTCCAGTCTCAGGATATATTTTTTGGAGTCTTGGGTTTTATTTTTAATACTTATAATTTTTATTATAGCAGATTACAAATTAGACGCAGCCAAAGGAAGGAACATATAGGGTGTAGTATTGGACAGTTCTAAATGTTAAGCTTCTGTCATCCTCACAGATGTGTTACCCTTCAGAATCTAAGTTTAGCAGGCAACTCTGCAGCTGACTAATAGAAAAAGCATGTGGATATAAAAGAAATATATAAACACAAGCAGAAAATGATAGAAGGATAAACTGTGGTACTCCACAGTGGAAAAAAAAATGAAAATTTTCTTTTTATTGCTTATGTTCTTCCATAAAGATTTGAAAGAGGTTAGAGAAAAAAGATCAATAAATTAGATATAAGCCCATTAAAAACCTGGAGGAGGGACAGATGACCTTACCTTGAATCAACTGATTCAGCATAGACACTATCCCAAAATTAGATTATTTGTCACATACTGAGCTCCTCAAGTACCATCTGACCTGACCCAATTACAGGGCCCCAGTGATTTAGGAAGAATGCCCTAGTCAACTATTACTTGTCTTTTTTCTTTCCTTTTATAAAAAGTAATGTATTTTCATTATAAATTTT
This sequence comes from Homo sapiens, assembly GCF_000001405.40. Classification (NCBI taxonomy): domain Eukaryota; kingdom Metazoa; phylum Chordata; class Mammalia; order Primates; family Hominidae; genus Homo; species Homo sapiens. The sequence goes on along the minus strand of NC_000011.10, from coordinate 83,265,103 downwards.
TTTTATAAGTTTTAGGGTCATGTGCACAATGTGCAGGTTAGTTACATATGTATACATGTGCCATGCTGGTGCGCTGCACCCAGTAACTCGTCATTTAGCATTAGGTATATCTCCCAATGCTATCCCTCCCCCCTCCCCCCACCCCACAACAGTCCCCAGAGCGTGATGTTCCCCTTCCTGTGTCCATGTGTTCTCATTGTTCAGTTCCCACCTATGAGTGAGAATATGCAGTGTTTGGTTTTTTGTTCTTGTGATAGTTTACTGAGAATGATGATTTCCAATTTCATCCATGTCCCTACAAAGGACATGAACTCATCATTTTTTATGGCTGCATAGTATTCCATGGTGTATATGTGCCACATTTTCTTAATCCAGTCTATCATTGTTGGCCATTTGGGTTGGTTCCAACAAAGATACTCCTCGAGAAGAGCAACTCCATAATTGTCAGATTCACCAAAGTTGAAATGAAGGAAAAAATGTTAAGGGCAGCCAGAGAAAAAGGTCGGGTTACCCTCAAAGGGAAGCCCGTCAGACTAACAGCAGATCTCTCAGCAGAAACTCTACAAAGCCAGAAGAGAGTGGGGGCCAATATTCAACATTCTTAAAGAAAAGAATTTTCAACCCAGAATTTCATTATAAATTATTCATAGAATTCAAAAGCCGAAAAAGTGAAAGCCCCTCCCCGTGTGTATTTACTATTAGTAGTAAACATTTTCTAGGCTTTTTCTTCTGTATATAAACATCTTATATACTTCTTAAAAATAATTAGATCACGTATTTTTTATAGTCTACAACTTTTTAAAGTTTAACCAAATGTCCTATTTCTTTCCACACAGACATCTTTTTATTAGAAAGCACAGTATTCCCTATATGAAAATGCCACAATTTATGTATCCAGTCCTTTATTAACAGGCATTCTCCCTTCAGTTTTTTATTATTAAGGACAATACTGTATTGAACAGCCATATATATGTGTTAACGTTTGAGTAAATACACATACACACACACATATCTTGGTGGCCCTGTGCTAGTATTTCTATATAACAACTTGCTATGTACATTTAAAATTTGGGGTCAAAAAGATATGCACATTTAAGATTTTTGATATTAACAAATTGCTGTCTAAAAGAAAACTGCCGATTTATACTCTTAGTCATTTTCTGGGCAGTCACTACTGATGTTGAGGTGCCAGCAGGGTTGAAGATGGAGCCCCCAGCCATCAGCTGAACCGTGGATGGGGCACAAGTAAAATAGCCTACCTACAAGCATAATTGGAATCAGAACTTACTCTTTAAATCTGTGACTGTGTGCCTCAATTTCTCATACCAGCTTTCTCCATAGGTTGGAAACATTACCACCTAGACTCTTATCATTCCACTTTCACTAATCAGGAGAGATTGCCCTCTTTCCTTAGTTCCAATTTTTAAAATCCTCAGAAAGGAGTCTGAATGGTTCATCGTGGGTCAGACGCCACCTTTTGACCCAGAACACTGCCACCAAGGAATAATGGCAATTTCCATTTAATCTATGTAGATAATGTGGCAGATTTTGTTCGTGGCAGATAAATAATGAAAGCTAATGTTTACAGAGTGCTTAAAATGTACCAGGCATATGCTCACCTAAGCATTTTACATATATGTAGAATGTCTCCCTAGACAGGGTATAGAGGATAAACAGCAAACTTAAAAGAAATTGGAGATGGCTCCAATTGTTGTTGTTACTGCAACAACAGCCATGAGAAATAAAAGCTGAAATAACAGCAGCAAGACATGAGAGAGAAACTTAAATGCAGTAACGATTGTATACTCTACTGAAGTAGAGTATACTTCACCTCACAATAAGTGTTCATTTGGTTATCTAAAACTTAATTTATCAGCTGTTGAATCAGCAGAGGATGTAACCACTTAGATAGCACTATGTGACTCAAATAAATGACAGATTGAGTCTTTCAAGTGTCACAGTATATAATAAGGATCACAAATTTTGTGTGTGTGTTTTTTTATTAAGAGAAAAAAAATGGCTTTGGAGTCAAGTACACTTAGTCTTAAATCCCGGCTCCACTGTTTGCTAGCGATGTAACTGGGTGTATTACCTCATCTGTACAATGGGGATAATACCACCAATCTCATGGTTAAATAAAGTAGTGTGTGTAATTGCTCAGCATAGTAGCATAGTACTTGACACACAGCAAATAGTAGCAGGATCAAATGGGAGAATATATAATTGCCCAGTGGCTGTAAGACAAGAAACTCTTAGTGTTATTACTTCTCTATATTTCTTAGAGATGCCTAATCCCATTTCTTAAAACTGAGAAAATGATCTTATCATTAACCAAGTTTCAGTAAGTAGTAGGATCAAATGGGGTGGTGTACAAATGGGTTTATACATTATGAATAACTTTACTTTGAAAGGCTAATTTCTTGTGTCTTTATTCATAAAAGTTTTCCATTCATCTCTCACTTGTCTGTTTTTAAAAATTCATTCATCGGTGTTTTAAACAAACTGGAGACTAGGGAGTCCCTAAAGGCCTCACTCAGACTTACCTTCTAAAAGCTGGGAAAACTGAATTTTTTTTTATCCAAAATGATGTAAGCTAAAGTACAGGTAGTATATTAACTATTTTAAAAACCTAATGCTTTTTCTGCCTTTTCTTCTACCTCATTGAGTTTAAAGAGTTTTTATTAAAATTTTATTAAGAATTATGAGAAATTATTTAAAAATGTACTGAAAAGGCAATTAAAATTCTCTTCTCACAGATATATGTATATTTTACTAGCCTAACTACGTAATTTTTTAATATAAGAAAGATTTCATTTATCATGAGATCTGAAATTAGAGCTTATAATTATTTAAAGTAGTCAATAATGCTAGCGTTAATGATTTTAAATACAGGTTATAGGTTTCTAAATGACATAATTTACATTTTAATATACAGGTGCTTTTAAGAAGAATTAGGCATTAAGGCTGCCCTTAAGAATGTCTTTCATACTTAATTGTCTAGGGAATAAAAAACATAGGATAGAAAATTGGTTGGATTTCCTGTTTTTTGCTCTTCACTTAAAGATAACATTATTCTCTTTATCTCTGCAAAATAATTACAGATACAAGACCTATAACACAGTTTCTTCTTTTCACAGCTTCGGTGTTTACTTGCCTGGCAATAGCATTGGGATTTTATAGATTCTGGAAGTAGTATTAATGCTCATCCTGCTGTGGCTGTTGGCTTCTTAGAACACCAAACCGGGAGAGATTTACTTTGAACATTGTCAGTTGCAGCAAAAATTTACTACACAAGATTATTCGAAGTGTATACGGACTAAAAGAGGAAGTGTTTTAGAATGAGAAGAGATACTGTGTCTTTATTGTGTGTGTGTGAGTGCAGGTGTGTGTCTTTATTATATTGAAAAGCTGTCACTCAGACCTGGTTTGAGATAGAAGAGCATTTTGTCCTTTTGATAGTTAATAGAAATTGAACCAGAGTTTTCTTATGTTTGCTTGAACAGTTGTGTAAATCATACAGGATTTTGTGGGTATTGGTTGAATATTTGTAAACCATTCCCTAGCCTACATATTTATTACTGAATTAACTTTCCTGATAACCATTGCATAATTACATTTTTCTATAAAATGAAAGATTATTACAACAAAGTTGTGTGGGTTTTCAAAGTGACTTACCATATAGTTGGAGATTGATTTCTTTTTGGTAATGAACTAAAACAATAAATTTTAAAATGATAGGCCAGGCGCGGTGGCTCACACCTGTAATCTCAGCACTTTGGGAGGCTGAGGCGGGTGGATCACTTGAGGTCAGGAGTTCTAGACCAGCCTGGCCAACATGGTGAAACCCCGTCTCTGCTAAAAATACAAAAATTAGCCAGGCATGGTGGCACATGCCTGTAATTCCAGCTACTCGGGAGGCTGAGGCAGGAGAATCTTGCAGTGAGCCGAGATAGCACCACTGCACTCCAGCCTGGGTGACAGAGCAAGACTCCATTACCTAAATAAATAAATGTGTGCTTTAGTGCAAATTACAACACTTAATATGAAATCTGTAGAGTTGCTAAATATTGAGCTCTGATTATTACATGTATTTTTTAAATATTTGATACTCAAAAACCAGTTTATCCCTGCTTCTTAATGTAGTTTAAGTTAACCCATCTTAAATTTATTACATAAAACAAAGCTTTTCTTAATGACTTCAATTCAGCAAACATTGATATCTAGTACCTACTCTCAAGAAACTCATAGGAAAATTTAAATTCGTATTTTGTTTTGTTATTAGATATATTTTTTCTTACAAAGTAATATCTATTAGTAAATCATATGTAATTTCAAAGAAATTTTAAAATATCCTTTTCATCTTAGTTCTTCAGTCTTACCCAGATCAAGAAGACAAGACCAGAAAGTAAACATTTTGAGTTCATAATGCCTTGGTAATAGCTATAAAAGTTTGACAATCATTATTCAAAATAGCCTTGTCATTTGTTTAGCTATAAACAGGGAATCTGCAGTATAGAGCAGTCAAGAGATTGGTCCATATGGTCCAGTGAGTGAGAGTCAGGCTTTCCAACTATATTTTCCTCAAAAATCTAACTGCTGGTTTGTTTTCAAAAGAAAAACCTTGACATTATCCTGTTACATTCTGATTCATTTTTATCTCTATTGCCTAAGAGAGTTCTTAGTATATTATAGATTAATTTTCACTGAGTCAATTAATAAGTTACCATATATATTAAAGTCCACTGTAACAAAGTATACTGCATTTGTTCAGTTAACCAATATGACTGCCTGCTATATGCCAAACAGCATGCTAGTCCCTGTGTGCACAGAGATGAACATGGTTTCATTCTCATTGAATTGACAATCTTAAGGAGAGAGACATAAACAAGTAAATTATTGGTTTGTTAAGATTTAAAATATTCTAAAATATTAAGAGGGAATGCGTCTTTCCTCCATGTGAAGGAAGCTCCAGTAGCATAACACTGTCGTCACTCTTCATCCCCTTATCCACTCTGCCCTAGGTAAAGTGACTTGCCCAATTGTAAATCTGGAAGGAGAAACAAGGTGCAATTAGCCCACTTCCTCCCCACTCCTGTTTGGGACCAGCCCATCTGAAGAGACATTCATTCTGTTCTGCTTCTATGGGATCAGGCTCTGCCTCTGCAGGATGAGGCCTGGCCCAGTAGAGCAATGCTTGAGACAGGGTAAATCTGTCCAGTTCTAGAGTTCAGTGATAAGAAGCTTACTGGCCTTAAGATGAAACCCATATTCTCTTGCTGAGCACAGTGGCACACATCTATAGTCCTAGCTGCTTGGGAGGCTGCGGCAGCAGGATTGCTTGAGCCAAGGAGTTCATCAAGGCTAAAGTGTACCATGATCATACCTATAAATAGTCACTGCACTCCAGCCTGGCAACACATGAGACCCTGTCTCCTAAAAAAAAACTTCTCCAATAGTTTTATCAGCAAATAAAGGTGTTTTTTAGGCCTCTATATTAGTTTATTCATTCTTCATCTTAGTTATATTCACAACCCAGAATGGAAAGGAGGTATGCCATTTATTGGACCTTCTCAAGCCCCAACAAATAAATATACTTATTCCCAGGTTATACAGCCACTAAATATTAAATAGATCTGCGTTCTTTCTCATTGTAGGGGTTTAGCAAACAAAGTGCTTTGTATCCAATAACAGAAGAATAGAAATATGCATACCATACCCTGTCCCCATTACTTTTAGATCCTATATCCTTTCCATGAAACTTCATTTTGATGGTGGTTCTGGGGTTCAGGTAAATTTTTGTTTCAGTGATGGAAATATATGAAATAAGGATGAGAGGATTGTGTTTCTATATGCCTTAAAACTATACCTCTATTCCAGCACTTGCACTTCACTATGAAACAGCAATTATACGTATCTTTTTCCTACACTAAACTACAAGTTCTCAGAAGGCCTCTAGACACATGTGAGGTACTTGTTAAACGCCTGTGGAATAAATGATACTCATAAATCTCAGTTGACCTTAATCCAAACTTTTTAATATTTTAAATATTTAATTATGGGTATGCTGAAAATACTGCATTCATACTGAGTGAGCGTAATACACCTTTTAGGCATTTTCTATGAGTGGTAAGAAGCCTCCACAAGGATTAGCTACTTTCACCATGTTTATAGCCACAGTGTAGATCCTAACCTGCCTATCCATACTGCTTTGGTGACAAAATAGGCCAGGCAAGAGTATGTAAGGACTTGGCAAGAGTCAGGAAAAACCCTCACCTATTGGAAAAACAATTAAAAGCTTATAATGTTGTCAAACTTGAAGAATTTGGATATGTAACACTTGTTTATTTTTTAAGTATTTTTTAATATTTAAAAAAAGGGCAGTGGGAAAGGCTGTAGTCATTATCACTGAAACTACTGATTGCTATTTTGAAAAAAAATAGCTATCATTGACTATATGAGGGCAAATATGCTAAATAACATATATGTGCTCACCTATTTTCACAGCTCTCCTCTTAGGTAGATGGTATCCTCATTTTACAGCTGAAGAAACAAGTTTAGCCAAGTGAAGTAACTTGTCCACAGTCCCCCAGCAAGTAAGTCACAGGGACTCAAGTCTTTAACTCCAAATCTCACCCTCTCATGCTGTCACTCAATATACTAGTAGGGTTCAACCTGAGTACTCTTTCTCATGAGATGGACAATCTACTAAGTCATAGGAACAAAATAACTTAAATCTCTTTAATAACCTTTTTTTTTTGTTTCATTAACCTAAATGTGTCAATAATATAGGTATATGATTTATGAATAAATATACACAATTTGGGAATTGTATTATAATTTTAATTTAGCTGCTGTAACAAGATCCAGAATAGCAGTGGCTTAAATAAGATTAGGTTTATTTCTCTCTTACAGTCCAATGTAAGCATTCTAGGGCTAATATGTCAGCTCCATGGTGTCAGGGCCCTTGCTCCTTATTTTACTGCTCTGCCATCCTGGTGTTGCCCTCATTCACAAGGTCCAGTGGCTGACTCACCACCACATCCACATTCCAGAAGAAGAAAAGAGCAAGAGGTGGCATTATAGCCATGACCCTAAGGTTTTACGTAACATTTTTGCTCACATCCTTCTGAACACAACTTGGTCTCTTGGCTGCAAAGGCAAGCTGGGAAGTTAGTTCTTATCCTGCGCGGCCACAGACCACATAAATCCTTCCCACTACAGAAGAAGGGAGAATGGATTTTGGAGGACAACCAGGGAACCTCTGCCACAGGGTGTGTATGCTTTTATTACAACACTATTCTGGTGTTTTCTACCTCACTGGTACAGGAAGAAATTAGAGAAAACTGGAGCAAGTACAACAAACTATTTCCAGGGTTGGGATTAACTTTAGCATCAAGTTAGAGGGGAAAAGTAAGGCTGTCTGTAGTCCCAGAAGGGAAGATAAATGGTTTTGAAATCCCAGTAATGGTTAAGAGAATGCAGACTTTTGCTGCCAAGGTTGGAATCCCAGATCAGCATTATATAATCCTCGGCACAACTACTTTCTCTATAAAATATACCTACTTTATATGGCTCTTGTGAGAATTAAGAGATAGTTAAGGGCTTGGCACAAATCTCACACAAAGTGCCCAATAAATGTGCTTTGCTGACCAAAAAACAACTATGGCTTTCAGTTCAGTTCTGACTTCAATTCCCTCTTTTTTCCTACTTGCCTCTATTTTCTCTTCCTTTCCCTCCAGCTAGCAAAGAATTATGACTCTCTTGGAGCCAGCTCTGTGGCTCCTGTCTCCCCCTGAAGATCTGTCGCTGGTTTTGGGCTTCCCTGGCAGGAGCCCTCTCACCATACCCCAGACTTCCCACCCTCTGGACCCTTGCATCTATCTCACATGGACACTAAAGCCATTTTGACCTAGTATCAGAACTAGTTTGCCCTGACAAGAGTGCATTTGATTGCTGAAACCAGTTCAGCTGGCTAAGGGTCCGTAAGCAAGTGTTAAAAAATGACTCACCTATCCTTTTAATAACCCTTATATTCACTATTTTTAGTTCTTCTGTGGCTTTCAATCTATAGTAATAACAGTTGTCAACATTTATTGGGCACTTTGTATAAGATCTGTTCCAAGTCCTCTACTACCTCTTAATTCTCCCAATGACAGCCATATGAGGTAGGTATATTTTATATAAAGAGATTAAGTAGTTGTGCCTAGGATTACACAACAATGCAGAGCTGGGATTAACCTTGGAAGCCAAAGTTCATTTTTTAACACTTGTTTACAGACCCTTAACCTGCTGAACTGGTTTCAGCAATCAAATGCACTCTTGTCACAGCAAACTAGTTCTGATGATACCATGTCAAAATGACTTTAGCGTCCACATGAAGTATATGCAAGGGTCCAAAGGGTGGGCAGTCTATGGAATGGTGAGATGGCTGCTGCCAGGGAAGCCCAAAACCAGTGACAGATCTTCAGGGGGAGACAAGAGCTACACAGCTGGACCCAAGAGTTATAAATCTTTGCTAGCTCATGGAGGGAAGAGAAGAGAAAAGAGAGGGGGGTAGGAAAAAAGAGGGAATTGAAGTCAGAACTGAACTGAAAAGCCATAGTTGTTTTTTAGTTGGCCAAGCACTACTAATCTTTAAGATCAAGGAGAAAAAGAGGAAAAAATAAAGCCAAGTGTTTCTTATCCTGTCCAATCTGCCTCTTCTCTATATTCTTAAAAAGCTTGCAGTTACGCCATTTGAAAAAAAATTTTTTTAAACATATCCACACTAGAAGTGAAAGGTACTCTCTAGAAAGTGAAAGAAATATAATTCTATTGTGGAACCATAATTGAATTTTTAATAATTTTTAATATCTAGAACTAGATTTCTTTTGATTACTATACCAGCTAATATTTTAAAGCTTATGTGAATACTTGTAAAATTAATTACTCATAAATCTCTTGACTTGCCTGTGTAGAGATATATAAGAAGAATATCGGGAGAAGGTGCACAACTGAGTCCGTGTCATTTAAAAAATCTCTAAATCTCTTTAATATAACATTTCTGCCATCAGAATTGGAACAGAAGCATATCAGAGTAATTCTGAGATAGTTTGTATAGACTCACATTTATATCAATTTTTTTAATGAAAGAGAAAAATCTAGCAGGTCAATTTAGTTATTTCACTGATTAGTACCTTCTCACAAACACCCCTCCAGAAGAAACCTTTTTTTTTACTCGCCTCTTCTCTTTGTTTGACTCACAAGAAGCGCTGTCTTCCTATAAGCAAAGGAAAAGAGGGTCAAATACAATTTTCATGCTAGCACACATTTTCGTCTTTCTACATTGCCTGTTCAAAAGAAAAAAAAATTAACCATGCTAGTATTTTCAACTCTGATTAAATTTCTTTTAGGATTTTATGTGAATAAATTCCCAAATGTGAAGTAACAGTGCATTATATTGTGCTGAATCATATCACTAGGAGGCACCTTAAGAACTAGAGAAAGAATATAGAAAATTTAGTGGGTAAGAAGTGGCTACTTGTCAGATATAGCCAATTTTCCGTCTTATCTCATTAAGTTTTATCTCTACCTAACAGATCCCCAGACACTAATATTTAACAACATATTGGTAACTGCAAGTGTTAGTATGTCATCTTCTGGATTCTTTTGCCAGTCCCATAGTGCTGCGAATCATTCCCTAGCTTCCCCGCTTCCCTCTTTTGTTTTTGTACTGCATCCCTCTACTGCTCTAGTCTCATTTTGCACTTTGCCTGGTCTCCTGGTCTCACTGTTTCTAAATATTTCTTATCCATCTTGGTATTCTTAAGACCCAGCACAGAAAAATCAATAAATACCATGGGAAGGAGCAAGCAGGGCTAGAAACACAATGGATGGTCACTAGATATTAATCATCTTTGAGTAATTCTTCTAATCAAACATGCTCTGCATCTAGTTAGGCAAGCCAGCTCCGAACACAGAGGCTCCAAGAACAGCAAAAGGTGCATATCCCTGGGGAGAGCCCATGGCTGGAGTTAGTTCTCCAAGGTGTTCCTGCCCACACCTTTTCTAATGAGTCCAGTTAGTTTAACTCAATAGTGTGTGAACACGTAAGTAAGCTGCCATTATCCAACACCGCCTGGAAAAACAACCATGCATCTGGTCCCTCCCATATCCCTCAGCTGCAAACTTGAGAGTAGGATAAACTTCTAGCTTTCTCTTACAGTGGCCAGGTGTTTGTGGGCATAGGGTAATACAGATGGTCTCTTGAAAAAAAGTTTAGCGGCTAGTCTGAAGAAAAATAACAAACCTTTGATTGGGACTTAGCATATGATACAACTGTTCTTCATACTATACATACAAAATCAAGTGTAGTAAGTAGCATTACCAGTATTTTAAAGATGAGGCCAGGTGCGGTGGCTCACGCCTATAATCCCAGCACTTTGGGAGGCCAAGGCAGGCAGATCACTTGAGGTCAGGAGTTCAAGACTAGCCTGGCCAACCCTATCTCCGCTAAAAATACAAAAATTAGCTGGGCTTGTCCTGCACACTTGTAATCCCAGCTACTCAGGAGGCTGAGGCAGGAGAATCGCTTGAACCCAGGAGACAGAGGCTGCAGTGAGCCAAGACTGCGCCACTGCACTCCAGCTTGTGCTACAGAGCAAGACCCTGTCTCAAAAAAAAAAAAAAGAAAAGAAAAAAGAAAAACACTCAGGTGGGGCAGGAGTTTAACCTAATCCAACTAGATGGAACTAGAAAAAGAATATAGAAAATTTAGGGGGAAGAGGTGGCTACTTGTCAGATGTAGCCAATTTCCTAGTGCTTTAATAGAGTTATGACTTCCAGAAACAGGCAGGGTATGGTGGCTCACATCTGTAATCCCAGCACTTTAGGAGGCTGTGGTGGGCAGATCACTTTGAGCTCAGGAGTTTGAGACCAACCTGGACAACAATCCCCTCTCTCTACAAAAAAATACAAAAAAATTTAGCTGGGCATGGTGGCTCATGCCTGTAGTCCCAGCTACTCACGAGGCTGAGGCTGGAGGATTGCTTGAGCCTGGGAACTGGAGGTTGCAGTGAGCCAAGATCATGACCCTGAATGCCAGCCTGGGCACAGAGTGAGATAGTGTCTCAAAAAAATTAATTAAAGACTTCCAAAGACAGCAATACTTATTTTTCTTTACCTTTTATGTATTAGAAGAGGATTCCAAATTTTCCAAAGTCCCTCCTAACACCAAATATGTAACTTGTTCTATCAAACCAAGTCTTAAAATACAACTTCAAAAGAAAATATGTGCTTGGCATTCAACAGGCCTTCCATAAGTGTTCACTGAAGGTTCCAAATCTCCCAATTCTAAAAGTTTCTGCATTTGGAGAACATTTTTCACCAAGATTACTCGTTTCTTTATCTTACATCATAGCCAAGAAATATATTTCTCCCCAATACATGTTTTCTCCTAAACTCAATAGAACTGTATATTAAGATACTAAATACATGAATCATAATGCTTAGGCACCAAAAGCAATTCTAAATGTAAATGCAGTCTATTACTACAACAAAATTAGACAAAAATCCTTGTGGGGAAAATGTATGTATTTTTTTGCCCTGAAAGAACAGGTTTGTCGAACAGATTAAAATTCTACATATAAAACTGTTGAAAGAGTTTATGGATCTACAAATTACTGCTGGGATATATGGAATTCTTATTTTTCAAAAAGCCTATGCACTCTGAGAAATTCTAGACAGCATATGAAACTATAAGAGAATTCCACCTTCTTGCTTACCAGTACAGACTCTTCTTAACAGTGTCAAAACTAACCCTTCTCCCCCAAAAAAGTAGGGTATAAACAAAGAGAAAGAAAGGGAAATCACAAACTTTTAGAACTTCCCCAAGCTAAGAGTTGAACATGGATAAACTCACTGAAGTCCTCATATTGCTCCATGGGCCACTCTAGGTACATAAGCTAGGATGTCATAGGTCAGAGAGAAGCCCAGCAGAGACCACATCAAAGTTCAACCTTGTTCCAGACCTTTGTAGGTAGAAAATAAGGTTAAGTGAAACATGGAAGGTAACCATGGAATATTACCGGTTCCCGGTCAGTCACTCTTGATTAGCAAACATGGCCCAAAGCTGTAGATCAAGGACTTCCTGAATAATACTGGTTCTGGAGACAGAAGCTATGAGTTCAGTGCTACATAACTCTCTCTCTGGACAGACAGCTCTGCCAAAGCTATTACATTATATTTAAGTATATGTATTAAGTATATATCTAAATATATATTATACTTAAAATATTAGTTTAAATTTAATGTTTTAAGTACAATATATATACCAAAGAGCACAAAGAAAAAAAAAGGTACAGCTTGATGAATTTTTACAAAGTGAACACACCCCTGTGACCATGACTGAGATAAAGAGATTAGACATTACCAGTATCCCAGAAGCCTCCATTTGCCCCTTCCTAGGCACTACTGACTTGATTTATCTTACTGATTTGTGGACTACATGTAATCACACGGTATGTGTTCTTTCATATTGTTTCCTTTTAGTCAGCATAGTGTTTGTGAAATTCATTCGTGGTGATGTGTAGAGTAGCAATTCACACATTTTCATTGCTATATAATATTCCATTGTATGAATATAGCAAAATGTATTGATTCTTACTGTTGAGGGAATTTTTAGATGATTCTAGTTTGAGAGATATATGTAATAATGCTGACAAGAACATTATATATTTTTGGTGTCCATCTGTGTACACAAAGAAACATGTACTAATTCCACTAGGAATTAATTTTCCAAAGTGGTAGCCAATTTACACTGCCACCACTGGTGTATAAAATCTCCAGTTGTTCCACATCCTCACCAGCATTTGGTAACGTCTGTTTCAATTTTTGCCATTCTGATGGGTATATATTGGTATCTTGTTTGGGTTTTAATTTACATTTCTGATAACCAGTGATTTTGAGCACAATTTCATGTTTATTGGCCACTTGGATATCTTCTTTTGTGAAATGCCTACACAAGTCTTGCCCAGTTTTTTTACTGGACTGTCTTTTTCACGTTGATTTATATATTCTAGATACAACTTCTTTTTCAGATAGGAGAGAAGAAAGAAAAGCAGAGAGAAAGAAAGGAAATATGTTTTTCTACACTTTGGCTTGCCTTTTCAAGTCTGTTCATATAATCTTTGATGAACTGAAGTCTTATTTTAATGAAGTCCAGTCTACACATTTTTTTCCTACCCCAAGGTCATGAAGATATCCTACGTTATATTTTATCATCTCAACTTCCAATTTAAGACATATCTTGAAATATATGTTTGAACTTATAGTGTAACATTTTAACAAAATTCTTACCAATTTTTAAGTTTTCATAAGTAAATTAACCCTAAAATTAATTTACTAAATTAATTTACTAAAATTAAAAAGCTATCATCAAAAGTTTTCAAAGAAAAATTTTCAAAATAAATGTTCTTAAAAGCACAGAAAGAGGGAATGTGAGGGGTTTATAATAGCAGTAACAAGTGGTGTTAAAAGCATAGACTTGGGGCTAGACAGGTTGAAATCATGGCTAGCCATCTAACAAGCTTTGTAACTTTATAAATTGTTTATTTTATCTGAGAGTTGATTTCTTCATTTATAAAATGAAGATGGTATCTGCTGAATATAAAGTCTTAACACTAAGCCCAACATACTCAAAACCTGTTGTTAATGATGACTAAGATGATGTTATTAACATAAGTTAAGTGATCTTATAAAACTTAGATTTTCAGTACTGCGGGTAAAGTAAGTGCCCAATCATGCTGTGATACAGATGACGAGAAGCCCTCAGACCAGTACAAGGTGCTTGATAGAAGGAGAGATCACGTGTGACCAGGGAGACTAGGAAAGGGGTGATAAATGAGATGGCTCCTAGGGGATTTTACAGAGTCAACAGGCAGTTTTCAAGGTATATGGACAAATTGAACAAAGGCTTAATGATGGGAAAGCATAGGGTAGCTTAAGAAAAAATAAGCTATTAATATATATATAGGAGAACAGACAAAAATAAAGTTGGTGAGGTAGGTTAAGGCTGAATGTCAAACTGAAGAATCAGTACTTATTCAGGTAAGGAAGATTTTCAATCCAAGGAGTGACAAGAAAATCAAGCTGACCACTGTGAGTCAAATGGATTTGGATAGGGAAGGAGTAAATACCAAAATTCTATCACAGTAGTTCAGATAGAAAGATATAGAAACCTAAACTAGGGAAGCAGTGAAAGTAGAGAACATGTTCCTACCTACAGGATGGACTCGCTTTTTGTATGATCTAAAGGAGAAAACATGGCTAATCATTAAGAGTCCAAGACTGGGTAGTTGAGAAAATAGTGATGCCATTAATTTAAATGCAGAGATAGGGGAGAGAATCTGGTCTTGATATTGAGCTTGGTTCTGGACATTTTTTTTTAATTCAAGCACCACCAGGAATTTCGGGTGGAAATGTCCAGTTGACGAGCAGTGGGAAATACAGGTGGGGATCCCTAGTGGGGACACAGTACTTAAGTATGGATTTGATAGTCATTTCCACAGAAGTATTAGAAAAATATAATGTGGAGACAGAGATTCTGAGTTTGCTCCTGCCTTACACTAGCTGTATGCTCTAACAAGACTCTCAACTTCTCTGAGCCTCTGCCCTCTCATTTATAACATGGGATCAAAAATATATATATCATTCTACCTCCTCATAGGGTTGATGCAGACTAAAATGAGATAATATCTGAGAAAGTGCTATAAAAACAGCTGTTATCAAAAAACCATTTAAGTGCTTTATATATGTCAAACTATCCTAGGAAACTATTCGAATAATTTTTTTTCTCAGTAAAAATTATACTATTGCAGATTATGTTGGGGGCCGAGGATCTTAAGGTACAGTAGTATGCAATCATAGGTCCTGACCAGAAGGTGGCAGGAGAAAGACTTAGTCAGAGCTTCTTGAGGATTCCGTATTTATAATCCTGAACGAAAAGTTCATTTTACTTATACATTACATATAATTAGACTCCCAGATAAATTCTTCCTATCCTTAGCTGCATGTGGCTCTACACATTTATTTATCCACTGACCATGTCAACTCATCTGTAATATAGAAAATGGAAAAAAAGAAAGGGAGTAAATAATACAATGACTACTACTATATAGTGAATACCTCTGCGTGCTAGAAACCAAATTCAGGATTTCTACACAATATTCCATTTAACATCAATACAATTCCATGAGGTAGGTATTATTATTCCTCATTTTAAAGATGAGGAAATTGAGATTCAAGCTTTTGCAAGTGAAAATAAGCAGTGCCAGAGTTGCAGCTGCCATGAAAGCTCAGTGACATTTGCTTATTTACAAAAATTAGGTATAACCTAAAGCAAGAATGCAAAAAAAAATGAACTCTGAGCACAGGGACCTTGAGACAGCTCTCCTGAAAGCCTACACATTGTTGGTAGAGTGAAGTTTTAGGGAAGCAAAACTGTGAAGTATGAAACCAGATCCAACCTGAGAACAGATGCTTCTGAGTAAGCAAAGAGAATTTCTAAATAGCTAAAAGACAGAAACATTCCTAAAGTAGACAGTTTGGAATGGCTCAAAAGAAAATGTGCAGCTTGCGTGACCACCCCAAAAGATTGTCCCACCTAGGCAGCTGAAGAACAACAACTTAGCCTTGGCAACAAAGCAAGATCCCGTCCTTACAAAACAAACAAACAAACAAACAAAAAAACTAATTGGCCAGGTGTGTTGGTGCATGCCTACAGTCCCAGCTACTTGGGAGGCTGAGGCAAGAGGATCACTTGAACCTAGGGAGTTCGAGGCTACAGTGCCCTATGATGGCACCACTGCATTGAAGTATGGGTGACAAGAGCAACACCCTGTCCAAAAAAAGAAAAAACGAAGAACAACAACTTACAACTTACCTTTCTACTTTTGAGGAGACTGGGAGTCACAGAGTCCCTGCCACAAGGTGGAGGGGTAACAGATTTGATTGGAAGCAGTGAGTTATAAATGGTGCTGTGTCCTCTAGCCCTCTAACCAACACATGACTGTACAGCTGGCCTCTCTGATACTAAATTTTCCCCATGTGCTAAAGATCGTACAAGAAGAGGGTTGCAAAATGAAGAGAATAGATTAATTATTATAGTTAATTATATTTCTTGGAAAATCAACCACTGGTGAGACACCAAAACCCAGAGAAACTGAGGAAGTGGTTATATTTGCATATGCATAGAAATACACATACATGTTTGCAGATAAATAGAATTTTGTCTAATATGGTATGTACTAAATTGTTAACAATAGCTTCCTCTGGAGAGTGGAACTTAGTGTCAGAAGGAACATCTATCTTGTTTTTAACACTATACAACAAACATGTTTTATTATTTTAATATTTTTAAAGTGGTTATTAAAGAGACCAATGACTAGTTTGTGCAAAATAAAAAGAAGCCAGGAAGATTCTATAATATTAATAGATCAGATTTGAGGTGACACAAGCCTCAAACAGAATTAATTCATCCATGATGATTGATGAAGAAACTTCCCTATGGAAAGAAAATATGGATTCCATTCAAAGCACTTTATTTTGGTTATTTAGAATATTAAAATATACATATCCTCTAGCTGTCTTAGAATTCTGATTGATTACTTATGAAAACATTTTCTCCTTCTATGGTACAATGTTAACAATAATACTTATGAACTAGGCTGCTGTTTGAAGATAGATAGACAGATGTGTGTATGTATCTAGAAAGTTATAGTTACATATAGAGTGTGTGTGTGTGTGTGTGTGTGTGTGTGTGTGTGTGTGTATTCCTTTAATCCTGTCATCAGCTCTAGAAAGTATAAGTTATCATCTCCAGTTTATAGTTGAGGCACAAAAAGGTTAAATGAGTAGCCCAAATCAAAAAAGACTATAGCCAGGATTCAAGTCCAAAGAGCCCCAGCCCAAAGCTTGTACTCTTGGCCACTCTTGTATATACTTCTTGAGAAAAATAAATGTATTAAAAAGGACACCAACCATAGCCACAAAGTTTGGGACTTGAATTTTTTCCAGTGTTTCCCTGAGTTGATCAACTTCTGCTCGATATTCATCAAGCTGACATTCTAATTTTTCTCTACGTAGTCGTTCATACTCCAGCTGGCCCTGCAGTTCTTTGATGGTCCTATCAAAAACAAAATTTTTTAAAAATCAATCATCAATGTCAACTAATAATTACTTTTAGTAGTGGAAAGCATTCATACATTGTATTTAAGGCAAATAAAACAAAGAAATCATTTATTCAACAAATATGTATTAAGGGTCTACTAAGAATGAGCACTGACCTAGGTATTGGGGATACAGTGGTGAACAAAAGGCCCAAAATCTGCCTTCCTGGACCTTACTTTAGTAATAGAGATATGCAGACAACAAGGAAAATAAATAAGTAAAATATATGGTATGTTGGAAGGTAATAAGTGCTAAAGGAGAAAACAAAAATAAAGCAGGAAAGAGTAGTATAAAATGTTGTGGAAGAGGGGCTTAACATTTCATACACAGTGGCTAGGGAAGGCTTTATTGAGAAGGGGGCTTCTAAGCCAAGCCCTGAAGGAAATAAGAGAGATAACCCTGTAGACATTAGAGGAAAAGCATTCCAGACAAAAGGAACAAGTGCAAAGGCCCTAAAGTAGAAGGATGCCTGATGAAGTACAAGAAAAACAGAAGCCAATGTGATAGAATCATTTAAAGAATAAAAGGGAGGCCAGGCGCGGTGGCTCACGTCTGTAACCCCAGCACTTTGGGAGGCGGAGGCAGGTGGATCACTTGAGGCCAGGAATTTGAGGCCAGCCTGGCCAACACGGTGTAACCCTATCTCTACTAAAAATACAAAAAAAAAAGTCATTAGTAGGAAATAATTTTTCCACCATGAGGTACTTTTCTAGACTACAAGGAATCTAAGAACTTTCAGCTAGGCTCTTAGACCAAGGCTAACACTAAAAAAAAAAAAATCTACATCTCAAAACACTTCAAACAGTATAGAGGCAGTGGACAGCCACCTATATGATATGATTTGTGAGATACCAAGAAAGCTCCTGATTTAAAACAAAAACAAAAAAATCAGTCTGCCACAGCTTCCTGGTGTCTAAAATCACATCAAGAGGTAGTTTCAGTTAATAGGGTAGCAGGGAAAAAAACAGAAAAAAGAGTATTTTGGCCTAATGTTTTGCCATCTGTTTAAATTCCCAAGTATCCATCCATGGAAGAATGACACATTAATCCTTATATTATTTTTTATTTTCTTTCTTTTAAACTAGAGCCAAATGTCAGCTTAACCACATTAATCCTTATCAAAGATTTAGATGTTACTCTGAATACAGTTAGCAGACCTCTTTCAGAACTAGATTTGGAAACAGGTGGAGGAAAGGGAAACAGGCAGTTCTAAGAGTGTGACGGAACAAGACACGACCAAAGGAAAAGGCAGGAAAAGCAGAGGACAAAGAAGGGAATCCATGTGTGGTTCTCTTTCTGGACCCATGTTTGATTAAATCCAAAGTTCCCTCTCCTGTCTCTCTCTGCTCCCTGTCCATTCTGGAAAGCAGATAGACAGACAAGCAGAGAGACAGTAGGATGAAAGAAGCTCGAGGCATCCTCTATCCCAGCAGCTATTAACTACAGTAGTCTCTCAGTATCAAAGAGGAACTGGTTCCAGGAAGCTCCAGACACCAAAACCCACGGATGCTAAGTCCCTTACATTAAAATGGTATAGTACATACGTATCTGCATATAATCTATATGCATTCTCCTGTATAATTTGAATCATCTCTAGATTACTTATTATAGTAGTATACAATAAGTTGTTGTAGCATATTATTTATGGAATAATAACAAAGGAAAAAAGTCTACAAATGTTCAACACAGACACAACCATCCTATTTCTTTTTCCTGATTATTATCTATCCAAGTTTGGTTGCATCCATGATGTGGAGCCCACAGATATAGAGAGCCAACTGCTATTAGAGAGGTACCCATTGTCCAGAGAGCCAATTTAGGGTACAGGAAGTGAAAGGCAGAGACAACCATGCACTTGCTCACTGCCTCTAGATGCAAGAGCATTCTCTGTTGGGTACTATAATCAGTGAACACAAGACCTAGTCTCAGATTTATGAATGGGCAGTGTAGCCTGATGAAAATGTTCAGAGACTATGTTAGAATGTCAGTTTTGCAAGATGAGAGTTCTGGAGATTGGTTGCACAACGATGGGAATGTACTTAACACTACTGAACCGTATACTTAAAAAATGGTTAAGATGGTAAATTTTATGTGTATTTTATCACAATTATTTAAAAATTTTAACTCCTTTGTCATCTAAGGGCTTAGGAGAAAAACAGGATGGAACCTAACACCCTTTGGCAAGATGAAAGTAAAAGTTGCTGATCAACAAACCCTCACATGGCATTTAGAGAGGTATTTAAAAACAAATCATTAAAGTTTTAAGGACATTACTTTTCAGACTCAAGCTGTTCTTTCTTCTGCTTTAAATCTTCTTCTGTTATGCCTCCCAAGTGTTTATAGTTGCTCTCGGCAATTTCCAGGAGGTGTCTCAATTCTACAATTTTCTTGTAAGCTCTCACTGCAAGACAGAGTTGAGTAGGAACCTAGTTAGACATATAACAGCTCATGTGTCCACTGGGTGCTGGTATTCTTGAGCATATTCTTCCTCTAGACTAGTGTCTGTATGGTTTGGAGAGGGGGGTGGAGGAAGGTTGGTATATACAAAGAAGGATAAATATCAGTAACAGAATACTAAAATGAGCACGCAATGGAATACCTAAATGGAGGATTCTTTCCCTGCTACTGGAGCATGTATCAGGTTGTTATGACTATTAACGCTATGAACAAGAAGGTTTTAAAAGACTAGCAGTATTGACCAGGCATGGCGGTTCACGCCTTAATCCCAGCACTTTGGGAGGCCGAGGCGGGTGGATCACCTGAGGTCAGGAGTTCGAGACCAGCCTGGCCAACATGGTGAAACCCCGTCTCTACTAAAAATACAAAAATTAGCCGGTGTGGTGGCACGTGCCTGTAATCCCAGCTACTCATGAGGCTGAGGCAGGAAAATCACTTGAACCCGGGAGGCAGAGACTGCAGTGAGCCGAGACCACATCACTGCACTCCAGCCTGGACAACAGAGCAAGACTCCGTCTCAAAAAAAAAAAGACTAGCAGTGTTTTAGGACTAATGGTGGATTACAGGACCACGTGCAATCTACTATGTAACAGAAAATTAGAAAAACTGAAATATACTTGATTTTAAAGTACCAGCCACAAATTTTGTGATTGGTCACTTGTAGTACCTATGCAAGAGAATAGTAAGAGAAGGAAGTACATTGAGAGATATTTTGAACTATTCTCCAACTATTAGAACTATGAATTCTCCATCCTTTATGGCAGTGGTTCTCTGCCAAGGGTCATTTGGCAACCTCTGAATAAGTTTTGCTTGTCACAGCTTGAGAGTGTGGAACAGGGAGGTGCTACTGGCATCTAGTAAGTGAAGGCTCAGGATGCTACTAAACATCTCACAGTGCACACAGAAAAGCTTGCCTCAACAAAATAATTATCTGGCCCAAAATGTCAAGAGTACAGAAGTTGAGAAACTGCTTTACAGGACCAGCTTAGCAAATCACAGCCTCTTGTTCCTAACACCAATGATTTATCTATCAACAGGTTAGAGCTGCAGGTTCTAAACTGCATATACCTGAATCAAATGGGATGCTTTTTAAAAATGTATGTGCTTGAGCCCCATTCCAGACCTATAAGTTCAAGAATATGTACTTAATAAAAGGTTCTCGGCCAGGAGCAGTGGCTCACGCCTATAACCCCAGCACTTTGGGAGGCCAATGCGGGCGGATCACTTGAGGTTGGGAGTTCAAGACCAGTATGGCCAACATGGTGAAACCCCATCTCTACTAAAAATACAAAAATTAGCTGGATGTGGTGGCACATGCCTGTAATCCAGCTACTCGGGAGGCTGAGGCAGGAGTACCACTTGAGCCCAGGAGATGAAGGATGCAGTGAGCCGAGGTCGTGCCACTGCATTCCAGCCTGGGCAACAGAGTGAGACTTTGTCTCAATAAAAAAAAAAAAAAAAAAAAAAAAAAAAAGGGCAGCCAGGCGAGGTGGTTCACGCCTGTAATCCCAGCACTTTGCGAGGCCGAGGCAGGCAGATCACGAGGTCAGGAGATAGAGACCATCCTGGCTAACATGGTGAAACCCCGTCTCTACTAAAAATACAAAACAAAATTAGCCAGGCGTGGTGGCGAGTGCCTGTAGTCCCAGCTACTCAGGAGGCTGAGGGAGGAGAATGGCGTGAACCCGGGAGGCGGAGCTTGCAGTGAGCCGAGATTGCGCCACTGCACTCCAGCCTGGGCAAGAGCAAGACTCCGTCTCAAAATAAATAAATAAATAAATACATACATACATAAAAATGTCTCCTCAGACAATTCTCAAGGGCAGACAGGTTTGGGAACCACCATAACCACTAGTAAGAAGATAGAGGGGATTAAGATAAAAAATGTCAGAAAAGACTGAAAGAGCAGTGAGTATTTAGCTTATATAATAATTTCATTAATATTTGAAAGTCTGTGTTTCGTAAAGCCTGTTCTATGGGGTCCTCAGAGGTAAGAACTAAGATTAATTGGAATTAGCTCCAGGAAGAAAGATTTCAATTCAACAAAAGAGGAAATTTCCAATGAAAACAATAAAAATCACGTATTTATGCAGTGTCTGTGATGTCGAGACACTACACTAAGTACCTTACACATTTTAATCCTCACAGAGAAGAAATGCTTTTCAAAAGAAGACATACACATGGACAACAAGCATATGAAAAAATGCTCAACATCAGGAATCATTAGAGAAATGCAAATCAAAACCACAATGAAATGCCATCTCACATCAGTCAGAATGGCTATTATTAAAAAGTCAAAAAACAACAGATGCTGGGGAGGTTGTGGAGAAAAGAACATTCATACACTGCTGGTGGGAGTGTAAAGTAGTTCAACCATTGTGGAAAGCAGTTTGGCGATTTCTCAAAGAACTCAAAACAGAAAGGAATATATATCACACTATATTCATACTATATTCACACTATATTCAAACTATAAAGACACATGCACACATGTTCATCGCAGCACTATTCACACAGCAAAAACATGGAATCAACCTAAATGCCCATCAACAGAAGACCGGATAAAGAAAACGTGGTGCGGCCGGGCACAGTGGCTCACGCCTGTAATCCCAGCACTTCGGGAGGCCAAGACGGGTGGATCACAAGGTCAGGAGTTCAAGACCAGCCTGATCAACATGGTGAAACCCATCTCTACTAAAAATTCAAACATTAGCTGGCTGTGGTGGCACGTGCCTGTAGTCACCACTACTCGGGAGGCTGAGGCAGAAGAACTGCCTGAACCCAGGAGGCGGAGGTTGCAGTGAGCCAAGATCGTGCCACTGCACTCCAGCCTGGCGACGGAGTGAGACTCCATCTAAAAAAAAAAAAAAAAAACTTAACTACCATTCACCGAATTCCCCAGGCCAGAAATCTGTCATCCTTGATTACCCTCTTTTTCTAACACCTCATAGCCACATCTATCAGCAAATCCTATCATCTTTCTCTCTTCTAAATACACCAAATCTCACCACTTCTCATTATCCCCATCATCTCCACTCCAGTCCAAGCCATAAACAACTCTCTCCTGAACTATAGCGATAGCCCCCTAACTGATTTCCCTGCTTCCACTCTTGCCCTATGAAGGAAAATGGGCTTTCCACAACACCAGAAATCTGGAGGCAAAAACAGTCAAGGCAAACAAGATCTTGGCTTGGCTTTCACTCTATCTTCCCAACAAAGTATGGTATTACTGATGCTGATTTTTTTCAAGAACCAGGATATATATATAAATATTGCTTAAAGGGAATACATAGAATGTTAATGTAAGCTCTTCTTAAATGGTGATGAAAGCCTCTAATATGAAAAGGTGGAAGCAAAACAAGAATGGAGATGTCCAATATCACTGGTAGTTACAGGCCTACATCAGGAACTCTAGGAGCCCAGGAAATCTGTGCAGATATTCTACGTCTGCTCTTGTACAATTCTAATTTAGTATCCTTGGCATCAGGATATAATTATATCAGGAACTTCATCCAACCTTATATTGTTAGATGGAGTATGTTCTCTTCCCACCTAATTCATACCCCATCTGAAATGCTATGCTCTTTTCCACCTCCCAGTCTATCACCCACCCAACAGGTAGAGTGATACTGTTTTTAAATGTGAATCAGATCACATCATTCCCCACCCTGAATCCCAACAATGGCTATTTAAAATAAAATCTATATGCTGAGATTTTGTAGTGAAAAAAGGGGAAAAATGAACAAATAAAAATCGAAATCTAAAATCCTTATTAGGCCCTACATGATCTGACTGGGTCCCTGCTTACCTTTCAGACCAATCTGTCGCCACTTCCTTAGGGATTCTACTCAAGCCACACTGACCATTCTCAATGCTACATAATGGCCTTTACGTGCACTGCTCCCTCTGCTGGCACGTTCTTCCAAGATCTTAATATGACTCATTCTCATCACTCAGGTCTCTGCTCAAACATCACCACCTCAGAGAGGCCTAATGACTTTCTTATCTATAGCACCACTCTACTCTATTTACTTTATATATCTATTTTCTTATCAATTATTTATCACCCTCCCTCCTGACTACCACCATTCGAATGAAGTTCCTTTGTATTGTTCACCATTACTTCAATAACTACAACAGTGTCTGGCACATAGTAGACAATAAATATTTGTTGCTATTATTATCTATAACAATCATTTGCCAACTAACCATGGAAATCCTTGAGATGTCTCTTTCCCTGCCCTGTTTCCTTGATCCACTGAAGAAAATACTTAAGTATTTTCTTATATAACTTTCCACCCCCTGAGGGACAGAGATTATGTCTTATACTTTTTATATGTTCAACAACCCTAGTACAAAAACTTATATTAGTTCTAGTTCCTCCAAAAATATCAAATTATTTTACTTTGTAGGCAGTATTTGTCTTTAGAATAGTTTCCAAATTTGTGGTAAAAAGTGGCTGTGGTATTTCTGAAAGGATAAATCACAACAGAGGCAGCATACTTACTTCTGGCATCTGTTTTATCCAAGTCACTCAGACATAAATCATCCTTGGCATCAGTGCTTCCCTCAACACCATGTCTTATAAAATATTTCACATCATTTTCATCAATTTCATTTTCGTCATCTATATCATATTTCTGTAGCTCCTCTAACAGCTTCACTGCTGCCAAATGGGCAAACCTGTAGAAAAGAATCAATAACTAACCAGATCCACAATCTTCTTCAAACTGAAACTGCAGCTTGCACTTAACTTAGGGGATTACACTCTGTACACCCTGCCATCAATCCACTCACCAGCCAAGGAGCCAAAATCTGAAGGTCAGTGACAATTTGACATATATTCAACTATGTAAGAAACTCAGTTACTTGGCACTACGGACAATTATTCATATTAAACACTGATTCCATAATTTTTATTGGCAAAAATACACTGGGAATGGAGATCCAATACCAAAGGAATATGTAGTATGCTCTCAAGCAGAGCTGCTCAACTGAATAGAAGGCCCAGAACCACCCTCCTTGATTACCTACAGTTATTGCCTTTTCTTGGCCTAATTTAGATTATAGAATTCATTTTCATTCCAGTTTTAGGGCTAACTATTAATATAGCTCTAGCCCCCTCTATCTTCACCCTTCCTCAAGCCAAAGCATTTGGTACGGCTTTGAAATTTAATGAAAAAATAATGACCTTTCCATTCATGTTTTCTAATTCTCCTTAATCTTTCCTGCATCTCTGTGAACGTTCCAGTAATGTACTCTTGGTTTTGGAGTTGTTGTGATTGCATGCAACCTGCATATTTTCCGCAATTTTGCTAACTGGAATTTTTAATATATTTTCTTACAACTTGAAGAATTACTCACTAAACATAAAAACCTTAAATCCTATTTTCTCATACTTACATAACCAAACACACACATTACCTCCTACCAGATACTGCAAATCATTAAAGACATAGTAATAAACATATGCAGGAAGTTGTAAGGTTTATAGAATTCATTAAGTCTACGACTAGGTTGTAATTTAACAGCTGTCATTTACTGAGTGCTTACTTTATGCTAGATTCAAAGTTATCTCTAAAATAACCCTACACCCACACCAAGCATTTTGGTGCATGAGAAAAAAATGTGGACCAGAAATTATGGAAAACTTCAGATATACCCATAGTATTCAATCACCTATTTGATGCTGATACAAAAATATACAAATAGACCAATGGATAAAATAGTTCAGAATTAAGCCCACACATACATCAAGAACTGATCTGACAAAGGCACAAAGGCAGTGGAGAAAGGATAGTCTTTTAAACAAATAGTCTAGAACTGGATATCCATATGCAAAAAAAGAACTTGGACTCATACTTCATATCATATACAAAAATTAACTCAAAATGATCACAGACCTCAATATAAAAGCTAACACTAACTTCTAAAAGAAAACATAAAAGAAAATTTTTATGACTTTGTGTTAATCAGACTTCTTTAGATATGACACCAAAATCATAATACATAAAAGGATAAATTAGTAAGAAATTTTGCTCTTCAAAGACATTAAGAGAATGAAAAAACGAGATACAACCGGTAAAAAAGGGAAATCTTTGCAAAGTATATATCTGAAAAAGAACTAGTATCCAGAATATACAAAGAACCTTTAAAACTCAACATCAAGAAAACAATTCAATTTTTTAAAGTGGGCAAAAGATCTGAATAATCACTTCATCAAAGAAAATATACAGATGGCAAGTATGTATATTTAAAAGATGCTCAAAATCATTTTTCATTAGAAAATGCAAATTAAAACCACAGTGAGCTACCACTACATACCTATTTCATTACTAGAATTAAAAAAAGACCCTGACAATACCAAATGATGGTGAGAATGTAGAACAACAGAAATTGACATCCATTGCTGACAGAAATGCAAAATTTTTTTTTTTGAGGGTCTAGCTCAGTCGCCTAGGTTGGAGTGCTGTGGTGCGATCTAGGCTCACCACAACCTCTGCCTACCAGCTTCAAGCAATTCTCCTGCCTCAGCCTCCCAAGTAGTAGCTGGGACTACAGGTGCACGCCACCACACCAGGCTAATTTTTTGAATTTTTTTTTTTTTTTCGGAGACAGAGTTTCGCTCTTGTTGCCCAGACTGGAGTGCAATGGTACAATCTCGGCTCACAGCAACCTCCACCTCCCAGGTTCAAGGAATTCTCCTGCCTCAACCTCCTGAGTAGCTGGGATTACAGGCAAGCACCACCATGCTTGGCTAATTTTGTATTTTTAGTAGACACAGGGTTTCTCCATGTTGGTCAGCCTGATCTCAAACTCCTGACCTCAGGTGATCCGCCCGCCTCGGCCTCCCAAAGTGCTGGGATTACAGGCATGAGCCACCATGCCCGGCCTGAACTTTTCCTTTTTAGTAGAGACAGGGTTTCACCATGTTGGCCAGACTGGTCTCGAACTCTTCACCTCAAGTGATCCACTGCCTTGGCCTCCCAAAATGCTGGGATTACAGGTGTGAGCCACTGCACCCAGCCCCTAGAAATGCAAATCTGTATGGCCACTTTGGAAGGCACTTCGGCAGTTTCTTATAAAGTTAAACATACACTTGGCATATGGCCCAACAATCCTACTCATAGACTTACCAAAGAATTGAAAACATGTTAACACAAAAACCTGTATAGTAATGTTTACAGCAGCTTTATTCATAACCACCAAAAAATGATACAATCAAGATGCCCTTCAACCTGTGAGTGGATAATCGAATTATGGAATGCTATGGAATTCTACTCAGCTGTTAGAAGAAAATGAACTACAATCAAGATGTCCTTCAACCTGTGAGTGGATAATTGAATTATGGAATACTATGGAATTCTACTCAGCTGTAAGAAGGAAATGAACAGCTAATACACACAGATGAATCTCAAAATAATTACGTTGAGTGAAAGAAGCCAGACATAAATATATATTGTATGATTCCATTTATATAAAACTCTAGAAAATGCAAACCAATCTACAGTGACAGGAAGCAGATCAGCGTTTACTTGGGCACACTGGGGAGCAGTCAAAGGGAGAGAGGTTATAAAGTGGCAGGAGACTTTGACGGTGATGAATATGTTCACTATCTTAATTGTGGCAATGGTTTCACAGGATACGCATACATCAAAACTCATCAGTTGTACCGTACAAATATATGCATTTTATTGTGTGTCAATTATACCTTGATAAAGCCATTTTAAACCAATAAAATAGACTTGAGCTGACAATGATCCCAGGTACATGGTACAACAAAACCACACTCCAAGTCATCAAAGAAATTCCATAAACAAAATTTTAGGGAACATGAGCTCACAAACAAAAGTTGCATGGCAACTTAGCAAATGATTGGACCAGAGCATACTGTCAAGACTCATCTGCCATTGTTAGCCCACACTCCTAGTTTAGATTCCAGCCTTCTAATCCACATGCAGTTCTTCAAACATATAAGGTGTTGTCTTACAACTCCTCCTTACATTTACACTTACGCTTACAAGTGTCAACAGAAATGTTGCTTCCTCAAAAGAAAAGTTTTTTCTTTCACCTCTATCTAAATTCTGTCCCCATGCAGTTTCCTTCATAACTTTTACCTTCCTCTGTATTAAAGTTTCTCCCTTACAACTTTCAAACAGAAAGATTTTTTTCTATATTCTTAGTGTACCTTACACATACCATGTAATACAGTATAATGATTAGAATTAATAAGAATTTTATTTGCATATTTGTCTCTCCACAATACTGTAAACTCCTTGAGGGCGGTGACTGTGTTTTCTCCCCTTTGTATTTCTACCACTAATCACAGAACTTGGAACATGGTAAGTATACGGGAAGCTGAATGAAAGAACAACCAAACGAACAAATAGATGGAGTAAATATTTCTTGAGAACCTAACCTGAATGAGCTGGCTAGGTTTAAAAATACATGCTATATTTAATTCGGATGTAAATTGCAAAATATGTTTCAAAATCCAAGTCACTTATTTTTCTATTATTAATGTTGACTATTTATTTTTATCACACAGCATTTCTTAACAGGGAATGCTACAGGCATTTGGATGGGACAAATCATGAATTACTGTTCTGAGCACTGCAGAACATTTAGCATTCCCAGACCGGACCTCCAGTTGGTGAAGGTCTCTGGTCATTGTGACAACCTTCCCCAACATTTCCAAAGACCCCTCCCATGAGGAAACGGGAAAATATTACCTCCCAGTGGAGAATTACTGCTTGAAAAAGAAAAGCTGATATAATGGCAGCTGTCAATTCAGCTTGAAAATTGTCATTCCATCTGTATTTGATTGAGTCCTCTAAAATTCCATTAAAACTTCAGAGATTTTTGAGTCCAAAAAAGTATACGCAAAACTTTAAAGAGAAAAGAAAGGAGTAAAGAAGACAGAGATTTATACCTCTTTGCCACATCACTGGGTCTCTCCCCTGCTTTGTTGGTAATATTACTGTCTGCTCCCATTTTAATTAACCACTGCAAACACTCTATGTGGCCTTGTCCAGCAGCTGTTCAAAAAAAGGAAAAAGAACAGGAATTACACACAAAAAAGTTAGTTATTAGTAACAATTTTCTAAAATTTTGGACAGTACCATTATAGAGTACTTAGTTAAGTATTGATCCTTGCAGTAACTGGCAAAAGTACATTGGGCAAATATTATTTTCTCTATTTCACTTACTGATTCATTAGACAAACATTTAATCAACTGTGCTCAGGCCCCACACAGATAATTTTACACACGGATATAAAAGCTGAAACTCAAAAAGGTTATTTATGTATTTATTTAAAATCACACAGCTAGTAAAAAGTAGTTTGAAACTAGAATCCAGGCTTTTCTAATACTATCCAGTGCTTATCTCCTGCTATAAATAGCTCCTAACCAATCTTGTATTTCACAAGAATGTGAGCACATTCTAACCATAAGGACCTACACAGACTTCAAAAAGTCTTGCTTCAGCATATATTTATATGATAGATGTATGATATATATGTATTCTTCTGATTCTTACAACTCAAAATTTATAGGCCTGTAAAGCCACACTTAATTACCTAAACTGTTTACCACCTTTGTCCAAATCTTCACCTCATAACACATGCTGTCTTTATTTTCACCTTCACAACTCTGCTTATGTGTCTTCCCACCTAAAGCCAATCACTCAACAATGTGCTCATTTAACCTGTAACTATTCTTCTTCATCCATCTTGAAACTCAAGGAAGCTGAAGAAAACAAACTGAATAGACTTAAAAGAAAGACTTGAGTTTAGGTCTATTAAACAATAAGATGTGAGGACAGGGCTATAATCTTCATATCCTCAGACGACAGCAAGTGGCTGCAACTTACAGACCCTCAACCAATGTCTAAAGAGTTGATGAGTGAATGAATACTTTTAAAAAATGCAATCTTAGCTCTGCTCTTACTAGCTATATATCTAACCTCAGTCAAGCCACCTGACTTCTCTAAACATCAATTTCCTCATCTTTAACATAGACGATTGTTTTATAAGCAAAGCACACTGCTGCTTTATAAAACTGCAATAAGTATTAAATGTGATAAGAGCTTTTCACTCTACTAAGTAGTATATATACATCAGGTATTATTACCAAATCCCTATGAATAGCTCCTCAATAATTTGATCCTTAGCAACTTCTTCCATCCCTCAATTCCTATTCCCAAACTCCTATGACATGTATTTTAAGAACCTAATTATTTTTGGCCATTAATTGCATCCTATCTTAAAAAGAAATCTCTAGTTCTTTTATGGTATAATTGTGTAACTCTTTAACAGTAAGGTCCAGATCTCATTCTGGCTCACAGTACAGGCACATGGTTGGTGCTGAATATGTATACATGACCTTGCAAAATAAATCAAAGAGCAGGAACTTTGGGTGTTAATTTGGTGCTTTAAAAAGCGAACCCACCTCCATTACTGGCAAAAGAGAGGACACAGAGGAATATCAAGGGACTAAACAACCCTATCACTACAGTCCTACAGCCCAGGTGGCAAGTCTCTAAGAACTCTGGTTCTGTTGTCCTCTGCCTCAGAGCCATCTGCCAAATTACAAGCTGGCTTCTGCAGAGTCTGGGGCTTCTCTCTCTCCTACAGCCTATCCAGAACCCACTAACACAGAAACTTCAGGATTTCTCAGACCTCTATTAAAAACCCCACTTTAGACAAAAATGGCAACATATTGATCTTTTCTGTCATTAAGAGTCAAAAAATCATATTTATGAGCATGGATAATGCTGAATTTTACGAGACAGAATGAATTTAGCCCAACATTTCATTTTATCATATGGGAAATGTTTAAAAACAGGAGGGAGGGAGGTTAAGTAATGTATCTACAATGAAATGCAATAAGAGAATTTTACCCAAGATTTTTATTGAATATTGATTAGGATATGTGACTAATTTGACCAATGTTTTAAAAGGAACAAGAAAAATTATATAGTTGTTAGAAATTTTTAAGAAATGACTTGAAATAATTAAGATTTAAGACCAAGTTTAAAAAGGAGAAGTCATAGTTCTAAACAATTATTAAATAACTAAAAAGAATGCCTCAATAATAAATACCACAGCTTATCTACTAAATGAAATTAAAACTAAAGGAAAAAGCAGTATGATAAAATGTGAGAAACATGAATTAAATTATAAACAGATGTCAACTTTTATATGACCAATTTTAGTACAGTAGAAACATATAGATGGTACCCAAGAAAAGGGTAATGTCTTAATGTACTTCTGAATGACTGAAGGATCAATGAAAAAATTAAGAAGGAAGTTGAAAAATTTCTTGAAACACATGATAATGGAAACACAACATACAAAAACCTATGAGATAGAGCAAAAGCAGTACTAAGAGGAAATATTGTAGTTATAAGTGCCTACATCAAAAAAGAGAAAAAACTTCACATAAAAAATCTAATGAGGCCGGGCACCGTGGCTCATGCCTGTAATCCCAGCACTTCGGGAGGCCAAAGCGGGTGGATCACCTGAGGTCAAGAGTTCGAGAACAGCCTGGCCAACATGGT
Organism: Homo sapiens; assembly: GCF_000001405.40. Taxonomy (NCBI): domain Eukaryota; kingdom Metazoa; phylum Chordata; class Mammalia; order Primates; family Hominidae; genus Homo; species Homo sapiens. The sequence continues at coordinate 83,233,879 of NC_000011.10, read as the reverse complement.
AAAACCTTGTCTGTACTAAAAATACAAAAATCAGTTGGGCATGATGGCACATGCCTGTAATCCCAGCCACTTGGGAGGCTGAGTCAGGAGAATTGCTTGAACCCGGAAGGTGGAGGTTGTAATGAGCCAAGATGGCACCACTGCACTCCAGCATGGGTGACACAGTGAGACTCCATCTCAAAAACAAAACAAAACAAAACAAAACAAAATCTAATGATGCATCTTAACAAGAAAACCAAGAGCAAGCCAAATACAAAATTAGTAAAAGAAAAGAAACAATAAAGATCAGAGCAGAAACAAATGAAATTAAAATGAAAACAATACAAAAGATCAATGAAACAAACAGCTGGGCTTTTTCTGAAAAGTTAAACAAAATGGACAAACCTTTATCCAGACTAAGAAAAAAAGAGAGAAGATCCAAATAAATAAAATCAGAAATGAAAATGAGACATTACAACTGATACTGCAGAAATTCAATGGATCATTAGTGGCTACTATGAGTAACTATATACCAATAAATTGGAAAATCTAGAAGAAATAAATTCCTAGACACAAACAACCTACCAAGATTGAACCAGGAAGAAACCCAAAGCTTGAACAGACCAATAATGAGTAATGATATCAAAGCCATAATAAAAAGTCTCCCAGTTAAAAAAAAAAAAAAAACCCCAGACCCGATGGCTTCATTGCTGAATTCTATCAAACATTTAAAGAAGAACTAATACCAATCCTACTCAAACTATTCTGAAAAATAGAAGGGAAGGGAATACTTCCAAATCCATTCTACAAGGCCAGTATTACCCTGACTCCAAAATCAGACAAAGACACATCAAAAAATAAAACTACAAGCCAATATCTCTGATGAATATTCATGCAAAAATCATCAACAAAATACTAGCAAACCAAATTCAACAATAAATTAGAAAGATCATTTCATCATAACCAAGTGGGATTTACCTCTGCGATACACCGATGATTCAACATATGCAAATCAATCAATATGATACATATCAATAGAATGAAGGACAGAAACCATATATGATCATTTCAATTGATGCTGATAAAAGCACCTGACAAAATTCAACATCTCTTCTTAATAAAAACCCTCAAAAACTGGGTATAGAAGGGACAAATTCAACATAATAAAAGTCATATATGACAGACCCACAGCTAGTATAATAGTGAATATGAAAGCACTTCCTTTAAGACCTGGAACACAAGGATGCCCACTTTCATCTCTATTATTCAACACAGTACTAGAAGTCCCAGCTAGAGCAATAAGACAAGAGAAAGAAACAAAGGGCATCCAAATTGGAATGGAAGAAGTCAAATTATCCTAGTTTACAAATTATATAATCTTATATTTGGAAAAACCTAAAGACCCCACACAAAAAACCTATTAGAATTGATAAGCAAATTCAGTAAAGTTGCAGAACACAAAATCAACTTACAAAAATCAGTAGCATTTCTATATGCCAACAGTGAACAATCCAAAAAGGAAATCAAAATAGTAATCCCATTTATAATAGCCACAAATAAAATTAAATACCTAGGAATTAACCAAAGAAGTAAAGGATTTATATAGGGAAAACTATAAAACACTGATGAAAGAAACTGAAGAGGACATCAAAAAATGGAAAGATATTCCATGTTCATAGACTGGAAGAATCAATATTGTTAAAATGTCCATACTACTCAAAACAATCTACAGATTCATTGCAATCCCTATCTAAATACCAATGACATTCTGCACGGAAATAGAAAAAAAAAAAAAAAAAGCTAAAATTTATATGGAACCACAAAAGACCCAGAGTAGCCAAAGCTATCTTAAGCAAAAAGAACAAAACTGAAGGAATCACATTACCTGATTTCAAATTATACTATAGGGCTATAGTAACCAAACAGCATGATACTGGCATAAAAACAAGACACATAGACCAATAGCTGGGATTACAGGCACACACCATCATGCCCGACTAATAGACCAGAAACAAATCTACACACCTACAGTGAACTCATTTTTGACAAAGATGCTAAGAACATACAAGAACATACACTGGGTAAAAGACAGTCTCTTCAATAAATGGTGCTGGAAAAAACTGGATATCCATATGCACAAGAAAAAAACTAGACCCCTATCTCTCACCATATACAAAAATCGAGTCAAAATGGAATAAAGACTTAAATCTAGGACCTCAAACTATGAAACTACTAAAAGAAAACATTGGGGAAACTCTCCAGGACATTGGTCTGGGCAAAAATGTTTTGAGCAATACCCTACAAGCACAGGCAACCAAAGCAAACATGGACAAATGGGATCACATCAAGTTAAAAAGCTTCTGCACAGCAAAGGAAACAAAGTGAAGAGACAACCCACAGAATGAGAGAAAATATTTGCAAACTACCCACCTGACAAAGGATTAATAACCAAAATACATAAGAAACTCAAACAACTCTATAGGAAAAACTAATAATCTGATTTTTAAATGGGCAAAAGATCTGAACAGACATTTCTCAAAAGAAGACATACAAATGGCAAACAGATATATGAAAAGGCACTCAACATCATGGATAGTCAAATAAATGCAAATCAAAAGTACAAATAAGATATCATCTCCCCCCAGTTAAAATGACTTACATCCAAAAGACAGGCAATAACGAATGCTGGTGAGGATGTGGAGAAAAGGGAGCCCTCGTACACTGTTGGTGAGAATGTAAATTTGTACAACCACTATGAAGAACAGTTTGGAGGTTCCTCAAAAAACTAAAAATAGAGCTACCACACAATCCAGCTATCCCACTGCTGGGTATATGCCCAAAAGAAAGGAAATGGGTATATCAAAGAGACATCTTCACTCCTATGTTTGTTGCAGCATTGTTCACAATAGCTAAGATGTGGAAGCAATCTAAGTGTCCACCAACAGATAAATGGTAAAGAAAATGTGGTACATATACACAATGCAGTACTAATCCGCCATAAAAAAGAATAAGATCAGCTGGGCGCAGTGTTTCACACCTGTAATACCAGCACTTTGGGAGGCCGAGGTGGGCGGATCACGAGGTCAGGAAAACGAGACCATCCTAGCTAACACAGTGAAACCCCGTCTCTACTAAAAATACAAAAAATTAGCCGGGCATGGTGGCACACACCTGTAGTCCCAGCTACTCGGGAGGCTGAGGCAGGAGAATCGCTTGAACCCAGGAGAAATAGGTTGCGGTGAGCAGAGATCGCGCCACTGCACTCCAGCCTGGGCGACCGAGTGAGACTCCGTCTCAAAAAAAAAAAAGAATAAGATCTTGTCATTTGCAACAACATGGATAGAACTGGAGATCATCATGTTAGGTGAAATAAGCCAGGCACACAAAGACAAACTTTGCATGTTCTCACCTATTTGTGGGATCTAAAAATCAAAACAATTGATCTCACGGACACAAAGAGTAGGATGGTTACCAGAGGTTGGGAAAGGTAGTAGGGGAGTCAGAGGGAGGTAGGGATGGTTAAAGGGTACCAAAAAATAGAAAGCATGGGACTGGATGCAGTGGCTCATGCCTGTAATCCTAGCACTTTGGAAGACCAAGGCGGATGGATCACTTGAGTCAGGAGTTCGAGGCCAGCCTGGGCAACATGGCAAAACTCTGTCTCTACAAACAATACAAAAAATTAGCCAGGCATAGTAGCATGTGCCTGTAGTCCCAGCTACTCAGGAGGCTGAAGTGAGAGGATCCCCTGAGCCCAGGAGGTCAAGGCTGCAGTTAGTCGTGATCGCCCCATTGCATTCAAGCCTGGGCAACAGAGTGAGACTATCTGATAGCACAACAGGGTGACTATAGTCAATAATAACTTAATTGTACATTTTTAAATAACTAAAAGAAGGTAACTGGATTGTTTATAACACAAAGGATAAATGCTTGAGGGGATGGATACCCCATTCTCCATGATGTGAATATTTCACATTCCATGTCTGTATCAAAACATCTCACATACCCCATAAACATATACACCTATGTACCCACAAAAACTAAAAAGAAAAAAAGAAAAGGTAAATGTCCCCCAACAATGCTCTTTTCCAGCTGTTGCGACTTATAATCCCCCTCCACCACACCATCTGATCCACTCCTAGCCCTAGGAGTCCTTGATGGATGGACTCACGAAAAGAGGGTGAAGAGCAAACTCTTTTGGCTCCTCATCACTTTCACCTTCCCAACTTCCAACATCTATATTAAAAACACCTTGTTGTTGTAGAACAGTCTCTTTAGAACCTGCTTCCAGATCCCTCATTTCTCTTTCAGTTCAAGTGGTGAAGAAATGACTAGGACAGGCTGAAAACTAGCCATCAATGAAACTTAATTTACTGTCCCCACAAAGATGTACTATGAGCACCATGAGTGAGCCTATCTTTTCCTACTGTGTCTAAATGACACCCCCACACACGCGCATTAGCAATAAAAAACATATGTAGGATATGAAATGGGGGCTATAAAATGGATGTGTTATAGGAGGAATTGTGTTCCCCTCAAAATTCATATGTTAAAGTCCTAACCTCCAGTACCTCAGAATCCAACTGTATTTGGAGATAGGGCCTTTAAAGTGGTAACTAAAGAAAAATAAGGTGATATGGGTGGGCCCTAATCCAATTTGACTAATTTACTTACAAGAGGAGGACATCAAGACACAAATATGGTCATGCACAGAGGAAAGACTATGTGAGGGTATAGCAAGAAGGCAGCAGGTCATCTATAAGCCAAAGAGAGAAGCCTCAAAAAAAACCAAACCTGCTGCCACCTTCATCTCAGACTTCTAGCCTCCAGAACTCTGAGAAAATAAATTTATGTTGCTTAAGCCATCCAGTCTGCAGCATTTTGTTATATCAGCCCTAGTAAACTCATACAGTGGCTTTGCTCCAAGAAACCACATTAAAAAAAAAACAAAAAAAAACAAAAAAAACTTTAGGTACATGTTCAGCCTCCTCCCCATTCACATATCTCACAGTAGAGAGTTTAACTCCTGGATGGCCAGCAGAAATGGATGGAGTGAGATACTCCAAATCGAGGGCACAGAGCTCACCAATCTGTGGACCTCTCTCTGTGTAGGAGAAAACATCCTTTGCATCCCATCTCTTCTCATTTCCCTTGCTTATAAAACCATTGGTACACATAGCACTTAGATTCTGTACTTTGAGATACATTATGGATTAAACAAAGTAAGCTAAAAACCTAACCAATGGGAACATAATATATGATCTGAGGACTGCCAGAAGTATTTGTGAAATAAAGTCCAATTCAAACACGATTATATTAATAAGCCTACTATCATTTTAATCTAAGAGTTTAGTAAGAATCACCTGCCATCAGGCCAGGCATGGTGGCTCACGCCTGTAATCCTGCACTTCAGGAGGCCAAGGCGAGTGGATCATTTGAGGCCAGGAGTTCAAGATCAGCCTGGCCAACATGGTGAAACCCCATCTCTATTAAAAAGACAAAAAATTAGCCGGGTGTGGTGGCACATGCCTATAATCCCAGCTACTAGGGAGGCTGAGCTTGGGAGGATGACTTGAGCCCAGGAGGTCTCCACCTGCACTCCAACCTGGGTGACAGAACCAGACCCGGTCTAAAAAAAAAAAAAAAAAAAAAAAAAAAAAAAAAAAAAAGAGAGAGAGAGGGATGATTTCTATTTTAGTATGAATTAATAGGTCATTTTAAAAATGTTATCCTAAGAAACTTCTCTAGCAGTACATTTCACATCTTAACTAACATGACAATGTCACTATAGAAATTTTATTGGAATTACCCTTGAATAAGATAATGTATGAATATCTGGCATCATAAAAGAAACATTACACTTGAATTGAAAATTAGGCATTCTATATACCATACAAGATAGACTGATATCTGCTAGGGTATCAGAAAAAAGTTTCATGTTTCATGTGTTTCTGACTGATAATTACTTTAAAAGATGAATAACTCAGCAGCTATTGTATCCGAACTGAAAGGAGGAATCATAACTCACCTTTATGCATAGGAGTTGATCCATTATCAGCACGCTCATTAATATTGATTACTCCATCTTCCACTAATTTCTTAAGCATCCCCAAATCACCCTTAAAGGCAGCCACATGACCTGGAAATGCTAAAGCTATGAATAAAAAAATTCAGCATTTCAATAAACATAAGAGTTTATTCTTTTCCCTGTCTTAAGCTGTCATATATTTCAGGTTTCAATATTTTCTCAAATATAAGGCTGTTGTAATCGGATGAGTTCAGTTGATGACTACCAGTAAAAAGAGAATTATAAAATGAGATTATTACTAATCATTCTACTCCTTTTACCCTCAGGACTTCAAACATGCCAGAAGTATTGTACCAGGACAATTTTTAGCCATACTCTCTTTCTCTCTCATATCACCACAAAACACAGGGGATGGTCATTTAAAACCCTTTAAAACCCTTTGTATAAAGACACACTTAGAAGCCGGGCATGGTGGCTCACGCCTGTAATCCCAGCACTTTGGGAGGCTGAGATGGGTGAATCATTTGAGGTCACGAGTTCAAGACCAGCCTGGCCAACATGGTGAAACCCTGTCTCTACTAAAAATACAAAACTTAGCCAGGTGTGGTGGCTCACGCCTGTAATCACAGCTACTCAGGAGGCTGAGGCAGGAGAATCACTTGAACCTGGGAGGTGGAGGTTGCAGTGAGCCAAGAGTGAGATTCCATCTCAAAAAAAATAAATAAATAAAGACACACTTGTTCTCACGGCCTGCAGTTGCACAGACCTCTCCTTTTCTGCTTATAAGATAGTGAAAACAGCAAAATAGACTAGAAGCAAATAAGAAGTCTGTATGTGCACACACATATAGAGTCATCCCTTGGAATCCTAAGGGTTCCAGGACCCCCAAAGATACCAAAATCTGTGGATGCCCAAGTCCCTTATATAAAATGGTATAATATTTACATATAAACCTATGCACATCCTCCCTCCCATATACTTTAAATAATCTCTAGGTTACTCACAATACCTAATACAATAGAAATGCTATGTAAATAGTTGTCATACTGTTTTGTTTTGTTTTGTTTTGTTTAGAGGCAGGGTCTCACTTTGTCACTGAGGTGTGGTCACAGCTCACTGTAACTTTGAACTCCTGGGCTCAAGCAATCCTCCCACCTCAGCCTCCCGGGTAGCTAGGATTACAGGGATGCACCATCATGCCCTACTCTTGCTGGTCTTTATTGTATTCTGTCTTACTGATCTGTATGTCTGTTTGCCATTACTACACACTGCCTTGATTACCATAGCATTATAGTAAAAGTCTTAAAATCAAGTCGTGTAAGTCCTTCCAACTTTGTTATTTTAAAAATATTCTTTGGCTATTCTAGGTTGTTTCTTTCCATATGTAAAAATGAGAATAGCTACATTTCAGATGCATTGAGAGGGTTAAATTATGAATTCTTTGGTAACCAAGTATCAAGAAGATCTTATTTTTAAAAAAGACAAAACAATGCAATCCTTACAAGTGCTTACTATCATGTCTGGCATTTTTAGTAAGGACTCAGTTTATGTAGTTACTATCATTAAAGACATTTTATTAAGCATCACCTATATGCTAGGGATCAGGTTAGGTACTTCCAGTTGTGTGTGTGTATGTGTGTGTGTATGTGTGTGTGTGTGTGTATGTGTACATATGTATGTGTACAGATGTACAGCTGGCCCTCCATACCTGCAAGTTCCACATCTGCAGATTGAACAGATGGAAAATATTTGAAGGAGAAACAAATAAAAATAACAATACAACAATAACAAATAATGCACATAAAGAATAATACAGGCTGGATGCAGTGGCCCATGCCTATAATCCCAGTGCTTTGCGGGGAGGCTGGGGCAGGAGGATCACTTGAGGCCAGGAGTTTGAGACCAGCCTGGGAAACATAGTGAGACCCCAACTCATATATATAACTAAAATATAAAACCACAGAATGGAATGAAAAATCTAAAATAATAGTTTACCCTTGAGGAGGAAGAAAAGGTAATGGTATTAGGGAGAGAGCTCCAAAGGGCTTCAACTCTATATTTTATTCCTTTTTTTTTTTTTTTTTTTTTTTCCAGGATGGAGTTTCGCTCTTGCTGCCCAGGATGGAGTGCAATTGCATGATTTCAGCTCACCACAACCTCCACCTCCCAGGTTCAGGTGATTCTCCTGCCTGAACCTCCCGAGTAGCTGGGATTATAGGCGTGAGCCACCGCATCTGGCCTCTATATTTTATTCTTAAATTTAGTGATTCACTGCTCATTATGTTAATCTTTTTCTTTTTTTTTTTTTGAGACAGGGTCTCATTTTGTCACCCAGGCTGGAGTGCAGAGGTACAATCACGGTTCACTGTAGCCTTGACTTCCTGGGCTCAATCCATCCTCCCACCTCGGCCTCCCAAGTAGCTGGGATTACAGGCATGCCTCCACATACAGCTAATTTCTGTATTTTTTGTAGAGATAGGGTTTTACTATATTTCCCAAGTTGGTCTCAAACTTCTGGGCTCAAGCAATCCACTCACCTCAGACTCCCGAAGTTCTGGGATTACCGGCATGTGCCACTGCAACCAACCTCTACACATTTTTGTCTAAAATATTTCATAGTAAAGAATCTAGATGAATGTATAGACAACGATATGTAATAAATTTTAATATGTTATATATTAAACATGTTTATATTTTTACATATAACGTATATAACATTTGCCTTATATCTTTTCCTATTTCATTGATTCTACTCATTATATTATCATCATCATCATCATCACATTATATGCTAGAACATATAACTTAATTACTTACTTTCCTGATCCTCTAGGTCTTTTCCTTCATACTCAGCCCCCTGGATAAACTGTAAAATGTTCTGCTTGAAGAACCTCTGGGCCAAATCCAGTACATTTTCTCCATTATCATTGAAAGCTTTTAAAACTTGCGTCGCACTGCTCATTCTACTGACTAGGAATTTGAAACAGTGAAGGTGGCCTTCCATGGCTGCTAAGTGAACTAGAGGAAAGGAAAAAAAATTAATTTAATTTTTATTTTTTAAAATTTTTATGTATGTATGTATGTATTTAGAGACAAGATCTTGCTCTGTAACCCAGGCTGGAGTGCAGTGGCACAATCATAGCTCATTATAGCCTCCAACTCCTGGGCTCAAGTGATTCCCCCCACCTCATCCTCCCAAGTAGCTGGGAGTACAGGCAGGAGCTACCATGCCTGGCAGAATTTATTTTTTAAATTGAAACTAAAATAACTTGAAAAAAGAAATAACACATTAGCTCTATTCCTTATAGGGAGATGACTATCCCTGCCCCAAATGACAGGAACACGGAGAAGAGACCTTTTTCCCAGCCTGCATTTCTTTACACAGTCAGCCTTCTAGTCACTTCAAAGCAGTGAGTAAATGGTTGAATAGTTACACTTACCATGAGTCTATAAAGACCAGATGAGGGTCACCGAAGAGCAGGCCCAGAAAGTTATCTTAGAAAGTGAAATCCCAATTATGCAGTTTATAATTACAGGATAAAATGCTTATTATATAAGTAAAATAAATAAGTAAAATTTAATATTTTGGGAAGAAGTGGAAGAAATAAACCAATAGTCACTCTGCAAATAAGAACATTATAATATTTTATCACTATGCATTTGTCACTTTTCTATAATAATTTATTCTTTTTATTATAAACAAGAAGAATGGATTGAACTGCAGACTAGGTATATACACTGACTTCAACATTTATAGCCCTTCAGGAAATAACAGAAAAGGTATTTTTTAAAGCTATAAAAAACTAAAGAAAAAAACAAGAATGCCATGAACAGACAAGAAATTTTAAGGAATCCCTGAAAGAAAGTATATTGGATGAGACTCAGGGACAGCCATAACCTAAAACTTCATGCAAAAAAAAAAAAAAAGGAATGAATCTGGAGTTGTTACAAGCTTTGAGGCAATGATTACAAAGACCAAGACAGTCTTTACACTTAAGAAATGACCGCTTGGGAAATAAGCCCAATTCACATATCTTGATTATGGAGAGGCAGGGTAATGTCCAAGTGGCCAGTATAATTCAGGTGAAACAAGAAGTACCAGAAAAGAAGTCCAGATAAGACAAGTTGCTGGCACATATCAATCTATCCTCCCTCAGCTGCCCCTCACACTAGGCCCTGCCCCCCTGAAACTTCAGATTCCTCTAACTGCTTACTCATCATTTACACTTAAAAGTCTTATAAGCATTTCTAACATATGTCAAAAGTTGAGCTCCTTAGCCTCCTCACACACATTTACCTTATATTATCTCCCCGTCTCGGTTAATGGAAGTTCTCTCCACATTGTTCAGGCCCATAAGCCTTGGAGCCATCCTTGACTCCCCTTTCCATTACTCCCCACATCTAATCCATCAACAAATTTTACTGGCTCCTTCAAAATATATACAGAACCTGATTACTTCTCACTACCTTTGCTGCCTGTATACTGGCCAACCGAAATAGTAGCCTGAATTATTGCATCAGGTTCCCAATTACTCTCCCTATTTCTTACGCATGCCACTACCGCACCCTCAACTGCAGTCTATTATAAATACAACAGCAAAATGATCCTTTTATTTTTGTTTTGAGACAGGGTCTTGCTCTGTTGCACAGGCTGGAGTGCAGTGGCGCAATCTTGGCTCACTGAAACCTCCACCTCCTGGGTTCAAGCGATTCTGGTGCCTCAGCCTCCCAAGTAGCTGGGATTACAGGTGTGTGCCACTACGCCCAGCAATTTTTTGTATTTTTAGTAGAGACGGGTTTCACCATGTTGGCCAGGCTGGTCTCAAACTCCTGGCCTCAAGCAATGCACCCGCCCTTGGCCTCCCAAACTACTGGGACTACAAGCATGGGCCACCATGCCCAGCTCAAAATGATCCCTTTAAACATGGGTCAGATCATGTCACTCCTGTGATCAAAACACTCCAATAAAGCTGGGCATGGTGGCACATGCATATAGTCCTAGGTATTCAAAGGCTGAGGCAGAAGGTTTACTTGAGCCCAGAAGTTTGAGACCAGACTGGGCAACACAATGAGAAAGACAGGAAAGAAGGAAAGAAAAAACAAACAAACCCTCTAATGGCTCCTCTTACTTCTCCAACCATAACATCTAATACTCACCCCCTCACTTCTGTTGGAACTTACTGACTTACTATTACTCATACACACCACGCACATCCCTCCCTCAGGAGATTTACACTTGCTGTTACCTCTACCTGAAATGTTCTTCCTCCAGGATATCCACAAAATCTGCTTCCTCAGCTCCTTCAGATGTTTATCCAATTGTCACTTCCTCAGTGAAGGCTTTCTTGAGGACTTATTTCAAATTCCATGCCCTCTAATACTCTCTTCTCTCCTTTCCTACTTTACATTTATCTAAACACATATCCCTATATAATATATATTTTGCTCATTTATTTAGATGATTACCTGTCTCTCCCCTCAGCACCACATGTAGGCAGGACTTTGTCTTTTATTTGCTGTAATATCTCCAGCACCCCAAATAACTAACACATAGTATGTGCTCAATAAATGTATGTCAAATTAATAAAAATTTTTGAGAGGGTTTCTAGTTCCAAAATGGCCCTGAAGAAGCAAGCTAATTTCACGCTCTATCAAAGAAAACAAAAACAAATATACAGCACTGAGATTATCACTAGCAATAGCCCAGAATTCAAATATGAGGATGAGACAGGTCCTGGGGCCACAGTCAAGTGAAAAAACTCAGAGCAGACAGTAAGAGAATTGGACTTCCATATCCAAGACATGTCTCCCCCAATTCTGCCCAGCACAAAGTTCATGGAAATTTCTCCCAACTCACAGTTTTTATACTGGAAAAAGTGAAATCAAAGTAAACAAGCAGCTTCCCTATCATCTTGGGCTCCCTGGCAGAAGACCTGTCCCTATCTCAAGCCACAGGAAGCACTGGGAGTGCCTGAAGACAAATATATCCCTAAGGACAGCCAGAGACAAAGGGGAGAGGTAGGACTACCATCCTCAGTCCTGGAAACTCTGCTCTGTAACTAAGCCAAAGGAGACACCAAATCAGAGTGGCTGTTCAGCATCACCATACTAAGGTTCTTTCCACAGGTCCCCTGGGCACAAACTGCTAGCAAGCATTCCCATACTGCTGAAATATCCCATTTAGGACCTCCCCAATTTGGAATGAGCTACACTCCGATGGCTTATTTACTAGAGTCAAGGCAAACCTGAGCATAAGGTGCCATTTAGGGCCAAAAAGGAGGCAGAGACCTACCTGGAAAAAGAAAGAAAATCAACAAGAAAATTACAAAGAATCTCTATACAAACATACCCCATAAAAACCAAAAGAAGCCAGACAGAGAAGACTGGAAAAACTAATCCCTCAATGCAAAGACATAGATGTACATCCGTAAGAAATCATAGCAAACAGGGAAACAAAACCTACCCAAACAGACAAAGCAATAAACTACTGACTGACTCTAACAAGATGGCAATATGTGAGTTCTCAAAGAATTCAAAATAGCAGTTTTAAGGAAACTTAGTGATCTCAAAGAAACCTAGAAGAACAATTCAGAAATTGATCACAGAAATTTAACAAAAATATTTTAAATAATTTTTAAAATCAAACAGAAATCTTAAAATTGAGAAACATATTTGCCAAACTAACAAATTCATTAGAGGCTCTCAATAACAGAATGGATCAGGCAGAGGAAAGAATCAGTGAGCTCAAAAATAGGCTATTTGAAAATACCCAGTCATAGGAGAAAAAAAAAATGGAAAGAAATGAAAATCACCTACAAGAAATAGAAAATTATCTCAAAAGACCAAATCTAAGAATTACTGGTGTTCAAGAGAAAGTGAGCAAGAACAAGTGGTAGAAAGCTTATCCAAAGAAATAATAACAGAAAACTTTCCAAAACTTGAGATAAATATAAATATCCAGAAATAGTAAGGTCTCAGAACACCAAACAGATTCAACCGTAGTAAGACCACCCAAGGCATATAATAAATAATCAAACTCTCAAAGGTCAAAGACAAAGGAAGGATCTTAAAAGCAGAAACAATAAAGAAACGAATAACATATAAAGGTGCCCCAGTTTGTCTGGCAAAAAAAACTTCTCAAGAAAAACCACACAGGCTAGGAAGGAAAAAGACATTTTCAAAGTGCTGAAAGGAAACAAAACAAAACCCTGCCATCCAAGAATCCAGCAAAGCTTCTTCAACTATAAAGAAGACAGAAGGGCTACCCATTCGGGACCCCTTCCATGCCGTGGAAGCTTTGTACTTTCACTCTGCTCAATAAAGCCTATAGCTTTTTCTATCAGTCCGTGACTCACCGCGGTCAGCCACCACACCAATTCTTTGGCATGGCTAGGTAAGAACCTTAGGCATTACATTTTGGCGAGCCTGCCAGGAGTGTCCAGGAAAGGCATCTAGATCGTCACGTGGTGAATACAATCGGACCTCTTTCACTTGCTATTCTGTCCTGTCCTTCCTTAGAATTCAGAGGCTAAACTGGGCACCTGTCAGCCACTTAAAGGCAATTAGCACAGCCGCCAGACTAAAGACACAGGTGTCAGGCTGTCTGGAAAAGGGCTCTCTAACAACCCCCGACCCTTCGGGGTTGGGAGCTTTAGTTGGCCTGGAACCAGTTCCAACTCTTTCACTTTCCGTGGTGGTCCCAAAATACACCTGGGAGTGCTCAGCGGACGTCTTAGTCTCCCAGATATCCTGGTTGAGACAATGGTCCCACCAGAGGCTCCCCCTGCATGGGTTACTGAGTATGAGACAGCCACATCTTCTGACTCCTGCCTCCTGGATGCTAATGTCTGCCGGCTAGACTTCTTTCCTCATCTTGCAAGCAAGGTTATTCCCACTAGGCAGGATCAAGACTCCCTATTTAGAAGTCTTGAATTCTTGGAGTGGCACCTGGAAGATCCCTGTTCATGGTGCCCTCCAGGGTTTAGGCAAGTGTCACCATTTGATGGCCATTTTGAAGGGCCAGTTCCCTACCATAGCGTATGGTCCCCCACATCAGGACAATTTAAAGACAGGTAATTTTCATGTGGATAGTAGAAGTCTTAGGGCATTTCCTCCATTGCTCCCCAGATAAACTTTCCCCTTCCTTGGGGCCTCTCAAGTACAATCTGTGGTGCATAGGCACAGGTCTTAAAGCCATTGAATTGTTGTTTCGACCATTCAATAACTGGTGTTGGAGGGAAGAAAATATAGTCAGTTGGGACACAGGATACTGGTACCGCCTTGAGAGAGGGGCTTACTCCTTTGATGGCAAGTGGGGACAGAGGCTAAAGTACAGCAGCTGTTCTCTTGGCCCTGGCCTAGAGGACATCCACCACCCCCTTTAAACTTACTATACGCCTCCTGTCACTAATTCAGAGATTTCTCCTTGAAGGACAGTTTTATGGCCAGGACCACATAAATTGGTCCTTAGCATGCAAGCATCAGTGGTGCCCCCGACCCAGGCCTTGCCACCCTGGAATAGGTAAGACGCATTGGCAGAAGAACCACAATAAATTCAACAGTCCTTGTGCCCCACTTAGTGGTCAACAGGCACATGGCAGGGGCAAGGGACGTTTCCATCCCGCTGGTAAGCATGGTTAAATCCGGTAGATGGAAGACTCAGGAAAAGCAGCCATGAGCTTTGAATACAACTGGACCTGACCCTTAGGGGATGCCTTTAGGGAAGACGAGTCCCAGGACTAACCAGAGGTGCAGACATCCCTCTGTTTAAAATTCCGGATGAGCACCACACCTTGAAAACCAGACACTCCCTTAAGATGTATCCTGAATTACTGGGACAAATTTGACCCTGAAACCTTAAAAAAGAAGCGGCTAATTTTCTTCTGTACCACTGCCTGGCCACAGTATTCCTTACAAAATGGAGAAACTTGGCCCCCTGAGGGAAGTATTAATTATAACACCCTTCTACAACTAGTCTTTTCTGTAAACAGGAAGGTAAATGGAGTGAAGTCCCTTATGTACAGGCTTTCTTTGCCCTTCGTGACAATACTGCCTTGTACCAAGCCTGCAAGCTTTGCCCAAATGACAGAGGCCCACAATTACCTCCGTACTGAGGGCCTCTTCCCTCAGCCCCACTCTCCTCCCCCACTGACTCTCCTTCATCCAGCCCCACCGAAGTGTTAAAGGCACCCCAGAAAGAGAACATAAACTCTGCAAGCCAGGCACCCAAACTATGTCCCTCACAAACAGTAGGATGAGAATTTGGGCCCATTTACTTGCATGCCCCCTTCTCACTCTCAGATTTAAAACAAATAAAGGCAGATTTAGGGAAATTCTCGGATGATCCCTATAACTATACAGATGTTTTACAAGGGTTAGGGCAGTCCTCTGATCTAGCATGGAAGGACATCATGTTGCTCCTTGATCAGACCTTAAGTCCTATTGAAAATGAGGCAGCTTTAGCGGCAGCCCAGCAATTTGGACATTTATGGTATCTCAGCCAGGTAAATGATCGAATGACCCTGGAGGAAAAGGAAAAATTCCCCACAGGGCAACAGGCAGTACCCACTGTAGACCCTCATTAGGATACTGACTCAAATCATGGAGATTAGAGCCACAGGCATTTGCTAATTTGCATTTTAGAAGGGTTGAGGA
The DNA here is from genome assembly GCF_000001405.40 of Homo sapiens. Lineage (NCBI taxonomy): Eukaryota > Metazoa > Chordata > Mammalia > Primates > Hominidae > Homo > Homo sapiens. Next base: position 83,218,218 of record NC_000011.10, on the reverse strand, counting down.
AGACTAGGAAAAACCTATGAACTACGCAATGTTATCCACAATTACACAGTAAGAAAGAGGAAAACCCCTCTGCTTTTCTAGAAAAGCTAAGGGAGGCCCTAAGAAAGCACACCTCCCTAACTCCAGATTCCCTGGAAGGCCAACTTATTCTAAAGGATAAATGTATCACCCAATCAGTGGCTGACATTAGGAGAAAACTCCAAAAGTTTGCCTTAGGCCCAGAAGAAAATTTGGAGGCATTACTAAACCTGGCAACCTCGGTGTTCTGTAACAGGGACCAAGAGGAACAGGCCAAAAGGGAAAAGCAAGATAAGAAAAAGGCTGCAGCCTTAGTCTTGGCTCTCAGACAGGTAGACCCTGGTGGCTCAGAGGGAACCAAAAGAGGAGCAGGCCAATTGCCTAGTAGGGCTTGTTATCAGTGCAGTTTGCAAGGATACTTAAAGATTGTCCAACCAGAAACAAACCGCCTCCTCACCCATGTCCAATATGCCAAGGCAATCACTGGAAGGCGCACTGCCCCAGAGGACAAAGGCCCTCTGGGCCAGAAGCACCCAACCAGATGATTCAGCAACAGGCCTGAGGGTGGCCAGGGCAAGTGCCAGCTCATGCCATCACCCTCACAGAGCCCCAGGTAAGTTTGACCACTGAGGGCCAGGAAGTGGACTTCCTCCTGGACACTGGCACAGCCTTCACAGTTTCAATCTCCTGCCTCGGATGACTGTCCTCAAAGTCTGTTACTATCCGACGAATCTTAGGACAGCCTGTAACCTGGTATTACTCTCGCCTGCTCGGTTGCAATTAGGAGACTTTGCTCTTTTCACATGCCTTTCTTGTTATGCCCAAAAGTCCCACACCCTTATTAGGGAGGAACATATTAGCCAAAGCTGGGGCTATTATCTACATGAATATAGGGAACAAATTACCAATTTGTTGTCCTCTACAGATATTGTTAGACATTTAAGAGAGGAAAAAGGAGCTTGAACATTCAGTACCCTGGAATATGTTTAACCAATAGATACCTGGGCTCCTCCCCTTTCTAGGCCCTGTGACAGCCATCCTACTATTACTTGCCTTTGGGCCTTGCATTTTTAACCTCCTTGTCAAATTTGTTTCCTCCAAGATCAAGGCCATCAAGCTACAAATGGTATTACAAATGGAACCTCAAATGAGCTCAACTCACAGCTTCTACCGAGGACCCCCAGATTGACCTGTTGGTCTCCGACTGGCCTAAAAAGATCCCCTCTGGAGGACACCACAACTGCAGGGCCCCTTCTTCGCCCCTAACCAGCAGGAAGTAGCCAGAATGACTGCCGCCCAGTTCCCAACAGCAGTTGGGGTGTCCTGTTTTAGAGGGGGGACTCAGAGGAGGGGCCAGCTGGGCTTCCTGGGTCAAGTAGTGGCTCAGAAAGCTGTGAAACTCACTCATTTCCTGCATCAGAACTTACTTCGGTCCTGGATGGATAATATTGAAGATATATGCTTAAAATATGCCTTACACCAAAACATAAATAAAGAAGACAGAAAGCCTTTCCCAGACAAACAAAAGCCGAGACAATTTACGATCACCAGAACCATCTTATAAGAAATGGTAAAGGGGCCGGGCGCGGTGGCTCACGCCTGTAATCCCAGCACTTTGGGAGGCCGAGGCGGGCGGACCACGAGGTCAGGAGATCGAGACCATCCTGGCTAACACGGTGAAACCCCGTCTCTACTAAAAATACAAAAAATTAGCCGGGCGAGGTGGCGGGCGCCTGTAGTCCCAGCTACTCGGGAGGCTGAGGCAGGAGAATGGCGTGAACCCCAGGGGGTGGAGCCTGCAGTGAGCCGAGATTGCGCCACTGCACTCCAGCCTGGGCGACAGCGAGACTCCGTCTCAAAAAAAAAAAAAGAAATGGTAAAGGGACTTCTTCAATCAGGAAGAAGAAACACTAATGTGCAAATGGAAAACATTTGAAGGTATAAAAATCACTGGTGAAATTAAAAACATGGACAACCCTAGAATACTCCAATAATGTAACTGTGGTGTGTGATAACTCCAGTATGAGACTAAAAGACAAATCTAACAACAATAATAATAGCTATAGCAACCTGTTAAGAGATAGGAAATACAAAAATATGTAAATAGGTGAGGCACAGTGGCTTACGCCTGTAATCCCAGCACTTTGGGTGGCCGAGGTGGGTGGATCACTTGAGGTCAGGAGTTTGAGACCAGCCTGGCCAACATGGTGAAACCCCATCTCTATGAAAAATACAAAAATTAGCTGGGCATGGGGGTGGGCATCTGTAATCCAGCTACTTGAGAGGCTAAGGCAGGAGAATCTCTTGAACCCAGGAGGAGAATGTTGCAGTGAGCCAAGATCACACCACTGCACTCCAGCCTGGGTAGCAGAGCAAGACTCCATCTGAAAAAAACAAACAAACAACCCCAAAAATATGTAAATAGAAGCAACAAAAAGGCCAAATGTGGGAGAAACAGTTAACATGTAGGGCATTTTGCTTTTTCCTTGTTTCTATTCCTTTCTTTGTGACCTAAGGTAAGTCGTCATCTCTTTAAAATAATCTGTTATATCTATAAAATGTAAGACTCATGGTAACTACAATGCAAAAACCTATATTTACTAAAAAATAAAAAGCAAAAAATTAAAACATACTACCAGAGAAAAATCACTTAACCACAAAGAAAGACAAGAAGAAAGGAACGTAGGAGTTACAAAACAACCAGAAAACAAGCAACAAAATGGCAGCTGTAAGTCTTCACCTACCAATAACAACACTGAATGTAGATGGACTTAACTCTCCAATTAAAAGGCACAGAGTATAAAGAAACATGACCCAACTATAGGCTGCCTACAAAACACCCACTTCATCTATAGAAACACACGTAGACTAAAAGATACTCCATGCAACTAGAAGCAAAAAAAAAGAAAAAGAGTAGCTATATTTATATTAAATAAACTATAAGTTAATTCCACTACTGGGTATATATCCACAAGAAAAAAAAACAATGTATCAAAGAGATAACTGCACTCTCATGTTTATTAACACACTATTCACAATAGCCAAAATATGGAATCAACCTAAGTGCACATCAGTGATGAATGGATAAAGAAAATGTAATGTATATTCACAACGAAATATAATTCACACAAAAATGAATGAAATACTGTCAGTGCCACAAGATGGATGGAATTGGAGGTCATTATGTTAAGTAAAATAAGTCAAGCACAGAAAGACAAATATTATATGTTTTCATTCATATGTGGGAGCTAAAATACGCTGGTCTCATGAAGATAGAGAGTAGATTGATTGGCGATTACCAAAGGCCAGAAGGGTAGCACGGAGAGAGCAAGAACAGAAGTTGATTAATGGGTATAAATATACAATTGAGTAGAAGAAATAAGATCTAGTGTTTGACAGATCAGTAGGGTGATTATAGTTAACCATAATCTATTGTGTATTTAAAAATAACTAGAAAAAAATAATTCAAATGTTCCTAGTATAAAAGAAATATTTAAGGGATGGCTACCCCAATTACCTTGATTTGATCTTTATACATTATCAAATTTGATACAAATGAATGTATCAAATTATCACATGTACACCAAAAATATGTACATTTATCAATAAAAAATAATTTTATGAGAGCGATTTGAACACAAGCAGTCTAGACCTAAGGCCACATTCTTTCTTAACATCTATATTATTATAAATACTCTACCTGGTTATAAATAAAATAATCATACATGTTTAAAGAAACAATTGGATTTTTTAATGACCAGACAAGACCAACAAAAATGATCAAGTATATTTGATAAAGGACAATACAAAAATAAAACTGACCCCTACCTTGTATTACACACGGAAAAGTCAGTTCTAGGAGGATTGGGAATATAAATATGAAAGATAAATAAAATTTCTAACAGATAACATAAAGGAATGTCTTCATGATCACAAAATAGGGAAAGTACAGAAAGGACTAACTACAAAGGAAGAGATTATTAAAATGGACTACGTTAAAATTAAAACCTCTGGCCAAGCGCGGTGGCTCACACCTGTAATCCCAGCACTTTGGGAGGCCGAGGTGGGTGGATCACAAGGTCAGGAGTTCAAGACCAGCGTGGCCAACATGCTAAAATTCTGTTTCTACTAAAAATACAAAAATTAGCCAAGCGTGGTGGTGCACACCTGTAATCCCAGCTACTCGGGAGGCTGAGGCAGAAGAATCGCTTGAATCCGGGAGGCAGAGGTTGCAGCAAGCCGAGACTGCACCACTGCACTCCAGCCTGTGCGACAGAGCAAGACTCTATTTCAAAAAAAAAAAATAATTAAAACCTCATTTATCAAAAAATACCAAAGAATGAAAGAGCAAGCCATGAAGTAGAAAGATTAGAAAGATATTTGCATGAAAAGATATTGGTAATAAACGTAACTGACAAAGGGCTTGTATCTAGAATATATAAAGAACTCCTATGATTCAATAAGAAAAAGACACACTCTAACAGCCAATAGGCAAAAGATTTGAACTAGTACATCACACACACAAAAAAACCAAATAGCCTTTAAACGTACGAAATGATGTTCAACATCTTTAGTCATCAGGAAAAATGTAAATTTGAAACTGCAATGAGATACATCCATCAGAAAGACTAAAACTAAAAAAAAAAACTAATAATACCATATGTGAAAATGGAAATTGAAAGCAGTCTGAAAAAGCGAAGGAAGCCTAACACAAAATAATTTTTTGTTGTTGTTTTTTGGTTTTTCTTTGCAGTTTTTACAGTTTTATTTAAACACAAAACATGCACATGAGCTGTCTATTCATTTTCTTCACTGCGCAGCCTGGCGTTGGGGTTGGTGTGACTCCGATGGACAGCTGGGCAGCTCTTTCCACGATGGCTTTGCAGTTCTTGGAGGAAACATCTCAGCACAGTAAGATCTGTTGCACATCAGCAGCACTTCCAGCTCCTTGATGTTGTGGACCAGGAACTTCCAGAAGTCAGTAGGCAGCATGTGCTTTGTTTTTTTTGTCGCTCCCACAACCAATGTTGGGCATCAAGATTGGTCCTTGAACCTTCTACGAACCCTGTTGTCAATACCTCTGGGTTTCTGCCAGTTACACTTAATTTTGACATATCAGTCAGTCTGGTGCCGGAAGAACTTCTTAGTTCTCTTTTTGATGATCCTGGGCTTCACAAGGGGTCTGAGGGTGGCCATGATGCTGAGGAGGAGATGGCTGCCACCTCCGTAGGCAGCGCCGAGAGAGGGGCTTTTTGTTTTTTGAGACTTCAATTTAAATTTTACTTTAAAAAAAAAAACTTACAAAATACAAAGTAAAAAGAATGAGAACAAAATAAATTTTCAGATACACAAAAATTGAAAGAGTTCATACCAAAAGACTTCACTAAATGAACACTGAAAGACGACCTTCAGAAAAAAACAAAATGATCCTGGACAGTAGTGTAAAGATATAGAAAGATGAGGCCATGCAGGTAGGTAGGTGCCAAATTATGTAAGTCCAGCATGCCAAGCCAAGGAATCAGAGGCTCCACAGGGATCTAAGGAGGTTCTAAATAGCAAAGTGATTTGATCAGGCCTGTTCATATTATTCTGCCCTTCCCCTTTGTGTGTTTGTTTCTTTAAGGTATCATTTAAGTATCATTTTCACTCCAATCTCACTGTGATCTATCCTTTAGAATTTGTAGACCACTTTTTAAAGAAGGTGGAGTCTAAGTCTCCACTGGCCACTTTACTGTAGGTTAGACAACTGAAGTAGCAAATTAACCCAAATTAACTAGTATCCTCCATTTATGCAGTAGTGTTTAAAAAATAAAAAAGTTGGGCCAGGCATGGTGGCTCCTGCCTGCAATCCCAGCACTTTGGGAAGCCAAGGCAGGCAGATCTCTTAGGCCAGGAGTTCGAGACCAGCCTAGCCAACATGGTGAAACTCCATCTCTACTAAAAATACAAAAAGTAGCCAGGCGTGGTGGCAGGTGCCTGAAACCCAGCTACGAAGGACGCTGAGGCATAAGAATCGCTTGAACTGGAAGGCAGAGGTTGCAGTGAGCTGAGAGCACACCACTGCACTCCAGCCTGGGCAACAGAGCAAGACCCTATCTCAAAAAAAAAATAAAAAATTTAAAAATAAATAAGTTGTCTATGGGGCAGAGAGAGGTGAAGTTAAAAAATAAAAACACTAGATAGCAGATGAAGGAAAGAGCTGGCAGGAAGAGCAAATCTATGTTTAATTTTGCCAATTTCTCTTTTGCTGATATGGTTCCAGAAAAAAATCAATCAAATGAAAGGTACATAAGATGGGTGTGATGTAAGATAAAAAATATTCATGTCAACATATATACTACTTCGTTTTGTGAGGGACTAACAAAACAATTGGTTTCAATGTCTTTATTTTTTAAGAGACGGGGTCTCACTTTGTTGCCCAGGCTCACTGGAGTGCAGTGGTGCAATCACAGCTCACTGTAGCCTCAAATCCCTGGGCTCCCAAATCCTCAGCATCCCAAAAAGTTAGACTACAGGCACACACCACAATACCCAGCTTTTTTCTTTCTTTTACTTTTTTTTTTTTTTGTAGAGAGTGGGTCTCACTATGTTGCCCAGGCTGGTCTCAAACTCCTGGCCTCAAGTGATCCTCCAGCCTCAGCCTCTCAAAGTGCTGAGATTACAGATGTAAGCCACCACGCTCAACCAACAGTTTAAATTTCTTAAACAAGATCAAACATTTAAAAGTTTACATCAATGAAAAACTAAAATATTTGCTTTATTTAAAATACCTGGAAGGTTTCCATTGTAGTCCACATCTTCTATGCTACAACCCCATTTAACAAGAAGTTGCAAGCAGCCAAGCCGCCCATGAAAAGCTGCATAATGCACAGGTCTCCATTCTCTCTTATCAGTCACACTGGGATCCTAGAGGTAACATTCACAAGGACTTAGTTTCTCCCCATTTTGTAGGGGAAATACTAAGCCTAGCAGCTTAATTCTGTAAATAAGAATTGGAGGCTGTTCTTAATACAAGAAGGCAAACACTTAATAGAAAAATGTACTGCAACCACTAATTTGAATATATGAGCTAATAAAATTTTATAAAACAGGCTTTTCAAAAGAACGAGTCACATAAAATAGTTTTTAAAAACGAACTTAACTAGTCATCTTACCAGTCACAGATTCCTGACCAATAAAATGAAAGGGATAGATTGAATGATCAAATACTATCATTGAGAATATAAACAGAGTTAATAAAAAATATTTAATAAGTTTTCACTCTTTCTCAAACTATAGAAACACCAACTCTTACCACAATGTCTTCAATATATTTAGTTCTCTTCTTCTACGTTATTTATTACAACCACTACATAATAAAATTAAATATTGCAATAAACAAAATTTCTGAAGAAATAAATCACTTTCTAAATCACTATATGAAGTAAGAGTTTCAAAACAAACACATAGGTAGACACACAAAAATTCATAAAGATTTACAATCACCTGGTTAAGATTCGTTTGAAGCTTCGTAATCTAACCAGTTAAACTCTGAACTGGCATGAAGAACCCAAAACCTCTCAAGTACTTTGTAATACTGAATTGGTTTTTGGGGGGGAAGAGAAGACTTGTCTGAATTATTGCTTCTATGTTTAAAGATAGAAAAGCTAGAGAGAAAAATTAAATTAGTTTCCCAAAGTCATATTAAGAGATCTAAAAAGTCAGGAAGAGATAACTAGACTACCAAATGCTATTCCATCTATATTATCACACATTAGCACATATTAACAGGAGTCACTCACCACTCCACTTCGGAGCATTATTTGTAAAGTGAAAGAATGTCCATGAGTTGCAGCAAGATGTAAAGGAGTGCATCCCCGGTCATCCTGGGCTGTCAGATTTGCTCCATTCATTATAAGAGCCTAAAAATAGAGAAATAGGAAAGACTTTACATGAGTATAGATGTTAAACCATAAATGCAGATGCAGATTATACAAAGGCAAGCAATTTATTAATCTATAGCTAAATTCTTATGTATGTTCTTACATATGTGCTACAGGCAAAACATAAGAAATTCTCAGCTAATGCTAAGAAAATGTTTGTTTTTTTTTTTAGATTACAAAAACTTCCTCTCTAATCAAGGCTTTTAACATGAACAGATTTCTTGAATAAAATGGAAAGTTTCCAGTACACTGAAACATAAATTCTCAAGTTGCCATACATACAACACCCGGCAGGAAAAAACAAAAACAGCAAGTTTACATGATCCCTGTAACAGCCACAGTCTCAAACTCAGATGCTTCCTCCATCTGCCAAGTGTATTCTGGATACAGACAACATCGTGGCTTCTGGGGTCATATTCAGCTGAGGCTGTGGGTCCACAGAGCACTCATCTGGCTGGGCTATGGTGGTGGTGGCTCTACCCAAGAAGCAAAGCAGTTACCAGCACATTGAAACAGTACATTGAACATCTTCTAAATATGAAAGTGAGAAACAAGAAGGCAACAAAAAATGTTGTCAGAAAGATGTTAGGAAGTAAGGACAGCTGTGTAAAGCTTGAGGCTGAAAAGCAGCTTGCCAGCTTCATTTCTTTGGCTTCTTGGGTAGTGGGCACCGGAACAGCAATATGTGAGGTTCTGGTTCATGGATCATATAATAGACCCATCCCTGACTCTGCTGAACGCCAAGATTCCTCCATTCAGATTCAGACATCAAATGGGTTTTACGGACCAGCTTGGCTATGTCCTTGGGCAGCACGACATGTCGATACTCAAACTCCTCGTCGTCGTATTTGTCTGAATAGTAAATTTGTTTGTGCGACATGATCGCTCGGTTTGCTAGCCTGCAGCCCCGCGCTGCCAACCTCCAAGCAACTCCCAGCAGCACGCACTCCCACCCACTTTGGCCTCAAGAAAATGTTTTAACATTGCCTAGAAGACACTTATAATATTGATTTTACATTCTGATTTGAGCATGTATATATAATTTATAAGACACATCTTTCATGAGCACAGATAAATTGCCGCTAAGTTAAATTCTTTAATTCTAACCTGATAAAACTGAAATTAAACTTTCACTAATTCAAAAGCAGAATCCTTTGTTAACAGGGTTTTGGACTCAATAAAATAATTAATTATTAAAGTGACTAGTTCTAAGCTCCAAATCAAGTTTCTAACTACATCTAAAGAGGTTCCATCTGAATTTGCAATTGGCCTAGTTTCTATATATGGGTTATACCATATCCAGAGTAATTGGCTTCAAAGAATGATTAGTCCCAGCCAGGAGTGGTTGCTCATGCCTGTAATCCTGGCACTTTGGGAGGCTGAGGTGGAAGGATCACTCGAGCCCAGGAGTTAGAGACTCTTCTATACTTTACCATTCCTGTAATCTTTTTCTCCAGCCCCCTTTTCAACTGCCTGGGCCCTCTCTACCTGGATGACCTACAGACACATTAAACTCAACGTATGCCAAATTGAACTCAACATCTTTCCTCCCAATCTTCCTTGCTTTTCAGATTTCCCTATTCATTCCATCATAATTATCTGTTATTCTGACTCAAAATTTGAATTTTCACTACGCTCTGTCAATGTTTGCTTTGCAAGATATCTTGGCTCATTTTCTTTCTTTCCCTCTGCCACCACCTATTTTTACCCTCTCTGGTTAGTGATTACAGCAAAAAATCTCTAACTGATCTTCTTAACTCTTCCTTCATCCTAATAATCCTGGACACACTTTGCTAGAATAATTCCCTGAAATACTGTTTTCATTATCTCATTCCCCGGTTAAGGTCCATGTGGATGTTTATGTGTACGTGTAAATATATATACAAACATATTCACACACACACACACACACAAACACACACACGTATATAAAAACTCTCTTTTCTCAGCCAGATGCCGTGGCTCATGCCTGTAATCCCAGCATTTTGGGAGGCCAAGGCAGGAGGACCACTTGAGCCCAGGAGTTCAAGACCAGCCTAGGCAACATAGGGAGACCCCCCCCTCCCACAGACATCTCTACAAAAAAAATTAGCCAGGCAAGGTGATGCATGTTGGTGGTCTCAGTTACTTGGGAGGCTGAGGTGGGAGGATCACTTGGGCCCAGGAGGTTGATGCTGCAGTGAGTCATGACCAGGGCACTGCACTCCAGCCAGGGTGACAGAGCAAGACCCTGTCTCAAAAAACAAAAACAAAAACAAAACCTCTCTTTTCTTTCCAGGTAATCACAGGGTTGAGGAGGGGGGGAAAAACTCTCTTTCTATACAAATGAATCCAAAATCTTCATTATATTACTGAGGCACTTTACAAAACCAGTCTATCCAAGCGTGGTTCTTAACAGTCCACACCACAAATAATCTATACTCAGTAAAACTAATATAATGGTATATCCCCTGAACACAGCCCAATTTTCCAATTCAGGAGCTTCTTACAGAAGTATAGCATAGAGATTAATAGGACAAGTCTAGGTTCAAATCCTAGCTCTGTCACTTGCTTAGGCAAGGTACTTAACACTCTGAATTTGTTTTGTAACCTATATAAAAGGGAACTCACAGAACTGTTTGTGTTGGATGAAATGATACATGAGAGACTAACACACAATAAATCTCCAATGAATGACAATCATTATTTTTATTTGCTCCTAACATATTGCCTGCCTCTATAATACTTCCTCATTACTTACCTCTTTAAAATCAACCCACTCTTTTGGGCTTAGCTGATGTTTTATTTCCTCCATTTATGATCCCTCTACCTCCTCCTAAATTACACAATTCTTCTCATCTATATTTTTCATTAGAACTTTAATCATACATTTTGCTTTGTATTGTTTTGTAACTCACTGAGTAGAGCTCCTGTCCCTTCAAACAATCTCACGCTTCTTCCTGGCAGGAACTGTGATGTACATTGGCTGTGTTCCCCCTCAAATCTCATTTGAATTGTAGTTCCCATAATCTCCACGTGTCATGGGAGGGACACAGTGGGAGGTAATTGAATCATGGGGGTGGTTACCCCATGCTATTCTCATGATAGTGAGTGAGTTCTCACGAGATCTGATGGTCTTATAAGAAGCTTTCCCCCTTTGCTCAGCACTTCTCTCTTCCTGCCATCCTGTGAAGAAGGATGTGTTTGCTTCCCCTTCCACCATGATTGTAAGTTTCCTGAGGCCTTCCCAGCCATGTGGAACTGTGAGTCATCTAAACCTTTTTTCTTTATAAATTACCCAGTCTCAGGTATTTCTTCATAGTAGTGTGAGAATGGACTAATACCAGCTGTTTGCTTATATGACTCTGTACTCCTCCAAATTCCAGTCTATTTCAAAACACTGAATAAATTAATTACTCTAATAAACTAGATCCTACCATATATTAATGTGTCACCCTGGTCAGGCAATACATTAAATACGAAATTTTAGGCATGGCCAAGTGTCTTAGTCTGTTTGGACTACTATAACAAAATATCATAAACTGGGGAGCATATAAACAACAAAAATTTATTTCTCATAGTTCTGGAGGCTGGGAAGTCCAAGATTAAGGTGGTGGCAGATTCTGTCTGGTGAGGGCTCATTCTGCATAGATAGTGCCTTCTCACAGCATCCTCATATGGTGGAAGAGGCTAGAGAGCTAGCTCTCTGAGGTCTCTTGCAAAAGGACATTAATCCCATTTATGAGGGCAAACCCCTCATGACCTAATAACCTCCCAAAAGGCCTCACCTCTTAACACCATCACCTTGGGGTTAAGATTTCAACATATTTATTTTGGAGGACACAAACATTCAGACCACAGCAGCAAGCTATAAAAGAGATAATCTGGTTATGACTGTGAGATCTCTTAAAACAACGCAGACAGCCAACTACATCAGAGATAAGAGGATTTCTGGTCACATACCATTTGTTTAAGTGGATAGCTGGTATCAGAATATCTGAGTTGTGGAATCCAGTAAGTTCTTGTTTAGAACATAAAACTAAATCTATTGAGTCAAATAATTAGAATAATAGCAATATCCCAACAGAACTATGTTAAAGTAATTGAACTTACTGAAAAAAGTAATATTATTACCTGTACACAAGCATCCTGACCCCTGATTGCAGCTATGTGAGATGCTGTCCAACCTCTCGTTGTTACGTGTGTGATATCAGCTCCATGCCAGAGCAGCCAATGAAGACACTAAGAAAATAACCATGTTAACAAGTGATAAAGTGGATGTTTTTAACATTTTTATCTTTTAAATTTGGTCTGTTATCATAAAATAGCAGACTGTAGTGAATGAGAGATCCATGTATAAGAAAAACAAAAGCACAAGCACAGTGACATGGCAACCAACATTTGGCCTCACTGCTGGGTAAACAATAGAGACTAGTGGGAACTGTGGCAAACTGGAGACCATATTTCTTGTCTGTAAGGTGTAGACACTACTCAATTACAGTCAGTGGTTGCTATGAGTGAAATGCTTATCCAATGTTTGTAAATATTCTGTTTGACCAATACTGTGCAGGCCAAAGAAAACAGATCTAAGAGTCAAATTCACTCAAAGGCTGCCAGTTTTCAATCTCAAACATAGATCTTTAAACGGGTCCAGAGCTTTTGCATCAGAGCAAACATTGTTATTCTAGTGATTCTAAAAAATAAATGGTTTATTTAAAAAAAATGAGAGAAGTCAAATGTATCTTTAAGATTTTTAAAAATTAATCTAAATCTCAATATAATACAGTACTTAAAGGTCTGTACCACATACGGTGTTACTGTCTTTATATGTTCAAGTTTGTATATGCTACCACCTCTTCCTTTTTAAAAGAATTGATCATATCATTGGGATACACTGTCATAGAAGTCATAATCATATTATTTGTTTAAAAGGCTTATCAAGTAAATATCATTTTCCTGCAGCAGAGACTAATGACAATAAAATATTAAAAAACCTCAATCTCAATAATAATCATAGTAAGTCATTCATTTATTCAACAATATTTATGAAAAGACTATTATGTGCATTGTTCAGGTACTAGAGAATAAAGCCACTGTCGACATTCATGTACTGGTTTTACATTTGTCTTGGGTGAATATGTAGAAGTGAGATTGCTAGAACATAAAATAAGTATATATTTAACTTTATTTTAAAAACTGCCAAACTGTTTTCTAACGTGGCTGTACCTCTCTACATTCCCACCAGCAATGTATGGGAGTTCCAGTTTCTCGATATCCTTATAAACACTTTGTATTGCCATTTTTTTGGTTTTTTGTTTTTTCTGCTATTCTTACAGGTATCTCATTGTGGTCTTAATTTGCATTTGCCTAATGGCTAATGATGTTGAACATCTTTTCATATGTTTAATTGCCATCCATATGTACTCTTTGAGAAAGTGTCAACTGAAGTCTTTTGCCCATTAAAATTTTTTTTCTTACTGCTGAGTTCTGAGAGTTCCTTATATAATCTGGTTACAAGTTCTTAGGTACGTGATTTGCAAAGGTTTTCTTCTCTATTTTCTCTGTAAGTTTTATAAGTTTTACATTTATCTACAATCTGTTTTGAGTAAATTTTTGCATATGGTACCAAGTATGGCTCAAGCTTCATTTTCTTTTTTTTTTAATTTTAGATTCAGAGGGTACATGTGCCAAGTTCGTTCGTTTCATGGATATGCTGCATGATGCTGAGGCATTTGGGCTTCTATTGAACCCATCTCCCAAATAGTGACCAGGTTACCAAACAGGTAGTTTTTCAACCCTTGCCTCCTTCCCTATCTACTTTTGGAATCCCCAGTGTCTATTGTTCCCATCTCTTTGTCCATGTGTACCCAATATTTAGGTCCCACATATAAGTGAAAATATGTGGTTTTTCGTTTTCTGTTTCTGTGTTAATTCACTTAGGATAAAAGGTTCATTTTCTTACATATGAATATGTGTAATTGTGCCAACATCATTTAATGAAAATATATCTGCTCTCCACTGAATTACATTTGCATCTTTGTTAAAAATCAATTGACCGGCTGGGTGCAGTGGTTCATGTCTGTAATCTCAGCATTTTGGGAGGCTGTGGCAGGTGGATCATTTAAAGTCAGGAATTCAAGACTATCCTGGTCAACATGGTGAAACCCTGTCTCTACTAAAAATACAAAAATTAGACAGGCGTGGTGGCGGGCACCTGCAGTACCAGCCACTCAAGAGGCTGAGGCAGGAGAATCACTTGAACCCAGGAGGCAGAGGTTGCAGTGAGCCGAGATCATGCCACTGTACTCCAGCCTGGACAACAGAACCAGACTCTGTCTTGAAAAGAGAAAAGAGAGAAGAGAGAAGAGAACCGAACCAGATGGAAATTCTGGAGTTGAACAGTATATCTGAAATGAAAAGTTTACTAGGAGCTCAATAGCAGATTTCATCTGAAAAAAACTGAAGTCCAATAAAGCATGGTTTTTTACCAATTATTAATTTAGTGATTATTTCTTGCAACCAATATATAAATATCAAAAATCTTAAGAAAATTCAGAAAGGTTAAAAAACTGTAAAGGTGTTAACGTAGTGCTCAAGTAAAGATTTAGGGCCAGACGCGGTGGTTCATGCCTGTAATCCTAGCATTTTGGGAGACCAAGGCAGGTGGATCACAAGGTCAGGAGTTTGAGACGAGCCTGGCCAACATAATGAAACTCCGTCTCTACTAAAAATACAAAAATTAGCTGGGTGTGGTGGCACATGCCTGTAGTCCCAGCTATTCGGGAGGCTGAGGCAGGAGAATCATTTGAACCCAGGAGGCAGGGGTTGCAGTCAACCAAGACGGTGCCATTGCACTCCAGCCTGGGCGACAGAGCAAGACTCCCTCTCAAAAAAAAAAAAAAAAAGAAAGAAAAAAAGGAAAACTTAGGAGATGACCTTTAAGTAGGAATAGAGAAAAGCACTAAAATCTTTTGGTTTCTGTTTATGCTTGTTAAAATCCAACAAACAGGCTGGGGCATGGTGGCTCACACCTGTAATCCCTATTGGGAGGCCAAGACAAGTGGATCACTTGAGGTCAGGAGTTAGAGACCAGCCTGGCCCACGTGGTGAAACCCCATCTCTACCAAAAATACAAAAAATTAGACAGGTATGGTGGCACATGCACCTGTAGTCCCAGCTACATAAGAGGCTGAGGTGGGAGAGCTGCTTGAACCTGGGAGGCAGAGGTTGCAGTGAACTGAGATCACACCACTGCACTCCAGCCTGGGAAACAAGAGCGATACCCTGTCTGAAAAAAAAAAAAAAAAAAAATCCAACCAACATTTATTGAACATCTGCTAGGCACTGTGCTAGACACTAAAAATATAAACGTAAATTTAATTCAACAAATTCAGCAACATGAGAAACATTTCTTGTGAACTTATGATGTGACTCCTATAATATGCCAGATATTACACTAGGTATTGTGGAAAAAAAGATGAATGAGACTCAAATGGTATCTTCAAAGAGCTCAAAATCTAATAGAGAATAAAATTTAAAGTTATACACTTTTTAAAATTTATAAGATTTAGAGGTAGCACTAAGGAGTCAGTAACTAGTTGGGAGATATTGAGGGGGAAAACAGAAAGCTTTACCAAGTGGGTACTGACTGACCTGGATTTCAACCAGGTAACCAGTGGGAAGAGATGAGACAGGCAGATGAAACAGCATGTGCATACTGCCCAAAGTAATTTATAGATTCAATGCTATTCCCATCAAGCTACCATTGACTTTCTTCACAGAATTAGAAAGAACTACTTTAAATTTCATATGGAACCAAAAAAGAGCCCGTAGAGCTAAGGCAATCCTAAGCAAAAAGAACAAAGCTGGAGGCATCATGCTACCTGACTTCAAACTATACTACAAGGCTACAGTAACCAAAACAGCATGGTACTGGTGCCAAAACAGATAAATAGACCAATGGAACAGAACAAGAGTGCTCAGAAATAACACCACACATCTACAACCACCTGATCTTCAACAAATCTGACTTTTGCAACAGGGGAAGGATTTCCTGTTTAATAAATGGTGCTGGGAAAATTGGCTAGCCATATGCAGAAAACTGAAACTGGATCCCTTTCTTAAGCCTTATATAAAAATTAATTCAAGATGGATTAAAGACTTAAAAGTAACACCTAAACCCATAAAAGCCCTAGAAGAAAAACTAGGCAATACCATTCTGGACATAGCCATGGGCAAAGACTTCATGACTAAAACACCAAAAGCAATTGCAACAAAAGCCAACATTGACAAATAGGATTTAATTAAACTAAAGAGCTTCTGCACAACAAAAGAAACTATCATCAGAGTGAACAGGCAACCTACAGAATGGGAAAAAATTTGTGCAATCTATCCATCTGACAAAGGGCTAACATCTAGAATCTACAAGAAACTTAAATTTATAAGAAAAAAACAACCCCATCAAAAAGTGGGCAAAGGATATGAACAGATACTTCTCAAAAGAAGACATTTATGCAGCCAACAAACATATGAAAAAAAGCTCATCACTGGTCATTAGAGAAACGCAAGTCAAAACTACAATGAGATACCATCTCACACCAGTTAGAATGACAATCATTAAAAAGTCAGGGAACAACAGATGCTGGAGAGGATGTGGAGAAATAGGAACTCTTTTACACTGTTGGTGGGAATGTAAATTAGTTTAACCATTGTGGAAGACAGTGTAGCAATTCCTCAAGGATCTAGAACCAGAAATACCATTTGACCCAGCAATCCTGGTCATATATTACTGGGTATATGCCCAAAGGATTATAAATCATTCTACTATAAAGACATGCACATGTATGTTTACTGCAGCGCTATTCACAATAGCAAAGACTTGGAACCAACCCAAATGCCCATCAATGATAGGCTAAAGAAAATGTGGCACATATACACCATGGAATACCATGCAGCCATAAAAAAAGAATGAGTTCACGTCCTTTGCGGGGCCATGGATGAAGCTGGAAACCACCATTCTTAGCAAACTAACACAGGAACAGAAAACCAAACACCACATGTTCTCACTCATAAGTGGAAGTTGAACAATAAGAACACATGGACACAGCGAGGGGAACATCACACACTGGGGCCTGTCGGGGGGTGGAGGGTTAGGGGAGGCGGAGCATTAGGACAAATACCTAATGCATGCAGGGCTTAAAACCTAGAAGACTGGTTGTTGGGTGCAGCAAACCACCATGGCATATGTATACCTATGTAACAAAACTGCAGGTTCTGCCCATGTATCCTAGAACTTAAAGTATTAAAAAAAAAGAAAAGAAAAGAAACAGCATGTGCAAAGCCTATGATAATATGGAACAGTAGACTAATTTGGGAAATGATGGTAGTCACCAGTACTATAGCATAAAACAATTATGATGGGAGATGAGGTTAGAGAAATAAGTCTACCATGTTAAATGGCTTGAACTTTATCCTATGGAGGGCAGAGAGTTACTACAGGGTTTTAAGGAAGGTCTCAAGTAATATTAGATTTTAGTTTTACAGAGAAAATAGCTTTGTATATAGTATATGGACTACAGGTGGACCACACACACAAAAAAATAAAATTAATTAAATCTAAGAACATGGTTATGGGGATGGAGAGGACAAATTCAGGAGACAAAGATGGAGCAGAATCAACTGACCTAGTGACTAGTTCTCACTGCATCAATGTGTAACACGAACTGCACCTTCATCTAGACAAATGCTGATAATGTGTTTTGATTATATGAAATACTGAAACAACTCAATGATGATTCAAAGGCTATTGCCCTAGAAAACTACAAAATGGAGGGAAAAATATAACAGTTTTAGTGTTAGACTAGTTGAATTTGAGATGCCAGTCAGATATGCATGAGCTATGATCAAGCACTTAATACATAATCCAAAAGTCAGGAGAGAGAGCAAATAAATGAATTATGTAGAAGCGATAAAGCCAAAGAAGTTTAAAAGACTGACTGGAGAAACTGTAAAGTAGGAAAGAAATGTAAACAATACTACAATTACACAATAGGAGGAGTGAGTTAACCAAAGTAGACTGAGTGAGAGTAGTAAGAGAAGCTGAAAGGGCACCAGAAAAGAGATGAAATAAATGGTATATCCTGATGTCTATTAGAATATGGCAGAGTAAAATCAGTACTTCCCCCTTCTCTCCAAAATCACCCAAAAGCAAAGAGCAAAAAAACCCAGAAAACTCCAACTAGATGAAACTAGGAGACATCTGTAACTCAAACTACAAACAGATTAAAAAACCTGCCAAAGTGCAGAACAAATAGGAATGTGGGAGGAAACAGCAGAGAGAACCACCTACCCACGGATACCAGCTCACAAAGAACCATCAGGCTCCAAAGAAAGGCACAAGTAAAAATCCTTTGTTTATAATAACATTTAAGTGAGGCACACAAACTGGTAGAGGGAGAGTCTCTGAACCAGATTTGGTTACAAGAAGCAAAGAAGTACAAATAAAGAAGATATCACACAGGACTGCCATACTCACAGAAGGAAGTCATGTGTGTGTGGTAGGGGTAAAAAGACAATGCATTGTCAACAGACCTATTGTAGCTTATAGGCTGGGGAAATGTAGCTAAAATAAGCCCCCCATACACATAACCTTGAATCATGAGAAAAGTGCTAGTTAGCCTTGGACAGAGCCCAAGGATCAGATTTGCATTAAAATACTCACTAAGCAGTTAGTACTAGCTAAAAATTGAAACCAAATAAATATCCAACAATACAAAAACAGATAAATTCTGATACCAGTCTAAGAATAGAATAAACGACAT
Organism: Homo sapiens; assembly: GCF_000001405.40. Lineage (NCBI taxonomy): Eukaryota > Metazoa > Chordata > Mammalia > Primates > Hominidae > Homo > Homo sapiens. The sequence continues at coordinate 83,199,479 of NC_000011.10, read as the reverse complement.
GGCTGAAAGAAATGAACTAGAGTACATATATGTAACCATATGGATAAAACTCAAAAACATATTGTTGAACAAAAAAAAGCTAAAGAATAATATACATAATGTGATATCATTTATATAATGTATGTCATTCAAAATAATGATATAATCATATGTAATAACAGCATAAAACATAGATAGGAATAATAAACACCAAAATCAGGGTAATAGTTATCTCTGGAGTTGGAAGCAGAGGAATGGCACCTGAGAGGGGTACTTAGGGACTTCAAATGTACCTGCAACATTCCATTCCTTTTCTAAAAATCTGACACTACTAAAGCAAAAATGTTAGAATACATATTCATTTTATTATCCACTCCAAGTAATCCTCTATGCTCACCTTTGGAACCCAGTCACCATATTGTGAGGAAGTAGAAACTAGCTCACATGTAGAAACCTCACAAATAGGCCCACAGGGATGAAGTTTAAGGTGCCTAATCCATAACCAGCATCAACCACCAGAGACATCTTGAGTGAATAAGCCTTCAGAAGAATCTAGCCCCAGCTTTTTAATATTCCAGCTGAAGCCCCAGATATCATGGAGCAGAGACAAGCTGTCTCCGGGATCCAAATTCTTGGGTTTGTTCATGAGTATAAATAAATCATTAGTTTATTATGCTAAATTTTAGGATAATTTGTTATAAAGCCCTAGCAAAGTGGAATACCCAAATATTAAACTGACTATGACTGAAAAGAAAATATATGCAGTACCTACCATAAGGTCTCAGCCCTGTTTGCTAAATTTACAAAACTGTTATAGCTAAAACTTACCTCAGTTTAGTGATATGTATAGTTTCTTACCTCCAAACTTCCAGAATGTGCTGCCCAATGTAAAGGGGTAAACTTATGGAGAACATCAAGTTCATTAATGCTGGCTCCACGTACCACTATTTCTGAAAGCTGCTTTACATCTCCAGCTCGTACTGCATCATGTATGCTGCCAAAATGCACCTTCTTCCTGGAACCTATTGAAAAATCAAATTACTTACAATGTACTACAAAACTATGAAAGAAAAAAAAAGACTAAAACAGTGATATAACAGAAAGCACAAAATTACTTTGGCTTTCCAAATAATTTACTACAAAGATGTTTGTCATTAATATCTTAAACAGACTTCTGGTTCCAACACTGACATGTAAAAAGCATGGAAGTTGACACTCCCATCCTTATAGGGAAAAATGAATGAACAGAAAATGAACAACTTTTCTTGGACCCATCAGAGAACTGAGGTCTCAGGGCAAACTGCCACCCCAAATCTGGAGAGACAAATACAGAAAAATACAGTCCTGGAGCCATAAAGTGGTAGAAGCACTTACATGGTAATGTTGATGACTTGCCAGAGGTTGAGTACATACTAGCCAAAGAATGAGAAACTTCTAAGGGCCACACTCTTACCTAGGGAGCCACTACACTTTCATAGATTTTACCTTCAGAAACCTCACCAGGTTACCATTGTGAAAAGCCAGGAACTCATGTTTTTGGCAGTGAGAAGGGGAAAGTAACCATTTTGAAATATGCCCCATGTGTTGTTCTCCATAACAAAGGCCTCCCTAGTGAAAAAGACTTCACCAGAGCCTCATCTCATACATGCAAATATATTTTATCAACATCTTTCTTATATTTCTAATTTATGTCTTACACTAAGAAAGGAATGGCAGGCCACGATTTTTAATTCACATACTCTTAGTGCTTCATATTTTATAATTTAATTAATAAGCATTGTGAACCAGAGGCAATAAAGGTATCTAAGCACGAACAGATAACTATTAGAGAAGAATGAAGGAGTAAGCAGTTCAACTTCAGCATTCTCTAAATAAAACAGGCATGATTCCTGACCTGAAGTTGTTTTGAAAACAGCTCACCAACACATCTGGCAAATGATCTGTGCAACCTTGTACTACTATTTATCTATGTACATGTCCTCTCTCCACAATCAGAATGTTAATTTCTTAAGGGCAAAAATAATATTTTACACTGGAATTATATCTTACTTTTATTACATCTTTTTATATACTCTAATTATATCTTTGCTCTTAGCAAACTGCTATAACTGTACTCAAAAAGCCTTTCTGAACATCTACCATGAGTCAGGCACTATGATAACATGATAGAAAATGGACATGGATTTAATACATTTTTTTTCCGCCAACACATTAAAATCTATTTGGATAAATACATAATGAAAACAAAAACCTGACAGCAATGTCCTCAGAGAGTACAGGTAAAATTAAGGAGAAACAAAACAAGTCACAGAGGAGGAGGAAACATTCAAGCAAGACCTTGAAGAACAATTAAGATATATGGCAAATGGGAACGAGAGCATCTGTAAGGTGTGCACATGTACACATACACACACACACACCTTTAATAAACGTTCAGTGATGTTAATCCCTAGGCCGGACCTTCATTCTTCTTTAAACTAGCACAGCCAGACCTACAAATGATGTTCTATCCACTCTACTTATTTTACACAGAGACACTCCTCTAATCCATCTTACACAGACCAACTATCCTAATCACTTCATGCCCCTACTCTAAACTGCCACTGGTTGGTCACTGCTACTCTACAAAACAAAACCCAAACTCTCAGTATGACCTCTATGGCCTCCCATAATTTGGCTCCATCTAATTTTATGGTCTTTTTTCTCACTACATTCCATCCCGATTTATTCACTCATCCACTCATCCATCTACTCAACGTAAGTCTGGTGTCTACCATAAGGATAAAAAGATGAAGACACCCTCAAGGAACTCACAGATTAGTAGAGAAGATACAAACACAAAATACAAAATAATGTGGTAAAAGCAACGATGGAAATATTCATAGGAACCTGTGGAAGCACAGATGACTTCAAACTCAGCCAGGGTAGGAGGGAAGGGGAACACAGAAGGATTCCTGGGGAAAGTTACATCTAAGATAGAATCTTCAAGGATTAACAGGAGTTTGCCAAGGCAAGTAGGAGCAGTGAGTAGGCCTAAACAGCATGAACAGTAGGACATGGTCAAGAAACCACACACACACACACACACACACACACACACACTCTCACACACTCACACACAAATCCTACTACTAAAGTATTAAGGGGATAAATAGGCTAGAACTAGACAAGAAACAGACAATGGTGAAACTTATTTTTAAAAACTTGGACTTGAGCAGACAGTGGAGAATCACTGAGGAATTTTAAACAGAAGAATTATAATGATTGAGAGCTGTAAGGCTGAGTTTACAAGGCTAAATTCAGGGAAGAGAATTTACTGAATGGGGAGCAAAAAGGCAAGACTAAAGAGTAGGTTGATTGGCCGGGCGCGGTGGCTCACGCCTGTAATCCCAGGACTTTGGGAGGCCGAGGTGGGCAGATCATGAGGTCAGGAGGAGACCATCATGGCTAACACAGTGAAACTCCGTTTCTACTAAAAATACAAAAAATTAGCCGGGTGTGGTGGTGGGCCCCTGTTGCCCTAGCTACTCGGGAGGCTGACGCAGAAGAATGGTGTGAACCTGGAAGGCGGAGATTGCAGTGAGCTGAGGACCGCGCCACTGCACTCCAGCATGGGGGACAGAGCAAGACTCCGTCTCCAAAAAAAAAAAAAAAAGAGAGAGAGAGAGAGTAGGTAGATCATGTAAGAATACAGTTTACAATAGTCTAGACCAGAAAAAATGAGACTCTGAACACTGGGAAAAGAAAAGGAGAAAGATTCAACAAATATTAATAAAATTAGAATGAACTAAACTGGAATGGATACAGTGGGTGAAACAAGGGAAAAGTAATAAGATAACTCCAAGGTGTGTGGCTTTATCATCTGAGTGCTGTGGTGCCATTAGTTGAGACAGCAAACACTGAAGGACAGAGAGGATATATAGATATAAAATTACATTTTGGACATGCTGCTCTTGAGGTACCCAAGGAAAATTTCCAGAAGGGAGATATCTATATATATGTTTGCAGCTCCGAGGAGAGATACGGAATTCAGGTCTCAGTGTTACGTGTGTCTCTGTATTAGAATGCTTTTTCTGACACCCATACTCACCCCCTACTGGAATCAGTGGCATTCTACCGTCCTTTATAACACTGATCTCACTTGTCATTATTTGCTCAGCATTTATCTTCCTCACTAGAAGGTAAAGAATGTGCCTGTCTTCTTAAGTTCCTTAAGACGGAGCACAAAGTAGGCATATGCAGTAAATATTTACTGGATGGTTGAATGAGTAACCGATTTGAGGGCCACCAGTAGGACTGAAGTCACAGTAAATGACAAGAAAAAGAGAACCAATGATGGCATCATCAAGGGGTAAAAGCTGCATTTAAGAAGATGGCAGAAGAAAAGAAAACGGTAAGGGAAAGGGTCACTCAATGGAGTGAAAGAAGAAAACTAAGTAAGTACTAATTTGTCACCTCCACAGGGTCAAATGCTGCAGGGAAGTCAAGGAAGAACTTAAAAGGGTCCGTCCATTAAGACTGAACAAGAGTTGATGTCAAGCTGGGCAAGAAGACTCGGAGGAATAGTGTGGATGGAAAAAAGGAAAGAAAGCGGAAATAATACAGAACAGGGGAGAGCTGAACAGCTTTGGTATCCCCTGAAAATAAATTAAAAAGGGAAAGGGGGGAGTGACGGCTGAGAAAAGGAAATGCCAGAAAGGGCTAAGGCTGTTGCGGGCTTAAGTGAGAAAAGGAATACGACAGAGATGAAGGCCAATGACAGTCTGACTCACAGGGGTTTGCAGTCTCCCTAGAGGAAGTGGAGGGGCCTGAATTGGCCACCCCGGGCATGGCGCAACACCTCCGACTCTGGGGAGGAGTTGAGTCCAGGCCCCTGATGCTGCGGCGGTCTTCACTTGCTCTCACCCACGAGCCACTGCAGCGGCAGCGGCCCTCTTCTCCGTCGTCACTAGGACGGGGCCCAAGGTCCTCTCTTGCTCTCTCCCAGAAGCTGCAGCGGAAACCTTCGTCTTCACTTTCTCTCTCCCAAAAGCCACTGAAGCGGTAGCTGGCGTCTTCACTGCCGCTCACACCAGAGGAGTCGCTGGCTGCGTAGCCGCGGTCTCCACTTACTTCCTCCCAAGAACTACCAACGCTGTGGCCGCCTTCGACACTCCCTCCCTCCCAGGAGCCACTGAAGCGGCGACTGCGATCGTCACTGACTCTATCCCCGAAGTCACTAGTTCGCGGGTCCCGAATGTCACTGACTCCCTCCCAAGGACCACTGAGGCGGAGGCCTCGGTCTTCTCTGGCTGTTCCCCTGGAGTCGGTAGTTTGGTGGCCTCCAACTTCACTAAAATTCACGTCGCTGCTGCAGAAGGTGCTGTCTCCCCTAACTCTCTCCCAAGAGCAGCTGTGACTGTGGCCACTATCTCCCCTAACTCTCTCCCTAGAGACGCTGCGGCAGTGGCCGAGGTTTTCACTGACCCTTCTCAAGTCACTGCGGGAGAAGCCGGCGTCTGCACTTAGGCTTCCTGCAGCGACCCTGGAGCGGCGGTCGCTCTCTTCACATTTTCTTTCCCCGTCGTCGCTAACTCTTTCCCTAGACTCGGCGCCGGAATGGCCGTGTAGACCGTTTATCCTCCACACGTGGTGGCTAGTGCGGCGGCCACCGTCTTCGTCTGCTACTCCCTGCGAATCGCCGTAGCGGCGGCCGCCTTCCGCTGGTACTTTCTCGGAGTCTCTTTCCAGCCTCCCGACTCCAGCCACTTGGCTGGAGAGGCAGCAGGGCCGTCGCCTTGGAAACGAGTACACTTCCGACGTGCTGAGGTCATTTCCCGTTCCTCACGGCCCACGCTACTTCCGGTTTCCTTTCCCTCAGCTATTCCATGGCTTTTCGTGTGGACAAATCGGGAGGTGGTGTAAACTGGTTTTTGGTGAAATTCGGCTCGGCCTCATGCGAACCTATCTAGGTCCGTCTCTGGAGTGGCCTGTCATCGATCGCGCCCTCCATCGCTGAGCGACACAAGTGGAACCCCCCAGGACTGCATTCTGCGTAGGTGACCTGTGTGGCGCGGGCCGGGCGGGGCCTTTTTGTCCTTGGGCAAACGTGGTATACTTTCTCAGTGGTGGTTGGAAGGAAATTTGTTGCCCTGTCATTTCGCAAGTATGGAAAAAGACCTAAAGGAGAATTTAGCAGCTGCAGCCGCTGTTTTTATTGCGTACTTTACTAGCGCCAACTCTTTAATAATCGCTTGTTAGTTGTTACCCCTGTTTTATGGGTCAAGAGACTCAATATATCAGTACTTTGGTAAGGCCAGGCAGCAGGTAAGTTGTAAAACCAGTAAAAAAACACAGGTCATTAGTCAAAAGAGTGCTTCAGGTCTCCTGACTCCAAATCCGAGAATCCTTTCACTGTAGCATGTTTACTGCTCAAATATTTCTACAACCCTATTGCTTAACAACAGGAATGAATTATTTCACCATTTGTTGCAAACGTATGGGTCACGTTTTGTGCCAGCAGCAGAAAATACAGAAATTAGTAAGAATTACCTGCCCTCCAGGGGCATCACCAACCTGGATTCCCCTCTCGGCCCAGTTTTTCCACCCTTATTGCCTTCTCCCTTCAGGAATAATGAACTCGTCCTGGAAGCGTACCTTACTTTTTAATATCTCTGCCTTGTCATGTGCTGTTCGTCTTACCAGGAAACTACCCTGCTTTTCCCCCAGTTTTGGTCTGTGAACACATTTGGGAAATTCTTCTGATCCTACCGCTACTCTCTTGAGGTACAGTAAATTGTCTTTGACTTCCATCACCTTTTGTAATATTACAATTGCCATCTACTGAGTTCCTATGATCTGCCTGGCATTGTACTAAGTGCTTTATATTTTCTTGTTCATTTTTTTATGCCAACATAAATGAGTTTGACTCAATTCTTATTATAACCTGCCAAAATAAGTATTCCTCTTCCTTTTTACAGAGAGAGAAACAAGGGAAAAAAAAGTTAATTGCCTGAGGATATACTGCTAGTGTTGCGGGACAAATAGAGACGGGAGAGGCCAAACAGAATTCAGGACAACCCTTTATTATTAAGGTGATCACTGGCTCAGTCGGACTGGGGTCCAGAAAGTCTGAGCCCGGAACAAAGGGATCAATCACCTTTTAAGCAATTTGTGGCGGGAGTTTGGTGCTACAGGAAGCCTACTTGCAGAAGCAAGAACAAAGGCAGTTAATTATTCTTTTACATTTGTTACACCACATGTCTTACATCCTTGGGAATGCATGCTTTTGTAGCAATTGCTTATCAACCTTGTGACTTTACAGCGCGCTAGGGAGGGAAGCAGGAACTCGTGGTGCCTCAAGGAACGTGAAACGGTGGAACACAGATAAGCCTCTCCGTGCGTAGAGGAGAAATAAGCGGTTAATATTCTCTCTTAACCCAGGCCTCCGGAGGGTGGGGGGCTATATTTCATTCTACCTCTAAGGAAAAGAATAAACTTCTTGACTAATATACTTATAAAATTCATTAATTCCCCCTTCACTAGTAAATAATAAATACCTGACTTAGGATTCCAAAATAGGTCTTGAATTTTTCTGCAGGAGCTCCTCAAAGTCTCTGAATTCCCACAACCTTTTATTAGATCACTTATCCCATTGTATTATAATTATCTGTTTAACAATTTTTCCTCACCCCTAAAGGACCCTGAGCTTCTGGAAGGTAGGGACTGTATCTTAAAATCTTGGCATTTCTGATGTCTAGAATATTTCATTTAAGAGAAGGGCTTAGTAACTGTTGTGTGGGTGGGTTGATGAGTTAACTGTCAGGCAGGTGAACTAATAGGCTGAAGATAAAGTTTTTCACTGTTGGAAGTGAATTTGGGATTAGTCATCCTAATCCCCTCACTTTTAGAGATGGGGCAACTGAGTCATGCGCGGTGGCTCACGCCTGTAATTCTAGCACTTTGGGAGGCCAAGGTGAGCGGATCACCTGAAGTCAGGGATTTGAGACCAGCCTGGCCAACATGGCGAAACCCCATCTCTACTAAAAATACAAAAATTAGCCAGGCATGGTAGCAGGAGCCTGTAATCCCAGCTGTTCGGGAGGCTGAGGCAGGAGAATCACTTGAACCTGGGAGGCGGAGGTTGCAGTGAGTTGAGATCGCGCAATTGCGCTCCAGCCTGGGCGACAAGAGCAAAACTCCACCTCAAAGAAAAAACAAAACAAGACATGGGGCAGCTGAGGCCTTTTGTATACCAGGCATTTATCGAGTTATTCATGTGGGCCAGTTTCTGTGATAAATGATTTGCAAATAATACCCAACTTAATCTGTATTGTTATTTTTATTTTTACAGATGAAGAAACAGCTCAGATTTGACCAAGATCACACAAGTAGGAGTTGAGGAATTGGAACCCACTATGACTGACTCCAAATTAATATAGTGTTTATAGCCACTTACATAATAATGGTAAAGGTTTTATTTTTTTCACTATACAATATGTAGTAGATAAATTTACTGAGGAAATGAGACAGCACGTGACAAATCCTTAAAGGATACACACATGACAGGAAGGATTAGAAGAGGAAACAGAAACAGGTAACAGAGAAGCAGAAAAAGTAAAATCTCCCAAAATAAAAATAGAAGGAATTAAAAATAAAAGCAGACTCCGGGTGCAGTGGCTCATGCCCAGCACTTTGGGAGGCCGAGGCAGGTGAATCACTTGAGGTCAGGAGTTTGAGACCAGCCTCGCCAACATGATGAAACCCTGTTTCTACTAGAAATAAAAAAATTAGCCAGGTGTAGTGGCGTGCACCTGTAATTCTGGTTACTTGGGAAGCTAAGGCAGAAGAATCACTTGAACCCGAGAGGCAGAGGTTGCAGTGAGCCAAGATCATGCCATTGCACTCCAGCCTGGGTGACAGAGCAAGATTATAAAGTCTTCTCAATAAAATCGTCTCAAAAATAATAAAAATAAAAGCAGAAGTTAATGAAATAGCAAATAAAATTGATGATAGTAATTAGCTGGTGTTTGAAAAGAACAATAAATAGAAACTCAACAAATCTGAGGAAGAAAAGGAAAAAAAATGGTATTGGAAACAAAGGAGCCCATGGACGGAGGATGGCTTGAGCCCAGGAGGTTGAGGTTGCAGTGAGCCATGATTGCACCACTGCACTCCAGCCTGGTCAACAGAGCTAGACACTGTCTCAGAAAAAAAAAAAGAAACAGGCCGGGCATGGTGGCTCACGCCTGTAATCCCAGCACTTTGGGAGACCAAGGCAGGCGGATCATGAGGTCAAGAGATCGAGACCATCCCAGCCAGCATGGTGAAACCCCATCTCTACTAAAAATACAAAAATTAGCTGGGCGTGGTGGCAGGCGCCTGTAGTCCCAGCTACGTGGGAGGCTGGGGCAGGAGAATTGCTTGAACCCCCAGGAGGTGGAGGTTGCAGTAAGCCGAGATCGCGCCACTGCACTCCAGCTTGGCGACAGAGTGAGAGTCCGTCTCAGGGAAAAAAAAAAAAAAAGGGCAAAGGGACATCTTACAAAGGAGACTGTGAAAATCAGAAAGAAATTATTTTGTATAACATTATACACGTTGAGCACCCCTTATCCAAAATCTGAGATTTTCAGTCCTTATCCAAAATCTGAAATCCTTATCCAAAATCTGAGTGGCTGAGATCACGCCACTGCACTCCAGCCTGGGCAACACAGCGAGACTCTGTCTCAAAAACAATAAAGTGAGTGTGGTCCAGAAGAGATTAAGAAGCTAAGAAAAGCACACTGGTTTTAGCAAGAAGTCATTGATAATAAGAGTAATTTTAATAAAAAAGCTAAGATGCAATATCCAGACTGCATGGGATTTCAAGGTAAGTGCCTGACTATGGAAGAAATTTTTTTTTCTTTTTTTTTTGAGACAGAGTCTCGCTGTGTCACCCAGGCTGGAGTGCAGTGGCGCAATCTTGGCTTACTGCAAGCTGCCTCCTGGGTTCACTCCATTCTCCTGCCTCAGCCTCTCCGAGTAGCTGGGACTACGGGCGCCCACCACCACGTCCAGCTAATTTTTTTATTTTTAGTAGAGACGGGGTTTCACCGTGGTCTCGATCTCCTGACCTTGTGATCCGCCCGCCTCGTCTTCCCAAAGTGCTGGGATTACAAGCGTGAGCCACCGCGCCCAGCCTGGAAGAAGTTTCTTAAGTGAAACAGGGTTCAGAATACATCCTGGAGTGGTCATCTCAGTATTCTAGAGAACTGGAACCTTTTGTGAGTAGGAAGGAAGGTATGATTCCAGTTAGTAAATATGACTAGTCCTCCACTTCTACCTCAGTTTTTCTAAAGTGGGGTGATAAAGCAGGATATCATAAATCAGCTTTTTATATCTTGTTTCAGAGAAGGGAGCAGGGCCAACCCCAGGCAAAAACAAAAAACGAAGTGGATATTGGTGACAGTCTGTACTCCTTTCTGCCTATGTGCCATTTTCTGTTATTTCCCAGTCATTCTTGTTCTTCTTTTGGTGCTCACTCCCAAATCTTCACAGGGGTACTCCTTGGGTACCTTTTGGCTCTTATTTAGCTACTCTTCCCCACCTGCTCAACACAATGCCCATTATCTCTGGGAGCTGACCCCATTTAGGATTAGGAAAAAACTTCCCAATTCTACAAGAGTGCAGGTCTTTCTTGATAATAGTCTTTATTTTCCATTTCTACCTCCATTTAGGCAGCTACATTTTTCCACCTGCAGCATGGTTAGATGCCTCCTCAGATTTTCCTGAATATTTTGTGTAAACCTCCATTAGGTTGCTTACTTGGTACTAAATTGTAAGGTCAGTCATATAAAAAATATGTATATACTAAGCTGTTATATGAGAATGTTTTAATTTTTTATATGTAATTCCTTATTTTTCTTCCCAAAGCTTTTTATTTTTAGCTGAATTGCAATGAGATTGCTTTCTATTTTCCAAAGCATCAAAGTTGGACATTTTCAGTGGGAAAATTACACTAAAACCAGGAGGATATAAACTTAATGAAATCTTTAGATTTTAGGAAACACATACTTTTCCTTTTACTTGTTCTCTCAAACTTCAATTCAATTTAAAAGAAAATGTTCCATCATCTCTGAGGCTTCATTTAATTTTCCTTACTGCACTTTACAGTGTTAGATTACTACTTCTAGCTAACAGTGTTATGTATTGACTCTTTTTCTATCTTTGGGGATGCTGTTGATGTTGATTTCTGAATTATTTACCAGATCTGGCTGTTCATTAGAAAAAACTATGGAGCTTGAATACTAGAAGTGCCCCTGAATGCGAATCAACTAAATGAGACTCTCCAGAGATTAGGAATCTCTTAATATTCACTAATTCTAAGCCAGGTGTAGTGGTGTGCACCTGTAATCTAGTTACTTGGGAGGCTGAGGTGGGAGACTGGCTTGATCCCAGGAGTTCGAGGCCAGCCTGGACAACCTGGTAAGGCCCCATCTCTAAATTTAGTATTAAAATTTGTTTTAAATTCACTATAATTCTAATGCACAGCCAAATATGGGGCAGATCTGGATCACTGCCTTACATCTGGCCTTCTACCTCAAAGAGAAAATAAGAATTGAACTCAAACCCAACTGTAAATACTAGTGGCCATCTTGGAGAACACTGGCCCACCTCCATTCCAAAGCTAAATCCTTCCTGTGCTTTTATTTTTTTTGGCAGACAGTGTCCCTCTGGTTTTTCATATATTTGGTAGCGACGGAGTTTCACCATGTTGCCCAGGCTGGTCTTGAACTCCTACACTCAAGCAATCTACCCACTTCATCCTCCCAAAGTGCTGGAATTACAGGCATGAGCCACTGTGCCCCGCCCCTCCTGTGCTATTGTTGATACTATCTTGTTACAACCTTGAGACTGGTATACCGGTCATCTCCATCTTCAACCCATTTCTCCACTGAGCTCCTCTTAACATGCTAATGCCTCTCCTATTTGTCTAACTACAATTCAATCTCTGGAGTTAAACTTCATTTAAAAAAATAGCTTTTAATATTTTGTTACCTCTCATCCACACTACCCATTGCACCAGGTGTTGGCACCCATACTCAGCTGTTCTTAGGTCAACAGTTAGAGTATTTCTGAGTCTTACATATTTTCTTGACTTCATTTTGTTGACTACCTCGTCCATTGAAATTTTCTTCCTGCGCACACCTGTAATCCCAGCACTCTGGGAGGCCAAGACGGGCAGATCACTTAAGGTCAGGAGTTCGAGACCAGCCTGGCCAACGTGGTGAAACCCCGCCTCTACTCAAAATATAAAAATTAGCCAGGCGTGGTGGCGGGCACCTGTAATCCCAGCTACTTGGGAGGCTGAGACAGGAGAATCACTTGAACCCAGGAGGCAGAGGTTGCAGTGAGCCGAGATTGTGCCACTGCACTGAGCCGAGATTGTGCTACTGCACTGATCCAGCCTGAGCAACATAGCAAGACTGTCTCAAAAAAAGAAAAAAAAAAATTTTCCCATTGCTGGTTTTCCCATTTTCTTTTTGACCTTCCCACCTACCAGTCTTTGTTCCCCCATCCTTGACCCTCTTCTCCATGTGGATACCGTTGATACACTTTTAGGTTTGAATATCACCTTCCTTTTAGAATGTTCCATACCTTTAAGCATTTGATAAAAGCTATGGTGGTTTCCCCAGAAAAATGTTCAACAGGAAGTTTTGCCTACATTTTTGGATTCACAGACCTCAGTTCCTATGGCAGTGTTCATATACGTAAGTTCAGCTGTTACGTGTTTACAACTCAAATCCAATGGCTACCAGTTTTCCCACTGGACCTCTCTGGATTTAGCAATCTCTAAAATTGTATTCACTTGATTCTTAAAAAAATAAAAAAGCTTAAATGCAGATAGGATGTCACCCTGTTTAAAATTTCTAGTGGCTGCTCTGGTCATCAGTTTAATAAAAATTCCTTAGCATGACCAAGAAGGCTCTTCACTACTTAAAAATAAAGGCTGGGCACGTGGCTCATGCCTGTAATCCCAGCACTCTGGGAGGCCAAGGCAGTAGGATCACTTGAGCCCAGGAATTCGAAACCAGCCTGGACTACGTAGTGAGACTCCATTTCTACTAAAAAAATTAATGGCTCATCATAATCTATTCAAAACTACTGAGTTTTAACCATAAGAAGTCAATTTTTGAAAACACAAAAGTATTTTAAGCCTTTACATTTGCTGTTCATTTTCCAAAGATACCCTTCCCATCAGTATGGACTCCACTCCTGGTTATCCTCCAAGACTCAAATGTCACCACTTTTGTAGAATCTTCCTTAGCCACCTTCCAGTAGTTTGGTGTGCTTATTTCTATCCTAACAATCAATTTGGGGGTATCTTTTAAAATTGCAGAAATTGTATGGAATTAGAGGAAACAAAGCCACGTTCAAATTCTTATAAAAATTTTAAAGTGAGTGGCTTAATTTCATCTGTAAAGTGGGGACACCATCTACCATGTAGTTATTAGATGTGAATACCAGAGAAAATACATGTAGAAAGTGCTAGTGCCTGCCACATACTATGTGCTCAATAAAACTCAGTGTTTTATATGCCTATCTCCAATAAATGGCAGAAAAGACTAACCTGTCTCAGAGTGCCTGGCTCATAGCAAGTACCATGTTCATGTTTCAAAAAACAGATGAAAGACAACAAGAAAGTCACATTCTAAAGCTTTTCAAGAAATAAAGAAGTACAAACAAAGTTTCTTCATCATTCTATTTATTACATGTATGAATATTAACATCTCATGGTGTCCATCTAAGTCAAAACCAACAAAAGAAAAAAGTTAACCATATCTCAAGCAAACATTCTTACAGATTCCCGTTACTTAAAATAGAAATATGTTCATCTGCATTAAATCATTTGACAATTTGAAAAAGTCTTTAAAAAAAAAATCACCTTTAGTACTTAAATATATTTGTTAATTGTTTGATGGCATCAGTGTCCAAGTTCAAGAATAAAACTTTGCATCATTAGATATTTTCAAAAGTGAACATCTGGATGGTTCTCTATACCTGGAGATGTGTTTGTGTATATATATATATATATCTGCAAAATATGTCCTATTTTATCTTTAAAATTTTTTCAAAATCTGGCTTTTCTATTTGAGAAAAGCCCTACGGTGCTCTCTCGGAACCCCCTTTTGAAGGATGAAACCTCAAACTTGCTTCTTTAATCAGTGGGAGGCTACTAGAAAAAAAATCTTATGTTGAGGTTGCTGTTCAATTCCATTTTTACCCAATAAAAAGTACAGAAACTATTTGATGGTGTGCATAAATATTACACTCCATGAATAGCAAAAATATTTTTTATTTATAATTTACAGTTGCACAGTGAAAAATCGTACATTTTTACACATACAATTTCATTTCGTTAAATTTGCACACATCTACAGAACTTTCACACAACAAGCACCTGAAACTCTGCAGGCAGTAGGAAATGCAAATACTAAAATGTATTTATTAACCAAATGATAGCTGAAGGCCCTGCCTCAGCCAGACAATTTATATAGATATGTCTATATATACATAAAAAAATTCTTCACCTTCTAGATCCAACAGCAGCTTTTTTAAAAAAGAAAAACATACCTTTCTCATTTTATTTAAACTGACTCGACTGTGTCATTTTCTGTTTTAATTTCAGAGGGTGTTGCTATGCTTTCCTCTGTACAAGCTGGTGGTGTATCAATTCGTTCTTCCTTAACTTTGGGACTGTCACAGGGTTCCTGCAATTCGTTTTTGACAATGTTCAACATAATATTCAAGGGGTTTTCAACTGGTGTCTTGCTGGGAGATGGTGTACAATCAAATGAAGATGTCTACAAAATGAAAGGCCCTATGAGTACTGATGAAAGTTCAAAATTCTCACATTAAATAACATTTAGTCTTGTAAGACCCTTGTATGAACAAGAGAACACACATACAACCAAATGCAAATGAAACACCTGCCTCCCAACAAAATGTGCCATAAAGACAACCAGAAATAAAATATATATTGCACGTTCAATATGTACTCAGCAGTGAGTTAAGCAGTTAACAGCTAAGTTATAGGACATTATACAGCCAAAAAAAGTTGATTAGACATGCTTCTACATTTTAATCTCTACATAGATGTTAAACTCATACATATATCCTGGGACTTGTTACTACCCTAATTTCAAATAGTCTGAGGATTTTTTAAATCCCCACAAACCATCACCCTCAACACTAGTCTTCTGACAACCTAAATAAACCTTCCAAATTGCCTCCAACCCATTATCTCTAAAAACCTATTTATTCCATTACTTGATTTTAAAAACAGACTACAAATATGACCATTTGAACTTTTTTTTTTTTTTTTTTTTTTGAGACAGAGCTCACTCTTGTCGCACAGGTTGCAGTGCAGTGGCATGAACTCAGCTCACTGCAACCTCCACCTCCTGGATTCAAACAATTCTCCTGCCTCAGCCTCACAATCAGGTGGAACTATAGGCACCCGCCACCATGCCTGGCTAATTTTTGTATTTTTAGTAGAGACAGGGTTTCACCATGTTGGCCAGGCTGTTCTCGAACTCCTGACCTCAGGTGATCCACTCGCCTCGGCCTCCCAAAAGTGCTGGGATTACAGGCATGAGCCACCACGCCCAGCCGACCATTTGAACTTTTAAGGTCAACGACTGGTATCATTTTTAGATTCCGTATGTGATCATTAAAAAGTATACCTATTTTGGCCGAGCACGGTGGCTCACGCCTATAATCCTAGCACTTTGGGAGGCCAAGGTGGGTGGATCACTTGAGGTCAGGAGTTCAAGACCAGCCTGACCAATGTGGTGAAACCCTGTCTCTACTAAAAATACAAAATTAGCCAGGTGTGGTGGTGCACGCCTGTAATCCCAGCTACTTGGGAAGCAGGGGCAGGAGAATCCCTTGAACCCAGGAGGTGGAGGTTGCAGTGAGCCGAGATTGCGCCATTGCACTCCAGCCTGGGCAACAAGAGCGAAACTTTGTCTCAGAACAAAACAACAAAAAGAATATACCTATTTAGATGGCTGAATAGAGATGTAAGAAAAAAAAATAGCAGTAAATGCTACCCATAGCTCTAGAAACGTATCCCCATCAGGATCCTTATCTTCACTTTTCCTCACATTTCTTTGGGCCTAGTGGACTAGTAAAAGATACCATGATTCAAGTGAATAAAATGCAAGGAATGATAAATTTCAAAATTTTAATTGTTTGCGTTATCACAGAAAATGATATTCATATATGTCAATTCTGTCAATCTGGCACCAGTTTTTACTGAACAACCTAAATGCTATATCAAAAAACAAAAACAGTTCAATATATTAAGTTTAAAATAACAATATTGCTCTGATGCAAAAAAAAAACTGAAAAGTAAAATTTATTAATGCAAATGAGAACAAATACAGTAACCAAAAAGAACTTACATTTTGATAATCTTCATAACATGATGGATGATAAATCTGAAGCAAAAAGAAAAAAAGTAAATATGTGCGTATTCATTTCTAATGGGCTATTCTGATATTTCTTTTTAACTTTAAGCCAGAAGATAGTCTTTGGAAAGAAGACAAAAATTATTTGGTCCCAAAATGGATAAAACCAAATTTTCATCCTTATGCTTAAAGAGTCTGAAAAACTGACTTCTCTTGGCCCATTTAAGTATCTAGCCTAACTTGCTTTGTTTTCAGCACAGTATAGTTTGATGATGAAATATAAATCCACAATCAAAATAGTGTGGGTCGACAGAAAAACGACTAACTAGATTCAGAAGACCTAGTCCTGGGTCTGTCACTGACTAATAGTGCAACCTCCTGTGTAAAGTGTACAGAACCGGGTGACTGCTAAGATCCCTTCTAATTCAAACATTCTATTACTAAAGTCCAATACCCTTTTTATTAAGACCAAAAATCAAACAAAAACTATTATGAACCGCCTCCTTTCAAAGTAATGTGTTAACCCAACAAAAAAACACTAATCTTAACACTTCCTTATAAAGAAATGAAAATTACCTTTCCATCTACTCTAATAGCATTTTTCAAATGCCATTCCTCCTCTTCTTCATCCCAGTATTGTTCAAATTGTTCTTGACAGATTTCACAACTCTAAAATAGAATCATATAAAATGAAATTTACATAATAGACCATATTTAACCCCATTAAGTAAAAATATACAAACACTGTTAAGTGGAGTAAAGAATTTATGAGTGTTCCAAAAGTTTGAATAATGTCCAATATACAGTATGATTCAAAATACATTTATGGGATTCTGTCAATCTTTCCAGTAAAAAGAGTAAACATTTCACTGCTTTTGGCCACTGTAGTTATGAAACTCAAAGCTAGATTGTAAGAGTAAAATTGAAGAGTAGAGCTTTCAAGAAGTCTTAAAATCATTAAAACAGGGATATAAATATAGTGATGTGTTTATGAGTATTTACATAAAGGAAGTGAGGGACACTCCCACTGTGAGAAAACTTAAACGTTCTTCTCTCACCTCAACTGCTCCAGCTGGTCCAGCAGGTACACTTTGGAACTCTTTTTCTTTAGCAGCCTCTTGAGTTTTGAGCACAACTTCTTCATGCACCTTTTCAAAAAACTGGCTCTTTGCCCGTTCTTCCAGATCAGCTATCTCCTCAAATTCTATCCAGTCCTTAAAAGGAGTTGATTTTTAAAAGATTATTCCATTTATTTCTAAATTTTTACTGTGTATCTTCAATATAATGCCATTTAAAGGTAGGGGTATACTATTTTCTACATTATGCTCTAATATTATTTAAAATTATACTTTGAAACATATAACTAATGACAACATGAAACTAATAATTAAGATCTTTTCCATTAACTCTATAGTTACAACTACTAATTCAAAAAAGACAAGCTTCAAGTATATTTTTTTTTTTACAAAAAACAGTCCTAGAGCCTGGGAATTTTAGAGCTAGAACAAGCCTGTAGGCTACACTCTAATCTTAATTAAAAAAAAAAAAATTCCCTTCAAAATTCATTTTTTAAAAAATGTGTTTATATTCCAGGGGTCAAAGCCTTGGACTTTTAGAGCTAGAACAAGCCTGTATGCTATACTCTAATCTTAATTTAAAAAAAAAAATACTCTTCAAAATTCATTTTTTAAAAAATCTGTTTATATTCTAGGGGTCAAATTTTATTCAGGAAATTTCAATGTTAGATTCCAGCAGTTATTAAAATTATTAAATTACTTAATTAAAATTAAATTTTAATAATTATTAAAATTAATATACTTTTAGAATGATATAATTTAAGCCTAAAAGATACTATGGAGGCACATGGGTTACTTACTGTTAAACTGTAGTACCAACGTCTATGAGTGACTTTTCGGCTAACATCCTTTTCAGTTCTATTTTGCCGATAATGCCAGTCCAAATGATCTGCATAAACATCTGTCTGTGATGTTGTAAACCTCATTCCACAAGAGTAACACTGAATACCAGTGTACAGTCGATTTATAACACTGTCATAACGTCTATTTTGAAAAAGAAATAATCTTTAGTGTTGATAATATGGCTTAATGGCCTTTAAAAGCCAATTACAAATATTTCAATTTTCCATACTGTAACAATGGTGAAACCAAGAGCTGGCTGAAACAGTTAATACCCAAAGATCAGTATTATTCTCTAACAATGTGATTGACCCTCTTTACCTTAACTTTGGTGACTTTTGGAAGATGGAGCCTGTCTTCTTATTGATAGCCCTGACCCAGTTATTTATTTCCTTTTAGCTAAAAATGAAATGATCCTGTGCTAGCTAACAAGGCAATAGTTAGCTTATTTTAGTTTGGAGTCAAGTCAAGATGGACATGGCAGAACAGTTAAATTTCACCTCTCTAGATCTTTGGCATTCTGAATAATTCAACTTCTCCACTCTGGTGTAACAGTGAAAAAAGGACAGAAGAAATAATAATAGTATGGATAACTAAAGAGAAAACTTAGAATACCATTGGGAAACAATAATTAGTTTGCTGTGGTCAACAAATAATTAGTTTTTTAAATTCTGGGCTCCCTATTTGGGAAGAAACAGGTATATATAGAAGACCAAGTAAGTGAACAAACAGAGCAGTTATTAACTCCAAGAAAAAAAAAAAAAATAGCCGGGCACAGCGGCTCACGCCTGTAATCCCAGCACTTTGGGAGGCCAAGGTGGGCAGATCACGAGGTCAGGAGCTCAAGACCAACCTGACCAACGTGGTGAAACCCTGTCCCTACTAAAAATACAAAAATTAGCTGGGTGTGGTGGCACATGCCTGTAATCCCAGCTACTTAGGAGGCTGAGGCAGGAGAATCACTTGAATCGGGAGGCGGAGGATGCAGTGAGCCAAGATCACGCCACTGCACTCCAGCCTGGGCCACAGAGTGAGACTCCATCTCAAAAAAAAAAAAAAAAAAATAGAATAAAGCAAATAACAGAACACTGGTACTTTGTTACAGCAACAAAATAAACATCTAGTCACAATATTAATACTGAATAATAAAAAACAGTCTTATAACTACATGGAGGGGAGTTAGTAGGACACTACAAGAGCTAGCTAAATCCACCCCCCGCCCGTTTTTTTTGGAGACGGAGTCTCGCGCTCTGTCACCCAGGATGCAGTGCAGTGGCCCGATCTCAGCTCACTAAAGCCTCCGCCTCCTGGGTTCAAGCAATTCTCCCCACCTCAGCCTCCCGAGTAGCTGGGATTACAAGTGCCCACTACCACGCCCAGCTAATTTTAGTATTTCTAGTAGAGACAGGTTCTAGTAGAGACATGTTACCATGTTGGCCAAGCTGGTCTTGAACTCCTGACCTCAGGTGATCTGCCCACCTCAGCCTCCCAAAGTGCTGGGATTACAGGCATGAGCCACTGCGCCCAGCCTAAATCACTTTCAGAAAGTTAAGAGATTATGTCCAGATGTGGTAAATCAAGAAACAGAAAATTATGTGTATTATAAGAAATAGGTGGCTCAAACCTGTAATCCCAGCATTTTGGAAGGCCGAGGCGGGCAGATGACTTGAGCCCAGGAGTTCGAGAACAGCCTGGACAACATGATGAAACCCCATCTCTACTAAAAATACAAAAATTAGCTGGGCGTGGTGATGGGTGCCTATAATCTTAGCTACTCAGGAGGCTGCGGCAGGAGAATCACTTGAACCTGGGAGGCGGAGGTTGCAATGAGCCAAGACAGGGCCACTGCACTCTAGCCTGGGTGACAGAGTGAGACTCTGTCTCAAAAAAAAAAGGAAAAAGAGGTAAATGGCAGAAAAAATAGTTTGAAAAGTTAAAAAAATAAAATGATTGCCTCTAGGGTACAGTGTTGGGTGAAGGAGAAAGGGATGCCATCTTTTATTAAAAGCCTTTATGTGAAAGTATTACTTTGAAAAAAAAAAGGATTTTACATTATAGTATCTAATTCAAATTTAAAAAATGATTTTAAGAGTGAAAAACTCATTCACTATTTTATTTTTTATAAAGTACTCACAGGATTAATGAATTTATTCACTAGAAAAATCTTTAAATGTTTTTTATAATACAATAGAAAATTATGAAAAGATATGCACCAAATGTTAACAGTTGTTATCCATAAAGTGAGAGTTGTACGTTTTCTTGATTTTATTTATAGTATGTTCTAATTTTCCACAATTAACATTACTTATAAAATGAAAAATAGATTTTTTTTTTTTTTTGAGACACAGTCTCGCTCTTTCGCCCAGGCTGGAGTGCAGTGGCGTTATCTCGGCTCACTGCAAGCTCCGCCTCCCGGGTTCACACCATTCTCCTGCCTCAGCCTCCCGAGTAGCTGGGACTACAGGCACCCGCCACTGCGCCCGGCTAATTTTTTGTATTTTTAGTAGAGACGGGGTTTCACCATGTTAGCCAGGATGGTCTTGTTAGCCAGGATGGTCTCGATCTCCTGACCTCGTGATCCACCTGCCTCGGCCTTACAAAGTGCTGGGATTACAGGAGTGAGCCACCGCGCCCAGCCGATTTTTTTTTAATTGTAAATGCTGAACTATGAAAATCTCATTTCTGAACCTCAAAAATGTTAAGAATATCAATACAGAAAAAATGATGATACACAGAAAATGAAACTAAACAGGAATACATGAATTATCAATACCTAATATTTAAACTCCCTAAGTTTTCTGTATCACAGATTAAAAAATGAAAATTTTGAGGGACCAGGTGTGGTGGCTCACACCTGTAATCCCAGCACTTTGGGAGGCCAAGGCAGGTGGATCACTGGAGGTTAGGAGTTCGAGACTAGCCTGGCCAACGTGGTGAAACCCCATCTCTACTAAAAATACAAAAATTAGCTGGGTATGGTGGTGCACACCTGTAATCCCAGGAGAATCACTTGAACCTGGGAGGCAGAGGTTGCAGTGAGTCAGGATCACGCCACTGAACTCCAGCCTGGGCAGCAGAGTAAGACTTTTGGGGGTGGCCTTTGGCCCAAGTACTTGTACAGCAGACATATTTTAAAAGACGATTTAAAAATAGGCTTCCCAAAGACTATGTTATGTATATTTTACCACATTAAAAAAAAAAAAAGACTTCCTAAATGTTAAAACAGTAAAAGGGATAAAGGGAAAGGGAAAGCACTAATAGTAACAATGTCCACTATAACAGTGTTATTAAAGTCACTGCCTCTTTATCTTAAAGAAAATTAGATTACATACTGTTTCAATTCTTCAACTGTAAAATTAGTAAGATCTGGAACATCTTGATCTTCATTTTGATCTTCCTCCTCTTCAGGGGGAGGCTGAGCAGTTACTTCACTTACTTCTTCAATTAAGAAGAGACATACAAATTTCTTAATACCATTCTCCATGTATTCTCTACAGAGGAACACTATAGTATTATAAGCAAATAGAGAAATCCACCTAGTCCATTCAGTGCTTCTGATCTCAAGTTTACTGGCCAAGGAACCTAATACAATTTTTTATTTTGATATGTGATGTTAACTCTGATTTCTTAAAAGTCATCTATAATAAAAGTCATTTATTTCATTAATATTCAAAACCTTTTCAAAAGTTAATCTAACATACAATTACTGGTAAAAAGCCTGCACATTAGGTATGTTAGTTAACTGAAACACATGTCCACTATAAGGTAGTTCAATCTTAGGAAATCTAAAAGAATTTCATTATAAACCGAAAATCAAAAATAAAAGCTATACCTAGGAATTCAATTATTGTAAGGACCTTTATCATAACTTATATCATTATATTACATCATACATCTCAAAAACTTAATGAAGCTTTGTGTAAATTTAAGTATAAAATCACACTTACGTGTTGTAGCTGAATCAGTTTGGGACAATTTGAGAATTCCTGTTTTTAGCAATTTTGAAAACAATTCATTTACATCCACCTGACTGAGATGATTATCAGGATATGCCTTAGGGAGGGCTCCTAACAAAAAAAAGAAAGAAAGAAAAAAAACCACTTTTGAAGTGAATGTAGAACTTAAAGATGCAAATTATACTAAGCATTTTTCAAAGTTTTCTTCAAGATGTCCTGCCAACAGTAAATTTGACAAAATCTAATTTATTAATAAGTTTAATTTCAAAAGCCCCTAAGATTATCTTTTCATTTAGGTCTACAAGTCAGCATGACTTGAGAATATATTCTTTTTTCCTTCTTTTTTTTTTGTTTTTTTATTATACTTTTAAGTTCTAGGGTACATGTGCACAACGTGCAGGTTTGTTACATAGGTATACATGTGCCATGTTGATTTGCTGCACCAATCAACTCGTCATTTACATTAGGTATTTCTCCTAATGCTATCCCTCCCCCAGACCCCCCACCCCCCGACTGTGCCTGGTGTGTGATGTTCCCTGCCCTGTGTCCAAGTGTTCCCATTGTTCAATTCCTACCTACAAGTGAGAACATGCGGTGTTTGTTTTTCTGCCCTTGTGATAGTTTGCTTAGAATGATGGTTTCCTGCTTCATCCATGTCCCTGCAAAGGACATGAACTCATCCTTTTTTATGGCTGCAAAGTACTCCATGGTGTATATGTGCCACACTTTCTTAATCCAGTCTATCATTGATGGACATTTGGGTTGGTTCCAAGTCTTTGCTATTGTGAATAGTGCCACAATAAACATATGTGTGCACGTGTCTTTATAAAAGCATGATTTATAATCCTTTGGGTATATACCCAGTAATGGGATTGCTGGGTCAAATAGTATTTCTAGTTCTAGATGCTTGAGGAATCACCACACTGGAGTTGAGAATATATTCTAAAACAAATGCTGACAACACTGAAAATAATGACCCTTTATGCTCCCTTCTCCCAAGCAATGCAGCACCACCCCATCTCCAACTTTCCACCTTTCTAATCTCTCTTCCTCATCTTCTAAGTACACTGGAAAAAGTAGTTTTATATAGATGAAATAGTTTATTACCCCTTAGCACTAAGCCTAAGTGGAAGTACTCCTGACCTCAATGCTCCCTGACGTAACAGGAAAACTGAAACAGGGAGATGAATCAGATGGCTCAGAGTATACCTGCTCCTATGACCTTTGCTAAAAAGCATACTGCCCTTGCAAAGCAGCTCAAGCTATTGCTGAAAAGGTGTCATGGTTACTAAAGCTTCAATAACTTGAATAAATAAGATAAGCCTAACAATCTTGTTCTGCTTGATAAGGAATCCTCATTGGTGAGGAATCATTCCAGTCTCATATTTTTCCAAGCACTATTCTAATAATTGTGATTCTTTTTTTGTTTTTGTTTTTGTTTTGAGACAGAGTCTCACTCTGTTGCCCAGGCTGGAGTGCAGGGGCACGATCTCAGCTCACTGCAAGCTCCACCTCCTGGGTTCACACCGTTCTCCTGCCTCAGCCTCCAGAGCAGCTGGACTACAGGTGCGTGCCACCACACCCAGCTAATTTCTTTTTGTATTTTTAGTAGAGACGGGGTTTCACCGTGTTAGCCAGGATGGTCCTGATCTCCTGACTCCATGATCTGCCTGCCTTAGCCTCCCAAAAGTGCTGGGATTACAGGTGTGAGCTACAGTGCCCGGCCATAATTGTGATTCTTTAACTATGAAAACAATATTTTAGGCCAGGTGCAGCGGCTCACACCTGTAATCCCAGCACTTTGGGAGGGTGATGCAGGTGGATCACCTGAGGTCAGGAGTTTGAGACCAGCCTGGCCAATATGGTGAAACCCCGTCTCTACTAAAAAATACAAAAATTAGCCGGTTGTGGTAGCCCATGCCTGTAATCCAGCTACTCAGAAGGCTGAGGCATGAGAATCGTTTGAAACTGGGAGGAGGTTGCAGTGAGCCAAGATCACCCCACTGTACTCCAGCCTGGACAAAAGAGCAAGAAGACCCTATCTCAAAAAAAAGAAAACAATATTTTAATGTATTTGTATGTCACTATGATGCATCTCACTACACCTATACAGAAAAGTTCTGAACCACTAAAAATTCCTCTTAATGGCAGAAATTCAATTTGCATCCACATACAGATAATCCCTACCCTTAACCACTGTATACATTTATCATACTGCCTTATATATCGTAGGCTAATTAATGTCTGTTCAAACTAAATGTCTGAATACATGAATGAAGAGATCAACTTCAATAATCAATTACAGTAACATTTAACTCACTAGTTTAACCTTTACTTTCCTTTAAATTAGCTATTTATATGCCTAAGATGCACAATTAGCTATTCAGATGTCTGAGGGCAGCCAAGTCTAGTAACCAACAGCATAAACTGTGGAACCAGACTCCAGGGATTTTAACCAGAAATTCCACTTTCTAGTTGTGTGACATAATCAAGTTCCTTATCTATGCCTCAGTTTCCCGTGCCTGTAAAAAGGGTAATAATAGTTCCTACCTAAGATTGATATGAGGTTAAATGAATTAATATTTCTAAGGAACTGAGGTGTTTGGCATTATTATGTGTTTTTTGTTAAACCAAAAAAAAAAAATCAATAGCCTTTCTATATTATAAAGCTCTTTGAGGCCGAGTGTGGTGGCTCATGCCTATAAACCCAACACTTTGGGAGGCCGAGGTGGGAGGATTGCTTGAGTTCAGGTGTTTGAGACCAGCCTGGGCTACATAGTGAGCACCCTCTTTAAAAAAAAAAAAAAAACTTTAAAAATAAAAATAAAGGTCTTTGAAGGATGAACCTTATTAAATTCATCCTAGCATACTGCCTAGCATACAGCAGATGACTAATATATGTCTGAAAAATGAACATGGGTATATTTCCTACTAGAAAAGGGATGTTTACACTTTCAAATTAGAGAAGGAACCTTGAGAGAAGCTAAATATAGCACACTGAAAACTGTTGACACATCTTTTAAGAGTAAGAAGAACTTGAAGAATGAAGACACACCTAATGTCCCATTCAATACCCCCTAACAAGGGGAATAATTATGATTTCCTCTGTGACACTGCTATGTCCTGTACACATACACATATAACCCAAGGTTGTAAAAGCAAAACAAGGCTGGGCACAGTGGCTCATACCTGTAGTCCCAGCACTTTGGGAGGTCAAGGCAGGTGGATCACCTGAGGTCAGGATTCAAGCCACCCTGACCAATATGGTGAAACTCTGCCTCTATTAAAAATACAAAAATTAGCCAGGTGTAGTGGCATGTGCCTGTAGTCCCAGCTACTGGGGAGGCTGAGCCCGGGAGAACTGCTTGAATTCAGGAGGCAGAGGTTGCAGTGAGCTGAGATCATGCCACTGCACTCCAGCCTGGGTGACAAGAGCAAGACTCGTCTCAAAAAAAAAAAAAAAAAAAAAAAAAAAAGAAAGAAAGAAAGAAACAAGAAAATTTGTAGTTTCTGTAGAGCATCTCATGCCACTAACCCCAATATAACAAATCCTCTGCTCAACAATAAAAACTGAGTTCTAAAGGAAAATACATTAATATAGCACTTGACAAGTTACAAGTTACAAAGTACTTTTGCATATACTATATCATTTGATTCTCTAAAAAAAAAAAAACAACAACAAAACAGACAAATACTGATACTACCATATCATGTTTTTTTTTTGGTTTTTGGTTTTTTTTCTGAGACGGAGTCTCACTCTGTCACCAGGCCTAAGTGCAGTGGCCTGATCTTGGCTCACTGCAACCTCCACCTCCTGGGTTCAAGCGATTCTCCTGCCTCAGTCTCCTGAGTAGCTGGGACTACAGGCATGCACCACCACACCCAGCTAATTTTTGTATTTTTAGTAGAGACGAGGTTTCACCATGTTGGCCAGGATGGTCTCCATCTCTTGACCTTGTGATCCACCTGCCTCGTCCTCCCAGAGTGCTGGGATTATAGGCGTGAGCCACCATGCCCGGCCCATATGCTGTTTACAGAGGGAAAAAACTGAACCTCAGGGGAGATACTTGCTTAAAGCCTGCGCATTTATAAAGTAACATAGTAGAGATTCCAACCCTGGTCTTCTGGGCTTTAGATCCCAAATTCTTTCCTTCTCTTTTCATTATAGTAACAAAATAATAATAATAACAAATATTAATTAGTCATAATTGTCCATGTAGAAATTAAAACTTAAAAGCTTCCAAATTCATTGAATTTCTTGACACAATTTAAGGACTAATGTATAAAAAAGAGCTTGGCTAGGATTTCCTAATTACTTCAGAAGTTTTGGAAAACTCCATAAATTTATTGTAAACTGATTAACTCAATACTACAGTAAAGCATGTTTCTGAAACAGCTGTTTCAATGATTCAGAAATGAAAGCAAGTATCACTAATGTATGTACTTCCCTATTACCACATATTAAAACTAAAATTCATTTTGCCGGGCATGGTGGCTCACACCTGCCATCTCAGCACTTTGGGAGGCTGAGGTGGGCAGATCACTTGAGGTCAGGAGCTCGAGACCAGCCTGGCCAAGATGGTGAAACCCCGTAAAAATACAAAAGTTAGCCCAGTCTGGTGGCACACGCCTGTAGTCCCAGCTACTTGGGAGGCTGAGACAGGAGAATCGCTTGAACCCCGGAGGCAGAGGCTGCAGTGAGGCAATATGACACTACTGCACTCCAGACTGGGTAAGAGAGCAAGATTCTGCCTCATAAATAAATAAATAAATAAAACTAAAATCCATTTTAAAAGTCCTTTTATCTAGTACTAAGCATCACCCCATAGTAACAAAGATGCTTATCAGTGAACCTGGCTAGGAAAGCCGCTTTTTGCTATTTGAGTGCCCACAAAAACATAAAAATTAATCAACTTTATTAATGCAGTATCCTCAGTATTCACTGAGATTTCTAAGGTCTGTCATTTATTTCATTCTATCTCAACACAAATGTCATACCTTCCCTCCCACTCCCAGTTTCCACCCAATAGGTTTCCTTCCCTTTGTTTAGTGGACTACAAGTCCCCGCTAACCATCTCTAGCTGTAAATAGGGTCATTATGAATACACATCCACAATGTAAATAAACTTAGAAAAGGAACAAAAATATGTCAGCCAGATTAAATTTCTCTAAATTAAATATACCTTTGCAAAACTGTCATTTCCTAAAATTCACAAAGTTAGCTATTCAACAAAACAATAATCATTTGTCTTTTGAAAAACAAAGTTCAGAAAGTACATACCTGAAGGATTCTGAACAAATCCAGGATTTTGTGGATGAACTGGTAAAAACTGTTGTCCTTGACCAAAAGCTACTGGCTGAGCAACACCACTCAGAACCTTTAAGAAAAACCTTAATTTTAAGAACATGCTTTCTATATTTCAAGTAAAACTTTTAACATCCTAATTACATAAAAATATTCATAGATGTCACAAGGCCTGGCTTATAAATAAAGATTTAGAAAGATAACTTGGCTGCATCACTTCACTTCTAGGTCTTCTACAAACAGGAACAATAAAACCTTCCCTTATCTGTTTCATAGAGGTATAAGTTACTGAGAATGGGTTAAAACTTCTTTGAAAAGTTTAAGGTACCTACTAGAGAGGCAAAGTAGCCCCCCAAAAAGGAAACTGTAAGATACCATGCAAATATAAGGTAACTAGCTGTGTTACTTTACACAAGTCACTTTACCTTGCTGGTGCTTTCCCTTATTTTACAAATAGAAGAACTGACATAATGCAATATGATCTATACACAATCACAAGGGCTAGTTAGGAGCAAAACTGAGGCCAGAACTCCTAACCCTTGCCACTTTTCCACAGATATCAAAAGCCTGTTCTAATTAGCATTCTGAATTACCAAGCAGGTAAGCATCTTGCTTGGCCATCATCTTTGCACATGGTTATAGCCACATTACAAAGTAATCTTGTAAAAGGTCTTGTAAAAGATGTCAAAGGGAATGTTAAAAAACAGAATAGTCATGGAGCAAGAACTATACTGGCATACAAATACAGCATTTGCAGTCCAGAGGGAGGCAGGACTTCTACATATTGCTGGTATGTGAATAAATATCCATTTATAATCCTTGTTCAGTATACATGTGGACTTTTGGTAGTGAGTACACATAATAAAAACCCCACCGATTCTGTGTAATGTAGAAACAAGACTAAGTAAGTACCATTCTAGAGTATCTGTCAATAAGAGTATCATTTCTTTCAAGGATATACAGTAGAGTAAATCTAGGCAAGCCAACTGTTTTTTCGTACCATTAGAGATGAACAGAAGGACTACTTTCTATCAATAATGTTCCTAATGTACTTTTAAAATCTTTCTTATTTTGTATTTTCTTCCATGCAATCTTACTACTATAAAATAAATCTGTCATAGTAAGAAAATGTCTGCACCTGGAAAAGAAGTAAAACTCAGCCTAGGAGAATTTCAGCACGCAAGCAAAAGTAGTCATTCAAAACCAACCGAATTAATCACAAATTGTAAACATACTGCCTTAAAGTTGTCTCAGTATGCATTTTAAAATGTATACAGAACAAGTGTGAAAGAATACCAACAGGTAACAGTGCATGTTTCGTAACCAGAGTGTATTTGGAAGGCTATTCGCTATGTTGTCATTAATATCAAACAATTGTGTTTAACTGAAGTGACTGGAAAGGTGGTAAAAAGTAGGAAAAAAGGACCAAAAAAAAAGAATTGTAGACTGTGAAAGCAGGGACACAATTTGATCTTCTTATTTAACTCAGGTTAAGGAAATTCTTGGTCAAAGAACAGTTCAATCAATTCTATGGCTACCTTAAAGCACGTCAGGGCTCAACAGTTCTGCAATGTAGAGGTCTATGACACACAATTGTATAATATCTCAAAAGCTTTAAAGCAAAAAAAAAGGAAAAAGAAAAAACAGAGCTGGAGGTGGGGGTTTGATTGAGATATTTCCCTAGATCCTGAAAGAGCTAAAATCAATTTTGGATTTAAGTTGCAAATTTCATCCCCAAAAGATGCTCATCCCACTTCCTTAGCATGTGGCTTTAGAGTACATTAAAAACTTCTTTCCAATCTACACAATAAACTATGTCCTGAAAACCCTCCTAGAAACATTAAAAAATGGTTAACTTATCTGCATACAACGCAATTTTAGAATAACAGACTTACCTGTTGAGATGCCTGAATATTTCCTACTGTCATTGGAGCAGGTATATTGCCAAAGTTTCCAAATTGAGAACTCTGAAGATTTTTTTCATCAAAATAGTGTCCAGAAGCTCTGTTAAGTGGATTAGAGAAACTCTGGTTTCCAGGGCCATGTGGTCCATTAAAATTTGGTCCTTGAGGTGAATCAAATATTTGTTCATGTCTTTGGAACTGTAGTCCTTGGGATGGGGCATTAAAAGCATTGCCAGGTGGATCATTATATGGACCAGTCTGATTGAAAGATACTGATTCAAGCCTTTGTGAAGGATGATTGTCAAATCTTGTGCCTTGAAGACCAAGAGGAATATCAAACCTTGATGCTTGCTGATGTTGTGGACCATCAAATCTTTGAGGTACACCGTCAAATCTGGGTTGAACCTGCTGTCCAGGTGGTCCATCAAACCTCTGAGGGCCTGGCTGACCAGGAGTCCTTTCAAATCTAGGACCTGGCTGACCATGTAATCCATCAAATCTTGGCAAGAGTGACGGCTGACCTGGCTGCCCATCAAACCTTAAAGCATGACAACCTTCAAATCTTGGACCACCTTGACCCAGAGGCCCTTCAATTCTCAGGCCACCTCCTGGTACAGAAGGACCCTCAAACCTCATTCCACCTCCTTGTTGGACTAAAGGGCCTTCAAACCTGATACCAACCCCTGGCTGACCATGTGGACCCTCAAACCTAAGGTTCCCACCAAGTTGATTATGTTGTCCCTCAAATCTCAGACCAGCTACTGACTGACCATGGGGGCCCTCAAACCTCATTCCAACCCCTTGCTGTAGCAAAGGGCCCTCAAATCTGATTCCACCTCCTGGCTGACCATGAGGTCCATCAAACCTAATCGCAGCCCCTGATGGACCATGACCCCCCTCAAATCTAAGTCCACCTACAGGCTGACCTCGGGGATTATCAAATCTAAGTCCACCCACAGGCTGACCATGAGGTCCCTCAAACCTTAGACCACCCACAGGTTGACCACGATGTCCCTCAAACCTCAGACCACCCACAGGCTGGCCTCCTGGTCCCTCAAATCTCAAACCACCTGGAGATCCCTCAAACCTCAGACCAGGGGAACCTTCAAACCGAAAACCACCTCCTCCTGCTTGACCAATTGGGCCCTCAAACCGCAGAGGTGTCCCCACTGGTCCTGGAGGACCTTCAAATCTCAAAGGACACCCACCTCCTAGCTGACCTTGTGGCCCCTCAAATCTCAAAGGGCCTCCTCCCCCCATTTGTCCTGGTGACCCATCAAACCGAAGAGAAGCTGGTGTGGGAGGTCCATCAATTCGAGGGCTTAATTTATTGGGTCCTTCAAAAATCATCTTCGTTGGGCCATCTCTTGCTACTGATGGCCTACTAGGTCCATCAAATAACGGTCTGTCTTCAGCTAAAGCTGTAAGTCGCTGATTTGTATCCAGGCCGGCGAATCTTGATGCTGGACTATCTACAAATGGTTTATCTGAATCTTCATATCGAGGTCGCTTAAGTGGAAAACGATCATTGAATGGAGATCTCTGCTCTTCTCGCACACCTTTTAAAAAGGAAAAAAATTATTTTCACTAAAGTTATCTTAAAATCTTCTATTTTCGTATGAATGTTTATCCAAATATATAACTATCTCACTACATTAGAGGGGCAGGAGAGACCGACAGCGTAAAGCAGCAGATAAGAGGATGCCCTCTAGAGTCAGACACACCTGAGTAACAAAAAAATTACCATCCTATCAACATACTAATTATTTCATTTTGAGAGCAAGTTATTTAACCTCTCTTTTATTTCCTATCTGTAAAATAGGGAGAATATACACTTCATTGTATTGTTGTGAGGATTAAATCAAATTACATATAAAAAATACCTAATGAAGTACCTGACACACAACTGGCCTTAGAAATATTAGCTCCCTTCCCTTCCCTTTCCTTAAAGGGAAAAAACATAACAAAATAAATGGGAAAAAAAATGGTAATCTGAACAGTCACAAAAATCCATCCCCACTTAGCTTGTTCATTTTCCCTTCACTGCTGTGTGATTCAATAGGCATAATCTGATTTAACTTTTTCTACCTTTAGCAGAGACTTGCTCGTCATGTCTTCTCCGGCCCTCATGGGGTGAAAGATTCTCAGCATAAGTACGACTCCCAGATATAGGAGAAAGACGTCTTGCTCTTTCACTAAATTGTTCTTTTCTGTCAAACTGTGCTCCACTATTCCTACTTGCATGTTTACTTTTGGATGGCTCACATTCTATTCCAGACAACAAGGCATCAGTCAAAGGGTAGTCAAAAATATCAGGATCTAAGAGATCAAGTCTTGGAAATGAATGCTGAACCTGTGTCCTTTTCAGTTTTGCTTTATGTTCATAGTAGGTTAATTCAGCATCAGATAAGAGAGGTTTCTTTTTTAATCCACCTTTATTTTCTTCTGTAGGACTATCCCGTACATTGCATCTATGTTTACCTTCTTGATACTGAAATAGCTGTCGAATTTGATGCACAACAACAAGGAAGTCATCCTGTGTAATTTCACCAGATGCTAAACGTTCACTCGTCTGTATAGGGGTGATAAAAGGAAATAAAATATTTTAAATATAAAAAAATACCAAAAAAATAGACGATAGATAATGATGACTACATGGGATTAATCATAGTAACTACCTTTTGAAGTAATTCTCTTTTGCTTGCAAGAGTTAACTCTTTAGGAATCTGAAGATTGGCATCTACACTTAATCGATGCTGTTGCTGCTTTGGGGCTCGAGGTGATAAAATTCCTTTAGTGCTTGACCAGCTCTCCCTATGCCTCAGATGAGGAGGTTTACTATGTTCATCAACCTGTTGTAAGCTGAAACCATAAAAGCAGTATGTTACATTGAAATGTTTTTTTAAAAAATACTCAGGACCATATTTAAAGATTCTTTTCAAAGGATATGGTTAAAATGGGCATATGTAACCACAAAAAGTAATTAAATAAATGATTAAGAGCACAAAATATGAAATCAGCAAAAACAGATATGAATTCTGATTCTTGCATGTCCTGGACTGCAGCCTTAGGTAGATTAGTTAACCTTTCTAAACTTCAGTTTCCTTATCTGTAAAATAGAAATAATAATAGTATTTAACCCACAGAGATGTAAGAATTAGATGGAAAAAAAGTACTAATAGCACCTAATAAACATTTTCCAATTTTTAAATTAACACTATCTTTTGAAACATATACACTACTACACTTGACTTAAAATGTTAACATCATACCTTTTATTTTCTTCCCAACCAGATTTCCATCTTTTGGCAGACTTGGAACTTTGCCAGTTTTCTACATTCTCCTTTGGTTCAGTGCCTGACTTTGTAGAATGCTGATTTGTAGTTTCTTGTGGTCGCTCCTCTTCAGTCTTTTTCATTCGCCTTGGATCCCGAATATCCTGTTTAGTACTTCTCTTAGCATTTCTGTCTTCCCTAGAAGGTGGTGTAAACTCTTCCATATGTGACTGCTTAGCTCCAGATTGGCGAATCTTTCCAGCTTTAGGTGTCGATGTTGGAGACATACTTCTTTGCCTTCGTTTGGGTGACCGCCTATCTCTTCTCTTTGGGGAATGTATAATTGGTGACCTAGACTTGGGTGATCGAGATCTTGATCGCTTTCTAGTACTCGATCTCCCTGGTTTTGTCCCCTGTTTTTCTGACTCTTCTGTTATTGTATCCTGTTTTTGTACAATGCCATTTATGATTTTATTTCTACTTCCAGCCAGTCTGTGTTCGGATGACTTCATGTGCTCATCTTTATCCTTTTTTTCTGCAGTTTTTCTCTTCTCTTTCACATCATCATCTTTGCCATCGGTCTTATCCTGAAGATGTTTTTTTAATCTTGGATCTCTCTTGTTCATATCAGACAACCTCATACTTTCCGATTCTTGATTTTTCAAGTCTTTTGTGTGAGATAATTTGTTTTTCAAAGGTGAGGGTGATTTCGATTTCGATTTCGATTTAGAATCTAATTGGTCAAGTTCTTTCTTGGTTATTTTTTCACCTGATTTACTTTTTTCTTGCTTGGATGAATTTAGTTTTTCAGAGGGTATAGTTTTACTTGTCTTAGTATCAGACTGGTTTAATGTGTTCATTAGAAATTCTTTCCTGTGACTCTGATCTTTTCCATGAGAATGTTGGCTTATCCTGTTCAGACGAGGATCCCGGTTAGTTCCTTTTAAATCCTGAATTTGTAAGGATGGTCCTGGACGGCTTTTCTCAGATTGCACAGGAACCTGATGAGGAGCTTTAACTGCCATAGGGGGAATCTGTGAAACATGTAATTTGGATGGTGCAGATCCAGGACCTAAATTGGATGTTTCCTGCTGAACACTAAGAGAAACTGCCTAAAACACAAAATAAATGTTCATGTTAACACTGCAGAACATGCAGATTGTCAAGAAATTGCAAACAACTGAAGAAGATAATGCTTTATTCAATAAATATATTTACTCAACACTACATTTAAATTGTACACTTATAATGTATAAATTGAGATTACAATGAAAAGAAAAAGTCCATGATTTAAGTTGCCCATTATTTCTTACTAGTATTTTTTGAGACTTTATAATATAATCTCTAAATAGAATGAAAAAAAATTGTTTCTCTTCCTTATTGTTCAGGATTCTGAGCCATACTGCTCCTAAGAAATTGCTAAATCACTACACTCCGGCTGCACAAGAATCAGAGTCATTTCAGCTAAATTCTAAGTCCTAAAATTTAGTTTCTCCCAAAGTGGTGCTATTAATGAACTTATAAAATTCTGCCTTCCTGCACCTCACTGTCGAATAAGCTCAGATGCTAAGCAAAATAACTTAGTATAAAGTCATTTATGTGTAGAAAGATATAATCTTCCTGGCCTCCTTAATTTTGTCATTTCTGTTCATGGAGCATAAGCTCATAAAACATTAAAGACTATGCAAAAATATTTGCCACAACATGCCTACCATCTTGGGACTGAAATATTAAGTCCACATAATGTAATGATTAAACAAAATTAAGATGCTATTTTATAAGATAGCAATCTAACAGAAAACTGTTTGGAGGAAATAGTGTAGTTTTGTAGTTTTTGGAGGGTTTTCTTGAGACAGGGTCTTGATCTGTCACTCAAGCTAGAGTGCAGTGAAGCAATCATAGCACACTGCAGCCGCAAGTGATCCTTCCAACTCAGCCTCTCGAGTAGCTGGGATCACAAGGATGCACTACCCCACCTGGCTAATTTTTTTTTTTTTGGTAGGGCCTCACTATGTTGCCCAGGCTGGCCTCAAACTCCTAAACTCAAGCGATCCTCCCACCTCAGACTTCCCAAGTGTTGGGATTACAGGCATGATCCACTGCGCCTGGCCTATGCAGTTTTTAATCAAGTGAATTTTACAATAAAGATATAAAAGTATAGTCTAATAAATATACTCATTTGTAAAATAAAAGTGAAAAAAGAGTACACTATTAATAAAAGTAACATGTTAATAAAATTCAAACATAAACATTACTTCCCTATTGTTAGACAGGTTTAAAATATTTAAAATGACAATCTCCCTTACTTACCAACTGTGCCTTAGCTTGCTCTAGCTCAAGCTCCAGCTTTTTCTGCTGAAGTTCTAACAACTGTTTTTGCTTTGCCAGTAACTGCTGCCTTATTAGTTGTTCTTGTGTAAGATTCTTTTGTATATCAGGAACAATTGGAGGAGTGGAGATGCTAGGGGAACTGACCACTGTACCAGGTGTTGAAGGCTCCTCGGGCTATAAGAAAAGACAATTTGTTTAAGAAAAACGTATCAGCTAAAACGGAAGCTAGGGAGTAAAAATTATCAGCTTAACTCTTAATATGATCCAAATTCCTATCACACAGAAAACTTATCAGAAATTTAAAACCCAAAATAAATGTTACATAATACCTAAACAAGGTGAATATATTTCTAAATAAAAATTCCAAACATATACACACTATTTTTTTTTTTTTCAAATTGAACCAATTCACTACCGAGTATTCTATTTTGACTTTCTGGCAGTAAGTTCTGCAGAAGAATTCAAAATGTGATACTTAAAAGTATGTTACTTACTATTCATATTAAAACTTACCGATTTATTTAAAAATTTAGGATTCACATGGATGCTAGACGTATTCACATTGGGGGGTAGAGGTTTAATAGGCCAAGCAGGATCTAATGAATTGACTCTGACATCCAGGGCATAAAGTTTCTTCAAAGGGAATATTTCATCCCATGTAGAACGTAACTTAAATAAACTTTTCCTAGTATTTTCATCCACCTAGAACAACAGAACAATTCTATGGCTTGTTAAGTTACTATAGAATATTTTATATATTAAATATAAGTTATATAAATCTGCTCTACTTCACATACAGAACTGTACTACCCATTGGTAAGTATATACAACAGTAATAATTTATTAAAGGTGCATTTCTCCTTCAAAAACAGAGTAATTAAAACCATTTTCACCTAGCCTTCATGCAAGCAACCAACCAGGTGAGCCTTTCTATATACAAAACGTTTCCACATCTTAGAGCTTAGTATAATATTCCTAAAGTTACTCTTTCTCTGGGAAAAAAAAATGTAAGACAACTAGAAAATATAAAACTAAAAAATATAAAACAACTAGAAAAATTGATTACCTGATGGCTTAAATGTTTTAAATTATTTACATAGTAGTACAAAGTTAAAATTAAAGCAAAACTATCTCACTAACTAATGCTCAGCAATACTATATGGTTGGGTACATAGGAACAAGATATTGTGGTGTGGAAAGCACTTTAACAACTGAAATTCACAAAATCTTAACCACTGATAAGCCTTAGTTTTAAATAACTTTTCTGTTCAGGTTTGTGATGGCGTAAAAATGTTTAGAAAATTTGCCATTGCCAGGCACGGTGGCTCACGCCTGTAATTCCAACACTTTGAGAGGCCGAGGCAGGTGGATCACCTGAGGGAGTTCAAGACCAGCCTGACCAACAATGGTGAAACCCCGTCTTTACTAAAAATACAAAATTAGCCAGGCATGATGGCTCATGCCTGTAATCCCAGCTACTCGGGAGGCTGAGGCAGGAGAATCACTTGAATCCGGGAGGCGGAGGTTGCAGTGAGCCGAGATTGTGCCATTGCACTCCAGCTTGGGCAACAAGAGCAAAACTCCATCTCAAAACAAAAAAAAGAAAAAGAAAGAAAATTCGCCATCAAGAAACCTAGGACTTGGGAAAACTGAGTTAGATTTTCAACATTAGGATAGACAGTAAAGCCTTAACTATATTCATAAGTCTTCAGATAATAATGTATTTATTACAAGGTCATTTTAATCAACTGTCATGTTAATGCCCAGTTAGATTCAGTAAAGGTATGCTACCAAACACCCAAGTGAATTTGAACATACTGAAACCGAAACCAAGAGGTTGGTTAAGCTTCTCCTTAAGACTACAGCCTCTGGTTAGCAGTATTCAGCAAATGTCTACAATATTCTATTAACAAGCATTTTAATGCTATATGATATAGAGCTTTCCAGATTTCTTCTGCATATACTGTTTTTCTCTAAGAACTTAAAAACATTTCTCAAATAGCAACTACTTATTTTCTAATAAACATGTAAAATCTAATACTGAATAGTTCTTCCAAAAAAAATTCCAATTCTACAAATCTGACAACTGACACACAGGTGTTCATCTACTAAAATATAATAACTACCACCAAATATTGACGTTAGGAAACAATCTTTAAACCTAAGTATCTCATAAGTGCCTTTTTGTTCAATGTGAAAGATATAGCCTGACAGGCAGAGAATTACCTCAGCAAATCCCTTGTCCTCCTCAACATAATACTGCTTTAACCAAACCACCATGTTACAGTGTTATGGAAGAAATTTACAATCTCTAGATATGAAAAATAAGCCTAATTTCTGAACACTAAGGTAGGGGCAAAAGTATTTCCAGAATAACCAACAGCAATTAACTGGTCCACCATTCACACATACCAACAACATTCACCTAAAACATACCTTGAACAATGTAACAAAAGTAAACATTTCCAGAAAACAAAACAAAAAAACACACAAGTTTCAGGAACCAATCACAGGTTGAGACACTGAGGGATTATGCTTTTTACCCCCCCAAGAGAACAGTCAACATCCTAACACCAGAAATGTAAACAATGAAATTTTAATTACTCTTGACGATTTCAGATCTTTTTGCCTGGTTTGTAAGTGATGAAACAGATGTTCAAATGAACACACTCAATTTTTTTAAAAAGCACAATTCTAAAAGCAAATCCATCTATTCTTAAATGGATAATGTAAACCCCTAGAATCTGTTCTAAAAATCTAACATAAAACATTAACTTCAGCCTCTTTCTTTGAAATGGTACTAACGATAAATGTCCAAAAGTATAAAACATTTCACCACCCAAGAAAACCCAACACAAAGCAAATATTTATTTAATCAGGAACACATTTTTTAAAAAAAAACGCAAATGTTTCTAAATGCATATGTACCTTTTCAAACACACAAATAAATGTTGCAACTAGATTTTTAGTAAAGGCAGTGAGATACTCTCTTCCAACGTTTTTCACAATAGAATCCATAAGGTACATAACAGGAAGCTTCTCTGAGGAAGGAGCCTGAATAAAAAGAAACTGAGAAGTTTAGTATAATGAATTACCACCAAATAATTATTTAAAAATGAGTTTTTAAACCTACAATACAGACCTCTATTTTTGTTGATACTAAATATTTTTGAAGTAATCTTTATGAAACTTAAGTGTTCAATCAAGCTCTCAACTCTCACAATCCTTAGTTGAGCACAAAAAAGCTCAGAATTACCAGGATGAACAACAGCTGTAATCCCTAATATACTCATTTAACACTCAATGAAATTTCAAGTTCATGTGGTAAAAAGACCTGTGTTTTAAGTGACAAAAATAAGGAGGAGGCGAGGGAAAATTACTTTATATAATCCAAGTGTCAGTTTTGTGACCCATATTAACTTACAACGGTGTGCCTACACTCAAAGCAGTTTTTAGACCTCTTGTAGAAACTAATTTCCATGGGCATATTTTATATGTTCAAGTCTATGAAGCTTTTGTTACCTGTAAAATCATTAGGATTACTTCTCTATAATCCAAATGAACAAAAATTAAAAACACTTCACCTAGGAAGTCAATGGCAAAACACTGAAACTTGCACACGAACATGCAGGAAGTTGCAAGTTTGTTACTCAGACAAGAAAAACTGGATGGAGCAGCCGCTGAATCATGTAAATCAGGTTGAACTTGACTCTGGAAACCAGGATTTGTCCTGAAGATTTTCTTCACAGCCTGGACTCTCCGCCGAGATATTTTCCTCTGACATGCACAAACCAGGGGTTATAAATTTGTGCAGAGCCAGTGTGGTGATGCTGATACAGGTGGCCCTTTCCAAAGTAAAGAAATGTTGCCCCAGTTCAACTGCAATGCCTACCCACCACTGGCTTTTAGAAGGCACAGCAAGCTTCCAGAAAGCATCAGCAGGTTCACAGACTTGTTGAGGAGCATTAAGACACACCATAATAGTTTTAACTCTGACTCCAAAGGAGCACCCATGATTTAAAATAAAAAAAAAAGACAAAAAAAAAAAAAAAAAAAAAACTTAGGTTATCCCCATTTACCCACCCCACGTGTATAGGAATCTTAACCCTAAGTAACACTTACCCATAGCTGCCTGAAGCTAGGGTAGGCTCACAGTTCTGGAGTACACAATGCCATCATATATAATAAAACCAATTGCCCATACAAGTGTGTGGAAATGCTCTTGCTTCTGATAACACCTTTACAACCAAAAGTTGGCTAAGGGAAGCTTTGAATAACTTTGTATGAAAAATTTCTTTTAAGGTACTGTCTAATAAAAGGGTTCACCCACTGCATGTGGGTCAACTATATTAAGTACGAACATGTCAAATGGTTTACTGCTGTGTCTTTACCTTACCATGTCATGTTTTACACCATTTTAGTCATTATTGTACTTATGAAGATAAACAGGCTCTCTTAAACACCAAAGTCTGTTAAGTAGGCTAATTTTTTATTGTACAAGTGAAGTCCTTTTATGTATTATTTTTCGCTACTGCTCTCTCTTGGGAGGAGTCAAATTAAGTGTGAATCCTTTAAGTTTAGTAACGCAGAGAAGCTAAAGAATAAGGACACAAACATTCACCTCCAAAACACAAAACCAGGCCAGTTTGCTACCAAATAACGGAAATCCCTCCCCTCACCCTCGATCCCAACCCAGATTAAGATAGATCCCCCAAAGTGACTTTTACATCTTTTCCTCAACCTGGCTTTACAAAAATAACCAGGAAACGTGTGCCCCCAAAATTTCAGCTGTCTTTTACCAGCAAAGAGCTCATCTATTTTCATCACTGTGTAGCGA
The DNA here is from genome assembly GCF_000001405.40 of Homo sapiens. Lineage (NCBI taxonomy): Eukaryota > Metazoa > Chordata > Mammalia > Primates > Hominidae > Homo > Homo sapiens. The sequence continues at coordinate 83,159,543 of NC_000011.10, read as the reverse complement.
TATACAAACACAAGTTTTATGTGGTCACTATATTCAGCATTTAGTTTTCGGTTCTCGAAGGTCTTCCGGATCCATTAAAAACCAGCAAGGTTCTTTGAGTGACAACCTGAGCTGCTAAATATTAGGCGCTGTGGAATATTAAATCCCAAGATACGAGGTAATTAGATTTTAAAAATCAATGTTTTTGCCTTAAAAACACAAGTGCTTTAAGGCATTTAATGTCAAGTTAAGCCTTCAACAAGGCAAAAACTAAGTTTTCATGTCCAAGATGTTTGTGGTATCAATAAAAAGCATGTTGAGTATGACGAATGCTTCCTTTTTAAATCTCACACTTAAAAAAAAAAGCTGTTTTACATACACTTTCACAGGAAAAAGTGAACGAAAACTTGTATCTTAGCTGTCAGACTGAGCATGATAAACTTGTTGAGGTCCTTAAAAGGAAAAAGAAAAAAAACCCTTCCTTTTCGTCCTCTTTAAATTATGAAAGGACCACCTGAAACCGTGTATCTTGTGAAGAGGTTTACCCAAAAGAGTGGATGGAACCTAAAGAAGAATGAACCCAAGTCACTTAAAGACTTTTGTTTAAAACACACAACCACGTAGATAAAAATAAGTCTTGGAAACAGATTCTACACCTTACAAAGGTAAATAAAAAAGACAAATACATATTTTATATGTTTTATTCACAAATTTTATAATACCAGTCACACATTTCAAAACCATTTATTAGAGTCAGACCACTCAAGTTTTACACTAGACAGAAACCGTCTCTAAACAATATATTGGTGGTTGTTGTTAAAGTGGCCTTTAAAAAGGGGTTCACTCTGCTAAAAGGAGGCTCATCCTGATAATTGCAATCACTAACAACTAGAAAAAACTAAACCGTGAGTACAAGCTTGAAAAATAAAATGTAGCACTGGGACGCTATTAAAACTCATTGTAACTAAGTTGAACAGTAACTTTACTTAAATGACATATCGCTCCCATATGAATCCACAGAAGAGGAGGACTACAGGGAAATATAAGGTGGCAGAGGACCACTTCTGTCAAGGGGTAAAGAAAAACACTCCTTCGCTATCAGGGAAGGGAGAAAAAGAGAAAAGGAAGAGGAGGAGGGACTGAACTTTTCAGAGAAACTGCAAGTACTTGTTACCCTCTGGGCCAGTTCTCCACCTACAGGTTGGATAAGATCTCCTCCCCCCACCCAAACCCCACCCTCAACCCCACTTGCCCCTATTTTGGGACAAATTAGACCCTCCAATAGGAGAATAAAAGTTTTATCTAGCCGCCCCCACCCCAAAATGGGGCTGACGGGAGTGAGCAGCTGCCTGGCTGGCAGGGAATGGATTCTCCTCTCTTCCCTTTCGCATCATGTGCTTTTCAGGCGCCATGTTGGGCTCCTAACAGGCGGCTGCTCCACTCGGGGCCAAATCCCTATTCCCACCCACCAACAGCTCGCTCCCAGGTCCCCCTTCACCTCCTTCCAACCCACAGAACACAATTACCAAAAAGGGTGCTTGGGGAAAATGGGAGACCCACTCTCCCACTTCCCAGGGAATTAAAATGGCTTATGTTAACTCTTACTTCCCCAAACCACAAACTGCCTTTAAGTCTCCCCCACCCCAAAGGGCTCTATTCAAAGCGTGTGTGTGTCGGGATATACAATGCGGTGGCCTAAAAAGGGAGTTGGAAAGCGGAAGTGGGACTCCACCCTTTATCCTCCCCACTCCCTCCCCCCCAGAGGCCCATGCTCGAAGCCTGGGCCAAAGACCGAGCCTGAGTTGGAGGGGGGTGGGGGGGTTGGAGAGAAGGAACACTGTCCCCCTTGGGATGGAAGCGAGACCTGGGATGAGGCTGACACTAAAATCAGGGAGTATTAGAAGTAATAGGAGGCTGCGGGGTGTATAAAAACCTTGGCGGTTTGGGCCTCGATGAGAGAGACGATCTCCTTGGCGAAGGGCAGGTTCTCCTCGGCTAGAATGGTCAGCATATTGATGTGCGGCTTGCTATTGAAGGTCAGGTCTTCGAGCGATGACTGATAATCCCGACAGGCGTCCTCCCGGGCCCCCGCAGCACCGGCCTCGGCCGGCGTCTGCTCTGACATTGCGCCGCGGCCCCCCTCCGAGGTCCGCTGCAGCTGAAGCTGAAGCCGCTCTGGATACCCCGCCTCCCTTCCGACTCCTCTTCCTCTCCCCGGCTCTCTCGCGGCTCCGGCTTCACCACATGCTGACCGCGGAGGGGGGATGGGGGACGACACAGGGGGAACCTCGGGTATGAAACGCCGCCGTCTCGCGGGTGATCTCCGTCCACTTCCAGCCGCCACAGAAGCTTCTTTCTCCACAGACACAAAATGGCGGCGGCAGTGGCGGCTCCAGCTCCGAAAATGTCTGTGTTCCCAACCGCTGCGTCGTGCGAAATGAACTAGGGGAGGGGAAATGTGCGGTAAAAGGGCGGGGCCACTGATAAAACCAGGCGTGATTGGCTGTCCCGGCAACGTCACGAGCCCCGCCCCCGGCCCTTCCGCAGGACGCCCTGGCACCGCCTTCTTCTCCGGCCTCTACCCGGACTTTCGCAACATCTACTGCTCGGAGGCGCACTGGAAAAGACGGCCCTTCTCATTGGCCGATTCATAAGGGACTGTTCGGTCATTTGTTACCATAACAACCCATTCAGGGAAGCCAATAGGCCTGGGAAGGCAGTTCCCGCGGCCCAACCCAACCACTTTGAGAAGAAGACTCAGCCGTCCCCTCTTCGTCCCTCCCTCTAGCTTCCCAGCCACTGAGCGGGCCTGTCAATCATCTTTCCTCCCGCCTGCCCCGTAGCTGCTACCGACGGTGGGGGTTGGAGGGAGCGGGGGTTGGAGGGAGCGGAGGCTTTCTGCCGCCGCACCCCCTCTCCCTTAGCGTCTCAGGTGCTCTGGAGAGCCAGGGCGGGTCCAGCTGCCCCTCTGGGAACTGGGAAGTGGGAGGGAGGTGCCCAATTTACCCGGAACTTCGGAAAGCACTGCTGGAGAGTTTCTTCCAGCACGCCGCTTCCCACACCCACAAAAATACCTAGGCGAGCTTGCCTGACTTGAATCCCCAGGAAAATGCCTTTTATTTAGAGATTAAGTGTGAAAGGCTTTTTCCTTGGGGGTTTGGAGGAGCTCTTTAAGGAGCCCACTATGAGCTCTAGGAAGAGTTTTTCACAACAGCCACACCCAGCTGGACCGTAATATCTCCACTGTGAATCTGCATTTCAGAACCTCCTTAGCATACACTATTTGGGGCACGTAGGAAAACACACACGCGCATGCACTTTTGTTTTAAACTTGTGGGGCTGTCTTCCCAGGTTGGAAATGATGCTCGTAAAACACACAAAGCTTTCAAATAGTTCACCGTGGAGCTGCGACATAACACAAACCAAACGTAATTTTTTCATTGAGTAGCGATATTGACCTAAATATAAGCTTTTAAAATGTGTCAATTACGGGCTGGGCGCGGTGGCTCACGCCTGTAATCCCAGCACTTTGGGAGGCCGAGGCGGGCGGATCACGAGATCAAGAGATCGAGACCACCCTGGCCAACATGGTGAAACCCCGTCTCTACTAAAAATACAAAAATTAGCTGGGCGTGGTGGCGTGCGCCTATAGTAGTCCCAGCTACTCGGGAGGCAGAGGCAGGAGAACCGCTTGAACCCGGGAGGTGGAGGTTGCAGTGAGCCGAGATCACGCCACTGTACTCCAGGCTGGTGACAGCGAGAGTCTGTCTCAAAAAAAAAAAAGTGTCAATTACCTAAAATTGCTTTTCCATTGCCTTCCGTAGGCTACTAGGCATTTGAGAGATAATTTGTTGCTCCCCAGAAGAAATTGCTCTTAAAAAATAAACTTAGCCGGGCATGGTGGCGGCCGCCTGTAATTCCAGCTACTTGGGAGGCTAAGGCAGGATCACTTGAACTCGGGAGGCAGAGGTTGCAGTGAGCCGAGATCGCAACACCGCACTCCAGCCTGGGCGACAGAGTGAAACTCTCTCTCAAAAAACAAACAAACAAACAAACTACTCTTTACTTGTCCCATATAAAGTAACATTTTCATTTCTTCTTTTTGTTTCTTTGAGTTTTTTAGCATCTTTATTGTTGTCTAATTGAAACATAATGAACTGCATAAAGTGTGCTGCAAAGGTTAAGTTTTGACATGTATTTTCCATTTTTTTCTTAGCATGATATCACACATGAATGAAAAGTAAAACCTGGGGAGGAAAACTGGTCTTCCCTCATTTGAAGCTAAGAAGTATTGTTAAATAAGTATTTATAATCTCAATAATTTCACACTATTGTTAGTGGTGCTATTTAGATATACTAGAAAGTTTCAACTAATAACGTCCAAAGGTTTTATTTTCTGGAGGGAAATGACCAGGGTGAAATAGTCCTCTGTTCATTTTCTTTTCATTTTAAAGGTGAATTTCATTATAGAAATGTCTGCCTTTTACAGTTTTTAACTTTCTTTTAACAGCAAAGTGAACTTCTAAAAAAAAAAAAAAAAAGGCTCCAAAGCTCTGATTTGGCTTTTATTGTATCCCTCACAGACTATATACAGAGTAAACAATTAATATATCTTAGCACATAAATCAACAAACTTATGTCCCCACAAATGACATGGAAAACTCAAGAGACTAGCAATCTTATTCAAATCATGTGCTGTACTGTAACAAGCACATTTTTTCTTTAAATACTCAGGACAGGGCACAAACTAGATAACTGGAATTTTAAATACAAATAAGTGCACAAAACTTCTCTCATGGATTTTCACTACCAGTTCTTTCATCAGAATATGCAACGAATTTACTTTCCACCAACATTAAGCCCCGGTTATTTCCTATCTCTATGCTAGGTGCAGTGGTGAACAAGATAGCCCCTTGGCCATACCTTCATGAAATGTATACCTCAATCATAACCTCATGTAGTAATGTGAAAAAGTACTACATTTGTCCAGGAACCAGTGGTATCCCAGGACTATTTTCAATAATCAAATCCACTAATTATTGTGTTTCTGCAGAATATGAAGCATTTCCATTGTTTTTGAGGAAAATAGCTATACCCTTCCCTTGGTTCACAGAGTATTTACAAGAGGAGTTAATTCCTCCTTTAAAAAAATCTCTCAGCCTGGGAGTGGTAATAATTATCAAAAAATAAATTAATTAAATTTTTAATTTAATTTAAATTTTAGAAACCTCTGTTGTATCTAATCAATAACTCTTCTCATGTAAATTTTTTATATCATTAGAAAGACAGAAATGTGGACACTAAACACAAAAGTAGAAAGGACATAGGCCAGGTGCCATGGCTCATGCCTGTAATCCCAGCACTTTGGGAGGCCCAGGAGGGCAGATTGCTTGAGCTCAGGAGTTCAAGACCAGCCTGGCCAACATGGCAAAACCCCGTCTTCTACCATAAATACAAAAAATTAGCTGGGTGTGGTGGTGTATGCCTGTAATCCCAGCTACTCCTTTAAAATTTATAGACTGGGCGCTGTGGCTCACGCTTGTAATCCCAGCACTGTGGGAGGCTGAGGTGGGAGGATCACTTGGGCCCCAGAGGTTGCACTGAGCTGAGATCATGCTACTGCCCTCCAGCCTGGGCGACAGAGCCAGACTGCGTCTCAAAAAAAAAAAAAAGGAAATGAAAATTGAAAGCCAATCCCTTTAAAATCAAATAGTTATCGAGCACTGTCAGCAGGTAGAATTTCCCCCTTTTATATGTAAACCCAGTGTATGTAGATAATATGCAGCAATAATATTTACCTGTTATATATGCATATACATTTATTTATTCTTGCTAGAAATATGTAGTTTACTTATATAAACTTTTTTTATTTTTGGAGACAGGGTCTCACTCTGTCACCCAGGCTGGAGAGTGCAGTGGTGCGACCTCAGGTCACCGCAACCTCTGCCTCCAGAGCTCAAGGGATCCTCCTACCTCAGCCTCCTGAGTAGCTGGGACCACAGGCCTGCACCACTACACCCGGCTAGTTTTTTGTATTTCTGATAGAAGATGGGGTTTCGGCATGTTTTCCAGGCTGGTCTTGAACTCCTGGGCTGAAGCAATCCTCCCACTTTGGCCTCCCAAAGTGTTGGGATTACAGGAGTGAGCCACTGCTCCCTGCAACATTATTATTTACATGTTTTATAACCACAAAAGTAATGCATGCTTATTTTAAAGAATTCAAATACAAGTACACAAAGAAAAAATGAAAATTCCATCTCTCTGCCCTTGGCCATAAGGTAACCACTGCTCACAGTTTAATATCTATCTTTCCATGCCTTTTTCAATGAACGTACACATAAACACAATATGTAAAGCTTTTTTTTTGTTTCTTTAATTTCACCACCTTTCTGACTGGGAAGTGTAAATCTATGTTTTATTTTTACAAAAATATAATACACATGTGCATATATATCTATTTAATATTAATTACTTGCATTTATTTATTTATTTATTTATATTTTATTTATTTATTTTTTTTGAGATGGAGTCTTGCTCTGTCACCCAGGCTGGAGTGCAGTGGCACAATTTCGACTCACTGCAACCTCCGCCTTCTGGGTTCAAGCAATTCTCCTGCCTCAGCCTCCTGAGTAGCAGGGATTACAGGTGCCCACCATCATTCCCAGCTAATTTTTGTATTTTTAATAGGGAATGGGTTTCACCATGTTGGCCATGTTGGTCTCAAAGAACTCCTGACCTCAGGTGATCCATCTGCCTCAGCCTCCCAAAACACTGGGATTACAGGAATGAGCCACAGTGCCCGTCCTAACTTGCATTTTAAACTCAAGGTGTCACATTCATCCTTTCATGTGCATGGACTTCCTTTAAAGAACAGTCGAGATGCTGTATAATTCAAAGCATTTGTTTTTAAAGTCTGTGGCTTAGAAAGATAGCTACGGCAAGAATCAAGCCATTCTAATGTTGGCTCTAAACCAGGCTCTAAAATTGGCATGTAGTAGATATTCAATGAATATTTGTTGACTGATCCAGGCCCTGATTTCAATTTCACCTTGCTTGTCCATTGTTATCCTCCAACAGTATGAATAGACAAATGCAGCATTAGTTGAGAACTTAGGGTGGAGGTTGAACTTGGTATTATGGAGTTTAGAGATAGTGATTATCAGGAAAGGACCCTGGCTCACAATTCAAATGCGTGATAACCAAATTCCAAAAACCAGTTCATCATTTTAAGACTTAGAAAATATATTTTGCCAGCAATCTTTTCACTCATTTGCAGAAAAATATGATTTAGTGAACAATAGTTCTTAATTTTAAGTTTTGCTCCCATATATTTATCTTATCTATTGGCATCTCCTTCCATATATAGATGAAGAAAGCAAAAGAACAAGCAGCAAATGAATACTCACCTCCAAAACATGAATTCATAACTAATTGTACACATAATAATCTGCATTATTATATATTATTATCTGGGGTCTCTCTCTAGAAATAGAGAATAAAAAGTCTAAGCTAATAGAAAACTTCCAAAAATATTATTTCATAAATTTTATTTATAAAATGTGTAGTATCCTCTGGAATATATGTGTGTGTGTGTGTGTGTGTGTGTGTGTATTTGTATACACGTATTTAGAGAAAGAAAGAGAATAAAAGATATTCTTGGGAAAAAAGTTGCTTCTGTTCGTTCTTTCATTTGTTCATTCAGTGTGGCCCATGCTCTCAAGGAGCTCATAGTCAACTGGGTCAGATAAGAAATTAAACCAGGGTGGGGCACCGTGACTCATGCCTGTCATCCCAGCACCTTGGGAGGCCTAGGCAGGCAGATCACTTGAGGTCAGGCAAATATATAACATCTAACAGGTAAATATTATTTGCCAACATGGCAAAACCCCGTCTCTACTAAAAATACAAAAAAAATTAGCTGGGCGCGGTGGTGAACGCCTGTAATTCCAGCTACTTGGAGGCTGAGGCAGGAGAATCACTTGAACCCGAACTTAAGAGGCAGAGGTTGCAGTGAGCTGAGATCACGCCACCTGCACTCCAGCACTCCAGCCTGGGCAACAGAGCACGACTCATCTCAAAAAAAAAAAAAAAAAAGAGTTGTCTGCTTTGTGTGCCTAAGTAAAATATAATGTTGCTTAATGAAGGGTGACAGAGTGGAAGTGTCATGGGGAAAAAGCAAATGTACTGTATATCATACATTTGGTGGGGGTTGTAAGATTGTTTATTTTACACACTGCCATGGTTTGAATCTCCATTTTTTGTTGTTGCTTCTTCTTTGTCAAATATGTTATTTTGACATATGGGTTTGGTTATAAAGTTTATTCTAAAACTTATGTGAATTAGTTGTTTTTGTTTCTTTTGAGACAGAGTCTTGCTCTGTCGCCCAGGCTGGAGTACAATGGCGTGATATCAGCTCACTGCCAACTTCTGCCTCCCAGGTTCAAGCGATTCTCCTGCCTCAGGCTCCCAAGTAGCTGGGACTACAGGCGCGTGCTACGACACCCAGCTAATTTTTGTATTTTTAGTAGAGACAGGTTTCCACCATGTTGGCCAGGCTGGTCTCAAACTCCTGACCTGAAGTGATCCTCCCACCTTGGCCTCCCAAAGTGCTGGGATTACAGGCGTGAGCCACCTTGCCAGGCCTAAATATTATGTGAATTAGTTATAACTGCATTATATTCTAAAATTCATTTCCTGGCTGGGCAAGGAGACCCCATCTCTATATAAAAAAAAAAAGTTTAAAAAAGGAAAAAAAAGTAAAATTCATTTCCCAAATTGGTGGTGGTTTCTGTGAGTCAAAATAAAAGAGCTCATTCTCATCGCATAAGTGGTTTTCTGCTACTGGTTTTTGCTTGAGAGGCCTGGTTCATCTGCTTTCTCCAGAACTGTCCTGTGCCAGGAAATAACTTAAGCCAAGGCAAGCATAGAGCCTGTTATCAGACAAGAGAGTTAAACCAAAGGGATGTATACATGGATTATTACATGGAGAAACCATAATCAGAATAGTGGTTTAAAGCATGAAGTCTGATGAAATGATTGATTGTCTCTGCAGCAGCTTCTTAGCCTCATGACTCTTAGAAAGTTATTTAACTTCTGTAAGCTTCCGTTTTCCCATATTTAAAAAGAAAATAATGACAACTCTCACCTCGTAATGTTGTTATAAAGACGGAATGAGATGTCATACTCTATTGTGAGACTTTACCATTGTATATTTGACCCAGCAATCCCACTAAAGACCAATTTACTCAAACACGGGGAAATAAAATAAAAGAATGAAGAAACTGTACTACTGTAGAGCAATCTTTAAGATATATTTCGTTTCAACTATACCACAAAGCAACCATTTAAAAAAAAAATTCATTGAAAGAATAAGTAAAAAAATAAAGGCAAGATACAGAACTGTTTATATGATATTCCAGTACTGCATTAACTAAAAAAAATTCAAGGAAAAAATATATACATATAAATATGTATTTGTATGTACATGTAATATCACTGGAAGAATATAAAAAAGAGCTGGTAACAATAATTGCCTGTGGACCAGGCAACCAGAAGACAGGGCAAGAAGAAATCTTTTCAGTTAATTCTCTTTTTAGTGTTTTAAACTTTTTACCTTAAGAGGCTGGGCACGGTGGCTCACGCCTGTAATCCCAGCACTTTGGGAGGAAGAGGCCAGCGGATCACCTGAGGTCAGGAGTTCAAGACCAGCCTGACCAATATGGTGAAACCCTGTCTCTAATTAAAAAATACAAAAATTAGCCAGGTGTGGTGGCACACGCCTGTAGTCCCAGCTACTCAGGAGTCTGAGGCAGGAGAATCACTTGAACTCTGCAGGCAGAGGTTGCAGTAAAAAAAAAAAAAAGAAAGAAAAACAAAAAAAACTTTCTGGCTTGTGAAAGTATTAACAAATCTTAAAAATAATTTGTTTTTAAATAAAGAGATTATATATGTATATATTTATGCTTTCCACATGCCTGGTAGATGTTCAGTTAGTATAATGCCTTTTGATTCTGAGATAAAACCATTATTTCAAAAGCCTTTTTAACAATAGGAAAAATGTAAAACAATTGAGAGAAACTTTTATCCTGAATGCATACTTATTAAACTGCCTTAGAATTAAATACACAAAATCCAAACATCCTGATTATTGCAGTTATTTTAAATCTTTTATTAGAATGATCATAATAATTGTGGAGATAGCCAAATATGGCTCTAAAAATAATGTCCAAGTCAATCAGGCAGTAAATATGAGTTATCTAGTCAATCCAATAGAGCCAGATCAGCATAAACTTTTAAAAAATGTTTTATAAGGGCTGGTGCAGTGGTTCATGCCTGTAATCCCAGCACGTTGAGATGCCAAGGCAGGCAGATCACTTGAGATCAGGAGTTCATGACCATCCTGGCCAACATGGTGAAACCCCATCTCTACTAAAAATACAAAAATTAGCCAGGCGTGGTAGCAGGCGCCTGTAATCCCAGCTATTCCGGAGGCTGAGGCAGGAGAATTGCTTGAACCTGGGAGGTGGAGGTTGCAGTGAGCTGAGATTGCACCACTGCACTCCAGCCTGGAGGAGAGTGACACTCCGTCTCAAAAACAAAACAAAACAAAAGCAAAATGTTTAATAAGAACAATTGATTTGAAAGTTTTTGCTGCCTATCAATCAAGTTTAAACTCTCAATAGCTTATAGCCACAAATATTTATTTCCTCTCTCATAGTTCTATAGATTGGCTGTGGTTCTGCTGTGCTTGGCTGGAATCCACTGGGCTTGACTTCAGACTGCTGATTAGGTTCAAAGCTGCTCTACATATTTCCTCATTCTCCTTGGACCAGTGGCTACCGCAGACATGTTCTTCTCATGAAGGGTCACTGGAGTCTAAGAAAGTAAGCAGAAACGTAAGATGCCCCTTGAGATGTTGGCCTGGAACTGGCACAGTTGTCACTTTGGCCCACATCTCATTGACCAAAGCAAGTTACAAGACCAAGCACATCATTAGTTGGGAGGAGGAGATGTATCCTCTGCTTAGTCATATGAAAGACACTGAAGAGTTATGTGGTAAGGATATAGATGGAGAATGCTAATACAGGAAGTTCATGAAGCATTGGAATAATAATTCAATCTATCACATCATTTTAAAAGAGCTAAGAGTGGTCCTTACTGGCTCAAGAACAATGGTTCTGGGTATATGCAGCCCAAGACAAAATCTCTGGTCCATAAACAACTTCATTCTGCTGAGCTGGTAACCCCAGTTTCCTTGGATTCGTAAATAGAGAGACAATGAAGTAAATCAAAACCATATAGGGATCATCTGTATGTATTTGGTATTTAAAGTCCTTATTGGAGGAGAAGGGAACAAGAAAGTGGCAGCAGTAGGGGTTTGTGGCCAGGGTAAGCTGCCACTTCGCTCTGTCACCCAGGCTGACTCTTCAGCCTTTCAACCTTGTTGAGTATGTCAGCTTAAGGTGCTGTTGCCCCCACACACTGAGTCATTCTTGGAAGACGGGAAGATCCAGCAGCAGGATTTTGGCTCAGCGTGTGACAGAGCATAAAATTGAAACCCTCTATTATACATAAAATCTGTATTTTCCTCGAGACATTTGAAACCAAAGATGAGATGGAGCTAATTAAAGATGCAGCCCATTCCTGACCAGTTCAACTATTGATTTAATCAAAGTGATGAGCTCCTTAGATTCTTGACAGAAAAAAAAGGCATGCCCCGGGTCGGGGGTAGGAGGGTGTTAAATTATATACTTCAGTGCATAATTTGGTTGGCTGGTGGCATGTTTTGTTTTGTTTTGTTTTGAGACAGGTTCTCTCGCTATGTTGCTCAGGATGGTCTCCAACTCCTTGTCTCAAGTGATCTTCCTGCCTCAGCCTGCCAAGTAGTTGGGACTACAGGCACATATTGAGTCTATGTTTTTTTTAACAATATCTTGCAGACAGAAATTAAAAATTAAAAAATTTAAGATGACACAGGCAACGTGACTAAAAATCAAAGGAGAAAGAAAGGTCAATAAAAGCAAATGACCCAGATGGATTAGTGTACAAGGACATTAATAAACTACTATAAATGTATTCAAGGAATTTGAGAAGATATAAATGAATGAATAGAAAGAGAAACAATTTCAACAGAGAAATGAATCCCTAAAGCGAGAAAAAAGAACGAAATGGAAATCTCAGAAATAAAATAAAAAAATCTAAAGTTAAAAATGTAATTCAGTAAACTTCTGGCAATTATATCCTAGTCACCTTGATTACATAAGTGAGATAGTTTGACATAACTGATAGAGACTTGATAAACATCTTGATCTCATCAGCAGCACGTTAACATTCTAGCTCTGTAGTGAATCCTTTGCTCAGAGAATTTGCTTCCTTTTCTTTCTCTTGGTGCATATTTTACCTTTTACCAAAAGTCTGTTTTGGACTCATGACCTTTACATCTTCACTATCTAGAACATTTAAGAGGTATTTCTATAACAATGAAGCAAATACGTGCATTTATTTTTTAAATAGTTTTTATGTTTATAGTTTAACCCAGAAAAAATCAGCTGCTCTGTGATCACAGAGGAGCCAGGATTTTCATGTTTCTATTTATTCACTTCATTTGTAATCAAAGAAAGATTCTGTTTGCAAGTTTCTATGGTCTTATTTGTACCATCCATGAAATGTTTTTCTCCTCCTGTTACAAATCAAAGGCCTCAACAACCAAAGACTCTAAGAACTTGCTACCTCTGAATCAGAATTGTCACACCATACCTCAGATAATCTGTATTTCCAATGATACTTTCAGAGACTCTTGTTGTATTTGAGATAGGTGGTGTTTAAATAAATTGAGTATTATATTAATTTAGGCATGTCTTCTTAAAAAGTACTATTTATAATTTTAGATAACTTTGCATTTTAGATAATCTGACACTTGATCTTCCAATTCACAATTAAAAATATGTAACAGAGTAATTGATTTTAGGCTTATAAAATAATTTTACTGTTTATAAATAGTATTCCAATATTTAAAAGAACTTAAGAACTTAGAAAGGTTTTGCTTATGAGGCCAACCATTTAAAGTGCTTAAAAGCAAATAAAATGGGCTGGGCGCACTGGCTCACGCCTGTAACTTTGGGAGGCCGAGGCAGGCAGATCACGAGATCAGGAGATCGAGACCATCCTGGCTAACACGGTGAAACCCCGTCTCTACTAAAAATACAAAAACAAAATTAGCTGGGTGTGGTGGTGGGCGCCTGTAGTCCAGATACTCGGGAGGCTGAGGCAGGAGAATGGCATGAACCCAGGAAGCAGAGCTTGCAGTGAGCCAAGATCACACCCCTACACTCCAGCCTGGGGGACAGAGTGAGACTCCGTCTCAAAAAAAAAAAAAAAAGAAAAAGAAAAGAAAATGTATTGAATTTATAAATGCAATTTAAGTGTTTAAAGAAACTCAATTAATTAAGTTGAAAATAGGTTTGTTTGATAAAGATTTATTTATTCAAATTGAGTTGATTGAACATTAATAAGGTAAATTTAAATATTTTACAATATAATAATAATAAAATAATTAGCTTTATTTTAATTCAAAGTCCTTCAATTGTCATCTTAATATATGGAATATTAATTTTTTAAAACTCGTGAAAAGTCTTTCCTATTTATAAAAACAATTCTAGGGCCAGGTGCGGTGGCTCATGCCTGTAATCTCAGCACTTTGGGAGGCTGAGGCAAGCGGATCACTTGAGGTCAGGAGTTCGAGACCAGCCAGGCCAAAATGGCAAAACCCCATCTCTACTAAAAATAGAAAAATTAGCCAGGCATGGTGGTGCACACTTGTAATCCCAGCTATTTGGGAGACTGAGGCAGGAGAATCACTTGAACCTGGGAGGTGGAGGTTGTAGTGAGCCAAGACCATGCCATTGCACTCCAGCCTGGGCGACAGAGCAAGCAAGATTTCATCTCAAAAAAAAAAAAAAAAAAAATTCTAGAACAGTTTAAAAATTCTCATTAAAAAAATCCTTTGTTGAGTCAGATTAGGTAATACAAGTTATAGGTATCTCTTATTATTTGAAAATAACATATCAATTTTTTTTGTTTAAATACAACAATAATCAGCATGTTAAATAATCCAAGCTTCAGATACATTCCTGACAACCTGATATTCTTCACTTGAAACCATCAAAGAACTTGGAGGCTATGTAGTGTACTGTGGGTTCCTATTTCTTTATTCTGCAGCCAGAGCCGTCATTCTAAATATCTGCGGCAAAAACTTAAAAAAAATTTTTTTTTAATTTTTATCCCACACTACACTGATGTAGTGCTGCAAAAACTTAAACCCCTCTACAGCTTCCCATTGTCCCCAGTATCAAGTCCCAAATCCCACAAGGTACTACTTACTCTGCCCTTACCTATCCCTTAAATCTCAGGAAGCCAGTCTTCCTTGGTTCTCTCTCTATTCCAGCCACATTAGCCTCTTTTTCACTAGGGCTTTAGCCATGCCATTTCCTCTGCTTGGACTGTTTCCCTCCAGCATTCCCTCCCTGAAACATATACTTGATTATTGTCACTTTCCCAAAAAGGATTTTCCTGATACTCCAGACTTAGTGAGGGACCCCTGGGTTTAAGTTTTTGAAAAAACTTAAAAGAAATCACTTCTCTTTGTCATAGGTTGTTTAGGCAACCTTAACCCCTCCCTTCTGAAGTAAAATATATTTCAGTTGTTTATAGTATTTTGCTATTATAAACAATGACCCAACTAACACCTTTGTACATTAATCTACTACAACAGATACTGTGGGTGCCTCACTGATAGTCCCTTGGCACTCATTGTTTCCTTAAGCATAGTGAAATCTTTACTTTGACCACCTGTGACTATGCCTTAGGCTTTCTCAGTGGTAGGAGAGAGCTTGGTCCACAGGTGGGTAAGGCATTAAGAACCCCCTCTCCCCAGCAGCCCACCATCCAATGATGGATAGGAATTTGTAAATATCCCAACTTCCTTGGGTAAGGCACCGCTGAGGCAGTTTTTTTTTTTTTTTTTTGAGACAGAGTTTTCCTCTTGTCACCCAGGCTGGAGTGCAATGGCGCGATCTCGGCTCACTGCAACCTCCACCTCCCGGGTTCAAGTGATTCTCCTGCCTCAGCTTCCTGAGTAGCTGGGATAACAGGCACCCGCCACCACACCCGGCTAATTTTTTGTATTTTTAGTAGAGACAGGGTTTCACCATGTTGGTCTGGCTGGCCTTGAACTCCTGACCTCAGGTGATCCACCCGCCTCAGCCTCCCAAATTGCTGGGATTACAGGCATAAGCCATCGCGCCCGGCCTGAGACAAATTTTATATAGTCTCCTTGAGTGGGATTGAGCCTCAGTTTCCCACATTAGTAACCTTGCATTGTGTATGGTCTTCCTTCCTTTCACTTTCTCATTTCCCTACTCCTTCACCAGTGATTCTGGGGTCACTGTCCAAATAAACTACTTATACTCAATGCCTTGTCTCAGCGACTGTTTCAGGAAGAACCCGGCCTAAAACACTGTATTTGCCTATTTAGAGTCACTCAATAATTACAAAGGTGGAATTGCTAGTTCAAGGGTTAAGCATTTTAAATTTTGATATATGCCAAATGGCTGTCCACAAAAGTTGGTGTAAGAGGCTGGACACAGTGACTTATGCCTGTAATCTCAACACTTTGGGAGGCCAAGGCAAGAGGATCGCTTGAGCACAGGAGTTCAAGACTTGTGTGGGCAATATAGTGAGTCCTTGTATCTACAAAAAATTAAAAAATTAGCCAGGTGTAGTGGTGTGCACCTGTGGTCCCAGCTACTCGAGAGGCTGAGGCAGGCGGATTGCTTGAGCCTGGGAGGTCAAGGCTGCAGTGAGCCATGATTATGCCCCTGCACTCCAACCTGGGCAACAGAGCAAGATCTTGTGTCAAAAAAAAAAAAAAAAAAAAAGTTGGTGTAAGAAATGCCTATTTTGCAAGGACTACAACATTTTTATTATTTAAATGTATATTCTATTTTATTTCATATGGGATTTGAGACACATTTCTAGGGTTGATCAACTGTTAGCCAAATTACTACTAGCATCTTTTGGTAACCTGTTGAGAGAACAAAGGCTTTGAAGTCACAGAAACCCAGGTTAGAGTTCCACGTCTTACTTTTTAATTGTGTGTTAATATGACTTCTTAACTATGTGACCTTGGCAAGTTATTAATATCTCTAAGCATGAGTTTCTTTATGTCTAAAACAAGCAAAACAAACAAACAAAAAGCAATATCATACATTATTTGAGGAATAAATGTGATGATATATTTTAAAAGTAAATAATGAAACTTACTATAGTGCCTGGCAAGCAGTTAGAGCCCAATACATGGTAATTATTATTGTAGCAAAAGAACAATGACATTCATATTCATGTCCCATAGTACTAAGGACAGTAACTAGGACCTAGAAAATGCTCAAATGTTATTGAACTGAATTACCTAGTCTACACAGTTATTGTAGAGATCAAATGACAGAATGTGTATAAAAGTATTTCAAAAAAACAGAAAATATTGGAGAAATGTGGTGCTACCTCTCCCCTACCAATGAGTCAAAGCCTCAGTTTTTATTTTTCAGGAACAGTTGGCTAGATATGTGTCCCTCTTCCTGTTTCTCTCTAAAATCAATATTTTGAGGCATTTTTAGACTTCACTGTGTGAAACTACCATTTCTCCACCTATCCTGCTTGCAGCTGCCCCACTTACCTGTCAGGGGCAACTGCCTTCAGTGTGGAATCTTACTGCCAATCATCCTCAATCAAGCTCCTCTAAGCCAGTGGGTTCGTGCCACAGGCAGTCATATTGAAGCCAAGAGTATACAGTTTTGATTTGGACATTTTGAGACAGTCTAAATTTCAAATATTCTGATATTTTATTTTATTTTATTTTATTTCTTTTTGAGACAGAGTCTTGCTCTGTTGCCCAGGCTGGAGTGCAGTAGTGTAATCTCTGCCCACCTCAACCTCCTCCTCCCGGGTTCAAGCAATTCTCTTGCCTCAGACTCCCAAGTAGCTGGGATTACAGGCATGCAGCAACACACCTGGCTAATTTTTGTATTTTTAGTAGAGACGGGGTTTCGCCATGTTGGCCAGGCTGGTCCCGAACTCCTGGTTTTAAGTGATCCACCCACCTCGGCCTCCCAAAGTGCTGGAATTACAGGCATGAGCCATCGTGCCTGGCCTATTCTGATATTTGAAACCGATTTTTGTGAATTCTTATAATCCTTTTCATATAAATTTACTATTATCAATGTATTCGTTCTATCCTTGGATTTTTGTTGAATACCTATTATGAGATAAGCACTGTTACAATGTTGAACAAGACAGACATGATCCTTGTCCTCAAGAGGCAAGCTCTAGATGTGGTTTAATTTTTATGTTTTTGTAAGACTTTTCTATATGAATAAATTCACAAACTGGAAAAAAGTTTTTCAAAGCTAGTGTCCAGATTTTTCATTTGTAAAAATATGGCCACTTTAGCTGTGGAGAGACATAAAGAACAGTCCTCTCAGAAAATAGAGGAGGAAGAAAGAGAATTTTACTTTAAAACCAGGCACTTTACTTAAATTATCTAATTAAATCATAACAACTTGTGAAGAAAATGTTCTTATCTCCATTTTAAGAACTGAGACTTAGGCTAATAGTCTTGCCAAAGTCTACCACTAACAAATGCCATTACTAAAATTAGAACCCAGTGTTTCCTGGTTCCCCAACCAAAGCTTTTTCTCCAACTCCATTCTACCCCAAAGCAAGCAACCAACTATTAAGCCAGATAAGTATTATGAAATGTTACTTACAATGGGTGGGATACAAAAGAACATGGTTCTTAAACATGAGGGCCTGACATCTGGTTGAGACACAAAAATAACATGAACTAAGCTAAGTGACTTCAAACATATTAAGAGTTCCTGGGAAATACACATGGGTATATTGAATAGTTCAAGGAAGTTTTCATAGAAAATACATAAATTGCCCTAAATTCTCCCAGGCATCTCTATTTCCCATGCCACTAGGTGATTTCTCTGATCACATTGTATTCCATTTGTTCTCTTGTCTTTCTTCTCTCCCAGAATGTAAATTCTGTGAGGTCAGAAACCATGTTTGTGTATCATTAACCTTGTGGCCCCATAATCTAATGCAATGCCTACTTCATAATAGATAGTAGGAGTTTGAGAAAAGTTGAACTAAAGTGAGATGTCACTTGAGAACTGGGTATGAAAGCATGATTTAAGATTAACAAGAGAAGAGCATTCCAGGTGGCGGCACTAGTGGAGGAAAGAAATGAGGAAGTAAGATCGAATGTGGTATGTGTGGTAGTAGTAATCTGGATGGAGCAGAGGTAGAAGTCTGAAAAATTGAAGGCCATAGCTATTCCAGTGTTGATGGGGCCACCTGTGAGCTGGAAGGGAAGACTTCCCAGTCCAGAAGGCAAACTTGAGAACTTATAGGCCCCATAAGGGAAATGGGAAAAGGTAGCCACAACCATCGTGAGAACAGAAGCTGTAGGAGCACTGGAGAAACTTGCAAAGTGCTCATGATCTCCCAACAACAACACAGATTCTGTGTACAGCCAGCCCAGAGGAATCGGACTATGGCAACTGCTTCATCAATGCTGCTAGACTGCATTCCAGGGCTGAGTTAATGATCCCGTATTTCCATTTGATCCTACGTATAGCTCTGGGTGAGGTCCGAGAAAACATCCCTGAGTGCTAAGGGTAGCAATTAGAAAGCACCCCTCCTGGCCGGGCGTGGTGGCTCACGCTTGTAATCCCAGCACTTTGGGAGGCCAAGGTGGGCAGATCACGAGGTCAGGAGATTGAGACCATCCTGGCCAGCATGGTGAAACCCTGTCTCTACTAAAATACAAAAAATAGCCGGGCATGGTGGTGCATGCCTGTAGTCCCAGCTACTTGGGACGCTGAGGCAGGGGAATCACTTGAAACCTGGAGGCAGAGGTTGCAGTGAGCCGAGATCATGCCACTGCACTCCAGCCTGGTGACAGGGCAAGACTCCATCTCAAAAAAAAAAAAAAAGAAAAAAAAAGCACCTCTTCCATTGCAATCTTCCCCTGTCTCTTCATACACCCTTCCCACTAAATCATGACTGCCCCTCAGAACTCAGAATCCATTGGCTGAGTTGTTAAATTCTTTAGCCTACTAGAGCAAATCAAAGTAAGACTCAAAAGATCAGAGCAAAACAAAATGAGTGTGATGCTGTTTCTTTCTTTTTTTTTCGTTTTCTTTCTTTCCTTTTTTTTTTTTTTTTTTTGAGATGTAGTCTTGCTCTGTCGCCCGGTCTGGAGTACAGTGGCTCGATCTTGGCTCACTGCAACCTCCGCCTCCCGAGTTCAAGTGATTCTGCTGCCTCAGTCTCCCAAGTAGCTGGGGTTACAGGTGAGCCACCATGCCTGGCTAATTTTCATATTTTTAATAGAGAAGGGATTTAGCCATGTTGGGCAGGCTGGTCTCGAACTCCTGACCTCAAGTGATCTGCCTGCCTTGGCCTCCCAAAGTGCTGGGATTACAGGCATTAACCACTGCGGCCAGCTATGTCTCTTATCATACTCTGAAGAGACACAATTTTGAGAGGCTGAGAGGAGGAGTCTTCCACATGCTGGAGCCATTTAGCCCAAGTTTCAAGGACAAAAAGGCCTCAGATTTTGGCTGTTGTTTGGCGTAGAATTTTCAAAGGGGAGGGAAAGGCCTTATTGTAAATATTAATACTAAATACATACGAATCCCTATGACAAGCTATGTCAAAGGGAAGAAGACTGATTCAAGAAGACTGACTTCAAAATTTGAAAGCTGCTCCAGCTTCACAGAGGCTCTTTCAAGATCTAAGAATGGAGAGCAGACCAAAACTACTGCATATTTATCTACGTGCCTCGAGAACTGGGAGGAGAATTTTACGGGGATTATTGTTGTCTTAAAAAGGACAAACTCTCCACTTGGACAGTTTTAAATTTGTTCTTGCCTAATAGTATAGTTTACAAAAAGAGCTTTTGTCCACAGTTGTTGACTTGAGCTTCACAACAGCCCTGTGAGGTCTTTATGTCCCAATTTATAGATGAGGCGTCAGATGTTCAAAGGGGCTACGGTTGCTGGGTAGGAAGCTCCAGGACTGGGACCAGAATCCAGGTTGTCCTTCTCTTGGTGCAGCGCAGCTTGAGCTTTTATTTCCCACTAAACATGTAATCCAAAAGTGCCTTTACAGTTTTTATTTCCCACTAGCAGATTCAAACCACATCCTCAGATCTGTGATCTTACTAAGAACTTGGCAAACATACACCGAGTCTGACCATTAGCCAGGCATTAGGCTAGGTCCTAAGAACACAGAGTTAAGTAAGTCATATACTTTACCCTTCAGGTCCCAGAATCCAGTCTAAGAGGCAGACATACAAACAATTAGTTGTAATGTAGCATGCTAAGTGCTATAATTCAATTAAGAATTGGATATAGAGTTGAGTAAAAGAAAGATCGGCTCTACTTGTGGTGACTGGGGTAGAGTCTCCTGGAGAAGGTGATGATTAAGGGAAAACTTTAGAAATAAGTAGTAGTGTGTCTGGTGGGCAAGGGGGAAAAGACATTCTTGGCAATATGAACAGTTCATGCAAAGGCATAGAAGTATAAGACAGTATGAATTCAGTGTTTCATTATACACTAATGGGTGCAAAAGTTATACTTCCTAATGTGACTCTTTTGAATCAGCAGTGCCCACTCCTTGCAGTGCAAACTGCAGTTTGCAGTTCCTGGCACCATTCATTTATTTAGAAAATATTTACTGAACCCCTACTATATGGTGAGCACTGTTCAAGGAGCTGGGGATACAAAAAGCCAAGAAAAGTCCCTGTCCTTAAAAAGTCTAGTGGGAAGAAACAGGCAGTAAAAAATAAAAAATAATACGTTAGGGGTTGATAAGGGTTTTGTAAAGAGGTACCTGCCACCACCACAGAGAAGATCAGCTCTGGAAATACATTATTCAAGATTAGTTTGGCTACACATAACAGAAAAATCCAATACAGGAGAGACTTACACAATGCAGAATTTATTTCTCATGTAAAAGAAGTCTTGAGATAGATGGTTATGGCAAGTTATCAGACTATCAGAGGCCCAAGCCCCTTCTCTCTAGTCCACATCCTTAACAGGTGGCTTTAATCCTTATGTTCCAGGACAGATGCTGGAACTCCAGGAATCCTATCATCATCTAGACAGCAGGATGGAGAAATAAAGAAGGGTGGGCCTTCTTCCTTTTAAAGAGATGTAAGGATCGGCCGGGCGCGGTGGCTCACACCTGTAATCCCAGAACTTTGGGAGGCTTAGGTGGGCAGATCATGAGGTCAGGAGTTCAAGACCAGACTGGTCCACATGGAATACAAAAATTAGCCGGGCGTGGTGGTGCACGCCTGTAATCCTAGCTACTCAGTAGGCTGAGGCAGGAGAATTGCTTGAACCCAGGAGGCGGAGGTTGCAGTGAGCTGAGACCACGCCACTGCACTCCGGCCTGAGTGCAGAGAGATACTCCGTCTCAGGAAAAAAAAAAAAAGAGAGAGATGTAAGAATCATATATCATTTCTAATTGCTTGTGGCCCTACCTAGCTACAAGGGAAACTTGAAGAATAGGGTTTTTCTTTGTTATCATTTTTTGTTATTATTATTTTTTAAGATGGGTAGCAACGGGCCCAGCTAAAAATGAACATTCTGTTACACAGGTTATGTTTTGCATCTAGTCCTCTTTCTGTCTCACAGGTCTTCCTCCTCTGTATTCCTTCTTTAATTATCCTATGCCTTCTCCCTGCCTGGTGCTAATTATACTATTTTGACTCTTTCTGATTTGGGTTCTACCTATCCAAAAGACAACACTTCACTTCCAACCTCTTGATCTAGAACTAAACACTCACTGACTCTGAAACTGTCCTCATGGGGTGAGCTCCCACTTTGATCTATTTCTATCCTGGGAACAAGACAGTCCAAACTTCATAGAAATTCACAAAATCTCAAGTGTAGAGAGCTCATGAATAATGATGAAAATTTACTTTAAAGATCAGCATTCTTCAATTTCAGACTAATGACTAATTTCAGAATTTTGGTCATCATTTTGCATTTTTACTATTTTATTTCGAATCTGCTATTAATTGGAGTGTCCTGCTGGTCTTTTTTTTAGATAGTTTAATTCCAGGTGTCAGCTAATAATAATTTTAAAAACCCATAAATACTTCCTCAGGCTTAACAATCACTGTCTTGGTGTTCCCTGCTGAAGGTACTGATAATGAATCCAATAAATAAGTCCTGGAAACAGGGAGGCCAACCCACGCACAATTTCTGATTATCAGATAAATATCAATGCATATGGGGTAACCACAAATCCTAGGAGAAAAACTTTGCATGCTAAGCAAAGATCGAGCATTTCTGAGAGTTTTCTCTTTTATGGTTGGTTTTTGTGGGCAGTCTGTGTAGTCAGTAGCTACAACTTCCACAACCAAAGCTGTTCATTTTTTCTAAAAGTAATACAATGATTTAAGGTTAACAAATCCTAAGATCATAATTATTTTATTTCTATAGAGAAACCACCATTAAAACTTCAGTATTTATATACTTAGAACAGAATTAGTAGAATTAGTTTCAATATGGTCCCAACCACTTTGTGTGACTTCAGGCAAGTTACCTCACCTCCTAAGCCTCAATTTTCCAAATAAAATAATAGTAATAATAATCATATAATCCTATATCAGATGTGTCTCCATTTTTTATTTAGATGGATGGCTTCCATAGGTGTATTAGGCCAAAGTATCCAAAAAGAAGGTAAAAAGTCCAAATGACAATAAACAAGAAGGGAATATAAAGCTAAATTACCTTATACAGCAAGATAACTCATTGAGAACCTGGGTGTACATTATGCAATCAATTTATCTTTAGTGATACACTCCGTAGGTGCTTTGCACAATGTGGACTACATTGTAACGAGGGTCTTCTCTACATAGAACCACCAGTTCACCTGGCATATTGGTTTACAAATGCAGATTTCTGGCTTCCACACTGGATATTTTGATTCAGTTGGTTAAGAAGACAACTTTGGAATCTATATTTTAAAAGTGTATCCAAAAGATAAAAAAAAAAAACTTTTCTGGGGTAACTTTTAAAAATTATTTTGCATTATAGCTTTGTTTTGTTTTCTAATTTTCCACGTTGACCATGTACAGTATTAATTTTTTGAAAGGGAAAAGAAAAACCGATATTTTATTTTTATTAAAAATAAAGCTTTCAGGGCACAAAAAGGCAAACATCACATGTTCTCACTTATTTTCGGGATCTAAAAATGAAAACAATTGAACTCACGGACATAGACTGTAGAAGAATGGTTACCAGAGGCTGGGAAGGGTACTGGGGGCTGGGTGGGTTAGGTGGGCATGGTTAATGGGTAAAAACAGATAAATAAGAAGAGTGAATAAGACCTACTATACGATAGCACAACAGGGTGACTATGGTCAATAATAACTTAACCGTGTATTTAAAAATAACTAAAAGAATGTAATTGGATTGTTTGTAACACAAATGATAAGTGCTTGAGGGGATGGGTACCCCATTCTCCATGATGTGTTTATTTCACCTTGCATGCCTGTTTCAAAACATTTCATGTATATCTACTATGTATCCACAAAATTAAATTTTTTAAAATATATATTTTAAAAATATTATTAATTAAATAAAGCTTCCAGGTTATGTTCTGGAAGAATAGTTTTTGGCTATGTCCAGTGTAGAGTTTAATTGACTCCCTCATTCTCTTAGGTGCTAGAGCAAACTTAGTTACTTTTTGAGAATACTCTGTAGCCATATCTGCAGGGTACACTTTTGGTCTCTCCCCTCTCAGATTAATCTCAATCAATTGACAGGTTTGACATTATTTTCTGAAAATTGCAAGATCAGATCAAGACTTGGGCCCCAGTGGGTCATTTCACCATTAATCTAAAAGCATTAAATGACTAAGGTAGGTTTAAAGTAGATGAAATAGGGGAAAGGTAGAGGGATTAAGGTTCTCGATTAAATGAAACAGATAAGAATAATACATAATGTGTATAAATTAGTGTTTTCCACAATACTTACTTAGAAATTATGATTTAACTTATTAACAATAAAAAGTATATATAGTTCCAATTATAAGTTAATACACACACATTAAATACAATTTGGAAAATACTGAAAAGAACAAATTGATTGGTTGCCTATAGACTACAAACCAAAAACAACCACTGTTGCATTTCAGTTCTTTCTTTTTTTTAACCGTCAAGCTAGACATTTTTATTTTCCTAGGGTATACAAATAGAATTACTACAACCATCCACACAGTCTATTATTTCTTTTTTTAATTTTTTTTTTTTTTTTTTTTTGAGACGGAGTCTCGCTCTCTCGCCCAGGCTAGAGTGCTGGAGTGCAGTGGTGCGATCTTGGCTCACTGCAAGCTCCGCCTCCCGGGTTCACGCAGTTCTCCTGCCTCAGCCTCCCAAGTAGCAGGGACTACAGGCGCCCGCCACTGCGCCCGGCTAATTTTTTGTAGTTTTAGTAGAGACAGGGTTTCACTGTATTAGCCAAAATGGTCTCGATCTCCTGACCTCGTGATCCACCCGCCTTGGCCTCCCAAAGTGCTGGAATTACAGACGTGAGCCACCGCACCCGGCCCACACAGTCTATGATTTCTAAACATTTAAATATCAATGGTTTCTGGAAGATGCTGTTATCCTTCATAGTTCATTGAAAGTTCACATCCCTTCTGTGAAAGCCAAACTTTTCTTCGACCTATAAAATTTTTTCAGAAGTCTCATGGGATGTTTTGTTTGCTTCTCCATATTGATCCTTAATGTGATAGATTTCATTTTCTTTCTTTCTTTCTTTTTTTTTTTTGTGAGACGGAGTCTCGCTCTGTTGCTTTGTTGCCCAGGCTAGAGTGCAGTGGCGCAGTCTCGGCTCACTGCAACCTCCACCTCCCAGGTTCAAGCAATTCTCTGCCTCAGCCTTCCGAGTAGCTGGGATTACAGGCACCCGCCACCTTGCCAGGTTAATTTTTTGTATTTTTAGTAGAGACGGGCTTTCACCATCTTGGCCAGGCTGGTCTTGAACTCCTGACCTCGTGATCCACCTGCCTCGACCTCCCGTAGTGCTGGGATTACAGGCATAAGCCACCGCACCCGGCCACATAGATTTCATTTTCTAGTTGAACAATAGTCTGTTCAATCTCATAATTCTTACTGACCAGGGATACCCAATTTGACTCCATTTCTCTCAATTTAGATCCAGCGAGTTGCATGTTCTTTCTCTGCCCGTTAAACTCTTGAATATGTTTTCTTTTTATTTATTTATTTATTTATTTACTTTTTATTGATCATTCTTGGGTGTTTCTCGCAGAGGGGGATTTGGCAGGGTCATAGGACAATAGTGGAGGGAAGGTCAGCAGATAAACAAGTGAACAAAGGTCTCTGGTTTTCCTAGGCAGAGGACCCTGCGGCCTTCCGCAGTGCTTGTGTCCCTGGGTACTTGAGATTAGGGAGTGGTGATGATTCTTAAGGAGTATGCTGCCTTCAAGCATCTGTTTAACAAAGCACATCTTGCACCGCCCTTAATCCATTTAACCCTGAGTGGACACAGCACATGTTTCAGAGAGCACAGGGTTAGGGGTAATGTCACAGATCAACAGGATACCAAGGCAGAAGAATTTTTCTTAGTACAGAACAAAATGAAAAGTCTCCCATGTATACTTCTTTCTTCACAGACACGGCAACCATCCGATTTCTCAATCTTTTCCCCACCTTTCCCCCCTTTCCATTCCACAAAACCGCCATTGTCATCATGGCCCGTTCTCAATGAGCTGCTGGGTACACCTCCCAGACGGGGTGGTGGCCTGGCAGAGGGGCTCCTCACTTCCCAGTAGGGGCGGCCGGGCAGAGGCGCCCCTCACCTCCCGGACGGGGCGGCTGGCCGGGCGGGGGGCTGACCCCCCCACCTCCCTCCTGGACGGGGCGGCTGGCCAGGCGGGGGGCTGAAACCCCCCACCTCCCTCCCGGACGGGGCGGCTGGCCGGGCGGGGGGCTTACCCCCCCACCTCCCTCCCGGACGGGGTGGCTGCCGGGCGGAGAGGCTCCTCACTTCCCAGACAGGGTGGCTGCCGGGCGGAGGGGCTCCTCACTTCTCAGACGGGGCGGTTGCCAGGCAGAGGGTCTCCTCACTTCTCAGATGGGGCGGCCGGGCAGAGACGCTCCTCACCTCCCAGATGGGGTCACGGCCGGGCAGAGGCGCTCCTCACATCCCAGACGGGGCGGCGGGGCAGAGGCGCTCCCCACATCTCAGACGATGGGCGGCCGGGCAGAGACGCTCCTCACTTCCTAGATGTGATGGCGGCCGGGCAGAGACGCTCCTCACTTTCCAGACTGGGCAGCCAGGCAGAGGGGCTCCTCACATCCCAGACGATGGGCGGCCAGGCAGAGACGCTCCTCACTTCCCAGACGGGGTGGCGGCCGGGCAGAGGCTGCAATCTCGGCATTTGGGGAGGCCAAGGCAGGCGGCTGGGAGGTGGAGGTTGTAGCGAGCCGAGATCACGCCACTGCACTCCAGCCTGGGCACCATTGAGCACTGAGTGAACCAGACACCGTCTGCAATCCCGGCACCTCGGGAGGCCGAGGCTGGCGGATCACTCGTGGTTAGGAGCTGGAGACCGGCCCGGCCAACACAGAGAAACCCCGTCTCCACCAAAAAAATACGAAAACCAGTCAGGCGTGGAGGCACGTGCCTGCAATCGCAGGCACTCGGCAGGCTGAGGCAGGAGAATCATGCAGGGAGGTTGCAGTGAGCCAAGATGGCAGCAGTACAGTCCAGCTTCGGCTCGGCATCAGAGGGAGACCGTGGAAAGAGAGGGAGAGGGAGACCGTAGGAGAGGGAGACCGTGGGGAGACGGAGAGGGAGAGGGAGAGGGAGAGGGAGAGGGAGAGCCTTGAATATGTTTTCTTACCTTCTGAAGTTCTTTCTGTGAGTGTTCAATCATACGAACTAGATTTTCATTGTAAACTTTCTAGGCATTATATCCATGCTGTGACATTAGTTCCAGAGTCTCAGTTCTAACTGCTTGCTGCTTTAACTGGGCAATAAAATTGTTTACACATTCTTACCATGCAGCAGTGTCATTTTTTTGATGGGAGAAAGGGGCTGGAAGCTCATATCATTTCGTACTGAGCAATTCAATTGGTTGTCGAGCAGCCAGTCTTGCAAATTCATTTCTCATTATGTCAGTCATTATAATGGATTATTTTCCTTCCCCTAATTCTTCTCTGGGTTAAATGCTGTCTAGAATTTCAAATGCAGAATAATTCGGGGCTGTTAGGCAGCTCAGGTAGCTCTTAGTAGGTGAGTTTGCTCTTCCACCAGCACCTCAGCAGCTTTCCACACACCAGGGGCTTCATAACCTTGATCAAAATAAGGCAACGCCTCCACCACAACCTCTCCGGCCACCAAACTTGTGCCTGCCATTCTGGGGACCTTATATTGGCCTATGTTTTCTCCATTTCAGTTATTTCCATCCAATTTTTAATAATATACATAATATCACATAAAATGTTATTTTATTTTTCTTACTGCTACTTTTTTTTCCTCTTTATGGAGCTATAACTGACAAATACAAATTGTATATATTACGCTGGGCGTGGTGGTTCACGCCTGTAATCCCAGAACTTGAGGAGGCTGAGGTGGGCGGATCACTTGAGGTCAGGAGTTCGAGACCAGCCTGGCTAACATGATGAAACCCCATCTCTACTAAAACACAAAAAATTAGCCAAGGGTGGTGGCGTATGCCTGTAGTCCCAGCTACTCGGGAGGCTGAGGCACGAGAATCACTTGAACCTGGGAGGCAGAGGTTGCAGTGAGCTGAGATCATACCACTGCACTCCAACCTGGGCAACAGAGTGAGAATCCATCTCCAAAGATAAATAAATAAATATTGTGTATATTAATATTATACAATGTGATATAAGTTGTTTTGATATGTATATACACTGTGAAATGATTGCCACAATTAAGCTAATTAATGTGTTCATCATGTTGCATTGTTACAATTTTGTTTTTGGTGCTAAGAAAATTTAAGATATACTCTTTTAGTGAGTTTCATGCACACGATACAATATTATTAACGATAGTTATTATGCTGGACTTATTAATCCAGACCTTATTCATCCTGTTTAACTGAAATTTTGTTTACTTTGATGAACATTTTCCCACTTCTCTCACCCCCAGCATTCTCCTCTCTCCTTCTATGAATTTAAACTTTTTCAACTCCACATAAAAATGAGATCATGCAGTATTTGCCTTTTGTGCCTGACTTATTTCACTTAGCATAATGTCCTCCAGGTTAATCCATGTTCTTGAACATGACAGGACTTCCTTCATTTTGAGGAGTGAGTAATATTCCATTATGTATAGCACATTTTCTTTATTCATTCTTTGTCCCTCTGTTGATGGACACGTAAGTTGATTCCATATATTGGCTATTGAAAATAACACTGCAATGAACATGTATATACATATCTTTTCGACATACTGATTTCATTTCCTTTGGATGTATATCCAAAAGTGAGATTGCTGAATCATATGGTAGCTCTATTTTTAATTTTTTGGGGAAATTTCATGCTTTTCTTCTACAATGGCTATACCAATTTGTATATATATATATAAAATATATTTTTTTTCCAGCCTGGGTGACAGAATGAGACTAATCTGTGTCAAAAAGAAAAAAAAACTTTTATCAGATAAATGGTTTGAAAATATCTTCTCCCATTCTGTAGGTTGTCTCTTCACTCTGTTGATCATTTTCTTTGGTGAGCAGTATAATTTGTGCTGTATAGTTTGATGCAATTGTATTTATCTGATAAAAGGATTTTTGGTTGTTTTTGCTTTTGTTATTTGTTTTTGTTTTTGTTTTTTTGTTTTTGTTTTTAGTAGAGATGGGGTTTCCCCATGTTGGTCAGGCTGGTCTTGAACTCCCGACCTCAGGTGATCTGTCTGCCTTGGCCTCCCAAAGTGCTGGGATTACAGGCATAAGCCACCATGACTGGCCTATTTTATTTTATTTTTTGAGACAGGGTCTTGCTTTGTCACCCAGGCTGGAGTGCAGTGGCACTATCTCGGCTCACTGCAAACTCTGCCCCAAGAGCTCAAGTGATCCTCCCACCTCAGCCTCTGGAATAGGTGGGATTACAAGTGTGTGCCACCACATCTGGCTAATTTTTATATTTTAGTAGAGACAAGATTCCACCATGTTGCCCAGGCTGGTCTCGAACTCCTGACCTCAAATGATCTGCCTGCCTCGGCCTCCCAAAGTATTGGGATTACAGGCATGAACCACTGCGCCTGGCCTGGTTTTGAGTTGCCTTTTGTATATGGTATGAGATAAAGGCTTCAGCCTCCCAAAGTGCTGAGATTACAGGTGTGAGCTACCCTGCCTGGCCTCTGTCTTTGACTTTTGAGAATTTCACCATAATGTCTCTTGGTGAAGATCTCCCTTAGTTGAACTCATTTTGTTCATGAATTGTTTTCCTAATAATCATTTAGTTATCTGTGTTCTCTTATAGCTCCTTGAGCTTCTTTAAGATGATTATTTTGAATTCTTACAAATTTTCAAATAATTACAAATTATTTTGAGATACAAATTCATGAAGTTTGCGTATCCCAATTTATTTTTTATTTATTTTTACGTTTATATTTTGAGATGGAATCTTGCTTTTGTCACCCAGGCTGGAGTGCAGTGGCGCGATCTGGGCTCACTGCAACCTCTGCCTCCCGGCTTCAAGGAATTCTCCTGCCTCAGCCTCCTAAGTAGCTGGGATTACAGGCACCCCCCACCGTGCCTAGCTAATTTTTGTATTTTTAGTAGAGACGGGGCTTCACCATCTCTACTACCATCTTGGCCAGGCTGGTCTCAAACTCCTGACCTCAGACGATCCGCCTGCCTCGGCCTCCCAAAGTGCTAGGATTACAGGCATGAGCCACCATGCCTGGCCGTGTATCTCAATTTTTTAAGGTCAGGTTATTAGTGCTTTAATTTTTTTTACCTTTGGTGGTGTCATGTTTCCCTGATTATTATTTTGTGATTCTGGAAGGACCATCTGATGAGTTCAAGGCTTACTTCTGAAGTCCTCAGATGGGCTGATCTGGTGTCTGGGTCTGCAGAGGTGAATCTGCAACCCCGGTCTGTGGATACAGTCCTTAATCCTGAGTCCATGGAGATGGCCTGACACTGGGGTTCACTGGTGTGGTCTTGGTGATTGGGTCTGCTGGAGAGGGCCTGGAGCCTGAGTCTGCAGGAATAGGCCTACAGCCTGTGTCCACAGGGGCTGACAGGAAGCCCGGGTCCATTGGAGTTAACCTGGCCCTGGGATGGGTCTTGAGCATGAGTCTGCTGGGGAGTGTGCTGGTGCTAGGGCAGGCCTGGTGTCTGGGTTCTCAAGGTGGGCCTGGTCTACAAGGGCTAGCCTGGTGCTCGGACAGGTCTGGAACCTGAGTCTGCAGAGCTGGATCTGGGTCCTGGGTCCATGGGGGTGGTCCATGGGAGGGATCCCAGAGCCTGGGTCTGCTGGAACTTGGGGCCACAGGTGCCAGCCTGGTGGCTAGGGCCATGGGGGCTGGTGGCATGGCATTGGGGCAGTCCTGGAGCCTGGGTCTGTGGGGCTGGTCTGGAGGCTTAGTCTGTGGGGGCCAGCCTAAAGCCTGGGGATGTGGGGGCCAGCCTGGTGTTGGGTGAGCTTGGGTCTTTGGGATGTGGGGTCTTGCCTGGAGCCCAGGGATGCAGGGGATGGCCTAGAGTCTGGATCCATAGGGACCAGCCAGCCACAAGGGTTCAATGAGGAGGGCCTGGTGCTGTGGTTCATGGTGAAATGGGTGTTCACTCCTCTTCCTCCCTCAGAAGGCTTGGAAGACAGATAATGTGGGTAATGTAAAACTGTCCTTCCTACCCTCTTTAATGCATCTTTTCTTATTTCTGTGTTCCACCTACATACTCTCATCTCTTACCTGAATTCCTTAGCTCTTATGAAAGTATTTTTGCATGTAGATAGCTGTTTAAATTAGTGTTTCTGCAAGGAGACAGGCACTAAAAACTCCTATTCTGCCAGCTAGCTGACATCACTCCCAAAACCATACTGTATTTTAAATGTTCCTCTATGGTCTTAAAATTTTATTAATTTATACTCTGGGAAAGCGATTTACAAATATTTCACCATCAAGTACATTTTTTGGTACACATAGACCCTATCCTTCCCATCATGGATCCCAAATTTTGAAAAGTATTGTCAGCAAAGCTATATTAATTCATAATTGTTTCATTATTTTTTAAATAGTCAAGAACATTTGTGAGTGCCCATCAGAGCTAATCTGTCACTCTGAGTTGATCACCACAGCCCCTAAGTTAACACATGACTTAGCCTGGACAGCCCCATTTGAGGTTGAAGTTTGTTCTGAAACCTCCTTTACCACTTCTACAGATCCCTTAAATATCCAGGAACCCCATGTTATGACTTAATGTTTAGAAGAAAGGGTTTGCTAAGCCAAAGTATACTTACCCAGAACCCTGTCAAAATTATCTCTAAGTCTAAATAGATGATATCTACATTAATAAGCATTCAGAATCCATTTGTTATCTTGCTATAAACTTGATCTTCATCTTATAACTGGATAATTTACTCATTTAAAATATGTCTTAAGATGGAATCATTCCAGGTTTATTTTTGGATAGCACATAGGTTCTCTTTAAAAATATAAATTCAGCTGGGCATGGTGGCTCACCCCTGTAATCCCAGCATTTTGGGAGGCTGAGGCGAGCAGATCACTTGAGGCCAGGAGTTCAAGACTAGCCTGACCAACATGGTGAAACCCTGTCTCTACTGAAAATACAAAAATTAGCCGGATTGGGTGGCGCATCCCTGGAATCCCAGCTACTTGGGTGTCTGAGGCACTAGAATCACTTGAACCAGGAAGGCGGAGCTTGTAGTGAACTGAGATTGGGCCACTGCATTCCAGCCTGGGTGACAGAGTGAGACTCTGTCTCAATAAATAAATAAATAAATTCATGGCCGGGTATGGTAGTCACACCTATGATCTCAGCATTTTGGGAGGTCAAGACAGGAGAATCGCTTGAGGCCCTGAGTTTGAGATCAGCCTGAGTAACATGGTGAAACCTTGTCTTTACTTTAAGAAAAGTTAGTGTCCACAATGGTTTGAATAAGGAGCGCCAACATCAGTGGTGTCAACAATTTATTCCTAGCCACATTCTCGAATGTGCTAATGGGACACTCACAGTAAAACCTAACCAGCAGGGTGAAATGTTAGTCATACTGAAACAGGGTTAAATACAGTTGAGGTCCAGGGCTTTTACAATTCATCTTTTTATAGCAGTCTGAACCTTCAAAGTATTTTGGTATCATTAATTTTGATGGATAGAGCCACAGACTGGCTGGAACAAAATGTTTTCTGCCCATTATCATATCCTCAAATCGGAGCTACTAACTTGTTGTCCTGAAGACTTAGTCTAAATGTTCTAAGAGAAACTGTTATTGCCAGAGTTACACCCCTGATTGTTGGTTGAGAACGCAGAGTGCTTCCAAATTTTTTTTTTTTTTTTTTTGAGACGTAGTTTCACTCTTGTTGCCCAGGCTGGACTGCAATGGCGCAATCTCAGCTCACCGCAACCTCCGCCTCCCGGGTTCAAGCGATTCTCCTGCTTCAGCCTCCCAAGTAGCAGGGATTACAGGAATGTGCCACCTT
The DNA here is from genome assembly GCF_000001405.40 of Homo sapiens. NCBI lineage: Eukaryota > Metazoa > Chordata > Mammalia > Primates > Hominidae > Homo > Homo sapiens. Next base: position 83,126,757 of record NC_000011.10, on the reverse strand, counting down.
GCCCAGCTAATTTTCGTATTTTTAGTAGAGACGGGGTTTCACCATGTTCCTCAGGCTGGTCTTGAACTCCTGACCTCAAATCATCCACCTGCCTCGCTCTCCCAAAGTGCTGGAATTACAGGCATGAGCCACCGCTCCTGGCCCTTCCAAATTTCTTTGTTTTTGAGTCAGAGTCTTGCTATGTTGCCCAGGCTGGAGTGCAGTGGCAAAATCTCGGCTCACTGCAAGCTCTGCCTCCCGGGTTCACGCCATTCTCCTCCCTCAGCCTCCCAAGTAGCTGGGTCTACAAGCATCTGCCACCACACCCGGCTAATTTTTTGTATTTTTAGTAGAGACAGGGTTTCACTGTGTTAGCCAGGATGCTCTCGATCTCCTGACCTTGTGATCTGCCCGCCTCCACCTCTCAAAGTGCTGAGATTACAGGCGTGAGCCACCGCACCCGGTCTTTTTCCCTGTTTTCTTTGCACCAAACTGTATCTGAGTTTTAGACTGTGCAAAGCAGCCAACTGTTTTTATCAAAGACTAGGTAAGATGTGCTTTTCTGGGATGTGTGGCGGTTATTCTTTGCTTTGGAAAAAGAAATTAGAGGAGATATTAGAAAATATTTATTGAGTTCCTACTCTGTGTAAGACATGAGTGAGAACAATATGATGTGGTTGGTTATGAGCATGGACACTGGTACCTAATTGTATGGGCTGTACCTCTTACTAACTACAGGACCTATAGGGATGTCAGTTTCCTCATCCTAAAACTGGGGTTATGGCCGGGCATGGTGGTTCATGCCTATAATCCCAGCACTTTGGGAGGCCAAGGTGGGAGGATCGCTTCAGCCCAGGAGTTTGAGATCAGCCTGGGTAACATAGCGAGACTCCATCTCTACAAAAAATCAAAAAATTAGCCAGGCGTGATGGTGCAGGCCTGTGGTCCCAATACTCAGGAGGCTGAGGTGGGAGGGTTGCTTGAGCCTGGGAGGTAGAAGCTAAAATTAGCCACGATCATTCCATTGTACTCTAGCCTGGGTGACAGAGCAAAATCCTGCCTCAAAAAAAAAAAAAAAAAGATATAAATAAAGTTATAACAGTACCAGTTATAAAGATTAAATAAGACCGTCTTTGCAAAATTCCTTTAGTGGAGTATATGACACATTTTATGTCCTACATGCTTAATAAATTAGTTTTGATTATGTTTAGTGTTTATGTAGATCTTGATTTTTCCCACTGGATTATAAATCCCCTAAGAAATGAATGAACCTCCTAAAGGGAAGGGGAAATTCACATTTCTCTTTATGTTAGATAGTATCCCTACATCTACTCTGTGTTAGATTGTTTCTTATATACTTTATACACATTTAACTCCCATCTTTTGTTATAGATGTTATCAACTTTTTATAGACAAAGAAGCTAAATCCCAGAGAGGATAGTTGAATTGCCTAAGGTTGTATAGCATTGGAGACAGAATTCACATCTGTTCTAATGCCAAGCCCCATAATTATAGACCTTAATAGTTATAAAGATATGGAGGGGAGAATCCAGTGCTTGTTGCATAATCACCTTCCGCTGTTGTTATAATCTCTTAGCAACTGTCCTAAAGTGTTTAGTGCGTGTTTCCCAAATATTAAAAAGACATATATTCAATATGGGTTATAAGTAAAAAAGTATTCATTCTACTTTCCAAAAGCAAATATAGATTTATGTCAGAGAAAAGGAATAATTAATAATTATATTTTCAGGGAGGAGGGCAAAGGAGTAGAAGGGACAAAAGGGGAAAAGAAGAGGAAGGGAAGGGAAGCTATTTTGCTGACCTGAAATACTATTAATTTAATTTACAACACTGATGAACATGAACATGCAAGAAGCCTCATAAGAAACACAGAATTAGCTTCTGCCTGGAGGAAAGAGAAGGTCAGCAGACAAATAGGTCACAGATTACCAGGAAACACTGACGTTAATAGACTCAGGTGCCGTCAAGCATAGGAAGCATTCCAAAGACAGATGAGTTTCAATCAAAATATTAATAAAATAAAGAGTAACAGTAAGGAGAAAAGGGAGCCCATTGTCATTGCTGGTGAACTTCAGATAAGTCTGACAAACCAGCAGCTTTTGGAACTGAGTTTTATTTTTATTTATTTATTTTTAAGACGGTCTTGCTCTGTCACTCCAGCTGGAGTGCAATCACAGCTCACTGTAGCCTCAAATTCCTGGGTTCAAGCAATCCTCCTGCCTCAGTTTCCCAAGTTGCTGGAAACTACAGGTACATGCGGCCATGCCTGAAAAATGCTATTCAAAGAACTTGTGAAAGATTGGTCCATAAGAAACAGAGTGTGATAAGAAGAAAGGGAATGAATAGGACAGTTGTGGAACAGACAGGAGGAAAGGAAAAGGGGGAGGAGAAAATGGGGTTAGTGAAGAAGAATATCAAAGGTAAAGAAAAAATCAGTGCCGCATGTACCTGTAGTTTCCAGCAACTTGGGAAACTGAGGCAGGAGGATTGCTTGAACCCAGGAATTTGAGGCTACAGTGAGCTGTGATTGCACTCCAGCTGGAGTGACAGAGCAAGACCGTCTTAAAAATAAATAAATAAAAATAAAACTCAGTTCCAAAAGCTGCTGGTTTGTCAGACTTATCTGAAGTTCACCTGAGGTCTGGAGTTCGAGATGAGCCTGGCCAACATGGTGAGTCTCTACTAAAAATACAATAAAATTAGCTGGGCATGGTGGCGGGTGCCTGTAATCCCAGCTACTTGGGAGGCTGAAGCACAAGAATTGCTTGAACCCAGGAGGTGAAGGTGGCAGTGAGCCAAGATTAGGCCAATGTCCTCCAGCCTGGGCGACAGAGCGAGACTCCAGCTCAAATAATAATAATAATAACAATAATAATAATGATAATCAGACCATCTAGCAGATATTTTAATGTTGTATCTACTACATGCAAAAGACTGAAACTATATGCTCTCTGAGGATACAACAAAATAATAACAAATAACACCACTTTTTGAATGTTTACAAAGTGCCAGGTATTGTAATAACAGGTTACATACTTTTTTCTATTTTAACAGCTCACTGAGGTGAGGATCCCAGACTTGAGAAGTCAATTGCAGCTAGTTAGAGGCAATGAGGGATTTCTAAACCAGGCCTATCTGGTTAAGAAAAATGCACTTTCCTTCTCCTCCTGCCTTATCCTCCCTTCAATTTTCATAAGATTTTGAAAAGTGCATATACATATTGTGTTAATTATTAAAAAGGATACATATTTATTATAGGAAAATTGGAAAACACTGTTAACAAAGTAAACAAGTAGTAAGGTTTTCCTAATCTATGCTATTTTAAAGAAGTATAAGAGGCCAGGCATGGTGGCTCATGCCTATAATGCCAGCACTTTGGGAGGCCAAGGTGGGCAGATGACCTGAAGTCAGGAGTTCGAGACCAGCCTGTACAACATGGTGAAACCCCGTCTCTAATAAAAATACAAAAATTAGCTGGGCATAGTGGCGTACACCTGTAATCCCAGCTACTTGGGAGACTGAGACAGAAGAATCGCTTGAACCTGGGAGGCGGATGTTGCAGTAAGCCGAGATCCCACCACTGCACTCCGGTCTGGGCAACAGAGTCAGAGTCTGTGTCAAAAAAAAAAAGAAAGAAAAGAAAAGAAGTGTAAGAAAGAGCACTGCTAAAGCATGTAAGAAAAATCCTGTTCTTTCACTCTCATCAACATGGAGTATCAATCTTTAAAAAATGTCTGATGAAAGAAAAAGGAAACTCATTCTTTTAATTTGTGTTTCTCTAGTACTACTGAGGTTTTGTGGTTTCTCATGTTTTTGGCCTCTTCTGCTTCATGTGTGTGTCACACAAATATACCTGCTCTTCATTTTCTTTTGGAATGTCTGTTTCTTACTAATTTGCAAATTACGTTAAGAATATTAACATTGTCTATTATAGGTAGCGATTTTTTTCTAGTTGTTTTTGTTCTGTTTACAGTACTTTTTGACATAAGGAATCTTTTCATTCTTGTGTCATCAAATCTACTAAACTTTTCCCTTTGCATTTTCCTCTTTTGTTTTCTTCTCTTTGAAAAGGCTTTCTCCACCCCAAGATTGGCTGTATTATCTTCTAAAAAGCTGGGTTTTGAAGGAGGTAAGGGACATGGATTGGCCCAGAGGAGGAGGGAAGGGATTTGAGTATTCAAGGCAGGAGCAATGATGGGGCTCATGCAGCCAGATGTAGGGATGAGGCCCAGATCTGAGCAAATAGAAATTGGACTGTATCAGTCTATGGAAGACAGATAAGGCAAAGAAAATAGAAGGGCTGGGGTATCTTGAAGCCTCAGCTATGGAGCCTGGTATTGATTTGTTAAATAGAAAATCAAGATTTATGCCAGCTTTCCCCAAAGGGGAATCCCAGATGGGAAAAGGAGACTATATTAGGATACATTTGCTAGGAGGTGTACAGATGCAGGAAGCCAGAAGAGCTAAGACACTGTTGCTGCAATCTAGGCCTCAGGTGATGACATATTAAATGGGCAGGACAGACTGGAGAAATGGAATGAAAGAGGAAGAGGCAGATATGAGAAGTATTTCTGTAGGGAAGACAACAGAAAATAAATAACTGCAATAAAAACAAACCCAGAACTTTGTAACTGAGTACACTAAGAAGCATACAAAGGAGAGAGTTTTAAAGGTGTCTGATGTTTGGAGAAGTAGGTAAGATTTCTATGTTTCAATGGAAGCAGCTGGGTGATCTGGAAGGATAAACTGTGTCAGGAGCAATGCAAAGGAGGAAATCTATGCTTAGTGTTTGGATGCTCTTAATTTGGGCTCGGTGGAATATACACAAATATCTATCCCTCAGCTGAGAGGAGAGAGAGCAGCTCACTAGTTGAATGAATGAAACTTCAAATCCAGGAGAAAAACTGAGGTACTTGATTCTCCCTTCCCCAGCACATTACTCTGAGCAAGGCCTGTACTTGAAGAAGATAAAGCAGCTTTCTGTCTCCTTAGGGTGTTTGGAACTGACTAATTAATGAGCACAGGGCCTAGGCTGGGTGTGGTGGCTTACACCTGCAATCCCAGCACTTTGGGAGGCCAAAGTGGGTGGATCATGTGAGCCCAGGAGTTCAAGACCAGCCTGGGCAACAAAGTGAGACCCCATCTCTATAAATAAATAAATAAATAAATATCACAGAGCCTAAAAGGTGTAGTTATGAGAAATGACAACTTCTATGTTAGTGTCAATACTTGTGGTGAGATCCTGTAAATAAGGTTGCCACATAAAATGCACTGTAACATTTGAATTTCAGATAAGCAATGAAAATTTTTTTGGTGTAAATATAACTCAAATGTTGAATGGGACATATTTATACCTTTACAATTTTTATTCATTGTTTATCTAAAATTCATTTTAACCTTGGTGTCCTATATTTTTATTTGCTAAATCGGGCAACCATTCCTATAAAGGGAGATTCCAAAAGCCTCCAAGAGTATGGCAGTTAGTACCAGTGCTTGGTGGAAGTTGAGAAGTGGAAAACACAGCAGGAAATTTCAACTTTCCAGAGAAGAGAAGATGCCAGTGAAGCAGGAGGAAGGGATGATAAATACGACACAGATAAATTAACCAATTTGTGTTTCTTCAGCATCTGCTATGCATTCTGCTAGGTACTTTGGGGGCTTGACTCAAGGAGATTACAGTGAGTTGTAAATTAATTCCTATAGGCAGTCATTGTACAAATATGTATTGTGAACACACTATGTGAACATACTATGTGCTAGGTTCAGGCTTTGGTACTAAATTGTCAAATAAAGAAGATAGTGCTGGAGCTTACAAAAAAAAAAGGGGACACTAGACTAACTCAAGTAAAACATTCAAAGAACAATTTGAGGTGAAACCTATTTGGAAACTAAAAATGTGCCTTCTGAAGAGCATGCTGTTTCACCCCTGTAATCCCAACAGCTTGGGAGGCTGAAGCAGGATGTTCACTTGAGGCCAGGAATTTGAGGATATAGTGAGTTATGATTGCAATACTGTATTTCAGCCTGGGTGATGAAGTGGGACCTTGTCTCAAAAAAAAAAAAAAAAAATGTGTGCCTTTTAAGAGCAACTGGGTGAACTTGCAAGATGTGTCTCCTCTAAATCTGTGGCTTTGCTTAGCTTCAAAAAGCAGCCATAATTCAAAGGAACTGGCAATCAACTGAGGGTCACACATTAATTAAAGAATGGAGGGTTTTAGCCAAGCCTTGAGTCACTCTGAAGCTTTTTTGCATGACAGCACACTGCTGCTGTAAGAACTAGCTCATGAAACATGCTAATTATTTGCAATGGTATGAGGATGAAAAGTCTGCTCTCACTACTGAGCAAAAGCATTCTTCCTCTAGACCCTCTTTTTCCTTCAAGTTCTTGAATCCCTTAGAAAAGATTTCTTATGTGAAAATGTTGAGGGTACAGGTGAGCTTTTCTGATCAGGGTGAGAGATGGTGAAAGTTTCCTTGCTGGACGGGCCTGGGACAGCTGACTTTGAACTTTTTTTGTGTCAGAGTTCTCCTTTATGTCCCCTTCTACCCTGAAATGTCAGTGGCCTGGCATCTGACATAAGTGTGGCTGTTAGGTCATGAGACCTTTGCAGCCCATCTGATGGGAAACCTGGCACCTTACCTTACAGGACTATATATACTTTCTTAGGGCAAGACTGTTACAGGGCCAGAGACTAAAGGACTCACTACGGTTAAAAGTGTCACAATTTATAAAGGGCTATAACCCACGTTATTTCTCTTAGTACTCAGAAAAATCCTGGGACTCATTTTCAGATGGGGAATCCAAATCTCAGAGATGATATGTGATTGGTTCAAGTACACATTGCCTGAAAGTGTCAGGGTCAGAACTGGGGGCCTAGATTCTTCTAATCCTAAATCTCATGCTGTCCCCACATCACAGGTGCTTGTCTTCTAGGCAATTCCTTGTAAACATAGCAATAAAACACTGCTTCTGGCGACTGTCTGGGAACTCTGGTGGATAAGAGAAATTATTGTCAAGGGATTTGGCCTCTCTTTCTGTTCTTTCTCTGATAATAGAAACTATCATTGGCTGAGTGTGGTAGCTCATGCCATAATCCCACCACTTTGGGAGGCCAAGACAGGAGGATTGCTTGAGGCTAGGAGTTTCAGACCAGCCTGAGACCTTGTTTCTTTAAAAATAAAAATAAAAAAGCGGAAAAAAAGATTATTTACTGAGGACATTCTGTGTACTATGCATCATTGTGATAAGTACTTAACAGTAACCATCTAATCTTACAATCGTGTGTGTGAGTGTGTATGTGTGTGTGTGTGTAGTTGTATATGTGTATGACTTGCTCAGCCTCACCTACGAGTAATTGACTGGGCCAGAATTCTAGCATTCTAGCCTAGGATTGTCTGACCCTAAAGCCACTATTACAGACTTTCATTTTCTCCCTTCTAGACTAATGTTTCTCTCTTTGAAATACACAAACATGCTTTCATGTTTAAATTTTTACATTTCTTTCCTATATGTTTTCTTCTGTTGCAGACATAAAACAGTTCAAAACTATGATCCCTAAGAGGACTCTCAAATTTATTTTACAAAATAAAATCCAAACTTAAGGATTCTTTTGGGGATCATAGTTTTGTACTCTTCTATGTCTGTGGCCAAGAAAATCATTTGCAAATGTGTTTTTAGGGTCATGTTTATATTCCTGTTGTAGGTCAAGATATGTTTGTTTAAACTAAGGTCTCCAAAGCTTAACCATTGATTTATTCAGACTTTAAACATGTTTCTTTCTAAAGCAACATGAGACCTGCTCATCCACAGGAATGTTACAGTCTTTCTAGTGCCCAACTTTAATAGTCTACCACAGTTTCTCAATTTTTTTGAACTTTGGATATAATTTTCAGGGTTGACATCTCAAGGAAGGCTCAGGTTTTTGTTTACATCCTCTCATCTTCCAATGAAGACCTTCTGTGGATTTTCCTGAAGCTTTAAGGTGAGGAATGAAGTAGCAATGAAGATAGGGCGATGGGAGCAGAAATGAGTGTGGGTGCAGCTCCTGACTGGGAACATCCAGACCAGAGCTCCTGGGTGCTCACCCCTCCATTTATTTGATTAACAAGTACTTACTGAACAACTGCAGTGCCTACATACTAGCTGTACAGGAACTCTGACCATTTCCTCCTAACAGATAAGGACAGACAGACAAGTTAACAGGCTGTTTTCAGTTTCTTCTTCCTACACAAAATGCTTACAAAGAATAGAGGGTCAGTACTCCTGATCTGCAGGTTGGAGACTGTTGAATTTCTTTTTAAGCTCACCTATGGGTTTTTACTATTTGCTTGGTGATGTACTAAATATTTTTATATTTTTTGTTTGTTCATTTGTTTGTTTGTTTTGTTTTTCTTTTTGTTTTTGAGATGGAGTCTTGCTCTGTCACCCAGACTGGAGTGCAGTGGCACAATCTTGGCTCACTGCAATCTCCGCCTCCCATGTTCAAGTGATTCTCCTGCCTCAGCCTCCCAAGTAGCTGGGACTACAGGTGCGTGCCACCATGCCCAGCTAATTTTTGTATCTTTAGTAGAGACCAGGTTTCGCTATGTTGGCCAGGCTGGTCTCAATCCCCTGACCTCAAGCGATCCACTCGTCTTGGCCTCCCAAAGTGCTGGGATTATAGGCATGAGCCACCGCACCCTGCTGTACTGAATATTTTTATATTCATCATCCAAGATTCTGTTTCTTTCCCTGTAAAATAGAAGTAGCTACCTCATGGGTTTATATTAATGAGATGATGATAATAATAGCTACAATTAGTTGACAGGAACCTTGTGTCAGGCATCGCAGTAGGCATGCCAATTACTTCATTTAATCCTTATGAAAATCATGAGGTGAGCACCCTTGTTAGCCACATTTTGCAGACGAGCACACTGAGGGTCAGACAGATTAAGAAAATTGCCCAAGCCCATAAGGAAAGTAAGTGACAAGTTTGGACTCTAATCTAGGTTGGTCAGAGGTTGAAGTCATGTACTGAACTACTGAGCCATGGTGACTTCATAAGAAAAGTATAAAAGTTTCGAATGCACTGTTTGGCAATGGCTGCTGTCTGTTGTTTATCTGAAACCCATTTTGCAACACTATAGATAAATGGGCTTTAAAATAAAAATTAAACTTTTTCTCTGTTAAACAACATGGATAGGTCCATTCTTGACCAAACAAACAGAAAAACAAGGCCATCTTTAGGGGCTTAGAAACCGAAAGTGAATACATTTCCACTTCATGTTTCCTCTTTGCTTTCAATAATTCTTTTTTTTTTTTTTTTTTTGAGACAGAATCTCGCTGTCACCCAGGCTGGAGTGCAGTGGCGTGATCTCGGCTCACTGCAACCTCCGACTCCCGGGTTCAAGTGATTCTCCTGCCTCAGCCTTCTGAGTAGCTGGGATTACAGTCGTGTGCCACCACGCCCAGCTAGTTTTTGTATTTTTAGTAGAGACGGGGTTTTGCCATGTTGGCCAGGCTGGTGCTTTCATTAATTCTTGTTTATTTTTTATTATTTTTTTTTTCTGGTTAAAAATAGGTCTTGGTGACCTTTGGAAGTGACCTTGAAGGGGAAAAATTCGCTGAAGGGCTACGTATAGCCTGAACTGAAGGTGAGTAGGGCAGAGAGTGGGAAGATAATGAATATTTATTTATTTATGTATTTATTTTAAAATTCTGGCCTTTATCCAGATGAAGAATTAATATTTATTAAGCTCCTCTACATGCTTGTCATCTTAAGTATGTTATTCACTCATTTTGTTCAACAAGATTTATTGTTGCTGGAGGCTGGATGTGGTGGCTGATGTCTGTAAATCCAGCACTTTGGGAGACCAAGGTGGGAGGATCATTTGAGACCAGGACTTGAGACCAGCCAGGGCAAAAGAGTGAGACCCTATCTGTACCAAAAAAAAATTTTTTTTGAGACAGAGTCTCGCTCTGTTGCCCAGGCTGGAAGTGCAGTGGCATGATCTCTACTCACTGCAACCTCCGCCCCCGGTTCAAGCGATTCTCCTGCCTCAGCCTCCCAAGTGGCTGGGACTACAGGGGCGTGCCACCACACCTGGCTATTTTTTTGTACTTTTAGTAGTGGGATTTCACTATGTTGGCCAGACTGGTCCCAAACCCCTGACCTCAGGTGATCCACCCACCTTGGCCTCCCAAAGTGCCGGGATTATAGACATGAGCCACCATGCCCAGCCAAGAAATTTTTTAAAAAGTAATCGAGCATGGTGACACATGCCTGTAGTTACAGCTACTTGGGAGGCTGAGGTGGGGGGATGGCTTGAACCCAGGAGTTTGAGGCTACAGTAAGCCATGATTGTGCTACTATATCCCAGCCTGGGCAACAGAGCAAGACCCTATCTCTCAAAAAAAAAAAAAAAAAAAAAAGTTTATTGTCCCTGGAACTGTGCTGATGATGGCCTACCAAATTTTCACAAGAATATTGCAAAATGAGGACACAAAGCCTTTAAGAAATTAAGTAATTTGCCTAAGGTCATGTGACTGGTTGTTGACAGAAGCTAGTTTTAAACTCAGGTTAATCTGCTTTCTATCTGTGCTATTTCCATTACACCTTTCTGCTTTGTCCAAGTGATCCTAGGAAAGGAATTCGCCAGATTCTAAGTTGCTAAGCCCAAAGATTGAGTCTAAATTGATATACTCACCTCCCCACTGTTCTTCCATTGGCTGACTCATGCTTTCAGAGAAGCTGGGAAATTAGGGGAGACCAATAAAAGAGTGCCTTTCTTGCAGATTCAGGAAACTAAATGTTGCTTTAAGCACTGTTCTAGAAAATTCCCAGTAACTTTAGAGTGTCCTTTAAGAGCTCTTAATGCTCTGGAAAGTCTCTCAATACCGGTTTTCCAGAGGCTGGACGCTTTGCCGTTGAGTGTAGTGTTTGCAGCACATCGCAGAGGCAGGTCACTAGAGCTAGTGGGAACACATACATCACTGACATGTGATGGGAATCCTCCAGGGGGCAAACAGGCGGGGGCCAGCTTCTGCTCTGAGCAGTCTAAATGGAGCTAGAAACAAGAGCCATCTAGTAAAACATTTCACAGGATAAAGTGCAGAGTCTGTTTCACACTTAGCCCTGTCAGTTCTGTGGAGAGGCAAGTGTTTGTAGAAAGTTTTGAATTCTTCTCTCATGCCCTGGAAAACCAAACACCATCAAAGAAAACAGCCTGCTCCTGAATTCTGCGGCTGTAGTTTTTACACTCACCATCCTGTTTTTTCTTTCTTAAATTGCTTCGTGTGATGAGGACACAAATCAAAATAGTCTACCTTTTAGAAAAGATGGCAGATCGTGGCATTTACATCTCATAAGTATCTGATTGCTTAAAGAAAATCATCTAACTGTTCAAGTCAATAAACTTTTACTGAACACTTGTCGTGCGCTAGTCATTGTGATAGTGGCGATGATGAAGTGATGTATGGTTCTTCTTTTCAAGAAGCTTTCAGTCTAGTGGTGAAAGAGCACAGACATGAATGATACTTGGAATACAATGGGATCTCTTTTACAGCTGAGATACTTTCCAGGCAGGCTGCAGGGAGTTGGTGCCAGATAGTCCTGGATTCATAATCCCTATTGCTTCTAACAATAAAAGGATCTCAACCAGATACTCAATCTCATCCATCATCAATTTGCCTCTCTGTTAGAGATAAACAATGCCACCTCATAGGACTGTTTTGAGATGCAATAGACATCAGAATTGATATATGAGATTTACCAGACTCATATCATCAAGGTGATCTGCCATAACTTGCTTAACCATTGCTCTGTGCCTGATGAAAAAACTTTGCCAGAGTAGTCTCTCTACCACTCTGAATCCCTTGTCCCTTGCTCACCTCCTCAATGGCAACCACTCCCCTTAACCCCTGTATATCACTCCAGAGATATTTTAATATTTAATATATATGTATATATTTTTTAAAATTTTATAAAAATTATACTACATACACTGCTCTGCACTTCACTTTTAAACTTTATTTCAGAGATCTTTCCGTATCAGTACACGCACATCACTTTTTTTTTTTTTTGAGACAGTTTCCGTCTGATGCCCAGGCTGGAGTGCAGTGGCGTGATCTCGGCTCACTGCAATCTCCGTCATTTGGACTCAAGTGAGTCTTGTGCCTCAGACTCCTGAGTAGCTGGGATCACAGGTGTGCATCACCACATCCAGCTAATTTTTGTATTTTTAGTAGAGACAGGGTTTCACCATATTGCCCAGGCTGTTCTTGGAACTCCTGGCTTCAAGTGATCTGCCTGCCTCGGCCTCCCAAAGTGCTGGGATTACAGATGTGAACCAGTGCACCCAGCCTGCATTATTCTTTTTAATGGCTCCGTAGGATTACATTTTATGGATACACTGCAGTTTACATAACCATTACCCTGTTGATAGACATTTTGGCTATTTCCCATCTTTTGGGATGCTTATGTTATGATACTGCAATGAATATTCTTTGTATATATCTTTGCATGTGTATTTCTGTAGGATAAATTAAAAATGTTGGGTCAAACTTTTGGTCATTCTTGATAAATATTAAGAAATTATTCTCTAGGCCAAACGTGGTGGCTCATGCCTATAATCCCAGCACTTTGGGAGGCTGAAGCGAGGGCAGATGGCTTGAGGCCAGGGGTTTGAGACCAGTCTGGCCAACATGGCAAAACCTTGTCTCTACTAAAAATACAAAAATTAGCCAGGCGTGGTGGTATACACATGTGATTCCAGCTATTCGGGAGGCTGAAGCACAAGAATTGCTTGAAACTGGGAGGCAGAGGTTGCCGTGAGGTGAGATCAGGCCATTGCACTATAGCCTGGGTGACAGAGTGAGACCCTGTCTCAAAAAAAAAAAAAAAAAAATCTGTTATCTAAAATGATGGTTCCAATTTGTCCTCCTATAAACTTTGAGAATGTTTCCCCACATCCTGGCCAAAATAATTTATGGTCAAACTTGTTGATGTTTGCCAAACTGATGAAAGCTAATATCTTAGTTTTAATTTGCACATCCCTTATTTTAAGTGAACATCTTTTTCATGTGTTTTAAAGTCAGTTATAGACTGGGCACGGTGGCACACGCCTGTAATCCCAGCACTTTGGGAAAGCAAGGTGGGTGGATCACCTAAGGTCAGGAGTTCAAAACCAGCCTGGCCAACATGGTGAAACCCCGTCTCTACTAAAAAATATAAAAATTAGCCAGGCGTGGTGGCACACACCTGTAATCCCAGCTGCTTGGGAAGCTGAGGCACGAGAATCTCTTAAACCCAGGAGGTGGAGGCTGCAGCGAGCCAATATTGTGCCACTGCACTCCAGCCTGGGTGACAGTGCAAGACTTCGTCTCAAATAAAATAAAAAGTTAGTTATAGATCTTTTGTTCAGAAAGTTTGCTATAACCTAATCCAATCACAGAAAACGTCAGAAGCTGATAGAATGGGGTGGTAAACATGGAACATGCTGTTTGACTATGGAGATGCAAGATGAAGGAGACAAGATCCCTGCAATATAAAGATTGGTCATTAAAATTATTTAGGCAAGAAATGTTGACTCATAATCAGAACTGTGTTTTGAGAAGCTCTGGACAGTGTGGAAGATGGAATGGAAGTGGCAAGACTAGAGGGAGTGAAAAAAATTAGTTAAAAGGTCGTTGCAATCCTGAACTGAGAATTCAGGAAAGAATGAAAATTATGAAACCAATTGGAAAAGCATTGCAGAAGCCAAATCAAAAGAACTTGATGACACAATAAATGTCGGGTAAGGAGAGAGAGAAATTACTTAGGCAAATGAATGGCTTAAAAAGAAAGGGAATACATGGTAGGGAATTTGCTCTCTGACATTACTAAACACCTACTAAGTAAGGGTTTATGTTAGTTATATATACATTTATGTATATGGAAATCAAATGAGTGAAAATAAACACATTGCATTTATCCAATTTCACAGCATCTTTATTAGGGAAATATTATAATCTATTTAAGTATGAAAAAATTAGAAAAGTAACATGTGCAAGATAAAAAAAACTATTAGATTTCTCCAAAACATTCATATCAGAATGCAAAGTCAGACATCTCTGATAGGATAACCAATGATTTTTATTTTATTTTATTTTATTTTATTTTAGAGGCAGGGTCTCACTATGTTGCCCAGGCTGGTCTTGAATTCCTGGGCTCAAGTGATCCTCTCACCTCAGCCTCCTAAAGTGCTGAGATAATAGGTATGAGCCACCACACCTGGCCACCAATGCTGTTTATACTAGTTCAAATTACCTAGATTTAAAGAAAACATTCAGGGAGAAAAATTATCTTACATCATGCAGGATGCAAAATGCCCACAACACTTGCACCAGGAATTATTCCCCGAGCTATCAGATCATCAGTTTAATTTAAACATGGCAATTCTCAGAGGAACCCATTATAACTCACAGCTGTCTCTAATTCTGAATTGACCAGGGTTACCCCCTTTATAGAAAAATCACTCTTCTCCCCTTGTCATTTTTCTGCAACTCATTTGGGAAAACACATCAAATTGTATTAAGACTTTTGATACTGTAAATTTAGTCCTATTCAAATGCTGCATTAAAATGCCTTATCAAGAAGATAATATCTTCATTAAATATATTGATGGTTAACTAGGATGAGGATTTTGAACACATGATTAACATAACTATTAATACTTTGGAAGAGTAGTGGACTGTTGCCCATTTTAAAAAAAGGTTGATTATTTGGAAATGGATATTATAATCGTGTCTGTTGTCTGTAAAAGCAGACTTTGTATCATCGCTTATCTTGGATAAATCAAATATTTCTATTTCACTTGTAACATTTATCAACATTTATCAACTTCCTTCCATATGTGTTATTAGTTTTATTCCCAGGCTTTTCAGTCGACAAATACTTTTGTAATGGTAATCAGCTAGTATTTGCTGAGCCTAGCAAGGTAATTGATTACATAGTTGTTTAGTATATTGTTTCCAAAGCTAGTCATACACTTGATATAATAAATTCCTAAAAAGACAGGGTTTTTTTTTTTTTTTTTTAGGTTGAGCCTGGTGGCTAATGCCTGTAATCCTAGCACTTTGGGAAGCTGAGATGGGAAGACTGCTTGAGCCCAGGAGTTCTGTGCTGCAGAAGGCCATGATCCCACCACTGCACTTCAGTAGGAACAGAGCGAGAACTTGTCTCTAATAATAAAAAAAAAAAGTACACATTAAACCAAAATGAAAGTATGAATTGATACCATCATTGCTTGGCCACTTTCTGGCAGACTGGATTTGAAGGCTGTGAGTCAGTCATTAAGGCACATGAAGAAATTAATGAAGACCATCCAGTGGAAATTCATGAATATTTGTCAATGCTTGAGAATTACACTGGTGCTGTGGATAATATGCTAAAGACCATGATGTCTGTTTCTTGAAATGAGTTGTTGCAGAAGTTGGACCCACTTAAACAAGTGAAAGTGGATTTAGTTTCTATGTACACATTAAATTTAAAGTTTTGAGTTTATTTGGCAACTCAAGGAGTTAATACTAAGAAACAGCTAGTAAAGCAGGAAGGAATTGGAAAGAATCAGAATATATATGAACACAGTCAAGGAAATAACAGAAAAAGGCTGGCAAGCTGGACAGAGGTACATCTTCAACATTTGTAAAAAATGACCTCTGGGAACTGAAACCTAAAAATGCATCATAAAACTGTAGGGACTAAACTCTCCGGTTACTTAATAAGCTAGTAAAAGCTGGGTAAAGTGGATCATACCTGTAATCCTAGCATTTTGGGAGGCTGTGATCCCAGCACTTTGGGATTGCTTGAGCCTAGGAGTTTGAGACCATCCTGGTTAACATGATGAGACTCTGTCTCTACAAAAATTAGCTGGGCGTGGTGGTGCACGCCTGTAATTCCAGCTATTTGGGAGGCTGAGGCACAACAGTTGCTTGAACCTGGAGGTTGCAGTGAGTGGAGACTGTGCCACTACACTCTAGCCTGGGTAACAGGGTGAGACCCTGTCTCAAAAAACAAAAAAAAAGTTGTCAGTAGAGGCCTAGCACAGTGCCTCATGCGTGTAATCCCAGCCTTTGGGAGGCTGAGGCAGGAGAATCACTTGAACCCAGGAGTTCAAGACTGGCCTGGACAACATAAGGAGACCCTGTCTCTACAAAAAATGGAGAAAATTAGCCAGACATGATGGCACGTGCCTGTAGTCCCAGCTGCTGGAGAGGCTGAGGCAGGAGGATCAGTTGAGCCTTGGAAATCAAGGCTGCAGTGAGCTTTGATGGTGCCATTGCACTCCAGCCTGGGAAACAGAGTGAGACCCTGTCTCAAAAGACAAAACAAAAAACAAGAAACAAACAAAAAGCTGTCAATAAACAAAAAAGTAAACATTTAGTTTTTGGTTTTGATGTATACATATTCAAAAAGTATGTCATTTTTTCACAAAATAAATAATTATGTGGCAGTGCAAGGTTTAAATGTCTACTGTATTGAATTCATATGTAGATTTGCCATTTAAATTTTTGTTTGTTTGTTTTTGAGACAGGGTCTTGCTCTGTCACCCAGACTGGAGTGCAGTGGCATGAGCATGGCTCACTGCAACCTCGACCTCCTTGGTTTAATTAATCCTCCTATCTCAGCCTCCCAGATAGCTTGGGCTAAAGGCACATGCCACCATGCCCAGCTAATTTTTGTATTTATGTATTTAATTTTTTTGTAGAGATGCGGGTTTCACCATATATTGCCCAGGCTGATCTCCAACTCCTGGGCTCAAGCGATCCGCCTGCGTTGCCCTCCCAAAGTGCTAGGATTACAGGCATGAGCCACTGGTCCCAGTTACTTGAGAGGCTGAAGTGGAAGGATCTCTTGACCCCAGGAGGTTTAAGGCTGCATTCAGCCATGTTTGTGCCACTGCACTTCAGTCTGGGCAACAGAGTCAGATTCTGTCTCAAAAAAGAAAAAACAAAACAAAAGCAAAAACAAAAACAAACCAAAACAAACAAACAAAAAACCCAAAATTAACTCACAGAAATGTTAATAAGCAACATTCAAGCCAACAATGACCAGTTTGGAAACATAATGAAGAAAATAACTTTATCAACAATACCAACAAAAAAGATAAATGTCTGGAAATAAATTGATAAGAAGTGCACAAGATCTATATTAAAGTATTAAGTGACACAAACAATTTAAACCATTAGAAAGGTTGCTAAGCCTGAGCCACATTGCCCAGCCAGGAAAGAGACTTTCCAAAAGAGTTGTCCATTTCTATGAGCTTCTCCAGAGAAGGGAGTGAATCTTCATTACTTCCCCAGAGAAGGGAGTGGATCTTCATTATCCATGTTTTCTAGGGTCCCTCACAGTACCTGACAAAGAGCAGGGTTTGTGGAGTGAATTGAATAAATTGAATGGCTGACATGGGAGGTAGTGAGTTCTCTACCACTGGAAGTAGCCAGGAAATTGTAGTGAAACTGAGAATGCATCGGGTTAGAGACTCTTGATTATATTTACGGTCTCTTCTAATAAACTATGATTCTTATATTCTAAGATTTCCAAGAATTTTCCAAATCTTTAGAATAATATGATTAACCTTTCTCTGCCACATATTTGACCTCCAAAATATATCTCCCATCTCCCTACTTCTCTCTACCTCTACTGCCACTCTCTTAGCTCAAGATACCATCTTTTGTTACTGGACACCTAAATGATTTTCTTGATTCCACCTTTGCAGCCAGTGTAATCTTTTGATGTTGTAATCAGATTAGATTTAAGCAGGAGGGCTCTCCTGCTTAAAATCTCTTAATAGAAATCAGTGAAATAAAAAACAGGCAGGAAGAAGTAAATTACATGTTGTTTAAAAATTATATAAATTGCTTACCTGAGAAAAACAAGAGAATCAACTGAAAAACTATTACAAACAAGAAGAGAATTTAGTTCAGTGGTTGGATTACAGAATTAACTCACAGAATGACTGGTCTCAGTGGCTCATGCCTGTAATCCCAGCACTTTGGGAGGCCAAGGCAGGAGGATTGCTTAAGCCCAGGAATTTGAGACTAGCCTGGGCAATATAGAGAGACCTCATCTTTATAAAAATTAAAACAAAAAAATTTGCTAGGCATGGTGGTGCACGCCTGTGGTCCCATCTACTTGGGAGGCTGAAGTGTGAGGATCTCTTAAGCTCAGGAGGTTAAGGCTACATTCAGCCATGTTTGTACCACTATACTTCAGTCTGGGCAATAGAGTGAGATCCTGTCTCAAAAAAAAAAAAAAAAAAGAAAAAGCAAAAACAAAATAAACCAAAACAAACAAAAAACCCAAAATTAACTCACAGAAAGGTTAATAAGCAACATTCAAGCAAACGATGACCAGTTTGGAAACATAATGAAGAAAATAGCTTTATTAACAGTACCAACAAAAAAGATAAATGTCTAGAAATAAATTGATATATGCACAAGATCTATATTAAAGTATTAAGTGACACAAACAATTTGAACCACTAGAAAGGTAGCCCTTGGACAGGTGCAGTGGCTCACTTTGGGAGGCCGAGACGGGCAGATCACCTGAGGTCCAGAGTTCGAGACCAGCTTGCCCAACATAGCAAAACTGTCTCTACTAAAAATGCAAAAATTAGCCGGACGTGGTAGTGCATGCCTATAGTCCCAGCTACTCAGGAGGCTGAGGCAGGAGAATCACTTGAACCTGGGAGGCAGAGGTTGCAGTGAGCTGAGATTGTAACACTGCACTCCGGCCTGGGTAACAGAGTGAGACTCTGCCAAAAAAGAAAAGAAAAGAAAAGAAACAGAGAAAAAGATAGGAAGGCTCAACTTTTTTTTTTCTGAGGCAGGGTCTCACTTTGTCACCCAGGCTGGAGTGCAGTGGCACAATCTCAGTTCACTGCAGCCTTGACCTCCTGCCTCAGCCTCCCAAAGTGCTAGGATTACAGGTGTGAGTCACTGCACCTATCCGGAAAGCTCAACTTTATAAATAGAATCTATAACTTAAGCTCTCCTAATAAAAATCTAAATAGAATTTTGTCTTGGAATTAGATAAGCTGATTCCCAAATTTATATGAAAAATTAAATAAGAATAGAAATATATATTCCAAAAATAAATAAGAAGATCTACCAAATATTAAAACATTTTAAAGTTACAATAACTAAAAGAGTTCAGTGATCCAAAAAAAAACCCACAAAAGTGAAATCAAATACACATAGGAATTTAATCTATTATAAAGGTCTCATTTCAAATTATTGAGGAAAGATGGTTTATTTAATAACTGTTACATAAAAATCAGGATATCCATCTGGGAAAAAAATTAGCTTAGAGCCACACTGCATACTCAATGCTCAAAATAAACTCCAGATAAATAAATTATTTAATCATTATTTTTAAAGTACTTATAGAAAAGAGGAGACATTTTAGAATGTCAGAGTGAGGAAGAGGAAGAAATAAGCTGGCATTATTTACAAATGATATAGTTACATACATAGAAAATCCAAAAGAATCTACAGATAAATTATTAGAATTAAAAAGTGAATTTAAGAAGGTTGCTGGATAAAGGACCAGTATGCAAATCAGATATATTTCTACATACCAACAATAAACAGTTAGAAAACTTTTTTAAAAACATACAATTTCCACAGCATCTGAAGTTTCAAATAGGAATAAGTTCACACAAAGAAAAAGTACACAACCTGTACATAGAAAACTATAAATCTTACTGAGAGAAATTAAGGAAGAACTCAAGTTGTCTCTGAAGCCTGTTCCCAGAAGTGCTGCTGCTTGTCGTGAGCATATGGCTTTGAGGTTATGCCACAGAGTTGGAGTGCTGCCCTTGCAGACTCTGAGGGCCCATGGTTCCAGTGGGTGGCCTTGATGTGCTCCATGGCATCTGAAGGTGGTGTTCCTACTGATGGTGATGTGTCTGGACTGGAGATGTAGGTCATAATGGCTGCATGAAAGGGACTGGACCCATAGAATACACTACTCCAAAAGGAAGCTTCTGGCACCAAAGAAGACCCTAATTTAGTCTCCTCCATCACCAACAAGTGAATAGTGGGCTGCATCTGTGAAGAGTACAACAGTGCTGTCCTCTAGTTTTTGGCTGCACAAAGGTGAGACCCAGCAATGCCCTAACTGTGAAATCCATTACTATCTGGTGCCCCGCCAGTTGACCCACTGAGACTCTGCACTAAATTGCTCAAAATGCGCTGTAAAGTTTCTTCTTTCCAGTAAAGACTAGACATTGAATTGGCTCCTTCTCCCCCAACCCACCTGAAAAAAAAGAAGAACAACTAAATTAAGGAGAGGCTGTACCATATTCATGGATTGGAAGACCCAGTTACACTAAAGATACTGCTTCATCTCAGATTATCTACAGATTCAATGCAATTCCAATCCAAATTCCAAGAGGACTTGGTTTATAAGACTCCATAAGGTGATTCTCAAATTTATAGAAACATGGAAAGGACCCAGAATGGAAAATAAACTTTTGAAAAGGAGCAAGGTAGGAGTAATTGTCCCATTGAATATCAAGACTTATAAAGCTATAGCAATTAAGTCAGTATGGTAATGTTGCAAGGATAGAAAATACTAAGCCCAGAAATGAACTTCCATAAGGACATCTAATTTATGACAAAAATGACACTTCAGAACAGTAGGAAAAAGTTTTTCAATAAATGATGCTGGGTTATTAGATATCCAAGTGCTAAAAATGAAAAGATAATACAAAAACTCCAGGTGTACTATATTCCTAAATATGAAGGATAGAACAACACACCTTATAGGAGATAACACAGGAGCGTATCCACCTTGAGACGATGAAAAGTTCCTACACATAACCCAAAAAAGCACAATAAAGGAAAAGACTGATAACTTGACTACATGAAAATGAAGAGCTTTATTCATCAAGAGATAGCACTAGGAAAATGAAAAAGCAAACCAGAGTGACAGAAGATATATGCAACACATATAATCTACTAGGACTCATATCCCTAGTATACAAGAAAAACAGCTACAAATCATAAGAAAAAGTCTAAAAAATCTAATTTTATAAGTGGGCAAACGTCTTGAACAGGCACTTTGTAAAAGAAGATATCCAAATGGCCAATGAATGTCAGTATTCAGGGAAATGTTAATTAAAACAACAATGAAATATGACTGTGCACCCACGTAAGAGGACAGACAATCCCAATTGTTGGTGAAGACATGGAGCAACAGCTCTCATACATTGCTAATGGGAAGGTAAATTGGTATAACCAATCGGGAAAACTCTCTGTATTAGCTATGGAAGTTGAATATATACATTCCTACAACCCAGCAATTCTACTCCTAGGAATGTACTGGATAAGAATGCATGAATATGTGCATCAGGAGACATAAACAAGCATATTTATAGCAGCACTCAGCATTATTCATAGCAGCAAAAAACTGGAAACAACTAACATCATTATAAACAGTAGAATGAATAAATAAAAGCTGGCATATTTTTACAACAGAACACTACAGTGGAACAATAAACACACAACAACATATTAAGCTAAAGAAGTCAAATATAAAATAATATTACTACATAAATGATTTGATTCTTAAAGTTCAAAAACAAGCAAAAATTAAACTGTCATGTTTAGAAACTTATGTGGTAAAATTAGAAAGAAAAGCAAGAAGTTATTACCATAAATTCAGGATGGCGGTTATGTGTTGATGGGAGTGAGGGGGCACAAGGGGACTATGAGGATGATACCTTTTTTTTTTTTTTTTACAAACTCCTGTGTTGAGGGCTGACTGAATAGATCACAGCGAGGGAGCTGCTCGGCTATGTACGAAACCCCAACCCAAAAGCACATTTCTTGATATTGGTGGTGGTTACATGTGCTTGTTTTTGATCATTTATTGAGTTATATATTTTTGTCTGGTCAATTTTTCTGTATATGCATTACACTTAGCAATTTGAAAAAAATTTTTAAAATCCTCTCTCTAGAGAGACAGCAAATATGGCAAAATGTCAACAATTGCTGCAATAAGATGAAGGGTATATGAGTATTCTACTATTCTCCAACTTTTCTGTACATTTGAACATTTTTTTTAAAGTTGGAGAAAAACCTCTTTTGATCTAAATTCTCCTGTGGCCGGTGACCCATTTCAAATCCCTTACCCTTACAGCAAATTCCTTGAAAGTGTTGTCTACACTCTGAATCTCCAGTTTCTTTTCTCCAACTCTCTCCTGAACGTATTCCTACCCAGGTTTCATCTCCACTATAGCAGTGAAACTGCTCTTCTCAAGGTCATCGATAACTTCCCCATGGCTAAATCAAATGAATATGTGTTAGGCCGGCACTGTGGCTCGTTCCTGTAATCCCAGCAGTTTGGGAGGCTGAGGTGGGCGGATCACTTGAGGTCAGGAGTTGGAGACCAGCCTGGCCAACATGTCAAAACCCCATCTCAACTAAAAATACAAAAATTAGCTGGGTGTGGGGACACACGCCTGTAATCCCAGCTACCCGGAAAGCTGAGGCAAGAGAATTGCTTGAACCTGGTAGGTGGAGGTTGCAGTGAGCTGAGATCGTGCCACTGCACTCCAGCCTGGGTGACAGAGTGAGACTCTGTCTCAAAAAACAAACAAATAAAAAACAGATGATCATGTTTCAGTCCTCATCTTTATTTACCATCTGCAGCATTTTACATGGTTGCTTTCTCTTCTCCCTGAAATATTTTCCAGCTTTCAGGACATGTGCCTAATTTTTCTTTTACTTTTCCCAATGGTCCTTGTCATTCTCCTTTCCTGGTCTTCTCCCTGACCTTTAAATATTAAAGTGGCCCAGGATTTTGCTCCTGGGCAGCACATGGACACCTCAAACCTTTACTTACATGTAAGTTTTTCAGTGAAGCCTTATCTGGTGACTCTTACCTAAAATTACAGTCCTACACTTCTTAACTCTTTTCCTTGGTTTGTTATAGTCTCCTTAGCACTATCTAAAATTACTATTTTACTTATTTATTTTGTTTATTTCCTATCTTCCCCACTAGAATATAACTTACAAGAGGGAAAGATTGTTATGTTTTGTTACTGCTCCATGTCCAGCATCTAGAATAGTGCCTGGCACATATTAGGCACTCAATTAGTGTTTGTTGAATGCATAATGAGTTGTACTTAAAGTAAAATCTATAGTCCTAGTTTACAAAACCCTGCTTAACTTGTCTTCTGCCAACCTCTCTACTCTCCTTTCATTTCTCTAAACCTATCAAGCTCTTCTCCAACTCAGAGGCCTTGCATTTAACCTTTGCCCTGCTGAGAAACCTCTTTCCTGGCTCTTCACATAACTGGCTTCTCATTCTTCAGGACTCAGTTTAAATATTCTCTCCCCAGAAAGGTCCACTCTGACCACCCCATCTCTCTTTGCATCCCTCTCTGCCCAATTACACTATCCAGATACAGTTTCTTTATAGTACTTGTCACAATTTTCTTGTTCCTTATTTGATGACATGTTTTTTGGTCTGCCTATCCTGGTGGAATGTAAGTCTGCCGGTCTTTCTCAGCGATATATCCCCAAGATCTAGCACAGGCCTGGAACATAGTTGTTGCTCAATAAATGGCTATTAAATGAATGAATAAAGGCATATGTAAATAAATGAGCAAAACAACTTTCTCAGTGCTTAGGGCAGGGTTTGAATATACATAAAGAACCAATGCCATCACTCTGTATCCAGAAGAAGACAAAGGGGATTTGTTCTGATGCATCAAGAGCCCAAGAATGAAATATTCAGCATTCCTTTAGAGCCAACTGCCTTGCAAGATTCTTTTTCCCTCTAAATAGTCTGACCAGTTACTGAGGTATAAAGAGCAAATGTGGAAATAGTCCACCTGCACCAAATGGATGCGTTTGATGTACTAATCAGAGATGGCCTGAAATGTTTGGTTATGGACAATTAAGGACAGCTGGCCTTTGAGATCCTTTAATGTGTGCTTGAAGCAATAATGGCTGTGTGGGAAGAGAAGTGGGAAGGTGGCTTCCTAGTTAGGGACAAAGTACATGGTGTATTCTACCCACTTCTCCATTTATTATTGTTATATTATTATTATTATTATTATTATGTGTACAAGAGCAGGTTTTACAGCAAATTAAGGTCAAGCTTAAAAGGAAAAAGAAGACACAAAAGATAAAAATGCAATGTGGAGGCCAGGCGCGGTGGCTCACGCCTGTAATTCCAGCACTTTGGGAAGCCAAGGTAGGCAGATCACCTGAGGTCAGGAGTTCGAGACCACCCTGACCAAAATGGAGAAACCCTGCCTCTACTAAAAATACAAAATTAGCTGGGCGTGGCGGCGCATGCCTGTAATCCCAGCTACTTGGGAGGCTGAAGCAGGAGAATTGCTTGAACCCAGAAAGTGGAGGTTACGGTGAGCCAAGATCGCAGCATTGCACTCCAGCCTAGGCAGGAGTTAAACTCTGCCTCAAAAAAACAAACAAAAAAGCAATGTGGAGTGCAGAAGTTGTAGAGGCAGAGCACCCCTATATTGCTTTTGTGAGAAGGAGGATCCATTAGGGGCCAGGCATTTCACTTACATGAACCCACTGAATCTTTATAATAACCCATCATAGAATGTATGTGTGTCATTCCCATTTAACAGATGAGGGAATGGAGGTTTAGAGATGTGAAGGATCTGTTCAAGTTCACACAGAAAGTGAGTAGCAACCTCTTTGAAATCCTGATCTCTCTGATGCCAGAGCTTGTGCTTTTTCCACCATACCTGATACTCTGCCCCCTCTTCCTCCCAATGAACAGCCCAGAACCCCCATACTATGAAGCCTAAGATGATTGCCACAGTTTCCTCTGCAATGCCATCTTGTGACATATTTCTTTCCATACTAGCATAGTGCCTGGAACATAGCTGGCTCTTCAATAAAAGAATCTATTGAATAAAATAATGAAAGAATGAACAAATGAACAAAGAAGATATTTTAAACAATGTGACTTTCCTTGTGAATCACGTACTGAGAGTCAAAACATTTAGTTCCTAGGGGTCTTTCTCCCCACTGCAGTTCACCAGGAACGGACGTTTCTTCAAGAATAGCACAAAGACCTGGCAAAAGAAGGCTATAGTCATTCTGGTGTTATGTCTCCTCTGTCCTGCTTTGGGGAGCACTCTGGTTGTAAAGCCCACAGGGCTATCTTCTGATGGTGTAGTAGTTGTCAATAGCAATAGCTAGCACTTATTGAACACATGCCATGGGCTAAGCACAGTGGTGAACTCTTTTTAAAAATTTTATTTAATTCTCTCTCTTTTTTTTTTTTTTTTTGAGACGGAGTCTTGCTCTGTCGCCCAGGCTGGAATGCAGTGACACGATCTTGGCTCACTGCAACCTTCGCCTGCCGGGTTCAAGCAATTCTCTTGCCTCAGCCTCCCAAGTAGCTGGGACTACAGGTGCACACCACCACGCCCGGCTAATTTTTTGTATTTTAGTAGAGACAAGGTTTCACCGTGTTGCCCAGGCTGGTCTCGAACTCCTGAGCTCAGGCAATCCACCTGCCTCTGCCTCCCAAAGTGCTGGGATTACAGTCGTGAGCCACTGCGCCTGTCTAATTCTCTTTTTTCTTTACTTTATTTAATCCTCCAAAGCCTGAGAGAGAGGCACGTCTATTGTCTCAGTTTCACAGGTAAGAGAAGGGAGGTTTTGGCTTGTCTAAAAATAGCAACTGCCAATTTGTAAGACAAATACTGTAAAGTCTCTTCTCTCTTTTTTCTCTTCTTTCCTTTCCTTCTTAAGAGGTAAAAATATAATCCCTACAGAAACTCATTCTTTGAAAATAGAGGCACCAGCAAAAGGTTTGTGCAGTCATCCAAAATTCAGGAATCCATAAGACATTGTATTTTCCCTGGTGAATGTGGTAGGTCAGGACTGCTCTCAGAAAGAAATATTGCTTTTATAGATGAGAATGCATTGAATTTTATATCAAAGAGCCTAGTTTGAGTTCTAGCTCCATGAGTGACTGTGGGTACTGGCCGGCATTAACCTTGAAGAGCCTTAGCTTTCTCGCATATGAAATGGAGATAACACAAATTCTTTCCCCATAAGATTGTACTAAGGGTCAAAAGAAATAATATGATTTGGATAGAGTGAACCAGTCTACAAATGCGGTCTATTCTTCTTCTGTCTGGAGAACTCTCTAAGATCAGGGTCCACCATGCAGCCCCAGTAGAGTGTTCCTTGCCATCCCCGCTACTAAAAGTAACCTTGTGTCCAGGACTGGATACAACAGTGCTGAGATTAACAGCAGCTGTTTCTGAACAGTTTTTAGTTCTTCCTTTTTTTTTTTTTTTGAGATGGAGTCTTGCTCAGGCTGGAGTGCAGTGGCGCGATCTCAGCTCGCTGCAAGCTCCGCCTCCTGGGTTCACGCCATTCTCCTGCCTCAGCCTCCCGAGTAGCTGGGACTACAGGCGCCCACCACCACGCCCGGCTAATTTTTGTATTTTTAGTAGAGACGGGGTTTCACCGTGTTAGCCAGGATGGTCTCGATTTCCTGACCTTGTGATCCGCCCGCCTCAGTCTCCCAAAGTGCTGGGATTACAAGAGTGAGCCACCGAGTTCTTCCTTCTTATACTGACATTTGTTTGTAGCTGACTGATCCTCCACGTGGAAGAACTGGAGGCAGGAAGTTTTCTGAAGCACAGGACTTGGGTTCCAGGTAGGGTACTATATCCAGAGCAATAAAAAGGAGGGTGAAGGAGACAGTGAGTCTGAACATGGCATATTTCTCCATTGACTTATGTCTTCTTTAATGTCTCTGAACAAAGTTTCAGTCTTCCCTCTAGAGATATATACATCTTTTGTTAGAGTCCTAGGTACTTGATATTTTTAATGCTATGATAAATTTTCTATCTTTAAAACTTTAAAAAACTATTTGTAGCTGATATATAAAAATGCAATTGATTTTTCCATATTTCCTTGTATTCAATAAACTTTCTAAGTTTCTAATAAGTCTAATAATGTATATATAGTGGTTTTTAGATTTTGTTTCTTCCTTTTCAATCCTTAATACTTTTTATTTATATGTATTTTGTTTTACTGAGCTGGCTAGGACCTCCAGGACAATGGTAAATAAAGAAGTCTCTTATTCTTGGTCTCAGAAGGATTTTTTTTCTTTTTTTTTTTTGAGACGGAGTCTCGCTGTGTCGCCCAGGCTGGAGTGAAGAGGCGCAATCTCAGCTCACTGCAACCTCCACCTCTTGAGTTCAAGTGATTCTCGTGCCTCAGCTTCCCGAGTAGCCGGGGTTACAGGCATGCACCACTACGCCTGGCTAAGTTTTGTATCAAAGGAAATTTTTCATTCTTTATTAAGTATAATGATATACTTTTAAGAGATACTCTTTATCAATTAAAAAAGCTCTGCTTTTTTAGCCGTATTTTTATAGATACCCATTATCAGTTTAAGAAATCTACACTCAATTTGCCAAGAGTTTTATTTTTAATGAATAAATGTCAAACAATTTTTTTTCTATATCTATTGAAATGACCCTATGTGTTTATGCCTTCAACCAGTTAAGGTGTAAATTACAGGTTTTTTTTTTGTTTTTTTTTTGTTTTTTTTTGAGGCAGAGTCTCGCTCTGTCGCCCAGGCTGGAATGCAGTGGCACGATCTTGGCTCCCTGCAACCTCCTCCTCTCCGGGTTCCAGCGATTCTCATGCCTCAGCCACCCGATTAGCTGGGACTACAGGCGCCCGCCACCACGTCCGGCTAATTTTTTATATTTTCAGTAGAGACGGGGTTTCGCCATGTTGGCCAGGCTGGTCTCCAACTCCTGACCCCAGGTGATCTGCCCGCCTCGACCTCGCAAAGTGCTGGGATTACAGGCGTGAGCCACAGTGCCTGGCTGTAAATTACATTTTTAATTTTTAAAAATATTAAATGAAACTTGTATTTCTGATATACTTGGTTATGATATATACTTTGAATTTGGTTTGCTAGTATTTTATTTATGATCTTTGTACCCAGGTTCAAAAGTGACAACAGTCTATATATCTCATTTACTTTGCAAAGTGAGTTTTACCATCTCCATTGTATTTGTGATGTCAAAGAGGTTGAATAACTTGCCAAGGTCATGTATACCTAATTGGTGGCTATGCCAGGCCTGGAAGTCAGGTCTGTCTAAACATGAAGTTGGCTTGTGTCCTCTTAATGAATAAATGTCAAGCATTTTTTTCTCTGCATCTATTGAAATGACCCTATGTGTTTATGCCTTTAATCAGTTAGGGTGTAAATTACATTTTTTGTTGTTGTTGTTGAGGTGGAGTCTCACTCTGTCACCCAGGCTGGAGTGCAGTGGCACCATCTTGGCTCCCTGCAACCTCCACATAGCTTCCATGAACATTTATATTTATTAAGTCTTCAAAACTCACTGCCCGGGTCCTGAATGTTTCCAAAGCATAGGATTGTGGCTGTGGGTGGTGGCTAACACCTCTAATCCCAGCACTTTTGGAGGCCAAGGCAGGTGGATTGCTTAAGGCCAGGAGTTCAAGAGCAGCCTGGGCAACATAGTGAAACCCTGTCTCAAAAAAAAAAAAAAAGTCATAGGATTGAGGGAAGTAGCATGATAAGCATGATAGCAACAGATAGTCTGGAGAGGCTGTGTTGATGATCTGATTCATCAAAGTCAACAATAAATAATTCATCTGCATTTGAGCAAAAAATATGAACCAAGAGCCTAATTAGCTATCCAGGCAATTCCATAGACATCAATTTTGCAAGTAAGTATGAAAAAGAGAAAAACATAGTAATATATTCTAGTTGAAAAATATGCCATGAGATCATTTAGTTTACCAAGGGTAATCAAAATAACAGGAATATAATGAGTCAAGCTAAAAATATGGTTCCAGCTAAGTACTGTATGTCCTGAAAATTTGTTAGAGTAAAGGAAACTATGGGTTACATTCAGGCCGACTTGAGGAAAAAATCTTAAAAACACTTCAGCTCTTTGATCTGAATAAACAGAAAACATTGTTAAGGTAGAGGAAGGATTCCCAAGGCAGTGTAAAAAAATGCATTCATACGTGTTATTCCTTTTTTTTTTTTTAACTCAGAGGAATGTGTTGAACTGATTTAGTAGGCTGTAGAGCATGAGATACTAAAGGGGTCATGTCTCCATTCATTGAGGAGTCCCCAGTGGTGTCTGCAAAAAGCTTTGGAAAGCAGAGTGTAAATCTGTGATTCTTGACATTTTTCACACTTTACCCAAAGGACTTTTACAGACACTTGCTCATAAGTTATCTCATGAAGGTAATCTTCATCTTCCTTAAGTTAATGATGCTTATTGCCCGTTTTATTTTCCATTATCTAGCAGACACTGTAAACAATTTATCTCTCCCTTTTCTGGGTTCTTGTCAAACCTTGCTGTATTAGTCAGGGTATGCTAACTCTTGCAACAAACAATTCTCACATCTTAATGATTTAACACAATAAGAGTTTATTTCTGGCTCACATCACAGTTCAATGCACGTTGGAAGTAGTGGGAGGAGAGAAGAGCTCTGTGCACCTAATGGTTCTGCTGAATCCTCCGGCAGATGAAGGAAGAATGAGAGCACGAAGAATGGAAAGGAAAGTTTTATGGGCCAGGGCTGGAGGTAGTATTGATCATTTCTTTCCATATTTCAATGGCTAGAACACAGTAATGTGGCTGCACCTAACTGCAAAGGAGGCCAGGAAATATAGTCCTGTGTGCTAAGGAGGGAAAGGAAAATGCTTTGGTAAACTGCTTAGCCTCTAGTCACTGGTATATTGAGGATTAAATAAACGCTTGTAAAGAGTTTAGCTCAGCATCTCTATGCACATAGTGAGGGGTCAATATGACCATGATACACTCTTCTTCTCAGTGAAGTAGGTATAGCATTAATCATTCTCACTTTGGAGATGGGAAACAGGCTCCAATAGGTCGTTACTTTCCCAAAATTGCATGGTTAGCAAATAGCAGAGCTGGGATTAAATCTAAGTCAATTTTCTTAAAAAGTAGAATGTATTTTGTGTGTGTGTGATTTTTTAAAAATAAAATTTTAAAGGCCAGGTGCGGTGGCTCACGCCTGTAATCCCAGCACTTTGGGAGGCCAAGGTGGGTGGATCACGAGGTCAGGAGATTGAGACCATCCTGGCTAACACGGTGAAACCCCGTCTCTACTAAAAATACAAAAAAAAAAAAATAGCCGGGTGTGGTGGTGGGCGCCTGTAGTCCCAGCTACTTGGGAGGCTGAGGCAGGAGAATGGAGTGAACCTGGGAGGCGGAGCTTGCAGTGAGCTGAGATAGCGCCACTGCACTCCAACCTGGGGGACAGAGCGAGACTCCATCTCAAAAAAATAAAATAAAATTTTAAAATCTTTTTTTTCTCTTTTTCTTACTTTTGTGGAGGTGCATATCTTGGTAGAATGTTTCTTGAAGGCACTTGACAAATGTAGATTCTGCCTTTGTATGGACAGGCCATACTCTCAAAGGTTCAGATATACTTAGCTCTTCTGATTTCCTGGAATATCATGTTGTACCTTTCTCATGTCACTCATAAGTGAATCTGGGCCAAGCATTGCTAAAAATTGGATTGTTTATTCCCACTTTATGGCCACAGGTCTTGTTGCTGAGACTACTGATCTCCAAAGTGGAATGTGCTCACTCTAGAGGTATACAAGATAATTCACTGAAGTGTGGTAAGAATTTTCATAGCTTCTACTTAGGTTTATCATGAGAAAATTAAGCCCTATTCATCCATATGGATTGAGGTTGGCATCCCCACATTGTTTCTATATTTGACGCTCACATCAGATGAGATACAAATGGAGTTTCTTTCTTTGAGCATTAGTGACATATTGTGGTTCAAAAGGGGATTTATGGATTTTTAAAATCTAACTTTAACAAAATGAAATATTACAAAGTGAATAATTGGTTTTAAAAAATTGCTGGGAAAAAGAAAACCCTGTGAATTGAAGATGATACATAGGATCCCCCACTCTCAAATGGCAGAACTGACACTTTTACTTAGTATGATCCCTTCATCAGTCACATTATGAAGTTAAATACAATGATTAACAAAATCTGACCAGCTGACTCAAAACATCCAAAACTATTAAAAAATCTATTTGAAATACAGTATTAATTTGTATCCACTTAATAACAAGATACAGAAACCTAAGTATATATTTTCCCTGAGATAAAAGTTTATTCATTTTCATTGTATTCCTTCAAACTTTTTGTTTACATTTCATAATGTATATTTTATATTAGCCCAATAGTGGATGTGTATAACTTATAAAGTAATATACATATATTGGGGGTATATGCTCAAATTAAGTGTACTTAATTTGAGATTATTGATTTAGACAAACAACTCTACCTTTCTCCAGTTGAGAGTTCTAGCCTGTGAACATAGCAGTGATTAGTACCTAATGATCATGCAGTTAAGAATTGGTTGCTATTATTACTATTAGGTTTGGTTCTAAAGCCCAAAAAGGTACAGATGATTCGGATGCAGACATATCATTTATATAGAACCCCCACCATTTTGCCTCAAGTAAACAACATAATCTGTCTCTCTGGAGACAGTTTCTTTGTTTGCAGCTATAAAATTTGCTGCAGTTGTAATGCTGGATCTAAGAGGCTGTCATATTGACTTGAGGAATTCCAGAAAGGCCTCCCTGTAACCCTTTTCTTCTAGTGTGACTTAGGGAAACCCAGAAAGAACTCCCTTAACTCCTCCACCAGCAAAGGCTTCCTTCCTCATTCTCACCTGAAGCCCCATTATTAGCATTTATTCCTGTGAAGGGGACTACCTTCACTTCATGCCCAGAGTTCACCTATTCCATTCTGTTCTCCCAAGCACCTAGTGTAAAACTCAACGACAGCACTTTGACTGTAGGTACAGTCCTTCCTCCATAACTGTGGGGAGTTGGTTCCAGGACTCTCCTCTTTTTTTTTTTTTTTTTGAGACAGTCTCTGGCTCTGTTGCCCAGGCTGGAGTAGAGTGGTGCTATCATAGCTGACTGTAACCTCAAACTCTTTCCCCTTGAAATCTGCAGATGTTCAAGTCCCTTATATAAAATGGCATAACAGCCTGGGCACCACAGTGAGACCCCATCTCTACAAAAAAAATTAAAAATTAAAAATTAGCTGGATGTGATGGCACATGCCTGTAGTCTCAGCTACTTGGGAGGCTGAAGCAGGAAGATCACTCAAGTTCAGGAAAGAGTTCGAGGTTACAGTCAGCTATGATAGCACCACTCTACTCCAGCCTGGGCAACAGAGCAAGAGACTGTCTCAAAAAAAAAAAAAAAAAAAGGTATAATATTTGCATATAACATATGACATCCTCTTGTATACTTTATTATTATTATTACTTTTGAGACAGGGTCTTACTCTGTCACCCAGGCTGGAGTGCAGTGGCGTGATTACAGCTTACTGCAGCCTCGATCTCTGAGGCTCAAGTGATTCTCCCACCTCACTCTCCCGAGTAGCTGGGACCACAGGCATGCACCAACACATCTGGCTAATTTTTGTATTTTTTGTAGAGACAGGGTTTCATCTTGTTGCTCAGGCTGGTCTCAAACTCCTGGGCTCAAGGGATCCACCCACCTTGGCCTCCCAAAAAGCTGGGATTACAGGCATAAGCCACTGTGTCCAGACTCTCTTGTATACTTTAAACCATCTCTACATTACTTATAATACCTAATACAATGTAAAAGCTATGTAAGTAGTTGTTATACTATATTTTAAAATTTGTATTTTTTAGTTGTTTTATTATTTGTTTTTTCCCCAATATTTTAAATCCATTTTTGGTTGAATCCATGGATGCAGAACGTGAGGCTAGATGGGCCAGCTGTACTTGTTTATGTGTCTGCCTGCCTGCTGAATACCATGCTTCCGTGGGGATAAATGCTACCTTATTCATAGGCTTCAGAATTAGACAGTGCTGACTATATGATCTTAGGCATGTTGCTAATCCTCTCTTGGCCCATGATCTCATCTATAATATAGGAAAATACTTCATAGAGCTGTTGTGAGCATAAAATGAGACAATATTTTTTAAAAAGTTTGGCTCATTTTAGGTGTTCAACAAAAATTATTGCTATTTTCTCCATCCATCTACCCAACACAATAATAAATGCCTTTTGAATGCCTGTTAAGTGAAAACATGATGAATCAATTTATTTTGTTTAAGTGCTGAGATCGTCTTATAAAATAGAAGTTTTCAATGAATAATGACTATTGGATAGGAAAGTATTTGAAGGAAAAATTTAAAAAATGAATAATGACTAATGTTTCAAGAGTGTTTACTACATCTCAGGTACTGTGGTATACATTTTTGTTTAATCCTCACGACAACCATATGAAGTAGGTACTCTATAACTAAAATCCCCATTTCACGAACAAGAAAACTGAGGTCTAGTAATTTATCTACAGCTGAGTGGTGAAGTCAAGATTAGATTTCAGTTCTATCTGACTCTAGGACCCATATACTTAACTGTTGTTGTATTGCAGAATACTTAAGGTTTAAATACTCAGTTTTCAGCCCTGCTTAGGGCTGGCTCTGTGTTTTATTGCCAAACTCAAAACAAGCTGTATATATTTGGATTAGAGCAAACATTGCCTAGGGCTTTCACAAACACCTCATGGAGACCATCCTGTTCCCTCCCCCACAAGACTGTGCCTTCGGAAAAGCAATGTGCTTAGTAGCACCAGGAATCAGATCCTTTGAAGTATACAGCCCATGAAATCAACCTGCCTGGACTTTGGCCCATCTGCCAGCTCTGAGTCAGCTGGCAGGAAAAAGGGCCAGAGGCTCAGATGTAATCAGTTCCTAAACAGGCCCAACTACACCACCTCCACCTTCTTCAGCCTCTCTTATCCTTCCAACCTGATTTCACCACAAGAAACCTGTTTGTGAGGGAGGGCACCACATCTCTCAGAAGTGGTCCAGTGTTTCCCCATTAATGCCTCCCTCATTAACTCCCTGCCATGGACAGCCATACTTAGATCATAAACAACAGAAAATATTAATGCTAATTAATTCTGGAGGCACTGGCAGTCTGTTGGAATAGAGTGCAGACTTTGGAGTCAAATCAGCCAGGTTTCAAAGTCCCAGCTTTCCAATAGTGCTGGGCAAATTGTATAATCTCTAAATTTCAGTTTTCTTATTGACAAATTAGGGAACAAGAATACTACCAGTATTTTAAGGAGTTGTTATAAAGATTAAATGAGAAATATGAATGATGTGCATGTAATGCCCTTGGAACAGTGCCTTTGCTCATAGTAAGCATTCAAATGTTAGCTACAAATGGTGTGGCTTGTGGCAAGTGAACAATGGAGATTCTATCACTCTCCATCCAGAAAGTTTATGTAAAAATTTAAGAGCCCCTGGTGTATAGTAAGTACTCAAAACATTAATCCATTTGATCAACGAACTCCGTTTCCCACTTTAATAATAATAGTAAACAACTGGAGTTTCTAACATCACAAACCTAGGTGAGAGTCAGTTTTGCAGTCATGTATAAAAGGGAAACCAGTATTGAAGATTAGGCAAGCATCCAAATAGCTGTTCTGGCTAGACTATATTAGGCCTAAAGATTCTATAGCAAGGTAGGCTGGGCGTGGTGGCTCACACCTGTAATCCCAGCACCTTGGGAGGCCGAGGTGGGCAGATCACGAGGTCAGGAGATCAAGACCATCCTGGCTAACATGGGAAAACCCCGTCTCTACTAAAAATACAAAAAAAAAAAAAAAATTAGCTGGGCGTGGTGGTGGGCACCTGTAATCCCAGCTACTCGGGCGGTTGAGGCAGGAGAATGGCATGAACCCAGGAGGCGGAGCTTGCAGTAAGCGGAGCTTGCGCCACTGCACTCCAGCCTGGGCGACAGAGCTAGACTCCGTCTAAAAAAAAAAAAGATTCTATAGCAAGGTAAGGACCAGGTGGATACTTAGACAACTTTGTAATTTACACAGCACTTAGTTTTCCTTTCACCAATGTGACCTTCACAACTTTATGGGGTAGTTCTCATATCATATTTGGAATTTTTAAAGAATACTTGTTTTACATGTCATTCTCCTCCACTAAAAGACAAGAAAATTTTTTTCCTCATCTTCTTCTATCCAGATAAAATTTCACATACAAGGGCAATGGTCTAGCAGAGTTTAAAGTGAGTTTTTTTTCTTTTTCTTCTTCTTGAGACAGAGTCTCACTCTATTGCCCAGGCTGGAGTGCAGTGGTGTGATCTTGATCCACTGCAACCTTGGCTCACTGCAACCTCTGCCTCCCAGGTTCAAGTGATTCTCATGCTTCAGCCTCCCGAGCAGCTGGAATTACAGGTGTGTGCCACCATGCCAGGCTAATTTTTGTATTTTTAGTAGAGACGGGGTTTGTCGTGTTGGCCAGGCTGGTCTCCAACTCCTGACCTCAGGTGATCCACCTGCCTCGGCCTCCCAAAGTGCTGGGATTACAGGCCTGAGCAACCACGCTTGGCCTCAAAGTGAGTTCTGAATGGGGAGAGGTACAAAAAGAAATAGGAATCATTCCACCTAGAAAGCCAGACATATGCTACCCATGAGATAATTTATCTGTAAAATCGCATAATTTGTACTTCAAAAGACTAAAAAAGATAAAGTATATAATGCTGCTGATCTTTTGGTTGTAGTACATATTAATGAACCTAAAAGCAAATTGGATGGAATTTCCACTCATAAAAAGGAAGACTGAACATGACCATTTGTTAATGGTCAAGAGGCATGGTGTGATTTTCTCAAGTCTATAAAGGACCAATAAAGCATGGCAGAACCATATAGCACTATAAATTAATGGAACTATGCTTTTAGTCTACCTGGATACCCAGAGATGTTTCCAGGGCTGAGTTCTTGGGTCATGTGAATGGATTACAGAGGGGCTGCAAACAGTTTAAAATCATGGGTTTTACACAAATATAGATGTGGGAATGGTTAGAGTGAGGGGAGGGACTTGGCTGTTTCCTTTTGTGTGTGGCAGGGGAGGGAGGTAACATCCTGGATGTAGCCATAGCTTTTATAAAATTTTTATAAGTCCATGGATCCAAAACATTAAGAAACACTACTATATGCATGATAAAAATCCCTACTTATTCAATAAACATTCACCAAACACTTACTACATAGAGACATTATGCTGTCTTTGTCCTCATAATGGAGGATAACATGCAAAACAAAAATTCTGAATAATTCCAGTGATTTATGGCATGAAGTCATTTTTTTCTTCTTGCTATCAATACAAGCAGACTCCCTTTGTGATGTCTTTCTACCTGCTTATCTCAATGATCTAAAGAAGATCCATGTTATAAAGTGTCTAACACATAGTAGATCCTCAAATGTTAGTTCCTTGCCTTTCACTTATCAATTTAAAGCCACATTTATCTTCTCCCCTTCTTCCTCTCTCTAGTGTTTCTTTTAATTTTTATTGAAATGAGATCCTGCTGTAGGAATATGTTATCCAGAGTCAGAGCAGGAGGCATGGTGTGATTTTACCATATCTATGCACCTATAAAGTACAGCAGCAGTACAAAAGCCCTTAAATAACGTAGGTTAAATATCAAACGTTTTGACATATAAAAGGTACTGAATGAATAGTGGCTAATAAAAATAAACAACAAAAAAATCAAATCAGAAGAACAGCAGCTGCAGACTCAAAGGAAGTATGAATAGAAAAAACACTGGTAAGTTTTCACAGGTTTCATAGTCATGAAATATGAAAACTACAAGGAAGTTTAGAGTATATAAGTCATTCTATACATGAGAAGACTGAGGGTCATACAGCTCTATCCACTTGAAGCCAATTCAGATCAGGCTTAACTTTGCTATGCAGCTTCTGACATCAAACTACATGAAATCTGAAGAGATCATAATGCTTGCTAGAATTCGGTTATTAATATCCCAAATGTGTCTCTCTAGTTAAAACTAGAGGACAAAACCTTAGGGGAAAAAAACTAACACATACACACAAGGGTTTTGCTTCTAGCTGGAGAACTCTGAAATGGACCTTGGTATATACTCAGTCCAACCTTACTATTTTACAGATTATGAAATTGAGGCCCAGAAAGGCGTAGTGACTTTTTTTTTTTTTCTTTAGATGCAGTTTTTGCATTTGTCGCCCAGGCTGGAGTGCAATGGCACCATCTCAGCTCACTGCGACCTCTGCCTCTTGGTTTCGAGCAATTCTCCTGCCTCAGCCTCCCGAGTAGCCGGGATTACAGGCACCCACCACCATGCCTGGCTACTTTTTTTTTATTTTTAGTAGAGACGGGGTTTCACCTCAGGTGATCCACCTGCCTCAGCCTTCCAAAGTGTTGGGATTACAGCCATGAGCCACTGCGCCCAGCTGGGGAAGCGACTTTTGAAGAGTAAATTACTTATTCTGTATAAGTTCAGTACAGAATCCCAGG
Source organism: Homo sapiens (assembly GCF_000001405.40). Classification (NCBI taxonomy): domain Eukaryota; kingdom Metazoa; phylum Chordata; class Mammalia; order Primates; family Hominidae; genus Homo; species Homo sapiens. Next base: position 83,089,324 of record NC_000011.10, on the reverse strand, counting down.
TCTGTAGCTCCCAATTAAGATAGATCATTTTTTACATGAAGGTCACCCCTCTACAGGACTCATCTCTTTGGTGCCCTCTATCTTTGAGAATCTAGGTCTCTTATATTACTCAGAACACACTACCCATATCTATCCTTCCATGCGCATTGTTCCATCTCAGGCCCTAATCTCCTCCTTAAGCCTTCAATCCCATCCTCTATCTAATCAAACACACACACCCTTTACCTTTTCTGAGTCCTAATTCTTTTTCTTTCATTTTTTGAGACAAGATCTCGCTATGTGCTCAGTCTAGTCTTGAACTCCTGAGCTCAGGCCTCAGCCTCCTGGGTAGCTGGGACTACTGGCTTATGCCACAATGCCAGGTGGAGTCCTAATTCTCTTCAACAGTTTAAACTACAAGCTAAGGTACTAATGATCAATAATGGTATAATTTAGCATTTCCTTGCTTATATTTCTACAAGGCTATTTGAAATGGCACTGTCTTAACCCAAAAAGGCATACTTTTTGAATAAGGAATAACTATATGAAACATTTAAAGTGTTTTTTTGTTTTTGTTTTTAGACAGAGTGTCACTCTGTAGCCCACTCACAGGGTGGAGTGCAGTGGTGTGATCTCAGCTGATTGCAATCGCCACCTCCCGGGTTCAAGCAATTCTCCTGCCTCAGCCTCCCTAGTAGCTGGGACTACTGGTGCACTCCAGGCGCACTGGCCCAAACGTTACTTTTTGAAAAATAACCATTTTTAATCACAAAAATTATAAATGAGACAGCTCAAGAGGATTTTTTTTGAGGTGATAGAATTGTTTAGTATCTCAATTATGGCGGTGGTTATATGATTCTTTGCATTTGTCAAAACTCATAGAATTGTATACCAAAATATGTAAATTTAAAAATTAACAATACTTTTTTAAAGAGGAAGAAAGTAATTGCATAGTCTACTGATGCCCCTTAGTTTTCCTGCCCAGAGGCAATCACAATGCAATACTGGTCTTCTAAAGAATCAGCTGGGTGTGGTGGCTCACACCTGTAATCCCAGCGCTTTGGGAAGCCAAGCCAGGAAGACTGCTGGAGCTCAGGAGTTTGAGACCAGCCTGGACAACATGGCAAAACCCTGTCTCTACAAAAACTTAGCCAGGCATGGTGGTACCCATCTGTAGTCCCAACTACTCAGGAGGCTGAGGTGGGAGGATCACTTCAGCCTGGGAGGCAGGGGCTGCAGTGAGCCAAGATTGCACCACTGCACTCCAGCCTGGGTGACAGAGCCAGGCCCTGTCTCAAAAAGAAAAGAATTCTTTTTAACAGGAGAAAAAGCACAGAAAATTATTTTTTTATTGATACATACATAATAGATGTATATAATTTAGGGTACATGCGACAATTTTATACATTTATGTAATTTGTAAAGATCAAATCAGTGTACTAAGAATGACATTGTAATGCTAGAAATGTAGTCACTGAGGCAGACTTATTGGACAGATGTTTTTGGAAATGACGACTTTTTAGTCCTTGTAAGCTGATAAATCCACTATTCTATTCAAGGTAAGGTTGGCACTTATTGGGGCAAATGAAAATGAGAAAATTAGGGAGTAAGGTCTGGAGAAGATAAGTGAGAATTAACACTGACACTAAAATTTTAACATTCAGGGACTAGAGCCAAAACAATAAATACATTTAAAAACAAAGATTGCATAAGAACAAAAATGTGATTGTTTTCAAAGGTTACAGATTTTATTCCAAGGCTGTGCTGAAAAAACATCCTGCTTGGTAGCCTACCTGGAATCAAATATTCTCTCCCCTTCCTACTAATATTACTCATATGTCTAATTCAGTTTCTATACAGTTCTTAGTGTTTTTTCAGTTATATGTCATTCATGCCAACATATCCATTTTACCCATTTAATTGATACTGAATGATTACTAAATGTAAAATTAATAGTTCTGGTATTTTATTGCCATTACAATATTTATATTATTCTACTGTAGCTTTTTTGGCTTGCAGATCTATTTTCCACCTCTCCCCGCCAAAACTGTCAGACTCATATTGGCATATCTGTGTTTATTTATCTTGGAATCCCTAGAACCTACCTTGTATATTATCTGACACCTAGTGGATACCGAATGAATATTTACTGAAGAAACAAGAGCCCTGTTTTAAGCAGAAGGAAATGTGAATACAAATATGGTTGAGCTCCTGCTTTTAAAAGAACTTACAACTTGCTGGTCATGTACAGTCAATATAATTAGTAGGCCACATGCATAGGTGGGTAAATAGAGGACAGAGGGTAGAGAAAGACTGAATGTAGTCCGATTACATGAAACAACTTATCTTAACATTCTATTACAAACATTAGTGCTAGGGTATGTAACAGGAGACCCTTTACTGTCCTTTCATAGACCTGTGCTGATGATAGAAAACCTTACTGGGTGACAGGAAAATAGATTGGATAGATATAGCATATCTAAAAATGTTCTAATTGTATTTTATTTTTAAAGAAACTGAGGATGAAACAGCCATTGACAAGACTGCATATTCTTGGAATCTGTTATCATAAAGAATAAGGTCCTAAAGGAAAACAATTTATTTCACTAAAAAACAAGTCTGACTGGGCGCGGTGGCCAGCACTTTGGGCCGAGGTGGGCGGATCACTTGAGGCCAGGAGTTCAAGACCAGCCTGGCCAACATGGGGAAACCCTGTCTGCACCAAAAATACAAAATTAGCTGGGTGTGGTGGCGCAGTGCGTAGTCCTGGCTACTCCAGAGGCTGAGGCAGGAGAATGACTTGAACCTGGGAGGCAGAGGTTGCAGTGAGCCGAGATCGCACCACTGTACTCCAGCCTGAGCAACAGAGCAAACTCCATCTCAAACAAACAAACAAACAAACAGAAGAAAATCCCCTAGTCTTTCTGGAGATATTTCATAGGCTTCTTTCAGAAGATAAACTTAAGTGTTAACAGTAATGGCTTTATGGTCATAGCATTTACTACACGATGACATAAAGCTCAACCATCAATACATAATGTTTTATTCTCCAATACTATGGTCCTCTCCTGATCCTTTCACACACTAGTTCTGATGTACTGAGAATTGAGGACTCCAATTCAGTTTCCTGTTGAGGCGAGGTAGGATTTCATCAAGAAATGTTTTATTTCCTTGATTGTCTGAAACAGTGCACTTTGCTAGTGCAAAATCTGTCACAAAAGAATTGGATAAGTGGGAGGGGGGTGTAAATTGTTAAAGGACTAAGCAATCCATCAGAGTTTTATAATTTAACAACTTACTTATCCATTAAGCAATTATTTCATGCCTACTGCTTATGTGCCAAGCAGAAGAAAACAGCATATTACCTACTGGTAACAATAACAAGTGGCTGCCAAGGCAGCTTAGTGGTTTATGAGCCAGTCATTTTGCAGCATTGTGCTAAAAGGGAGGGAGAGTTAGAAGGTAAAATCAAGTCGCTTCTTACATGTTATCATCAGCTTTTGGGGAGTATCGTGAATTTTATTTTTTATTTTTAGTTGAGAGACAAGGTCTTGCTCTGTAGCCCAAGTTGGAGTGCAGTGGCATGATCATGGCTCACTGCAGCCTCAACCTCTTGGGCTCAAGCGATCCTCTCACCTTAGCCTCCCCAGTAGCTAGGACTACCAGCACGTGCCACCACAACCAGCTAATTTTTAAATTTATTGTCGAGATAAGGTCTCCCTATGTTGTCCAAGCTGGTCACAAGCTCCTGGGCTTAAGCAATCCTCCTGCCTTGGCTTCTCAAAGTGCTAGGATTACAGGCATGAAAATGTTCATTCATTTGTTCTGTTGTGTACCAAGTGTAGTGGATATAGTCAAGCTTGGATATTAAAACCTATATATTCAGGTATTAATAAAGGAGCTAGATCCTCCCCCAACCTCATCCCTGATGAAACAAATGAAAATTTAGTAATTTTGAAAAAGTATCTTAGTCTTCACCATGAGAAAAATGAGATCTTCCTTAAATTCACCTTATAGTGTAAATATTTTGATTTTAAATTATATAGGTTAAGGCATCAAATTTTTCACTGCTTAGGTGTCTACAGATTTCAGTCAGGCTTTGGATACAACAGTGAAGAAGACAAGCTCCTATTAAAAAATTTTAACCAGGGTTCTTAATTAGGAGTTTATAGATTAATTAAAGGGGTCCATTACATCTCTCTTTTATTTTGAGACAGGGTCGGGCTCTGTTGCCCAGGCTGGAGTGCAGTGGCGTGATCTCAGCTCACAGCAATCTTTGCCTCCCTGGTTCAAGTGATTCTTCTGCCTCAGCCTTGTGAGTAGCTGGGACTACAGCAGGCCACCATGCCAGGCTAATTTTTTTTTTTATTTTTAGTAGAGACAGGGCTTCATCATGTTGGCCAGGCTGGTCTCGAACTCGTGGGCTCAAATGATCTGCCCACTTTGGCCTCCCAAAGTGCTAGGATTACAGGCATGAGCCACCATGCCTGGCATCTACTTTCAATAACTTCTAATAAAATGTAAACATAGCCAGTCAATCACAGTAGTTAGCAGTAAATGTGACTGTCACAATTAAACTGATTATTTCCATATCACATTACAATTGTTGCAGATAAGTTGAAATATTTATGCTCACCACGCTACTGTGTTGAAATTATAGTAAGGCCACTGCTAGATCTTATTCATTAATAAACCACATATATTTCTATATCAAATTTTTTTGGTAACTATTTCAATATTCTTGGATCCTTTTGTAATTCAATGTACTGTACTTTATATGTTTAAAGGCTTTTTTAAAAAAAAGCGGTCCATAGACTTCACTAGATTGACAAAGAGGTCCATGACACTAAAAGTTAAGAGTAAAATGGTTTAGACGGCCATAGCCATCTGTACCTCTAGGGGCCTTATACTTCATATTTACTCAACACATACTTCCAGAATGAAATAATTTAAAGTTGGTTGAAATTGTGCCCCCCAAATATTAATACTTTGGTTGTCTACAATAGAGTACTGTAGAGTTGCTTCTTATTCAAAAGCTTCCTTTTTTTTTTTTTTGAGACAGTCTTGCTCTGTCACCAGGCTGGAGTACAGTGGCGCGATCTTGGCTCACTGTACTGCAACCTCCGCCTCCTGGGTTCAAGTGATTCCCCTGCCTCAGCCTCCCGAGTAGCTGGGACTACAAGCGCATGCCAGCATGCCTGGCTAAGTTTTTGTATTTTAGTAGAGATGGAGTTTCAGCATGTTGGCCAGGATGGTCTCGATCTCCTGATCTCGTGATCCGCCTGCCTCGGCCTCCCAAAGTGCTGGGATTACAGGTGTGAGCCACCACACCTGGCCATTCAAAAACTTTTCTAAAAAAATCAAATACTTTAGATCAAGTTTTTTCCACCTTGCGGCCCAGGACAGCTTTGAATGCAGCCCAACACAAATTCATAAACTTTGCTAAAACATTGCTTTTGTGATTCTTTTTAAAAACTCATCAGCTATCATTAGTGTTAGTGTATTTTATGTGTGGCCCAAGATAATTCTTCCAATGTGGCCCAAGGAAGCCAGAAGATTGGCTGCCCCTGATTTACATGAAACATAGAATGGATCATAGTTTATCTCCCCAAAAGAACTTTATTATACGTCTTTCTAGATAAGCAATACTTGCTCATGTGGCTGGACTATATTCTTTACTTAATATCATTTTAAAATATATTTTTTGAGACAGGGTCTAACTCTGACACCAAGGCTGGAATGCAGTGGTGTGATCTTGGCGTACTCCAACCTCCACCTCCTAGGCTCAAGCGATCCTCCCACTTCAGACTTCCCAGTAGCCAGGACCACAGGCACACACCACGATGCCTCTACTTTTTTTTTTTTTTTTTTTTTTGGTAGAGACAGGGTTTCGCCATGTTGCCCAGGCTGATCTCGAACTCCTGAGCTCAAGCAATCCACTCACCTCAGCCTCCCAGTGTTGGGATTACAGGCGTGAGGTGCCACACCTGGCTCCCCAAAATATATATTTTTAAGAGACAGGCTCTTACAATGTTGCCCAGGCTGGTCTCGAACTCCTGGGCTCAGGCAACCCTCCCAAAGTGTTGGCATTATAGGCGTGAGCCACCACACCTGGCCTCTTTGTTGAGTAACTATGTACATGCAAACATTAAAAATTTTGGCAGGCCGGGCGCGGTGGCTCACGAGGTCAGGAGATCAATACTATCCCGTCTAACACAGTGAAAACCCGTCTCCAGTAAAAATACAAAAAATTAGCCGGGCGTGGTGGCAGGCGCCTGTAGTCCCAGCTACTCCGGAGGCTGAGGCAGGAGAATGGCGAGAGCCCGGGAGGCGGAGCATGCAGCATGCACCCCGTCTCTACTAAAAAAAAAAATACAAAAAATTAGCAGGGTGTGGTGGCACATGCCTGTAATCCCAGCTACTCAGGAGGCTGAGGCAGGAGAACGGCGTGAACCCGGGAGGCGGAGCTTGCAGTGAGCCGAGATCGAGCCACTGCACTCCAGCCTGGGGGACACAGCGAGACTCTGTCTCAAAAAAACAAAACATTGAAAAAAAAATTTTTGTTATCTCTGTCTTGGAATTGCAGCAAGAATAAGGGGTACTGGAGCACAATTTAAATAACAGTGATTTAGGAACTATTTACCTTGGTGCTTTCAAATAAAATTAGGAATTGGATTAGGTGGAAAAATAAACTAGTAGCTTATTAAAAATGCAGATTTTAAAAATCATACATTGTGATGGTTAATACTAAGTGTCAACTTGATTGAAGGATGCAAAATACTGATCCTGGGTTTGTCTGTAAGGGTGTTGCCAAATGAGATTAACATTTGAGTTAGTGGGCTGGGGAAGGCCCACCCACTCTCAATCTGGTGGGCACAGTCTAATCAGCTACCAGCATAGGTAGAATATAAGCACGCAGAAAAACGTGAAGAGGAGAGACTGGCCTAGCCTCCCAGCTTCCATCCTTCTCCCACGCTGGATGCTTCCTGCCCTCAGACACTGGACCCCCAAGTTCTTCAGTTTTCAGACTCAGACTCTGGCTCTCTCTTTTCCTCAAGCTTGCAGCCAGCCTACTGTGGGACCTTGTGATCGTGTAAGTTCTCAATAAACTTAATAAATATATGTGTGTATATATATGTATCTCCTATTAGTTCTGTCCCTCCAGGGAACCCTAATACATACATTGTATAGAAAAAAATGCAGATTCCTAGAACTAACCCTCAGATTTTTAAGCAGTATATTCTGGTTGGGAAACCAGAATCTGCATTTAGCATATATCCCAGGAGATTCTGATGTTGGAAGTTTGCAGACCATGCTATGGAACTAATATTACAGAAAACCTTGTATTTGGTGCTCTGTTAAATGTTACCTCCTTTTAAAGATATGGAAGGCTTCAAAACCTAAATTTGCCAAAGTAGACATAGTTGCTAACTATCAGAGCAAGAATTCAGAACCCACAACTGACTCTAAAGCAATTCTTAGCTATGCCTTTGGACTTCTTACAGTTCTAACACTCTTTAACTGGGCCACAGTGCTTGTACTTACTTCAGGTATTTGCAGATCAAATCTTGAAAATGGTTAGATTGGCTGGGTGCGGTGGCTCACGCCTGTAATCCCAGCACTTTGGGGGGCCGAGGCGGGCAGACCACAAGGTCAGGAGTTCGAGACCAGCCTGGCCAACACAGTGAAACCCCGTCTCTGCTACTCGGGAGGGTGGGGTGGGGGAACTGCCTGAATCCAGGAGGCGGAGGTTGCAGTGAGCTGAGACCGAGCCATTGCACTCCAGCCTGGGTGACAGAGTGAGACTGTTTCTAAATAAATAAATAAATAGAAAATGGTTATATTACTCAGATAATACTTACTTTATCTCAATTTTTAAACTGTCAGTGATAGAAGTAGACAGTTGAAGTTTATATACACATATGCAATATTTGGTATATATAGTATCATTTACTAAGACAGGTATTTTGGTAAAGTTAAAACTGAGGGGATATTGCTTTATAACACCTAAGGTACAGAAAATCATACTTCTCATGATAAAGAGTGGCTTTTTTATAGATGTATTTTCAGTGAATCCTAGTTAAAAAAAATTTTTTTAGCCTCAAATAAAGTGATCTCACATGATAGTACTTAATATATCCATTTAATTCTTATAGCAACCTAGCGAGGAAGATTTTATCCCTACTTCACAGACAAAACTGAGGCAGAGTTAAATAACTTGCTTATAGTCAACAGTGATTGGCCGAAGTGTCATTTTAATCCTAGCTGACTGGCTCTGAAGTCTACATTCTAAGTTGCTACACCATATTACCTTTTGGGTACTTATTAAGCATTTTTCATATATTTCCTTAATTTTTATTTAATCTCAGAATGATGAACATGCTTAAAATCATGTAATGTGTTTAGATTCAAACGCAAGATTTTTGTTGCTAAACCCGAACTCTTAATGACTAACAACTTCCCATGATCATGGAGTAACGACCTTAGGTGGCTTTATTAATCATAATGCATAGTATAAATACCGTGTGATAGGCTGTATTTCTATTTTGACTTTAACTAGTACACAAATATTTTAATAGAATGTCCCTACCAGGGTTCTAAGATGAATGAATTACTTTCCAGTTATCTGTAAATTGTTAAATGCATTTTAAGTGAACTCTGTCTACCACAGTACCAAGCTATTCTCTAAAAATTTAGTGTTATCTCAAACAAGGGACTATACATAGCTTTTGTGTTTCTACTTAGGTTTAGGCACGTTAAATGGACCTCTGTGAAGTTGCATCTCTTACCTGACTGAGCAGATATTAAGTTAAAATAAACATTAGGTTACAGGTGTGTCAAATAGCTCTCTAAATCTGGGTATAATATGGGCCCATGACAATAAACAATTACCATTAAACATTATTTTCATACCTCTCCCTCCCTCCAGCGATAGAAGATTGCTGGACCCAAAGTTTTAAATTCAGCAGGAACAAGCAGGCACTGGCTTGGACACAAAATTAGGTTTTAGCCTAAATTTTTGAGATTTGGGGAGTCACACTGGATGTATGGGACTCTGCACTTAAGTTCAAAATGTGTTAACTTGTGGCAGAGTAACAGAACTAGCAGGTCACATTTTGTTTTTTCTTTGAAATGCCTCGGGTTATTTCTTCTGGTGCACATCTTGAGAGCAAATTAAATCACATTTGGACATACCAGGTTACAGTGCCAGGCTCTAGTAATAAACAACTACTTTTGACTTTTATTATACTGAATCCCTACCTGTCTTGGTTACTCCCTTCTTTTTACTGAAACAGGGCCTTACTCTTACCCAGGCTGGAACACAATGGCACCACTGCAACCTACGACTCCTGGGCTCAAGTGATCCTCCTGCCTCAGCCTCCTGAGTAGCTAAGACTACAGGCACATGCCGCCATGCTCAGCTTTTTCTTTTTTTTTTTCCCTGAGATGGAGCCTCGTCCTGTTGCCCAGGATGGGGTACAGTGGCACGATCTCAGCTCACTGCCTCTGCCTCCTGGGTTTTAAGTGACTCTCCTGCCTCAGCCTCCTGAGTAGCTGGGATTACAAGCACCTGCCACCAAGCCCAGCTAATTTTTGCATTTTTAGTAGAGATGGGTTTTCACCATGTTGGCCAGGTTGGTCTTGAACTTCTGACCTCAAGTGATTCACCTGCCTCGGCCTCCCAAAGTGCTGGGGTTATTGGTGTGAGACACCATGCTTGTTCAACTGCTCCCTTTTTACTGACTTCTTTCCATTTATTCTGCCAGTTAAATTTCTCAAGACATAAAGCAGCTTATTTACTGAATTTGATTTATGTTACTGGGTAATGGAATGAGAAGGACTTCAGGTAATGGACATTAGTTCGTAACTCTCAAAATTCGGTTACTTTTTATGGAGGGCTTTGTTGCCTTAAGGTGTCAGTTTCTTTCCTTGTGCATTTTTCTGTATTGATACAATTAAACCATCTTCATGTAAGTAATCTAATCAACTCAATTATCTCAGATTTCTCTTCCTCCAGGTAATGTGTATGGATAAACATAGCTGGGCAACAACACAGACAAATCCTGTTCACATTTAACATTCTGGTTCAACTGAGCATCAGTTTTCTCTAACAGTGGTGGTGAGGATCCTAGTTAGGTTTGGCAAGGAAGTATTAATGATACAGGTGTGAAAAGCAAACACCATCTTTCAGAACCAAGTTAATTTCTCAAAAGAAGCAGAGACATTATCATTGCCATGTGTTTTTGGAATTAAGAATCATAAATATGCACTATTCTTGGGAGTACAAGTTTGGTTAAATAGGCAGCTATGAAAAACCTGGCAAACAGGAGCTATAGGAAAGAAAAATAATCAAACAAAAATCAATTATTATGTAGAAGAAAATTACAAAAGTACTTCAGAGCTCTTCTCCCTTCCTCCTGACTGGATTTCAGGGCAGGGCAGAATTTTGTGTCCTTGAATTCCTTTAAAAAGTTCAGACTGAGGTACAGTATGATTTTGGCCCTTAAGTAGGGAAATTTAAATATGCTTATGCCTCTTCTCCTATCTTAAATCCTTACAATCCTGCCCTCTCTAACCCATTATTTCTTGCCTTTTTCAGAGCCAAACTTCTTAAAAGTTTAAGTACCTACTTCTTTTCTCATTCCCATTTGTTCACTTGTCAAACCTCTGAAATCTGGCTTCTCCTCACTACTACATTAATTCAGTTTATCTGGAAAATGAGACAATCCAGCAACTCTTCACAGGGAAATACACGGCCAGTTGAAAAGTAACAAAATTTGCCCATAAATTGTCTCAAGAGCAGCAAGAAACAGAAGCAAAACAATTTTAGAAAGACACATAAACATGAATACTGAAAATGGAACAGTCATAGGACTGAAACTCAAGAAAGAGGCATAATGCCCAACATTAAAGATATGCAGAGTAAAGAGCTGAAATGGAGACTCTTGCATTTAGACTGCCAAATATAAAAACAAATAAATGTAAACAGTTTATCACCAAAATAACACTTTAAACTGTTGAGACTGCATAAATGTACCATACTACTGTTAGTATTCCATAGAAATAGCACATGACCAGTATGTCATTTAGATTACACATATGGAACATGCTAGTTAGCTGCAGTATTTTAATTGCAATGAAAGCACTCTGTAAGTATCTCTGCAATAGTATACTTTATACATTACCACTTAAAGGCAAAAACAAAATTCTTCAGTTATTTCAGGATATTTAAAAACTTAAGTTTTCCTATATAAAATACAAAACATTCACAAGGAAATGGCAGAATATGCTAATAATTGAGCCAAGAGAATACACACTGTGCAGTTTTACAGGGACAAGTACCAAGTAACTATAGAAGCTGTCACTTAATACCATATAAATGGCTAGAAGCCCCAGTATACGCCTGTAGTCCTAGTTACTTGAGTGGCTGAGGCAGGATTGCTCGAACCCAGGAGTCTGTGGCTGTCATTTGCTATGATCATGCTTGTGAATAGCCACTGCACTCCACATGGCTAGACCCCATCTCAAATAAATAAATAAATAAAATGGCTAAAAGTTTGGTCGGAGAGGGTAGGGAAGGAGGAAAGCTGTTTTATTTTGGCTCAGTCTTAAAAAAAATGTATCACTTAGGTACCTCAAGGATTACAGTTACTGAATTTTATCTTCTGGTGCTGGAGCAGCTCATCTCCAAGGTATTCAGTTTGATAAGCACCTATGTGTTATATTCATGAAATCAGGAGTTAGGTGTAAGAAAGTGACTTTGATGAACATTCCTTAAGTTTTAACCTTTAAGCAAGTTTATGTATAGGCAGCACCCTCAGATTCTACATCAAATAAGGCTTCATGAATACATGAATACTTCATGAATACATAACTGCATACAGCTGAACATCTCTGCATGTTTGAATTTCCTTAAGTGGCTATATTCATGAACATATTTACGCTCGGCAAGTTTATCTTCATATATTTATCCTTGCAAAGAAACATTTTCGGCTGGGCACGGTGGCTCACACCTGTAATCCCAGCACTTTGGGAGGCCGAGGCGGGTGGATCACGAGGTCAGGAGTTTGAGACCAGCCTGACCAACATGATGAAACCCGTCTCTAATAAAAATACAAAAATTAGCTGGGCATGGTGGCATGCGCCTGTAAATCCCAGCTAGTCAGGAGACTGAGGCAAGAGAAATCACTTGAACCCAGGAGCGGAGATTGCAGTGAGTCGAGACCGTACCACTGTACTCCAGCCTGGGCAACAGACTCCATCTCAAAAAAAAAAAAAAAAGTTTTCTAGTGCTCCCTTAATTATCCAAACCTGTAAAAAATTGAGAAATAAAGTTAACAGAGGACTCTCTTTTCCTGTTAATCATTACTATGGACATTTGGATTTCAAATCTTGACCTTGGGATATTTACTGCATTTATCTTCAGCAGCATATTAAGCAGCTAAAATTATGTAAATTTGTTTCAAACTCAAATTGGGTTACTAAGATTAAAAAGCACACTTTTTATTTTCCTGAGTATTGTTAACTAAAAGTAAAAATAAAAGTTTTCTCATTGTCCAGAATGAATTAAAGATTTTCCCTAGAGGACAGGCATAGTGGCTCACTCCTATAATCCCAGCACTTTGGGAGGCAGAGGCAGACGGATCACTTGAGGTCAAGAGTTCCAGACCAGCCTGGCCAACATGGTGAAACCCCGTCTCTACTAAACATACAAAAATTAGCCGGGTGTGGTAGTGCCTGCCTGTAGTCCCAGCTACTTGGGAGGCCGAGGCAGAAGAATTGCTTGAACCTGGGAGGCGGAGGTTACAGTGAGTAGAGATCGCGCCACTGCACTCCAGCCTGGGCGACAGAGCAAGGCTCTGTCTCAAAAAAAAAAAAAAAAAAAAAGTAATCTGTTAGATCTGTTAGCAAGATTATATGATTACATAATGGTACACTTGATGGGAATTAGGAACATACCGATATATTCCTGTATGAACTCAAGTCACTTAACCAGACCACTTCCTAAGCTGTAAAGAGGAAGCTTTGAATATTAAATGCTTATCTGAAACCATTTGGAAAAGCAAAGTTTATTAATACCACTCTGAAGTATCTGAAGCTCATACTCAATTATTTAAATTAGGAACTTAAGCTCCTCTATTAAAAGGAAAATGTGTATTTTCTTGTTGAAACATAAAATATAAAGCACATTTCATGTGTACTACTGTCTTAAAAATTGAGAGTCCAACATTAAAATTAAACAAGTATTGAACTGCATTATACAAGAAATCAAAATCATGACAAAAAAAATCCACTGTTTAAAGAGTAAAGAGAAACAGTGGTGAGCTTGCTGTATCATTAAAGACACTGAACAGGTAAGATAATTGGATTCTAATTCTGCCCTGCCTTTGCCATCAATGTACAGTGTGACCACTAGCAATTTTTAATTTCACTGTGTGCATGCCCATTTCCTTATCTGTAAAACATGGGCTGAGGAATTTGTAAGATTTCTCAGCTCTAAAAAGGGGTCTCTGTGACCTAAAAGATACTCTATTATAATATCATTTGTTCAAAGATCATAAATATTAACATCAATAACTTAAAAATTCAAGACTTAGGGCAAGAAAATTTTTATTTTCAGAAAATTCTAAACAATATATTGTCTCTGGATACTTCAGCTTTTAAGTTTCTGCATAACTATCATAATTTTACCACAGCGTTGAGCTCTTACTAGGTGTCTCTTAACATTAGACTTTCTTAATATTAGGCTAAACCCTCATTCTAAGAAATATACAGGTTAGTCAGGATATCATGGTTGGTCCCTTTTTTTTTTTTTTTTTTAAACGGGAGTTTTGCTGTTATTGCCCGGGCTAGAGTGCATTAGCACAATCTCGGATCACTGCAACCTCCGCCTTCCAGTTTCAAGCGATTCTCCTGCCTCAGCCTCCCAAGTCGCTGGGATTACAGGCACCCGCCACCACACTCAGTTAATTTTTTGTATGTTTAGTAGAGACGGGGTTTCACCATGTTGGTCAGGCTGGTCTTGAACTGCTGACCTCGTGATCCACCCACCTCGGCCCCAAAGTGCTGGGATTACAGGCGTGAGCCACCGTGCTTGGCCCGGTTGGTCCTCTTAAAGCTAAAACTGATCTCATCTCCTCTCACTCCCCTCTCCCTCCCACAATTGCCATGTGTAAACCGTTCACCAGGTAAATTCCTTATCTACACATTTTCAGAATTCATTCATGGGTATAATTAGCAATAAACCTAAAATCTTTCTCAAAGCTTTTGTTATTGTGTGACTTACTGCAAAAATACAAACACAGGATGTAGAGGACTACTCCACCCAACTCTTGTAGACTCACCTATAGTTTTAAAAACACAATACTTGGTTCTAACCCTGGAGATTTCAACAGGGATGGGAAGGTAACAGCCATATACTTTTAGAGCTGTATAGGTTATCCTGACACCTCTACTGAAAAAAACCCTTGCTCTAACAGCAATTGGCTTCATACTCTTAAATGAGCTACCTATAATTTTAATACAAATCCATGTCCTAATTCTCTTTATTATTTTTTTGAGATAGGGTCTTGCTGTTGCCCAGGCTGGAGTACAGTGGCTCAATCTCTGCTCACTGCCACCTCCACCTCCCCAGTTCAAGCGATTCTCCTGCCTCAGCCACCCTAGTAGCTGGTATTACAGGCGCACGCCACCACACCTGGCTAACTTTTCTATTTCTTGGAGATGGGGTTTCGCCATGTTGGCCAGGCTGGTCTTGAACTCCTGGCCCCAAGTGATGTGCCCATCTCGGCCTCCCAAAGTGCTAGGATTACAGGTGTCAGCCACTGTGCCTGGCCCTAATTCTTTTTTGAGAGATGAAAAGCTTTACCTCCTCTAGATATTCCTAATTCCACTTTAACAATATTTTCCTAAGTTGTGGTGTTTCTATGGGACACTGTTATTTTTTCAGAAGCTGGCCTCCCCAACTCCTCAAATATCAATTTTATAAATAAAATTTATAATGAGTGCAGGATTTTTTCATCTTTATGGTCAGATGTCCATTAGATACAAGGATAGAAAAACTTCAAACTACCCAAACACATGACAAATTATAGAAATCACTGTATTCTAGAGGTATCACTTCTCAAACACAAGCTTTCTTTCTTTTTTAAAAACAGACATAGTCTCACTGTTGTCCAGATTGGAGTACAGTGACACAATCATAGCTCACTGCAGCCTCAAACTAATGGGATCAAGTGATCCTCCTGCCTCAGCCTCCCAAGTAGCTAAGCCTACTGGCATGCACTACTATGCCCAGCTCACACAGAAGGTTTCTGAGTAATCTGTTGCTCTTTTTCCCTACAATTTGTCTTCCATATAACTCAAACTGACAAGGCTATGGCTTACATAAAGAAATATATTATAAATCAACAACACTCATGATAAGTTTACATAAGACATGAGAATACACCTGAATCACCAACCGGGAAAAATGATTGAAGAGCTTGAAATTAAGCCTAAGTGTAAGTCTCTGTTAAGCTTACAACATTACAATAGTTAAATCGAAGGTTAGAAAGAAAATGGTAGACATTGCTCCTTTTCCTGTACTTACCACCATTACTTAGAGAAGTTTCTGAATAACAACAACTTTGAGCCTTTTTCATTGTTGTATTCATGGATGACACCAACACATACTACTTCTGCTTAAAAATCAAACTCATTCATCTTGACTTGTTCCCAGAAACATGACACAGAAGATCATTTTTTGAAAAAGTATTTTTGTAATTACCATCTGCATACACCTGAGAGACTGTTTCTAACATGTTTTGGTCATTTTTAATCATTCTATCTGCCTTTCTTTGTTATAAGGATCTATTTTTAATTTTATTCACTCCTAACATAGAGGGGAAGTGCATACCTTCAATGACGCAAAGTAACTAGTTAATGTTGTTTCAGAATAATATGCAAAAGGGAAGGGAGGAAACAGCACAAAGTATATCATATTTTTACACATCAGACACCTTCAGGAAGAAAGGACATTTCTCATCTTAGTGTGACAGACTCTGAAAAAGAACACACAGCACTGTTTCAGTGACACAAGAAAAAAAGTACAGTTCATTTTGAGATACTGTGCAAAATCACTCAAAAGACAATTAACTTTGGTTTCAGTCACTTAGTTAAAAAAAAAATTTATCCATGACCGATGTTACTCTGGAATCTATTGCCAGACGTCAGAAGGCCTATCATCAATAATATCCCACCCCTCCCGCCTTTTCTGAGACACGGGCTTGCTGTCGCCCAGGCTGGAGCACAGTGGTAGGATCGAGGCTCACTGCAGCCTCAACATCCCGGGCTCAAGCGATCCTCCCACCTCAGCCTCTAGTGTAGCTGCAACTACAGGGGTACACCACCATGCCCAGCTAATTTTTTTGTTTAATGTTTTTGTAGAGACGGTACGGGGTCTCCGCATGTTGCCCAGGCTGGGGTTGAACTCCTAGAATCACGCTATCTCCCCGCGTCTGCCCCCAAAGTGCTGGGATTAAAGGCGTGAGCGACCGCACCTGGCCAATATCCCCTTTGAACATCTGCTTTCGCTGGTTGGTAAAAAAGTGTCATTTTAAATTTAGTGTTACTCCTTCAGGCTATTCCCTCTCTCTTCTTACTTGCAGGGCCAAAGCAACGTCTCTTTCCACCTTGGTCACCTTCCAACAACGATTTCTTCGGACGCCTTTGTTAATCATTCCTGTATGAAAAATCAGTGAATCTGAAGCTTTGGGGAGAGTGAAAGGGGGTTGGAAAACAAACGGCAAAACAAAAATGCATTTCGGAGGACTACCCCAACTCTGTGGGTGGAAGTGGGCTTCTCCGAATAAAGGCGAGGGTCGCCGCCTCGGGTCCTCGCACCTCAACAAAAGACACCAACTCTCTCAACTGTACTGTTAACAGATCTAAATGATACTCCAAGCCCAAAAGTAAACCGACTCTCTCAATCTCTTAGCTAAAAAATGGAGAAGGAAGCGTAGGGCCCCATGCAACCCCTTCAGGAGCTGAGACCGAGGCTCACTGGGCCTCTGGATGCCGCTTCCAGTCGGTCCCGCCCTACATCAGTCCCCAGCATGGCCTCCACCCTCTGGTTCCCAGGTTCGTGCCCGCGGCTATCCGACCAGATCGTCCTCCACCTCACCGTCCCCACTGAACCACCACTTGACTCCTGCGCACCCCTAAAACCTCTGCCCGGCTCCGCGGAATCGTCCCAGTACTCCTAACATGGCGGCCGAGTCCCCTTTGCTCCTTCACTCTGGGCGCGTCCCACTTGGAGCATTTTGGGCATTGTAGTTTCGGGGATTGCCTGGGTATCCCTTCAGGACGTAAGAAGACTACAGTTCCCAGAAAGCACCGCTCCCGAGCATGGCTATTGGGGACGTTTGGACAGAGGGATGATGTCATTGCAAAAGCCCCACTGCATTCATTGTGCTACGGTCTCTCCACCCCCTGCTGCTGCTGGGCTTGCGATTGCCGCTCGCTCCAGCTGAGCTAAGTGTAGCAGCAGCACCAGGGCAGGGACTGACTCCAGCCCTTGGACTCAGGACATCGCAGACCTTCCCTTGCGTGCGTGACTCATTCGCACATCCATTTCTGTTTATGCCTGGGGTGGGGAGAAAAATCCCAAACCAGGTGAGTTGAAGTGATTTATTCAAATGCTTCTACCAAGTTATTCCTCCCGCTTAGTTCTCAAGGCTTTCTTTTGGGAAGCTGTGAGCGGTGGGGAGGTGGGGGGGATTGGGGAGAGGCTTGCAGGCACAGCTAAGGGGAAAAGCTCTGTGCCATTTGGGTCACTGCAAAGAACAACTCCAGCAACCTTCCCCCGCCAGAGGACGGGTGCCTGCCAATTCCCTAGTCGCAACTCCTCTCAACCTTTTTGAGGCGGAGAGAGGGGGCTGGGCTGGGAAGGATGTTGGGGAGTGCTCTTGGAAAATCTGAGGAAGGCAGAGGTGGGGGACTGCAGTCCTGTCACACACGGCCCGAGAGCTGAGGTTTGAGTGGGAAGGGGTGATGCGTGGGGAGAAATGGAGACAGTGAATTAATGTGGTCGCACTACTTTAGAACATTTGAATGTCGCTTGGACGAGCACTAGTTATTAATTTTTAAGATGAACGTGCTTAAGTTTTGTAGGGCTTTATTTTATGTGTGTATGTCTATGTGGTTTGTCTCGCCTTTTCTGCTGATTTGAGGTGACAGTGTCCTTTAATGGTGCACTCCGTGCCAGTCAGAAACATTTCACGTGTCTGGCGAAGGTTCTTTCAGGCTGCTGGAAGCAGCGTTTTTGTTAAATGTTTTCCGTTCTCCGACTGCTGGATTCAAGATTGTTTGGAAGTGGAGCCGACAGATTTGTGCTTGTGTGTTTTAAATTACATTGCATAGGCTCTTTGCCACTGACAATGGTACCATAATGAGCTGCTGTTTCCTGAGGCATAGTCACTACTCACAAATAACGGTTTGAAGAGATCGATTAGGGAAGAGGGGTTCATTTTAACACATTAGAGAAAGGGAAAGTTAGAAGCGCTGTTAACCTTCATTTGCCATTACTGAAAGGTGCCCATGGAAGAGTGATTTTGGTTGTTTTGTTATTGTTGTTTTTTTAAACGAACTGACATTTAACAGGAGAGAAAGCATTCTGACTTACATGATGCTCTTGTAAGAGTTATAGGGATAATTAGGGCAATAGATATGTTACTTTGAGATAAACAGCTGGCTGGCTCCACAACAGATGGGGCCAGTCTTGGCTGAGAGATCTACACCCTTGGAAATGAATGGGCCTGGGGTCAACCACACCCCCTCTTGGAATGTCAAAAGAAGGAGAAATGCCAGAGTATTTGCTTAACTCTAGAATGCTAAACCTTTTCCTAGCTGAGTCAGACATGGGCGAAATTCTTTACTGGCTGTCTTCTGCTGCTAAGCCAATTTTGTTCATTTTAAATTCAGATCCTTAGGTCTCCAAAGTTGTAGCTGTGTGATATTTCATTAAATGCTGCTTGATGCTGAATGCAAAGGACAGTCCATTGTATGGGCTTTGTAGTAGAGTGATTTATTGGGATGCCAATGAGCAGCTTTTGGATTTGGGAAAAGATCAACAGTTAGCCTTTGCCTCTGCGTCTCTCTGTTGATGACGCTCTGCTCTTCTGGACACCCTACCCTTCTCTCCTGTACTTTCATTTCTTCCCCCCACCCCACCCCATCCCACCCACATCTCTTGAAATTCTGTTTATTTCTCTATCTCTCCATTTGCAGTTTACATTTTTCCTTTCTGTTTCAAAACCCCTCCTTTATCACCAGCATATCACATCTCTTTCTCTTCAATCTTAGAACACACTCCCTGGTCCTCCACTTCAACTAGGAACTCCTGGGTGGATGTAGACTATGTGAATATTTTTGCAGAATCCTCTTTGAAGAGAATTTCTTTGCCTTTTCTTTTTCTTGCAGTCTGTGCTTGGCAGGATGAGCAGCAATGAGCCTGACCCCTGGTCTGGTTTGTAGTTCCTGTGACAGACATAATTTAGCCCCAGCAGCATGTGAACAATGAAATGCTGCAGTTGGGCTCATGCCACTTTTCCTTTCACTGGCACCTGCCTATGGATTAGCAAGGTTTTTAAATGCTCTACATGAAATGTTCTCATAATTCCCAAGGAATAAGTAGTCTTCAAGTGGCTTGCCTTATACAATACATTTTTTTTTTCCTTATCCTTGCTGCAGCTGGTGGTGGGAAGGCTGATCTTTCCCCCCTCTTTCTTCCTGTTCCCTGTGGATTGCTGAGTAGCAATCCAGGTGGCCAAACTGCCCATTTGGTTTTTTGAAGATACTTGGAGGACAACAGTTCCCCACCCACCCTGGTTGTTTCTTCTCCTCTGTGCAGGAAAGAAGTTTGTTATTTTATTCTCTTCTCTTAACGGGAAGAGTGTGATAGTGGCTATATTTGTTTATGTAACAGCAGTGCTCCTCTAGGTGTGGAAAGTCTAACTGCTATCCATCTGGAGGCAACTAGTGTAACAGGCAGATTCAGAAGCTGTCCTCTTAGACCTTTTATGCACCATCTTCTCATTCCTAATTTTCTTCTTCTGAAATACTTCCTTACCCACCAAAGTTTCTTTTATTGTCCTAGGGAGGAGAAATGGGCTGAATGTAGTGTTAGATTTGGCCTCATCACTGCTGTCTCTGGGACCTTAAATAACTATTCATTTCTTTCTGCTTCGGTTTACTTATTTGCAAAGGGATAATGATCCTTGCTCTTTGGTTTACTGATGTTATAGCCCTCTATAATCTGGCCCCAACCTATAATTCTGACAATTTATATTGATTGAGCAGCTACCATGTACTAAGCACTGTGGATACATCAGTGAAAACAAATGCTTTCCCTGACTTCATGGAGCTTATATTCTAATAGGGGATATACTTAATAAATAATTGCAAGTGTGATGAATGCCATTTCCAAAAGGGTTGGGTAGGAGTGCCTGACATGGTACTTTCCCCTTGTCTAGGGTTATCAGGAAAGGTTTCCTATAGGAAGTGACACTTCAAGAGACTTGGAGGGTAAACGGAAGTAGTAATTCAGGATGGCAGTGGGAGATGCTTATAGTGGGACAAAGGTTTCTGGCAGAGGGAACTTCATGTTCAAAGTTCAAAGGGAAGAGTGGTGAACCTGAGGATTTGAAAGGAAGTTAGAGACAGAGCAAGAGGAGAAAGACTAGAATGAAGAATGAGGCTGGAGAGGTGGGCAGAGGCTAGAGAGTAGGCAGTTCTTTGAGCTACAGGTGTATTTTGGTCTTTATCCTAAGGCTAATGAGAACCTAGCCTGGCTTTAAAAAACTAGATGAATGGCATATGTAGGATGATATTAAAATATTATCCTGGCTGTTAAGTAGAGGAGATTGAAGGAAAGACTTGGTCAGAGTGAATGTGTAGAGACCAAGTAGCAAATAATTTTTGTCGTCTGTATGAGGGATGATGGTGCTTAGATCTAGGGTGGTGACAGAGGGTTTAGAGAGACACTAAGTTTTTTGTTTTTTTTTTTTGAGACAGAGTTTTGCTCTTGTTGCCCTTGCTGGAGTACAATGGCGCAATCTCGGCTCATTGCAACCTCCGCCTCCCAGGTTCAAGCAGTTCTCCTGCCTCAGCCTCCCTATTGTCTGGGATTACAGGTGCCCGCCACCATGCTCAGCTAACGTTTGTATTTTTTTTTTTTTTTTTGAGACAGAGTCTCACTCTGTCGCCCAGGCTGAAGTGCAGTGGCATGATCACAGCTCACTGCAGCCTCCATCTCTGGATTCAAGCGATTCTCCTGCCTCAGCCTCCCAAGTAGTTGAGATTACAGGCACCCACCACTCCCAGCTAATTTTTATATATTTAGTAGAGATAGGGTCTCACCATGCTGGCCAGGCTGATCTCTCAAACTCCTGACCTCAAATGGTCCACCCGCCTCAGCCTCCCAAAGTGCTGGGACTACAGGCGTGAGCCACCGCACCTGGCAACTTTTGTATTTTTAGTAGAGATGGGGTTTCACCATGTTGGCCAGGCTGGTCTCGAACTCCTGACCTCAGGTGATCCACCTGCCTCTGCCTCCCAAAGTTCTGGGATTACAAGCATGAGCCACCATGCCCGGCCGACACTAACTTTGAAAATTGTAATTGATAAGATTTGTTGATTGATTGGATGGGGGGATAGGGAGAAAAGGGAGTCATGAAATGACTTGAGTTTTTTTCTTGAGCAACTGGGGATGACGTTTTCAGAGAAAGAGAACACTGAATGGGAACCAGGTCTTTTTGTTTTCCGAAGGGAGGACCTTTGGACATGCTGAGTTTGAGGTTCCTGGAAGACATCTAAGATCTTTCACTCTTGCTGTCCATGTGTAGGATGTGGCATGATGGAGTAGAAGAGAGCTCTGGACGAGGCTTTCTCACACTGGACACTGCTTATTTATTAGCTGTATGATGTTGGACATATCACATTTTTTTTTCTGAGCTTTAGTTTCCTCATCTGTACAATGTATTTATTCCAATAGTTTATACTTACCCCAGCATGGAAAACAACAGTATACTCAGTTTACTTATTTGTTATAACAGTTTTCCATGCACCATGCTAGGAAAACAACATTGAATAAGATACTGTTTACTTCGGAGGAATTCACTCAGGTGAGGGAGACAAACGTAAATAATCACGTACAAAGAGGTACTTTGGCAATACTAGGCTAGGGGGTAGGGGTGATGGGTGCGGGAGGCATCCACACCTTTGATCCTAGACATGAAGGCAAGCAAAAGCGCTCCAGACTGTGTTTCCAGGCACCCAACAGAATGCCTCACACAAATTAGGGACTCTAAATGTTGGTAGAGTGAGTGAATTAACCTAAGTCACTAAGGGCCTATTCAAAAGCAGGAAATATCAACACATTGGAAGAGGACTATTAGTAATAATACAGATGCCAAATGTAAAATGCTTTTAAGAGACCCATTAAAATGTATTCTAGGCCAGGCACAGTGGCTCACGCCTGTAATCCCCACACTTTGGGTGGCTGAGGTGGGTGGATCACCTGAGGTCAGGAGTTCAAGGCCAGCGTGGCCAACATGGTGAAACCCCGTCTCTACTAAAAATACAAAATTAGGCGGGGGTGTAGTGGTGCATGCCTGTAGTCCCAGCTACTCAGGAGGCTGAGGCAGGAGAATCACTTCAACCCAGGAGGCGGAAGCTGCTGTGAGCCGAGATTGTGCCATGGCACTCTACTCTGGGCCACAGAGTGAGACTCTGTCTCAAAACAAAAAAAAGTATTCTTGACACTTTCAGCTTTTGAGATATTTTGTGATCACTTTTAGGGAAATTCAGAAATATTTCAGATCTGGTTTCTTTTTGGGCTGAACTTCCTTTATTCAAGTCAGTTTCTCAAAAAAATCATTCTAATTGCACAGAGTTCCCTGAATCAATGGGTCTCAGAGTTTTGAATTATATAGATTAGTAAAATTACAAAAAATAAAATTGAATGTACTGTGAACAATAGTTATTCTTCTGTAGTAAATTGAAAATGCCTCCTCACTTTTATCTCATAGAAAATATATTTAGCTTTATGAAAAATTCTCTACATTGGGTTTTCTCATTTTGTTGCAGAAATGAAACATCAGAATAGTGTAATAATTTAGGGAACCATTGCCCTATTTTCTTGGCTGTGGTGGAAATGTGATCCATCTCCAAATAAGGGCATTTCCAAGTATGGAGGAATTTAATATGGACCACAGTTAATTTATTTTTAGTTTTTTCCTTATAGGAAGCCAACTTTTGAGAACTACGTAGGCCTCCTCAAGATTAGCCTAACGTAGCAGTTCTTAATTCATGCCTGAAAGGTCCTCAGGAAGACCATGAACCTTTGAGATCATGTTAAATTGTATACGTATACATATTTATGTGCTGGAGTTCATACGTACATGCACATATTTTTGTATCATACGCGTGTGTCCTTGAGCAAATTACTTAATCTCTTTGAGCCTCTGTTTCTTTGTAAGGTTGTTGGGAGGTTCACATGATGAGATCATGTGTTTTAAATGTCTGACACTATGCTTGGTATAGCTGGTGCTCATGGTAGCTGTTTTTAACATTATTTATCCTTTTAAACATTTTATTTATTGGGTGGTGCTTGTTTAGTATCCACAGTGACAAAATGAGGAAAAAGATAATTTAGTGTAACTACACAACCTGATTCAATGGGAAGTACACAACATCACTGATGTAGAATTTTTGCCAGAAATGCTTAACTTAAATCTAACCATGGGGCTGGGCATAGTAGCTCACATCTGGAATCCTAGCACTTTGGGAGGCCACGGCAGGAAGATTACTTGAGCCCAGGAGTTCAAGACCACCCTGGGCAACATAGGGAGACTCTGTCTTCTCCTTTCCTTTCCTTTCCATTCCTTTCCTTTTCTCTCTTTCCTTTCTCTCTTTCTTTCCAGAGCCTCACTCTGTTGCCTAGGCTAGAGTGCAGTGGTGTGATCACAGCTCACTGCAACCTCTACCTCCTAGGCTCAAGGGATCCTCCCATCTCAGACTCCTGAGCAGTGGGGACCACAGGTGTGCACCACCATGCCTGACTAAATTAAATTTTTTTTTTGTAGAGACAAACTGTCACTATGTTGCCCAGGCTAGTCTTGAACTCCTGGGCTCAAGTGGTCCTCCCATTTTAGCCTCCCAAAGTGTGAGCCACTGTGCCCAGCTCTTGTCTCTATTAAAAGAAAAAAAAAATCTAACCATAAATAAATAATCAGACAAATCCAGATTGTGGGACATACTGCAAAATAACTGGCTTATGATCTTCAAAAATGTCACGCATGAAAGACAACAAAAATGGAAGGTATGAGGGACGACAATCTATATTAAGGGAGACTAAA
Organism: Homo sapiens; assembly: GCF_000001405.40. Classification (NCBI taxonomy): domain Eukaryota; kingdom Metazoa; phylum Chordata; class Mammalia; order Primates; family Hominidae; genus Homo; species Homo sapiens. The sequence continues at coordinate 83,064,947 of NC_000011.10, read as the reverse complement.
GAGATATGACAACCAAATGGAACATGTAATCCTAGATTGGATCCTGGACTTAAAAAAAAAAGCTACAAAAGACATTTTCAGGATAATCGGGGAAATTTGAATGGGAGCTACATATTAGATAATCAGTAACAATGTTAGTTTTCTTGGATGTGATAATGATTCCATTTGTTTAACCTGACACGTTGTAGATATTGGTATATGATCAGCTGGCGTTCCTGAATGTCTTCAGGAATGTCATAGCAAAGCTAGAACACATCAAGGGCTGCTTCAGGAGGTAGTGATTTTCCTGGTCATTTCAAGTATTTAATCAGCCTATGGGCTGGGATACCACTTTTTGGGACATTGTAAGTGTTGTTTTATATCCTTTCTAAATACAATCCTGTATTCTGTGACTGGAAACTTCTACAGCTGGCACTCTATGTGTGACATTACTAGAGGGAGCAATGCAGGAGGAACATTAGCTGTTCCCAAATCGAAGGGAAAAGGTACCTAAATATATATCTCAAATTTGTTTTTTGATTCTAGAATTGACATAAGATTGGCTGGGCGCAGTGGCTTATGCTTGTAATCCCAACACTTTGGGAGGCTGAGACAGGTGAATTGCTTGAGTCCAGGACTTTGAGACCAGCCTGGGCAACATGGTGAAACTCTGTCTCTACAAAAAATATGAAGATATTTTTGTATTTTTTAGCTGGGTGTGGTGGCGCACACCTGTGTCCCAGCTATGGGGAAGGGTGCGGCTGAGGCAGGAGGATCCCTTAAGCCCCAGAGGTCAAGGCTGCAGTGAGCCCTGATCATGAGACCTTGTCTTAAAAAAAGAAAAGAAAGAAATAACATAAGATTAATTAAAATTCATTACAGAAAAACACATGGACTGTATAGGGAAAGTCCTCTTTAATTCTACCCACAAAGATAATCAACTGTTAGATTTTGATGTGTATTCTTCTGTCATTTTTCCCCATATGTGTACTAGCAATATTATTATAGCACATGTAATTCTGCTTGTTCTCTTTTACTTAATATATTTTGGGCATTTCCCCCATGTATTTGCATATTGCTCCAACTTACCTGTTTTAATGGTTGTTGGGAACTGTGCTACAGTGAGCCTTTGAGTACCTCATTTTATTATGAATTTGTGGGAATATTTCTGTAAGATATCTTTCAGGGGGCAGAAATGCTGAGTCCAAGGGCACTAGCATTGCCCCCTGATTTAAATTCTTGTCAGCAATGTTGAGAGGGCTAACTCTACATACCTTTGCCAAGTCCATTAGCCACTTGGGCTGAACTCTTTTACTAAGGGAAGCTAGTTGCGAAGGGTGAACAGAACGGGGGCAAAAATTGAACTACGGAGTTCCTGCTGGTTTTTGTGATGGTGGTAATAAAAGTTGATGTGTAAATAATGTAGAAATCCCTGGAAGAGAGAAATACTTTATCCCTGCCTGCAACACAGTACAGTGTTTAAAAAGTGAACTGAAACAATAAAGCAGTCAAGAGTTTTCCCCAGAGAATTCTGCAGAAAAATTTTATTTTCTAGTTACGGTTAGTTAACTTCACTAAAATGTGGACGTCATCAACCTTGAAATGAAAATATCTTCTGCTCACTTCCTCTACATCTCAGTCATGCAACCACATTGCAAAGAGAATTTAAGCTCCACTTTTAAAATATCTGAAGCAGGTGGTTAAAAGGCCCGAGTGTTCATTTTTCTGAATTTCAGTAGAAGCAATCAAAGGGCAGATTTTTGGCATTTTTCTTTAGAGAAGCAGGTGTGAGCTTAGGAGTGGCCATCAGTGAGTCACTTTGCCCTAACAGGAACCCTGGGGAAGAGATTGTGAGGATCGCAGCCATGAATTATTTTCACTCTTTAGCCACTGTGGCTGGGTGAAGCAAACAAAAAATTTGAGCTGTTTGCTACGTGGACAACTTATCTTTTTTTTTTTTTTTTTTGAGACGGAGTCCCACTCTGTCACCCAGGCTGGAGTGCAGTGGCGCAATCTTGGCTCACTGCAACCTCCAACTCCTGGGTTCAAGCGATTCTCTTGCCTCAGCCTACCGAGCAGCTGGGATTACAGGTGCCCACCACCATGCCTGGCTAATTTTTTTGTATTTTTAGTAGAGATGGGGTTCCGCCTTGTTGGCCAGGCTGGTCTCAAACTCCTGACCTCAGGCGATCCGCCCACTTCAGCCTCTCAAAGTGCTGGGATTACAGGTGTGAGCCACCATGCCTGGCTGAGCCTCAGTTTCTTTATCTATAAAATGGGGATTATTGTGGGGCTCAAAGGAGATGTTGTGTATAAAAGGACTTTGGCAAATTTATGTGCACATAAATATATTCTGTTGTCAAAGGGTTCATGTCTCAAACTCTCAAACTGAGCAAGTTCATACTAGTCTTTCCTTTAACTCCAGTGGCCTTTGTAGGCTGAATGACTTTTTGAAAGGAATTCTGTCTCATGTTGTCTAATTGTTCCTTCTTCAGCCAGTGTTTGTGTGCTAAATGCAAGGTCCTGTGCTGGGTATTCTGATAAAAAAACAAAGGTGGAACCATCTGAGTGCTTTCCTTGTTCACCACTTTAATTGTAGGAAACTAATATCTTTTAATGAGAGTCTTCAATAAAAGATGCTCTACAAAGTTGTATTGTGGATGCTGTCTTATTATCTCAATTCTAGGCAGTAGAATTTAGCTCAATTTTTTACATACAAATGAGGAACCAATTTTCAGTAAGGTTAAGTAAACTTGTTTTGTTTTTCGACATGACCTAGCCCTCCCCTCCCACTCTGAAAAATGCAGATATAGACCCTAGGTAGGCTTTCTGAAACCAAAACTATACTGTTTCTGTAGCTGCTTCCTGTTCTTGCCTTGCCTTCTGATTGAAAATATAAGCTTCATGAAGCCAGGACCGTCTGGTGGCATTTACTTTCATATGGTTCATGTTATTTTCAGGCACGGGGGAAGAGTTTTCTGTAGACCTTTTGTTCACTGGAGCCATAATGTGAACTGTCATAGCATCTACTGGGTGCCAGGTGGTTTATGTTTTATTTGATTCTTTTTCCAACTTAATTCGAAACCTTTCAAACCTTTAGAGCAATTGCAAAAATAGTACAGTGAAGCCAGGCACTGTGGTGCACACTGGTAGTCCCAGCTACTCAGGAACAGGAAGAATGCTTGAGCCCAGGAATTCAAGAGCAGCCTGGGCAACGTTGTAAGACCCCATCTTTAAAAAAAAAAAAAAAAAAAAAAAGAAAAGAAAGAAAAAAATCCCACCTAAAAAAACAAAAAACAAACGAAAAACATTCCATGTACCTTTTATCTGGATTAATTTGCTTTTGTCTTTACACACATACACACACACGTGTGCACACACACAGATACTTTTTCTAAACCACTTGAAAGTAAGTTGCAGATATCGCCATGCTTTGTCTCTAGGCCCTTAAGCATATATCCCCTAAGAACAAGGACATTCTCCCATGTAATCACAATACCATTACATGGAAACAATCATATTTTTCTGATTTCCTCAGTCGTTCCAATGTCCTTTATAACTTTTAAAAAATTTTTCTGATCCAGAATCTTATCAAGACTACTTACCCAATACAGTTGTGTTCTTTAGTTTCCTTTAATGTAGCATATTACCTGTATTAGTCAGTGTTCTCCAGAGACAGAACCAATAGGATGGATGGATGGATTGATGGATGGATAGACAGAGAGAGAGGGAGAAAGAGAGAGAGAGAGAGAGAGGTGGGAAGAGATTTGTTAGGGCGATAGGCTCGTGTGATTATGGAGGTTGAGAAGTCCCATGACAGGCTGTCTATGAGCTGGAGACCCTGGGATGCTGGTAGCTTAGTGCAGTCCAAGTTGAAAGTCCTTGGAACTGGGGAAGCTGACAGTGGAACTCTCAGTCTGAGGCTGAAGACCCAGAGACTGGGGGGCTGCTGGTGTTAAGTCCTGGAGTCCAAAGGCCAGGTAGCCTGGAGTTGTTGTCCGAGGACAGGAGAGGAAGAGTGTAGTGTATTTCAGCTCCAGCAGACAGCTTGACATATTCGCCTTTTCTCTGCTTTTGTTTTCTCCAGGCCCCCAGCAGACTGAATGGTGCCCACCAACATTGGTGGTGGTTCTTCCACACCTGGTCCACTGAGACATGCTTATCTCCTCTGGAAACAGTCTTGCAGACACACCCCCAAATAATGCTTTACTAGGTTTCTAGGTATTTCTTAATCTAATCAAGTTGACACCTAAAATTAACCACCACAGTACCCTTGCCTTTTTTGCCTTTTATGATATTGAAATTTTTGAAGATTCCAAGTTTGTTGTCTGTGAATTGGATTTGTCTGATTGTTTTCTCATTATTAGATTCAAGTTAAACACTTGTGGTGAGAATTTTTTGCAATGTTCTATCCCTCCCCGTGCATCATAGGTGACACCTAATGTCAGTTTGTAACATCACTGGTGACATGAGGTTTGATCATTTGGTTGAGGTGGTATTGCCAGATCTCTCCATTGAAAGGGCACCCTTTTCCCTTTGTAATTAATAAAATTATCTGTGAGGTGATATCTTGAGATTGTTTGAGTATCCTGTTCCTCAATAACTTTAATTCAAAAGTTTTAACATCTATCGATAATCCTGGCCTCGGTCAATTGGTATTCATGAAGGGATGATTTTCTAATTCTCTTTCCTTCTGTATTTATCATATGATAGATTAGCTTTCAGCCCCCAACCCCTCTGCCGCCCTGCTTTTTTTTTTTATGAGACAGAGTTTTGCTTTTGTTGCCCAGGTTGGATGGAGTGCAGTGGCGCAATCTCGGCTCACGGCAACCTCCGCCTCCCGGGTTCAAGCAATTCTCCTGCCTCAGCCTCCGGAGTAGCTGGGATTACAGGTGTGTACCACCATGTCCGGCTAATGTTTGTAAAGATGGGGTTTCACAATGTTGGTCAGGCTGGTCTCGAATTCCTGACTTCAAGCGATCTGCCCGTCTCGGCCTCCCAAAGTGCTGGGATTACAGGCATGAGCCACTGTGTCTGGCCCCAACCACCCCGCCCCCGCTTTTTTGTTAATATCACTTGGACCCATGATTTCTTTTTCTCACAATGTGTTATAATCTATTACTAATCTTCTTGCCTTTTTTCCCCCTCAACCTTATGCTTTCTGATATTCAAATTGTCCCAAATGTAGCTATTGTGAGCCTATCTTATTTATTTGGCCCCAAAAGCAATCTGATAAAGTAGGCGAGATTTTGCACTTACAAGTGAGTAAATGAAGGCTCAGAAACTACAGGTAACTTTCCCAGGGTCGTATACCTAGTTAGCAGAGGTGGCCAGATGAAAACCCAGTTTTGATTAACTCAAGCTGGTCCTGCTACTTGGTTCCTGCTACTCCACACTGCATCCTGTTGGACCATGAACAGAATGTCACTTGCTGAAACCAATTTAAAAAGAAAGCACAATCCTTGCATCATTGTTGCTAATAGCAAATAATTGGAAACCACCTTAAATGTGTATCAGTAGGGAACTGGTTAAATAAATGGGTATGTATACACAAGGGAAAACTATGAAACTGCAAACAAGAATTAGGGTGTTCTCTAAGTACAGATATGGAAAAATCTCCAAGGATATATTAAAAGAAAGAAGGAAGGTGCAGAACAGTATATATTTGTGAACTAAATTGAGGATAAGAAAATATATTCGATTTTGCACACAGAAACCCTGGAAAGAGGCCAGGCACGGTGGCTCACACCTGTAATCCCAGCATTTTGGGAGGTCAAGGCAGGCAGGTCATTTGAGCCCAGGAGTTTGAGACCAGTTTAGGCATCATGGCAAAATCCCAGATCTACAAAAATACAAAAATTAGCCAGGCATGGTGTCATGTGCCTGTAGTCCCAGCTACTTGGGAGGCTGAGGCAGGAGGATCACTTGAGCCTGGAAGGCAGAGGTTGCAGTGAGCCAAGATCGTGCCATTGCACTCCAACCTGGGTGACAGAGTGAAACTGTCTCAAAAAGACATTAGAGAAGGCTGCTTTAGCCATTGGTGGCTGGTCAGGAGACAGAGGGATGCTTTAAAAAGATCCCAAGTGTGAGAGCCTACAAACTGGAGTTTGAATTTGTGTTATGGCATTTTCATGCTACACGATCTTGGGCAAGTCATAACTGCTCTGAGACTCAGGTTCTTCATCTATAATAGGGGATGTCTAGTCTCAAAATGTTTCTTCACAAGGTACTTATTACAAGGAAAATAGTTACAAGGAAATTACAAGTTACAAGGAAAATAGTAACTTCACAGTGGAGAAACAAGGCAGACACCACTTTAAGTGATCAACGTTTACACCAGTGATGGGACAAATCAACATCTGAGAAGTTCACAGTATCACTCGTGTGGCATTCCTGCCAAAGATACAGAACCTGATCTAATCAGAAATAGCTAAGGAAATATCTGATAAACCAAAATTGAGAAACATTCTACATAATATTTTTTTTCTGTATTTTTCAAAAAAGTAAAGGTCATGAAAAACAAAGACTGAGGAATGGTTCTAGATTAAAAGTGACTAAAGACACATTAAAAACTAAATGTAACATATGATCCTGGATTGGATATTAGAGAAATTTTATTTTATTTTTTGCCATAAAGGCCATTATTTGGTTAATTGGTGAAGTTTGAATAAGGGTTGAGATTAGATAATAGTATAGGATGAATGTTAATTTCCTGATTTTGATAATTATACCGTGGAAACACAAGGACTGTCCTTGTTTTCTAGGAAATACTAAGTATTTCAGGGTAAAGAAATGTCCATTACAGAGGGAGAATGATAAAGAAAATGTAAAGCATTTGAGTAATCTGGGTGAAGGGTAATTAGTAGTTTTCTTGAAGCTTTTTGTAAGTCTGAAATTAATTAAAAATAAAGAGGTAAAGATGGTGAGAGGGGAGATGCCAATACTTAGAGCACAGGGTTTGTTGCAAGGGTAAAACAAGGCTCAGGTCTCAGCGTGGTGCCTGTCACCTGGTGTGCTTCCCAGTACAGGCTGGCATTGTAGGATGGGCAAAGCCGACAGTAGCTCTTAGCCATCATGTGGGAGCCAAATTAAAATTGGCCTGTGGCATATGGTGACAGTATTGTTCTGAATCCACAATTGGAATTCATGGTCTGACGAATACTTTTCTCTCTTATTTATAAATTCATTTAATTGCAAAGTTTCTAAAAGTACACACATCAAATCACATTTAGTTATCCACTTAACAAATCATCTCAGTATAGTGTTAAATTTATATGAAGTTGTGATTGTCCTAGGAAAGCTAGGGGTAATGGTCCCTTTCCATCTGGGCCATTTTGGGGCCACTACTAGCATTTGGGCAACTATCTCTTACCTTTTCTTCCCTTTCCTCTCCCTCAACCCAACGCCCAGTTTCTGATTTTGTTGCAGAGAGCTATTTTAATTAGCCATGTTAAATGTTAATTGTTTTGGCAGACAAAAGAAACTTGAATAAGCTTTTCCTTCCAAAACTCAAGAACTTTGCTTTCTAAGAGTTAACATTGGAAAGAATGTTTCTGGCCTGGAAAATTTAGGTAGCAACCTGAAAAGGAATTCATGTCCTACAGGAATTGGAAGTTGGGTAGAGAGCTCAATTTCTTTTGAGAGAGATTAAAATATATACTTCTGTCTGAAATAGTAATAAAAATCTATTTTTTCATCTTTTTGCTAACAGCCTCAAAATATGAATGATTAAATTCAAAATAGATTTAGCACTAAAAAAAAAAAAAACCCTCAAGTGATCCGGATTTTAAAACATTTCTGAGATATCAGACAGACTATTTTGTTGAGTAAGAAGATCCTTAGTGTAACATTTAAGCCTGTCCCTTTGAAGTGACAAAATTTCTACCTTCTGAGGAGCTATAGCTGTATAACTCAAGATTCCAAATTCAATGATACAAATCTGTACTTACTGTTACTGCTGTGGAACTGTCCTTTTTTGACTATTACCTGCCACAGATTGTTTGGTCTTAGAATTCTGCATGCTTTTTGCTTTTAAAATTATGGTCAGGAAGCAAAATGGCATGTTTGCAAGTATAGTAAGTTATTTTCATTCTGTAACTTTATAATAATAATATTGGCAAACTTTTTTTTAGTTGATGACCTGCCAAGCACTGTGTTAACATGTTATATCATTTAATTTTGGCAAAAATCACATGAGAAAACTGAATCTCTGAAAACTTAAGTAGCATGCCTAAGATCGTATGACTAGCTAAGAGGCAGATCCAGGACCAGAAATCAAGACTGTCTTACTGCAGAGTCTGTGCTGTGTGATTTTTCTGCTGGACAATTTGCAATTTTATGTGGAAGATGATTCATTTTTTCACCTTATAATCTTGAAAGCTGAGTCCTTTTTTACTTGATAAGTATTTATTGAGAGCCCATCACATGTCAGGCACCTTGAGAACTATAGAGGTGGTTGAAACACATCTTTATGATTAAGGCGTTCACCTAGCAGCATTATTCACCATAGCCAAAAGATGGAAGCAACCCAAGTGCCCATTGATGGTTGAATGGATAAACAAAATGTGGTATTTACATACAGTGGAATATTACTCAGCTTTAAAAAGGAAGGAAGTTGTGACACATGCCACCACGTGGATGACCTTGAAGACCTTATGCTAAGTGAAATAAAAGCCAGTCACAAAAAAACACATTTTGTATGATTTCAATTATATGAGATATTTAGAGTAGTCAGATACAAAGAAATATAAAGTAAAATGGTGGTTACCAGGAGCTGGGGGCAGGAGAGAAGTGGGAAGCTGTTTAGTGGGTGTAGAGTTTCAGTTTTAGAAGATGAAAAAGTTCTATAGATTGGCTGCACATCAATGTGAATATACTTCATGTTATTGAACTGTATACTTAGAAATTGTTAAGATGGTAAATTTTATGTTATGTATATCTAAAAAACCAAACAGATACACCTTATGTCTTAGTCCATTTGTGCTACTATAGCAAAATATCTGAGACTGAGTAATTTGTGAACAACAGAAATTTATTTCTTACAGTTCTGGAGGCTGGAAAAGTCCAAGATCCAGGCGCCAGCAGGCTTGGTGTCTGCTGAAGGATACTCTCTGCTTTTCTACTCTTGTGCCCTTTGGATGGTGCCTTGTTCCTGCATCCTCCAAAGGATGTGTGGTCACATGGTAGAAGGCACAGAAGGACAACTCACCCCTTCAAGCCCTTTTTGTAAGGTGCTAATCCCTTCATAAGCATGGAGCGCTCATGGCCTAATTACCTCCTAAAGTTCCCACCTCTAAATACAGATGCATTGGGGATTAAATTTCAACATGAATTTTGAAAAGGACACAAACCATTCAAATCATAGCACTCCTTTACTACTTGGTAGAAAGTGATCAGTGAGACAGGAAGGACTGAGAAGTAATAAGTGTTAGAAATGGCTTCCAAGACAGGGTAGATCTGGCTGCGCAGCAGAAGATGGATAAAATTTGTGTGTCAATGAGGAAGGTGAGAAGGGCAACTCAGGGGAAGGGAACAGTGAGCAAAGTTATAGACATGCTTTAAAGTCCAGTCCTTGCAAGGAACAGATCTCCAAGTTCATGGTTCTATAATTGTGGGTGTCCCAGCCATCTTTGCTGTGGTCAGAGACCTGAAAGCAAAGTCTAAACCAGGTTCATGAAGTTGTGGTGTGCTGGACAGGTACTCATTCATGATTCATTCAGTAAACATTTACATAGTGCCAGGTGCTATGCTAGGCACTTTATGTATGGTGGCAGATTTAATAACCCTAACAACTTTGGAGCTATTAATAGCTCCAATTAACAGATGCAGATGCAGATGCAGAAATTGTGACTCAGAGAGAGGAAGTAACCTGTCCAAAATCACATGACGGGTAGGTGGCAGGAGCAAGACTTTTCCTATAGAGCCCATGCTGTGTCCACTAAGCCACACGCTTCTTCTTGCAGGTGAGTGCCAGGTGATGTCTGCTTTTGAACTACAGTCAAAATGGCACCTGGCCGCCACCACTTGCCATCTTCTTGCTGCTTCTGAGGATACCTTACATTTCTGAGGCTCAGCTTTCTTTTCGTTTTTCTTTTTTGTTTTTGAGACAAGGTCTTGTTCTGTTGCCCAGGCTGGAGTGCAGTGGCATGATCACGACTCACTGCAGCCTTAACCTCCCATGCTCAATCAGTCTGCCCACCTCAGCCTCCTGAGTAGCTGGGGCTACAGGTGCACACCCCCACATCTGGCTGATTTTTGTATTTTTTTTTTTCGTAGACACAGGGTCTCATTCTATTGCCCAGGCTGGTCTCAAACTCTTGGGCTCAAGTGATCCTTCCTCCTTGGCCTCTCCAGTAACTAGGACTACAGAGGTGTGCCACCATGCGTGGCCTCAACTTTCTTTTTTGTTGTTGTTGTTAATGTTGTTTTTCCTAGCCACCTAGATGACCAGGGACAGGCTCAGCTTTCTTGTCTGTGAAATGAAGGCCTGTATTAGACCAGGTTATTTCTAAAGTTTCTCCCAGATCTAAAAACCTAATTTATTCATTCATCAAACACAAGTTTTATATCTATTATATGCCAGATACTGTGCTCATGGGTAGTAGCAATCAAGATTTGACAGCACACTGTTTTTGACTATAAGGAGATTGTAGGCTAAAGAAAGAGACGTAAAAGAGATGATTATCATACAGTATGGTCATAATGCTGGCAGTGTACATAGAGATAACTACTGGAGCATAGAGGAGGGGCACCTGACCCTGTCTAGGATGAGAGGATGTTAAGAGGAAATGACTCCAGGAAGATAATGAAGAAGACCACAAGAACCTCATCCTTCCTGTTGTCCCTATGGTCATAAGCATGTTATTTATTTATTTATTTACAGAGTCTCCCTCTGTCTGTCACCCAGGCTGGAGTGTAGTGGAATAGTCTCAGCTCACTGCAACCTCTGCCTCCCAGGTTCAAGCGTTTCTCCTGCCTCAGCCTCCTGAGTAGCTGGGATTACAGGCATATGCTATCACTCCTGGTTACTTTTTGTATTTTTAGTAGAGACGGGGTTTCGTCATGTTGGCCATGCTGATCTCAGGCTCCTGACCTCAAGTGATCCACTCACCTTGGCCTCCCAAAGTGCTGGGATTACAGGCATGAACCATAACACTTGGCCACTTATTTATTAAAGTCATTAAAACTTTGGCAAACTTTTTATTTTAAGTCTTATGGAAAATTTAGTCATATATGACAGTTAAGTTCCCAGCAATTTGTCAAATATCTATAAGGTTTAGAATCTCTTCCAGATTAGAGAAAGATTATAAGGTTAAAAAGGGACCTGTGGGTTAGATTTTTTTTTTTTTGAAGGCATTTAGGAAGCATAGAGCAGATTAGTAAGAGACTCAAGGGTCCAGAGTTATTGGAGATGCTCACAACTAAAGTCACAGATGGTTATGCTTCAAAAAAGCAAGTGAAATTGCCAAGACACTGGGTAATATATGTGATTTTCTCAAAATTACTAAGTACCGCTGAGTTACTAAGGATTAGAATTACTAAATATACAATTTCAATACTAAGAAATTGAAGTGGAGGTTGAGGGGCAAAAGTTAGGCACTAACCATTAATTGAGCAGCTGTGCTCTGCCCTTTGCATTTATAATTTTATTTGATCCTCCCCACAATCCTGTAATGTAGGTGTTCTTATCCTGGCTTTATAAGTACAAAAACTGAGGCTCAAAGAGGTTGTGACTTGCTTAAGGTCACAGCTGGAAGGAGACTAAACAGTGGTTTAAGGCTCCTTCCTCTACTTCATGCTCCTTCAAAACACTAGAGTTTCTATTTCTGGAGGAACCACCCAGGGTGCAGGGCATAGACGCCTCCCTTCCATCTATGGAGCCCAGGGGATTCATGATAGTTAGGGGAGGCCAGCTCTTCAACTTTTCTAACACACTGAAGGACAGCTCCAGTTCCCTGTGTCTTCTCTCTGAGGTGGTAGATCACCAAGTCACAGGGAAAGTTTTTTTACTAAAACATTAATATATTAATATTGCCTTGCACCTCACTGTCTCTTTTCCCAGTCAATGTATGAGTGTTTGATCTTGGCAATTTGTCTTTTAGAAGTGGCTCATAAAAATCATCTGAGAGAATGCTGATTGAGGTCAGCTAGGTTTGTAGTGGATCCCTTCTCCCTCCCCAACAAAGGAAAACTTCAGCTCATTTGCTCCAGATTCTATCTTTGCAGTTCTGAGAGACCTTGTCAACTGGTTCTTAGAGGCCTTGAACTATAAGATTAAGACAGGATCACATGGAAGGCTCAGCACTTCTAATCTGCTGCCTCAGGCTCCTTCTTCTCTCGTGTTCCCCTGTGGGCACAGTGTCTTGTCAGGGAATGTTTTCCCAGCTGGCTTTGGAGGCAGGCCAGACATCTCTCTCAGGCCCTTTAGCCCTTGCTGTTAAGTTCCCACACATGGCTGCATGCAACATGGAAAACTAGCTTCCAACATGGGTTGATGAATTATGGCAGTGGGGAAAAGTCTCCTCTAGCCAGGCCATTTCTCTTCCCTGGTATTCCATAGTTTGGGCTATAGCGAAATGGATAGAGGATCCGAGGTCAGGAGATCAGAGCTTAAGTCTTGGCTCAAGTCACAAATCCTGGGGCTGTGAGCACTTGATCTGTTTGAGCCTGTTTTTATTGCTGAAAAGGAAGGACTGATGACAATCCCAGCTTCATGCTGCTGTTCTGAGTCACGTAACTCAATATATAGTATAAATGGGCTTTATAACAAGCCTGTAGCGTGTTTTACAGATGCCAGAGCTTGTTCTTAAAGACCAAATTTGGCTCAAAGAGAAATGTTTCTGGAAATTGAGCAGGAGGCCTGCTCTGTCATCACTGGTCTCCAGTTCCTGGCAAACCTGATTATTGCTCAAGGAGGCATTTGTGGCATCATTCTCCTGTTTATTTTTGTAATCTCATTTATAGTATTGTAAATGCTACCAGAAGCTTTGGTGATTGTTGAATATTTATCTTTGAAAACTCTAGCCAGGGTTGTACACTCATACCCAGAACTATTTACCCCAGAGTAATTATTTGAATTCTTAGAGCTATGTGTGATTCATTTTCCAATAGATTCTGGGACAGCAGAGCTGGCTATGTATGATAAATAAGGTGTATCTCACTTGCTAGATGAGAACTCCTGAGGGTATCTTAGTAGGTAAACCATACGTCAGGGCTATTACAACTTCATACATGCTTCTGAGAATGAAATGAGGGTGGGGAAGAGGGTTTTTGTTTTTTTTTTTTAACTGTAAGTGCTTTATGAGTTTAAAGCTAGAAGCCCTTGGAAAGTGAAAAGGGTCTTTCGTGGACTGTCATCAGTTTGTTGGAATTATTACCCTGTTCTGACAAATTTTCTAGGTGTTCCCAAGACACTTAGGGATCGTTGCTTACTTCCACCTTCTTGCCGCTTCAAATGATAGCTCTTCATTCTTCCTGGCTGTGTTAGAACTCTTTAAGTTATGGACGGAAGCAACCCAACTCTAATTGGGGTAAAGAGAGAATGTGTGGGAAGGATACTGAGGTATTTTATGTAACCATGAAAAGAACAGGTACAGCCGGAACCAGGAGGTTTTAGAGCAGGTAACTTCCCTACCAGCCCCCAAATTTCAGTGGCTCAATAAAAATGAAGTTTATTTCTTGTGTGTACAGCAGTTCAACATGGTTATTCCTGGCTAAGCTGCCTTTAATGTTTCGGGCACCCAGGCTCCTTCCATCTTGTGACTCCTCTGTTCTTAGAGCTTTCTCCTTTTAACCTGCAGATGGAGAAGGAGATGGAAGGATCTCACATGGAAGGATTCCATGGGCCAGGTCTGAAAGTGGCTTATATCACTTCTGTCCTCAATCTATTGATTATAATTTAGTTTGTGACCCCATAATTTAGTTGTGACCCAGTAACAACTGAGAAAGGCCTGTTTGCCCAGGAAGAAAACAAAATAGGTTTGGTGAGCACCTAGCTAGTTTGAACCACACAGGGACTCAAAAGCTGTTAAGAGACAGAGTCTCGCTTTGTTGCCCAGGCTGCAGTACAGTGATGCGATCTCGGTTCACTGCAACCTTTCCAACCCTTATTACCACAGCCACACCAAATGATTGCATTTCATGGAATCTATGTCACCATCATTTCTAACATGTACAAGTATTTTATGTACCACTGAGAAAAAGAAAATGAGGTTCCTAATACACTATCACAAAATGCTAAGATGCCATTATAAAATGCATCCTAGTTTCCAACCAGTCAAAAATGTAAGAAAAAGTATTTTTAGAATTGATGAAGGATCATATTCATCACTTTAAAACAAAGCTCTATAATTTCATGCCTTGGTACCACTGCTCATTTAGTTTTTTCAGTCCATTTAAAAAATACTTGCAGGCCAGGTAACAATGAATAAAACAAATTCAGCTTCTGCCTTCTTAACTCTTACTGCCTCTCCCCTTTTCATTTTCAGCGATCCCCTCTCCTCCTTTTCCATCATCCTGTTGTTATGAAGTACCTGTTGTGTGCCAGACAGTCTGTTGAACAATAGGGCTCAAGAAGGAATATGATGGCTCTTATAGAACCTCAAGGTTCTTACAGTGTGGGTAGTAAGGGGAGCGGGGTGTTGAGAGACAATCATGCAAACAAATGAGTAAATAAAGGGATTCAGGTCCTATTATTAAAGTCTTTTTTTTTTTTAAGACATGGTCTTGCTCTGTTGCCCAGGTTGGAGTGCAGTGGCTCAATCATGTCTCAGGGCAGCCTCAACCTCCCAGGCTCAAGTAGTCCTCAGCCTCCTAAGTAACTGAGGCTACAGGCATGCACCACCATGCCCAGCTAATTTTAATTTTTTATTTTTGTTAGAGATGAGGTCTCCCTATGTTGCCCAGAATGGTCTCAAACTCTTAGGCTCAAGTGATCCTCCCACTGTAGCCTCCCAAAGCACTGGGATTATAGGCATGAGCCACCATGCTTGGCCCCATTATTAAAATCTCTATAGGGTACTGTGGGCCCCAAAAGGAAGGGGAATGGCCAATTCTACTTTGAGGAGTGAGAATAGTTGTACCATTCTTATTCTTACTGTTAAAATGATTGTACACTATTAAAAGAGTAATAGTCTCTTTGGATAATTGATGTGTAGTTATTTCCAAAGATGCCTGATAATAATCAATAAGTAGGCCAAGGTGTTTTCCAAAGCCTATTTGAATCACCTCAAATTTTCTATTGAACTTTACCTTCAAAAGGCACATGTTCCAGCCTGGGCAACATAGTGAGACCCTGTCTCTACAAAGAATTAAAAAAAAAATTAACCAGGCATGGTGGCGTATACCTTGTAGTCCCAGCTACTTGGGAGGCTGAAATGAGAAGATTGCTTGAGCCCCGCAGGTTGAGGCTGTAGTGAGCTATGATCACGCCACTGAACCCCAGCCTGGGCAACAGAGTGAGACCCTGTCTCAAAAAAAAAACACAAAAACTGCCCCCTGCACCCCCCGCCTCTGCCCCCCAGAAAAACCAGGCAAATGTTGGCCTCCTTTTTTTTTTTTTGATATGGAGTCTCGCTTTGTTGCCAGGCTGGAGTGCAGTGGCTTAATCTCGGCTCACTGCAACCTCCGCCTCCCGGGTTCAAGCGATTCTCCTGCCTCAACCTCCCGAGAAGCTGGGACTACAGGTGCATGCCATGACACCAAGCTAATTTTTGTATTTTTAGTAGAGATGGGGGTTTCACCATGTTGGCCAGGATGGTCTTGATCTCTTGACCTCATGATCCGCCTGCCTTGGCCTCCCAAAGTGCTGGGATCACAGGTGTGAGCCACCACACCCAGCATCTTTTTGCAAACATTAATAAATAGTTTGCAAGGACTTTTATAGTTACAAAACAAGGCGATATCAGACTTATCTTATTGTAGAGGCAGTCTGCCCCTCTTTACATTAATTATCTACCTACTTTAAAAAGTTTCTTTTTAACCATGTGGTTCTTTTTCGAGCTTGAGTGGATGCTCCAGCTCACATGCTCCAGCAGGGAGAAGGGCAGAGCATCTAAGAAGGGTGGAGTACAGCCACTCAGGGCCATGCTGGGGCCCAGCAGCAGGGCTTACAGCAATGGGATTTGGAGAGACGGTGGGTGAGGCTGTTTGGGGCTGGCATCAGCGAGCAGCCACGACAGGACCTTTCCTTAGAGGTCGCAGAGCTCAGACAGCATGAACCTAATGCAGGCTCCTTACCTCTCAAACAAGGATGCAGGCTAACATTAAACTCATTTTGATTGGCTAGACAACCCCAAGGTTGGGAAGTAAAGAGATTTTTTTTGAGGTTCATAGAAAGGTCAGCAGAGGGGCCAATGTTTGCCTACCTCCTCTGGCTATTGGAAAAAGAAAAAGCTTACCTACTGAGTCGGGGAAAGAATCCAAATTTAAACTGTCTCTCTTCTGGTTTATGAAGAGCTTAGAAATGAGCATTATAATATTCAGGATTTTTTTTTTTTTTTTGAGACAGTGTCTCACTGTTGCCCAGGCTGAGTGCAGTGGTGTTATCACGGCTCACTGCAGCCTTGACTTCCTGGGCTCAAGTGATTCTCCCACCTCAGCCTCCTGGGCAGCTGGGACTACAGGCATGTGCCACCACATTTGGCTAATTTCTTACTTTTTTAGGATTTCACTATGTTGCCCAGGCTGGTCTCGAACTCCTGGTCTTCAGCGATCCTCCTACCTCAGCCTCTAAGTGCTGGGATTAGAGGTGGGATTTTTTTTCTTTTTAAACCTTCTAGGCCAGCATATCTAGAGCAGGGTGCCTGGGGAGAAGGTGAGATTTGTGACTCCATGTCATTACTGGGCATACGGGGCCTTGTGGAGAGAAGTGAGCATCGTTTTATTTTTTGTAGAGACAGGGTCTTGCTATGTTGCTAAGGCCAATCTCAAACTCCTGGCCTCAAGCCATCCTCTTATCTCCCAAAGTGTTGGGATTACAGGTATGAGCCAGCATGCCCAGCCCCAAGTTGCTTCTTTAGAGGAAAGGAGAAAAGGCAGAATCTCTAGATCAACTTTGTGATTTATACGTAACAGTATGACAATGAAGTGTGTGGTTGGAGTGTATTGTACTTGTAAATGGAGATGCTCTACTGAGGGATGGTGGAAAAGCACTCTCAGCCCTTTTCAGAACTCATTGTTAGCAATCAAAAAGAGGAAGACTGAAAGAAAAAAAAAATCCTTTGAATCAGCAAGAGGTTTATACATAGCAGTGATTTATGGGTGAACAGAGGAGGAACATTAAAAGAATAATTGCTGGCTGTTTATTTTGGGAAAGTATGTGTGGTCAAGAGTCGAGGCAGGGAGCTTTATTTTTTCTTTTACCTTGCTCTATCTTCTATTATTGTTAATAGGATCATATACTCAAGACTTTCCTTGGCTTGTTGCCCTGACATAAATATTTGAATTCCTTGTTTTGGTATCGTGTATTTTTAACAACAATAGAGGGAAAAAGAAATAATGTTGTGAGCTAAATTATTCTATATGCCTTATTGTGGATGGAATTTATTCTCTTGGGTCCATGGCTATTAAGATGATCAGTTTAGATGATCTGTGTTTCTGATAGCTCTTTCTAGATAGCTTTATAATTTGCCCAAGGGGTTTGTTCAGGGGATGGCTACATGTATTTTTTTATTTGGTGGAACAAGGTGAGTTTTAATCCTGGTTATCTGAGCTCCAGGCCTTTCCAGGTGCCACCGTCATCCAAAAGGCCAATAAGAGTAGATTGTTCCTCTCATTGTGGCGTCCACCCTGGGGGCATTTATTAGGCAGTCACTGGATACACATTGACCCAACTTGCCCCCTTGGTAGAGGATTTAGTTCTTAGGGTTGCTGCTGCAGAATTCATTTATGCAGTTAGCAAATTGTAGTTGAGTTCCTGTTGTGCCTTTGGTATTGTTTCAGACTTGGTACTGCTCTGCGTGAAGAGCCGGAATCACACAATTCAAGGAAACCCAGCAGAATTAGAATGTTAAAATGTCAGGGTTTAAAGGGACTTTAGAGATAATCTAATCCAGAGGCAGCAAGCTGTTTCTATTAAAAGGTCCAGAAAGTAAATATATTAGGCTTTGGGGGCCACATATGATCTCTGATGCATATTGTTCTTTGTTTTTGCAATCATTAAAAAATGTAAAAATTGTCTGGGTGCTGTGACTCACAGCTGTAATCCCAGCACTTTGGCAGGCCAAGTGGGGAGGTTCACTTGACGCCAGGAGTTCGAGACCAGCTTGGGCAACAAAGTGAGACCCCTGTCTCTACAAAATAAAAATAAATTAGCTGGGTATGGTGGTACACACCTGTAGTTGTAGCTACTCAGGAGACTAAGGTGGGGAGATGGCTTGAACCCAGGAGTTCAGGGATGCAGTGAGCTATGATCACGCCACTGCACTGAAGCCTGGGCAATAGAGTGAGACCCTGTCTCTTAAAAAAAAAAAAGTAAAAATTATTCTAAGCTGGGGGTAGAGATATAGGCTGGATTTGGCCTATGAGCCATAGTTTGCCAACCCCTGATCTAATAGATTCCCTTCATTTTACCAATGAGGAAACTGAAGGCCAAAGGGTGGAATACCTCTCCAGCCCTTTTTCTAAGTGGTGACACTTAGAAAAGGATCCCTAGAGGTCAGGCCTACACCTCAGAGTGTCCACTCACCTTGCATATGTATAGCTTTGGTCCCGAGGGAAGTATGAATCTTAATTTTAAGACACTGGGTGCCTATCACTTTCCAGGACGGTGTTTGGGATTAAGGATGCACAATTTGGTACAACAAAGCCTTAGCTCTCAGTCAGCTTAGTATATCCCATATATGCCTGGGTAAGTAATGAGGTTAAAGGAAGTAAAATGAAAGATTCAGACAACTACTGAAGAAAGGTGATTTATTTGGCAGTTGCTTTGTTTCACCAGTTTATCTGAGCAGTGTCATTGAGACATATATGAAACCATGTAAGATCAATCATAGAGCCTTTTAATATTCCAGAGCTTGAAGAGATTTTAGGATCACTTAGCTATAACCTCTCATTTAACAAATGAAGAGCATGAAACCCAGAGATTTTAAATTACTTACTCTGGGTCACACAGCTAATTATTAGAATCTCAGGGTGGATTTTAGATACCTAGTGTAACCACTCAGATAATAACAAAGATTAATAATTATAGCCAACATTTACCTAAAGTTACTATAATATGTATAGTCATATACGTAATCTCAGTTCTGACAGTAACTCAATGTAATAGGTTTACCATACCCATTTTACAGCTGAGGAGACAAAACTTGTACAGGTTAAGTCAATTTTGTCCAAAGCCACCAAGCCAATAAGTGGTAGAGTCAGGATCTAGGCTCAAGTGCTTAACCGTGGCAAGGCTGTTTATTGCAGTTTGACTAAGTGCTTGGATTGTGCTTCTCCATTCATTTGCGACCTCCTGGTGGGCAGTGGGTATGCCCTTTTAATCTGTGTTTTCCTACTCTGGGCTTGGCATATACAATTTGTTCAATAAATGTTTACAGAGCTGGGTGTGGTAGCTCATGCCTGTAATGCTAGCACTTTGGGAGGTCAAGGCAGGAGGGTCGTTTTAGCTCAGGAGTTCGAGACCAGCTTGGGCAAGATGGCAAGATCTTATCTCTAGGAAAAAAAATATATATATGGGCACAGTTGTGGATGCCTGTAGTTTCAGTTGCTTGGGAGGCTGGGTGACAAAGGGAGACCTCGTCTCTATAAAAAAAAATGTTTACAGAATAAATGAATAAATGAGTAATCCACCCTTCTTTAAACAGTTGACACTTCCGGTGATGAGTCAATGGGAGTTCAGTGTCTGTGTTAGACCATGTCTAGGTCTGCTGACGGCTAGTCCTTTCATGAGATAGGCTAATGTGCAGATTTCGGCTAGGAAAGCCTATTGCCCTGCAGTTGTTTTTACAGTGCCCCTGAACATTTTTGAGAATTAATGTATACAGTAAAATTCTCTTTGAACATCAAAGATTCCTTGAAGACCTGATAGCCTGCTTGGTTTCTCTGAATCTGATGAAGTTTGTAGAGATAACTGGAAGATTCTCTCTGTATGTGGTACCTGCCTTTTGCACAGCCATTTTAATTTAAAGCTATAGTTTCAAACTATATTCTGAAGCATCCTGGGGTTTGTGGGCTAAAAAATCAAGGAATTCTGTAAGAAAAATGAGGGGTGGATTTGGCTTTGAGCCCAATGATGCCTAAAACAAATTCTTTGCTGCATTTATTTTTCAGTTCTGATGAACGAGAACAACCAACTCATTAAATGTAGAGTACCTGGCAATATTTTCTTCTCTTTCTTATATAAGTTGAATGTTTTTCTCATCTGACAATGGTAATACATGGGATTGCTCTGGACTTTTTCGAAGTTCAAAGATCTTTGAACAGACTTGTAGTGATATTTCTAAAAAAAAAATCTTCCTACCTGGATTACTGTTTTTTATATAGAGAATGGGCTTTGTTTGCCATTCACTCTAAGTGGAATTTTTCTATATGGCATAATAAAGCTGAAGTCCTTAGATTTTAGTTCAGAAAGCCATATCCTTTGAACCTAGGCCTCTGGGTTTGTTCACATAAGTCAATATACAGCGTTAATAATTGCTGCATATCCCTTGAGGGAAAATCCAAATTAAATAAAGAAGGCTTTCATTAGGTTGTGAATAAACAGATTTTGGTTATATTGGTAAGATTCTTTAGGGATTTTCAGGGGGTAGAGATGAATACAAGATACCCTTCTCATTTGCAGGTGTTTGAGAAATCTCTTAAAATAGAGAAACACAGGAATATTTGTTTTCCAACAAAAAATAATTCAAAGACCTGCCCACGTTTCTTGCCAAAGCTTTGTTCTTTTCAAGTCCCATCCAACCCTACACAAATTTTTCTTCTGATTATATTAGGAAGAAAACCTTAATGGCTGCTTGCTGTTAACATCTACCTTTAAACATTTCTTAACTATTAATGAGTCTTTCATTTAACTATATCATAATATAACCCTGGTTTACTGCACTTTATATCTACTTCCCTCCCCACTCAGCAGTAGTAGTGTTTCCTCCAGTAAAAAGGGTCAGGGGGTGGGAGATGGAAAGGATCTGTTCACTGCACGGTAACTTGCTGTGTTATGGGGTAAATAGAGGTGTGTGGTTTTTTTTCTATCTAATTTTTTATTTTGAAAAATTTAAAACAAACATATTAATACAAAGGACAACCAAAAAACCCTTTACTTAGGTTTACCAATTGCTAACATTTTGCCACATGTGATTTATCTTTCTTTATAAATGCATATTTACACTAGGGGGTAGGGCAGACATCATGATCCTTTATCTCTAAATATATCAGTATTCTCCTAAGTGTAAGGGGGATATTCTTCTTCACAATACCATTATCATGCCTTAGAAATTTAATATTGATTCCATTATGTCATCTAATAGAGTCCACATTTAAATTTTGCCTTTGATCAGCTAGCTGATAAACAAATCATGTCAAAACTTAGTGGCTTAAAACCACCACAGTTTATTAGTGCTCATAATTCCACGGGCCAGTTGGGTGGTTCTTCTAATGTGGATTAGGCTCAGCTGATCAACTGGGCTCCTTTATACCTCTGGAGTCAGCTGCTGGACTGACTAGGAGCTGGCTGGTCTAAGTCGGCCTCAGTTTGGATGGCTTTTCTTTGCTCTAGAGGGGTCTAGAACAGGCTAGAACAGGCTTGTTTCCATGGCTTATGGGAAGGTTCTAAGAGAGTGGAAGAGTGCAAAGCCTTTTAAGGCCTAGGCTTGGAATTGGCACAGCATCACTTCTGCAATCTTTTGGTCAAAGCAAGTCACATGCTCCTCTTGATGGGAATAACTGCAAAGTCATATTGCTCAAGGGCATGGATACAGGGGCATGAACAATCACAGCCATTTTTGCAATCTATCATACCCATATTGTCCAAATACCGTTAATAATAATGTTAATGTTGTAATGTTAATCATTATAACTGTTGGTTCGTTTTTAATCCAGGATCCAAACAAGATTACACATTAAATGTAGTTGTTTTACCTCTTTAGTCTCTAAATCTATAGGAGTCTCCCTGCTTATTTGTGTTTTATGATATTTTTAAGATTCCAGATCTGTTTTCTTAACAATATCTCACAATCTGAATTTGTATAATTATTTCTACATGATTATATACAGGTTAAATATTTTGGGCAAGAATTCTAAAGCTGAGGTTGTATATTTCCCATATCATCACAAAAGGAGGCACATAATTTTAGTTTGTCCAGATCATTAGTGATGCTAAGTGGAATCACTGCCTAAAGTGGGGGCTGCCAGATTTTGTAGTCATGAAGTTGCCATTTCCTAGAGAAAGATTTGTGGGTTTTTTTGTTTTTGTTTTTTTTGGAGATGGAGTCTCGCTCTGTTGCCCAGGCTGGAGTGCAGTGGTGCATCTTGGCTCACTGCAACCTCTGCCTCCTGGGTTCAAACAATTCTGCCTCAGCCTCCCGAGTAGCTAGGATTACAGGTGTGTGCCGCCACACCCAGCTAATTTTTTGTATTTTTTTTAGTAGAGATGGGGTTTCACCGTATTGCCCAGGCTGGTCTTGAACTCCTGAGCTCAGGCAATCCACCCACCTTGGCCTCCCAAAGTGCTAGGATTACAGGCATGAGCCACTGCAACTGGCCTAGATTTGTTTTAAGTCTCGACATTTGGTGTTAGCATCCTTCCAATCACATCAACATATATTCATTAGATACCTATTGTATATCTAGTCTGATTTAGTGCTATGGGGATCTAAAAGAATGGTAAGGCGTGTTCCCTGCCTGAAGGAATATATAGTTTTCTTGAGTTACTCTTTAAAAACTGAACAAATAGTAGAGGAGTGGTGATTCTAAGTTAAAAACTAATTTTTTTTTTTTTTTTTTTGAGACAGAGTCTCACTCTGTTGCCCAGGCTGGAGTGCAGTGGTCACTGCAACCTCCACCTCCCGGGTTCAAGCGATTCTCCTGCCTCAGCCTCCTGAGTAGCTGAGATTACAGGCATGTGCCACCACACCTGTCTAATTTTTGTATTTTTACTAGAGACAGTGTTTCACCATGTTGGCCAGGCTGGTCTCACACTTCTAGCCTCAAGTGAAATCTACCCAGCTCAGCCTCCTAAAGTGCTGGGATTATAGGCATGAGCCACTGCACATGGCCTAGGTTAAAAACTTTTTAAAAAAAGTTTTAAAGTTAAAAAGTTTATAAAAACTTTTTTTTTTTTTAGCTTAATAAAGTTCACAAACTGAACACATCAGGGTAACCAGTATCCAGATTAAGAAACAGAACGTAACCAACATCTCAGTAAGACTGATTTTTCTGCAACCAATTAAGCCGACCTAGTTCCTTTCCTCTTTGGGGCCTGGTGTTCAATAGCTGCAAACAGCAGCTTCCTTGGTAGTGTATGCAGCCTGTTTCTTGTATGGGTTGCTCTAAAGGACCTTGGAGACAGCCCTTTCTAATATATGTTTATGTCTCTGACCTTGTACTGTCCCCAGTGTAGGCTCCAGACAGTGGAGGTGCCTTTGGAAAGCCTCAAGGAGCCTTGATCAGGGTTCATACTGGCCAAGTTGTCTTGTCTATCCACATCAAGCTATAGAACCAGGAGCATGTGATTGAGGCCCTCCACAGGGCCAAGTTCAAGTTCCCTGGTCACCAGAAGATCCACATCTGAAAGAAGTGGGGCGTTTCAAAGTTCGATGCAGATGATTTTTTTTTTTTTGAGACAGAGTTTCACTCTGTCTCCCAGGCTGGAGTACAGTGGTGTGATCTCAGCTCACTGCAACCTCCACCTCCTGGGTTCAAGCAATACTCCTGCCTCAGCCTCCTGAGTAGCTGGGACTACAGGCACATGCAACCACGCCCAGCTAATTTTTGTATTTTTTTGGTAGAGATGCGGTTTCACCATGCTGGCCAGGGTCGTCTCAAACTCCTGGCGTCAAGTCATTTGCCCACTTTGGCCTCCCAAAGTACTGGGATTACAGGTGTGAGCCACCGTGCCCAGCCAGTGCAGATGAATTTGAAGACGTGGTGGCTCTGGTATGAGAAGTGGCTCATCCCAGATGGCTGTGGGGTCAAATACATCTCCAGTCTGGGCAAGTGGCAGGCCCTGCATTCACGAAGGCTTCCACTGTGCTGCTCCCTCCTAATGCCCACCAATAAATCCTACTTCCTGTCCAGAAAAAGAAGATTCTGATTTTTAACTGTATAGAACTTACATCCAAATGGTGGTTGTCCTTTTCAATGCCAAGTTAGGAGTGATCCAAGAAAATCAATATTATTTTAAGTTCAAAATAGTGTTATTCAATTTTTTTTTTTTTTTTTTGAGACAGAGTTTCGCTCTTGTTGCCCAGGCTGGAGTGCCAATGGCACACTCTCGGCTCACTGCAACCTCCGCCTCCCAGGTTCAAGCAATTCTCCTGCCTCAGCCTCCTGAGTAGCTGGAATTACAGGTGTCCACCGCCACACCCAGCTAATTTTGTATTTTTAGTAGAGATGGGCTTTCTCCATGTTGGTCAGGCTAGTCTCGAACTCCTGACCTCATCAGGTGATCCACCCAACTCGGCCTCCCAAAGTGCTGGGATTACAGGCCCGAGCCACTGCACCCAGCCCAAAATAGTGTTATTCAATGTGATCACTCTCTGTACTGTATTCAAGGTTGATTCAGAGTAACTTTTCACCATGTCCATTTGTCAAAATCTCTTTTCTTTCATTTCTGTCTTAGAGCAGAAGGTGACTTATTTCCCAAGGGTAGCCTTTCACTTGTGTGTTGTATCCTATTCCCTCTTGACGTGCTGGAGTCTGGTCCTCCTGTTTCTTTCTTACATCTTCTCCATGTATCTTCTGTCTTCAACTTTTCCTTTTCTTTTGGCTCCTGCTCCTCACCTTATACTCTTATTAACAGTCTTGCTGCTTCTCCTCATCAGACTACTTACTTTTCTTACCCTTTCCCTCCTTTTACTGCCAAACTTTTTAAAAGACTGCCTCCTCTTCCTCTTTAACCCATTCATCCAGTTGCCCTTTGAAACTTGGTTTCTTTCCCCACAGTTCCAGAGAAGTCCATTGACAAACTCCTACTTATTAAGTCGGCCATTTTTTCAGCCTTTTTTCTTTTTGATTTCTGCTTCCTGTGGAAGTCTTACTCATCTTTTCTTTGAGACCGCCTCCTTTCTCAGCTTCCATTGTTGTGTGCTCTTGGTTATCTGCCTACTGCTCAGAGCTCTCCTCTAAGAGTTTTGACTTCCCCAAGAATTTTGACTTCCCCAGGCTGGAGTACAGTGGCGTGATCTCGGCTAGCTGAAGCCTCAACATTCCAGGCTCAAGTGATCCTCCCACCTCAGCCTCCCAAGTAGCTGGGAACACAGACACACGCCACCACAGCCGACTAATTTTTGTATTTTTTGAAGAGATGGAGTTTTGCCATGTTGCCCAGGCTGGTCTCAAACTCCTGAGCTCAAGTTATCTGCCTGCCTTGGCATCCCAATGTGCTGGGACTATAGTCAGGAGCCACTGCGCTTAGCTGAGAATGGCATTTCTTAGGACTTTTTATCATGGACTAAGTGTTGTTATGTTGGCAGTTTATTTGGAGTTTGAAGATTGTGGTGTTAATGGCAAACTCTCAATTAAATTGATGGACATTTTCTGTAACCCTAGCTTCTTGATGATGTGCCTAGCAGGAACTCAAGAAATATTCATTGGAATCATTCATTCATTCAGTTATTTATTTATATATTCAATAAATATTTACTAAATGACTAGTTGGTAAAATGAATTGTTTGTTAATTCAACAGTAGGTAACTTTCTTTCAAATTATCTAAATATGGTTTTCTTTGTCTTTTTCTTTCAACTTTGTCGAAGTTTGTTTTTTCCTAATTTGTGCAATTACTAATTATATGACTCTTGGATAAGTTACTTTACCTTTAGAAATCAATTTTCTGATTTTTACAATGGAATAACAATAGTGGCTACTTTCTGGGTTGTTGTAAGGATTGGATTTTTTTAAATGCACATAGCACATGCCTAGCATATAGTTATGGATCTGTAGTAATAGATGTTAGCTATTTTTCTTCTTCTTCTTTTTTTTTTTTATTTTTTTTGAGATGGAGTTTCTCTCTTGTCTCCCAGGCTGGAATGCAGTGGTGCGATCTTGGCTCACTGCAAACTCTGCCTCCCAGGTTCAAGTGATTCTCCTGCCTTAGCCTCTCAAGTAGCTGGGATTATAGGCGCCCACCACCATGCCTGGCTAATTTTTGTATTTTTAGTAGAGACAGGGTTTCACCGTGTTGGCCAGGCTGGTCTTGATCTCCCGACCTCAGGTGATCTGCCTGCCTTGGCCTCCCAAAGTGCTGGGATTACAGGTGTGCGCCACTGCACCCAGCCTCATTATTTTTCTTAATAGAATGTATCAGGCATAAGGCTTTGGTCCTCACAGTAAACATCTTGAGGTAGGCATTGCTTTCCCCCTATTTCAAAGAAATAAACTGAGATTCAGAGGATTTAAATAATTTGCCAGAGGACACAGCGCTAATCAATTGCAGATATGGGATATCCAGTTCCATAGCATATGCCTTTCACCTACACCAAAAAGCCTTTCAGCATCTTGTTTGACACTTAGAAATGAACTAGGAGTCACTTTATAGTGACTAAAATTAGCTAACGTTGATCTCATTTGCCTTCTGAGAGGTAGGACATACCAAGGGAGTTCTGCCCTGTTGGAGAAACTCCAGTCCTGAAGGTTAGATTAATTAAGATTTTATCTTAAAACCACAGAATTCCAGAGTTTAGAAGGATTTTATGTAGCATTTTCCCTATTCAATTACTGAATTCTCTCTCTAACCCTCCAGTCAAGGAGTCATCTGTTTTTTTCTTTAACCCTTCCAATGACAGAGAAGTCATCATTCACCCTCTCCCACTCCCAAGGCAGCTTATTTCACTCTGACCACGAGACAGCCTTCCTTATGTCAGACTGAATTCCTTTCCTGTCTGTCTTCCGCACGTTGGTCCCAGTTTGGCAGTGATGGCCACATGAAGTAAGTGGAACCCCTGTTTCCTAAGGCATCCTTTCAGATTCTTGCACTTTACTCTCTATCATAACCCCCAAACACTTTATCTTCACCAGAGTAGCAGCTTCAGGCCTTTAATTCCTAGCTTCCCCTTGAACAAACACAACTGGGGTCCACTTTTTTTTTCTTCTTAGTGTGATATAGTTGGCTATCTCACGAGCATTTTGCTTCTCCTCCAGTCTCTCTTAATACGTGGTACCACTCTCTACCCAGTTGTTCAAGCTAGAAACCCAGGAGTTTGTTCCCTTCACCATTCACATACCATTCATCAGCAAGTATTTTCATTATTTTTTAAAAAATTCATTCGGCTGGGTCCAGTGGCTCACACCTGTAATCCCAGCACTTTGGGAGGCCGAGGTGAGTGGATCACGTGAGGTCAGGAGTTCAAGACCAGTCCGGCCAACATGGCGAAACCCTGTCTCTACTAAAAATACAAAAATTAGCCAGGCATGGTGGTGGGCGCCTGTAATCCCAGCTACTAGGGAGGCTGAGGCAGGAGAATTGCTTGAACCCTGGAGGCAGAGGTTGCAGTGAGCCGAGATCACACCACTGTAGTCCAGCCTGGGTGACAGAATAAGACTTTGTCTCAAAAAAAAAATTCGTTTGTCTTTTTATTTTTTAAAATTGTAATTAAATTTCAAAGTTTTTATTTATTTATTTTTTAAAAAAACACTTAGTATCACCTCAAGTATTTTCTTTGTTATTCCCAAATATAAAATCCTCTCCCCTACCATTATCTTGGTCCAGGCCACCATTATCTCTCCCCTATTCTTAAGTCTTGCCCACTCCCTACACTCACTTCTCCACACAGCAACCAGAATTATCTCTTTAAAGCGCAAGTCAGATTACACTATTTCCCTGATTAAAACTCTTCTTTGATCTCCCATTGCCCTTTGGACAAAATTCAAAGTGTTTTCCATGGTCAACGAGGCCCTGTGTCATCTCAACCGTTCTTTTTTCCCTGTTGCTCACCCAGCCTTGGTCCCTGTTCTCCTTTATGTTCCTTGGACACGCCAAGCCTTTTCTGGTAGCTAACCCTTGCACTTCTTGTATCTATTGCCTGCGCTCTTTTCCTAGCTTTGCAAATGCCTGGCTTATTCTCATCTTTCAGGTCTCAGCTCACATCTCACTTTCTCAGAGAGGCCTGATCCCATCAGTCCTCTGAGGCCTCATCTCATCATTCTGTAATTATCTATCTGCATTGTCATCTATCCTCATGAGAACAGTAGTTCTTTGGTAACTGGACCTACCTTATGTTAACAGTTGTATCCTCTGTAGGTGTCACAGTAGCTGGCTCATAGAAAGTGCTCAATAACTATCTGAGGAATAAATGAATGGACTCATAATTGACTGAAAGGGTGTTGAAGTTGTATTAAAAATGAATTTGAGGCCAGGCCTGGTGGCTCATGCCTGTAATCCCAGCACTTTGGGAGGCCGAGGCAGGAAGATCACTTGAGGTCAGGAGTTCGAGACCAGCTCTGGCCAACATAATAAAACCTT
The DNA here is from genome assembly GCF_000001405.40 of Homo sapiens. Taxonomy (NCBI): domain Eukaryota; kingdom Metazoa; phylum Chordata; class Mammalia; order Primates; family Hominidae; genus Homo; species Homo sapiens. The sequence continues at coordinate 83,036,355 of NC_000011.10, read as the reverse complement.
GTCTCCATTAAAAATACAAAAATTAGCTGGGCATGGTGGTGCCTGCCTGTATTCCCAACTACTGTGGAGGCTGAAGCAGGAGAATTGTGTGAACCTGGGAGGTGGAGGTTGCAGTGAGCCAAGATCGTGCCACTGCACTCCAGCCTGGGAGGTGGAGTGAGACTCCATCTCAAAAAAAAAAAAAAAAGAATTTGAACCTGAGCTTTGCCACTTCCTGTGTGACTTTGGGCAAATTATGCTATCTTTCTGGGCTTTAGTTGCCTCATCTGTATAATAGCAGTTCTATCTACCTTACAGAATGTTGTGCGGGTCAGTTAAGATATTGGCTGTGAATGTACCCACCACAGTACCTGATACATATTAAGTATTCAGTCCACCACCAGTCAAAGCCTGGCACTTAATTCTGAACATGCATAGAAGAGTTCTATCAAGTTTCAGCCTCATTAATGGAACTGTTTGTGTGTTGTGCCTGTGTGTGTGTGATCCATAAGATGCCTGTGACTTCCCGCAAGTAACACTTGCCTGGCTGGAAAGACAGTTCTAACCCAGGGTGTCAGCTGTTGCACTGAGTGATACTCGATCTGATTACCCAGGGGTGCCAAGCACAGAGCCTTCACTGGAGAGCTGAACACAGACCCTAAAATTAAATTATCAAACCTAACATCGTGTGGCCCAGTCTGGTTGTCAAGATAGATGCTGTGTCTAGACAGTCATCTCCCTTGGGAAATCACAGTTGCTTAAAAAGGAGGCACGTGGTCTCCTGTTAAGAATACAAAACAGGCCTGTGAGCTGTTGAGGAAGAGGTTGCTGCTTGAGGTTGCATGGGCCTATGGAGCAGGGCCTGGGGAAAGAAGCTGTCTGCTTCTATACTCATGTGAGTCTCTGGATCATGGTGGTGGCCTTCTCCTTCACTCATGTCGGGACAACTGAGTCCATGGTGCATGGGAAGGTAGAGACATAGCTATCACCTTCCCCAGAGCCAGTGATACTGTGCCTCCACTGAAGATTGCTGGGAGGAATTGAAAGGCAAGTCTGGAATATGCATTACCTGCTGGGGAGGGGAGCAGAAATCTTGCTGCAACTTGCGTGCTTGGCATGATGATCTAGGTGGCTCCCTTCTGAATGCTGTTAGGATGAGTGTTTTAAGGTGAGCACTCTAGAATTAGGTAGACCTGGGTTCCAATCCTGGTGATGCAGTGACCTTGATCAAATTATTGAATGTCTGAGCCATAGTTTGCTCATTATTAAATGGAGGTAATAATGACCTGTATCTTATCTAGTTGCTGTGAGGATTAGATGATACGGTGCATGTAAAAATATTAGCTTAGTGCCTGGCACATAGCCAGTGGTCAATAAATGATCATTCTTTTTATTAGTCAGGATTTTGAGTTTAGTATTTCTTTTCCTTTCTTTTCTTTTTATTTTTTTCTGCTCTCTGTGAACAAAAAGTTTGATACTTCTGATGAGCCTCACCCACACTGAACTTTCAGTCTTGCTTCCCCTCTTGCTAACTGTGTTCCTTGGACAAGTTATGGAACCTCTCTGAGTCAATGTTCTTATCTGTTACCTGCAGTTTACAGTTCCCATCTCACAGTGAGGATGAAATGAGATCAGAGCACCTGATACATAGTAAGTGCTCAAAATACTTATTTCCTCCCACCTTGGTTCTGGAGTATCTGAAATACGGCCCCTTTAAGCTTGTTAAGATTCCTCACTAGCCTTGTATGCAGCTGTGGGCAGAGAGCTTTGGCAGAAGGAAAGACTTTTTGTTTTTTTTTAAATGACTGTTTCATAATCTGTTGGCTCAAATCTGCTGCTGCCACACCCTGTGCCTCTCAGGGTCCCTGGGTCCTGTTGCAGTTATCATATGCCTCACCTTTAACCTAAATGACTCTGCGAAGTGGCTGCTATGGAAGGATTTACTGAGTGCAAAATGGATTTTCTTCCCTGCTCTTTGGGGCAAAGCTGGCTCAGAGATTCTTAGCTGCAGGGGGAGGGGCTGGCAGGCCTGAACCGCAGTTGGACTTAGCAGCCAGGGGTTTTCTGGTTTTCATTAAAATTCTCTGGCTGTCTTTTGGGATAGCTCCATTGGATATGACTGTGCACTGGAGCCGGTTGTGCTGTTCTCTCAGCTGTACACACCCATCAAATCACAGTGCCCCTGAGGACGAGAGAAAATTGAAGGTAGGCAATAGCCTGGCTGAGGGCTCTTGCTCAGCAATCTTTGTGGTAAGTGGCCTCCGTTTATAACTGCAGAGCTTGAGTTTTGCAGTCTTAAATACAGATGGGGAGGCAGACATGGCTGAGCTGGGAATGGGTTGCAGAGAGAATCCTGTTACAGCTTGCTTTTGAGGATGGACTTGCTCTTGAGGACAGATGGAGGTTTCCTGGCAGCTGTCGAGGTCCCCAAGTGTTACATTAATGAAAATGGCCTGATCTGATTATTCTTTTTTGTTTTTGTTTGTTTGGTTTTTTTTTCATTTGATCTGATCATTCTTTGGAGGTACTTGATACCCTCATATGCCCAAGGGGCTTGAGGTTGGGTGATGCAGTTTTCTGAGGGTGACATGCTGAATTAAAGAGGATTGAGATTTTTATTTATTTATTATTGTTTTCTTAATTCCCAGTGTGGTAGCAGAGGATTCAGTTTTGAATGTTAATTTCTGGTGGCTGAAGGAATCTCACTTGAGACTGAAACTTGAGCCTGCAAACCTAGGTTCAAATCATAACTCTGTTATTAACTTGCCTTATGACCTTGGGCAAGTTACTTTCCTGGATTTCAGCTTCACAGTGTGGTTGTAGGGATTAAGTGAGATAAATTATGTAAAGCTCTTGGCATATCGAGTGTTCTCAACAAATGGGAGATGTTATTAGAAATTGGCCTAAATTTGACCTGTCACTCTAGCTTGCCAAGATATATTTTAATTCTGTAATATAAAACATTTGTTCCACATCCCTCCCAGCTTTGTGTCATTTAAGAACTTGAGGCAGGCCGGGCTCAGTGGCTGACACCTGTAATCCCAGCACTTTGGGAAGCCAAGGTGAGCAGATCACCTGAGGTCAGGAGTTCGAGACCAGCCTGACCAACATGGTGAAACCCCCGTCTCTACTAAAAATACAAAAATTAGCTGGGTGTGGTAGCATGTGCCTGTAATCCTAGCTACTCCGGAGGCTGAGGCAGGAGAATCACTTGAACCCGGAAAGCAGAGGTTGTAGTGAGCTGAGGTCATGCCGTTGCATTCCAGCCTGAGTGACAGAGCAAGACTCTGTCTCAAAAAAAAAAAAAAAAAAAAAAAAAAAGAATTTGAGGCAAACATGTTCCCTAGGGCAAGCTGAAACTCCTCTCCCTGGAAAAATACATCAAAACCATATTATTATGTTCCCCAGTGAGATGCTTAAGATGTCGGGTATTTCATATCTAGGTAACTTAGAAAAAATGGATTTTTCCTATCATTCTTGATAGATAGATTATGAGAAAGTCATTTTAATTAATATTGGGTATAAATGTTCCCTGATGTTACTCCCAAGAGAGCATGATTAAGGTTCCTATTTACCTTTAGAGTACACTCTTTTTCCATTCTTTTCTCCTTTTACTCTACTCTTCAAACCCTGTGTTCTAGCTATGGTGGACTGCTTACATAAAAATAATTAATGCGAAACATACAATGCATATGAAAGAATGTTTTAAATACATATTTACAGTTTAAAGAAGAACATAAAAATTGTGACCAGATGCAGTAGCACATGTTTGCAATTCCAGCTACTCAGGTGGCTGAGGTTGGAGGATTTCTTGAGGCCAGGAGTTCAAGACCAGCCTGGGCAAAATAGTGAGATGCTGTCTCAAAAAATAAAAGAAAGAAAATTGTGAATTTGCCATCCAATTTATCAGATGGAACATTATTTGTATCCTAGAAGCTGTTTGTCTACTCTCTGCCCTGAAATCATACCCCCTTTCCTCCTCACCAGACATAATGATTATCCTGACTTTTGTGTTCATCGTTCTCTTACTTTTCTGTACAGTTTAACCACCTGTGTTTGTATTACTAAAACAAATGTTGTTTTTTAAAAAACCAAGAAGCAAGCACAAACCTAGCAAGCTTTGTTACTGTTAGATCTAAACTCTGGGTCATAATATAGCTTTAGATTCCCAGGGGGTTTAAAAGGCTCTAATGGGGAAGTCAGTGGGCAAGGATGTGAGTGAGTCCTAGGAAATAAGGATCACTACTATTGAGACATCTGATAGGGTTGTAGTGTGGGCACACACTGGACATATGGAATATGGTCACAAAGAGTGGACGGCTCTGTCTTTTCTACTTCCAGTCTTTCTTTGGCGTCCTTTCAGCTCTCAAGGGGTAGGTCAAAGCAAAACTCTTCTGTAGGATGAAGTGAACGTCACCAACTAACCCAAACAAATAGTGTGGAGATGAGCAGGTGCTTCATCAGCACATGGTCAAGACAAATAGAGGCAGAAAAGAACCTCGACTAAGTTTACCTATGCATTTTTTGTCAGGTTAAAAAGAGAATATGCAGGCCAGGCCTGGTGGCTCACACTTGTAATCCCAGCACTTTGGGAGGCCAAGGCAGGCGGATCACCTGAAGTTGGGAGTTCGAGACCAGTCTGACCAACATGGAGAAACCCCATCTCTCCTAAAAATACAAAATTAGCCAGGTATGATGGCACATGCCTATAATCCCAGCTACTCTGGAGGCTGAGGCAGGAGAATCGCTTGAACCCGGGAAACGGAGGTTGCGGTGTGCCGAGATTGCACCATTGCACTCCAGCCTGGCCAAGAAGAGCAAAACTCCATCTCAAAAAAAAAAAAGAAAAAAAAAGAATACGCAGAACCACTTACGGAATATTCTTACCCAAATGTTGACTCCTAAAATCTCATCAAGTCTCTAGAGCTAACTTTAATATATTGGAAAGATGGGGGAAAGGATGACAAGTGGAATTACACTCTAAGGAAACAAACAGAGAAATTTAGAATGTAGAACATTCTGTCAGACAACTGACTTGGCTTCCGCAACAAGTCAATGACATGAAAAAAATAATAAAGTGACTTAAGAATTATAACCAGATGTCATGTGTGAACCTTGTTTTTATTCGGATAGTCTATGTGTTAGTTTGCTAGGCCTGCCATAACAAAATACCACACACTGGGTGGCTTAAGCAACAGAAATTAGTATTTTCACAGTTCTGGAGGCTAGGAGTCCAAGATCAAGGTGCTGGCAGGATTGGTTTCCTCTGAGGCCTCTCTCCTTGGCTTGCAGATGGCTGCCCTCTTTCCACCTCCTTGCATGGTCATTTCTCTATATATGCACACTCCCAGTGTCCTGCTACGTGTCCTATTCTCCTCTTTCTATAAGGACACCAGTTAGATTGGATTAGGGCCCACCCTAACAATCTCATTTTAACTTAATTACCTCTTTAATGGCTCTATCTCCAAATACATGAACAGTCACATTCTAAGGTACTGGGAATTAGGGCTTCAACATATGTATGAACTTGTGGGGGGACATAATTTAGTTTAATTGCAAAGAGACTTTTTTTTTTTTTTTGAGGTGGAGTCTTGCTGTGTTGCCCAGGCTGAAGTGCAATGGCACGATCTCAGCTCACTGCAACCTCTGCCTCCCGGGTTCAAGCAATTCTCCTGCCTCAGCCTCCTGAGTAGCTGGGATTACAGGTGCGTGCCACCATGCCTAGCTAACTTTTGTTTTTTAGTGGAGATGGGGTTTCACCATGTTGGCCAGGCTAGTTTCGAACTCCTAGCCTCAGGTGTTCTGCCCACTTCGGCCTCCTAAAGTGCTGGGATTATAGGGGTGAGCTACCACACGCAGCCAAAAAAAGACTTTTTTTTGAGACAGGGTCTTGCTTTGTTTCTCAGGCTGGAGTACAGTGGCATGAACACGGCTCAACATAGCCTTGACCTCCTGAGATCAAGCAGTCCTCCCACCTCAGGCTCCCAAGAAGCTGGGACTACAGGCATATACCACCACACCCAACTAATTTTTTTTTTTTTTTGAAGAGATGCGGTCTCACCATGTTACCCAGGCTGCTCTTGAACTCCTGGTCTCAAGCGATCCTCCTGCTTTGGCCTCCCAAAATGCTGGGATTATAAGCATGAGCCACCACACCTGGCATTGAAAAGACATTAAAAAAATTTTTTTAAATGGCTTTTGGGTTATAAGTGGTTTTTGGTTACATGGATAAATTCTACAGTGGTGAATTCTGAGATTTTAGTGCACCTGTCAACCAAACAGTGTACACCCTACTCAGTATGTAGTCTTTTATCCCTCACTCCCCTTGCCCACTCCTTCCCCAGGTCACAAATTTCATTATATTGCTCTGTATTGTTTTTGTGTCCTCACAGCTTAGTTCCCACTTAAGTAAGAAAACAAGGTATCTGGTTTTCCATTCCTGAGTTACTTCACTTAGAATAATGGCTTCCAGCTCAATCCAAGTTGCTGCAAAAGACATTATTCTATTCCTTTTTATGGCTGAGTAGTATTCTATGGTGGATATATACCACATTTTCTTTATCCACTCATTGGTTGATGGGCACTTAGGTCGGTTCCATATCTTTGCAATTGTGAATTGTGCTGCTACAAGTATGCATGTAGATGTGTGTAAAAAGAAATTTTTGAGATGATATCAAGGAATTACTGTTACTTTTATTCAGGTGTGATAATAATAGTATAATGTAAGAAGATGAATAATATAGAGATGAGTTCTGAGGTACATAGGAATAAAATGATATGATGTAGAATTTGTTTAAAAATATTTAAACAGCCTGGATGCTAAGGTTCATACCTGTAATCCCAGCACTTTGGGAGACTGAGGCAGGTGGTTTGCTGCATCCCAGAGGTTGAGGCTGCAGTGAGCCATGATGACACCACTGCACTCCAGCCTGGGCAACAGAGCGAGACCCTGTCTCAAAATAATAATAATAATAATAATAAAATATTTAAGCAAAGAAAAAAATAGGGGGGGAAAGGGATAGATTAAGTTAACGTGTCAAAATCTTGGTAAGTGTTGAACTTTGGTAATGGGTGTTGGGGGGTCTGCTTTTATGTATATTTGAAAACTTTATAATCATATATTTAAAATATTTGAACACAACACAAAAGAGGGTTTAATGGCAGTGGGGTTGTTGGTGATGGCTGTCTTCAATGTGTCTGTCTCTTGAGTTATACTTCTTTATTCTGGTTGGCTACTTCCTGTGGTAGTCATGTTGGCGTCCTCTGTTGCTTGTCTTTGGACTAGATCTCTTGATGTTTCTTTTATACCACTTAGTGAAGGACATCCTCCAGGAGCTTTTTTTTGTTTGTTTTTGAGAAAGGGTCTCACTCAGTTGCCCAGGCTGGAGTGCAGTGAAGTGAAACAGCTCATTGTAGCCTCGAACTCTTGGGCTCAAGTGATCCTCTCAAGTACCTGGGACCACAGGTGCATGCCACCATGCCTGGCTAACTTTTTCACTTTTTGTGGAGATAGGGTCTCGCCATGTTGGTCAGGCTGCTCCCAAACTGCTGCGCTTAAGCAATCTTGCTGTCTTAGCCTCCCAAAGTAGGAGCTTCTTATAAAACGGTGCATGGAATATGAATTTCTGGGTCTTGTATACTTTAAAGTATCTTTCTTCTATTCTCGTGCTTTATTGGTAGTTTATTTGGGTATTGCACTCTAAGTTGAAAATCATTTTCCTTCAGATTTTAAAGGCATTGCTTTATTGTCTTTTTATTGTTGCTGTAGAGAAGTTGGAAGGGTTCTGATTTCTGATTCTTTATATATAACCTATTTGTCTTTCCCTCCTCTCTGACAGTTTGTAAAATCTTCTCTTTGTCTGCAGTTTTCTGAAGTTTCACAGTGTGCTTCGTGTGCTGGGCCCTTTCAACCTGGCAACCTGCATCCTTCAGTTCTCTGAAATTTTATTGAATATATTGTTATGATTTTTCTTTTTTCTGCTCTTTCCTGGGAATTTCTCTTATTTGGATATAGGACCCCTCCTGTACTGGACCTTTAGAATATTCTTAACTTCTCTCTGCTGTTTCCATATCTTTGTCTTTTGATTTTATTCTTTAGAAGATTTCGATTTTATCATTCAATCCTTTTATTGAAGATTTAAAAAAAGTCTGCTATTATGTTGTCAATGTCTAAGAGCTCTTTTTGTTCTCTATGTTTCCTTTATATAGCATCCTATTTTTGTTTCATGGATGTAGTTTTATTTCATTTTTGTGAGAATATTAATGGTATTTCCGCCCTTGCATATTATCTGTTTCCTTCAAGTCACTTTTTTTTGTGTTTGCCATGGTCTGTATCTTTATTAGAGGCTTTCCCAAGATGTCACTCTAAAATGTGATCCTTGGCTGTGTTGCTCCTGATTAAGAGGGGGAGGAAAAAAGCTGTCAAGACCTTGACATTATGCTAAGTGAAAGAAGTCACTCACAAAAGACCACAGAGTGTAGGATTTCATTTATATGAAATGGCCAGAATGGACAAATCTATACAGACAAAAAAATAGATTAGTAGTTACTTGCGGCTGGGGAGTGGGGGGAATGCAGAGTGACTACTAATGTGTGTAGGATTTTCATTGGGGGAATGGAAAATGTTCTAAAATTGATTGTGGTGATGGTTGTACAACTCTGTAAATATGCTAAAAACCATTGAAATGTACATTTTATTTTTTTTCATTTAGTTCCTAGAGAAAATTGCATATTTTAAAAGGGTGAATTATATGGTATGTGACATAAAGCTTTTTTTAAAAAGTACTGTCAGGAAACTCTGAATACAGAATGGAGATAATTAGCTCTGAGCCTCACGGTACGGTGATCTGGATGGGCTGTTTGTTGGGCTCCCCTGATGTTACCATCTTCAGGTTTTCCCTTGGGTACATTCACCAGCAAAGAGTCTTTCACTCTTCTTCGGATGGTGGGGTTCTATCTGACTATGTTTTGGTACTCGGGAGAAGAAACATGGGAACCTTTGCACTCTACCTTCTGTAGACATAGTGCCTTATCTGTGATATGTTTCCCCCTCATCCACGCTGGATACTGCCAGGCCAAAGACACTCTTACTTTTTTTTTATGGGGAATGCTAAAGATTTACAAAAGTAGGGAGGGCAATACAGTGAATTCCCATGTACCCATCATTCAGGTTCACTAGTTTTCACTTGATGGATATTTTAGTTTGCTTTGTATCCCGCAATCCCCTTCCTCAGATTATTTCAAGCAAATGCTGGATATTTCTGTTTTGTGCTCCCCAGAGACAGGCCTTTGGAGTTTTGTTAATGAGGAGGGGGAATCTAGGTATCTAACTCCTTGAGTAGCCTTCTCTCTTGTGTTCTTTATTCTAGCATCCTATACGCCTGCTCTAGGAGTACAAGGTACTGTCAGTTCCTGTGTTTTTTAAGGATTCTGTGGTTTAAATCAGCTGAATTCCACATTTTCTGAGTATGCTAAGTCAATTACTACTTGTTCATCTGCTTCCCAAGCTTCCAAAATTTGACACCATTGTCTTATCTTCTCTGTACTTATAAGGTTTTTTTTAATAAAAATAAAGCACTTTACTGAATTTTTGTGGGGTTTTTGGAATAAGTGAAATTAGATGCAGTAGTTCAGTGTGACACCTTCTCCAGATTGGCTGCTCTTTTTTTTCTTTTCAATCTTGCCCTATCCTATTGTTAGTCCATTTTTGCATTACTACAAAGAAATACTTGAAGCTGGGAAAATTATAAAGAAAGGAAATCTAACTGGCTCACAGTTTTACAGGCTTTACAGGAAGCATGGTGCTGGCCTCTGCTTCTGGTGAGACCTCAGAAAGCTTACAGTCATGACAGAAGGTGACCGGGAGCCAGAATGTTACATGTGAGAGTGGAAACAAGAGAGAGTGAGGACAGAGGTGCCGTACTCTTAACCAGATCTCACATGAACTACCGGAGCCAGAATTCACTCATCACCAAGGGGATGGTGCTAACCATTCATGATGGATCTATCCCATGATCCAAACACCTCACACTAGGCCACACCTCCAACACTGAGAATTACATTTCAACATGAGATTTGAAGGGGACAGATATCCAAATCATATCACGTATCCTATTCTACTCAGCCCTATGGCCTTATTTTTTTTTATGTATGTGTGTATGTGTATCTATATCTATGTCTTTTTTTTGAGACAGGGTCTTGCTGTGTAGCCTAGGTGGGAGTGCAGTGGCATGATCAGAGGTCACTGTGGCCTCAACCTCCCAGGCTCAAGTGATCCTCCCATCTCAGTCTCCCTTGTAGCTAGGGCTATAGGTACACACCACCACATCTGGCTAATTTTTTAATTTTCTTGAAGAGATGGGGGTCTCACTATGTTTCCTAGGCTGGTCTCAAACTCCTGGGCTCAAGCAATCCTCCCACCTTGGCTTCCCAAAGTGCTGGGATTATAGATGTGAGTCACCATGCCTGGCCTTGTATCTATATCTATATCATCTATCTATATCTGTTTATCTATACCTATGTATATATTTTATTTGCCTGGAAAACTCCTTTTCAATTTTTTAAGAACAAAGAGGAGTTTTTCCTTATTTTAACATGCTTCTCTTTTGACCTTAAGCCCAGGCAAAGGTAAGGAGTCCCAGCTTCTGTGTACTCCCCTCTTATTATAGAAGTGTTTGCTTGCACTTTGCTGCATTACAGTTTATTTACCTATCTGTCCTGGCTTGTGAAGTAACAGCTATACGTTATTTTTCTTTGTATCATGAGCACAGTGCCTCACTCCCAGTAAACATGTTAACTCTCAGACTGGATAATTCAGCATTGTAATTTCAGGAGTGGGGATGAGCTGCAGTGCCCCTTTCCTTCTTGTCTTTTACAAGCACAACTGTTTGGTAAATATAAAGGAGCAAAACATGCCCTGAGGGCTTGTTGTTATGCAATGTTGTTCCCTTTGCTTTCAAGTCTGGTGTTTTTTACACAGTCAGCAGGTTGCAGAGGGAGTGAGGGCAGCTATAACAGTGTAAACATCCTAACAAAGAATGAATGGACTCAGTCAGAGATGTGTTGTTTCCTTCGTTTGATTAAAAGGCTTATGGTCTACACTGTGCTTCACAATGAGAAACTTCTTAGTTCTGCAGCATCTTCCATTGCTTTTTCTCTTCTGATAAAATGTCAGGAGAATTTTAAAAAATTGCTGATTTTGTTGTTAAAAAATCAGATATGAAGGTATTATCAATGTGAAGTCCTGGTAAAATGCAAATGGATAGCTTTGAAAGGGTAACATTTAACCTGTTGTTTCTTAAAGTGTGTTCTCCAAGTTGCTATACATCTTCCTCCAGGGGAAAAGAAATAGGGAACTTACTAGCGTTCAAACAAACTTGGGATGCTCGGTTAAACGGAGTTAAATAGGGTTTCCTACTTCAAGACACCTCAGATCTTGAAAGATGCTATAACTCTCTCCTCCAGGAGGAAAGAAATAGGGAATTAACTAGTAGTCAAACAAACTTGGGATGCTGAGTTCAACACAGTTAAGTAGGGTTCTTTACTTCACGCTTGTTACTGTGCATTGCAGATCTCCTAGAGGGGTACATCGTAGGCAGCATTTTCTAAATTTACTTTTCATCTGAGTAACAGTAGCATTTCAGTGTTGTGTTTTGTGGAACACACACAATTCTGGAAACAGCCTCTTAGCTTAAATCCATCCTTTGTGGTCTTGTTCAAATGCCACTTCCTCTAAGGCTTTTCTGTCTACCCCCAGAGATATACAATGTTTTCCTTCTTTGAATTGTACTGCCTTCACTTGTCTAATTGTCTCCTCACCCTTCCCCTACCCTATAAGAGGTCATACATTTTTTGTACATGTTATATCACTTTCCACTGCATCAGGGACATTGCCTTCCATAAAACTGCTCAAGAAATGTTTGCAGTACTGCATTGGTTCCTTAGTTGAGTCATCCTAGAGTCCAGAGGGCACTGGCAGGGTGGGGAAGCCTGAGGCAGATCTGGAGTTTGAGACCCTCACTATTTTGGCATGTAGATGGGTGGGGAGCTTGCTCGCTGTGTCCTTGCTGGACACAGGGCCAGTGTAAGAAGTTGGTCCTGAAGGGCAGAATTGGAAAGCGAAAAACAAGAGATGCTGACCTTATAAATCAAATGTGCTGAAGGCCTATTGTATGCCTGTGGTAAGCTTTGAATACTTAAACTTAACGCTAACCTTTCAAGTTGGTGATATTCTTCTGATTCTCTAGATGAGAAAATGGGGCATCAGAAAGGCAAAGCAGAAGTAAGTACTGGGGCTGCAAAGATGAATAAAATCCAGTCCTTCCCCAAGAGGCCCCGGGATATGGAGTAGATAGTCTTATAAGTAAATAATTGTGAGCAGTGGGGTAACTGCACGGATTAAACTCTGTCGAGGTATTGTGGGAGAACCAAATAGGAGACTCTGACCTCTGTATGGGAGATGGGAGGGAAGGCATGGCAGGTGGTGAATCCAAGAAAGCTTTCAGAAGGAGAGTGATGCCTGAGCAAGGTGGAATAAGAATGCATGGGCTGAAGCATGGAGGTGAGACGTATCACGGGGAATTCACTGTTACTGGGCTATAAAATGTGAGTTTGGTGAGAATTGAGGCTGGCAAAATTGAGAGGATATTATAAACAGATTGAAGAGTTCTGGACTTGATTTTGAAATGGGAAGCCATTGTAGGGTTTTCAGTAGAAGAGCAATGAGCCAGCACGTGTTTTGGATATGTATTAGCCAAGGTGGAAGTGAATCTGAGCTGGGTAGGACCTGAGGCAGGGCCATCAGCTGGGGCTCTCAGCACTGGTGCAGGGGAGATAGGATGAAGTCTGACCCACGGCAGTAGCACGAGTAGAAGAGAGGAGGAGACTGGTTTGATAAATATTCAGCAGGTAAATCAGCAAGACAGGAGCAGACAAGAGTCAAGTACAACCCTCAGGCTTTGTGCTTGTGCATGCCTCTTCTTCCCTTAACCAACATTTCAAGTCTGCCCTTATCTGAGCGCTGACCTTAAGCAAATCCTATGTGAAATGTAGGTTTATGAACAATTAATTAGGAGACAGTGTTTTATGGGGAGATTGTGACATGAGATTTCTTTAAATACTATTGCTTTCAGAGCATTTATATGTTGTGTATCTCAGAATTCTTATTTTTCTAACTTCAGGAACAAATCTATTGGGTAAAGCAGTGGTTCCCAAGCTAGATTATCACCAGAATCAACTGAGAATATTTTCCCCCAACTATTAGAAAAATTTTAATCATACTGAGAATTTGAAAGAGTAACAAATTGAACACCCAAATACCCACCAACTAAATTAAACAATTGTTAACATTTTGTCTTATTTCTCATGTTTGTGTGTATGTGTATATATACATATATATATATACACATACATACATATGCATATATACATATATGCTGGACCATTTGAAAGTTGCAAATGTTATAACACTTCACCTGAAACTCTCATTTCAGCATGTGTATTCTAAGAATAAAGACATTTGATACAACATAAAATTGTATCTAAAACAAAAAACAAAATGATCATCTGATATCAGGCCATGTTCATATTTCCCCAGTTGTGACCAGGGGGTATTTTTACTTCATTATTATTATTTTTTAAATTGCCCATTACTAATGAAAGAAACATTTTGTAGTATTCTAGATTTCACTTCTGATTCTGGTCAGTTATTCTTTTTTTTATTTAAAAGTTGTCTTTATTTTAAAATTATAAAATAAAGGATACTTATTTAAAAATTCAAGCAATGCAAAAATATCTAATAAAAATACTAAAGTAAAAATTGGAAGACCTTTCTCCATTATTGGAAGTTAATGGAACAGACTTTCTTAATCAGAATATCTAGGGAAGGGATCTAGCAGTTTTATTTTTAAGAAGCTCTTTGGACCAAGTGCGGTGGCTCACACCTGTAATACCAACACTTTGGGAAGCTGAGGCAGGAGGATCACTTGAGGCCAGGAGTTCAAGACCAGCCTGGGCAATATAGTGAGACCATGTCTCCAGAAAAATTTAAAAATTAGCTGAGTGTGGTGGCATGTGCTTGTAGTCCCAGCTACAAGGGAGGCTGAGGTGGGACAATCACCTGAGCCTGGCAGGTCCAGGCTTCACTGGCCATGTGATCGTGCTACTGGATTCCAGCCTGAGCAACAGAGCAAGGCCCTGTTCCCTATCTCTCCCACCCCTTCACCCCCACCCCTAATAAGAAGAAGCTCTTTGGATGAGTTTAATGCAGTTCAACTGGTACCAGCATTTAGGAAACACTGGTCTATTGTCAGGCATACGTACAGCCGTGATTTTCACTTGTGATCAAACCAAGAAGTACTTAATTAAGTGCCTATGATGCATTGAGCTATGTTCTAGGAATGTGGATGATCTAATGAAATACATAAAATATATGATCTGTCTTCAAGAACATCTTGTTGGAGAGATAAAACTGACATTCACAAAGTCATTAGGAGGAAGGGAATTAATATTTATAGAGCACTTCCTATAGGCCAGGTACTGTGACAGATGCTTTACAAAAATATCTCATTTAAATCTCACAACAGCCCTTGAGGTAGTGACATGGGATCTTTGGGGCGTTGCTTTTCTGGCTGGAAACCTGTGGCCGGTGGCGCCTTTGCCCTAGTTTTGCTCAGGCCTTCTGGGCTTGTTCCGCCCACTCGGCCTGGCAGGCTGTGCTCAGCTCATGCTACCGGGCTGGATCCCATGCCTCCAAGGGAGACTGGAGTCAGGCGTGGAGCAGAGAGAGGTGTGTGAGTGAGCATGGAGTCTGGCCTCTGCACAGCCAGACATCCCAGCTGCTGCTGCCGGGCGGGCAGCTCAAGGTGCTTGCATGGGCGCTAGCTCTCTGTGAGGCTGCAGCTGGACCAGGTGCGCCGCAAGCAGCTTTCCCAGCTGGCACTGGGGAATGAGGTGGTGCCTGGAAGCTTGGAGGCACCAGGAACCACAGGGCCCAGAAGAGGGAGTCACAGCCCTGGATCAGGGAGCTCCCAGGTCTGGGCTTCCTGGAGGGCCACAGCTCGTCTCTCCTCTTCACTCATAACCTGGTGAGCAAGGGACATGTTTCAATCCTGTTTGTGTTACAGCAACTCTTTTAGCCTCACCATTCAGTGAGTCTCAAGTTCTTGTCCTATGACCAGGAAGAATGAGGTACACAGACAGGCGGAAGGGTAAGCAAGACAGAGAGGAGCTTTATTGAGCAATACAACAGCTCAGAGAAGACCCGCAGTGAGCAGCTCCTCTCCATGGCCAGGATGTCCTGATGAGTGTTTAACTCCTAGCGGAGAGGATAGCTCCTCTCCGCAGGCAGGTTGTCCCAACAAGTGTTCAGTTCTCAGCAGAGAGGGTAGCTCCTGCTATCAGCAGAGAAGGTAACTCCTCTCTGCAGCTGGTCATCCTGTCATCTGCAGCTCTTGGCAGAGAGGAAGTGGCTCCTCTCTGCGGGCAGGTCATCCCATTGTCTGCAGCTCTCAGCAGAGAGGAGGCCATAAAGTGAGTGGCTCCACTCTACAAGCAGGTTGTCCCATTGTCTGCAGCTCTCAGCAGAGAAGGTAGCTCCTCTCTACAACTGGTTGTCCCATCCTCCCTCTGTTCCGTGGTCTGACTGAGCCCAGGGCTTTTATGGGTCTTAGAGGGGAAGAAGTGCATGCAATTGGTCCATGGGTGGCCATGGGCAGGCTGAAAAAGGCACCACAAATCGCCACCCTGGTTTGTGGGACTCACAGCCCAGCTCCCAGGCTTCAGGCTCCCCTGGCCTGAAGGTGGGGTCTCAACAGGGACTCGCCCCCTTCTGTCCAGGAGCTTGTCTGCCTCCTGCCTCAGTTGTGGCAACAGGCATAACAGGCTGCTCGTGCCAATGGGCAAGTGCAGGCCAGCGCAGAGCCGCCCTCAGCCCCCACCTTGGCTTTTTCCCATGTTTGTTGGTGCCTAAAGTCCGGAGGGGGCTGAGGCAACAGAGTCCTAGCATGAGCACACCCAGCCAGGCTGTGACAGTGCCCGAGCTTGGCCCCAACCCTGCTCTGAGATTAGAGCAGGCATAAGGAGTGGGGGAGAGGCCAGGCAGTGGGAGCAGGCACCTCTGAGCCTGCACAGGCAAGCGGGGGCCTTCCTGGACCCCCAAGAGTACAGGGATACCTGGGTCTGCAGCCGTGGTTTGAGTGGCTGTAGCTGTGCCCGAGAGGGTGGGGCTTCTACCTGCTCCGTGGAGTGGGAGGCCTGGGTCTGCAGCCATGGTTTGTGTAGCTGCAGTGGCACCTGGGTAGCTCCCTCCCCAGTTCAGAAGGGGTGGAGCTCCTGCTTGTCCCTGGCTCTCGCCAGCTCCATGGAACATGCAGTCCTGGCCACGCCTTCCAGCTGTAGCCAGCATGATGGCAGTGGCTGCTCCAGACAGCTCACCACTGTCATCAGTAGGCAGTATTATTCACATTTTCTAGTTAGGGGAACTGAGTCTCAGGGAATGACTTGCCCAAAGTCATTCGGCCTGTAAGAGATGGAACAGAGCCATAATTTTAACCCAAATCTATCTGAATCATTCCATTAAGCTACCTCTCGTGGTAACAATAGCCAACAATTGTATTGAATTTCGTACTGAAAAAAAGTACTCTTGCTCCCACTCTGATATTTGAATCAGAGAATGATTATAAGACCAAATATGATCAAGAGCTAAATTTGTGTGTACTAGTAACTTAGTGTTCTAAAGGTTCAGAGATGGAGAGATGAGGGAGGACTTCGTGGGGGAGATGGCATGTCTGCTGCCCTGAAGGAAGAAGCAAACTGGAACAGTTAATGGGAAGCTAGGTGAGAGAAAGACGGGGCAGGGGAGTGGGGGTTTGTGTTGCCACATGGTAAAACAGGGTAGGCATAGAAAACAGGTGACAAGAGGCCACTTCCTAGCCACTTGCTTCCTGAGATAGCCAGGCAAAAGGGAAAGAAACAAAATGACCTGTACCTTAATTTCCATCTTCACTTTTGCTGAACATAAATACATAGTTGTTATTTTTTAAAAAAAACCTTTTGGCCTGGTGTGGTGGCTCATGCCTGTAATCCCAGCACTTTGGGAGGCTGAGGTAGACGGATCACTTGAGGTCAGGAGTTCGAGACCAGCCTGGCCAATGGGCAAAACCCCCATCTCTACTAAAAATACAAAAATTACTGGGCATGGTGGCACATGCCTGTAATTCCAGCTACTCAGGAGGCTGAGGCATGAGAATCACTTGAACCTGGGAGGTGGATGTTGCAGTGAGCCGAGATCATGCCACTGCATTCCAGCCTGGGTGACGGAGTGAGACTCTGTCTCAAAACAAAACAAAACAAAAAGCACAAAAAAACTTTTTACACTCAAATAAAGCCAAATACTTACAGCCAACTGATCTTCAACAAAGCAAACAAAATATAAAGTGGGGTAAGGACACCTTGACAAATGGTGCTGGGATAATTGGCCAGCGACATGTAGAAGAATGAAACTGGATCTTATACAAAAATCAACTCAAGATGGATCAAAGACTTAAGTCTAAGACCTGAAATCATTAAAATTCTAGACAATATCATCAGTAAAACTCTTCTAGATGTTGGCTTAGGCAAAGAGTTCATAGCCAAGAACCCAAAAGCAAATGTAACAAAAACAAAATAAATAGATGGGACCTAATTAAACTAAAAAGCTTCTGCACAGCAAAAGAAATTATCAGCAGAGTAAACAAACAACCCACAGAGTGGGAGAAAATACTCACAAACTATGCATCTGACAAAGGACTAATATCCAGAATCTACAAGGAACTCAAACAAATCAGCAAGAAAAAGAACAAATTAATCTTATCAAAAAGTGGTCAAAGGACATAAATAGACAATTCTCAGAAGAAGATATACAAATGGTCAATAAACATGAAAAAGTGCTCAACATCAGTAATTATCAGGGAAATGCAAATTAAAACCACAATGAGATACCACCTTACTCCTCCGAGAATGGCCATAATTAAAAAATCAAAAAATAGTAAATGTTGGTGCAGATGTGGTGAAAGGAAACATTTTTTTTTTTTTTTTTTTTTTTGAGATGGAGTCTTGCTCTGCAGCCAGCCTAGAGTGCAGTGGCACAATCTTGGCTCACTACAACCTCCGCCTCCCAGGTTCAAGTGATTCTCCTGCCTCAGCCTCCCGAGTAGCTGGGACTACAGGCGCATGCCACCATGCCCAGCTAATTTTTGTATTTTTAGTACAGACAGGGTTTCACTATGTTGGCCAGGATGGTCTCAATCTCCTGACCTTGTGATCCACCTGCCTTGGCCTCCCAAAGTTCTGGGATTACAGGCGTGAGCCACCATGCCCAGTGGAAAATGAAACACTTTTACACTGCTGGTAAGAATGTAAACTAGTACAACCACTATGGAAAACTGTACAGAGATTCCTTAAAAACTAAAAGTAGAACTACCATTTGATCCAGCAATGCCACTACTGGGTATCTACCCAGAGGAAAGTAAGTCATTATATGAAAAAGACACTTGCACACACATGTTTATAGCAGCACAATTCACACTTGTAAAAACATGGAACCAGCTTAAATGCCCATCAACCAATGAGCAGATAAAGAAAATATGGTATATATACACCATGATATACTACTTAGTCATAAAAAGCAATGAAATAATGGCATTTGCAGCAAGCTGGATGGAGTTGGAGATCATTATTCTAAGTGAAATAATTCAGGAATGGAAAATTAAATATCGTATGTTCTCACTTGTAAGTGGGAGCTAAGCTATGAGGATGCAAAGGCATAGGAATGACATGGACTTTGGGGACTTGGGGGGAAAGGTGGGAGGGGGCTGAGGGATAAAAGACTACACATTGGGTACAGTGTACACTGCCTGGGTGATGGGTGCACCAAAATCTCAGAAATTATCACTAAAGATCTTAGCCATGTAACAAAAAACCACCTGTTCCCCAAAAACTATTTAAATAAAAGAAATTTAAAAAAGAAATAAAAATCTCTTTGCTACATTATTATTATTATTTTGATACAGGGTCTCACTCCTGTTGCCCAGGCTGGAGTGCACTGGAACTATCACGGCTCACTGCACCCTCTACTTCCCAGGCTCAAATGATATTCCCACTTCACCCTCTAGTAGCTGGGACTACAGGAGCACGCCAACATGCCCAGCTAATTTTTGTATTTTTTGTGGGAACTTAGTTTTGCCATGTTACTCAGGCTGTTCTCGAACTCCTAGGCTGAAGTAATCTGCCCAACTCAGCCTCCCAGAGTGCTAGGATTACAGGTGTGAGCCACCGTGCCCAGCTTCTATACCTTATTAAGTCACTGAAGAGTTTAGCCCCTCAAGTTTTTCCACTTACATTGCACTGTGATTTTTCCATGTCCCCATCCTCCCCTCCAACTCTTTCTGAACATGAAAGGGCAACCATTGAGGGTCCTGCAGCTAGTAGGACCCCAGCCAGATGTGCACACATAAATGACATTTGAGTGAAAATGCAATAATAGAAGTCTGTGTGAGGAACAGAGGTTGCTTACATTGAAGTGAGAAGGGGGTGTGTGTTTGCATTGGTGCTCCCAAGTTCTCTGAAGCTTCCTTCCGACTCTGTTCTGATTATTTTCAGAGCCTGGAGTTGGGACCTTTTGCAAATGCTGTTGTATATATTACGGTCAATTGTGTAGAAAGAGAATGCACTTGCAAGTCAAAACACCTGGATTAGTGTCCTGGCTTCACTGCCTACCAATGTTATTTGTTAGCCTTGGGCACATTTTTAACTTTTTAAGATTAAGTCTTATAGATCTTTGTAATTTGTAATTAGGCCCCATGTCTCTGCCATCATTAAATTTATCTAATCACTGGATTATTTTCAGTAACAAATAAATATGCTGTAGTATTTCTTATCTGAAAAGAAACCAACCTTCCCAAATTCCCATAACCTTTTAAAATTTTGTCTCTTAAATATTGCAAAATAAATTTATTTTTTAACTTAAAAATCTGTTGACATTATATCCCCTGTAGCTATCTCCTAGTTTCTCTGTTTCTTTTCTCAGAAGCACTTACATAAGTTGTCCATAGTTTTGGTCTGACTTTCTCCTCCACTCCCCCAATTCTAATCTCTTTCTCTCATTTCATCAGGACCGTCCTTGTCTCTGTCAACCAGTGGCCTTCATGTTGCCAAATCTAAGGCCACTTCGTTGTTTTTTTGTTTGTTTGTTTTATTTTGTTTTGAGACAGAGTCTCACTCTGTTGCCCAGGCTGGAGTACAGTGGCATGATCAGAGCTCACTGCATCCTCAACCTCCCTGGCTCAAGCGATCCTCCTGCCTCAGCCTCCTCAGTAGCTGGGACTACAGATACGTGCCACCATGACCAGCTAATTTTTGTATTTTTTGTAGAGATAGGGTTTCGTCATGTTGCCCAAGCTGGTCTCAAACTGCTGGTCTCAAGGGATCTGCCTGCCTCATTCTCCCAAAGTGTTGAGATTACAGGCATGAGCTACCATGCCCAACCCATCTCTTTGTTTTAATCTTAGTTATTCTCTTAGCAGCATTTGACAAGACTGATCACCATTTTCTTTGACACTCTACTTCTTGATTCTCTTCCTACCTCTCTGAGCTTTCTTCAGTCACCTTCTTCCCTCAATCTCTAAATGGTGATATGCCCAGGTTCTGAAATGGCCCTCTTCTCTATTTATCCACTCTCCATAGATATCCTCTGATAATTCAATGGCTTTAAATAACATCCATTTGCTAGTGACCCTCACGTTTGTATCTTTAGCCTCAGACTCTCTCTCTGGAACTTCAGATTCATGTCCACATAGATGTCTGAGAGTCCTTACATTTCCTAACATGGCCAAAAGAGGACTCTTGATTCAGCTCCACTCCAATCTCAGTTTTCCCAATCTTCCCAACTTCAGAAAGTGGTGCCATTATCCCCCCATGTGCTCAAGTCAAATATCTAGGTATTACTTTTCATTTCTTTCTTTCTTTCCCATCCTCTTTCCAATCCTTTAGCAAGTTCTGTCTTCTCTATCTTCAAAAACACTCCAAAATTTATACCCTTCTCTCCATCTCCACTACCAGCACCCTGGTCCAAGCCATATGATCTCTCACCTAGACTATTTGCAGTAGCCTCCTAACTAGTCTTGTTTGTTTCTACTGGTATCCACACCATCATACCCTCCATTATAGAGACTAGAAAAAAATTTTAAAAATGTTAATTGGTTTGTGTCACATTTCTTAAAAGCCTCTACGTGGCCTTACATTGAACTCAGAATGAAATCCAAACTCCTTGCCCTGGCTTTCCAAGCTCTATGTGACCTGTCCCACAGCAGTCTCCCAGTTCTCTTCTTGTTGACCATGTGCTCAGCCTCAGTGTCCCTTCTTTCAGTTCCTTGAACATGCCAAGCTCATTGTCACATAGGGCCCCTGTACTTGCTGATCTCTATGCCTGAAATGTACTTCTTCCATTCTTCATGTGCTTGACTCGCCCCTTCCTTCCTTCCTCTTTCTTTTCTTCCTTTCCTTTCCTTTCCCTTCTCTCTTCCTTCCTTCCTTCCTGCCTCCCTCCCTCCCCTTCTCTTTCTTTCTTTCTCTTTCTTTCTCTCTCTTTCATTCTTTTTCTTTCTTATTTCTTTTTCTCCTTGCCTCCATCCTTCCTTCCTTCCTTTCTCTTTCTTTCTTTCTTTCTTTCTTTCTTTCTTTCTTTCTTTCTTTCTTTCTTTCTTTCTTTTTCTTACTTCTTTCTTTCTTTGTCTCTCTCTGCCTCTGCCTCTCTCTTTCTTTTCTTCTGTCTCCCCCTGTCTCTCTTTCCTTTCAAAAGGAAAGAGGTCTTAGTCTGTTGCCTTGATTGGAGTGCACTGGCATCATCAAAGCTCACTGCAGCCTTGACCTCCTGGGCACAAGGGACCCATCTGCCTCAGCTCTGAGTAGCTGGGACTACAGGTGTGTACCACCACATCCAGCTAATTTTTAAATTTTTTGTAGAGATGAGGTCTCACTGTGTTGTCCAGTCTGGTCTTAAACTCCTGGTCTCAAGTGTTCCTTCTGCCTTAGCCTCCCAGAGTGCTGGGATTACAGGTGTGAACCACCAAGCCTGGTCTGGCTCTTTCTTATTCAATTCTCATCTTAAATATACCCACTTCAGAGAGAACTTCTGTGACAGCTATCCAGTCTTTTCCTCCTGTTTTAATTCTCTACTAGCACTTATCACTGTCTGATACTTTTCTTGTTTATTTGTGTATATGCTTATTTTCCCATTCATTCATTCATTGCTCTATTTTTATGCTGTATGAGAGGGGGAACTTGTCTTCTTGTTCATCATGGTATCCCCTGCTTCTGGATATGTGACTTGCACATAGTAGATGCCCAGTACAAATGTATGAAATGAGTGAATGTTTTTCTCACCTGTAAAATGGAGAGGCCAACACTTATGTCTCAGAGTTGTTGAGGACTTGCATTATTTAATTTGATAATGCAGGTAAAGTGGATAGGTCTGTGTCTAGCACATTGTTTTTATAGAAACTATTATTTTCTAAGTATCTGGCTTATTGTAGACATGCAATAAAGGTTAGTTCTCTTTCTTTATTTCTTGCAGTCTGGATCTCCTGCAGTATTTTATATTTAATTGACCTGCACTTTGGGTCCTCCAACGCACACAGAGACACTGCATTGTAGCAAGGTTTGACTTTCTCTTGGGAAATTATAGTTTTCTTCTCTTTGGTTATATGATCTTTGCCAATTAACTCTCCTTAAGATCAAATTGCTTTGGGGTTTGATTTCCTCATCATAGTGTTTAGTTTCTCTGAAAAGCACTCTCAGCTTTTGTGTGTACTGATCAGTTTTTCTTTTGCATTTATTTAATATTTAGTCTACTGAAATGTCAGGCGATGAGAATACAGATAGGAATTTGCAGGAGCCTCTGTCCTTAAGGCCTAGTGGAGGAAACAGGATACATAAACCAACAAGAATAATAAAGTGTCTGGCCAGGCGCAGTGGCTTATGCCTGTAATCCCAGCACTTTGGGAGGCCGAGGCAGGTGAATCACTTGAGGTCAGGAGTTTGAGACCAGCCTGGCCAACGTGGTGAAACCCCTGTCTCTACTAAAAATACAAAAATTAGCCAGGCATGGTAGTGCATGCCTATAATTCCAACTACTAGGGAAGCTGAGGCAGGAGAATTTATTGAACCCAGGAGGCGGAGGTTGCAGTGACCCGAAATCACACCATTGCACTCCAGCCTGGGGAACAGAGTGAGACTCTGTCTCAAAATAATAAAAATAAAAATGAAAATAAATTTTAAAAAAAAGTGTCTATGGAGAAACTCTGCAGAACATAGAGGAGGCACAAAGTAGAGAGTGACCAATTCACAGGGAGGGTGGGGGTATGGTTTGAGAGATAATTGGTTGTTTACCACCCAATAAAGAGAGATGAGCCCTGTGAGTAAAGGTGTGAAGGGATGAACCTGTCTAGGGGCCCATGCTCTGGGAACTTGGCAAGACTGCGTGATCATAGCGGTAGTCATAGTGGTAACAGGTCATGAGAAGCAAAGCCTGAAAGATACGAGGTGCTGGGCTGTGGAGGGCTCTGCATGCCCTGCTGGAGAATTTGAACTTTCGCCCAACAATAACAATAACAGTAGCAGCACCTAACATTTACTGAGCACTTCCTCTTTGCCAGGCCCTCTTCTTTGTACTTTATTGTATTAATTCCTTTAATCTGCACAACGGTCCTATGGGGTAAGTACTGTTATTATCCCTATTTGTAAATAAATACACATAGGATAGGTATTGAATTTGTTCTTAAAAATAATAATAAATAAATAAATGTAGGCACCAAGAGGACAAGGAACTTGCCCAGGGTCACCCAACTCATAAAGAGCATTCAGAGCATTCAGAAAGAGCAGTCTGAGGATTCAGACTCAGGCAGTGTGGCTCCAAAGTTTGCCCTCTTAACCAGGGCACTGTACTACTTCTTACAGACAACTTTGTGGGGGCAGCCAGAGCCCTGGAAGAGTTTTAAGTGTGGGAATGACATGATTAGATTAGTTCTTTGGAGAGGCTGCAGTGGAGTCGCATTGCATCTTGTACAAGTGTTCATTTCTAAAAGCATTGGAGGCAAAAAATGCCAAGTTCCATTTCTTCTTGCCTCTGAGTGAGGTTTGCTATGCTAGTGGTGGCGTACCACATCTTAGGCAGTCCAACACAGCAGCTTTTTTCCTCTATCCTTAGAACAGAGGACAGAGTCTTTGGAAGACATGCATATAATAGATGAATCATCAGTTTGTGTTGAGGGACTCTTTTGTTTGAAAAGCACAAAAGTATCACACTCCTGCAGAAACTGAGCCCCTCAGTGGTGACAACAGACTCAGCCTCCCCTCATTTAGTGCATATCCAAGCCTGTGCGTTGCTTAGATAGTGTTTTTCCCTGCCCTTGTTTCTCTCTCTAGAGAAGTCCATAGTGATATGGGTGCACATTAGGCCTGTGATGGTCTGCATTGCATTTGGCAGCAGAATGGAAGAAGGACAGCCTGCAAGTGGGGAGGCAGGAAGAAGGCAGGGAAAACAAGCAGAACACAGCAGCTGCTGCCCAGCTACCAGAGTCTGGCCTTGGTGAAGGGCAGGGCAGGAGGCCAGGAGAGTAAGGGTATGAGAAATGTAAAGAAAGTTAAATATTCTGGACCTAATGACCAATTGAATTGGTTTCCTTCAACTTTCTTCTGATCTGAAAACTTAGTACATCATTGTATCTTCTTGTTTTCAGTCTGTTAAATGCCTTTCTAATTCCAACTACATTATTCAGTCTTCCAGCTTTAATACACAGTACTCGCCATGTTCTTGGCTTATGGCTACTGAAATAGACCTAAGAGTCATCTACAGGTGTTAGGAACCTTGATTGGTCCATTTATTTTGTCATAGTGGTACAATATTCTCTTTTTTACTTACAAACTGACATTATGTGGGGTCTCTTGATAGCCACCATTATGTTATAGTACAAGATTTATATTAAGTTCTCTGGTTTCTCAAAATTGAAATGATTTTGTAACTGCTTTAAAGAAATGTTGATGCGATTACAACAACGATCAAAACAAAACCAAACCAGCCAGTACATGGGAAAAAGAAACTAGGAGAAACACATCAAAATGTTGACAGTGATTGCATTTGTATTGGCAATTTTATTTTTCCCTTTTCTGTGTTTCCAAAGTTCTGAAAATGTGTCTATGGTACATACAAAATGTTAACAACTTGTTTTTTAAAAAATAACAAACTTCAAAAATAAAAGGTCTCTGTAATCTCATAATTCTAGCATAACACATTTTTACTTTTGAAATGCCCTTGTTGATATACATGTGTATTTTTCATAGCTGCAGTCCTGACAAATGCAGCTTTGCAAATTCTTTTCATTTTACAGCCTATTGTCAACATTATTTCATTTTTCTACACAGTTTTCATAATTGGCATTTCTAATGGCTGCCTTGCATCCCATGGTGTTGATGTTCTATATGGAACTTTCCTTTGGACATTTTGATTGTTTCTAGTTCTTTACTGTTTTAGATAAGAGGTAATGAGTATTTTTGTTCATTTGGCATTTTGGGTTCGTTCAGTTATTTCCCTAAAGTGAATTCTCAGCAGTGAGCTAACTGCATGAAAGGTTTGGATTCTTTTATGGCTTTTGGTATGTGCCAAGTAAGACCCTGCCTTCTGGAAGAGCCCATTGAATGTGGATGGTCACTGGCTTCATATATGTGTACCTGTCCCATGTTTCCCTCCCCACTATTGAGCCCCTAAGATATTTTAATAATGTGCATTGGAAAAGATATAAATATGAAAAAAAGGAAATAAGCTATTCATAATCTCACCACCCAGAGGTAAGAATTTTAAAAATTTATTTCCTTCTAAGTATTTATTTATTTATTTTTGTTTTTTAGAGACAGGATTTCACTCTGTCTGGAGTGCAATGGCGTGATCACAGTTCACAGTAATGCCTAACTTCTAGGCTCAAGAGATCTTCCCACATCAGCCTCCTGAGTAGCTAGGAGCATAGACATATGACACCACACCTGGCTAATTTTTAAATTTCTTGTAGAGGTTGGGTCTTGCTGTGTTGCCTGGGCTGGTCTCAAACTCCTGGCCTCAAGCGATCCTTCCTTCTTGCCCTCCCAAAGCACTGGGATAACAGGCACAAGCCACCACGCCCAGTCCAAGTATTTATTTCATAATGCTGTATCATGTGGCTTCTCTGTTAGCCCTTCTCTATTGGTATATAGAGGTTTTACTTCTCCCTCCATCTTGGGGGTCATCTTAGCCAGATGTGGTGGCCCACACCTGTAATCCCAGCACTTTGAAAGTCCAAGGCAGGAGGATCACTTGAGGGCAGGAGTTCAAGACCAGCCTGGACAACATAGTGAGACCACATCTCTACAGAAAGTAAAAGTAAGTAAATAGGTAAATCTTTGTGCACATTTAGGAAGCATTCTGTAGGAAAATTCCCAGAAGCAGAATTTTCCTCTTGCTGGGTTGAAGTGTGTGGACCTTGTGAAGGCTTTTGATGAGTATTGAAAGGCTTTTGATGAGTATTGAAAAGTTGCTATTGAGGAAAGTTGTGCCTCTTTCTACTTCACCTGTTAATGTTTGGATGCCATTCCTGCCTTCAGTAGGTTAACACCAGTGGCCATTTATTTATCTGTTTATCTTGAAATAAGTTTGGACCTCTCTGGTCTTTTGTTATTTGTTTTTATTTTATTTTATTTTATTTTATTTATTTTTGGTGTTTTTGGCTCCCTGGGCATGTTGTTCCTGGGATTAAAATCCCAGAATTTATATTTTCTTTAGGATTTCCCTCAGGTTCCATCTGTTGCTAAATTTTACACATCCACATCTTCCACCCAGCTCTCAAACTGTACCCTGCAGCATGGTTACAGAATTCTTGATTTCATAGACTTTTTGAAATCTGGAACTCTTTGAAAGAGACTACTTATTTTGGCTTAAAAATTTCCCCGTTTTTGGCCGGGCGCGGTGGCTCACGCCTGTAATTCCAGCACTTTGGGAGGCCGAGGCGGGCGGATTGCCTGAGGTCAGAAGTTTGAGAACAGCCTGGCGAACATGGTGAAACCCAGTCTCTACTAAAAATATGAAAATTAGCCAGGCATGGTGGCGGGTGCCTGTAATCCCAGCTACTTGGGAGGCTGAGACAGAATTGCTTGAACCTGGGGTGTGGAGGTTGCAGTGAGCTGGGATCTCACCATTGTACTTCAGCCTGGGTGATGAGAAACTCTGCTCAAAAAAAAAAAAAAGGTTTCCCGCTTTTTGGCCATTTCTTTAATAAATACTTGTTGAATTCAACTTTAAGGAGCTCAGGGTTCATTGTTATGTGATGGAGTCTAACGTATATGGGAATTGAAGAGAGGTGAATTTGGGCCAGATTATGAAGAGCCTTGTTACACCATCCTACCTAAGGAGTTGAACTGCATCCTCAAGGCTGATAATTAGTTGGCACTTTTGGGAAAACACTTCGTAGACTGGCTGCAGGGAGCCTGGTTAGAAGTCCACAGTAGGCTGGGTGGGGGAGAGCTGACTAGTCCCTGAGCCATGTTGGTGCAGTGGGGACAGGGGTTAAGCAGGGGTGTATTCAAGCAGGCCTTGGTGACAGATAGGTTATGGTATGCTGTGTGAGTGTGTGTGCATGTGTGTGCGTCCATCCCTGCTGAGGGAAAATTTGTACCCTATCTTCTGCATAAGAATTTGCCATGATACAGGAATTTGCCAGGATAATGCACTGGAAAACACTTAGGAAACTAAAAGTGCTCTATAGATGTAAAAACATTGATAGTAACAGTATGTAAGAAATTCTGCCCAATGGGGTTGATTCAAGGATGCAATAATGGCCTGGTGTGTGTAAAGCTCTAGACAAGTAGTCATTCTTTTGCTTGACACAGGACCTGTCACAAACTTGGGAGAGTTCTTTTTTTGTCTTCATCTATTCAGGTTGCTGAGCATGTGGACACTTGCTTCCCTCTCACTTTTTCTCCTGCTTCCAGTGAGGAGGGAATCTGAACAGCTGAAGGAGGGGTCCAGCCTAGTGTGACAGTCTTCCAACAGGGAGAAGACATCTCTGTTCCTGGTAGGCCTCTGATCTCCGGGGCAGAGGACCATCAGGGGAAAGACTTGAGCCCAGTTCTGAGCCGTGGCCCTGACCTCTGGCTCCCTGGCCAGGCTGCTTTGTGTGTTCAGCCCGGTGGGAGGAGACTGAATAAGCTGATAAGAAGGTTCTTCCGGTCCAGCCAAGCAGGCGCAGGGAAGCTTCTGCAGAGGAAAGATTAGACACGGTCCCTGATTTAGAGAATACAAGGGGGAAGGCAATGGGGCAAAGCCCAGAGCTCTTTGCAGTGGTATTGTTTATTGTTGGAGGAGGACAACAGAGGGAGCCCCACCTGCTTGTGCAGAAGACAGAAACAGCAAGTTGGGTCTGCAAGTGCCTTTTTTAGGGCAGTTTAACAAACATGTTTTGCAGACAGAAGTCTCCAACTTGGAAGGGGGTCGATGAGTGGGAAGGGTATCCTTTTTCTTCCCCCAGGAAACAAAGCAGGAGTATTTCCAGGCACATCTGAGCCTCTTTGTCAAGCACCTGCTCCCAGGTGCTGTGGTACGAAACAAATTAGCCCCGCCTGGGGAGTTAACTGAGTGGGTCCTAAGCGGTGGCCTCTTCCCTTCTCTTCTCACCTATATGTGGAAAACCAAATCTGTGCTTAGTGTAGGGATGCTCCCCATGGCCAGCTTCTCACTATGGCAGAAAGAGCACCAGAAGATAATTCAGGTGTTTGCTTGGGTTAATGCTGATGAAATGCTGCTTTGTGGAATCATTCTCATGTTTGGAATCCCAAATCCGTTTTGTATTTCTAGGAATTAGGAAAATATCAAACATAATATATGAAGAATAAAATAAAATATTTGATTGTCTTGATTTTTGAAAATAGTATTATGGAGGTCTCAGGCCTGCTTTATTTTTCATTTTCATTTTTACTTTTTGCATATCTTGAAAAGTATTCTAAGGGCTGCTTCTGAGCTCCTTCCTCCTAACTCCACCCCCAATCCATGGCATGTGTTCATGCCAGCCACCCCTGACAGTTTTGTCTGTGGCCTTGCCCAATGGAGATTTATATGTGCAGATCTTATTTGTCCTGGCAGCAGCTCTGATTTGGAGTCAGGGGACCTGTGTTTGCTCTTCTGGCTCTGTTGCTTACATGCTGCGTGGCCTGAGGCAAGTCACTATCTTGGTTTCAAATCTCATTTCTGTAAAATGGGGAGAAAAAGATGAGCTCCTTCTGCTTCCTCAGAAATGTTCTGTGTCAGAGTGAAGTGAGAGTAATTTCTAAGCTGTAAGAATGTGTGAGAGTTTTGTTTTTATTCATGACACAAGCAAGCTATTGTTTGATCCATTGGTTTTGGCTGCCATACTGTGGATACTTGGTTTTGAGGGAAGTTGGTCTGAAAGAATGAATCCTCCTTGTAGAGACTCACTGTGCTGAGACATGGTTTAGAGAAAGCAGTGATACACACAATGAACTGGAAAAGCAACTCCAGAGTCTGGGTGGGACATTCCTTCCTGGGGTCCCTGTCCCATGAAGGGGTGCAGCTGGGCAAAGAGAAAGACACAAAGATTGAAACAGAGTACCCCAAATAGATTTTTTTTTAAACAGGGCCTCTCTCCCTGTATTAGGAAAACTGTCTTGCTTTTGAAGCACTACTATAGACTGAATAAAAAGGCAGAGTATAATTTAAGAGTTGGAGGTTATCTTCTTTCCTAGAAAGAGCTAAATATTATAGCCTCCCCAGGGGCAACTACTGTTGCCAGTTTCTTTTGTGTCATTCCAAAAATATCTTGTGCCTATACAGATATAGAATCATATGCCCCCGCCCTTTCTTCATACTGTAAACACACCATTCTTTGCCTTGCTTCTTTCATTTAATACATCTTGCAGATATCCATAGCAGGCTGTGTGGTGGTCCATTGTTGTATGGCTACCTTAATCTATATAACCATTTTCTGCTAATGGACTTTTAGGTTGTTTTTATAATTGCTATTCCAAATACTGTTGTAATAAATATCCTACTACATGTGCCTTTGTGAGTATAAATGTGATAGATTCCTAGAAGTGCAATTGCTGGGTCAGAGGGTTTGTAATAGCGTTTTTAGCTTTAAATCAATAGTGCTCTCCATAGAGGTTGCATTGATTTACCTCCCACCAGTAGTATACAAGTGCCCCATTTCTCCATAGTGTCACCAGTACAGGATAAACTTGGCCAATCTGAGATGAATGGCCTCTTATTATAACTACATATAGTTAAAATTATAATTTATAAGTATAAATTTACTATAGTTTGAATTTACTTTTGTAAGATTGATCAGTTTTTTAAAAAAAAAAATGTAAGTGCTATTTTTATTCCTTTCTTGTGAATTATCTGCTCATGTCCTTAGCCTATTTTTTCTAGTCGGTTATTGAATTTTTCTTATTCATTTTGTAGGAACTTTTTATGCATGTAATCAATTAGACCTTAATAATATATATTGCAGTCAGTTCTTCATTTTTATTGTTTTGCCATACAGAATTTTTGAAACATTTAGTGAAATTTCTCAGCCTTTTTACTTTATAGCCTTGATTTTGAGTAATTCTTAGAAAGCCTTCTCTACTTTAAGGTTTTATATATATGTATATATATAATGTTTTCTTCTAGTACTTTTATGCCTTCAGTTTTTTAGATCCAAACTTTGAATCCATCCAGAATTTATTTTAGTATAAGGAGTGAGACAGACCTCCAACTTAATTTTTTTCCACAAAGACCTGGGTTTTGAATCCAGGCACTTTTACTCATTAGCTGTTTGATTTTTGAACTAATTAATCTCTCTGAACCTCAGTTTTCTTATCTGTATAATGGGAATATTAATACCCATTTGATGGCCTACTGAAAAGATTAAATAAGATTACATGTGGAAAACATTTAGCACCGTTCCTAGCACACAGTGTGTTCAAATCATGGTCCAAATGGCCAGGAACCTGGGGACACATAGTGTGTTCTGGCAGAGGAGAAATTCTAGGTAGCCAGGATACAGAGGCCACCTTGTGACTCACCAGTGTGTCAGAGTAAGTAAGTCACTTCATTACCTAAACCCTCAGTTTCCTCACTTGCAGAATGAATGATTAGAGCTTTCTCTTGAGGTTGTTGGGAGGTCCAGATTAGATAATGTCTGTGAAAGAATTTTGTAAACTATAAAGGGCAATGTAAAAATGCTGGAGTTTACAGTCTGGTGAATAAGGAGCAGCCACAGCACAGGTGGGTGTTTGACATTTGTGGCCAAGGAGAATAATTAACTTGCAATAACATGAAATTAGCAGCTGATGTAAAGCAAGTGAGCTTGTAGCAGTTGATTATAGTAATGGTTAGTAATTGCCTCCTAGTAATTAAGCAATAATGAGCTTCCAGGGACAGAACCTTGTTAGGCGGAAAGATGGATGAAAGGCTTTCAATTCAGTGTACACTTACTGAACACAGCAGTGGGACAAGCAGAGACAGGTGTCTTGTTGAGGTACAGTCTTTGTCCTTAAGGATAGTAGGGGGTGAGAGACACATAAAGCATGGCTCCTTCCATGGGCCTGACACACATGTGGGGATATACTTGGAGGAAGGTCCACAGTGCTCTGGGATCATCAAAGAGGGTGAGATTCACCTGCTGAGCCCCCGTGCCAGTCTGAACCCACCCTCCAGAGTCTGACCCAGATTCTAAAGAACCCCTATGATGCCTTCTTGAAGTTTTACTTGCCCTTTTTTATTCCTCTGGTTGTTTTGGATTTATCAGGGATATCTTGTTTCTCATGCCCTGCCCATCGCCCTCCACAGCTTCTGGGCAAGCATGGTGTTATGCCTAGGGCCTCTATTTCTACTGTGACCTGAGTACTCAGATGGGATGTCCAGTTCATTTTGAATTTCAGGTAAACAACAAACTTTAAAATATGTCTCATGCAATATTTGGAACAAATTTATATTAAAGTGTATTTGTTGACATCTGACCATCTGAAACTGAAATTTGACATGGTCAGGGTGATATGACCTGGA
Organism: Homo sapiens; assembly: GCF_000001405.40. Classification (NCBI taxonomy): domain Eukaryota; kingdom Metazoa; phylum Chordata; class Mammalia; order Primates; family Hominidae; genus Homo; species Homo sapiens. The sequence goes on along the minus strand of NC_000011.10, from coordinate 83,004,260 downwards.
TTTCTTATTATTTATTTTTAAAAAACTATATCTGGCAACCCTACCTGGGCAGCTCTTATTTCAAATGCTATAAAATATAATAGTGTTTACTACACTAATGTTTCATGGAGCCCTAGTAGCAAGGCATATATAAAAGGTGTTTTATATGAGAAAAGAATTCTCAGCTAAAATCATGTTTGGTAAATCCTGTGTTAAATGAAGTTAACTGGCCTTCATTATGGGAATTTTCAGAACATTTTAAACCTCCAAGATTGGGTGATAGTATTTAATATTTCTCAAAGTTATGTTACTGTGAAGCTATCCTCTACATCCCCCACTTACTGAGTATCTAGGGTCATATGAACAAATGTTGAATAAATTTTGAGGGTCTCTGGTAATCGGTTCTATTTGCAGACCATGAGTTCTGATTTTGGGTTTTGGGAAAATACCATTCTATAGAAAAAAATTTATATAATTCTATGATGCTGTTTTTTTTTTAAATTAACAAATTTGTAATAAAATATACACATAGACACGAGTGTATATAAAGAAAAAGACTAGAGCCAGGTGTGGTGGCTCATGCCTATAATCCCAGCACTTTGGGAGGCTGAGGTGCGTGGATCACCTGAGGCTGGGAGTTTGAGACCAGTCTGACCAACATGGAGAAACCCCGTCTCTACTAAAAACACAAATTACCCAGGCATGGTGGTGCATGCCTGTAATCCCAGCTACTGGGGAGGCTGAGGCAGGAGAATCGCTTGAACCCAGGAGGCAGAGGTTGCGGTGAGCCGAGATCGCGCCATTGCACTCCAGCCTGGGCAACAGGAGCAAAATTCCGTCTAAAAAAAAGAAAAAAGAAAAAGACTAGGAGGATATATACCAGAATGCTAACTGTAATTATTCCCCAGAGAAGGTCTGGGTAGGGAAAGAGATGATAGATGATTTTCTTTTCCTTTTTGCTTGTCTGTATTTTCTGCAATCAATATATATGACTTTTGTCAGAATGGTGGGAAAAACCATTTATATATTTTTAAAAGGAGTACCTTTCCATATATTATCTTATTTGCCTCTCACGTAACTCACTGGTATAGATTCTAATATCATCCCCATTTTATGGATGAGGAAACCACACAGTGCTCTCTAACAGATCCAGGCCCTCTTACTTCATCGCCTATGCTGCCTCTTTGATATGGAAGCATAACCACACTTGCTGTTGTGGGAAGGGGCCTTGTTGCCTGTTTACCCAGCCCCTCCATTTACAGACCAAGTCAAGGCCCAAAGGACCTGCCTGAGACACACAGTTTTTGAATAAGGACAAGTCACCAAAATATTTTAGGGGACTAGGGTTTGGAGGTGTGTCAGAAAGTTGGGGAGAAGACCTGGCCTCTGACTTTATCTGTTATATTGAGCCCCAAAGGGAAAGAGGAAAAATGCACAGGTGTGCAACAGTGAATACAGGCTTTTTTAAGGCCACTTATTCATTTATTTATCGACAGAGTCCCACTCTGTTGCTCAGGGTGGAATGCAGCAGTGTGATCATGAGTCACTGCAAACTTGAACTCCTGGGCTCAAATGATCCTCAGCCTCCCAAAGTGCTAGGGTTACAGGCGTGAGCCACCACGCCTGGTAAAGGCCACTTTTAAAGAATGGTTTAAATGTTGCCAAATTCACATTGCTTACAGTGGTTTTTGTTTTTCTTTTTAAGCTTTTCATACTAGATTTCTTTTCCTGTATCTTTTTAAAATTCATTTTTTCATCTTGCTTATCTATTTTTCCAGTTTGAATCTTATCCATATATCCACTTATTTACAACTATTGTGGTGACAATGATATTGGGGATTTTGCTTGCTCATCTGTGCTCCTGTTTATATTCCCTATGCCTGGTACTTAGTTACAGGGATGAATGATGACTGAATTGTGAGAGTGATGCAGCTAAAGTGTGACTTCAGGTCCTGAAAGAATCCTGGGCTGGAGGGCACGGTGAGGAGCAGCGCTTGTGTAATCTGAAGTCAGTGTCTGGCTCCATCAGTGTGGGTGTGTTGCTTCCGGAGCAGGGAGATTCTAGAACACTGTAGTTCAAAGGGCCTGGGGACTCATTCAACTGAGCCTCTAGCCCTCATGACAGAGAGACAATGTCAATTACAAGGCAGGGGGTAGCAGCATCCTGTTGCAGAAAGAACTAGGCTTTGGGGTCAGATGGATCTAGGTTTGAATCCTGTTCCTGAGACTAACTAGCTGTGTGATTTTAGGATGATATCTCTGTCTCAGCTTCCTCTTCTGCAAGTTAGGGATAATAATATGAGTACTTACATCATAGAGTTATGAGGATTAAATGAGCAAATACATGTAGAAGAGTACCCAGGACATAAAAAGCACTGAATAAGTGCCAGCTGTTATCAATGTTAACAATAATAGAATATAAAATACTGCAGTAGTGTTTGGTAGTAGCATATCTTGTGGCGTGTCTACTCCCTAGATGAGGCATGACTTTTGTTGTCAATTTAGGGCTGGGTGTAAATGCTTTTGAATGGGTTTCCCTTATTCAGGGGGAAACGCTGTCTCATCACATGGGGATTGGTGATGCCTGGGCTGTTACTTTATGTACCAAACAGAAGGGCTTCGTCAAAGAGTAGAAGTTTGCAGATAATCTTGTGATCTTTTCATTCAGTAATGTGTTTTCCATTAGAAGCAAAACAGTAACTACAACAGATTACCTGGAGTTTACAGTCCAGCTTTACACATAGACAGCCTGCATTATTAAAGACCAATTTTTACCCAGAGGTCCATTTAAAAAACATGCAACGTCTTGGCGTGGTGGCTCATGCCTGTAATCCCAGCACTTTGGAAGGCTGAGTGGAAGGACTGATTGAGGCCAGGAGTTCAGGACAAGCCCTGGGTAACATAGTGAGACCCTGTCTCTACAAAAAAAATTTAAAAAATTAGCTGGGCACAGTGGCTTGTGTCTGTAATCCCAGCTACTTGGGAGGCTGAGGCAGGAGGATCACTTGATCCATGATCGCGCCACTGCACTCTAGTGTGGGCAACAGAGCAAGATCCTGTCTCAAAAACAAAAGAAAGCAAAACAAACAAACAAAAACACATTCAACAGAGCATTAGAGTAATTTCTTATAGAAAGGGGTAGTGTCTTAACTTATTCTGTAGCTTGCTCCAGGTGGTAACCACATGAGATAATGTTCACCATGACAAAGCCTTTTTTTTTTTTTTTTTTTTTTTTGAGACGGAGTCTCGTTCTGTCGCCCAGGCGGGAGTGCTGTGGCGCGATCTCAGCTCACTGCAAGCTCTGCCTTCTGGGTTCACGCCATTCTCCTACCTCAGCCTCCCGAGTAGCTGGGACTACAGGCGCCCGCCACTGCGCCCGGCTAATTTTTTGTATTTTTTTTTTTAGTAGAGACGGGGTTTCACCGTGGTCTCGATCTCCTGACCTCGTGATCCGCCCGCCTCGGCCTCCCAAAGTGCTGGGATTACAGGCGTGAGCCACCGCGCCCGGCCGACAAAGCCTTTTTTTCACCTTCTTTTTCTAAAGGTGCATAATTTGGGCACCGTTAACTTTCTTTAAGAGCCCTGTTTCTAAAGTCTTTACTTTTGACATTCTCCTCTGGATTTCCTGCTTTGGTTCTTTGACCTCCAGCAAAGATGTAGAAATGAGTGTGTGTCAAACAATCTAGGCACAGAAAAAGAATGCAGTCCAGTCCTGTGTTTCCTGTTTCTTATGGGCTTATGAAAGCAGAGAGTTGTGGTCCACAGAGCCTCATGCCTTCCTGCTGTCCATGTGCCTTCCGTGAGTTTTATTATTTTTCTTTCTAATAGCGTTATTGAATTTTAGTTTATATATCATGTCCCTGAGTGTTTATCAGGAGTTTGACTTTGATTCTTATTTAAACTTCTACAGGGTGGTAGAGTTTTATATTTGAAGCCAGAGGTGAAGAGGAAAGGGTGATCACATTGATTAAGTGCTTGCCTTCATCATGTAATTCATCCATCTTTCTTGAGCTTTTGCTCTGAGCCAGCATTGTGAAAGGCACTTGGGTAGTGGTTCAAGGACATGAATGTGACAGCCAGATTATCTGGGTATGAATCTCAGCTCCACTAGTTACCAGCTGTGGGACCTTACGACTGCTTTTTTAACTTCTCTTGTGTCTCAGCAGCCCCCTCTACCAAATTAGGATACTAATAGTATAGCGTCCCCCTCATAGGGTTGTTTTGAGATTAAGTGACTTAATAATATAGAATGAGATGATGATGATGGGGAGGGGTTAGGATCTGGACTCAACCTGACACGTCACTGCTCTCATGCTGCTCACAGTCATGAGTGTACATGTGTGTAGGGCTGAGGTGCTGAGGATGGGGCCAGAGTGTGAGATATGTGAATAATTAATTACAGGTAGCATGGTGAGTTTATAGCAGGAAAGGAGGTCATTGTGGGAGCCTAGAGCAGGGAGGCCCAGGACCTTCGTAGGTCAGAGGAGCAGACTGGAGGAAGTCATGTTGAAGCTGAGATCTCAGGGAGGCTTGGGGTGGTGGGGGAGGGTGCGAGGTTCAGTTGTGTTTTGTGTTCTAGGCAGATGGAACAATATATGTGAAGGTCTAAGGAGAAAAGCAATCCCATGGTATTTAAGTAACTGAGGAAATCCAGTGAGCCTAGAATGTGGATTATGAGGAGAGTGGTAGGAGACAGAGCTGGCAGTGACAGCAGGAACCAGATCATGGAAAATTTGAGAATCCTTTTAAGGAGTTTGGGTGACAAAGAGCCAGGTACTGCCCTTAGGGGCTCCCATTCATTCTTTCATGCATCACAGTTCTGTGGTATAGGTGTTATTGGCCCCATTTTGTTGATGGGGAAGCTGAGGCTTTGAAAAATTGTCATTTGCCCAAAGGCACAGGCTTAGAAGGTCAGTGCAGCCAGGGTATGAACCTTGGTCTCTCTGGCTCCATTTTTTATGATACCATATGCCTTTGGAACATGAATCTGGTGCTTAGCTTTATGATTTCAGGCCACCCTCTTAATTTCCTTTAACCTCAGTTCACTAATCTGTAAAACAGATAATGTGTTAGTAAATACAAACCTTATATACTTGTAGAAACAAATGGAAATACACATAAAGGGCCAAGTATAATGCTACCACTGCTTATGGACCCAGATTCTTGTACAGAGAAATGTTTTTCCTTCACAGGCCCAATGAACTGGGATGGAACCCCATGAGCTACCTACATGTTGGCTTGGTTGTCAGTCATTTTTCCAAGGATTAATTGAAATCTACACAGACATCATCTTTGCACATAGGGAATTTACTCCCCTGGCTACTTGACAGGTTCAGCTAATTGGGCTCTCCTCTCTGCCCTACAAGCCTGCAGGCATTTGAGCTCCAGGTCTGCTGGTAGGAGTGACCCTGACGCTTTCCTATCTCCCAGCACCCTTCCCCTCATGAGCTCCCTAACTGCCCATTTCCTCTCTCTCCAGAGTCTATTGGGTCTGTTCTGCCTACACCTTAAGAAAAGAGCTCCACTCTTGCACTGTTGGCGCAAATTGTTATTTAGCTTTTTTTTTTTTTCATTATTTAACTTTTCTCATGTTGGTCTTGAGGGCAGACATTGTCTCTTCTCTGTATTTCCTGTGGTGATAACAGAATCCTATAGTAAGCACCCAGTAGATTACAATTGCTTTTACCAGGATAGGGCTTTATGTGTATCAAGGTTGGTTTTTTTTTTTTTTTTTTAGACAGAGTCTCACTCTGTCACCCAGGCTGGAGTGCGGTGGTGTGATCTCGGCTCACTGCAACCTCTGCCTCCCAGGTTCAAGCGATTCTTGTGCCTCAGCCTCCTGAGTAGCTGGGATTACAGGGGCACGCCACCACACCTGGGTAATTTTTGTATAAGGTTCTTTTGTAAGTTTTAAAAAATCTTCACAGCAGTCCACTGAAGTAGACAGAGCATTCTTTTAGTATGCCCTTTTAGTCACAGTCTTTCTAGCGCAGTTGGAGAAACTAAGGCCTACACATAAGCAACATGCCCATTAATTAATTTTTTATTTCTATAGGATAGACATTTAAAAGAGTAACTCTGTCCCAGGGGCTAGGAAATAGAGCTGACAGGCATAATCCCATCCCTTAAGGATGAGGCAGATATTTGAACAAACAATTGTATACAGCAAGTGAAGTTTTAGGACAGAGAAGTGTTGAAAGTGTTTAACTTTATTTGGGGAAGATCAGTGAAAGATTCAAAGAGAAAGAATTGCTGGCATTGGACCTTCAAGGACTTCAAGGTGCAGAAGGGGTGGAAGGGAGGGCATCCCAGGCAGAAGAAATGGCACATACCAAAGCCCAGAGGAGTGAACAGACAGGCACTTTGGGAGGCCCTGTAGCATCAGCATGGCTGGCAGGAGATGTATAGGAGATAGAGGGGAAAGATGGCTATGACTACCATTTGTAAGACCCTAAGACTTCCAGAAGCAGGAGACTAAAAGGGCCCTTTATAGTTCCTTCCTCTTCATTCAGTCTGCGCATCACTAGTACTTCTTTCCAGAGTCATACACATTCCATAAACGTCCTTTAAGCTCTGGATGGGCTCGCTATTGTCCTTGCTTTTTTGCACCCCAGCTTGCCTGCACAGAGGTTTGTCATCTCCTTTTCATGCTGAAAGAAAACAGATTTATCACAGGAGGAAACTGCGACATGATAGCTTGGAGGAATAAAGGTTACCAGGTGAAACGACATCTGCGTCATTTATTCTCTGTGGCATGAGGTAGCTGAGAAGGAATAAAGTCCGTCTGTGACCAAACACCTGTGTTTCTGTCTAGCTGGCAGGGTCACCGGAGGGGAGCTTTAAATTGCTCTTTAAATGAGTCAGACCTGTTCCCCCGGAGAGAAGGCTGGTGCAGCTTGAGCTCTGTGGGCAAGTCTGACTGGGCCTTTCTCACTTTTGCCTGTGTTTGCCTTGCAGCTGTGTAAATGAGTATGGAAGATTATGATTTCCTGTTCAAAATTGTTTTAATTGGCAACGCTGGTGTGGGGAAGACGTGCCTCGTCCGAAGATTCACTCAGGTAAGGGAACTCGTAAGGGAACTCGTAAGCCCAGGGTTGGGTTTGTCAGTCTAGCCTGAGGGGTTGGGGGAATCTGTCGAGATGGATGACCAGTTTCAATGCCAGGGTCTTAGCTGTGAGTTCCTGATGCACCCTTTGAAAGCTGCATCTGCTTTGTAGCCAAGACAAGGGGTTTTTAAACCACCTCACGGGAGCATGGCCCTGGGAGTCTCCACCAACCCTCCCATGCCTCTTCTTGCTTCCTTTAATGACAAAGGCAAGTGGTTTTGCTGTCAGTGTGCAGTATCAAAACTAAATTATTGGATAAAAGGAAGTTACTAATTAATAATCCCCAGGTGGAAACAAATGAATCTGGACGTCAAACTGAACCTAAATTTTTTAAAACTCTAATACAAATTAAACCAATCAAACTCTGCCTATGCCCCCTTACATCCTCCCAGGAAACTTGAGTGAATCATTTTCATTTAGGACCAAATAGGCCAATTTTCTAAACCTCTTCAGTAGGAATGAAATGAAAATAGTGAAGAATTATCTGAACTGAATTGAATGGCCTCTCTGGGTTGAATTCAATTCTTATCATATGATCTAAGTACAGGTTCCCTTTGGGACTGCCCTTTTGAGAATCACTGCTGGAGATTATATACTGCTTTTATATAGAAATCATTCCAAAGTTGACCTTTTTTGTGTGTTTTCCCCTGAAAAATATGAATGATACCCTTTGTAGGACCATTACATACATATCTTGAATTTTCATAAAGTACTTGTTCAGCAAGTTGGAACTTGCTCCTCTATCTAAGGCATAGGATAACCTGGTGCTGTGGAAAGAGCACTGGCTTGGGAGTTGAGACATGGGTCTTAGTCCTGGTTCTGCCCCTGGCTTGCTCTGTGAGCCTGGGTAAGTTACCTCCCTTTCCTGGGACTGCCTGTTGCACATCAGGGGCTGGGTGAGCTCCAAGGCCCCTTCCAGCTCTGACAGTCTGTGGTTTTGCGGAAAACGAAAGAGACAGATTGAATAACAAATAGCTAGAGGGCCCAGAGTCACTTTGGAAATGTCAGGGTTTTTCCCATGATAAGTGAATAGAACCCATGCTTTTTACTAAGCCGTGGCCTGGTGAAATCAAAAGTAACAAGCTAATAGGCATCTGGGCTCAGTCAACTGCCATGGAGATATATTGGAAACTCCAGCTGGTTTTACTTCTACCTAACATTAGTCATATTTTCTGCTTTTGACAAAAGGATAAGACTGCAGAGATGTAGTAAAGTTTTCAGTCCCTTTATCAAAAGTTTCCTTGACCTTGTCTTAGTATTGAAAGGTCACTTAGAGATTATTCAACCCACCTCTCTCACTTTATAGATGAAAGGTCAGATCTAGAGGGGCTAAATGCCTGCTTAGGATCTTATATTGTGAGATTAGATAGAGTGGCAAGGCTAGGATTAGAACCCGGGTTCCAGGTTCTTAGCCTGATAATTTGTCTCCTATACATTCTAACTTCTGAGACCATTCTCTTTAAAAGCACAAACTCTGTCATTAGATGTGAAAATGTCTCCATTTTCAACAGTAATTTTTTGCCAACAAGCTCTTTTTTCTTCTTTCTTATTTGTCTTTTATGTCTACGTTTTACCCCTCCCAGCTCCTCAACTCCACCATAAACTCATATGTCAGAGGCAAGATTATGTTTGTTTTTGTTATTTAGCAGACAGTTAAAATGAACTGGATCTAGCTGTTTTTTAGGCACAGAGGTTGGGAACAAAATGGTAGGTGAAACATTGGGAAGAATTCGTTTAACTTCTTGGCATTTGTTGAGGTGCAAAACATCTGGAGCTATAAACTTGAAGCTTGACAGCTTTTGTATCTGAGCCAAGCCAAAATAGAAGAAAATTGATTCAATATTTGAAAGTAAAGTTATGAATGTTTATATTTACATCTTTTGCAAACATGCAGTAGAACATTTTCTTTTGGTTTGAAGTTCAGTCTTTTAAGCTAAAACTTTAAATAATTCTTAATTAAAGATATCTGAGTCATAGTTGCCAGAACTAATAACGTCCATTTTACTTTAATTTCTGGAAATTCTGGAATATAAGTGAAGAGGGAAGAGAAACTGGGTGAAGAGTTCTTTCTTGACAGAATTTCTTGCTACTCCCAACTCCCTCCCTAAGCGTATAGGAAACATTATGTAATAGTAAATTGCATAAATTATACTTGTACCTTTGTTAAAATCTCATCTTTCTGGTTAAGTTTCCAGTTTGAAGTAAAGCATTTTGTTTATTTGTTTTAAAATGGCTTACATCAGCCTCAAACTCATTGAATTTGAGGCCCAGAGAGGGTGAGTGGTTTGTTTGAGGTTACACAGAGATCCTAAGGCTGCTGCCTCCTGGTTTAGTGCTGTTTCTACCCTACTGTCTCCTTGATGACTTAATTTTCTTAGATTATCTTCCCAGTGTCTTTGGCTTTGATCCCATGTAATTACACATGCATGGTACATTGTACTGAGGAAAACAGTGATCACCCTGGGGCAAAGGAAAATTCAGAAGCTTCAGGAGATCCAAAAAGACAGATCCCAAAACTGTCTTATTCCCGCTTCTCATGCTGAGTTCTTATTTGTTTTTTCATATTGTTGCCCATTCCCGTGGCTGTCCATGCTCAAGACTGATAACTAGTTTTAAGTATCCTTGATTTTATCTTTTAGAAAGAACCTATCCATTTTGCCCTGACCCTTCCAATTCTGATCTCATCCCTGTGGTCGCATGCCCTTCAATCTTATCTTCGTGTCTGATTTTTCTTTTTCATTCTTAAAATCAGGTTCCCCTGCCCTTTCTCAATTTTCTCCTTCACCTGTCTTTATCTCCTTTTCTCTGTCCTCCTGTCTCTTTCCTCTTCTTTCAGCATTTCTCTCTCCCACTTTCTCCCTCCTTTCTCTTTCCCTCAAGACATACATACAGAGTTGCACAGGGCTCCCTTGAGAGTAACCAGAGTTCTCTTTTCTACCAGTCACCTCAGCTGAAGGAAGGACTCCGGTGATGGGTGTTGCTGGGGGAGAGGAGAAAATTTCATTTAATGGAAATATTTGCTTAGCTGTTCTTTTCTATTATTTCTTCTTCAGGGTCTTTTCCCCCCAGGTCAAGGAGCCACAATTGGAGTTGATTTTATGATTAAGACAGTGGAGATTAATGGTGAAAAAGTAAAGGTAAGGTGCTAAATATTCACTAAGGTTGTCAGGTGCTATGTGAGAGGTTAGGGGAAGTACTGCTTTCATAACCATTTATTAAATCTCCTAATTGAAACCCACATGGAAACAATGCACTCAGCCATAATGGCTTATTTCCAGAGTTCTTCTAGTCTTTTTTATGGGGGAAGGAAGGAATTTTGGATGATGTGTTTACAGATTAGAAGACAGAAAATGGCTAAGGCAAGTTTGTCCTGTCTCCTGTCATGTCACAAGTGACATAAAGATAAGGAAGAAATTTCTTTTTGGATCTCTTGAGCTGGGCCAATAAGCAGGTGCTACCTCCTCTAAACAGCAGCCCCATGAAAGAGCCTCCCGATTTCTACATTTCATTATGAATCACTTATTTAAATTATCCTGTCTCCTCTCATATCCTTGTCTCTAAAAAGGAAAGACACTAAATGAGGAGTATGGGAAAGGATACATGCTCTCTAGCCCCTGCTTCCTGCCCCTCCAGCCTTTGTGGCTTCTGGATGATTTGGTACTTGGAAGAAGTATGGTGTGTCCAGGAACAGGACAAAGGAGAGAATGTTTATTGAGTACCTACAATCTGTCAGTGCCTCTGCTGGGTGCTTTTACATATGTTATATTTAGTTTAGTCCTTACTGTAAACCTGTGGGGTAAGTGGTATTATCCTCGTTTTACTGGCTTCAGAGAGGTTAAATAACTTACTTATCCATGGCTACACATAGATAAGTATAGGAAGGGGGACAGGCAGGATTTGAACCCATTTCACCAACCAGTACACCCCACTGCCTTTCTGGGGTCTCCTCTGCCATGAAAGAAGAAGGGAAGAAAGGCACACTAGGCCTATCACCTGGAGCAAGGAAAGGAGGAAGGTGATGGAAAGAAATGTGAAGGGAGACTAAATCACCTGGAAGGAGGATAAATATACTGATGTTTGGCACTGTGCTCTACCTGCCGTCAGAGTTACTGAAGTTCCACAGTTGGCTCTTCAGAGCTGGGTTTTATGGAAAGAAGTGATAGCCAAGGCCTGGTACAGTGGCTCACGCCTATAATCCCAATACTTTGGGAGGCCAGGAGTTGAAGACATAGCGAGACTCCATGTCTTCAAAAGATAAAAAATTGTCTGGTCATGGTGGCATGCGCCTGTAGTCCCAGCTACTCGGGAAGCTGAGTGAGAGCATTGTTTGAGCCTGGGAAGTTGAGTCTGCAGTGAGCCATGATTGTGCCATTGCACTCCAGCCTGGGTGACAGAACGAGACCGTGTGTGTGTGTGTGTGTGTGTGTGTGTGTGTGTGTTGGTGACAGAGAGAGAGAAAGAGAGAGAGAAGGCTGGGGGAGGGATGGAAAGAAGGAAGGAAAGGAAGGATAGCCCAGCTATCAGCAGCACAATGAAAACTGGCATTTTAGAGTTCTACCTTGATTCCCAACCTAAGCATCCTATGTTTGGGTCCATTTATTTGCATCCTTCTCCCATACGTACATGCTCTCCTTCCTTTGAGTGCCTTGGGAAGAGCAGAGAAGCTCCATAATGCTCTTCAGCATTTTCTAGATACTTGCCATCACAGAGAAGTGTTTAGGAGGAGGTCCTTGAATGGGGGCCAGAAGCTCTCTCAGTGTCTCTTCCAGCCCTGACTCCTTAAAATAGCTCATACTGCAGAGACATCCACACCAAATACAGCAGTGAATGGGGAGCTGGAGCACTGGAAGATAAAAGCAGGGTATGAAATCCACATAAATGCTAACTAAAAAGTGAACAAAAATAGTGTGGGGGGTGGGAAGAAGGAGCTAGGCTGTGGGGACAGGAAAGAGAGACAGGAGTGTGCTCAGGAGGCATTGATGGGAGGAGCCTTTTGTAGCTTTCTGTTGTCCTAGTGGAGGGGAGGTAGTTACCCAAGGAGTTGGGTAAAGATAACTACTATTTCATGCATTTTACTTCCAGATATTTGGGTTTTCCATTCATATATATATGAGTTCATTTATTTGATTTAGTGCCTACTACCTTCCAGGCACTGGCCATAAATAAGGGTGAATAAGGAATGGTCCCTGCTGTTAAAGAACAGGCTTATTTTTCTTTCCTGAATTCCCAGGCATAAATATTCCATTTATTCTACTTTCTGCAAACCTTATTTTAAAAAGTGCTTATTACACTGCAAAAATTGATATTTTTATAACATCTGACTCCACCATAAGGCCACAGGCTCCCCAAGAGCAAGGTTTGTGTCTTACTCATATTTGTATTCACAGCACACTTTCTATCCCCAGTACTTCTTCAGGCTTCTAGAACTTTATCTATAAAAAGTGACAGTTGGCTCATCTCCCAAATCCAGTCCAAATCAACTTGCCTGTGATTCTTTCAAGCCCAATATATAAAATAAAGATACAGGGTGGCCCTCTTCAACCACATGAATTTAAGGGCCTCATTAACATGTAGGCATATGAGGAACAACTTCTTTAATCCTTTCTTAGAAGAGGGCAGAACTGCATAGTTGTCTTATTGTCATCTTTTTTTTTTTTTTTTTTTTTTTTGAGAAAGGGTCTTGCTCTGTTGCCTAGGCTGGAGTGCAGTGGTGCAATCACAGCTCACTGCAGCCTCGACCTCCTAGGCTCAAGTGATCCTCTCACCTCAGCCTCCCAAGTAGCTGGGACTACAGGTGTGTGCCACCATGCCCAGCTATTCATTTTTATTTTTATTTTTTGTAGAGATGGGGTCTCACTATGTTGCCATGTTGATCACTCCTGGGCTGAAGTAATCCTTCTGCCTCAGCCTCCCACAGTGCTGGGATTACAGGCATGAGATACCACATCCAGCCTGTCATCCTTCTTCTTTAACATTTACTGAGTATCTTTTCTCAGTGATGTTAAAGTGTCTTTTTGCTAGTAGTTTGCGGGCTTTCCCAGAGCCTCATAAAGTCAGTGGATAAGAGAATCCACCAGTGATTCGTATGGCATCACCCGCTTGGTGAGTGGCAGGACCACTCTCCTGACACCCTCATCAGTGTCCTCTACAAGTATCATTTTTTCCAGGATGGCTCCCAGGATTGAAGGCAGGGAATCCAAGGTATTAGATTTTTGTAGCTATTAAGGCCAAGTAAGCGCCAAATCAGTAAAAACAAAATTAATGAAGAGGCCCTTCTCTTAAAAGGGTCTGCATTATGAAGGTGACCTCTGGTAGAAAATATAATTAAAACATATATAGACCACTGAACTGTATGCTTAAAAGTGGTTAAAATGATAAATTTTATGTATGTTTTAGCAGAATAAAAAAAATGGAAAAAACACAGAACTTTCTCATATATATTTTAGTCTATTATAAATTAATGAGTAATAAGAAAAACTCTAAGCTCAATTTAAACCATTTTAGCCTTAAGAGATAAATCATAATAGAAATAGAAGATTTGCTGTATCTCTTTCCAGTCAGATCTATGTTGATAGATAGGAGAGTCATGAAAGTATTTATATGTATTTGTTTCTTCAACCATCTGTCCATCCATTCATTCCTCCATCCTGTGTTGTAGTAAATGTTTTGTGCCAAGCACTGTGGTGGTAAAGCATCCCTGCCCCTTAGGAACTTACTATCATCTAGCTCCATCTGTGAAATCTTCTTTAATACCCTACTAATCTGTTAAGTAGAATTGACCAGTTCCTCCCTTGTGATTCCACAATCCTTTGTTCATTTAGTTAGCCATCATTCAAATGTTTCTACCACGTGCTGTGTGCTGTGTTAGGAAGGTACTGGGGGTGTAAGGTCAAATAAAAGACAGCCTTTGCTCTCAAAGAACTCAGTAGTAGAGTAGTAAACCAATGATTGCAGTACATTATTATGACGGTGAGGCAATGGAGTTTAAGTAGTGGTGCAGAGAAGAGAGTAGACAAACAATGTAGCCACATGCTGAAGGTGAGAGTGGTTAGAAAGCCCGTGGCTACAGTATTGAAAACATATTGACAGGCATGAGACTAACAGCAGGAGACGCTCTCTTCCTTTTTAATAGAACATCTTGTATTCTGCTATAGTTAATTAACTGTGTGTGTCCTTTCTATAGACTGTGAGCTGTTTGAAATCAGCGTTGATTTTATTCATCTTTATATCCTCCCTGTGTTTTATTCATCTTTATATACTCCATGTGCCTAGCACAGTACCTTGCATATATTAATGTCCTATAGATGCCGAAAGGCGCAAATGAATTGCAGAGAATGGTGAAACCAAGTTGAGTGACAAAGGCAGTAGAATATGAATATCCTCAATAATCAACTGTCAGCTAGAAACAGGCAGCCCCCTATGAGAAGGTAACATATCTTGGCATGCTCATACAATCGCTGTTCTAGAAAATATTTCAGTGACTTTAACCCTCGAAGCTGTTCTCAAGATGTGGGAACACACTGATTTCTAATACTGAACAGTTCCTAAATCGCAATCACAAGTGTTTTAGGGGCTCAGTGCAGCTTTAAAACAATAGCCCATTATTCTAAGACACATCCTGGCAGAGGGGAACCGTGTCCCTAGGTTTGAGGCAGAGAAGAGAAATAGCCTTTGTCCCAGCAAAAACCGTAACATCTGTACAGTGGCCTTTAGCATACACAGGCTTTCATGTGTATCATCGAAGAGCAGCTGCAACTGCAGATCAAAGGAGAGCCTTTGTGTGCTGCTGATTCATGGCAGGGACTACGGGTCACTCAGCAGTCTCTTTAGCTAAGCTAGTATGAGCAGAGGGTGACAGCAATGGATTCATCCTCTTTGGATACAGATGCACATTTTAGTTAGTCTTTGGTGGCAACAGCAGCATGGGAGCATGGAATGAGTCCTCAACTGGAAATAGAAGGCCTGGATGCCATGTCCTAGCTTTGTGAATAACCAGTTAGTTAAGGGACAGTTTCCATTAATACGGGGAGGTGTACACTTGCCTACCTCACTGGATTGTTGTAAAGATTAAATGAGACCATCAGTAAATATTTGAGCACCTCCTATTTGCCAAGTGCTCTATTTGCTCTAAATGGACCCTGACGTCTCCCTCATGAAGCTTTCAGTTTAGTGGGAAAGATGGCTATTAAACAAATTATTACAAATAAATGATTCAGGCATGTCAGGTGCCATGAGGGAGAATGACAGGATGTATCGCAAGAGAGACTGTGTGGGGTGGGGGGGTGGGGAACCTAGCCTAATCTGAAGGTTCTGGAAAGCCTTCCTGAGGAAGCAATCTTATGTCCCTGGACATGAATACACCTGTGACCTGTGAAATTCGTGCAATTAGAAGGAAAGATTATTGTTTTTGTTGATGTTCTTATTTCTCAAGGCCTTGTGTTTTGTTCTACACTTAGCAGCCACCCTGGAGAATAATTCGTTTTCAGTAGTTGTCTACTCTGTGCAGGGAAATTGACAAGTATTGTCTTCTTCTTTGTTATTAGAATTATTAGTTATTAGGACTTAGAACTGGTAGATAACTGCAGAAAAAGTGAACCTTCAGCAGGTTGTGTGTTATTAACCACTTTTTATAAAGAAATAATCAAAGCCCAAAGAGATTAAGTGACTTGGCCAAGGTCATAGAACTTAAGAGACCTGAAGGAAAATTATATTGTTGTCTGCCATGGCATGATTCCTGTTTTCTTTAACAAAGATAATACCTTAATACATCCATTTGAATTTTGAACTGGAAAAGTGGTGAGGTTGGCTCTCCCTCCAGTTGCTGATTAAATGCCAACAGTCACAGCTTGCCCTGTATCATGCCTTTTGTAATATGGCATTGTGAGTAAGAACGGGGACTCTGGGACCACAATGCCTGGTTGAATTGGTTCTGGGACATATTGGCTATGAGATGCTGAACAAGTTAATTAATCTTACTGTGCCTCAGTTTATTCATGCAAGAAATGGGTATTATGATAGTATCTACCTCATAGGGTTACTGTGAGGAATAAGTGAGTTGCCACAGGTAAAATGCTTAGAATAGAGCTTGGCACATAATAAATGCTTGACGAATTTCCTATATGTATTTTTTTAAGAATGAAAAGGAAACTCTTAACAAAGAAAAAACAAAACAAAACAAAATAAGCCCCTCTCCCTAACCAGAAACACACCCAACAGATTTTTTTTTTTTTAATTTTCAGTGCTTTTTTTTTTTTTTTTTTTTTTTTTTTTAGGGCAGAAAATAACCATGAAATTGTTTGGGTAAAGGTGTACCCATTTTCAAACCAAAGCAAGGCAAAGCTTTTTTTTTCTTTTTTTCTCCAACCTGATCCTTCTTCACCTGATTCTTATCTTATGCCTTTACAGCTACAGATCTGGGACACAGCAGGTCAAGAGAGATTTCGGTCCATTACCCAGAGTTACTACCGAAGCGCCAATGCCTTGATCCTCACCTATGACATTACCTGTGAGGAATCCTTCCGTTGCCTTCCTGAGTGGCTGCGGGAGATAGAACAATATGCCAGCAACAAGGTCATCACTGTGTTAGTGGGTAAGTAAGGGCTAACGAGGAGGGAAATTGATTTGTGGGCATTAGAGGATTTATAATCACATAAAGCTTATACATTGGTGCCTTCCAAGAATATAGTCTTTAGCTAATAATTCATGCAGTCAACCTTCAGTTCTTCTGCAATTGAAGAGAAAATGAAATAGGTCCTATCCCATGGTGACAGTTTAGAAAAATAAAGTAGAAAACATTTTCTATCAATGTAGGCTCTAGGGAAGAAGTTGGATGGCCATGAAAGTTATGTGAGCTGCTAAAAATTTAAAAAGTCTAATTACAAGATGAAAGGAATGGCTGTTCTAGAAGAAAAATGTATCTTTTAAGTTGATATGGAATTCATTATTGAAGCAATTGTTTATTGCCTAAAAGGTGGATTTTGGTAATTTTTTTTCCCTTCCTAACATTTAGGCTGATTTGAGAAATTCTGTGTTTCAGAAAGAATCTGCTAAGGGCAATGCTGTAGTTTGTTTCATCTTGTAGGAGAATAAAACCTCTATTTAGTATGGGGGGAAAGCACAAAACAACCCTTGATTTTCTATCATGACTGATATATGCATTGAAATGGACCAGGTCATTAAAAACTTCTCTGTTTGTAGTGGAAAAGTGTTAGTAACCATTTGATCATTAACATATTTTCTTCCTAGAAAGGAACGTTCCTATATAGTCTAGCAATACCTGAATTAGGGAAATTTGAGTAGAGATCCTTAGAAGCATTGTTAAGTTACAAATTATGGTTAATAATAAGCTCAGTAAACACTTTAGAATAGTGTTATAATTGGTATATATGTGCCAGGAATGATACGAGGAACTTTATGTGTCATGATCCCTGATTTACAGATCAGGAAACCACGGCTCAAAGAGGTGAAGTTCTTTTCCCAAGGTCACATAGCATGTAAGATCAACTCCAAGCCCTGTAGTTGTCCAGCTGTAATATGTTACGTTGTAACAAATTGCTGGACTTTTCCTTCAGGCTGCTGGATGAAGCATCTGTGTTTCTATGAGCTAGTGCTCCCTGTAAAACCCTTTTGGACAATGTTGAACCTTTGCCATAAAGCATTTGAGAGGTCTGCATTTGTACCTTCTGTTTTACAGAAAGCCTTTGGGAACTTGAGTCAAAGCATTACTACTTGGGATTTTATCTAAGGAAGGTAAATGAAGATTTGAGGGGAGACAGTTAGTTCAATATGAAAGAGGAATTGGCTTAAAACACAATTTTACTATGGAAAATTTCAGACATAAACAAGAGTAGAGAAACAGTATAGTGAATCCCCTTCTACACATCTCCCAGCTTTCACAGTTACCAACTCATGACCAATCTTATTTTCTCTTCCCTAGCAATGCTGTCCACCTTCTCCCTCAGATTATTTTGAAGCAAATCTCAGAGGTTGTATTAATTCATGTTTCAATATCTGTGTATATCTCTAATAGATTTTTAAAAAGAAAACCTAACCTCAGTGGCATTTTTACACCTAAAATATGTTAACAATTCCTTAGTATCCTTAAAAACTTAGACAGTGTTCAAATTTCCCTGATCGACTCATGATTTTTTTTCGTTTGTTTGTTCAAATTAAGATCCAAATAAGGTCCAGAAGCCGGGCATGGTGGCTCACACCTGTAATCTCAGTGTTCTGGGAAGCTGAGGCAGGAGGATTGCTTGAGCCCAGCAGTTCTGACCAGCCTGGGCAATGTAGCGAGATTAGCCAGGCATGATGGCATCTACCTGTGGTCCCAGCTACTCAGGAAGCTGAAGCAGGAGGATCACCTGAGCCCAGAAGTTGAAGGCTGCAGGGAGCTATGATCACACCACTGCATTCAGCCTGGGTGACAGAGCCAGACTCTTTAAAAAAAAAAAAAAAAAAAGCCAAGTAAGGTCCATATGTTGTAATTGACAGCTACATCTTTTCATCCTTTTTTATGAAGTTTCCACTCTCATTTTTTTTCTCTCTTAGAATTTTTTGCTAATGCATTTGTTTGACCTATAGGCTTTACAAGTCTAAATTTTGTTTTATCGCCCCAAGGTGTCATTTGATATCACCTCCATCACCTATATTTCTTGCAGATTTATAGATAAGTCTAGAGGCCTGATGAGAGTCAGGATTTTTTTGGTTTTCTTTTTAGACAAAACACTACATATATCATACTCTGAGGGGTAGTTCTCATAGAACAGGCAGGAAGAATGCTTGATTCTTTTTTGTTCACCACTTTTCAAGGTAATAAGCTGGTTCTCCAGTATCTTCTAAAAGTTAACTATTGACATCTGTTTATATTTGTAATATTATTATAAATTTATAGATTTAAATAGATTTGATGGGCTGGGCATGGTGACTCATGCCTGTAATCCCAACACTTTGGGAGGCTGAGGCGGGTGGATCACTTGAGGTCGGGAGTTTGAGACCAGCCTGGGCAACATGGTGAAACCCCATCTCTACTAAAATATACAAAAAATTAGCCAAGCATGCCTGTAATCCCAGCGGGAGGCCAAGGCAGGAGAATCTCTTGAACCTGGGAGACACAGGATACAGTGAGCCGAGATTGCACCACTGCACTCCAGCCTGGGCAACAGAGCGAGACTCTGTCTCAAAAACTAACTAAATAAGTAAATTTGATGTATTTCAGTCCCTTGCAATTATTATTATTGATGCTCCCATTGTTCCGACTTTGCCAGTGGGAGCTTCTTCAAATGGGCTCCTGAGTCCTTTTGACATGACCCCAGGAATGTTGGATAATTTTTTTGCTTTCTGGTATGACAAGTGTTCCAGCCACAACTTGTGCATTTCCTGCCCCAGACCTGGAATTAGCCATTTCTTCAAGAAGTGCTTTCTTTTCAATGGGAAGTCGTATTTAGAGGCCACAACCGAGGTGTTAGGAGCCCTCCTGATGGGCCATTGTTTTTAGGCCTTTCAGTGGACAGAGCTTGTGTGTATGTGTGCATGTGTGTGGTGGATTCTGTAGTATCCTCAAGAGAGTTTTCCTATTAGGTTCTGCTAGCGTTCCGACTCACAAGACTACCGTAGACCACGCGTGGCATCGTGTTCACTTAGAAGGACACAGGACAGGAAATACAGCTTGACAGCAGATCAGCATCCGGCAACCCTCTTCAGTGGAAGTAATCCCAGTAGCAGTCCACGTAATTTTCCAGGACCTCCTACCCAGTCCGCAACCCCCAGACGATTCTAGTATGAGGGAACAAGGCTCATGTCAAACAGATGGAGGATCTGCCTTGGCCTAGCAGCCTCAATACCCCATAGGAGACTAAATCTATTATAACAACTCCACAATCATAACTTCCAGGGTCTCTTCAAATGAAGTCACCACATTCAGGGAAGCTCAAAGTTATGGCTTTCCATTAGGTATTTATAATTCTTAGATAGAATTCCCAGGCCAGAAGTCATTTATCAATCAGGGGTCATTTTTACCATAAGCGGTGTTGCCAGATAATACAATTGACACACCTTTGTCA
Organism: Homo sapiens; assembly: GCF_000001405.40. Classification (NCBI taxonomy): domain Eukaryota; kingdom Metazoa; phylum Chordata; class Mammalia; order Primates; family Hominidae; genus Homo; species Homo sapiens. The sequence continues at coordinate 82,984,114 of NC_000011.10, read as the reverse complement.
GGTTTCCTGGAGAATTTGAGGTAGGTGGAAAACTTTTTAAAGATAAAATACATCATGAATTATTCATACTGATACTTCTATTTATAATTCAGGACTGCAGAAATTTTACTTAACCACATTAATTTTATATTTATATTTCCTTTTTCCTATGCCAAAAGTCCCAGTTCCCAATGGTACCAGCATAATTACTCATTTGCTTTATCCCATAATACACAGATAGCAACCTCAGAATAATAATACCAACAGTACCACCAAAAAGATGATTACTGAAACAGTTCAAGATTGTTTCCTTCAATTCTTTTTGTCCTTAGGCTATATACCACTGGGGTTGCACTGTTAAATTACTGTATCTTAAGCACCTTGAAATAGTTACTCTGTTGGCCCGGCTCGGTGGCTCAATTGCGTGTAATCCCAGCACTTCTGGAGGCCGAGGCAGGTGGATCGCTTAAGCTCACAAGTTCAAGACCAGCCTGGACGTGGCGAAACTCTGTCTCTGCAAAAAATAAAAAAAAAAAATTAGCTGGGCATGGTAGTGCCTGCCTGTAGTCCCAGCTACTTGGGAGGCTGAGGTGGGAGAAGATGGCTTGAGCCCAGGAGGTGGAGTTGCAGCAAGTCAGGATCGCGCCACTGCCCTCCAGCCTGGGCAATAGAGCCAGACCTTGTCTCAGTTAAAAGAAAAAAAGGGTTACGGTCTGTGTGGTTATTCCACACATGATGAACATGTTCATTTGTTTAATTTTGCTCTCAGTTTTTAGGGATTGCTTTTTAAATTTAATTTTGAAATTAATTGTATAATTATATAAAGCATTTTTAAGTTCCTAAAGTAAAATCTACAAAACAAAGTATATTCAGAGAGGTCTGGTTTCTATTCCTTTCACCTCAACCCTGTTCCTTTCATAGGTAACCATTTTCTTTTAAATTAAGATTTTGGTCTAGTCTTCTATTAAAAAAATAAATAAAATGTGTGTATAATATATGTATTCATATCCTTCCCTTTTTCTTGGATAGACAGTTGCGTATTGTATATGCTTTTTTTTTCTGCTTCGCTTTTTTTTTGGTTAACAGTATATCCCAGTGTTTCCATTACATGGCAGTATATAGAAATACTCCTAATTGATTTTTATGGCAGCAAATACTCCATTGGGTGGATGTGCCATACTTTATTCAGTCAGTGCCCTACCGATGGACATTTGGGTTGTCTCCAGTTCTTGCCATTATGAATGGCACTCATTTTTTATTTATTTATTTTTTTTGAGACAGAGTCTCACTCTGTCACCCAAGCTAGAGTGCAGTGGCATGATCTCGACTCACTGCAACCTCTGCCTCTGGGGTTCAAGCGATTCTTCTGCCTCAGCCTCCCAAGTAGCTGGGACTACAGGTGCGTGCCACCACACCTGGCTAATTTTTGTATTTTTAGTAGAGACGGGGTTTCACCATATTGGCCAGGCTAGTCTCGAACTCCTGACCTGGTGATCCACCCGCCTTGGCCTCCTAAAGTGCTGGGATTACAGGTGTGAGCCACTGCGCCCAGCTGGCACTCATATTTTAAAGTAAACATTTCAGTAATCACAGTCACATTTGTTTTGTTTTACTCGCCCATCTGTCTGGCTTGACTTCAGATATGGAGTTGAATTTTGATGCTTCTCAGCCTGCAAAAAGTCAAATGCTGATTCTTTATTTGATTTTACTACTGTTATAGGCAACAAGATTGACCTGGCTGAAAGGAGAGAGGTTTCCCAGCAGCGAGCTGAAGAATTCTCAGAAGCTCAGGACATGTATTATCTGGAGACCTCAGCCAAGGAATCTGATAATGTGGAGAAACTCTTCCTTGACTTAGCATGCCGACTCATCAGTGAAGCCAGACAGAACACACTTGTGAACAATGTATCCTCACCCTTACCTGGAGAAGGGAAAAGCATCAGCTATTTGACTTGTTGTAATTTCAACTAAAGGCTGAGGCACGGAGAAGAAAAGGAATCAGCAACTGCCCTGATGGGCCATGAGATGCTGGGGAGATCTGGCGATGACTGTGGCTCCCGCTCTCTGACCTTCTGACTCCTGTGGGCTCCTGAGCTTACAAAGCATGGCAGGCCAAGGGCCTCGACCACAGGCCAGCATTAGCAGAACATATAATGGTTTCACCCTTTTCCAGTCTGGAGTTGGAGCAAGGAGAAAATTGCACTAGGCACTCCATGATCTGCAGAGCATGTTGCTTTTGTTTTTTTAAAAAGCAAGTAAAAGCGCATTCCTAAACAGAGTCCGGGGGGAAATGTACTGTAGGGATCCCTCCTGCACATCAGTGGGTGCATGTGGGAACTCTTCTTTAGGGCTTCGGTGGTAATCATCTGGGGGCCCTGGTTTTCTTGTCTACCAGATAAACCAAAACTGGGAAGGCCAAGTACAGTCTCTGTGGTGCGTATTGACGACCCCATGGAGATTTTGAAAAGTGTTATTTCTCTTGTCCACAGGCACTTTCAAGAACTTTGGGATGTAAAAATGAAATGAAACCTTTACCCATGACCAACAGTAACAATCATTGTTTTAATAATATATACAAGCTCCATAACTCCTTTTGGTGCTAATGATTCCGCTATTTCACAGACCAAACGTTTTAGTACATTAATGTCCTTAAATGTGTTATATAGAAATAAAAAAATGGGGGAAGTCCATGAATCAGCACTCTTTCTCAAAGTCTCATTACTACCTTTTTAAAGGTGGATTTTTGGGAAAAGAGAATACTTTTCCTTTTATGTTCCCCTCTGAATCTCTACCACTTTCTTGTCTCTCCAGCCCTTTATGTAAATGAAAACGTTTGCAAAATGAAAAAAATAAACAAATGGTTGATGACATTCTAATATAAAAACTTAGCTCTAACACATTTTGAGTAGTATGAGGAAACAGACCAGATATGACCAAAATACTGTGGATTAATGGACTGTAGTGCAGGGCTCCTAGCAGAGCACAGTCCTTGATAGTAGGTCACATCTTTTACTTCCTGGTACTCTCCATCTTGGACAGACCAAGGCTTAGGATTTTGTAGATTTTTTAGTATGATAAGTGAGAATAGCAACAGATGAAAAGTCTCACGACCCATTTTTATATCTTCGATGATAACCTTAGAAAAATTCTGCTCGTGGAAGCAGATTGAACTGTCATTTATCCCCTCCTTCTTGTAATAATGTTACCTTCAGACGCTTAACCATATGTTCTTTCTTTTTTCTTTCTCTTTTCCTCTCTATTTTTCTGGTCTCTCCTTTTCTTCTTCCCTCCCTCCCTCCCTCCTTCCCTCCCATCCTTATATGCCTGTGTTACTGCAAATCTCCAATTCAAATGGAGGTGTATATGCCTTTACTTAGCCAATTTAAAAACAGGACTCAAAATGGGAGATGTGCTGCTGAATATGTGTTTCTTTTTCTTCAGTGCCATACTTTGATAGCTTCCAATTTGTTCACTGATATAAATGCAAATTGGGAAAATAATTAAACCTGTATGCTGTTGATGCTGTCAGATGTTTCTGTAGCTTGCTGCTTAGCATAACTGAGGGATGAGTAATGGAATAAGGATATGATGTGTAATTCCACTGTTGCTGTAGATGGTGACAATCTCAGTTCTGATATGTTGATGTTTGAAAGCTATTTAATTGTAAAGAAATTAGTCATGTAGAGACATGATGTGGATAAAGCATTTCTGGCATTTCTCTAGCAGGTTCTAGATTGACCAGTGTCTTGCACATGAGATTATGCATATTTTTTAAGGGGCTGATACTTTTGGTTGGCCTCACTGTGTTTTTCCTGATCCTGTGGGAAAGAGAAAGGCATCCCAGAAGTTTGACTTGTTTTTCTTTTAGAATCTGTCTCTGCAGGAAAGAAAAGTCATTTTAATAAAAACCAAAATAATTTATAATAATTGTTGCCTTTCCCTCCCCATCCTCTCCACTAAGCCAGCAACTAAATGTATTCAGAAAACAAGTTAATCAAGGAGGGCAGAAGAATTTTTTTTAAACTGTAAGAAAATGTTCCTAAGTTTAGATTTATTACCTGTCATTTAGGGCAAAAATCCAGTGTCCCCAGCACATGATGACCCAACTTTGTCTCACAGTTGCAAGTGTGTTGAAAATAAAGTTGCTTTGTGAACTTAGAGGAAATGGCTGTGTTAGATTGGACTGATTTAGTTGCAAAATAATACCTTTTAGGGTCACACTTGTATTATTCCCTAGGGTTTAGCCTTCTCTATATACCCTTGGCCAGACTCAGAAGGGGATTAAAAAGCTCTGGTCTTGGCCTCTATCTTCCTTGTTGCTCCTCCCAGCCTTTCCATAACTTACCCATCCACAGCCCATCAGCAGGAACACATGAGAATGTGGGACTTTGTTTCTTTTTTTCTTAGTTGTATGAATTCCAGATTAGGCCTTATGGATACTTGTCTACTAATATATCTGAAGTTTGAAAACAATCCCTGACAATATTGTAGGTGCAATAAATATTAGTCAAATAAACATTTAAGTGCCAAGGTGGGGTGGTAGTGGTTGGGGGAGCTTTTTTTGATTAAACAGAAATTCCTTCAAGTAGAACTTGAGAAAGGACACTAAATACAGTCATCTTAACCCAGGCCAGAACCTAAATTTATTGGTTTGCCTAACAGTCTTATTGTCATGGCAATATTTGCTAAGATGAGCCTTCTTTAGATAAAAATGAACTCTCATTTAGTGGTGGATGAAAAAAGAGAAATTGCTTTATCATATAGTTTAATTTGGCTCGGTCTACTAAGACCACCAGGGTTGATGTATTCCTCCATTTTTGGTGTGATCTTTTTCTTCATTCAATAAAGTTATTAAATATATGGCAAAACTTTTTTCAGTTTCCAGTGAAAATGCATGATACTCATGTCATGGAGTCAGGCTTGGGAAAATCTATGAAATAATAGTTTGCTGATAATGATATTTTCTTATGGCTTTGTATAGACTACATCCTCAAAGGATTTTGTGCTTCTTTGCCCATAGAAGGCTTTTTCTCCCTTTGTGTGCTTTTATTAAATCTGTTGAATTATATTAATATTTTTTGAATTTACAGGGCCAATTATCTTTTTTGATGGATTACTTAGATTAGGCCATGGGTTCTTCCTGGCCTTTCTTTTTCTCGGTCTTTTAATCATTTCACGTTTTTATCTCTCCCTGAGTAAAGTGGCAAGAAAACTAAAAATGAAAGTTAAATGGGTTGATTTGACAATGTGTCAAGTTCTGATTTAGAGTTTATAAGGAAGGTAGAAACGATTGGCCAAAATAAGATATTTGGATGAGGATTATTTAAGCCGTTTAGATTTGGCCAGAGACGCCAGATTTAGCAAAGGACTGGGTTCTTATCTTCTTTCATTCATGAATATATGCCTTGGGAGGACACTGGTGATTCCCACAGAATTAGGCCAATGATTTGCCACATTACCCTTTAAGCTAGCCCATAATTCCACCAGATCCCACACCAAGTTTCAGTTCATGACTCATACTGAATAAACGTCAGTTGTAAATGATGTTTGAATTGGTCTTCCTACTAAAGTGAAACATCTTCTTTTAAGCCAAGCCACATGAATGAAATAGCACAATCAGAAAAAAATCTTTTTTTTTTTTTTTGCATATCAAACCAATGGCCTTCTCCACTAAGCCAGCAACTAAAGGTATTCAGAAAACAAGTTAATCAAGGTGGGCAGAACTTTTTGAACTGTGAGGAAATGTTCCTAAGTTTAGATTTATTACCTGTCATTTAGGGCAAAAATCTAATGTCTTTTTTATTTCTTAATCTTGTAGAACTCTGTATTTCATAGTAATGAGTACTTAGGGATCATTGCTCTATTAGCCTCTGGGAGAGATCTTCTAGAGTTTGCCATTCCTTTTTTTCCAAAATTTTTTGTTGTTGTTGTTGTTGTTTTAACTGCAACTGGTTACTTTTCTCAACCATGGTCCTGACATGTTTATACTATGATACTTTTGAGACTTCGCTAAAGAATTAAAAGCTGTGAAACAACATTTGCTTCTCATCCTTCAGACAAAATGTGTTCCATTTAAGCAGCATGGTTAAACACTAATTTTGGGATAAGGGAGGGATATGTTTTCTTTACTTTCTTTTTGGATTTCATTTCTGTGGCATGAGCCTATTTGCGTTTGGAAGGAAAGATGCCTTCCTTTACATTCTTCACACTGGTAATTTTTTCATACTGAATTAAGAAATTATCATCCCTTCAAAACACATATTAATATAGCAACATTAGAGTAAGGGAGATGGCATTTCATCTCCTCTCCTCAGTCCCTTGATGTTGGAATGTTATTATCATTTCCAGGAGCCATACTTTGAAATTAAAAACAAATTGAGGCATTACCAGTCTGATGAAGGAATTTTAAATGCAAGCCATTTAAAGAATACTTGAAGGATTTGGGGAGACTTAGGTTAGGAAAAAGAGGGGAATACAATTAGTGCATTAGAACAAGATGCTCTGTGGTTCAGAGGGGTGGAATGAGGCCTACTGAATGAGGCCGTAGGGACACAGATTTGGGTTCCATGTCAGGGCGACCATTCTCAAAAAGTTGGTTCACTATGGGACAGTCTGCCTCAGGTAATAGCCTCTGTCAAGAGGCAAAGATGTGGAGAGGATCCAATTGGTTGGAGATTGGAGCAGGTGACCTATTAACCTAAATTCCATGTTGTATGTAGTACTTTGCCTCTCATAACATGTTCAATTAAATATCTGTTAATTCATAGCTAATGATTTTTTTAATGGGGCCTCGTTCTTCTGCCACAAGTGCATCCCACCTTTATCTTTCAGGGAAGAGGTTGGTTGCACGTTGTTAGGCCAAGAGACTGGCCCTCCATTATGCCCTATGCTGGACTTGCTTTGTCGGTCCATTCATTGATGTCCTGTTGAATCAAAAGGTATTGTTTTAGTAGAAGTTACATGAAGTATATTCATTTATCACTTGCTAAACATAGGCCTTGCTCTGTTTAATAAATAATGGGTGTCTCTTTCAAGATTTTAGGATAGGCCTTTTTAACAGAGCAGAATCTTCTGTTAAAGTTCTCACAAACAGACCAACTCCCAAGAGAGATGGGCTGGTGGGTCACTGACATAAAGCAGTCCACAAGATCTATTTTAGAAAAGTATCAATGACATTTCCTTAGTTGGTTTGATTCTCTTGAGAATACATGAGTTTAAAAGAACTGAGGTCAAATTGCTTTATGTGGAAAGCAATAAAAACAAGTATTTTTGACTTGCAAATTAGAGGTAACTGTAAGCAATTTTTGCTATTGAAGCCTATGGCCCAAATTATTCCACCTGCAAAATAACTTTCACCCTTGCAAGGCTGATAGACGGCTCTTCATTGGTCTTTTTTTATGGTTTTGTTTTGTTTTTTTAAGTCATTGGTCTTAAATCTGTATGGTGACAAATCTATTTGAGTTTGATTGAGACTTTCTTGGACTCCTTTGGACAAGAGGTCAGAGCACAAAGGCTAGTCACCACTTCTTTGACTTCTTGAGGTATGAGCCAAAATTTTACTTTTCCATTGATTTAAAGCAGAATTTTTGGAGATGCTGTGTTCTAGTTCCTGACGGAATCGGTGGTGGTTGCTGACTTTGACACTTTGGAGAGTGATGTGGGGAGTTATATAGAAGGGGAAACACTAGTTTAGGTGTGAGGAGTTCTAGTATGCCACAAATTAGCTGAGACTTTAGACGAAGCACAATATTTGAGCATCAATCTTCTCATCTATGAGATAGACCTGTCAGGATTATTGTGAAAATTAGATGAGATAAGTTGAAAGTACAGTGCTTGGTAAACAGTTAGCACTCAAATATTAGTTCTTTTTCACTTTAATTAAGAGCAGACTTTGAATGGTCTGATGCCAAGTGTAGATCCTTAAGAGACAAAACAAAGAAACTTTCCTGGCTTCAAAGAAAAGAACTCCATTTCTGAAAGGGTGCCTTAAAAGGAATTCATTTGTCTGATCCATCCTTTTGCCTTTGGGCATTACTACTGTCACCCTCCATTTCTTTACAAACTTCAGGCAAGGTGGTCTCTCTCTCTCTCCCAATAGGCAATTCCAGGGTTGTAAACTCATTATCAGGAAGCTTAATCTTAGAACTGAAATACCTCACAGAGCAATTTAAACCTCTTTCTTCTTGTTCCTATTCTTCATGGGAAGAAAACTGGGTTGATCCCTATCTTCTTTTTAAGGAGCCACATTTGCCATTTATTATTGCTCTTTTGCCTATTTAAAAAAAATAACAGTCAGAAAAAATAATGATTATTAAAATGATAGTCATTATTTACTTAGTGAATGTCAGGATAGGTATTTATTACTCTTAGCTTCTTATTGGTATCAGATGTAGATCACGGTCTTACTGTTGATTAACTCTTCAGTTATATATACATACTTTGATTCTTTAGTTACATAATTGATAACAAAGTGTGCTTCTGAAGAATTATTCTGGCTGTATGGCTCTTGTTTCCTCCCCTTGGTAAAAATGGAGGCATGAATCTCGGTTTTGTGATCTGCTTTTAATTTCATATATGACATTATTTGATGTACATAATTACCAACATCCAAAAGCGTTTCTTCCCCTTTCTACGTGTGCACTAAATTCTAAAACAAAAATTGGAATACAAAATGCCTAATAAAGAAAAAATTCATGTACAGAAAAGCAAAAGATAATCTACTTTGTTAAGATAATTTGTCACTAGCTGGTTGAATAATGCACAGTTTTTGTTTAAGGTTACACATTTATGCCTGGATTAAATAACAATAGTAAAACTTGACAAGTCTTTTGAAAAACAGCTGCTAAACATATTGCTTTCTGGAATGTAATCATTAGCAACAAATATTCTCTTATTCTATACAATTGCAGAATGCTAGTGGAACTTTCTTGTAGGTTATTTGACAATGAATGTTAATTGATTTATTTTTTAAAAATGTAAAATCCTCTTATCCCTTTAAGGCCGGTTTAGGCTTTCATGTCCCTGTGATAGAAAATTTCAAATGCTGGCTTCTAATTTCTACTCACTGAAGTGTCTTCCAGACATACCAGATGGTTGGAGCTCCTTTGATAGTATATAAGGGAGCTACATAAATGTATTTGAACTAACTCGTGAGCAAAATTTCTGTTTTCAGCAAAAAAAAAAAAAAAAAGAAAAAACAACAAACTCTGCTCAAAATTTCAGATAATACAGGAGTAAAAAGAGGTTTTTGATAATCTGAAGGGAAAAGTGTGCCCCATATATCTTGTACACACTTTTAATGCATGACTTTTAGTATAGAGATGAAATAAAATGCAAAATATATAATTCTGGAGATCTCAGCAGCTAGTTAAAATATTTAGAGAAGCTGCTTTATGAAGACTTAGAGAATCCTTGATCTCCCCCACATTTCCTATCACTCCATTGAAACATGGATCTTTAATATTAATACATACATAGTTTTAACTAATAAACAGGTTAATCACTGAGTTTTATGAACTCGATTCTTGATATTTGGCTATTGGTTTTAAGCATAGGATATCAGTATTATTTGTATACAGCGTTATATAAAATCTAACCAACTTCAATATAAGAATAGTACTTGATTTTAAATGTTAATATGCAAATATTAACAGTATACTACATCATATTTTATGTGTTCATATATTGATCTTTTTACTTAACAAAAAGCCTGTTAGAAATATAACCCACTGATGACCCGAGTCCAATTAGCTGAAAACCTTCTGTAGAAAGGTGATTGTATGAAAAATTCAATCAACATTAAAAAAGGGAAGTGGGGAGGGAATACAAACTTGAACAAAATATTCTTAAATGAAGTTGCATCTCTTTTTAAAATTAAGATATCATTCATGCACCATACGGTTTATCCTATTAAGGTGTAAACTTCAATGTTTTTAATCATATTCACTAAGTTGTGCAACATCACCACTCCCTAACTTCAGAACACTTTCATCACCTCCAAAAGAAACCCCATACCATTTGCAATCACTCCTCCTCCTCCTTCCCCCAGCATCCGGCAACCACTAATCTACTTTCTGTCCCTATGAATTTGCCTATCCTGGACATTTCATATAGTCAAACAACATGTGGCCTTTTGTGTCTGGCTTCTCTAAGTAAGCATAATGTTTTTAAAGCTCATCCATGTTGTAGCATAAATCAGTACATTGTTTTCATGTTTAAATAATATTCCATTGCATGTATATGCCACATTTTATTTGTCCATTTATCATTTGATGGACATTTGGGTTTTTTCCACCTTTTGATTATAATAATGCTGCTGTGAACATTTATGTAAAAGTTTTTTGTATGGGTGTATGTTTTCACATCTCTCTTAAAAACAATTAGTCTGACAAATCAAATCAAATCATTTATGTTTATTTACGTAGAACCTCTTGCAATCCTGTTTGGAGAGTGCAACTTACGATCTTAGTTTAATTGATCAATTAGGAGACCTCTGAATAAAGACTAACTCCCCAATACATCCATAAGAATTTTTCTATGAGCCTGTCATTTAGATGTGATAAGCAATCAATTTCATGAAGACTGTTTCAGTCTTGTAGAAATTGAGTTGCCATCACATAGAGGATTTCTTGTCCTCTGCATTGTTTAAAGGACAACTACAAATCATGCTGGATAAGAGTACTCATTCAATCTTTTAGGATTCAATGAAGTAGCATTTTAAATATGTAAGTTATTTTATATATTGTCTGTCTTTTAAAATTGGACTTTGCTTCTTGAAAAAAGTTTGTCAAATCACCAAACCATATGACTGTCCATTCATTGTAGCCTATGTTTTCTATTATTAAGAAATAATTCATACTGAGAGTAAAAGAAAAAGAATGTATTTTGTGTGCAAAGGATGAATGTATTAAAAACTTTTTATTTGTAACAATTTTTTAAAAAAACTAAATGGAAATTGCTTTCCCATGTACTTGTATATAAATAAACATTTCCTGTTGCCCACATTTGGAGAATCATATGCCATCAAAATATGTAAAAAGCAAACAAACTTTAAGTGTACTAATGTCTTTCAGCACGGTGCAAAATGTGCCCTGGATCTGGGGGATCTGGAGACCTGAGTTAAATGTTGATTTTCTAACTGGCTAACTTTGGACAAGTCATTTAACATTTGCACTATGGTTTTCTACTTTATAAAACAAGGGGCTAGATTAGATAATCTTTAAGGCCTCCTCCGATTATAAACACTAAACGAGACTACTCTGCTATTTCAGGATGTGAAAATTACATGCTAATTATTTCTATTGGTGAGAAAGATCCTTTATCCTATCATATATATTGGAAGGAGTATTACACTGAGAACTAGGAACCACAAATTCTAGTCCCAGTTCTGACATTGAGAAGCCATAAATTCTAGTCCCAGTCAGTGTGACTTTAGGTTAGTCATTTCATTTTAAACTTTATTTTTCCCAACTATCAAAATGTGGACACCAGATTAGATAGCTTCAAGGTCCCTTCCAGCTAAAACACATTACGTGATATTACTAGAGATTTTCTACAAAATTAGTAATGAGATTACTCATCACTAGCAGGACATTCACTCCTTCACCCATCCATTTATTCACCACTTATTGAACATGTACCATAGGGCAGGCACAAGAGTCTGCCTTTTAGATGCCCCCATCTCCACTGCAAAAGTCATAGATTTGTACCTTTTCTTGAAATTCATTTCCACTCCAATCCTTACCTCTCACCCTCTGCCTTGGGCGTGCATTTCAGAGATGAATGTCCTGGACTAAGAGTACAGTAGGTCATGAAACATGATAGAGTTAACAGGATGACAAAGGGGTCAAACCTTTGACCTTGGGCTCTCTGGCATAGTGTTCTTTAGTTAATTGAACATAGGCAAACTGTAACCCTTTCTGCCACTATTATTTGGTATTTATAAAGTATTGGGCTTTGAAAATCATCTGCTATAATTTTGTTATTGTCCTATGTCAGCTTATCTGCAGTTGGTAGGAGGCTCTTAATTTTGCTATTTTAGCACCTTCACTAAAAGAATGTGTTTGCAGAAATTTCTTTTCTAAATTCACACGTGTCATGGTTTTTACCTGTTCCATTATTAATATTAGTTTGAACCACATGGAATTGGCATTCTTATAAGTCAAAAACAGCCAGATACTTGCAATTTTATATCATTCTCATATTGTGTCCAGAATTGGTGGGTTCTTGGTCTTACTGACTTCAAGAATGAAACCACGGAGGCTTGCGGTGAGTGCTACAGTTCTTAAAGGCGCCGTGTCCGGAGTTTGTTCCTTCTGGTGGGTTTGTGGTCTAGCTGGCTCAGGAGTGAAGCTGCAGACCTTTGAGGTGAGTGTTACAGCTCATAAAAGCAGTGTGGACCAAAAAAAGCGAGCAGCAGCAAGATTTATTGCAAAGAGCCAAAGAATAAAACCTACACAGTGTGGAAGGTAACCTCAGCAGCTTGCCACTGCTGGCTCCGGCAGCCTGCTTTTATTCTCTCATCTGGCCCCACCCACATCCTGCTGATTGGTCCATTTTACAGAGAGCCGACTGGTCTGTTTTACAGAGAGCTGATTGGTCCATTTTGACAGGGTGCTGATTGGTGCGTTTACAATCCCTGAGCTGGACACAAAAGTTCTCCAGGTCCCCACTAGATTAGCTAGATGCAGAGTGCCAATTGGTATATTCACAATCCCTTATCTAGACTTAAAGGTTCTCCAAGTCCCCACCAGATCAGCTAGACACAGAGCACTGATTGGTGCATTTACAAACCTTGAGCTAGACACAGTGCTGATGGGTGCATTTACAATCCCTTAGCTAGACATAAAGGTTCTCCAAGTCCCCACCAGATTAGCTAGATACAGAGTGCTGTTTGGTGCATCCACAAACCTGAGCTAGACACACGGTGCTGATTGGTGTGTTTACTATCCCCCAGCTAGGCATAAAGGTTCTAGACTCAGGTCCCCACTAGACTCAGGAGCCCAGCTGGCTTCACCCAGTGGATCTGCCACCGGGGCGCAGGTGGAGCTGCCTTACAGTCCCGCGCCGTGAGCCTGCCCGGACTCCTCAGCCCTTGGGCGGTCGATGGGACCGGGCGCCTTGGAGCATGGGGCGGCGCTGGTAAGGGAGGCTCAGGCCGCGCAGGAGCCCACGGTGGTGAGGGGGAGACTCAGGCATGGCGGGCTGCCGCTCCCGAGCCCTACCCCGCGGGGAGGCAGCTAAGGCCCGGCGAAAAATCGAGCGCAGCGCCGGTGGGCCAGCACTGCTGGGGGACCCGGCGCACCCTCCGCAGCTGCTGGCCCGGGTGCTAAACCCCTTACTGCACGGGCCGGCAGGGCCGGCGGGCCGCTCCCAGTGCGGGGCCCGCCAAGTCCACGCCCACCCGGAACTCTAGCTGGCACGCAAGCGCCGCGTGCAGCCCCGGTTCCCGCCTGTCCCTCTCCCTCCACACCTCCCCGCAAGCCCAGGGAGCCGGCTCCGGCCTCGGCCAGCCCAGAGAAGGGCTCCCATGGTGCAGCGGCGGGCTGAAGGGCTCCTCAAGCGCGGCCAGAATGGACGGCGAGGCCGAGGAGGCACCGAGAGCGAGCGACGCTGCGCGGGCTGCCAGCATGCTGTCACCTCTCAATATGATCTTGTAAGTCATAGCAGCAAAGACTGGCAGGCAAATGCCACTTTAAGTTTTTTCATTCTGCTTTGTTTTAACCACTAAGGGAATTTGGACAAGTTAGTTTGCCTTGCACATTGGTTTTTCCACTAGTTAAATGGGACAAATTGCAAACTTGCATATAATTTTAAAATGCTCATTCATATAAAAATCATTACAGATCACTGAAAAAAAGCATAAATACAGTTTATTCCTAAAATATCAAAATGTTTAGATCATTGTGCTTCTCACATGGGCAGTGTAATACTACAGATACACAATTCTTTGGCAAACTGGAAATCAGTATTTTGAAAAACATTGAGGATCACTATTACTAATTGACTCAGTTATTCCATGTCTGCTACCTGGCAGACTATAATTGATATATGCTATCTATATACCTCAAAACGCATCTGCAACTGAGAGATGAAACCTCGAGCTATAGTTAAACCATAATCACATGGGTGTACTTTCGGCCAGGTGCTCACATCTGAATAGTTCAAGACCTGTAGTACATTTCAGGAACTGAAATATCTTATTTCCATTACTTGCAAGAAACACATGTTAATAATATAAGACATCTTATCTGTATTTTCATGCCTGGAATTTATTCGGGCCATAGAATGGTTACATTTTCACATCTAGATCAAAATAAGCTTGGAGAAACAGTGTTTCTGACTTTGATCTTAGAGATGAACCCACAAGAATTAAAAACTGTATGAGGCCTGACATTCTACAAAGTTTACTGATGCTCATATTTATATTTAATCTTCATCGTAACCCTGTGAAGTACTTTCAGCTCCTGAAGTACAATGCATACAGATTTTGAGGCAAGGCAAAGATTAAGACACTGCTTTGAACATGGAAATATTCTGAGCAAAGGGAATGAAGAGTACAAAGGCTTTAGGCCAAAGTACCTATATTATTTTGGACAAGTTACTTAACCTGTTTTCACCTCGGTTTTCTCATTTGTTAAATGAGGATCTCAATGCTTGTCTTCATTTATTTGCCAGTTACCTATTATTATGCGCCAGGTAGTGTTCTAGTGACTGGAACTATAGCAGTGAACAAAATAAAAAAAAGGTACTTTTGTGGAATTTGCATCATAGCATGGAAGGGGTAGAAAATAAAGAAATGTATAGTACATCAAGTGGTGATAATGACTATGAAGAAAATAAGGCCAGGCATGGTGGCTCACACCTGTAATCCCAGCACTTTTGGAGGCCAAGGTGGGCAGATTGCTTGGGCCCAGGAGTTCAAGACCAGCCTGGTCAATATGGCGAAATCCCTTCTCTACAAAATACAAAAAATTAGCTGGCATGCTGGTGCATGCCTGTAGTCCCAGCTACTCAGGAGGCTGAGGTGGAAGGATCACTTGAGGAGGAGGTCAAGGCTGCAGTGAGCAGTGATTGTGCCATGGCACTCCAGCCTGAGTGAGGGTGAGAAAGAAAAAACAAACCAGGGAAAGGTCATGATGGTGGAGTGTTGCTAATTTATGTATGGTGGTCAAGGGAAGGCTTCATTGATAATGTGTCATTTGAAAATAGACCTGAAAGAAGTGAGGAAGGGAACAGTATACAAATCTTGATGAAACATGTTCTAGGCAGAGGGAACAGAATGTGCACAGACATTAAGGCAAAAGAATTCCTGGTTCTCTAGGAGCATCAGGGATTCTGGTATGGGTGAAACAAAATCAATGAATGGGGCAAGGATAGATGAGATTTGAGGGGGATACTGGCATAGATCACAGCACCTTGGAGGCCATTGCAAGGACTTTGGTTTTCACCTAGAGTAAAATGGCAGCCCTTGGAGGGTTTTGAGTAGAGGAGCAATTTGGATTTATATTTTAACATGGTCACTCTGCTGCCCTGTAGAATAGATTATAAAGGGGCAAAGGCAGAAGAAATGAAACCATCTAGGGAGACTACTGGTAAACTGCAGGTGAGAAAAGGTGACTTGTACCATAGGAGTAAGTTTGGAGATTGTGGGAAGTGCTCTTGATTCTGGCTATATCTTATTTAACTTTGTATTATATTATAGAAAATGTCAACATAGATAAAAGCAAAATAGTGTAATGATACTTTATGTACACATAATTATCAATTCATGGTCAATAATTGCAACAATTATCAACTCACGGTCAATAATTGCAATAATTATCAACTCATGGTCAATTTTATTTTATCTATATTCCCCCCATTTTCTCCATTCTGTATTATTTTGAAGCAAGGCCCATACATCATACAATTTTTTTCTTAATTTTTAAATTTCAATTTAATTTAATAACTTTTTTTTAGAGATGGGGGTCTTGCTTTATTGCCCAGGCTGGTCTTGAACTCCTGGCCTCAAGCAGTCCTCCCACCTTGGCCTCCAAAAGTGCTGGGATTACAAATATGAGCGCCTGCACCTGGCTCATCATACAACTTCATCCAGAAATATTCCAGTATGTATCATTAAAGGACAAGAGTTTTAAAAACAACCATAATATCGTTATTGTATCTGAAAAGTTTTAAATATATCTTTGATATCCTCAAGCATGGATTCTGTATTTTTTTAAAAAATATAGAACCTATAGGTCTATTTATTTATTTTTTTTAGAGACAGGATGTCTTTCTGTTGCCCAGGCTGGAGTGCAGTGGCACAATCACAGCTCACTGCAGCCCTGAACTCTTATGCTCAAGCAATTCTGCTACCTCAGTCTCCCAAAGTGCTGGAATTACAGACCTGAGCCACCGTGCCAGGTCTGGGTTTATTTTTTTTTTGTAAGATAATGCTAATAATTTGGACACTGACAGCTGTTTTACTAATCGATGGGCCATTATGAGCAGAATTATTTGGCTTTAGAAAATTGTGCAACGCAAACACAAAAACAAACACCCAACCATGTGGTGGTTGGGCACAGTGGCACATGCCTGTAATCTCAGCATTTTGGGAGGACAAGGCAGGCAGATCGCTTGAGCCCAGGAGTTCAAAACCAGTCTGCATAACATGGTGGAACTCCATTTCTAAAAAAAAAAAAAAAAAAAAAAAAAAAAAAAGCCTGGCATGGTGGTGTGTGCCTGTTGCCCCAGCTACTCAAGAGGCTGTGGTGGGAGGATCACTTGAGCCCAGGAAGTCGAGGCTGCAGTGAGCCTGTGATCGCACTACTGCACTCCATCCTGGGCAATAAGTGAGACTGTCTCAAAAACAACAACAACAACAAAAACACATGGTGAGGGCTGGGCATGGTGGCTTGAGCCTATAATCCCAGTACTTTGGGAGGCTGAGGCGGGAGGGTCACTTAAGACCAAGAGTTCAAGACCAGAAGACCAGACTGGGCTACATAGTGGGGCCCCATCTCTACAAAAAAACCCCCACAACTTTTTAATTAACCAGGCGTGGCAGCATGTGCCTGTAGTCCCAGCTACTTGGGAGGCTGAGGTAGGAGGATCACTTGAGCCCAGAAGTTTGTACCTGTAGTAAGCTATGATTGTGCTACTGTACCTCAGCCTGGGCAACAGAGCAAGATCCTATCTCAAGAACAAAATGTGGTAAAATACTGACATATGTGGCATGCTGGTTAGGATTATTTGGCTATATATAATTTTTGAAATCTGAGACAACAAAATAAGATTTTTGTCTGTTTGCTTGTTTTTTGTCATCATGTGAAAGTCTAGAGGTTGGTAGCCTGGGACTAGTATTGTGGTTTCATAATATTTTCCACGCAACATTTCCATTTTTATCTCTCTGGCCAGGACTTGGCCTGCAAGGGAGCATGGAAAATATATTCTTTCAATAGGGAATAATGCTACCCTGAGTAAAATAGGTGTTTTGTTACAGAGAAGGAAGCAGAGAATGACTATTTGAGTAGGCAGTTAACAATTTTTGCCTTAACATTTGTGGGAAGAACATGGTTTTATAGACAAAAAACTGAATTCTAATTCTACCATATACTGATTGTGACCTTGAACAAGTTATTTTGCCTCTGTGCCTCAGTTTTTTCTTTTTTTTTTTTTCTTGAGACGGAGTCCCGCTCTTTAGCCCAGGCCGGACTGCAGTGGCACAATCTCGGCTCACTGCAAGCTCCGCCTCCCAGGTTCACACCATTCTCCTGCCTCAGCCTCCCGAGTAGCTGGGACTACAGGCGCCCGCCACCGCGCCCGGCTAATTTTTTGTATTTTTAGTAGAGACGGCGTTTCACCGTGTTAGCCAAGATGGTCTCAATCTCCTGACCTTGTGATCCGCCTGCCTCGGCCTCCCAAAGTGCTGGAATTACAGGCGTGAGCCACCGCGCCTGGCCAACCTCAGTTTTTTCTTGTGTAAGATTGAGCTAATACCACTGACCATGCAGTGTTCAGAGGATTAAATGAAATGA
Source organism: Homo sapiens (assembly GCF_000001405.40). Taxonomy (NCBI): domain Eukaryota; kingdom Metazoa; phylum Chordata; class Mammalia; order Primates; family Hominidae; genus Homo; species Homo sapiens. Next base: position 82,966,118 of record NC_000011.10, on the reverse strand, counting down.
TACAGGGCATTCCCAGGTGTTTGCAGTGGAAGTGGGAAACCTGTAGGGTATGGTCCAGCTGTGCTGCACAGAGGCAAGCAGGACCAGGGAACAGTTCTGAAGTAAATTCTTAAACTTCGGCTACCAATTCAAATTGATATTTAAAATGAGAGAACTTCTGCCCAGCCACTGAGTGTCAATATTTGTACGTGCAAAATCATCTTTAGGGGTGGGCAAGAAGGCTGACTAGACACAGCTAAGTGGAACAGCTCCCACCGAGGGACTGAGATGACTGGCATGCTCCTAATAGATCTTCAGAGGGAAGGCACCAAGAGTGAACAGAGGGAAGACCCAGAAGCTGAGCTGAAGGAGGAGAAAGCTGGGAACCCTGCATGGTCTACTGTGCACTGGACCTTGTTCCTGGCCCACAATGGCTCCAGAGGAATGGGTGAGTTGAATTGACAAGGAGAAACCACAGGCCTCTGGAACCCTGGCAGGAGACCCCTCAACCACCATGGACACTTGAGTTGGCAAATGCAAAAGAATTGAAATCATAACAAACAATCTCTCAGACCACAGCACAATCAAATTAGAAACAAAGACTAAGAAATTTACTCAAAACCATCCAATTACATGGAAATTGAATACCTGCTCCTGAATGACTTTTGGGTAAATAACAAAATTAAGGCAGAAATCAGGAAGTTCTTTGAAGCTAATGAGAACAAAGATACAACATACCAGAATCCCTGGGACACTGGGACACGCAGTGTTAAAAGGGAAATTTATAGCACTAAATGCCCACATCAAAAACTTAGAAAGATCTTAAGTTAACAACCTAACATCACAACTAAAAGAATTAGAGAACCAAGAACAAAGCTAGCAGAAGAAAAGAAATAACCAAAATCAGAGCTGAATTGAAGGGGATTGAGACATAAAAAAACATTCAAAAGATCAATGAATCCAGTAGATTTTTTTTTGAAAAAAAAAAAATATATATACCACTAACTAGACTAATAAAGAATAAAAGAGAGAAGATTCAACTAAACACAATTGGAAATAACAAGGGGGATATTACCACTGACCCCACAGAAATACAATCATCAGAGAATATTATGAACACCTTTATGTACATAAACTAGAAAATCTAGAAGAAATGAGTAAACTCCTGAATACATACACCCTCCCAAGACTGAACCAGGAAGAAATTGAATTCCTGAACAGACCAATAATGAGCTCTGAAATTGATTCAGTAATAAATAGCCTACCAACAAAAAAACCCCAGGATCAGATGGATTCACAGCTGAAATCTACCAGATATACAAAGAAGAGCTAGTACCATTCCTGCTGAAACTACTCCAAAAATTGAGGAGAAGGGACTCCTCTTTAACTCATTCTACAAGGCCAGCATCATCCTGACACCAAAACCTGGCAGAGACACAACAACAAAAAGGAAAGCTTCAGGCCAACATCCTTGATGAACATCGATGCAAAAATCCTCAACAAAATACTGGTAAATTGAATCCAGCAGCACACCAAAAAGCTTATCCACAACGATCCAGTAGGCTTTATCCCTGGATGCAAGTTTAGTTTAACATACACAAATTAATAAATATGATTCATCATATAAACAGAAGACAAAAGCTGCATGATTATCTCAATAAACTAGGTATCCAAGGAACATTCCTCAAAATAATAAATGCCATCTATGAAAAACCCACAGCCAATATCATACTGAATGGGCAAAAACTGGAAGCATTCCCCTTGAAAACTGGCAGAAGACAAGGATGCCCTCTCTCACCACTCTTATTCAACACAGTATTGGAAGTCCTGGCCACGGCAATCAGGCAAGAGAAAGAAAGAAAGGGCATCCAAATAGGAAGAGAGGAAGTCAAACTATCCCTGTTTGCAGATGACATGATTCTAATCTAGAAAACCCCATAGTCTCCACCCAAAAGCTCATTAACTTCAACAAAGTCTCAGGATACAAAATGATGGTGCAAAAACCACTTACATTCTTACATACCAAAAACAGTCAAGCCGAGATCCAAATCAGGAATGCAATCCCATTCACAACTGCCACAAAAATAAAATAAAATAAATACCTAGGAATACAGCTAAACAGGGAGGTGAAAGATCTCTACAAGGAGAACTACAAAACACTGCTCAAAGAAATCAGAGATGGCACAAACAAATGGAAAAACATTCCATGTTCATGGATAGGAAGAATCAATATTGTTAAAATGGCCATACTACCCAAAGCAATTTATAGACTCAAGGCTATTCCTATTAAACTACCACTAACATTCTTCACGAACTAGGAAAAACTATTTCAAAATTCATATGGAATTTAAAAAAGCTCTGATGCCTGTAATCCCAGCTACTTGGGAGGCGGAGGCAGGAGAATCACTTGAACCCAGGAGGCAGAGGTTGCAGAGAGCTGAGATCATGCCATTGCACGCCAGCCTGGTGACAAAGCTGGAAAAAAAAAAAAAGGCCGGGTGCAGTGGCTCATGCCTGTAATCCCAGTACTTTAGGAGGCCAAGGTGGGTGGATCTCTTGAGGTCAGGAGTTTGAGACCAGCCTGGCCAACATTGTGAAACTCCATCTCTACTAAAAATACAAAATAGCCGGGCATGGTGGTGTGCACCTGTAATTCCAGCTACTTGGGAGGCTGAGGCAGGAGAATCACTTGAACCCAGGAGGCAGAGGTTGTAGTGAGCTAAGATCACGCCACTGCATTCCAGTCTGGGTGACAGAGTGAGACTGTCTCAAGAAAAAAAAAAAAAGAGAGAGAGAGAGCTTGAATAGCCAAGGCAATACTAAGCAAAAAGAACAAAGCTGGAAGCATCATGCTATTAATAACTGACTTCAAACTAAACTATAGGGCTACAGTAATCAAAACAGCATGGTGCTGGTACAAGAAACAGACACATAAACCAATGAAACAGAATAGAAAACCCAGAAGTAAGGCTGCTCACCTACAAATATCTGATCTTTGACAAAGCTAACAAAAACAAGCACTGGGGAAAGGATTCCCTATTGAATAAGTGGTGCTGGATAACTGGCCAGCTATATGCAGATGATTGAAACTGGACCCCTTCCTTATACCATGTACAAAAATTAACTCAAGATGGATTAAAGAATTAAATGTAAAACCAAAAACTATAAAAACCCTGGAAGACAATGTAAGCAATACCTTTCTGAACGTAGGAATGAGCAAAGATCTCATGGTGAAAACACCAAAAACAATTGCAACAAAAGCAAAATTGACAAATGGGATCTAATTAAACTAAAGAGCTTCTGCACAGCAAAGGAAACTATCAACAGTGCACAGACAACCTACTGAGTGGGAGAAAATTTTTGCAAACTATGTATCCGACAAAGGCCTAATATTCAGCATCTATGAGGAACTTAAGCAAATTCACAAGAAAAAGACAACCCCATGAAAAAGTGGGCAAAGGACATGACCAGACATATTCCAAAAGAAGACATACATGTGGCCAACGATCATATGAAAAAAGCTCATCACCACTGATCATTAGAGAAATGCAAATCAAAACCACAATGAGATACCATCTTACACCAGTCAGAATGGCAATTAAAAAGTCAAAAAATAACAGATGCTGGTGAGGGTGCAGAGAAAAGGAACACTTATACACTGTTGGGAGTGTAAATTAGTTCAATGATTGTGGAAAATAGTGTGGCAAGTCCTCAAATATCTGAAGACAGAAATACTATTCAACTCAGCAATCCCATTAGTGGGTATACACCCAAAGGAATATAAATCATTCTATTATGAAGACACAGGCATATGTTCATTGCAACACTATTCACAATACCAAAGACATGGAATCAACCTAAATGCCCATCAATGATAGACTGCATAAAGAAAATGTGGTATATGTATACCAAGGAATACTATGCAGCCATAAAAAAGAATGAGCTCAACTAGCTGGGCATGGTGGTATGTGCCTGTAGTTTCAGCTATTTGGGAGGCTGAGGTGGGAGGATGACTTGAATCCAGGAGACAGAGGTTGCAGTGAGCTGAGATTGCACCACTATACTCCATCCTGGGTGACAGAGCCAGACCCTGTCTTAAAATAAAAAAGAATGAGATTGTGTCATGTCCTTTGCAGGAACATGGATGGAGCTGGAGGCCATTATCCTTAACAAACTAATGCAGGAACAGAAAACCAAATATGGCATGTTCCCACTTATAAGTGGGAGCTAAGTGATAAGAACACATGGACACACAGAGGGGAACAACACACACTGTGGCCTATTGGGGGGTGGAAGGTGGGAGGAGGGAGAGGATCAGGAAAAATAACTAATGGGTACTATGCTTAATACCTGGGTGACAAAATAATCTGTACAAAAACCCCCCATGACACAAGTTTACCTATGTAAAGAACCTGCACAAGTACCCCTGAACTTAAAATAAAAGTTAAATAAATTAAAAAAACAAAAAATACAGGGTAAATGCCATAGTGTCTGGTACATAATAGGCATACAGTAAATGATGAGTAATATTACATGTATAAAATAAAACGTTAATTATCTAGCAGGCCATTGAGAGATGGTGTCTAGTTAATTAGGCTGAATGGCTACTCAGTTACAGGTTTAATATTAGAGTCACCATATCCACTTGCCTGTGTTATATAAGAAAGAAATACTCCAAGATAAAGGAAGAGTTGTAAGATATTGTCAATGGCATTTATCGACCCTAATTAACTTAATCACGTCCATTCAGCTTGTTCAAGTTTATATTTGTTCAAATGCTTTCAATCAATCTGTCTTCATCTGTTACCGGCCAAACTGAAAGCCCTGAGACAAGTAATCTCTTTAAGCCCTGCTGAAATATAGCTATTTTGCCAAACATACAATACCCTAAGCTTGGATCTTGAAAAAGGTGATAAATACTTCTCCAGCAACTGCTGGTTTTGGGGCCTCTGTTTAGACATCTTGCATAATATTTTTTTCATGATTCTTTTGGTTGGTTGATTTTGCAATTATTGAAGTCGTAATCAATAACAAGTATATACAGCACCTGGATCTGATTACAGGCACTGTTGTATCCATTAACCCAGCTCTGAGCCCTTGCAGTTACTTTCACCAAATGAAAGGCTGCTGGGCACCCCTGTGTTTTACAATGTCATGTTATTATTTCCCACTCAAGGCAGGCAAGGGGTGGACAAACAGCTTGTCTTGGCACAGCTGGTGCCTCTAGTTAGCAGAAAATGCTTCAGACTGTGAAGGAGCTGTACGGAAGGGCCAAGTGGTCATGCACTTTGGCTTGGCACATAAAGGGATCTTATTAGAGGAAAGGTGTGATTTTTTTTTTTTACAGGTGAATTTATGTTTCTCCCTTGGAGGCAACTTTCTCTAATCACATCACAAATTAGGCTGAAAAACAAGTGATAGATCAGAGAAAACCACTGCAGGATACCTAACCTATGCTTGACCTTAAGTTATTCAAGTAGTGGCAGACATTGATCAACAGGAAGGAAGGTGTTTCACCGAGAAATGTCTAGCTTGAGAGATGAGGGTTCATGCAGCATTCTCCTTTAGCCTCATGAGTGGCAGTGCAGAGTACTGGAAAAATTAGAGCTCTGGTTCTGCCACTTATTAGTGACATGGTCTTAGCCTTGAGAAAGTTACTCGACCTCTGTAAACTCAGTTTACAAAGTTTACAAAAATATTTTCCTCAATCCTCATAGGTTACTTATAAGGAATAAATGAGCAAGTATGTAAAATATCTAAGAGATGGCTCAGAGGGAGAGGCTCCACATATTAGAGTCTTTTGCTTCCCTCTGTATAATGCACATATTCCTTTTTTTCAAAAAATTGATCTTTAAACATCTTTAATATGAACTAAAACATGAATACGGAAAAAGTGTATTATGTAATGGAACTATTATAAACACCCTTGTATTTGTGTCAGGAAATAGAACTTTGCCAGCCACCCCAGAATCTCTTCTTTCCACCTCAAAGTAACCGCTATTTTCACTTTCGTAGTCATCAAGGAAGTGATGCACCCAAATGTGTATCTCAAGGCACTTAAGTTTAATCTTGCCCATTCAAAAAAAAAAAACAACTAATATACATTTTAAATAATTTTAGTATATATCTCTTTCTCTCCCTTACAGTAATCTGTGGAAGAATGTGAACTGTTTGACCTGCAGTTTCTCACAGTCTGGATTTTGCTGATTTTATATTTATGGTGGAGGTCTGCATGTTCTGTCAGTTGTATATTTTTCATATTGACAGCTGGATGCAGAGGGAGTATACTCATGTTTAATCCCTTTGGGAAGATTATAGGAAGTGGTATCTTCTTCCATCAGAAAGCAGATATCTTCTTGTCTCTCTTTGGAATGTTAGCAACCATCGACGCTCATTGAGTGCATCCATTATTTGTTGGGGGTTACAAAATGGTAATATTCCATTTCTACCATTTAATAAATGCATTAATTAAAATATTTTTATAAAGAGAGCTTCCCTTCACCTATTTGGTTATCCAATGGTACAATTCATGAGAGAAAAGCAAGATAAATTTTTAATTTTTTTCCCTTTTTACCAGTTATCAACATAATAAATTGGTTCTCTATCATTATCTGAAGGTGATTAGTGTTTTTTTAATTGTTCAAAACCGTGAAAAATATTAAATGTCAGGTTTTTGTTTTGCCTTGTTTTTTTTAAGAGATGAGGTCTTATTTTGTCACCCAGGCAGAAGTGCAGTGGCATGATCATAGCTCACTGCCATATCGAACTCTTGGGCTCAAGGGATCCTCCTGCCTCAGCCTCTCAAGTAGCTGAGATTAAAGACTTGTGCAATTGTGCCTGGCTAACATTTTCATTTTCATTTTTTGTAGAGATGGGGTCTTGCCATCTTGTCCAGGCCAGTCTTGAACTCCTGGGCTCAGTTTTTTTTTTTCTTTTTTTTTGGAGACAGGGTCTTGCTATGTGCCCAAGCCTCCAAACTCCTGAGCTCAAGTGATCCTCTTGCCTCAGCCTCCCAGGTAGCTGGGATTATGGGTGCATTCCACCACATTTGGCTTTGAAGGTGACTAGTTTTTAAAATATTATAAACTTATGAAATATACTTATGTATTTATAAAAATACTATATACACTATCTCTAATTTTTAAATCATTTTTTATATTCTTCCAGTAATATTCTATGCATACTAAATTATTTGTGTATCTTGACAGATATTTGTTTTACTATTTTGCTATTGCAAACAATGCTTTATGGAATATTTTTCTTTTATACTTTCTCATATATGAGTGTATTTGTGAGATAAATTCCTGGAAGTGGGATTGCTGCTTTTAAAAGAGCACATCAATTTAAAATTTTCATAAATAATGCCAATTTATTTTCCACATAATTAATACCAATTACATTCTCATTGTCTTAATCCATTTTGGGCTGCCGTAACAAAAAAAATCTGAGACTAGGTAATTTATATCTATGATAAATAAAATAAAATACATTTCTCATACTTCTGGAGGCTGGTAAGTCCAAGATCAAGGTGCTCACATCTGGTTTCTGGTGAGGGCCTTTTTGCTGCATCCTCACATGATGAAAGGACAAGTTGGAAAGCTAGCTAAATGCTACGTGAAGCCTCTTTTATATGTGCCTTAATTCTATTGATGAGGGAGGAACCCCATGGCCTAATCACCTCCTACAGATCCCACCTCTTAATACTATCACATTGGCAACACCTGAATTTTGGAGGAAACACATTCAAATCATAGCACCAATTGACACTGTATCAGTAGTAAGGCATTCTTTCAAAAAAATACTTTCAATTGGGTGGGGATGTAGGGCATAAGAGGTCAGAAAAGAAAGCTTGAATTCTTTTTGGCTGAAGGAGAATTTTTTATTATCTTTCTGTACAGAAAACTCAACAGTGTGCATTTAACTAAGCTTAGTGGCATGTTTTTTAGCCTTTGTCTTTTCTGGCTTGGCATTGTAAGCCACAGATTTTGGACCCAGGATGTTGCCTCCCCATTGATGGTGGATCTCATTATATCTGTCATTGTAATTGATCCTGAAGCTCCCAAAGTTTAGCTAAAGCTCCTTGTTTTTTCCATTTAACCTGTGTGAAGGTGACAATGATGCAGGTCCTCCTGTGGACTAAACTTCCCGGCCTTGCCTTCTCTTTGATAACACAGTAAGGGACCCCCATTTTACAACACAGGGCTGGCAGGAAGACAACCAGCTTGATGGGATCCATATCTTGTGCAGTCAGCACCAGCTGAGACTTCTTGTTCACCATTGAGTTGGTGACAGTATTAACCCCTGCTTGAAGGACAGGTGAACTCTTAGTGGGGATGTCTCCATTGCTGGCAGCATTCCTGTCAGCATGGGCCAACAATTCCTGCTTCTTCTCTTGCTTTGTCACTGGTCTGTACTCGTGGGCCAGCTTAAGAAGCTGAGCAGCTGTTAGGAGGTCCAAGGCCTGGGTAAACTGGTTAATCACAAGAGGCACTTCCAGTGACCTACAGAGGATAGTTCTTTGCTGCTGCAACCTAATATAATGAGGCCATTTGACAAAGTGAGTGAGATCCCTTTGGGGTGGATGTCCTGTCCAGTGCTAAAATTCTTAGGCCTTTTCTCAAACAGGGGAGATTCACCACTTTCTTGGCTTCTTGCTTCTTCATGACAGCAGGGGCCCCAGCCATCTTCTTCCCCTTGGTCTTATTTTGTTTTAGCATCTTGGGTGGCTAGAGAAGAGACAACAGAAAGCTCAAATTTTAACAGAGGGAGAAAGACAGGGGAAAGGTCATGGTGAAAGTGAGGAATTGAAATTGAGTAAAGATATTACAACTATAAAGCAGGTGGAAATTCAAAATGGTATATGAATAATGAAGGGGCAGAAGGAAGCAAACAGAAAATGCTGGTACTGGCAGGTGTGGTACTGTGGGAGGAGCACTGAACTTGAGAGCAAGTACCATGTTCACAGTCATTATCTTATTTAATTCTCATAGTAGCCTTAAGAGATATTGTTTCTTTTTTTTGCAGATAAGAAAGTAGAGGCCATGGAGATACAATATCTACTTCACGGGATTTTATGTGAGTTAAATGATGTAATGTATGTGATACCACCTAATAGCATATGAGATTCTTGAAGGCATAATTATCTTCAACCTAGTACAGTGCCAGGTACAATCTGGAACTGCAATTTGCTGAATATTTTTAATAAATGAAAGAACCTGGCACAGGGCCTACCACATAAGTATGTGCTCAACAATGAATGGTTATTGACTCTAAAGATTAGCAGAAAGTGGGGTGGCTGGCAAGATGGCCAAATAGGAACAGCTCTGGTCTGCAGCTCCCAGGGAGATCAACACAGAAGGTGGGTGATTTCTGCATTTCCAACTGAGGTACCATGTTCATCTCATTGGGACTGGTTGGACAGTGGGTGCAGCCCATGGAGGGTGAGCTGAAGCAGCGTGGGGCATTGCCTCACCCAGGAAGCAAAAGGGGTCAGGGGATTTCTCTCCCCCAGTCAAGGGAAGCCGTGAGAGACTGTACCAGGAGGAACGGTGCACTCTGGCCCAGATACTGCACTTTTCCCATGGCCTTCACAACCAGCAGACCAGAGATTCCCTCAGGTGCCTACGCCACCAGGGCCCTAGATTTCAAACACAAAACTGGACAGCTGTTTGGGCAGACACTGAACTAGCTGCAGGAGTTTCTTTTTTTCATACACCAGTGGCACCTGGAACACCAGTGAGATGGAACCATTCACTTCCCTGGAAAGGGGGCTGAAGCCAGGGATCCAAGTAGTCTGGCTTGGCAGGTCGCATGCCCATGGAGCCCAGCAAGCTAAGATCCACTGGCTTGAAATTCTCGCTGCTAGCACAGCAGTCTGAGGTCGCCCAGAGATGCTTGAGCTTGGTTGGGGGAGGGGCGCCCACCATTGCTGAGGCTTGAGTAGGTGGTTTTACCCTCACAGTGTAAACAAAGCCTCCAGGAAGTTCAAACTGGGCGGAGCCCACCACAGCTCAGCAAGGCTGCTGGGGCCAAACTGCCTCTCTAGATTCCTCCTCTCTGGGCAGGGCATCTCTGAAAAAAAGGCAGCAGACCCACTCAGGGACTTATAGATAAAACCCCCATCTCCCTGGGAAAGAGCACCTGGGGGAAAGGATGGCTGTGGGCACAGCTTCAGCAGACTTAAACGTCCCTGCCTGGCAGCTCTAAAGAGAGCAGCAGATCTCCCAGCACAGCGTTCAAGCTTTGAAAAGGGACAGACTGCCTCCTCAAGTGGGTCCTTGAGCTCTGTGTATCCTGTTTGGGAGACACCTCCCAGTAGGGGCTGACAGACACCTCATACGGGAGAGCTCTTGCTGGCATCTGGCGGGTGTCTCTCTGGGACAAAGCTTCCAGAGGAAGGAACAGGCAGCAATCTTTGTTGTTCTGCAGCCTCCACTGGTAATACCCAGACAAATAGGGTCTAGAGTGGACCTCCAGCAAACTCCAGCAGACCTGCAGCAGAGGGTCCTGACTGTTAGAAGGAGAACTAACAAACAGAAAGGAATAGTATCAACATCAGAAAAAAGGATGTCCACTCAGAGAACCCATGCAAAGGTCACCAACATCAAAGACCAAAGTTAGATAAATCAATGAAGATGGGGAAAAAACAGCATAAAAAGACTGAAAATTACAAAAATCAGAGTGCCTCTTCTCCAAAGGATCACAACTCCTTGCCAGCAAAGAGAACAAAACCATCCAGAACAAAACTGGACGGAGAATGAGTTTGAAGAATTGACAGAAGTAGGCTTCAGAAGGTGGGTAATAACAAACTCCTCCAAGCTGAAGGAGCATGTTCTAACTCAATGCAAGGAAGCTAAGAACCTTGAAAAAAGGTTAGAAAAATTGCTAACTAGAATAACCAGTTTAGAGAAGAACATAAATGATCTGATGGAGCTGAAAAACACAGCACGAGAACTTTGTGAAGCATATGAAAGTATCAATAGCTGAATCAATCAAGTGGAAGAAAGGATATCAGAGAATGAAGATCAATTCGATGAAATAAAGCAAGAAGATAAGATTAGAGAAAAAAGGGTGAAAAGAGATCAACAAAGCCTCTAGGAAATATGGGACTATGTGAAAAGACCAAATCTACGTTTGATTGTTATATCTGAAAGTAACAGGGAGAATGGAACCAAGTTGGAAAACACTCTTCAGGATATTATCCAGGAGAACTTCCCAAACCTAGCAAGGCAGGCCAACGTTCAAATTCAGGAAATACAGAGAACACCACAAAGATACTCCTCAAGAAGAGCAACCCCAAGACACATAATCATCAGATTCACCAAGGTTGAAATGAAGGAAAAAATTGTTAAGGGAAGCCAGAGAGAAAGGTTGGGTAACCCACAAAGGGAAGCCCATCAGACTAACAGTGGATCTCTCAGCAGAAACCCTACAAGCCAGAAGAGAGTGGGGGCCAATATTCAACATTCTTAAAGAAAAGAATTTCTAACCCAGAATTTCATATCCAGCCAAACTAAACTTTATAAGTGAAAGAGAAATAAAATCCTTTACAGACAAACAAATGCTGAGAGATTTTATCACCACCAGGCCTACCTTACAAGAGCTCCTGAAGGAAGCACTAAATATGAAAAGGAAAAACCAGTACCAGCCACTGCAAAAACATACCAAATTGTAAAGACCATCGACACTATGAAGAAACTGCATCAACTAATGGGCAAAATAATCATCTAGAATCAGAATGACAGGATCAAATTCACATATTACAATATTAACCTTAAATGTAAATGGGCTAAATGCCCCAATTAAAGGACACAGACTGGCAAATTGGATAAAGAGTCAAGACCCATTGGTATGCTGCATTCAGGAGACCCATCTCACATGCAAAACACACATAGACTCAAAATAAAGGGATGGAGGAAGATCTACCAAGCAAATGGAAAGCAAAAAAAAGCAGGGGTTGAAATCCTGGTCTCTTATAAAACAGACTTTAAACCAACAAAGATCAAAAGAGAGAAAGAAGGCCATTACATAATGGTATAGGGATCAATTCAACAAGAAGAGCTAACTCCTAAATATATATGCACCCAATACATGAGCACCTAGATTCATAAAGCAAGTTCTTAGAGACATACAAAGAGACTTAGACTCCCACACAAGAATAATAATGGCAGACTTTAACACTCCACTGTCAATATTAGACAGATCAATAAGACAGAAACTTAACAAAGATATCTAGGACTTGAACTCAGCTCTGGACCAAGCAGACATAATAGACATCTACAGAACTCTCCACCCCATATCAAAAGAATATCCATTCTTCTCAGCACATCACACTTATTCTAAAATTGACTACATAATTGGAAATAAAACACTCCTCAGCAAATATAAAAGAACAGAAATCACAACAAACTGTCTCTCAGACCACAGTGCAATCAAACTAGAACTCAAGATTGAGAAACTCACTCAAAATTGCACAACTACATGGAAACTGAACAACCTGCTCCTGAATGACTACTGGGTAAATAAAGAAATGAAGGCAGAAATAAAGATGTTCTTTGAAACCAATGAGAACAAATACACAACGTACCAGAATCTCTGGGATGCATTTAAAGCAGTGTGTAGAGGGAAATTTATAGAACTAAATGGCCACAAGAGAAAGCAGGAAAGATCTAAAATCAACACCCTAACATCACAATTAAAAGAACTAGAGAAGCAACAGCAAACAAATTCAAAAGCTAGCAGAAGACAAGAAATAACTAAGATCAGAGCAGAACTGAAGGAGACAGAGAAACAAAAAACCCTTCAAAAAAATCAGTGAATCCAGGCGCTGGTTTTTTGAAAAAATCAAGAAAACAGACTATTAGCAAAACTAATAAAGAAGAAAAGAGAGAAGAATCAAATAGATGCAATAAAAAATGATAAAGGGGATCTCACCACTGATCCCACAGAAATACAGCTACCATCAGGGAATACTATAAACACCTCTATGCAAATAAACTAGAAAATCTAGAAGAAACGGATACATTCCTGGACACATACATCCTCCCAAGACTAAACCAGGAAGAAGTTGAATCTCTGAATAGACCAATAACAGGTTCTGAAATTGAGGCAGTAATTAATAGCTTACCAGTCAAAAAAGGTCCAGGACCAGACGAATTCACAGCTGAATCCCACCAGAGGTACAAAGAGGAGCTGGTACTATTCCTTCTGAAACTATTCCAATCAATAGAAAAAAAGGGAATCCTCCCTAACTCATTTTATGAGGCCAGCATCATCCTGATATCAAAGCCTGGCAGAGACACAACAAAAAAAGAGAATTTTAGGCCAATATCCATGAATGAACATGGATTAGAAAATCCTGAATAAAATACTGGTGAACTGAATCCAGCAGCACATCAAAAAGCTTATCCACTACAATCAAGTTGTTTTCATCCCTGGGATGCAAGGCTGGTTCAACATATGCAAATCAATAAACATAATGCATCACATAAACAGAACCAATGACAAAACCACATGATTATCTCAACAGATGCAGAAAAGACCTTTGACAAAATTCAACAGCCCTTCATGCAAAAAACTCTCAATAAACTAGGTATTGATGGAACGTGTCTCATAATAATAAGAGCTATTTATGACAAACCCACAGCCAATATCATACTGAATGTGCAAACACTGGAAGTATTCCCTTTGAAAACCAGCACAAGACAGGGATGCCCTCTCTCACCACTCCTATTCAACATAGTGTTGGAAGTTCTGGCCAGGACAATCAGGCAGGAGAAAGAAATAAGCATATCCAATTAGGAAAAGAGGAAGTCAAATTGTCTCTGTTTGCAAATGACATGATTGTATATTTAGAAAACCCCATCGTCTCAGCCCAAAATCTTCTTAAGCTGATAAGTAACTTCAGCAAAGTCTCAGGATACAAAATCAATGTGCAAAAATCACAAGCATTCCTATACACCAATAACGCAGAGCCAAATCATGAGTGAACTCCCATCACAATTGCTTCAAAGAGAATAAAATACCTAGGAATCCAACTGACAAGGCATGTGAAGGACCTCTTCAAGGAGAACTACAGACCACTGCTCAGTGAAATAAAAGAGGACACAAACAACTGGAAGAACATTCCATGCTCATGGTTAGGAAGAATCAATATCGTAAAAATGGCCATGCTGCCCAAGGTAATTTATAGATTCAATGCTATTCCCTTTAAATACCACTGACTTTCTTCACAGAATTGGAAAAAACTACTTTAAATTTCATATGGAACCAAAAAAGAGCCTGCATAGCCAAGACAATCCTAAGCAAGAAGAACAAAGCTGGAGGCATCACACTACTCGATTTCAAACTAGACTACAAGGCTACAGTAACCAAAGCAGCATGGTACTGGTACCAAAAACAGAGATATAGACCAATGGAACAGAACAGAGGCCTCAGAAATAACACCACACCTCTACAACCATCTGCTCTTTGACAAAGCTGACAAAAACAAGAAATGGGGAAAGGATTCCCTATTTAATAAATGGTGCTGGGAAAACTGGCTAGCCATATGTAGAAAGCTGAAACTGGATCCCTTCCTTACACCTTATACAAAAATTAACTCAAGATGGGTTAAAGACTTAAACGTTAGACCTAAAACCATAAAAAGCCTAGAAGAAAACCTAGGCAATACCATTCAGGACATAGGCATGGGGAAACACTTCATGACTAAAACACCAAAAGCAATGGCAACAAAAGCCAAAATTGACAAATGGGATCTAATTAAACTAAAGAGCTTCTGCACAGCAAAAGAAATTATCATCAGAGTGAACAGGCAACCTACAGAATGGGATAAAATTTGTGCAATCTATCCATCTGACAAAGGGCTAATATCCAGAATCTACAAGGAACTTAAACAAATTTACAAGAAAAAAAACAAACAACCCCATCAAAAAGTGCGTGAAGGATATGAATAGACACTTCTCAAAAGAAGACATTTATTCAGCCAACAGACATATGAAAAAATGGTCATCATCACTGGTTATCAGAGAAATGCAAATCAAAACCACAATGAGATACCATCTCACACCAGTTAGAATGGTGATCACTAAAAAGTCAGGAAACAACAGATGCTGGAGAGGATATGGAGAAATAGGAATGCTTTTACACTGTTGGTGGGAGTGTACATTAGTTCAACCACTGTGGAAGTCAGTGTGGTGATTCCTCAAGGATCTAGAACTAGAAATACCATTTGACCCAGCAATCCCATTACTGGGTATATACCTGAAGAATTATAAATCATTCTACTATAAAGACACATGCACACGTATGTTTATTGCGGCACTACTCACAATAGCAAAGACTTGGAACCAACTCAAATGTCCATCAATAATAGACTGGATAAAGAAAATGTGGCACATATACACCCATGGAATATTATGCAGCCATAAAAAAGGATGAGGTCATGTCCTTTGTAGGGACATGGATGAAGCTGGAAACCATCATTCTCAGCAAAATACCACAAAAACAGAAAACCAAACACCACATGTTCTCACTCATAAGTTGGAGTTCAACAATGAGAACACATGGACACACAGAGTGGAACATCACACACCAAGGCCTGTTGGGGGTGGGGGTCTGGGGGAGGAATAGCATTAGGAGAAATACCTAATGTAAATGACGAGTTGATGGGTGCAGCAAACCAACATGGCTCATGTATATCTATGTAACAAACCTGCACATTGTGCACATGTACCTTAGAACTTAAAGTATAAAAATTAAAAAAAGAAAAAAGAAACCTATCAAGACTTTAGTTACTAGAATTGTCATACACAAGTATAAAACAGCTATGTTTACTTTGCTTAAAGCAGTAACAGATAAACTTGAAAATGTCTGCAGGAAATAGAAAACCTTAAGACAGAGCAGATTTGAAAAAGACTATATCCAACTTTTAGAAATAAAATATATAATTTTTAAATGTACACAATGAACAATCAAATATATAGAAATTAAATATATATAATTTCTTTTGAAAAAGAGTTTTGCTCTGTCGCCTAGGCTGGAGGACAGTGGCACAATCTTAACTCACTGCAACTTCCACCTACTGGGCTCAAGCCATCCTCCCACCTCAGCCTCTCATGTAGTTGGGATCACAGGCATGCGTCACCATGCCCAGCTAATTTTTGTACTTTTTGTAGAGACTGGGTTTCACCATTTTGCCCAGGCTGGTCTGAAGCTCCTGGGCTCAAGCAATCCACCTGCCTCAGCCTCCCAAAGTGCTGAGATTACAGGATGAACCAACGCACCTGACCTAAGATATGTAATTTTATATATAAAATAAAAAATACAAGAAAATATTTAAAACAAAAACTCAATGGATAGGTAGAAAAGTAAATTAGACATACATGAAGAGATGAAAAGAAATCACATAGAATGAAGCATAAACAGATATAAAGATGAAAAATATCAAGGAAATGCTAAAGAGACATGGAAGATAGAGTGAAAACATATAATATTTACTTGTAATTCTAGAATGAGAGAAAAGAGAGAATGGGGTAGATGCAATATTTTACAAGATTATGGCTAAGAATTTTTCAGAATTGATGAAAGGCACTAATCTACAAATTCAATAAACAATGAATTTCAAGAAAGATGAATAAAAAGAAATCCATATCACAACACATGATTAGTAGAACTAAGTAACACTAAAAAAAATTCAGCTCACTTTCAAAAGCAAAAGGCAGTTAGATAGAAAGCTGGCTTCCTAACAGCAATGAGAGTCAGAGGACAGGGGATTGGCATTGTGGTTGGAAAGAAAATAACTCCCAACCTAGACTTCTGCATCGAGATAAAATATCTTTTAAGATTGAAGCCCAAATAAAAACATTTTCAGACAAATGAATAAGTAAGCAAGCAAAGAAACAAAAATTGAGTTTGCACAACATGGCACATGTATACATATGTAACAAACCTGCACGTTGTGCACATGTACCCTAGAACTTAAAGTAAAAAAAAAAAATATATATATATATAGCAAAAAAAAGATACTATCTTAAATAAGCTAATATAACTCAGTAATCACTATAAAAAATTGAGTTTGTCACTAAGAGAACTTCAACAAAAGAAATTCTAAAAGATATATTTCAGGCCAAAGGAAAATGATATAAAGTCTGAGATGAAAGATACATCAAAGAGTAAAGAAAATAGTAAATATGTGAGTAAATCTGAAAGAAAGAAAAAGAAAAATGGTAGAAATTGGTATTCTTTGGAGTTAAAAAATGTAGAATTACATGACAAACATAATTCAAGAGAAGAGTAAATGGAATAAAATAATTTAAGGTCTTTGGGAAAAGACTGTAAGTATTGATTAGCTTTATACTTTGATAAGCTAAGTTTGCATGTTGTAATTCCTAAGGTAAAAACAAAAGAAATAGCATTTGACTTTCAAACCTAGGAGAAAAACCAACAACAAATAATAAAAGTAACAGAAAAAGAAAAGAAGGAGAAGAAACATTGAATAGGCAGGACAAATAGAAAATATGAAATAAGATAATAAACATAAATATATTTTAATTATTACATTATTAATGGACTAAATGTTCCAGTTAGAGGACAAAGATTGTCATACTGGACAATAAAACAAAGCCCAACTACAGGTTTACAAAATAAACATCGAAGACAAAGATATAGAAAGATTGAAAAAAGAATAGTGGGACCTCTCACAAACACTAACTAAAATAAAGCTAATGTAGTATAGTCATAATAATTAGATTTTAGGACAAAAAGCATTAGTAGTGATGTAAAGGAACTTTTATGATGAAATCAGGAAGACGTAAGATTGAATTTGTGCCTAATAACATAACCTCAAAATAAATTAAAATGGACAGAACTAAAAGGAGAAATAAACACATTGACAGTCATAGAGGGAGAGTTTATTTGATGTGTGTGTGTGTGTTTGCAGAACAATTGTTGCCTAGAGATGGAGATTTTAACATCTCTCTTTCAGTAATTGATAGAATAAGGGGAAAAATCAGTACAGATATAGATGATTCAAACAGTATAATTAATATATCTAACATATGCACAAAAAATACTCTGACCATAATGTAATTTAGGTACAAAGCATTCCCAAAGACATAACTAGAAAAAAACCCTTTCTGTTTAGAAATTAAGAAACACATTTTAAAATAATTCATGCATCAAAGAAACCACCTGAAAATTATAAAACATTTTGAACTGAATGAAAATAAACATTAACATACAAGTTTGGTCTCAGGAAGAAATTTAGACAGAAGATAGACTTTGGATTAAACAGCCTATAAGTGGTAACTGTAGATAAGCAGATGAATTCAACCAGCGAGTACATGTAGAAAAAGGCCAATTCTAGAACATTAAAATCTTTTACTTCTTTCTTTAAAATTGATGCATAATAGATGTACTTTTTTTGGGCAACATGTGGCAATTTAATACATTCACATATTTTGTAAAGATCAAATCAATATAATTGGGATATCCGTCACCTTAAATATTTGTCTTTTCTTTATGCTAGAACAATTTCAATTCTCTTCTAGCTGTTTTGAAATATACAATGGATTACTATAAACTATAGTCACTCTGCTGATCTGTCTAACACTAGGTCTTATTTCTTCTATCAAGCTGTATATTTGCACCCATTAACCAACTTCTGTTCATCCTCCTTCCCCCTTTCCCCTCTCAGCCTCTGGTAACCACCAATCTATTCTCCATTTTCATGAGATCCACTTTTTAAGCTATTACATATGGATGAGATATTTGCCTTTCTGTGCTTGGGTTATTTTACTGAACATAATGGCCTTCAATTCCATCCATGTTGCTGCAAATGACATCATTTCATTCTTTTTTTTATAGCTGAATAGTAGTCCATTATGTATATGTACCACATTTTCTTTATCCATTCATCCATTGCTGGGCCCTTAGGTTGATTCCATATTTTGGCTATTGTGAATAGTGCTGCAATAAACATGGGAGTGCAGATGTCTTTTGGACACATTGATTTCTTTTTTTTTTTTTTTTTTTTTTGGCTATATACCAAGTAGTGGAATTGCTGGATCATATGGTAGTTGTATTTTCAGTTTTTTGAGGTACCTCCCACCAACAGTGTATGAGGGTTCCCCTTTCTCCAGATCCTTGCTGGCGTCTGTTATTGCCTGTCTTTTAGATAAAAGCCATTTTAACTGGGGTGAGCTATCTCCTTATAGTTTTAATTTGCATTTCTCTAAGATTAGTGATGTTGAGCATGTTTTCATATACCTGTTAGCCATTTATAGGTCTTCTTTTGAGCAGTCTACTCAGATCTTTTGCCTTTTATTTTTTTGCTGAGATGTTTGAGCTCCTTATATAATCTGATTATTAATCCCTTGTCCAGATGGGTAGTTTGCAAAAATTTTTTCCTATTCTGTGGATTGTCTCTTCACTTTGTTAATTGTTTTTTGTTTTTGTTTTTCTCTATGGAAGCTTTTCAGCTTGATGTAATCCCATTTATCTATTTTTGCTTTGGTTGCCGGTGATTTTGAGGTCTTACCCCAAAAATCTTTGCCAAGACCAATCTTCTGGAGCATTTCTCCAATGTTTTCTTCTACTATTTTCATAGTTTGTGGTCTTAAGTTTACGTCTTTAATCCATTTTTTTTGGTGGTATGGTGAGAAATTAGGTGTCTAGTTTCATTGTTCTGCATCTGTTATCCAGTTTTCCCAGCACCATATATTGATGAGACTGCCCTTTTCCAATTGTATGTTCTTGGTGTCTTTGTGGAAAATGAGCTACTGTAAATGCATAGATTTATATCTGGGTTCTCTATTCTGTTCTATCAGTCTACGGCTGGGACTGCATGCTCCATGGAGCTGCAGGAGCTGGGAACAGGCAGAAGCCTCACTCCCTTGTGAGTTGACAGGGCAGGAGCTTCGTGCTCCCAGGGTGCAGCTGCAGTTGCCCAGCCGTAGTTATGTACCCAGGCATCCCTGTGCTTTTGGGGGCTGGGAGCAGGCAGGAACCCTGCCCTCCCAGGTGCAGCTGCAGCCACCCAAACTGCAGCTGTGGACCTGGACATCCCTGTGCTCTTGGGGCCCAGGAAAGTCCCCCTGCTCCTGCAAACTCAGAAATGCCTGCTCCTGCTGCCTGGCCTCTCCCTGCTCCTGGTGCCTGCTCAAATCTTGGAACAAAGACAAGACTGAGCCCAGGGGCTGTCATAACCCACCTGGGTATGTGCATGCTTGGGGCTGTGCTGACATGCTAGCTCCCTGCCACCTTGGCCACCTCTGGACTTTGGGCCAGAGCATGGGAGGGAGGCTGAGGGGGAGGGGAGGGCAGCTCAGTACTGACTTGCAGGGTCCCATCTGGCATGAACAGCCTGGGTGCCATGAACAGTGGCAGAAGGCAGACAGGATCTGGGGCAGAAAGGGGCAGGTCCCCAGTGAAGCCTCACTTTCAAGCTGGGGAAGGCCTGAAGCCTGGGGGTTGGGCTGCCAGTCCCACATACCAAAGTGGGAACTTATAGTGCTTTTTCCAGGTCCTCCCATGGCTGCCTATGGACCATTCAGCATGCATTTTCTCCTCTCTGAAGTCCATAAAAACCCCGTACTCAGCCAGGCTCAGGGAGACGACAGGATGACTAGTCGTAGAGAGGAGCTCCTCACCCCAGGGTCTCCTCTCTGCTGAGAGCTGAAGAGACGTCAGGACAACCAGCAGTAGAAAGGAGCTACTGATACGGTTTGGCTGTGCCCCCACCCAAATCTCATCTTGAATTGTAGCTCTCATAATTCCCATATATTGGGGCAGGGACCCAGTGGGAGATAATTAATTCATGGGGGTGGTTTCCCCCATACTGTTTTCATGGTAGTGAATAAGTCTGATGAGATCTGATGGTTTTATAAGGGGAAACCCCTTTCACTTGGCTCTCATTCTGTCTTGCTACCACCTTGTAAGAGGTGTCTTTCAGCTTCCACCATGATTGTGAGGCCTCCCCAGCCACATGGAACTATGAGTCCATTAAACCTATTTTTCTTTATAAATTACCCAGTCTTGGGTATGTCTTTATCAGTAATGTGAGAACAGATGAATACAGTAAGTTGGTACTGGGAGTGGGGCGCTGCTGTAAAGATACCCCAAAATGTGGAAGCGACTTTGGAACTGGGTAACAGGCAGAGGTTGGAACAGTTTGGAAGGCTCAGAAGAAGACAGGAAAATGTGGGAAAGTTTGGAACCTCCTAGAGACTTGTTGAATGGCTTTGCCCAAAATGCTGATAATGATATAGACAATGAAATCCAGGCTGAGGTGGTCTCAGATGGAGATGAGGAACTTGTTGGCAATTGGAGTAGAGGTGACTCTTGTTGTGTTTTAGCAAAGAGACTGGCAGCATTTGCCCCTGCCCTAGAGATTTCTGGAACTTTGAACTTGAGAGAGATGATTTAGGGTATCTGGAAGAATAAATTTCTAAGCAGCAAAGCACTCAAGAGGTGATTTGGGTGCTGTTAAAAGCATTCAGTTTTAAAAGAGAAACAAAGCATAAAAGTTCAGAAAATTTGCAGCCTGACCATGCAACAGAAAAGAAAAACCCATTTTCCGAGGATAAAGTCAAGCTGCCTCCAGAAATTTGCATAAGTAACAAGGAGCCAAATGTTAATCCCCAAGACAATGGGAAAAATGTCTCTAAGGCATGTCAGAGGTCTTCACGGCAGCCCCTCCCATCACAGTCTTGGAGGCCTAGGAGGAAAAAAAATGGTTTTGTGGACAGGACCCAGGGTATCCCTGCTGTGTGCAGCCTAGGAACTTAGTGCTGTGTGTTCCAGCTACTCTGGCCATGACTAAAAGGGATGAAGGTACAGCTTGGGCCATGGCTTCAGACAGTGCAAACCCCAAACCTTGGCAGCTTCCATGTGGTGTTGAACCTGTGGGTGCACAGAAGTCATAATAATGGTTTGAGAACTTCCACTTAGATTTCAGAGGATGTATGGAAATGCTTGTATGTCCAGGCCAGGGGTGTGCTGCAGGGTGGAGCCCTAATGGGGAACCTCTGCTAGGGCAGTGCAGAAGGGAAATGTGGGGTTGAAGCCCCCACACAGAGTCTTCACTGGGGCACTGCCTAGTGGAACTGTGAGAAGAGGGCTACCATCCTCCAGACCCCAGAATGGTAGATCCACCAACAGCTTGCACTGTGTGCCTGGAAAAGCCACAGACACTAAACACAAGCCTGTGAAAGCAGCCAGGAGGGCTGCTGTACCCTGCAAAGCCACAGGGGTGGAGCTGCTCAAGACCATGGAACCCACCTCTTGTATCAGCATGACCTGAATATGAAACATGGAGTCAAAGGAGATCATTTTAGAGCTTTAAGATTTGACTGCCCCACTGAATTTTGGACTTGCATGGGGCCTGTAGCCCTTTGTCTTTGCCAATTTCTCCCATTTGGAATGGCTGTATTTACCCAATGCCTGTACTCTCATTGCATCTAGGAAGTAACATGCTTTGGGATTTTATAGGCTCATAGGTGGAAGGGACTTGCCTTGTCTCAGATGAGACTTTGGACTATGGACTTTTAGATTAACGCTGAAATGAGTTAAGACTGGGGGACTGTTGGGAAGGTATGATTGGTTTTGAAATGTGATAACATGAGATTTGGGAGGGGCCAGGTGTGGAATGATATGGTTTGGGTGTGTCCCCACCCAAATCTCATCTTGAATTGTATCTCCCAGAATTCCCACATATTGCAGGAGGGACTTGGTGAGAGATAATTAAATAATGGGGGCAGTTTCCTCCATACTATTCTCTCATGGTTTTATAAGGGAAAATCCCTTTCACTTGGCTCTCATTCTCTCTTGCTGCTGCCAAGTAAGACATGCCTTTAGCCTTCCACCATGATTGTGAGGCCTCCCCAGCCATGTGGAACTGTGATTCCATTAAATCTCTTTTTCTGTATAAATTACCCAGTCTTGGGTATGTCTTTATCAGCAGTGTGAGAACAGACTAATATAGCTGCCACTCCAGGATCTCCTCTCTGCTGAGAGCTGAGCAGATGTTGGGGCAACCAACTGCAGAGAGGAACTACCCATTACAGGGTCTCCTCTCTGCTGAGAGCTGAACACTCATCAGGACACCATGGCTGTGGAGAGAAGTTATCTACTGTGAGTCTCCTCTGGGCTGTTCTATCACTCAGTAAAGCTCCTATTCGCCTTGCCCACCCTCCACTTGTCTGTGTACCTTATTCTTCCAGGGCGCAGGACAAGAACTCAGGACCCACCAAATGGCGGGGATGAAAGAGCTCTAACACAAACAGGGCTGATACATGCCCCTTGCTCACCATATTGCAGGGAGAAAAAAGAAAGAAAAGCTGCAGCCCTTTGGGGATCCCAGACCTAGTAGCTCCTTAAGCCAGGGCTGTGACATCCTCTTTGGGGCTCTGCAGTTCCTGGCATCTCCAAGCTTCTGGGCCCCACCACATTCCCCAATGTCAGCTGTGGAAGTAGCTTGTGGGATGACTGGTCCAGCCACAGCCTTGCAGAGAGCTGGTGCTTGTGCTGGTTCCTGGAGCTGCCCATCCTGCTGCAGTTAGCATGCCTGGCTGTGCGCAGTGGCTGGACCTCAAGCTCACTCGCTCACTCACACACCCCCTGCTGCTCCTTTCACCCTTGACAGGCATGGGATCCAAGCTGGTAGCATGAACCAAGTGCAGTCTGCCAAGCTGAATGGGCCCAGTGGGCCTGAGAAAAACTCTGGCAAAGGCACCATTGGCCACAGAGGTTTCTGGTTGGTGAAGCAACACCCCAAGGATCCCATAAGAGTACCATGCTGATTTGGCTACTCTAGCTCTGCAGTAAATTTTGAAGTCAGGAAGTGTGATGAGCTGAAAGGTTTTTTTGTTGTTGTTGTTCAGGATTGCTTTGGCTATTTGGGGTCTTCCATGGTTCCATATAAACTTTAGGATTTTTTTTCTATTTCTTTGAAGAATGTCATTGGTATTTTGATAGGGATTGTATTGAATCTGTAAATTGCATTGGGTGGTACTGTCAGTTTAACAACATTAATTCTTCCAACCCATGAGCATGGAATGGCTTTCCTTTTTTTGTGGTCTCTTCAATTTTTTTCATCAATGTTTTATAGTTTTCCTTGCATGGATTGTTAGCTTCTTTGTTTAAATTGATTCCTAGGTATTTTCTATTCTTTGTAGCTATTGTAAAAGAGATTGCTTTCTTGATTCCTATTTCAGATTGTTTGCTCGTGGCATATATAAATCCTATTGATTTTTGTATGTTGATTTTGTATCTTGCAACTTTACTGAATGTTTATGAGTTCTAGTAGTTTTTTTTTTTAAGTCTTTAGGTTTTATTTCTTTCTCTTGCCTTAGTGTTGTGGTCAGGACTTCCAGTACTATGTTGAGTGGAAATGGTGAAAATGGGCATCCTCTTCTTGTTACAGACTTTAGAGGAAAGGCCTTTAATTTTTCCCCTTTTAGTACAATGTTAGCTGTGGGTTTGTCATATGTGGCCTTTATTTTGAGGTATGTTCCTTCTATACTCAGTTTGATGAGGTTTTTTTATATAAAGGACATGAATTTTATCAAATGCTTTTTGGCATCTATTGAAATAATCACAGTTTTTGTTCTTGGTTCTATTAATGTGATGTGTCATGTTTATTGATTTGTGTATATTGAGCCATCCTTGAATCCCTGTGATAAATTCTACTTGATCATGGTGAATGATCTTTTAAATGTGTTCTTAAATCAGGTTTGCTAGTATTTTGTTGAGGATTTTTGCATCTATGTTCATCAGTGATATTGGCCTGGAGTTTTATCTTTGTGTCCTTATCTGGTTTGGTATCAGCATAACACTGGCCTTGTAGAATGAATTTGGAAGTATTCCCTCTTCTTCAATTTTTATTTTTTGAAGAGTTTGAGTAGAATTTGTAGTTGTTCTTTTTAAAATGCTTGGTAGAATTCAGCAATGAAGCTCTTGGTTCTGGGCTTTTCTTTGATGGTAGACTTTTTATTACAGCTTTGATCTCACTACTTTTTATTGGTTTGTTGAGGTTTTCTATATTTTTCATGATTCAGTCTTGGTAGGTTGTATATGTCCAGGAATTTA
The DNA here is from genome assembly GCF_000001405.40 of Homo sapiens. Classification (NCBI taxonomy): domain Eukaryota; kingdom Metazoa; phylum Chordata; class Mammalia; order Primates; family Hominidae; genus Homo; species Homo sapiens. Next base: position 82,941,053 of record NC_000011.10, on the reverse strand, counting down.
CCCATTTCTTCTTGGTTTTCCAGTTTGTTGGTGTGTAGTTGTTCATAATAGTCTGATTCTCTGTATTTCTGTGGTCTCTGTTGTCTTGTTTCTAATATTATTCGTCTGGTTCTTCTTTCTCTCTCTTTTTTGTTGTTAGTGATATGGCATGAATCTGTGTCCCCACCAAATCTCATGTTGAATTGTAATCTCCAGTATTGGAGGTAGGGACTGGTGGGAGGTGACTGGATCATGGGGGTGGATCTTTCATGAGTGGTTTACCACCATCCACTTGGTGCTGTTCTCGTGATGGTGAGTTATCATGAGATCTGGTTGTTTAAAAGTGTGTAGCACTCCTGCCCCCTACTCTTGCTCCTGCTCCCACCATGTTTGCCTTCTGCCTTAAGCAAAAGCTCCCTGAGGCCTCCCCAGAAGCAGATGCTGTCATGCTTCCTGTAAAGTCTGAGAACGGTGGGCCAATTAAGCCTCTTTTCTTACAGATTACCCAGGCTCACATATTTCTTTATAGCAGTGTGAGAATGGACTAATACAATTAGTCTAGCTAAAGGTTTGTTGGTTTTGTTTCTTTTCAAAAAACCATTTTTTTTTTCATTGATCTTTTGGGCTTTCTTTAAGTCTCAATTTCATTTATTTCTGCTCTGATCTTTATTATTTCTTTCCTTCTACTAATTTTAGGTTTGTTCTTGCTTTCCTAATTCCTTTAGGTACATCATTAAGTCATTTATTTGAATCTTTTGACTTTTTTTCATACAGGTGTTTATTGCTATAAACTTCTTAGTACTGCTTTTGCTATGTCCCATAGATTTTCATATATTGTATACCCACTTTCATTTGTATACCCACCATCATTTTAAGTTTCTTTTTTTTTGAGACGGAGTCTCACTCTATTGCCCAGGCTGGAGTGCAATGGCGTGATCTCGGCTCGCTGCAACCTCTGCCTCCCGGGTTCAAGCAATTCTCCTGCCTCAGCCTCCTGAGTAGCTGGGATTATAGGCATGCGCCACCACACCTGGCTAATTTTTGTATTTTCAATAGAGACAAGGTTTGACCATGTTGGCCAGGCTGGTCTTGAACTCCTGACCTCGTGATCTGCCCACCTTGGTCTCCCCAAGTGCTGGGATTACAGGCATGAACCACCGTGCCTGGCCTAAAATTTCTTTCTTAATTTCTTTATTGACCTGTTGGTTGTTCAGGAGAATGTTTAATTTCCATGGAAATTAATTTTGTAAAGTTTCTGAGGTTCCTTTTGATATTGATCTCTTGTTTTATTCCATTGTGGTGAGAAAAGATACTTAATATGGTTTTTACCTTTTTTTGAATTTGTTCAGACTTGTTTGGTGGCTTAAGACATGGTCTATTCTTGAGAGTGTTATGTGATGTTGAAAAGTATGTGTATTCTGCAGCACCTGGGTGAAATGTTCAGTATGTGTCAGATAGGCCTTATTAGGTGTTTTCCATCTAGATGATCTGTTCATTCCTGAGAATGGGGTATTAAAGTCCTCTACTATTATTTTTAGAGACAGTGTCTCACTCCGTTGCCTAGGCTGGAGTGCAGTGGTGTGGTAGCTCACAGTAACCGTGAACTCCAGTAGTGGCTCATTGTAACCATGAACTCCTGGGCTCAAGTGATCCTCCTACCTAAGCCTCCCAAGAAGCTGGGGCTACAGGTGCACACCACCATGCCCAGCTAACTTTTACAATTTTTTGTGGAGATGGGGTCTTCTTTTTTGGAGATGGGGTTTTGGAGATGGGGTTGACCAGGTTGGTCATGAACTCCTGGCTTCAGGTGATCCTCTACTTCAGCCTCCCAAAGCACTGAGATTGTAGGCATAAGCCACTGTGCCCAGCCCCTTACTATTATTGCATTACTGTTTATCTTTCCTTTAGCTCTATTAATGTTTGCTTTACATACTTGAAAGTTCTGATGTTGGGTGCATAGATATTTTTAAAGGTTATACCCTCTTGCTGAATTGACCTATTCATCATTATGTAGTGATTTTTTTTGGTCTCTTTTAACGTTCCTTGATTTGTCTTCTATTTTATCTAAGTATAGCTACTCTTGTTCTTTTTTTGGCTTTCAGTTGCATGGAATATCTTTTTCCGCCCATTCACTTTTAATCTACATATGTCTTTATAGGTGAAGTGGGTTTCCTGTAGTTAGCCCTTGTTTCTCTATCCATTCAGACACTCTATAAGAGGCACCATCATTGGGCTGAGCATGGCAGCTCAACCCTGTAATCCCGGCATGTTGGGAGGTTGAGGTGGGAGGATTACTTGAGCCCAGTAGTTCGAGAGCAGCCTGGACAACACAGGGAGACTCTGTCTTCCACAAAATATTTAAAAAATTGGCCAGGAAAGGTGGCTCATGCCTGTAATTTCAGCATTTTGGGTGGCCGAGGCAGGCAGATCACTTGAGCTCAGGAGTTCGAGACCAGCCTGGGCAACACAGCAAGACTCTGTCTCTACAAATAATAATAAAAAAAATTAGCTGGGCATGGTGGTGCACGCTTGTAGTCCCAGCTACTCAAGAGGCTGAGGTGGGAAGATTGCTTGAGCCCGGGAGGTGGAGGTTGCAGTAAGCCAGGACTGTGCCACTGCACTCCAGCCTGGATAACAGAGTGAGATCCTGCCAAAACACAAAAAACAAAACAAAAAAAGGCACTATCTTTTTAAAACAGGCAAATAAGGAGGCACAAAAGGACAATAAGGAGGGATGATAAGAAAGTACCTCTGAGGCCTGGGTGAGAGGGGATCCTGTCACAGCCCTCTACGCTTCAGGGAGACTAAGGCTTTGGAATGCCTTCCTCAAGTTTCCTTCTAAATTCTCCTCTAGCGCCTGGTAGAAGTCCACCCTGAGCCTGGACCTGGTCCCACGTGGGAGCTAGTTGCCAGAAGTGCCTCCCTCGAAATTTTCTAAGTCTCACTTTTGTGCTTGTGACAGTGCCATTTATCCCATTTGAGGTATTCTCCAACCCTCTACATCATGTTTGGTGTGTACCAAATGTCCTGAGGAGCTTGGGACTTGCGCCTATGAAATCAAACCTGGGTCATTCCCATTGGCTGAGGCAATAGTGCTTTCATAAAATAGTACAAGATTGGGCTGCCAGAATGGTGCTGACATATTTTTAGGTGACTCTCAAATTCATTTAGGTGACTCTCACAAGTTCAGGGTTGTGGCTACCAAAGGTCACCACTGGTCCTTGGGATTGAGTTCTGTGTGTAGGCCTGTGCATTGGCTCTCCCTGGTCTGTGAGGGTAGTGGCAGCTGTTATTTACCCTGTCTGCCTCCAGCCACTGACACCAGGAAGGTCACCCTTCCCCCTTCTGCAGGCCATGCCTATCTTCTCTGAGGCCTTTTAAGACTGTTGGTCCACAATGCCAGTGGGCACTTCCAATCAATGTCCTCTCATTTCCAGTTGATAGTGACACTGTGATTTCCAGATTAGGCGTTAAGCCATGCTGATGGAGGAATAGATATTCTTTGCACAAATGGAACCGCTCTTGTTGCTCCAACCACAGAGCAAGGATAGGCTCTTGCCTATCCTTCCAGGGTGCAGCCAACATTGAAAGAGATCACAGTATAGGAGTGCAGTAATTGCAGCCTAAAATGTTCAAAAGACTGCATGGTTGGGAAGCAATATTTAGTACAAATGGTAAATAGGACCAAAAAATGGATTATTATTTATTTTCCTGCACACTCTGGGTAGGACTTGCTTTTCGGTAGTCACCAGCAAAGTATAGTAACAACCTTTGAGAGATCATTGGAAACCAGTATTCACAGTAGCACAACGGATGCTGCATCACAGAGGAACTAGCATTAAACAAATGACATTAGGTAACTGCTAAGGCAAGATCTATATAGCTCAACAAAAACAGTTTCTGAAGTCATGACATTGTAAATACTAACAGCATCGTTACTCTTTTATCACAGAGGGAGGTATGAAATTAGCCAGGAATAGAACATCTGACAAAAAGAACACAGACTATTTCCTAGTCCCAAAGACTAGGAAACAGTCTAGAAAGAATTAAGAATCTTTGTATGAAATGATTGGACAATAAATATGCACCAGTTTTTTTGAGACAGGGTCGCCCAGGCTGGAATGCAGTGGCGCAATCTCAGTTCACTGCAAGCTGCACCTCTTGGGTGCACCTTAGCCTCCCAAGTAGCTGGGACTACAGGCGTGTGCCACCACACCTGGCTAATTTTTTGTAGAGATGAGGTTTTGCCATGTTGCCCAGGCTGGTCTTGAATTCCTAGACTCAAGCAAGCCTCCTGCCTCGGCCTCCCAAAGTGCTGGGATTACAGGCATAAGCTACCAGACGTGGCTTGTTTTTCTTTCCATAGGAAAAATAAAAATTCTTGAGTCTGTAGTGATAGAAGGAAAAGCAAACTAATTTACCACCACTGACTCTTTACTCTTAAAAAGGAAAAATAAAGTATATTTAACATCGAGATCCGGTGGGCAACATTTTAACCAAGCAATCTAACTTAGCATTACTAATAGTGGAACAACTTGATATTGTGTCTCCTCATGTGTTACAACATAAAGTACACAACATGAGCCATGGAATATCCCTGCCAAAACCTGAATCACATCTAGTCTTTAGGCCTAATTTTCAGGAAATGTGGGGACTGGGGTGGGGTAGAGAAACAATGTACTGATAGTATAAGGAAGCAAACATACCAGTCGAGAATGTGGGACATTCTACAGAACAGTGGTTTGAGGTTTTTTTTCCATAAAGTTACTATTATGTGAAATAAGAGGTGAGGTTCTAGAAAAAGAGACAAGCAAACACTATGGATGAACCTTGATGAAATTCTGGTTAAATAACAATTATAATTTGGGGACAAGTAGAAAAATTTGATTATGGGCTGAATATTAGATATTGGGGATTACTGTTATCTTTCCTTGGTGTGATAATGATACTGTGGCTATGTAGAGAGAAGCCTTTAAGAAAATTTGCACTGAAGAATTTAGGGGTGAAATGTCCTGTCTGCAGCTTACCTTTAAATGGTTTAGCAAAGCAAAACTGTATCTATTTAGACACACAGAAACCAAACACACACACACAAAGGCAAAATGTTTAAAATGATTGAATCTAAATGGTATGTACAGATACCGTATCATTCCGTATCATTGTGCTATTCTTTCAACTTTTTTTTTTTGAGACAGAGCCTCACTCTGTTGCCCAGGCTGGAGTGCAGTGGCAAGATCTTGACTCACTGCAACCTCCGCCTCCCAGGTTCAAGTGATTCTCGTGTCTCAGCCTCCTGAGTAGCTGGGATTACAGGCATGCATCACCATGCCTGGCTAATTTTTGTATTTTTAGTAGAGACAGGGTTTCACCGTGTTGGCCAGGCTGATCTCGAACTACTGACCTTAGGTGATTTGCCCACCTCGGCCTCCCAAAGTGTTGGGATTACAGGCATGAGCCACTGCGTCCGGCCGCTTTCAACTTTTCTGTTTGCAAATTTTCAAAATAAAAAATTGTGGAGAGGGAGAGACACAGTAGGGCAAGAAGGTGAAAATATAGGGGGAATATTTGGTATAAGACCTCAAAGATGGGTGTAATAGATCAATAGTCTAAATGGAAAGATTAGCACTTAGATGGTATTTTCTGAGACTAGAGGAAAGCAGCTGTGGGTGAGTACAGATAGACATGTGGGTAGGTATGGGTGCGAGAAGTTGAGAAAATATCAAGTGATCTCAATATTGTCCATGAAGTAGGAGGCAAGGAGAGTAGCAGTTGCTTTGTGGCATGAAGAAAGTATTGTTTTGGAATGGTTGCTGTGGGGAATGGCAAAGGAACCTGGCCAGGTATATGTGAAAGATTTCACAGGGTGCAGCAGAGCTGCTGCTAAGACTTGAGTGTCTGAAAATTGCTTTTCATTTTTGTTCCTGTTAGCACCCCAAGCTTACCTCCTATCATAGAACCTACCAGATTCTAATTACCTGATTATTCCAATAGCTCATGAGTTTGAGGGAAGGAGCTTGATTTTTATCTTCAGTTTCCAGCACTAAGCACGGCCCTTGGCATGTAGAGTAGGCATTCAGTGTATACGTATTAAATAAAATAGCAACAGTTTCACATACAACTTCTAAATAGCTTTTTTTCTTAAAACGTTTCTTCTTACCCTCAGCTCACTGATGAGTTAGCTGCTTTTCTTCCATGCTCTCATAGCAACGTAAATGTTTGTCATGCCCATTACAAACCCATATCATTGCATCTTCTGCACTGTATTGAAGTTACCTGTTTATCTGTCTTATCCAGCAGACTAACATATTTTAAGATCAGTGATCTTGTAGCTTTCTATCCCAAACTCAGCACACTCATTGGCCTATAATATAGCTGGCATTTTCTGGTCTGAGCTGAACAATTAAAAAAGACTAAGTTTTGGTTTGCAAAGTCTTTATTTCTGGATGTATATGTGATTTTAACAAACATTAATACTTTCAAAAACAATCTTAACAATATTATTAAAGTACAATAAACAGTATAAGATAAAGTGCTCAACTACCTAATCATAGTATTCTAGATAAAACCCTGGGGAAAACAATGGCTTTATATTTTAAAAGGCACAGTAGCTCCCAGCAGAGTCCTGTTTTCAATTTGCTTCTCTCCAAGTGTTCAAAATGTAAAGAATGCTTTCCGTACCCCTGAAGGCAAACATTTCCAAACAGATTTAAAAGTTCAGGAATTGGGTTCAGGTGACTTTTTATGAAAACAATTCAGGTGACCAAGCACTTCGAGTTTCACACACTGAAGGTGGGCCTTTTTCTGAAAATGGAAGGCAACATTTGACTTCTGAACAAGAATCAGGTCCAAGAATAGGGTGCAGCTGAGGTGCTGCTAAGACTTGAATGTCTGGACATTTGGAAATCCAGCCTGAACTTTTACAGTTATATTTATGAGTTTTCTTTTTCGTAACAACTGCTGCAAGCATATTCTTTAATTTCTTCTTAATTAAACCTTTATTGGTTCCTTGTCTAATATGTTTCAGTTTCTTTCTTGGTAACTCTTGTTGATCAGGGAAATGATAGGCAGCAAGGCATTTCCCTAGACCTATGCCTTGGAATCCAAGCATATCTGAAGGAAATATTTTTTGTGTGGTAGGAGGGACCCATTCATCACTATCAGTTTCATGGCACTCAGCAAAAGGGTAGTGATTGAAAACGTCTGGTTGTGAAACACCAGATACAATAGGGCTTCTGATTTTCTGGCTAGGTGTTTTTATATTTTTTGGACAGCTTGGGCTGGCTTGCTGTTTGTCATTTTCAGGGAAAATCCTTATTTTTTCATAGTTACCATCAAGATCTGAATAAAATACAGGTTTTTTGAAAGCTCTGTTTATCCCATGAATTCTTGTTTGGTGGAACCCTGAAATTGGAGTTGACTGTGAACATGGAACAAAGTCTTGACTATTTTCAAAATTATATTCTGAATCTGATTGAAAATGAGGTGTTGGAGAGCATGTTCTTGAATGCCTAGAGTCAGATAGGCTTTGCAAGGATAATTTTTGTGAAGGCTGGATGAAGTCTTCAGAAAGTGATCTCAGTGAAAAATCAGACTCTGAAGGGTGACTTTCTGCCAAAGATGTTCCCCATTTTAACAAAATATCCTGTGATTTTTTGGTAATCTCAGTTGCAATGTCCATTTCTTTAGCAATATCATCAAAGAGATCAGCAGAGGCATCATAGCTACCTTCATAACCAATAGAATAGCTCTGTGTTACGTTGTTATTGATATGTCCCCAAGGCATTTCTTTCAATGTATTTGTACTTCTATTTGGACTATTGCAAAGAGTTTCTAAAGGATATGTAAGTTTCCTGCAAATTGTAAAACTGTCATCTTGGTTCTTGGACCACCTACAATATTGTTTATTTTCTAATTTGCAAAGATCAGAGACATCATTATACTTCCTATAACACAGAGTTGTCAACTTTTCATTCATTTCTGAAACTGATATTTCTCCACATCCATTCAAATATTTGTTATTTAGACTAGAATGGTCACTCTCCCTGTGTGGTGAGATTCTGATAGTCTTCTTAAGAGTAACTATTGTTTCTAAATCTTTTGAAGATGAAGACAGAGCTGACAGGTAAGGATTCGGTAAAAAATATTCTGACATATCTCTTCCATTATGATTTACAGAGACAGCCTCTACTTTGTTATCTGGTTGTGACTCCTTTTCAACACTAGGACTTAGATTTCCTTTACAGTTGAAAAGGAAGTCATCTTTGCTACAGTTTGCTTTGACTATTACTTGTGATGATCTTAAAGCTATAGGTGGTGTATGCAGGGCTCCAGTAGTTCTCTGGGGAGTCACAGATAACCTGCTGTGGTCTGCATGAAATTTATCAATGTCATTATCTACATGATGTTTCCTACTACTGACATCTGCCTGGGTTACAGCAATCTCACTTTCAAGAACTGCCAGAAACTTGTTCAGGCTTTCAGAGAATGGCAGATCATCCCAAATTTGAGGGTCACCATCCTGGGAACTGCTGGCTGTCTCTTCAAGTCTGAGTAACGAAGGTGGACAACATGCAGATCTCTTCTGAAGGCTAGTTGGGGTATCTATACCATGATGCTGAAAACATGGTAGCTCATGCTGGGACCTATTTTTAATTTCCACTGCACTGTGGAAGGATTTTGTATTACTTGACTCAAGGGGCTCTCGCATTTCCAAAGAGAATAAATTAGAGTCATTAACTCCAATTTCATGATGACTGCTGTGAACTGCACTCAGCTCCTTAGCTTGTAAGCCAAGTTCTTTACCCAACTTTTCTGCTGTACTCTTTTTATCCATATATGAAACAAGGCTCCATGAATCCTGAATGGGATCATGGCAGCTACTGGAACCAGTGGCCTCTGCAATGGAGATGGACTTTCTGTTCTGCTGAAGAGTACCAAAGGCCTTACTTTGTTCTGAAGCTGAAAAATCATCATTATCTGTTAGTTGTGAAACAATGCAAGTGAATTCAAGTGATGGCTGCCAGAATTTTGAAAAAGTATCCTTGCTGCAGGACTTGAAAAAATCAGAAGTGCTGTCAGAAGTATATATGCTGCTGAGATCACTATTTGAGTGATCTAAAGCAAGTAAGTGATTGTTAGGTGCCTGAGAGTCACACTGAAGTTTCCTGAAATTAAAAGTCTGCAAAAGTTGATGGAAGTAGTCAATGACAGTAAAGCCTGCAATACCTGGGTCTGGTAGAACAATCTGGCAAGCCACTAGTGCTTTGGCTTTTCTTTTGTGGTCAGAGCATTGCTGTAAGAAGTTACTGGCATCTGAACCTTGTCCAGGTTGGTTTTCAAAATTCTGTGAAAGAAGCAAAGAAATTTAAGTAAGAATAAAATTGTCTTCCATTTACTTAAACATGAAACAGAAATTTAGCCAGGCACAGTGGCTCATGCCTGTAATCCCAGCACTTTGAGAGGCCGAGGCAGGCAGATCACTTGAGCCTCAAGAGTTTGAGACCAGACTGGGCAACATGGTAAAACCTCTCCTCTAAAAAAAATACCCCCACAAAAATTAGCTGGGCATGGTGGCGTGTGCCTGTAGTCTCAGCTACTCAGGAGGCTGGGGTGGGAGATCACCAGAGCCTAGGGAGGTCAAGGCTGCAGTGAGCCATGATCTTGGTACTGCAGTCCAGCCTGGGTGACAGAGTGAGATTCTGTCTCAAAAATAAAATAAAATAAACAGATTTAAAAGGTTAAAACAGATACAACTATTACCTCCATCCCCCAATTCCAATTTCGATTCTGTTAGTTTTATAGGCAAAGTAGCATATGTAAGAGAATATAAACCTTAGAGTAAAGAGCTTGTTTAAACTGATTTGAAGAAATCCTAGTTCCCGCATTTATTAATAGTGTTGAGACTTTGGACAATTTATTTAACCTGAGTCTTCTCCTTTATAAAATAAAAATAAAAATAAAAATGCAGGATTACTGTTTAGTAATAAAATGGAAAACTGCACAGTGCTTAGAAAATAGCAGTGGCTCAATAAATGGCAACTATCATAGTTCTCTTTAGCTAAGGAAAGAGAGGAGGGGAGGGGAGGGGAAAAAGGGGAGGAGGAAAAAGAAGAGAGGAGAGAAAAGGACTGTCTACGATTTTAACAAGTAAAGCTCTGTAGCCGTTGATTCTACCTTCCCTTTGGATTTTTCTCACTCTTCTGTTGTGGAGTCCTCTTTTAAAACCCTGATTCCAGTGTGGAAAAAAATGTCTCTTTGTTCCCTTTAGCATAGATGAGACAGAAAACTATTACTCCTTCAAAGTCAAAGGAGTAACTTCTTTTTTTTTTAACTTCTTCTACAGTCACTTTTATATTTAAGACCATCTTTCTTAATCTAGTTTTAGTATTCTTATCAATACTCAAGATACTTTGCCTTCAGTGTTCCATTATTCTCTTTTATAGAAGACAGAATTAAAAAGCTAGAGAATTGGTGGAAGTTTTACTATAGAATTTGAACAAAATCCGGAGGGCAAAATAAATACTAAATACCAAAAACAAATATCTAACATTTCTAAATATATAATAAATTTATATTTTTAAGCTCTGAAAGCATTTGAAGTAGGCTCCCCTGACTTTCGAAAGAGGAAGTTGTCACACATGGTGTTTTAACAGACCACCTATAGGCTATTTTTACATAGTTTAAAGTGTTTCTACAGGCCTTCACATGTACAGAACTCCTAACAACTATTTAGAAAATTCACATAATTCATTACAATGGAAATGTTAACAGATTATTAAAAAGAAAGCTAGTCTCAATTACCGTCACTCCAAAAATAAAGCTTTGTCCAACAAAGCAAGTTTCAACTGCTTTAGTTAATAGATTCTGAGTTGTATCATTGTCCAGTGTTTCTGGAATTTTATTAGGATCCTGAATGTACCTTGATTGGAAAAAAAGTAAAAAATGTGAAGCAATGAACTTTGAAATTTTACTTGCCATAAAGTCAGAGACACAATTAATTTGAAAATGCAGCATGAACCTTTTATAGAGGAAAAAAAGTGACTTTAAGAGCCAGGCAGTTTGTTCTCTCTAGTTTCTCATAGCACAGAAAAATCAACAAAACCAATTGATCAAGTGGGAGTAAAGTAGTTACCTGCCTAACCATCAGGCCCGGCAATGATTATAAGGAAAAATAAAAGTGGCAGTGGGAATAGTGGTGGCATCTCTAGCTCTTCACTTGAAAGCAGGAAAAAGTCATCCCTTTTCTCTGATAAGCCTGGTTGTGGTCCCTTTATTGTCTCAAGCACAAAAATGTGGACATAGATTTCTTGCATGTGATTAGGGGAGGAGGGCAGAAGACTGAGGGGGAAGAAAAGCTTTTTTTTTTTTTTTTGAGACAGAGTCTCGCTCTGTCTCCCAGGCTGGAGTGCAGTGGTGCAATCTTGGCTCACTACAAGCTCTGCCTCCTGGGTTCATGCCATTCTCCTGCCTCAGCCTCCCGGCGTAGCTGGGACTACAGGCGCCCACCACCATGCCCAGCTAATTTTTTGTATTTTTAGTAGAGATGGGGTTTCACCGTGTTAGCCAGGATGGTCTCCATCTCCTGACCTTGTGATCCGCCCGCCTCGGCCTCCCAAAGCGCTGGGATTACAGGCGTGAGCTACCGCGCCCGGCCAAGAAAAGCTTTAATTGCTTATTCTTATATTCTCAGGACAATGTCGTAAAAGGTCAAACTATGCAAATTAAATTGCAATACAGATAAAAAATAAAATTTCAATTTCTGAAATGCAAATATTCCCTCAAATAGATTCTTCTGCCTCAGGGGAACCTAACTGTTTCAATGCTAACCTCAATTTGGATAATTCTTCAATTTGAAATGATGTTACTTTCTTAGCCTCTATTTCTGTAACTTGGATTAGAGATTTATAACTTAATATTCTAATTACAGATTAATTACCCTAAATAAAAGGAGACTGTTTTAATATCATCATAATATGTATTCAGGAAATAAACATCTTTCTTACTTGCTTGTCTTTTAAAGGAATTGACAATCTGGGGTTGAATGATTATCTTTCTACAAAAATGCATATTGCCTTATAAACTTGTATCTTCAAATTCTAAGGGCAGTCAGGAAAAAGGATGTTTTAAGTATTCTTACCTGTGCAAACCAGTGGCAGTAAGACCAAAAAATGTATCTAAGCAACTTCCAAATACAGTAATAACAAACAATTTGTTTGATTCTGCAACTTTTAAGGAAAGTTTGTATCTGTAATTGGCATTTCCAGATTCACCAGTAGAGCCACATTTTGGACAATTAGACCTAGAAAAGTGGTGGAAAAAAGTGTGGAGATGTTCATTAAATGTTTTTCATATGATGAAAAATCCAGAACAGTAAAAATTTAAAATAACATTTTGTGTATAAATGCTCCTACACAACTCAAATTCTTCTTAAACTCTTTCAGATCAACTTATTTTAAATTTCTCTAGTCAGAATAGTTAGCGTTACTGATTTAAATTAAACAGCCCCAAGTTGATAGAAATACATACCAAATTGATGGAAAACTAAAGGAGAACTGTGCATGAAAGAGAGGACGAAAAGGCCGGGCGCGGTGGTTCACACCTGTAATCCCAGCACTTTGGGAGGCCGAGGCGGGTGGGTCACCAGGTCAGGAGATTGAGACCATCCTAGCTAACACGGTAAAACCCTGTCTCTACTAAAAATACATAAAAATTAGATGGGTGTGGTGATGGGCACCTGTAATCCCAGCTACTTGGGAGGCTGAGGCAGCAGAATGATGTGAACCCGGGAGGTGGATCTTGCAGTCAGCCAAGATCGCACCACTGCACTACAGCCTGGGGGGCAGAGTGACATTCCGTCTCAAAAAAAAAAAAAAAAAAAAAAAAAAAAAAAAAAAAAAAGAGGACAAAAAATAATCTCAAAATATTTAATACCTATTTATACACAAAGCACTTAATTGCATTTTTCTCACCATAATGAAAATTACTTTCTTTAATTCATTAGACTATGTTGATAACTTATCAGATTATAAAATTTGATATGAAAACCATGCAATTTAACTTGTTTTTTTAAGACAGTATGTAATGGTGGCTAAAGGCTTTCTAGTCAAAAAGTACACATCTACATGGCAGTGTAACTCTATTGCCATGTACTCATTGTCTGACAGTTACTAAATTCTTGAGTTCCTCATCTATGAAGTCCAGGGCTGAAGAAGGATTAAAATAGACAAATAAAGGGTCTAGTGCAAATACTGTGAAATTAGTGTTAGTCTGCTTCTCCCTCATAATTATATCAAGTATTGTGATAATTACTGTCACTTGTACTGTTAACTTCTCTTCTAGTTTGCAATGTATTATAACTCTGATTTCTATCTTTCAGGTTCTTAATGTCCACCCCTCAGTTAGGTTAACTTTATTTAACAGACAGAATAGTTTAAAAAATTTTTTTGAAATACAACAAGCACCTAAAAACATTTTATGGTAATGGCTAATACTAGAATTTTGTTTTTTCTTCAGATTGCTAAAGATCTTAAAAAAGAGTGGCAAAAGGCAAACAGAAAGCAAGGTGAAAGATGGTTGTATAAATTTGATTGTTGCCAGATGGCCACTAGGGGGAGTCTAAAATCTGTAGCTCTGAAAGTGACTCACCTTTATTAGATCTGTGCTGTTATTCTTCTGCCATACTGAGGATAGATCTATACCAACCCATTCATATAATCCTATACAAATCTGCTAGAGTTTGTGCTGTAGGTTAGCCATAGAATGAATTAAAGGTAATTGACTCACTAGGGGATAAAACTCCATTAGTACCAAACTCTAGGGAAATGAACTGTTTAAAATATATATTGGAATTTCTTTAAAGGCTATGCAATAATGCATACAGGTTTAATGTAAAATTCCTAGCAAAACTTAGACTAATATGCATTAGCATTCAGTTTACAAATGTTTTCAACATACATTATTTCATTTTTATAGGTAAAATTTACAAATGGGGAAATTAGTTTGAATTTTTATCTGAGATGACAAAGTTGGTAAATATATGACCCAAACCCAAGACTGTGAACTCGTATCATGAAGTTCTGATATTATGATATGATAACAGTGGGACCAAATGGTTAAAATAAAGAACTGCTTGCAATGACAGTATCAATAATAGCCTCAAAAAACTATGTCTATTAGTGTTCATGCATTTACATATTAAACTATATATATTTTTATAAAGTACATATGTATAATGAAGATATTTATTTATATAGTTTTCTTTAATCCTTTTAGGAACGATGCTGGATTAAAATAAATGTTAGTGTGGTGTAATACAGATTAGAGCTTCTCAAACATTAATATGTATACAAATCATCCAGAGATCTTGTTAAAATGAAGATTCTGATTCAGGAAGTCTGGGATGAGGCCCAAGATCCTGCATTTTTAATAAGCTCCCAGGTAATACTGATGCAGATGTACCTTAGGCCATACTTTGAGAAACAAGGATATAGACAACATATTCACATCACCGTCCCGATTTAACTTCTAGAGGCACCCATATTTCTAAAATGTCATTTGTTACAGAATAGCAGTTTTCAAACTTTTTGGTTTCACACTCCTTTAATACTCTTAAAAAATTATTGAGAATATCAAAGAGTTTTGTTTATGTGAATAGTATCTATTTTTTTTATTCAAAAATATTTACTTGGGCCAGGCGTGATGGCTCACACCTGTAATCCCAGCACTTTGGGAGGCTGTGGCGGGCAGACCACTCAAGCTCAGGAGTTCGAGTCCAGCCTGGGAAACATGGCAAAACTGTGTCTCTACAAAAAATACAAAAATTAACGAACGTGGTGGCATGCGCCTGTAGTCCCAGCTACTTAGGAAGCTGAGATGGGAGGATTGCTTGAGCTCAGGCGGCAGAGGTTGTGGTGAGCTGAGATTGTGCCATTGAACTCCAGTCTGGAGGTGACAGAGCCAGACCCTGTCTCAAAAAAAAAAAAAAAAATTACTTGCCAAAGATTGAATATATTCAAGGTATACAACATGGTGATTTGAAATACGTCTACACTGTATAATGATTACCATAGTCAAAATTTTTTTTTTTTTTTGAGACAGTGTCTCGCTATTGGCCAGGCTGGAGTGCAGTGGTGCAATCTTGGCTCACTGCAACCTCCACCTCTTGGGTTCAGGCGATTCTCCTGCCTCAGCCTCCCGATTAGCTGGGACTACAGGTGCCCGCCACCACACCCAGCTAATTTTTTGTATTTTTAGTAGAGGCAGGGTTTCACCGTGTTAGCCAGGATGGTCTCGATCTCCTGACCTCATGATCCGCCCACCTCGGCCTCCCAAAGTGCTGGGATTACAGGTGTGAGCCACCGCACCTGGCTACCATAGTCGAATTATTTAACACATCATCCATTACCACTCAAGCTGTACATTAGATCCATAGAACTTGTTTATCTTATATCTGTCTATATTTCTTTTTTGGTTTGTTTTCAGACAGGGTCTCATTCTGCTGCCCAGGCTGGAGGACAGTGGTGCTATCATAGCTTACTGTAACTTCAAACTCCTGGGCTCAAGAGATCCTCCTGCCTCAGCCTTCTGAGTAGCTGGGACCACAGGCACATGCCACCATATGTGGCTAATTTTAAATTTTTTTGTAGAGATGGGGGTCTCACTGTGTTGCCCTGACTAGGCTTGAACTCTTAGGCTTAAGTGATTCTCTTGTTTCGGCCTCCCAGAGTGTTGGGATTACAGGCGTGAGCCATCACACCTGGCTTCTATCTACATTTCTCATAAAACGAGAAATTAAATGAAAGTGAGAAATTAAAACTGAGAAATCAAAAAAATATTAATTCATTAAAAACAGACCCTTTACATGGTTAACACAAAAAACATACTTTTATGAAAAATAGTTATGTTTTTCAAATTTTAAAAATTAGTAAGAAGAGACCAGCATTGTTTTACATTTTGCAAATCTCTTTAATGTCTGGTTTCATAAAAAGACAGCTGGATTCTCATATCTGCTTCTCTGCTCAATCTGTTGTGATAGTACGTGTTATGTAGCCTCTGGGAAACTCCATTATGCACTCATGAGAGACTGAAAGTGAAAAGGCAAATAATGCCTTAGAATTATGAAAATAGATTTGAGTTCAAGGAGCCTCTGAAAGGATCTATCTGAAATAATAGCTGTAATTTGCTATCTTTTTTGTTTGATCCCAGTTAAAAAAATACCAAGTTTCATTTGTTTTTTTTTTATTTTTATTCATTTATTTTTTTGAGACAAGGTCTTGCTTTGTTGCCCAGGCTGGAGTGCAACGGTATGATCTTGGCTCACTGAAGCCTTGACCGCTCAGGCTCAAGCGATCCTCCCACCTCAGACTCCTGAGCAGCTGGGACTACAGGCACATGCCACGATGCCTGCCTAATTTTGTTTATTTTTGGTAGAGGATAGGTTTCACCATGTTGCCCAGGCTGGTCTCAAAATCCTGGACTCAAGCAATCCTCCCATCTTGGCCTCCCAAATGCTGGGATTGCAGGCATGAGCTACTATGCCCAGCCTCATTTGTTTATTTTTCTAGCGTACTTATATTTAGCCCAGATGTAGAAGAACTGGTGAGATAAGTAATCCTTAATGTTTTCTTAGTCTTGAAAACCTTAAAAAATCTGATGAAAGCAATGGACTCACTCTCTCCCCACAAAAAACAGATATGAACACGATATTCTACATATCTTAGGGACTGGAGGAGTCATACATACCTATAATGTATCCACAGATTCCAGCTTAAGAATATCCTGACTATATGATTATATAACATCCCTTTCCAAGTTTATAGACCCAGATTAAATACACACAAAGTAATGAGACATATTTTAAAAAACATATCTCTTAATGCTTCCACATATCACTTCCCCCACAAAGTAAGAAAACTATGATCTATATGTGTGAAATTAAATTTGACTTGCTTAAGTAAATGATATAAACTTTTTGGGTAGTTGGGAATGGGGGAGAGGATAGGTAGCCTCTGAGCGATGAGTCCTATTTTAAGATAGGAAAAGAAAGTTATTAGTGTTAGAAATGGATTTCTAGGCTAAAAGGAATTATGGGTCCCATTAGTCACCCAGAAGGGCAATTTCTATGTAGATAGCTTGTCTGGATAAATAAATCCCTTCTCCAGCTTATAATCTGGGGAGAGTACAGACATACACTATTGTGTGTGTATGTGTAGTTACTGCTTCATATGAAGGACCGAACTAACTTTGTACACATTTTTTTTTATAGATGTATGTCTATGTTTGTATATTTACATAATGAAACCCCCTTTCAAATGAAATTTAACTTGGAACACTAATATAAGGATGAGAATAGAGATCTTGTTGAAACTAACGTGGGGGCCCTAGAGTCTTACCTACTACTCAGCACTAGGTACTATTACTACTCTAATCCCATCTCCCTCCATAAGCACTTCCATGGAGCCCCAAGGCTCTGCAGAATACCTATAGATTGAAAACTACATTCAATCTACTGATCTGATCTTGGAGGTAAGAAAGTTAATTCCATAAAGCACAAAATACTTATTATGATTATAGTCACTAAAAATTTCAGGTTCAAAGAAAATATTTAGGGACGTCTCTCTGTTCTTCAGCATCTCTAAGATCTTCTGCAAAGGCAAGAGCATGGAACTCCTCTGTCATAAGCTTGCAGTGCTATAGCAATGGGGAAATGAACATGAGGAATTTCTGTTTCCTGTGTTGGCTTACAACTGATTCCAAGTAAGAAAAAGGGAAAGCAAAAACAACAGTAGAAAAGATAAGCACCAGGATTTAGATCATCATGGCGGATGGGAGGCAGGATTAGATTGCAGCTCCAACTCGGACAAAGCAGCATGTTGGGGCTCGCACTATGAATTTTAGCTCCAGAACAACTGCAAGAACAAACCAGGAATCCCAAGAGGACCCACAGACCCTCTGAAGGAAGTGGACTGCTCCTGCAGGACCTGGGAGACACCCCAAATACTGTGTGGTATTCAGGGCCGAGACACCCATAAACGATTCACATCACAGGACTCTGTGCAGACAAACCCTGAATACCACCCCGGAGCCAGACAGACTGGCTGGATGGCTAGACCCAGAAGAGAGATAACAATCACTGCAGCTCGGCTCATAGGAAGCTACATCCATAGGAAAAGGGGGGAGAGTATCACATCAAGGGAACATCCTGTGGGACAAAAGAATCTGAACAACAGCCTTCAGCCCTAGACCTTGCCTCTCTGACAGAGCCTACCCAAATAAGAAGGAACCAGAAAACCAACTCTGGTAATATGACAAAACAAGGCTCTTTAACACCTCCAAAAAAAATCACACTAGCTCACCAGCAATGGATTCAAACCAATAAGAAATCCCTGATTTACCTGAAAAAGAATTCAGCGAGGCACCAGAGAAAAGCGAAGCCTGACGCAAGGAAATCCAAAAAACAATACGAGAAGTGAAGGGAGAAACATTCAAGGAAATAGCATAAAGAAAAACAATCAAAACTTCAGGAAACACTGGACACACTTACAAAAATGCAAAATGCTCTGGAAAGTCCCAGCAATAGAAATGAACAAATAGAAGAAAGAAATTCACAGCTTGAAGACAAGGTCTTCAAATTAACCCAATCCAACAAACACAAAGAAAAAAGAATAAGAAATTATGAACCAAGCATCCAAAAAGTCTGGGATTATGTTAAACAGCCAAACCTAAGAATAATCGGTGTTCCTGAGGAATAAGAGAAATCTAAAAGTTTGGAAAACATATTTGGGTGAATAATTGAGGAAACCTTCCCCGGCCTTGCTAGAGACCTAGGCATCTAAATACAAGAAGCATAAAGAGCATCTGGGAAATTCATCACAAAAAGATCATCACCTAGGCACACTGTCATCAGGTTATCTAAAGTTAAGACAAAGGAAAGAATCTTAAGAGTTGTGAGACAGAAGCACCAGGTAATCTATAAAGGAAAACCTATCCGATTAACAGCAGATTTCTTTGCAGAAACCCTACAAGCTAGAAGGGATTAGGGCCCTATCTTAAGCCTCCTCATGCAAAGCAATTATCAGCCAAGAATTTTGTACCCAGTGAAACTAAACATCATATATGAAGGAAAGATACAGTCTTTCTCAGACAAACAAATGCTGAGAGAATCTGCTACTACCAAACCACCATTACAAGAACTGCTAGGCTGGGCGCAGTGGCTCATGCCTGTAATCCTAGCCCTTTGGGAGGCTGAGGCGGGTGGATCACCTGAGGTCAGGAGTTTGAGACTAGCCTGGCCAACATGGTGAAACCCTGTCTCTACTAAAAATACAAAAATTAGCTGGACGTGGTGGTGGGTGCCTGTAATCCCAGCTACTCGGGAGGCTGAGGCAGGAGAATTGCTTGAACCTGGGGGGGCGGAGGGTGCAGTGAGACGAGATTGCACCACTTCACTCCAGCCTGGGCGAAAAAGCGAAACTCCGTCTCAAAAAAAAAAAAAAAAAAAAAAAAGAAAGAAAGAAAAAAACTGTGAAAAGGAGCTCTAAATCTTGAAACAAATCCTGGAAACACATCAAAAACAGAATCTCTTAAAAGCATAAATCATGAAGGACCTATAAAACAAAAACAATTTAAAAAGCAAAAACAAAAAAAACAAGGTACACAGGCAACAAATACCACAATGAATGCAATGGTACCTCAAATCTCAATACTAACATCGAATGTAAATGGCATAAATGTTCCACTTAAAAGATACAGAATAGCAGAATGGATAAGAACTCACCAACCATCTGCTGCCTTCAGGAGACTCACCTAACACATAAGGACTCACATAAACATCAAGTAAAGGAGTGGAAAAAGGCAGTTTGTGCAAATGGACACCAAGCAGGGGTAGCTATTTTTATATTAGACAAAAACAAACTTTAAAGCAAAAGCAGTTAAAAGAGACAAAGGACATTATATAATGATAAAAGGCCTTGTCCAACGAGAAATATCACAATCCTAAACATTTATGCACCTAACACTGGAGCTCCCAAATTTATAAAACAATTACTAATAGACCTAAGAAATGAGATAGACAGCAACACAATAATAGTGGAGGACTTCAATACTACACTGACAGCACTAGACAGGTCATCAAGACAGAAAGTCAACAAAGAAAAAATGGATTTAAACTATGCCTTGGAACAAATGAACTTAACAGATAATATACAGAGCATTTCATCCAACAACCGCAGATTACACATTCTATTCAACAGCACATGGAACTTTCTCCAAGATAGACCATGTGATAAGCCAGAAAACAAGCCTTAATAAATTTAAGAAAATTGAAATCATATCAAGCACTCTCTCAGGCCATAGTGGAATAAACTGGAAATCAACTCCAAAAGGAACCTTCAAAACCATGCCAATACATGGAAATTAAATAAGCTGCTCCTGAATGATCCTTGGATCAAAAATGAAATCAAGATGGAAATTTAAAAATTCTTCAAACTGAATGGCAATAATGACACAACCTATCAAAACCTCTGGGCTGCAGCAAAGGCAGTGCTAAAAGGAAAGGTCATAGTCCTAAATGCCTACATCAAAAAGACTGAAAGAACACAAACTGACATTCTAAGGTCACACCTCAAGGAACTAGAGAAACAAGAACAAACCAAACCGAAACCCAGCAGAAGAAAGGAAATAACCAAGATCAAAGCAGAACTAAATGTAATTGAAACAAAAACAAATACAAAAGATACATGAAACCAAAAGCTGGCTCTTTGAAAAGATAAATAAAATTGATAGACCGTTAGCAAGATTAACCAAGAAGAGAGAAAATCCAAATAACCTCATTAAGAAACAAAACGGGACATATTACAACTGACACCACTGAGACACAAAAGATCATTCAAGACTACTACAAACACCTTTACACAAGCTAGAAAACCTAGAAGAGATGGATAAATTCCTGGAAAAATACAACCCTCCTAGCTTAAATCAGGAAGAATTAGATACCCTGAACAGACCAATAATAAGCAGCAAGATTGAAATGGGAATTAAAAAATTACCAACAAAAGGCCGGGCGTGGTGCCTCACGCCTGTAATCCCAGCGCTTTGGGAGGCTGAGGTGGGCGGATCATGAGGTTAGGAGATCGAGACCATCCTGGCTAACACCGTGAAACCCTGTCTACTAAAAATACAAAAGATTAGCTGGGCATGGTGGTGGGCACCAGTAGTCCCAGCTACTCAGGAGGCTGAGGCAGAATGGCGTGAAGAGAGGTAGAGCTTGCAGTGCGCTGAGATCACGCCACTGCACTCCAGCCTGGGCGACAGAGTGAGACTCCGTCTCAAAAAAAACCAACGAAAAAAAGTCTGGGACCAGATGGATTCACAGCAGAATTCTACCAGACATTCAAAGAAGAATTGGTACCAATCCTTCTGACGCTATTCTATGAGATAAAGAGGGAACCCTCCCTAATTCATTCTATGAAGGCGACATCACCCTAATACCCAAATCAGGAAAGGACATAAGCAAAAAAGAAAACTACTGCCCGATATCCTTGATGAACATAGATGCTAAAATCCTTAACAAAATACTAGCTAACTGAATCCAACAACATATCAAAAAGATAATCCACCATGATTAAGTGGGTTTCATACCAGGGATGTAGGGACAGTTTAACATACATAAGTCAATAAGTGTGATATACCACATAAACAGAATTTTAAAACCAAAAATCACATGATCATCTCAATGGATGCAGAAAAAACATTCAACAAAATCCAGCATCCATTTATGATTAAAACTCTCAGCGAAAGTGGCATACAAGGGACATACCTCAATGTAATAAAAGCCATCTATGACAAACCCACAGCCAACATAACAATGAATGGAGAAAAGTTGAAAGCATTCCCTCTGAGAATTGGAACAAGACAAGGATGCCCACTCTCACCATTCTTCTTCAACATACTACTGGAAGTCCTAGACAATGCAATCAGACAAGAGAAAGAAAGAAAGGGCATCTAAATCAGTAAAGAGGAAGTCAAACTGTCACTGTTTGCTGACAATATGATTGTTTACCTCGAAAACCCTAAAGACTCCTCCAGAAAGCTGCTAGAACTGATAAAAGAATTCAGCCAAGTTTCTGGATACAAGATTAATGTACACAAATCAGTAGCTCTTCTATACACTAACAGCAACCAAGTGGAGAGTCAAATCAAGAATTTAACTCCTTTTACAACAGCTACAAAAACACACACACAAAAAAAAACCACACAAAAAAAACAAATTTAGGAAGATACCTAACCAAGGAGGCAAAAGACCTCTACAAGAAAAACTACAAAACATTGCTGAAAGAAATCATAGACAACACAATGAATGGAAACACATCCCATGCTCGTGGATAGGTAGAATCAATATTGTGAAAATGACCATGCTGCCAAAAGCAATCTACAAATTCAGTGCAATCCCTACCACCATCATTCTTCACAGAATTAGAAAAAACAATTTTAAAATGCATATGGAACCAAAACATGGCCTGCACAGCCAAAGCAAGACTAAGCAAAAAGAACAAACCTGGAGGCATCGCATTACCTGATTTCAAACTGTACTATAAGGCCATCGTCACCAAAACACCATGGTACTGGTATAAAAATAGGCACATAGGCCAATGGAACAGAATAGAGAACCCAGAAATAAACTCAAATACTTACAGCCAACTGATCTTTGACAAAGTGAACAATAGTGGGGAAAGGACACCCTTTTCAACAAATGGTGCTGGGATCATTGGCTAGCCACATGTAGGAGAATGAATCTTATATAAAAGCAACTCAAGATGGATTAAGGACTTAAATCTAAGACCTGAAACTATAAAAATTCTAGAAGATAACATTGGAAAAACCCTTCTAGACATTGGCGTACCCAAAAGCAAATGCAATAAAAACAAATAGCTGGGACTTAATTAAACTAAAGAGCTTTTGCATGGCCAAAGAACAGTCAGCAGAGTGAACAGACAACCCACAGAGTGGAAGAAAATCTTCACAATCTATACATCTGACAAAGGACTAACATCCAGAATCTACAACGAACTCAAACAAATCAGTAAGAAAAAAACAAGCAATCCCATCAAACAGTAGGCTAAGGACATAAATAGACAATTCTCAAATGGCCAAGAAAACACATGAAAAAATGCTCAACATCACTAATGACCAGGGAAATACAAATCAAAATCACAATGCGATACTACCTTCTTCCTGCAAGAATGGCCATAATCAAAAAATCAAAAACCAGTAGATGTTGGTGTGGATGCAGCAATCAGAGAACACTTCTACATTGCTGGTAGAAATGTGAACTAGTACAGCCACTATGGAAAACAGTGTGGAGATTCCTTAAAGAACTAAAAGTAGAACTACTATTTGATCCAGCAATCCCACTGCTGGGTATCTACTCAGAGGAAAATAAGTCATTATATGCAAAAGATACTTGCACACTCATGTTTATAGCAGCCCAGTTCACAATTGCAAAATCGTGGAACCAACCCAAATGTCCATCAATCAATGAGTGGATAAAGAAACTGTGGTATATATACACGATGAACTACTACTCAGCCATAAAAAGGAATGAATTAATGGCATTGCAGTCTCCTGGATGAGACTGGAGACTGTTATTCTAAGTGAAGTAACTCAGGAATGGAAAATCAAACACCATATGTTCTCAGTGATATGTGGGAGCTAAGCTATGAGGATGCAAAAGCATAAGAATGATACAATGGACTTTGGGGACTTGGGGGGAAGGGTGGGAGGGGGTGAGAGATAAAAGACTACAAATAGGGTGCAGTGTATACTGCTCGGGTGATGGGTGCAGCAAAATCTCACAAAGCACCACTGAAGAACTTACTCATGTAGCCAAATACCACCTGTACCCCAATAACCTATGGGAAAAAAAGGTAAGCACCAGAAATTATGGAAATAGTTTTAAAAAATTTTTGTGTCAATGTAGTATATGCAGAAAACAGGTTATATTTCCATGGACTATGTTTCCATAGGCAAGGACTATGTGCCATGGGTTTTATATTCCAAAAGGGTCCAGTCACAAGTCCTTTCCGAGGTCACTTTAAGTTCTAAGAAAGAGAGGGGAAGATGTCATTCTGAATACAAACTTCGCTGCTAATTTGGAAGTAATATGGTGACTATGAAGGTAGACAGAATTCAGATTGTTTAGGCTTGAATATGTTTCTGCCCCTAACTAGCTGGCTGTGTGATGATTTGCGGTAAGTTACTTAACTTTCCCAAGCTTCAGTTGTCTCCTTTAAAGGTTGGCATTAACAATAGCATTCACTTCATAGGGCTATTGTATTAAAAGATATAATGCCCACAAAGTTCCTAGCACAGTGCCTACTGTACAGCAAACACTCACTAATGTTATCTACTGGTATTACCCGTCTAAATAAGTAACAATGGCATTATTGTTCAACCTAAATTTTTGTTGCAGATTATCTTTAAAATAAATGACTGGAAAGAAAGAGTTTTAAAAATATTTTATATCTATATATTACTGATAATGTATCAGACAATGTTCTAGGCATGTTATGTATATTAACCTATTTGATCCTTACAAGAACCTTATTAGGCAGATATTACTTTCCCCATTTTGAGGCTCAGATAATTAAAGTGACTTGCCCAAGGCCACACAGCTATAATGGCAGGGTTGCAATTTGAATCCAGGCAGTCAGCTCCAGAGAATTATGCTTTTAATCATGATAACATACTGCAATAAGGTAAAGTATACTTATAATAGATTATAATAATAATAGCTACCACTTTGGAAATCCTAATATATGTTATGTATTCTACTAGAACATTTCTGTGCATTATCTCTAACTTTACAATGATCCCATATTGTGGGTACCATGATCCCACCTTACAAATGAGTAATTAGACTCACAGAAGTTAACTATCTTGCCCTAGGTCACATAGTTAATGAGAGCCAGAGCCTACATGAAACTCTGTTGTGTTCTCTGAAGCTTGAAATTGTTCCATTACAGTAAGTCCTCATTTAATGTTAGTGATAGGTTCTTGGATACTGTGACTTTAAGCAAAACTACTTATAGCAGATTCTCAAACAACATCATTATAACGTTGATGAGAAAAAAATTTGTTTCATTATACATCATTTTGCGTAAAGTTGCGGTGTCTAAGAATCCAACAACATTAAGTAAGGACTGTATACCACACTGCTTCTAAGTACAGATTTTGATGAAAGGCAAATAGCCCATGGGTTTTAGTTGTTTCAGATGACAGGCAAGAACCTGAAAAGGGGTGAACCTAAGACAATCTAAACACTATCATGCTATCACTTATTCATTCATTTAACCAACATTTGTTGAACACTTTCTATGAACTAAGCCCTAGCCAAGGATTTAATGATGAATAACACAAACAGGGTCTTTCTCTTAGAGCTAACAAATGAGTGCTTGAGAGAGTGGCTTAATAAAGGAACAGTGTGATAACTACTTCAAGGATTACTTAGAGTCTAGATATGAGTTAGAACTGCCAATCCTTTTCTGCCTCCCCATTCAATGCTAACTAGACAAAAAGACTAGTTAAGAATATTGCTGGCACACTACTCTTTCTTACATAGTTCTAGTTACTTACTAGGTATTCTTGTCCTCTCTTCGATGCAGAGAGACAGTGTTCTGGAGAAACTTCAAACCTAACCTCTCGTTTCTACTCTATAAAGATCAGAGGAAGACCTTAGGCTCTCAGGTATAGTTGGCTTGCATCTGAGCACCATGATAAAGAATTATACGCCAAACACCTTTCTAGTTGCTAAAGGATAGAAATTACTATAACATAGTCCCTGGTCTCAAGGAATTTATTTATTTATATTAACAACTATTCTACTGATCATGCAAAAATAAACAAAGAATAAACACAAGTCTCCTATATTATTCCCAGGGATATCCCAGAAATGGGCTAAGTTTTGTACCCAGTATTGGAACTTACTCTCTGAGAAGTTATTTTTCTTCAATGAGGCAAGTATTTAGCAAAGGACTTGACAGTAACTTAAAACTTTTCTCTAGTAATAGAGGATTAGCAGTGAAATCTGTTCTGGGATTTACAGAAGAACCAACCCCTGAGAGAATCTAATGTCCTTGTTTGGTAAATCTGGTCCTTGCCCTTGAGCCATAGGAAATCTACAGTGTGCATTTGTATTTCCTCTCTCACACTTACAGACTTTACTTTTACCTTTTGGAGACCAGGATTATCCTAGAGAAGCACTTCTGACATGATGGATATATAAAACTTGAATTCTGGAGAGCAAGTACTGAGGCTAGAAGAAATTTTCGTCTTCTGTTCATGTGTTCACACCGTGGTCTGCAAAACAAAATAGCCATTGGGATGACTGGCAAATCTTTCATTGCAGTGCATATTCTTTTCTTAGGAAAACCACTTAACCTCTACTGCAAAGCTAATAGATGTCATTTGTTTCACTTTCAAAGTGAAGGTGGTATCAATGTATTGGAAAATTAATTCTTTTTCTCCTTAAAATATTAATAGGAAGAAAATCACATTTAAAACAGAGTAGTTTAAGAAAATTCTTGTATCCTGTTTCTTAATAAATGCTCTATCCCAGTAATTCAGGAAAGATGTCATTTAGCTTCTTCACACCTTTACAAGAAGATACACAACTTGTGTCTGCCATCAATACAAAGGAAACTACCGGTTGAGCATCTTGAATCTGAAAGTCCAAAACCCAAAATCTGAAATGTTTTGAGTGCCACCATGATGGCACAAATCAAAATTCCACACATAAGTACTTAACACAAACTTTGTTTCATGCACTAAATTATTAAAAGTATTGTGGCCGGGCGTGGTGGCTCATGCCTGTAATCCCAGCACTTTGGGAGGCCGAGGCAGGCGGATCACCTGAGGTAGGGAGTTTGAGACCAGCCTGGCCAACATGGTGAAACCCCATCTCCACTAAATACAAAAAGTAGCTGAGCATGGTGGGGGGTGCCTGTAATCCCAGCTACTCAGGAGGCTGCGGCAGGAGAATTGCTTGAACCTAGGATGCGGAGGTTGCAGTGAGCCGAGATTGCACCATGGCACTTCAGCCTGGGCAACAAGAGCAAAACTCCATCTAAAAAAGAAAAAAAAAAGTATTGTATAAAATTACCTTCAGACTATGTGTATAAGATGTATATAAAACATAAACAAATTTTATGTTTAGACTTGGGTCCCATTCCTGCATCTCATTAATTATGTGCAAATATTCAAAAATCCAAAATTCACAAGACTTCTGGACCCAAACATTTCAGATAAGGTATATTCAATGTGTACATGAACTTACATGAATCTTTTAAAGAACCTAAATTGGTGGAAATTGTTCTTTTTTAGCTGAAATATCACTTTATTAGATTTCAGTGTGCTCATTTGATACATCTTGAAGAGAAAAAAAAGACTTCAGATTTTGTAAACAGAAAAAGCAAAATGTTACATGTCAAATGATAGCTCAAAGTGTTTTAATATCCTTGTATAAAACACATCAGGAAGGCCAAGTGTGGTGGCTTATGTCTGTAATCTCAGCACTTTCAGAGACTGAGGTGGGGGGATTGCTTGAGCCCAGGAGTTCAAGACCAGCCTGGGAAACACAGGGAGACACTGTCTCTACAAAAATATAAGAGAATTAGCTGAGTGTGGTGGCACGTACCTGTAATACCAGCTGCTTGGGAGGCTAAGGCAGGAGGATCAAGGCCATAGTGAGCTATGATGATGCCATGGCACTCCAGCCTGGGTGACA
Source organism: Homo sapiens (assembly GCF_000001405.40). Lineage (NCBI taxonomy): Eukaryota > Metazoa > Chordata > Mammalia > Primates > Hominidae > Homo > Homo sapiens. Next base: position 82,913,296 of record NC_000011.10, on the reverse strand, counting down.
GAGCAAGACCCTATCTCCAAATAAACAAAATCAGAGAAGTCAAATAATAAAATACAGACACACCTCATTTTATTATGCTTCACTTTATTATGCTTCACAGATATTACATTTTTTTTACAAATTGAAGGTTTATAGCAACCCTGTCTCAAGCAAGTCCACTTTTTCAGTGGCATGTGCTCACCTTCCATCTCACATTTTGGTAATTCTCACAATATTTCAAAAGTTTTCATTTTTATTATATCTGATGGTGACTTGTGATCAGTGATGTTTGATGTTACTATTGTAATTGTTTTGGGGTGCCACAAACTGTACCTATATAAGATGAATTTAATCTATAAATGTGTGTCTGACTGCCCCACCATCTCTCTCCCTCTTGTTGGGTCTCCCTATTCTGAGACACAACAATATTGAAATTAGGCCAGTTATTAACCCTACAATGACCTCTAGGTGTTCAGGTGAAAGGAAGAGTCACATATCTCTCACTTTAAAATAAAAGACAGAAACAAAAATTAAGGTTAGTGAGGAAAGCATGTTGATAGCCGAGACAGACCAAAAGTTAGGTTTCTTGTGCTAAATAGCCAAGTTGTGAATGTAAAGGAAATGTTATTGAAGGAAATTAAAAGTGCTACTCCAGTGAACACATAAGTAAGAATGTAAAACAGCCTTTTTGTTGATATGGAGAAAATTTTAGTGGTCTGGATAGAAGATCAAACGAGCCACAACATTCCCTTAAATCGAAGCCTAATCCAGAGTAATACCCTAATGCTCTTCAATTCTATGAAGGCTGAGAGAGTTGAGGAAGCTGCAGAAAAAAATGCTTGAAGCTAGCAGAGGCTGGTTCTTGAAGTTTAGGAAAAGAAGCCACCTCCAAAACATAAAACATAACTTGCTGCAAGGTAAAGCAGCAAGCGCTGATGTAGAAGCTGCAGAAAGTTATCCAAAAGATCTAGTTAAGATAAGTAGATCTTAACTAGTTGATGATGGTGGCTACACTAAACAACAGATTTTAAATGTAGACACAACAGACTTATATGGGAGGAAAATGACATCTAGGACTTTCATAGCTAGAGAAGTCAGTGCCTGGCTTCAAGGCTTCAAAGAACAGGCTAACTCTCTTGTTAGGGGTGAATGCAGCTGGTGTCTTGATACTGACACCAGTGCTCATTTGCCATTCCAAAAATCCTGTGGCCCTTAAGGATTATGCTGAATCTACTCTGCTTGTGCTCTAGAAATGGAAGAAGAAAGCCTGGATGACAGCACATCTGTTTATGGCATGATTTACTGAATATTTTAAGCCCACTGTTGAGACCTACTGCTCAGAAAAAAAGATTCCTTTCAACATATTAATGCTCATTGACAACGCACCTGGTCACCCAAGAGCTCTGATGAGATGCACAAGGAGATTGATATTGTTTTCATACCTGTTAACACATCCATTCTCTACTCATGGATCAATGAGTCACTTTGACTTTCAAGTCTTATTATTTCAGAAACACATTTCCTAAGGCCATAGCTGCCATAGATAATGCTTATTCTGATGGATCTGGGCAAAGTAAGTTGAAAATCTTCTGAAAAGGTTTCACCATGCTAGAAGCTAATAAGAACATTCATGATTTATGGGAGGAAGTCAAAATATCCACACTAATTGGAGTTTGGAAGAAGCTGATTCCAGTCCTCATGGATGACTTTGAGGGGTTCAAGCCTTCAGTGGAGGAAGTGACTGCAGATGTGGTGGAATAGCAAGAGATCTAGAATTAAAAAGTGGAGCCTGAAGATGTGACTCAATTGCTGCAATCTCATGATAAGGCATGAACTTATGACGAGTTGCTTTTTATGGATAAACAAAGAGAGTAGTTTCTTGATACGGAATCTACTCCTGGTGAGGATGCTGTGAACATTGTTGAAATTACAACAAAGAATTTAGAATATTCCATAAGCTTAGTTGATAAGCAGTGGCAGGGTTTGAGAAGATTGACTCCAATTCTGAAAGAAGTTCTACTGTGAGTAAAACGCTATCAAACAGCATTACATGGTACAGAAAAATCTTTTGTGAAAGGAATAATCAATGCAGCAAACTTCAATGTTGTCTTATTTTAAGAAATTGCCACTGCAACCCCAACCTTCAGCAACCACCACCCCAAGCAGTCAGCAACCATCAACACTGAGGCAAGACCCTCCACCACAAAAAATTATGACTCATTGAAGGCTCAGATGATCATTAACATTTTTTAATAATAAAGTGTTTTTTAATTAAGATGTATTTTTTAGACATAATGCTATTGCATACTTAGACTACAGTATAGTGTAAACATTTTATTAATATATGCACTGGGAAACCAAAAAATTTGTGTGACTTGCTTTACTGCAATATTTGCTTTATTGCAGTGGTCAGAAACACAACCCACAATATCTCCAAGGTATGCCTGTAGCAATGTTCTCCTCTTTATACTTTCTTTTTAAAAATTCAGCCTGGGCAACACGGTGAGACCTCATCTCTCCAAAAAACAAAAAAAATTAGTCAGGCGTGGTAGTATGAGCTTGTGGTCCCAGCTACTTGGGAGGCTGAGGTGGGAGGATCACCTGAGCCCAGGAGGTAAAGACTGAAGTGAGCTGTATTCATGGCACTGCACTCCAGCCTGGGTGAAAGAGTGAGACTTGTTCTCAAAAAAAAAAAAAAAAAAAAAAAAAAAGAGAGAGAGAGAGAAAAAATTAAAAGCTTGATCTGTGGCAGGGTGTGGTAGCTCACGCCTATAATCCCAGCACTTTGGGAGGCCGAGGTAGGCACATCATCTGAGGTCAAGAGTTTGAGATCAGTCTCACCAAAATGGTGAAACCCCATCTCTATCAAAAATATACAAAATTAGCCTGGTGTGCACCTGTAATCCCAGCTACTCAGGATACTGAGGCAGAATTGCTTGAACCTGGGAGGCGGAGGTTGCAGTGAGCCGAGATCATGCCACTGCACTCCAGCCTGGGCCACAGAGTGAAACTCTGTCTCAAAAAAAAAAAAAAAAAAAGGTTGGTTTGTTTACTAATTTTTTAAATGGATTAGCATAACATAAAACATATAACATAAAATACATGCCTTACAACAAAGGTCTTTGTAACTGTTTGAGATAAAGCTGTATTAAGAAACTTTCATTTTTAAACACATGGCAAAAACTTTCAATTCTGAAATGGGTGATGCTGTTTTTGACACTGGCATCAGCAAACTGACAAAGTGGAGGTCACTGGTTTTAAAATAATAAAATCTTTTCGGTATAGTACTCTAAAGATGATGACAAACATAGAAATGTGGTGACTATGGAAGGGAGATGTTAAAGTGATACTAATTCTGATAGTCAATCAAAATAACATTTCTATAAAAATAAAATCTTGCCACTCAAGGTAATAAGATGGAAATTTACAGATGAAAGATAAATAATTTAAATAAATCACTAATCTGTATTACTGAAGGGAGCACAGAAAAGAGAACGCTAATCCTAATTTTTTGCTATCCTTGTTGGGACTCTTATATATACATTAGTAAGGTTCTGCCAAAGCCGATTATGTATTCCTAGATTTGGTTGTCACCTTAGGCTACATGGCAATCTCAAAGGACATGGTAGGGTAGGTAATACAGGATACAAAGGAAAGGCAGAAAGAAGGGTCAAAGAAAATTGCCATTGTAAGTGCTAAAACCTCAAATTCCTTGCCATTGCAACTGTCAAAAGACAAAATTACAACAATTTTGTGAAAGATCTTAATTGGCTTTATTTATGATTCTGTCAGATGTGTTTGAATAAAAAAGCAACTCCATCTTGTCTAGAGGCTGGGTAAAATGAAGCTGAGACATACTGGGCTGAATTCCCAGACGGTTAAGGCATTCTAAGTCATAGGATAAGATATGAGGTCGGCACAAAATACAGGTTATAAAGGCCTCGCTGATAAAACAGGTTGCAGTAAAGAAGCCTGCTAAAACCCACCAAAACTAAGATGGTGATGAGAGTGACCTCTGGTTGTCCTCACTGCTACACTGCCACCAGCGCCATGACAGTTTACAAATGCCATGGCAACGTCAGGAAGTTACCCTATATGGTCTAAAAGGGGGAGGCACAAATAATCCACCCCTTGTTTAGCACATCATCAAGAAATAACCATAAAAATGGGCAGCCAGCAGCCCTCGGGGCTGTTCTATGTCTTTTATTCCTTTACTTCCCTAATAAACTTGCTCTCACTTTATGGACTTGCCCTGAATTCTTTCTTGTGCGAGATCAAAGAAGCCTCTCTGGGGGTCTGAATTGGGACTACTTTCCTGTAACAATTCTAGAATCGGGAAATACTTTATTCCATAAAATAGAGTAAGTGACCCAAGGGGCTGAGCAGAGAAGTTCAGTTTTACAGAAAGAGAAGGGCTAAAGAAAGTAGAAACAAAGAACAAAAAGCAGCTTGGTCATTTCAAAGTTACTTTCCTCCTAAAGTGGGAACAGAGGAACAGAAAAATACAGGAATAACTGGTTAACATAAGGCTACTTTTTGTTGTAAGCATCAAAGGCAGAGCGAAGTTCGTTGTTATGACAATTGAAACTGGCACATGTGGGAAATTTGGTTATTTCTCTCTTCTGAGTTCTAGGAAGGTCAGATAACAATGTAGTTTTGATTTGGTGAGGTGGAACTTTAAGTATAAATGACTCTATTTTGATTTTTAGTCTGGTCCACTGGGGCCTAGTGCAGGAGCTTAGTCCAAAACAAAGGCCTCCTATAACTTTTAGTTAACATAACAAATGATGTTATGTCAACAAAGGCATTGTCCTCCACATTCTAAAATCCAATTTAGTGTAGGGTTTAGTATGGAGGTACATCTACCTGTGAGTTAGGGGAGCTAAAAGAGCATAAAGCTCACTCCTGAACATGCTGTCTCTTACCTGCTTAAAATCCTGCTATTTAGAATGAAGCCTCAATATCTCACAATGGTCTGTGCAGCCCTGGGTCATGTAGATCTTGCCAATCCCTGACCTCACTTTGTACCACTCTCCTCCTCAATCACTGTATTTCAAGCCATGCTGGCCTTCTTTCTGCTCCTCAAGCACACCAAACGATTTCCCTTCTCAGGCTTTTGTGCTTACTATTCTCTTTGGCTACGATATTCTTCCCTTAGGTCTTGGAATAGTCGGTTCTTTATTGTCCTTCAATCTGTAACTCTAATGTTATCCCTTCAGAGAGCCCCACTTTAGCTCAAGTAGAATCCTCCTTCCTCTTAGTTTCTATGGCATCACCTGTTTTATCCTTCATGGTACTAACCCTGCTGGATAGTCATCCTATGTATGTCTTTGCTTACTTATTTTTGTTCATCTACCCATCACTAGCCTAAGTTTCATAAAGACGGGGACCTAGTCCACCCTGTTCTCTACTGTAACCCCAGTGCTTAGAACAGTGCTCAGTACACAGTAAGTTCACAATAAATATTTATTGAATGGGGCCAGGTGTGGTGGATCAGGCCTATAATCCCAGCACTTTGGGAGGCCAAGGTGGGAGGATTGCTTGAGCCCACCAGTTTGAGACCAGCATGGGCAACACAGCAAGAACTCATCTCTACAAATAATAAAAAATATTAGCTGGGCATGGTGGTGCATGCTTGTAGTTCCAGCTACTCAGGAGGCTGAGGTGGGAAGGTCACTTGAGTCTGGGAGATTGAGGCTGCAGTGCGCGGTATTGCGCCACTGCACTCCAGCCTGGGCAACAAAGACTAGTCTCAAAACAAAATTTATTGCATGAATGAAGAACTATAAGCAGAATTTTGCAATTCAAGAAAATTTTTACAACAGAGTAGGCAGACGCCATACGATAACCAGAATTTTCTTCCTATTTCATTTGAAGTTCCCCTAAAAAGTCTTTCTTTATTAACAAAGGGAATGGCTTTTCTTTTTTTCTACACCATATACTATTGTACCTCTGTAGTCCTACCATTTGTTTTGTCTATTGTAGTGTATTGTCTATTTGGTTTTATTCTCCCTAATGCCTATTCTCTTAACTTTCTTTTTGCTCTTTATGTGCTAGTAATTTATGCCAAGAGAAACAATCTGAGTTGTGTTCCTTGCTTCCCCACCCCCACAATATGTTTCACATTTCTATGCCTTTGCTTTTTTCCATTCTTCTCTCTAAAATGCTTTCATTCTCTTGGTAATGCTTATTATTCTTTAAGATCCTTCTTAGAAGTCTTCTTTTCTAGGACGTTTTCCCAGAAGTTAAATTACTCTTTAATTCATCACATGCCACATTATATTAAATTTATCTGTTCAATATGGCTTGTTTTTCCTGGACTCAAAGTAAGATCGTAGAAGGACTATCTGTTTATATCTTCAGTGCCAAGCTCAGAAATTGTCAATCTGAACTTCAGATATTAATCTTCATGATTTGCATTTCCTCTTCCCAAGCCACAATTTTGTCACATAGCGTTAAATATAAAACACAATTTTACCAAATCATAAAATTATCTTCTATTTGTATACGAAGTACACAGCCTAGTTTCATATATAGTACCTTATTTCATACTTATTTTAATCATTACTTACATCTTATCCTCACTTCTAATTTTTTTACTTCTGTTCATATTGTGAGCAGAGACTATTTTCTTTAGGGCTCTAAAACAGAATTTTATACTGTACCACAACAATATGGGCATTCATCAAATCATGTTCTTTACACAATTGTTATTCAAACTTTAGGAAATGTAATAAACTTGTAACATGACTCGTACACTGGGCTAAGTGAAAATAAGATACTGTCTGTCCTAAAAAAAATTGCTAATTGGGCAGACAACTCACTAATAAATGAAAAACTTAAATAAGCAGGAAATTTTGGGTTCATTTCTAAATTAATTGTGCCAGCACTTATTACTATACTTTTAAAGGAAGGTTGGTTACATTGTCTTTATTTAAGGGTTTACTGCCCTCTAGTGGATCAAATAAGTAAGTCTAAAAATCTATAAAAACAGCAAATTTGAGAACTGTAATGAAAGGGATCATTAGTATTTTTACTATTTGTATTTCACCTGGTGAACCCCAGAAAATGGCAAAAAGGCTTCCCATTTATTGTCTGTTGGACAATAATAGAATAAGATCGTTTCAGACAGTTACTGTTAATTAATTTCCTTTGGTGTTTTCATAATATTTCCTTCATACTTGCCACCTAGTTTATTTTTGTATTTATTTATTTATTTACCTAGGCTCTGGGGGTGTTTTTATACTTTGTTTTATTTCTCTGTCTCTCTCTACTGCTTGACTTGCAGTATAGTGGATGCATGTCTGATGAATAATTGAATGAAACATCAGGAATAAGTAAATACTAAAATTAGGAAGATATGATGATACACTTGGGAACAATTTCATATGTGGTATCTTTTGCAGTTTATCTTTCTTTTCACATTTATTGGGAAGGATGATGATATAGTATTACATTTCTTTCAGCTCCATCACAGCAAACCATATCCCAATTTAATATGCGAACATATTTATTTATTCATCAGTTATTAGTTGTGCAGCTGCTAAATGCTAGGTGGGGATAGTGTGATTGATGGACAAACAGACAAGGTCCCTACCTAGTCACTAGACTTACAGTCTAGTGTAAGAGACAGACATTAAAATAATCACACAAAAAATTTAACTGCAATTCTGGCAAATTCTATTTTGGAAATGCATAGTGCCATGAGAAAATATAACAGGGGGACTAATTTAGTTTTTGATGGGAGGAATGGGGAAAGAGAAGAGGATAGTTAGGAAAGTATATAATCTTATTTTTAAAAAGTATTTTCTCAGGGTGGTAGTGTTAAGGGCGATTTTTATTTTCTTTATATATTTAAGATATTTTCTAAGTGTATTGCTTTTATAATTAGAAAAAATCAATAAATACAATCTAAGTGTATTGCTTTTATAATTAGAAAAAAATCAATAAATACTATAAAAATGCTGGATAGGGACATTAGCAATAATATACAAAGAAAATCTTGCTTTCTTTAAATCTCTCACACATAAAAGTAGAAATGAGGGTAGAAAGAGGGACAAAAGTGTAAGTGTTGGGGCAGAACTAATTAAGGCCTCAGTTGGCCTTTGATTTTTCAAAGGGCACATACCAGGGATTACCTAGGTCAATGTCCAGGAATGAAGGCTCCAATAGACTTATGCTTATTAAAATATGTGGGGTCCATGTGGACACACTATAGTACATATCTAATTTACCATGGGATATTCTGGAATACTTGCTTTCTCTCCTTTTAGACAAGCCATATGGGGAGCTGAACTGTAATCCAAAGATGTTCTACTAATTTACCACGAAAAATTACCATCACAGGGAAGGGACATATCAGAAGCCCATATTTGTATATTTGGTATAACCTCATATTATACTAAAATTATAAACAGAAAGTTGCTTGAAGAAGAGCTGTTTGGTGAATCAACTATTTAATGGAATCAAGCTAATGCCTGATGCATTTTTCATTCTAGAGATGGTTTTGTCAGTGGTACCAGATATATAAACTCATTGATTACAACCTCTGCATCCCATTTTCATACTAGACAAGTATTTCTCAAACTTTATCATATATCAAAATCACCCAGAAGGCTTGATAAAACAGATTGCTGGGCTCCAACTCCAGAGTTTGATTCAGTAAGTCTGGGATAAGGGCCTGAGAATCTGCATTTTAAGTTCCCAGGTAATGGCCAAATTGCCCACACTTGAAAACCAGTAGCCTAGTCATTGAGACTATCTCATGGTGTGTAACACTTGTGATAAACATGGTTATAGTTAAATCCCCAAGGCCTGACAGCATCTTAGTCTCATTTGGATGATTTTGCAATTCTTTACTCTAATCCATTATTTGGTGATCTTTCAGCTTAACTACCTCATAATCAAGTTCTCAGAAGGCAACTTAATCATTTATGAAAAACCGTGCCCATACATGCACATACCAACACATCTTTTTTTCTTCTTCCGGCTAGACTAGAAGATCTAGAAAAACTGGGTTAGATTAGAAAATCTAAACTAATTCTTATTCTATGTTAGATCCTAGAGAAAAAGTTCAATTAAGTATTTAGTGTAAACTGGCATCTGGGGATGGGGCTGAAGAGAACATAAAAGTATAAGATGTGAATCCTATCTTAAAGTTCATAATCCAGTTTGAGTTCATTTGACTGCTTTACAGTTTGCAAAGTGCTTTTGCAACATTATCTGATCCACTCAGAGAAGTTAATCAGGTCTGGAACTCATGCCTTCTGATGAGTAGCTTACCAGTCTTTCTAGTCCATTACTCTCTTTGCTCAAGCTTCACACTTGAAAGAAACTATGTGTATTTGCTTCAAGACTGTGCCCAAAGGATGAAATTACTCCTTTAAAAAACTAGTTCCACTTCTAATGGCATAAAGAAAAGAAAGTATGACTAATTTTTCTCCCTTTCTTCGTTCCTCTCCAAACCCTTCTTGCCTTGCATGAAAATCTTTGTCACCTTGTAATTCTCCAATTTTCTGTTTCATATTTTACAGGCCAAGAGGCCTCAGCTATGGGAAGGGTGGCTGTTTTGAATTGTTTTCTTAACACTGTCTAATGGTCTCCTCCAATGGCACATACTTGTTTAATTTTTCTAAAGGCAGTCATAATAAGTCCCTAAAAAATAATTTAGTAACATTGACACGAAAATTCTAGAAAAGTAAGAGAGGCAGGCAGGAGAGTGAAAATTAAGTAAGCAAAAAAACAAAGAGACAAAATCTTCAGTGAAAGGAGAAATACTGATGAAAAATGCTTTAAAAACATGAACCAGGAAAATCTTAGTACGATACAGTTTTTCCATTGATATCATTTATGAGACATTTATTACAGGGATGGAGAAGGTCACATCTCAGTAAATGGTACTACTCACTAACCAGTAACTCAAACCAGATACCTAGGAGTCATTTGTCATTCCTCCCTTTCCTTCATATCCCACATCACACTCATCAGAAGGTACTTGAATCTACTTCCATACTTAGAAACCATCATTCACTTTTCCCTCATATATTCTGCCATCATCTTAATCCAAATCACCATTATCTCCTGTTTATGGTGCTGGATTAACCTCCTAACCATGATCCGGTCTCTGCCCATCTTTCCAGACTCATCTCATACAACTGTCCTTTCTAAATATATTCCAGCTATACTGGTCTTTCCTTAGATTCTTGAACATTAACATGTCAAGCTCTTTCCTGCCTCAGGACGTTTGCACAACCTGTTCACTCTGTTTAGAATGTTTTTCTTTCCCTCTTTTGCATGGTTGGATCACGCTCATCTTTTAGGCATCAGTATCAACTCCTTGGAAAGGTCTTCTTAGACCAGTCTAATTCACATAGTTTCCTTGTAAATTCTCCTTAATTCCATCCATAAAAGGTAAGTTCCATTAGAACAGGAATCTACCTTGTTCATCATTGGATCTCAGTACCTAGCAATTCTTGGCACAGACGAAAGAAGCATTTAACTATCTGCAGAATAAACAAATAATTACTTGGTGCTCTGTGATCCAGTCCTGTGGGGTCAGGAAAGGGTTTCTGATTTAAAAGGCTTTGCAAACTGACTAAGAATTAGCCAGGTCAGGGACAGGGTCAGAAGACGGTTTGGGGTGAGAAGGAGGATAGTGCACTTCAGGAACACAAAAGACATTCTATATGGCTGGAGCGGTGGAAAACCACTAGGGCTGAAGAGCCAGGCAAAAGTCAGATAGGAAAGAGTCTGTAAGTCATGTTAAAGAGTTTGGGCTTAAACCTGAGGGCAAATAGGAGCGACTGAAAGGTTTTCAATGGGGAGTGCCTCGGTCAAATATGAACTTTATCAGCCCAGCAATGTGGAGACTGGACTGGAAGGTAGCAAGATTGAAAGCAGGAGAACCAGCTGGGGCGGCGGGGGAGGGGGGGGTTACTGTCACAGCTATGTAGCAGTCATAGGGTCGAACCAAAATAATGTCAGTAAAAAACGGAGAGAAGTGAACAGATCTGAGATATTCAAGAGGCTGGTAGGGACTGGCTGGATGTGAAAAGGAAGAAAACTTTCAAGCTCTGGTTTAAGCACATGGCTCAGTTAAAATATGTTCCTTCTAAGCCATCATAGCATTTTGGAAGATCCCCTTTCAGCACGTACTACTCTGCACAGTGGCCCACTGAATACGTATTTGCACATTACAGAAGCAAGAGTCGCGCCTTTTCCTCTCTATTTCCGATTCTAAAAGCTCACTCCGAGTCTAGCTCGATGGCACTGTAAGTGTTCAATAAACGTTCGTTAGGTGATTGCAAAAGCACTGAGTCTAAAATAAAATAACTGACGTTTATATTCTGTTACCCTCATGGCTGCCCGTTTACAGAGAACCACTTGTGAAAAAACAAGCGCCGGGCTCTGGGTGGGTCTCATTCATAATGAAGTTAAGAGCCTCCTTAGGAGTCTCCGGCTCTTCGGCTTCCCGAGAACCCCTTTACCCAGCTCACCTGGGGGAGAAGACCAGGAACGGGCCCAGGCGACGCACAGTGACTCGGACCGGCCGAACTCAGTAGCACGCCGGCAGCCTTCCAATCGAATCTCCCGCGTCCTTTTCCGCCGGAAGTAACGCTTTGGCTCTGATTACTCAGAGCCAATCAGAAGAAGGCGCCGCAGAGGGTGGAGCTTAGCGAGGAAATCCTACAAGCATCTGGAAACGACCATTTTCGTCAAACTGCGGGTAGAGTCTTTCTCCCCGACAGGTGGATCAGTAGTACAGTCCGTAAAATTGGTTTTGGAGCTTCGCTGAGCCTCCTGGGCGTAGGGTTCCCGGGAAAGTGTGGAGTGAGCCGCAGCGCCCTGGGGTCTGGCGGGGTGACTGAAAGAGGGAATGGAAGCTGGATGAAGAGGGTTGAGGGAGCTTTGGAAGCCAGACCCGGCGCTGTCCTAGGGGCTAGCACTACCCACGGGCGGAGGGAGGAAGGGGGCGGTGGCAGGAGGCAGGAGGGGGGTGGAGCGCGGAGTGGGTTTTCGGGTGCCGGAGAAGAAAGGGGGCGTTATTTGAAAGAAGGGACCGGGACCTGGCGGGATTTAGGGGCGATGTGGACCCGGGGCGACCTGTGTAATGGATGGGTTGTGCGAGCAACACAGTTTTGGGGTGACCCAAGAACGGAGTATCATAGGGAGTGGTTAGGCTCCAGATGGAGGTGGGTGCAAGGAGCACAGTCTTTGGACCTGGACCCAGCGGTCTGCGACGACGTGCTCCGCTCACTGCTGAGTGATCTAGTGCAAGTTCCCGCACCTCTCTGAGCCTCAGTTTCCACATCTGTAGATGGGAATAACAATCATATACGACGCACAAGATTGCTGTGACGATTTAGTTAGAGGAGATGATGCGTGTGCCTCCCTGCCTCGTGATACACTGGCCTGTAGTGAACCTTCAATAAATTGTCATGGTAGCTGTTATTGCCGTTACGTAGGATTTGCGGAAGGCAGGAGGTGTCGCAATGGAATTGCGGTGGCCAGGGCAGGGTTTGGTGGTGATGATAATGGTAGGGATATTGGGTGACCTGAAGGACAGGTGGGCTTCGGGGGCGCTATAGATAAAGCATGGGCTACAGCGATGAGTTAGGAAGAGGCCCTAGCATGATAAGGGCAGACTTGGGGTGTGACCGCAATGAAGGTGAGTGCTAAGGAGCAGATGGCACGAGAGGAAAGTGGAGTGGAGGCGGTGTCCTCGGGGATGGGGGCGGAGTGGCTGTGGTGACCTGGCTTGGGCGGCGTCTCTGAGGAGCTGGCTGGCTTTGGGTTTCCCCTGGGAGGAGCTGTTTTGCGGCGGGCGGAGCTGCAGGCTGGGCAGGGCTTAGCCTGTGCGCTTCTGCTGGCCTCCTTTTCGCCCTCCCACCCGCACTGCAGTCTCCAGCCTGAGCCATGGGCCGCCGAGCCCTCCTGCTCCTGCTTCTGTCTTTTCTGGCGCCCTGGGCCACCATAGCCCTCCGGCCGGCCTTAAGGGCCCTCGGCAGCCTACACTTGCCAACCAACCCCACATCCCTCCCGGCTGTAGCCAAGAACTATTCGGTTCTCTACTTCCAACAGAAGGTAAGGGGGAGCGGGGGCTTCGCCGTCCCAGGCCCAACCGCCGGGAACCCTGACCCTCAGAGCCCGGGCAACGGAGCCTACCTCGAAATTCACACCCCTTGATGCCTAGGATCTGTTCGGTTTTTGGCTAACATCTTCCAGAAGGTGGTCCCAAATCCCAGTTCTGTTTAAATTTTCTCCTCCCATTACCAATAATTTGGTAGTAGTTTTGGCTGCATACTCTTGATTCAGGCTTTTCTGTAATTGGACACGACAGTCACTTCAACTCCCTCTGCTCCCAGAGGGTGCCCCAATCCGAACTCCCTTGACCTTCCCTCAAATTCAAATTATTAAATGCCAGCTCTGGTACCTAGTCTGCGGTGATAGTCATCCTTTGCCCCAAGGCAGCCCTAAATACAAATTTTAATATCTTTACCTATTAGAAAATATTGGATAGTTATCCATCCTAAAAGCCAGCCTCTCAGAAGGGGTCAGCTCAGAGCTGATTTTGTAGCCCTATTATTAAGAATTGTTGACAGTCCCTATTCCCCATAAGACTGAATGTATGTAGCCTATGCTTGTAAAAGGAGTTGTAGGAGTTTGTGGTGGGGGTGGGGATTAGCCTTTCTATGGTCTGTAACGTGAAATTAGAGGTTTTTGGGCTTGATGCCTTTGTGCTTGGCTGCAGCATGAGGCATTCCCCCACAGGTCTTGATGGAAAAGTACATCCTCTGTGAAATGACAAGTAATCCTTACAGTTCAGCATTTCTGAAAGCCTGTGTAAAAATAGGAAAAGATTTGGAAAAGGTTGGGATTAGAAAGAGTGCAAGGGTCTGAAGCTTGGCTTTAGGAGTCAGATAGAACCGGATTCCACCCTGCTAGCTCTGTGACCTTGGGCAGGTTACAGTACTTCTGTGAGCCTAGTTCCTTGATCTCTTGGGGTTTGTGGTGATGGTTGAATGAGAGCAGATAACGTACTCTTAGCAGAGTATCTGGCTTCAAGTAGGCACTCATATAATATGTGGTTATAGACCTATGTGAAATTTTGTTGTTGTTAATTGTGCAGAGACAAGGCTCACTATGTTGCCCAGGCTAGTCTTGAACTTGTGGGCTCAATAATCCTTCTGCATCAGCCTCCCAAAGTGTTGGGATTACAGGTGTGAGCCACTGAGCCCAGCCCTTATGTGAATTTGGAATGGGAATTTGTGGTAGAGGGATGTCATAGACTTCCAGAATAACTTAGAAATAATTTAAAAATTTTTTTATTTTTAAAAATAGAGATGGGATTTTGTCATCTTGCCTAGGCTGGTCTTGAACTCCTGGGCTCAAGCGATGCCCCTGTCTTGGCCTCCCAAAGGGCTGGGATTGCAGGCGTGTGCCACTGTGTCCCCAGCCAAGAAACAATTTTTAACCCAGACATTTGAGTTCAAGTTTATGAGGAAGAGAAAACATTTTAATTTTAGCAGGGGTACTAGGAAATAATCTTTTTTCTCAGGCAACTCCCTTAAATTAATTCTCTAGGGCATAATTCCCTCATTTGTAAATTAGGAGGGTTGGGACAAGGACCAATGTGTTTTACACTTTACTGAGGAAAATTAAGGGCTCTTTGGGGAGCTGTTTCAGAGGGAAAGTGGATGAAGGCTGAAGTGGAGGCCAAATTAGGTGCTCTAGTACCCTCTCTTGGATCTCTTTCAGCTTTTACCTGTTTTATATGCTGGGATTTTATATACAACTATTTGCAGAACTCAACTGCTAAAGTAAAACGGTGGGGAGGACTATTGGATTGGGAGATCTCTAAAATCCCATTGGGATTGATGAAAAAGAGAACTATCAGCAGAAAAGAGGAAGGGAACAAATGAGTTGTTAGTACCTTAGTTCCTAATTTATGTTCCTTTATTGTAGATTCTTTTCTTGGCCACTACACTCCTTAGAAATATAATTCAACACTGTTTCTTTTTCCATTTTTGATGATATGCAAAGTCCAGCTTTACTCAGCCACATTTTGTCCACTGGCTTATATTTAATTTATATTTTAGGATACAGATTCCACGTATGTATTTATTACCATAATAATAATTTTTCTTCTGTCTATTCCAATTGAGTTTTATTTCATTTTCTGAGGAAAACTTTTACATATGTATTTATTGCATAATTATAATTATACTAGTTGCCAATTTCTGAACCATTGATTTTTAGTTAGGACTATGTGTGAACTCAACTTTAAGTTTTTAAGTTAGAGCACATGAAATACTTTGATGCCTTCTAGTAATAAACTTATTATTAAAACTGTAAGGCTTAGTTTTTTATTCAAGGTTTAATTTTTATTAAACTTTATAATGATTTACCTGTGGTTATATCTGCCCCAGTGACCAAGCTGGACCCAGCTGTCCTTCTATGTATATAAAGGATGTGGTTTTATGGAGTGGTCTCTAAGAAGGCTTAGCCCATGGTCTTATCCCTCCCCTGCTTAGAAATTCTTCATAACTCTGATTGCAGGATAAAGGCCAAACACCTTGGCATGGGAATCCATTGTTCCTTACTATGTAACCCTAGCTGGTCGTTCCAACTTTATATTCTGCCATAATTCCCCATCCCAGCTCCCACTTTTAGCAACCTAACAGACTCAAGTGACTTTTACTGTGTCAGAAATTCTGTCTGGAATACCATCCCTCTTCCCCACTATTTAAACTCATAATTCTATTCCAGCAGAAATGTCTCACCTCTTCTGCGAATCTTTGACTTCTTTAAGGAAATTTAGTTGGTCTTTTTTCATCCTGCACATTTACTATATTGTATGTGTCCCTCCAGCTCGTTAGTACTCTACAATACCTAGAAGAGCCTATAAAAAAGTATAAAGCACAAAATAAATAGTTGTTGAAAGAGTGAATGCATGATTATTCAAAAAGAACCTAAACAAAGCAAAGGCTACCATCATTTAATTGTCACAAATCATTTTTTATTTTTCTTTTTATCTTTTACTTTAATTCTTTACTAATTATTTTTTCCTCCTTTTTCAAGGTCTTCAAATATTGAGTTAGGTAGGACTATTTGATTTCTTTTACCTGAAATAACTGAATTAGGAGACCAGAGAGAGGATAGTACATCACTTGGGCACATCGAGGCTCTGGGTACATGTGTAGTATGTGTGGTATCAGTGTCATAAAGGGCTCTCTGGAATATGTGGCTTGTGGTTACAATGTTGCATGCTTATTACCTTGTACCTCCCACCTGAGCCCCTCAGGCTAGAATGTGAGTCCCAAATCACACATTTTAGTGTGTGATGTAGTGAAGAGGGAGAATGGGTCCTGTCAGGCCATCATTTTTCTCAGTGGTAAAATTGGGAGCAATATCTATTGTATTAGGGTGTGTGTCTGTGTGTTTCTCTCTCTATGAGAGAGATTTTTATTAAGGAATTGGCTCATGCAATTGTGGAGGCTTAGTAAGTCCAAAATCTTCAGGGTAGGTTGGAGGCTGGAAACCCAGGGAAGAGTTGCAGTTTGGATGCCCAGGCATTCTGCTGGCAGAATTTCTTCTTGCTTAGGGGAAGTCAGTCTTTTTTTTTTTTTTTTTTTTTTTTGAGTTGGAGTCTCGCTCTGTTGCCCAGGCTGGGGTGCAGTGGTGAGATCTCGGCTCACTGCAACATCTGCCTCCTGGGTTCAAGTGATTCCCCTGCCTTAGCCTCCCGAGTAGCTAGGATTACAGGTGCCCGCCACCACGCCTGGCTAATTTTTGCAGTTTTTAAAATACAGACAGGGTTTTACCATGTTGGCCAGGCTGGTCTTGAATTCCTGACCTCAAGTGATCCACCCACCTTGGCCTCCCAAAGTGAGGGGAAGTCAAACTTTGTTCTATTAAGGCCTTAAACTGATTAGATAAGGCCCACCCAAATTATGGAGGGTAAAGTCCACTGATTTAAAGTCCGCTGATATAAATGTTAATCTCATCCAAAAAATACCTTCACAAAAACATCTAGAATGATATTTGACTAAATAGCCGGGCACCATGGCCTATAAAGTTGGCATATAAAATTAATCATCACATCCACCAAGGTTGTTGTCAGAGTTCAGTGTCGTAACAAATGAAAGCCACATGGATGGTGCATAAAACATGGTAGGAGTTTAAACAACTTGATGGAACAAGTGCTAGTTCCTTCACAACTCTGTCCTGAAAATACACTCTCATCCAAATGCATGACAATAGTGGTAATGCCTCTTCTGAAAACTTAGTACCCAGCTATTCCTATTTAACTGCTGATCATTGTTTCTGTTACAAGTCTGTGTGTTGGCCCAGCATTGAGCTCATGGTCACTGACTTCTGCAGCTCCTTCCTCATTTGCTGTGAGGGGATCACATCAGTGGGCTAAGCTATTTAAATTTATGTACATCCTTTATAGTTCCACTTTCAATTGCTGTTCTAGGTTCCCCTTTCCCACCTTTGTCACAGTGGCCCTGATGTCTAGTAAAATGTTATGTCTAGCTATGTTAGGCACCTTGTAGGGCATGTTGATAAAGATCTTTCTCCTCCTCCTTTAAATTTTTCTTCCCCTTTCTCCTCTTCTTATCTGTTCATCTATTGATGGACTTTCCCTTAGGCCTGGAGTGTCCTGTCAGAAATATTGTGTGAATTCAGAACTGATTTATGTGTTTGGTGACACAGAATCATTTTTAGAAGGGGCCTTAGAGATCATGTAGCCTTCCCCTTAGATATGATGGATTGACCTTGATCTAAATTATAGAGGGTCAGAAACTTGATAGAGCTTGAACAGGAGGGTGGTTAAAAGCACAGCTTTTAGTGCTGGGTGTGGTGGCTCACACCTGTAATCCTAGCATTTTGAGAGGCTAGGAGGATCACTTGAGGGCAGGAGCTAGAGACCAGGTTGGGCAACATAGTGAGACCCTGTCTCTACAAAAAACAAAAAACAACTACAACAAAACCTAAAGCATACCATTTAGAGGCAAACAGGTTTGAGAGCAAGTTCTGTTTCTGCCACTACCTGAGTAAGTTACTCAGAGGCAGCCCCTATTTTCATAATCAGCAAAATGGAGATAATTATATTACCTATACCATAAGTTTGTTGTAAAAAGAGGTGGTATGTGTAAAGTGCATATTTAGCACAGTGCATAACAGTTAGTAAACAATAAATGATAAACATTATTTTTATCTTGCAGTTTCCTAATGTACATGGCTTTAATTAACCCCTTCACTTTTTTAAAATCAATAGGATTAAAATAATCAATACTTTAATAGATTTGTGGCCTAGGAATTAACCTTTTTTCTTGCTTAAAATCATTCTTTTCACACAAGATTCTGTACATAAAAAGAAGCATATGAAACTATTTCTATTTTTCTTTCTATGCTATTTTAAGTGTTGATAAAGTGTTGGGGGGAAATATGGTAATGAATTTACCCTTTTAGGTTTTTGGAAGTACCTTCTTCTCTTGATAACAATAGTAAATCTAACACTGTCTTTCTGATAGCTGAGTTTTAAATTTCTTACTAGCTAATGCTAAAATCTAATTTCAATAAAAATTAACTTTAGGTTTTTCACTGACTTGTTTATATTCCTCTGTCAGCATACTGCAGGAACTTTGTGCTTTAGAGAATTTAGACTTTTAAAACATTTTCAAAGTTTGGGTTCTAGGATCAGCCCTGCCACTAAATCACATCATACTTTTGGGCAAGTTGCCTAACCCTCTAGATCTCATTGTACTAATTTGTAAGATAAATGGATTGGATCTGCTGATCTCTGATTTACCTATAATTTTGTTCACTGAGTGCCTCCTGTTTATAGGGCACTGCGTTAGGAACAGTGGGAATGTGGGTACAAGTTTTGTTTTTTGCCATAACATTAATTGCCTTTGATGAATTGGACCTAAACAACTTTACTATCTTGACTTTGAATAAGACACAGACCCATAACATATAAAGTGTTTTTAAATTAAAAAGTAATCACCTCTTCAATTGGTACAATATTTATAATATTGCATAGTTGATTTATATTATAATATAATAAAACATTGTGTTTATGATTTTAAAGTTTGCTTGGTTGTGGGTCTATTGCAGAAGAAAGGAGAATCATAGGTAAGGAGAATACCTTGATGGTAGATCTTATTTGTCTTCATTTCTAGTGCCTTGGATGGTACTTCTTTTTATTTTTTTATATGGTTCTGACAGGATATGGTACTTCTTAATAAAGATATTATGAATTGAAAAAATTGACCATAAATTAAAATGAATAAGGAGTAAGAGATGAAAGTAAAATTACATATGTAGTGTAAATGTGTCTAATGCATTATTAATGATAGTAATTTACTACCATTTATTGAAAGCTTCAAATACCGTAAATATTATCCTAAGTACTTAATAGACATTCACTTAATTAATCCCTATTACTGTTCTATGAGGTAGATGCTATTATTCCATTTTGTAGGCAAGAGAACTATCCTTTTTGTTTGTTTATTTTTAGACAGGATCTTGCTCTGTCACTCAGGCTGGAGTGAAGCCATGTGATCATAGCTCACTAGAGCCTTGAACCTATGGGCTCAAGTGATCCTCCCACCTCAGCATCCCGGGTAGCTGGGACTACAGGTGTACACCACAATGCCTGGCTAATTTTTTAATCTTTTTGTAGAGATGGGATCTCGTTATGTTGCCCAGGCTGGTCTTGAACTCTTGTCCTCAAGCAATTCTCTTACCTTGGTCTCCCAAAGTGCTAGGATTACAGGCAGGAGCCATCAAACTCGGCGAGCAAGAGAACTATCATATAGAGAGGTTAAATTATTATACTGAGCTATACTACTTATCTGTACCATTTTGTTTTTCTGAAATTAAACTCTGATTAATTTCTAGTGCTGAAATGAATGCCATTAGCTTGCTTGTATTATCCAGGATAAGTTAGGTTTTGCTGCTATAGTAAAATTTATGAATTTCGGTCACTTAACCTAACAAAATGTATGACCCTTACTGTCATAAACTTCCAATTGAATGAGCAGGGGGCTGTGCTCCTGCTTTCACTCAGAGACTAAGTGGCTGATCGGGGTTTCCTTTTTAGCATATGCTTTCATGAACACTTAGCAGTGGAAAAAGAACATGGAAGATCTCATATGAATGCTCCAAAATGGAAATTACTTATGTCACTTCTTCTCACAATTCCTTGGCTAGAACTGGTTAAATGACTGTACCCAATCACAGGGTAGGGAGACAAAAAGTATTGGCTTTGTAGTGCCTAGACAGACAGCACTAATGACTACCATACTCAATCAGTCACTTACCCACCCACCTACCTACCTACTCAGTGCTGATCTGGTGTCTTTTGTATGTCAGGCACTGGGCTAGGTCCTGGCCAGGCATAGATGACTATACCCTGAAGGAGTTCAAATTGTACTTGTTGACCATTCCAACTGCATATACTCAAACTTATATCGAAACAACATGGAAAACACTGAAAATTTTGTAATGTCTTGGCATTCATCTGACTCCAACACACAGATTGCTTCAAGAAATAGCCCTGAAGTGAGGCGAATTTTTAAAATGTTTTCTTGCTTAACTTGTCATCATTATAATAGTTTACTGACCTGTTGTGTGTGTACATTAAAGCACATGATAAAAAGGAACTTATTTATTGATACCATCATTCAGTAATTAAAAATAATTGTTTTGCCTAGCTTTATTATAATAAAAGAAACAAAATTGATATATAGATTTTTGTAATCTTAAGTGTGCTTTGGTAAGTGTTGAGTAATTGTTAATTAAAAAGAATAATTCTGTACTGAAAATTTTTATTATCTATTTAACAATATGTATGTAATGGGATAATTTATAAAAATATTTTTTTCTTTCTGGTTCACAATTTTAAAAACCCTAGGTATTGTTTATGAGAAGTGAATGAATGAACATTTATTGATTATCTACTCTGAGCTCAATATTATGCTAAACTCTTTTACATCTCTTTTTAATTATTATTAATATAATCGCTTTTTGAAATAGATGGTTTAATTGAAACTCATAGAGGTTAAGTGTCTTAAGCTATTAAAGGACAATATTGTGAGTCATGTTTTTTATCTGTTTCTTTCAAGATCTATGATCTTTCATTGACATCATGATGTCTCTGTAATCTAAGCAGTAGTAACAAAACTGATGTCTCTGTGTCCACTTATTAGTTCATATTCAGCTTTACAACAATCCTGTGAGGTACATATTCTCACTAGTAGATTCACTTCTAAAAGTGAAGTGAAGTTCACAAATATCAAAGGAAGAAACATCCAAAATATCCCATTTGTAAATATCCTGGTTTTTCAGTCCCAAATTGTAAATAACTTGTGGTATGTCTATAAAATGGAATATTGTTAGCCCAAAAAATTATGGTCTTAAAGTATTCTGACAATGTGATAAAATGTTTATGCGTTAATAATAAATGAAAAAAGCAAAATGGAAAATGAATGTTCAATGTCTGTCTAAATTCATTTACCTAATTTTTTATTAGGTGCCTACTATATTCGAGGCACTGGGGAAAGAGCATTCTAGGCATGGGGAAAAACATTCTAGGCACAGGGAATGTCTAGGCAGGGAAGGTCAAGTGCAAAAACCCTGAGGTAGGTGTGTGCTCAGTGGGAGGAACTGTAGGGAGGATGGTATGTCTGGAGGGACATGCCCCAGGGAGAGAGTACTAGAGGAGGACAGAAAGGAGGTTCAGGGAGCCAGATAATGCGGGGACATCTGGGCCATTGTAAGGAATTTGGCCGTAAATCAGAATGAGATGAGAAGCCTTTGGAGCTTTAGGGGTAGAAGAATGACTCTGATTAATAAATCTTAAGAAACACTTTGGCTATTGTGTTGAGAATAGACTATGTAGGGGAAAGGGGGTAAACAGAAAGACCAGGTTGTTGCAAAATTTCAGATTAGAGACGATGGTGGCTTGGATTAGTGTGGTAGTGGTGGAGGCTGAGAAGTGCTCAGATTCTGGATATTTTTGAAGGTGTAGCTGAGAGGTATAGTTGATGAATTAGATGTAGGTTGTGAGATAAAGAATTGAAGATGACTCCAAGGTTTTTGGCCTGAGCAGTTAGAAGGTAGGAGTTGTCATTTACCAAGAAGGGGAAAGCTGCAGAAGGAGTAGGTTTGGGGAAGGAAGGAGAAGAGGAACTTGGTTTCAGAAATGGTATTGTGTCAAGAATTTAGAAGAAAGGTGGGGCAAGTAATACAAATTTGAAGCTGTTAGTATACAGATGGTATGTAAAACCATGAGATTGGAAGAGAGCAACAAAGGAGTTAGTGAAGATGATCTTTTCTTTTAAAGATGATCTTCTCAACACTGCATATTTAGAAGTCAGGGAAATGGGGAACCAGTTAAGGAGACTGAGAAGGAACAGTTGGAGGAGGAAAACCAGGAGGGTGTGATACCCTGATTACTTAATGAAAAAAGCATTTCCGTAAGAAGGTAACCAGTAGTGCCTAAATAAATGACTGGGAATTGGCCACTTGATTTAGCAATGTGGAGGTTATGGTGACCTTGACAGCAATTTCCTCAGAGGGTGAGTGGAGGCGAAAGCCTCATTGGAGTGGATGCAAGAGAGAATGGGAGAAGCTGAATTGAGACCACGAGTGTGGTAATCTTTTGGGGAATTTTGCTGTGAAGGGGAGCAGAAATATGGTGTGGTAGATGGAGGGGGAGAGGGTTCCCATTTTTAAGATGGGAGAAATAATCGAATGTATGCTAAGGGAAATGAGCCGAGAGAGTGAGAAAGTGACGGAACAAGAAAGAAATAGAATTGGTAGTGGGATATCTTAGGCAAGAGGAAATGGGATCTAATGAAAAAACAAGAGCATGAACAGTTTGACCATAGTCAAACTGGGTTAGGCACATCATATAGGCACAGATGAAGGTAAGAAGGTGGTATGGTAGTGAGAACTTGTGTGCTGTTTCTCAGAACGCTTCCCTTTTCCCAGCAAAATAAGATGGAAGGTCATCAGCTGAGAGTGAGAAAGGGAGAGAACAGAAATGCTCCTCTAGCAGAGAAGGAAAGTAAATGCACTAGGGGCATATGGTTTGATTGCAGGGCAGCTTTTCTAACTTTGTAAGGCCATTTGATGTAACTGTTATGTAAGTTAGTAAGGCCATTTGATGTGGCTGTATGTTTCTCTAGCTACATTCAGTTTCTTGGGTATGGCTGTGGAGTTGGTGAATTGCACTTTTGCCAAGTGAGAACAAAAAGGTGAGAGAGGCCTGGGTAGTGAGAATTGCATGCAAGGGAGTGATTACAGCCCCTTTTTGCAGCCCCTATTACCGCCTCCCCTGACTACTAGAAGAGTAAACCAGTTGGTCTTCCTAGCTTCCTGCAGTTTCCCCCTCCGGTACAGCTCCCATGGGTTGTCACATAAATCACCTCTCCTCCAGTTGAATCACTGTTCTTTTCAGAAACTGCGACTCTTTATTGTTTGCTTTATTAAGAACAAAATCCTGTAGCATTTAAGGCCTTTCAATCTATGGCCCTAACTGCCTTTCCATTTTGCTTATCTATTCACCACATATGCCCATTCCTTTCCTGTCTATGTGTTAATCCACATTGTTCCCTTTGCCTGGAATCTCTCTCTCCCATGGGCCTTACCTCTTTTATCAATCCCATTCCATTTTTTAACCCCTACCTCTAACACTGCCTCCTCCAGGAGCTGTTTTTTTTCTTCTGCTTCTGCTGCTCCTGCTGCTGCGTCTTCTGCTGCTGCTTCTGCAGCTTCCTCTGCTGCTTCTGCCTCTGCCTCCTCCAGGAGCTGTCATCCTTCTCCTTCTTCTCGCTTCCTCTTCCTCTTCTTTCTTTCTCTTCCTCCCCCTCCTTCCTCCATCCCTCCTCCTTCTCCTTCTTCTTCTTCCTCTTTTTTATTTTGTTGGTTTTTTTTTTGAGACAGAGTCTTGCTCTGTCACCCAGGCTGGAGTGCAGTGTTGTGATCATAGCCCACTGCAGACTTGGCCTCAAACTCCCGGGCTCAGGTGAACCTCCTGCCTCAGGCTCTTGAGTAGCTGAGACTAAAGGCTTGTGCCACCATGCCTGGATATTTTTTTTAAAAAAAAGAAATGGGGTCTTGCTATGTTGCCCAGGCTGGTCTTGAACTTCTGGCCTCAAGTGATCTTTCCTTCCACCTGTACCTCACAAAGTGTTGGGATTACAGGTGGGAGCCACTGCACCCAGCCCATTTTTAAATCTCCTGGACAGTGTGTGATTGGTCAAATCTTTTTTTGTACTTTTATGGCACATGTCTTATTCTAGCCTTGTGTTATATATAATCTTTTATACTCCTCTCTTATTCTACATTTAAAGCAGGAATCCTGTCTTGTAAACATCCATACTCCTCCATAGCACATGTGACATTGTTTTTCCTAGAGTATTATTTTCACAAATCTGATGAATCTCTATCTTTCCCCCTCCTTCTCTCCCATTTTTCTACACACTGAGGTAAGGAAGGTGTGTGTATATGGAGGAGGGGAAGGTTAAGGAAACTTGGATCCTAGCTGTCTCACATCCTTTGGAGAGCATGATAGAATGTCAGATAAAGACAGACCTACCTGTTTTAATTTTCTTATTTTGGGGTCTGGAAGCTGTGGCTAGAAGTTTGTGCTTTTCCTTCTCCCAACATATCTACAGAGAAAGGATTAAGGGAGGGAATGCTGCATTTCTTGTTTTTTCTTTGTTTTGTGTATGGGCGAGGGCTGGGATGGAGAATGAACACAAGAGGAATGTCTCCTTACAGGCTACTTCTGTGGTAATTGTGTACCACCTGTATTTATTATTGGAGTGTTAAAG
Organism: Homo sapiens; assembly: GCF_000001405.40. Taxonomy (NCBI): domain Eukaryota; kingdom Metazoa; phylum Chordata; class Mammalia; order Primates; family Hominidae; genus Homo; species Homo sapiens. The sequence goes on along the minus strand of NC_000011.10, from coordinate 82,888,463 downwards.
TAAACTTTTTATGATTTCGGTTTTTCATTTGCAAGTGGAAGCCAGTTAACTGTGTATATTTGTAAATCCTTACTTTCTATGGCATACATGTTAGTTCAGGTTGCCCTGTGGTGCTGCGGCTGGAGAGAAGCAGCAGCTGTGTCTCTGTCAAGCCCATGATGCTGTCTTTCCTGCTGCTCATATGGTGCAGATTGACCACACAGGTTAGGAGAAACAGATTTGTTAAAGGCAGATTTTCTTAGAAGCTTTCTCTGAGCAGCCCTGCAATTTGGTTGTACGGTATGTATGGGCAGAAAGGTGCGATACTTTTTCTCACCCATCATAAGGGTCATGGTCAATGCCCCTATAATAAAATACAGTTTAACAAGAGAAAAGCATAACAAGTGTATTTAAGCACAGTTTTATGTGATATGGGAGTCTTCAGAAATGAAGACCCAAAAAACTCAGGGGAAACTCTTCATTTTTAGGCTTACGTTTGATGAAGAATGGACAGTCCTGTAGAAAAGTGATGGAACAAAAAGGGAAAGATCCTAGTGGTAATAGTCTGAATGGGGAAACTCAGCAAGGTCTATCTGTTCTGATTCTTCTTGGTCTCTGTGTGGCATTCTTTCCTCCTGGATGTAGTGTCAGACCCCTTTTGGAATGACGGTCTTAAGATCAACTATGGGACAAGGTAGGTCAGATAATTTCTTTGTAACCAGCTCCTATACAGAAAGGAAGGGGAAGGTTAGATTTAGTATTTTTAGGCTTCATGGCTGGCTTTCAGGAAGAAGGGTCCTAGTTTCTATGACCTGCCTTGGGGGAGAAAGAGGAGTAGGAGAGAGAAAGACAGAAGAGGGAAAGAGACTTTGCTTCTGAGACTCTTCCAGTGTTCTTCAGTTCAAAGTACTCCCAAGGAACAATACTTTGATAACAGTAAGTATCACTCTATGATAGTTGACATAGTATCAATACTTTGGGGTATTGTTTTCTGAGCTCCAACAGATAACAATGAAGTATCACTCTATGATAGTTGATATAATACCTAACAGTTACACAGTAAAACAGCACAGTCATACATTCATTTAAAAATATTTGTTGAACTCTTCCTTTGTGCCATACTCCGAGTTAATAGCTAGGGATAAATGGAGAGCAAACATAGGCCTCATGCAGCTTACAGTTTAGTGAGAAAGAAGATAGTCACAAGTAATTAAAGGTGTGATGTATGCTTTAAGGAAGTATGAGATGTCTATAATGGGATCCTAAGTCTGGAGTATTAGGGAATCCTATAGATGGTAATGATGTTAAAGGAGAGACCAGAAAGATGATTAGGAGTGAACTAGAAGAAGGGAGATGATAAAGATTTCTGTCAAGGTAGAAGGTATATCATGTACAAGATCCTAAGGTAGGAAAGACCAGGCTGTGTTGGAGGAACTGAAAAGAGGTCAGTAAGACTGAGATGGGAGGGTCAAAGATGATGACCTTGGAGGTGGGCTTCCAACACTGTGAGGTCAGTATTGTCATTATTTCCATTTACATACACACGGTGTGGATATTCCTTCTCTGTAGCTTTCATTGACTTTAAGAGCATAGCTTGGTGTTGAGATGGTGTGGGACAGAACACAGTTGATCAGAGTATGGTTGTTTTGTATTCATCTTGTGATGGCACTGAATAAATGCATATTTATCTTTTACCCTGTAGGGAGTTACTACAATTTTATAGAGGAAAAAGGGCTCAGAGGCTGAAGTGATTTATGCATGATTGCACAGCTGATAAGTGATAGAGCCAGGATTTAAACCTGGCTCTGTCAGCATCACAGCCCTTGTACCATGTTGCCTCATATTTCAGAAATAGACAGAAGGTTTTACAATTCATGGCTTATATTTAATTCATGTAGTTCAACCAAACATGTTGGTTCACACCTGTAATTCCAGCACTTTGAGAGGCTGAGGTAGGAGGATCACTTGAGACCAGGAGTTTGAGACTAGCATGAGCAAGAAAGCAAGACCCTGTCTTTAAAAAAATACAAAAATTAGCCAGGCATGGTGGTGTGCACCTGTGGTCTCAGCTACTTGGGAGGCTGAGGCAGGAGGATCACTTGAGCCTAGGAGGTCAAGGCTGCAGAGAGCTATGATTGAACCACTGTACTCCAGCATGGGCGACAGAATGACACCCTGTCAAAAAATTTAAGAATTAAAAAAATTCAGGAAGTTCATGGCTGATTTAGAGATATTAACCCATATTAGACAGTAATAAAGTTGAAGAATAAGCAGAATTTTAGTTCTCCTAACACCAGGTTGGGTAATTTTGGACAGCAAAAATATAATGGAGATTTCAATTATACAGAACTTTCTTCTGACTTTGACTTTGTGTTACAGAAAGAAGAGATTTAAATTAATGGGAACTATGTTAGCATCAGAAGGGGACTATGAAAACTTCTAAAATAACTCTATGAGTTATTTTGGATAGCTCTATATATTCATTGAGTGAAGGATGTTAAGAGACCTCCATTGACTATCACAAAAAGGTCCTATCCAAGGGAATAAAGGAAGATACATCTTTGGTGAGGCAGGAGTGAAGTCACTACTATAGAACTTTCTCTCCTGAAGCTTGGTGCTCAGTCCATGAGCAAATTATCCATTTTAAGCTTTCCCAACAACTTGAGTATAAAATTTGGCTTGGAATAAGTTATAGAGTTTGTGTAAAAGTCTCTAATCCATGCTGCATGGACTGGTCACTGCCATGTATTCATCTTTCACTCTTGGAAGAGTGAAAGGTCCTTGCATGTCCCTATCTTGCATTCTGCTTTTGAAAGTCTACCAGCTCTTAGACTAGGGAGTCAAATCTGATGAACTATACCTAAGTATTTTGTTTTCTTTAAAAGCCTGGAGACTGGTCTTATTTTTAACATGTTGTTTAGAATAAAAATGCGTTCTTCTATTTAATAAAGTGTATAATTTAAAAGGATATTAGACTGAAAATTTAAGCTAGTCTCCTTAACCACATTTATGAGAAGCCTGGCTGTTTGGACCATGATTGTAGTTGTATTATTCTGCCATCTAAGGGGAAATAAATAGTCCCTTGAGATGTGGGTTTATAATCTTCAGTATGTGGAACAATGAAAGTGATGTCACAGGTTATTTAAAAAATAAAATATCCAAAGCACTCATGTTATATTTCTGCAATATGTACCATTCCTCATAGCTCAGTTATTTATACAATGAGGAATGTATATTAAATATATATTACACATGTCACAGCATTGGTGACTATAACTGAACAGAAAGGAAAAAGAAAAACATGTCATATACCAGGCCACATCATATTTGGTGTATAAGAGGTTCTTACTGTCACGAAGACACTACCCTGTTTCTGTTATCTGTTCCAAGATAGCTGCCATTAAAAAAGTAATTTTACTTTGCAAGTCATGGTTTCTTAAGTGACCACTCAGAACAAATTGCTGAAGTTTTATATCATATTTTTTCTTTCACATGACAATATTGAGCACTGATGGCATATATTGTTTGAGCTGGGAGGTGTGTGCTAGTAAAACCTTTCAAAATATATTAGTAATAAATCAAGCCTTTACTTCCTGCAGGCCCTTGCTGCTGGGCAGTTGCACATATGTATTATCCAACTAAATCATTACAAGACTCCTCTGGTAGGTGTTATTTTTTTCATTCTGCATTTGAGAAAACAAGCTGAAAGCCATGAACTTGGTTAAGTAGCTAATAAATGGCCAAGATGGCACTGAAAGTCAGGTCTGTCTGCAAATTCTCTTCTTTTTCCACTACATCAGAACATTTGTGGTCTTCAGAAGGAGGGAAAAAAGGGTGTTAAAAGGTGCCTTGGTACAGATTAAATTTTATTAGTGCAAAAGTATGTGTGTTTATATGTTTAAGACTTGACACAACTGGATTTTTTGTAGTTGTTGAGACAGGGTCTCACTCCCAGGTGGGAGTGCACTGGTGTGATCATGGCTCACTGCAGCCTCGACATCCCGGGCTCAATCAGTTCTCCCATCTCAGCTTCCTGAGGAGCTTGACTACAGGTATGACCATTATGCCTGGCTAATTTTTGTATTTTTTTGTAGAGATGGGGTTTCTACAGGTTGCCCAGGTTGGTCTCGAATTCCTGGGCTCAAGTGATCCTCCTACTCAGCCTCCCAAAGTTCTGGGATTACAGGCCTGAACCACTGTGCCCAGCACAAATGATATTTTTGATAAGTTTTCCTGATGGCATATGACCAGCATGTTTGGCCAGCATCATTGTGATTGAATAATCTAATTTAAACCAGGAACTACAACCCAAACAATGGCTGTGATTCAGCAGATAGGAAAGTAAGGAAGTACTTGTTATCATTTGTCAGTGAATTTATATTTTTATGCAGCTTGAACTGTGGGTCACACTGCAGACACTGTCCTTTAAAACTGTCGGAAATCTCTGCCTCTTCCTGAGCACTGATGGCCTCTTCCTTTGAGGGAGCAGCTCATACAACAATTTTGGAAAGCAGCGGTGATGACTCTCTTCTCCTTGGCGTTGAGTGTTTCCTTCCTCTTGAACAATTGGCTCTAGATGACAGTGACCAGTGCAGACTAAAACAGGCTGTGGTTTGCCTTTTTATGTAGTCTAATTTCTAAAAAAACAACAACCCTTTAAAAGAGATGGGAATTTACACTTACCAACCACCCTTCTGTGATTTCATTAAGCAACCTTGGGTCACACTCATCTGTGCATCTGAGAGGCCTGCAGCAGCACCAAGTCTCATCTTTGCTTACACACATCTAACAAGTGCAGTCAACACTAATTGATGTTGTGAATTTATTTTTACGTGCTTTATTTTTAAATTCCAAACTGACTGACCCCTGCCTTCCGGGATATCTTGAATGCCCATCCCTTGCTTAGCTAGTGTAGGCTTAGACAATGCAAATATATTTTAGGATCAACCTTTAAAAACATAATCAGAGAAATAAATCTGCCAGAAAAACTCTAATATTTATTATTTATTGTTATTTATTATTGACACTGTGTGCCAGACATTACACATTTTTCATTTCATTATTTTGTACACAGTATATTGGGTTGTGGCTTACATAGTGCTGCTGTCTATCAGCTTGGAATGGTTTGTCTTCCTCCTTTCTCTCCCTAGCAAACTCCTGTTCATCTTTCACTGCTCAGGTCTTGTATCACCTCTTGTTAGGAACTGCTTTGCCTCCCTGCCATGGGCTGGGTAACTGACTACTATCCTCTTTGTGCCTCTTATTGCACTTTATAGCTACTTCGATGCTGCTACTCTGGATCGCATTGCTTTATTTATTTATATGTTGGTATCCTGTTAGACTGTGAGCAGCCTGAGTGCTAGGACTCCACCCATCAGTGTATCTCAGTGTGTGCCTTCATCAGCTCTTCAGACAAATAACTGGCTCAAGCTGAAGTTATTCTTCTACCATTAGTACTTGGTTTTGTCAACAGTCTGCCAGTATTGTACTACCAATATGGCATAGACACTGGCCAGTGGGAACAGAAGCTAGTCATGGAGTTGAGGCCTTTTGAAGTATCATCGTTCTTTAGGTCTGGAGATCTAAAAAAGGGTCTGTGGCAGTAGGGCTGTGTGTGTGTGTGTGTGTGTTGCACAGGTAGTTTTTCTCCAACTCATATGGAAATATTTCAGTATTTTAAGAACTGGCTCGGCCGGGCGCGGTGGCTCACGCCTGTAATCCCAGCACTTTGGGAGGCCGAGGCGGGCGGATCACGAGGTCAGGAGATCGAGACCATCCCGGCTAAAACGGTGAAACCCCGTCTCTACTAAAAATACAAAAAATTAGCCGGGCGTAGTGGCGGGCGCCTGTAGTCCCAGCTACTTGGGAGGCTGAGGCAGGAGAATGGCGTGAACCCGGGAGGCGGAGCTTGCAGTGAGCCGAGATTGCGCCACTGCACTCCAGCCTGGGCGACAGAGCGAGACTCCGTCTCAAAAAAAAAAAAAAAAAAAGAACTGGCTCAGTATCAGCTTTGGTCCTCCCAGGTAGTGAGTGCCTACAGAATGGGATTCTGTCTGTACTGCTTAGTGTCCCTAATATGGATATCTCAGCACAACTCAGGTGTCCAAAACAGGTTTAACTTCTATAGCAAATGTTAATGTTATTACATAACACTTCTTTTTAAAACTTCTCTGAATTTTTCACATTACTATGAATACTACTGCAGTTGACCCTAGAACAACATGGGTTTGAACTGCACGTGTCCACTTATAAACGTTTTTTTTCAATACATCTCTTCTGTCTCCCCTTTCACCTCCTCCACTTCTTCTGCCTCTGCCACCCCTGAGACAGCAAGACCAACCCCTCCTCTTTCTCCTCCTCCTGTTCAGCCTTCTCAAAGTGAAGATGAGGATAAAGACCTTTGTGATGATCCACTTTCACTTAATGAATAATAAATATATTTTCTCTTCCTTAAGATTTACTTAATAACATTTTTACCTAGCTTATTTTATTGTAGGAGTACAGAATATAATACATATACAAAATATGTGTTAATTGACTTTATGTTATCAGTAAGGCTTCTGGTCAATAGTATGTTCTATTAAGTTTTTGGGAGTCAAAGGTTATAGGCAGATTTTTGACCATTTGTGGGTTGTGGAGGGTGGGTTGGTGCCCCTAATCACCCTGTTGTTCAAGGGTCAGTTGCACTCTCCTGTTCACATGGGATAGAAAACTTTGGAATTTTCTGATTCTCTCACCTTCACATCCAAACCAAAATCCAGTCAATCACCAAGACATTTCCAAGATTCCATCCTCGTTTCTGCCCCTTCTTTGCTTTCCCAGGGTTACCAGTTTGTACCATATAATTCCAGGCTAACTTATTATAATACCCCCTTCAGTCCCTCTGTTCTTTTAGATTCAGCCCAGGCCAGCTGGCACCATGTTTTTTTTCTCCTCTCCTTTTGTCCAATCCAGGCTTTATAGGGCCCTGCTTAAACCCCACATCTTCAGAGAAACCTTCCCCGCTGACTCAGCCCAGCGGGGGCTGTCCTACCCCCAGGTGCCCTAGTCCTTACTGTCTGTAGCATTTGGATGTTACCTGTGCTCTACTTTGTGAGGCTGCCTGAACTGTAATTACATCTTCAGATGACGTTGAACGGGTGGTTGTCCCTCAAGTAGAGAGCACACACAGCCATTAAGTGAGAATTAATACACTCACCGGGGCATAATGGTTCAGGTCACTTAGATTTTTAAGATTTCTTAATAGAAATAATTTCAAATTCTGTAACTTGGTTGCTGAATAGCATGAAATTTTGTTAAAGAAAAACACTATGACCCACTAAATGAATTCCTAACCTACAAATGGATCACAACCTCCATTTTATATAACCCTGATCTAGACCACAAAGGCCTTAAAAAGAAGAATGTTTCTCTCATAATGGAAAGGTAAGACCTGGAAGCAAAAGCCTTTACTATGAGTATAAAGTGTTGCAAGAGAGGCATAAAGCATGCAAGTCTAGAAGAGGGAAAATTGCACAGTGAAAATGACTTCCTATTGTAGGAAGATGATTCTGTTTGTGGGAGCAGGCACTTGGCAGTGGCTTAGCAGTTTATAGGTTTTCCCTTGAAAATTAAGTCCTTCCTTGCAGAGGGTTTTTTTTTTTTTTTTCCTCCATAAGGGCAGATGGGAAAAACACACATTTCCTCCTCTCTAGTTTTCTTTAGGCTTTTATTTATTCACCATTTTGTTTTCCTTCTCAATATTTTTGCTCTTGCATAATAGCAGGGCTTGTTGAGCTTTTCTGATTTGGACTGTGTTTCTAAACACTAAAATGAGCAAAGTGAGGAGGTTCCAAGATGGCCGAATAGGAACAGCTCCAGTCTACAGCTCCCAGCATGAATGATGCAGAAGATGGGTGATTTCTGCATTTCCAACTGAGGTACTGGGTTCTTCTCACTGGAGCTTGTCAGACAGTGGTTGCAGCCCATGGAGCAGGGCAGGCCATTGCCTCACCTGGGAAGTGCAAGGGGTCAGGGAATTCCCTTTCCTAGCCAAGGAAAGCCATGACAGACGGTACCTGGAAAATTGGGACACTCCCACCCTAATACTGTGCTTTTCCAATGGTCTTAGCAAATGGCACACCAGGAGATTATATCCTGTGCCTGGCTCAGAGGGTCCCACACCCACAGAGCCTCGCTCACTGCTAGCACAGCAGTCTGAGATCCAACTGCAAGGTGGCAAAGAGGCTGGGGGAGGGGCATCTGCCATTGCTGAGGCTTGAGTAGGTAAACAAAGTGGCCGGGAAGCTCGAACTGGGTGGAGCCCACTGCAGCTCAAGGAGGCCTGCCTGCCTGCCTCTGTAGACTCCACCTCTGGGGGCAGGGCATAGCTGAACAAAAGGCAGCAGAAACTTCTGCAGACTTAATTGTTCCCTGTCTGACAGCTTTGAAGAGAGTAGTGGTTCTCCCAGCATGGAGTTTGAGATCTGAGAATGGACAGACTGCCTCCTTAAGTGGGTCCCTGACCCCTGAGTAGCCTAACTGGGAGACACTTCCCAGTAAGGGTCGACTGACATCTCATACAACTGGGTGCCCCTCTGAGACAAAGCTTCCAGAGGAAGGATCAGGCAGCAACATTTGCCATTCTGCAATATTTGCTGTTTTGCAGCCTCCGCTGGTGATACCAGGCAAACAGGGTCTGGAAGGGACCTCCAGCAAACTCCAGCAGACCTGCAGCTGAGGATCCCGACTGTTAGAAGGAAAACTAACAAACAGAAAGGACATCCACACCAAAACCCCATCTGTACGTCACCATCATCAAAGACCAAAGGTAGATAAAACCACAAAGATGGGGAGAAACCAGAGCAGAAAAGCTGAAAATTCTAAAAATCAGAGTGCCTCTTCTCCTCCAAAGGAATGCAGCTCCTCACCAGCAACAGAACAAAGTTGGATGGAGAATGATTTTGATGAGTTGAGAGAAGAAGGCTTCAGATGATTGGCAATAACAAACTTCTCTGAGCTAAAGGAGGATGTTTGAACCCATCGCAAAGAAGCTAACAACCTGGAAAAAAGATTAGACGAATGGCTAACTAGAATAAACAGCATAGAGAAGACCTTAAATGACGTGATGGAGCTGAAAACCATGGCACGAGAACTACGTGATGCATGCACAAGCTTCAGCAGCTGATTCAATCAAGTGGAAGAAAGGGTATCAGTGATTGAAGATCAAATGAATGAAATGAAGTGAGAAGTTTAGAGAAAAAAGAGTAAAAAGAAACAAACAAAGCCTTCAAGAAATATGGGACTATGTGAAAAGACCAAATCTATGTCTGATTGGTGTACCTGAAAGTGACGGGGAGAATGGAACCAAGTTGGAAAACACTCTGCAGGATATTATCCAGGAGAACTTCCCAAACCTAGCAAGGCAGGCCAACATTCAAATTCAGGAAATACAGAGAACACCACAAAGATACTCCTCGAGAAGAGCAACTCCAAGACACATAATTGTCAGATTCACCAAAGTTGAAATGAAGGAAAAAATATTAAGGGTAGCCGGAGAGAAAGGTTGGGTAACCCATAAAGGGAGGCCCATCAGACTAACAGTGGATCTCTTGGCAGAAACTCTACAAGAGTGGGGGCCAACACTCAACCTTCTTAAAGAAAAGAATTTTCAACCCAGAATTTCATATCCAGCCAAACTAAACTTCATAAGTGAAGGAGAAATAAAATCCTTTATAGACAAGCAAATGCTGAGAGATTTTGTCACCACCAGGCCTGCCCTACAAGCGTTCCTGAAGGAAGCACTAAACTTGGAAAGGAACAACCGGTACTAGCCACTGCAAAAACATGCTGAATTATAAAGACCCTCAGTGCTAGGAAGAAACTGCATCAACTAATGAGCAAAATAACCAGCTAACATCATAATGACAATGGGGAAGAAGCAAAAGTGGAAACCCTGATAAACCCATCAGATCTCATGAGACTTATTCACTATCATGAGAATAGCATGGGAACGACCCCCATGATTCAATTACCTCCCCATTTGTCCCTCCCACAACATGTAGGAATTCTGGGAGATACAATTCAAGTTGAGATTTGGGTGGGGACACAGCCAAACCATATCATACCACTCCTGGCCCCACCAAATTTCATGTCCTCACATTTCAAAACCAATCATGCCTTCCTAGCAATCCCCCAAAGTCTTAACTCATTTCAGCATTAACCCAAAAGTCCACAGTCCAAAGTCTCACCTGAGACAAGGCAAGTCCCTTCTGCTTATGAGCCTAGAAAATCAAAAGCAAGTTAGTTACTTCCTAGATACAATGTGGGTACAGGTATTGGGTAAATACAGCCATTCCAAATGGGAGAGATTGGCCAAAACAAAGGGGTTACAGGCCCCATGCAAGTCCGAAATCCAGTGGGCAGTCAAATTTTAAAGCTCCAGAATGATCTCCTTTGACTCCAGGTCTCACATCCAGGTCACACTGATGCAAGAGGTGGGTTCCCATGGTCTTGGGCAGCTCCACCCCTGTGGCTTTGCAGGGTACAGCCTCCCTCTCAGTTGCTTTCACTGGCTGGCATTGAGTGTCTGTGGCTTTTCCAGGCTCACGGTACAAGCTGTCAGTGGGTCTACCATTCTGGGATCTGGAGGATGGTGGCCCTCTTCTCATAGCTCCACTAGGCATTGCCCCAGTAGAGACTCTGTGTGGGGGCTCTGACTCCACATTCCCTTCTACCCTGTCCTAGCAGAGGTTCTCCATGAGGGCTCCACCCCTGCAGCAAACTTTTGCCTGGGCATCCAGGCATTTCCATGCATCTTCTGAAATCTAGGCAGAGGATCCCAAACCTCAATTCTTGACTTCTGTGCACCTGCAGGCTCAACACCATGTGGAAGCTGCTAAGGCTTAGGGCTCCCACCCTCTGAAGTCACAGCCTAAGCTCTATGTTGGCCCCTTTAAGCCATGGATGGAGTGGCTAGGACACAGGGCACCCAGTCCCTAGGCTGCACACAGCATGGGGACCCTGGGCTCAGCCCACGTAACCACTTTTTCCTCCTGGGGCTCCAGGCCTGTGATAGGAGGGGCTGCCGTGTGGTCTCTGACATGGCCTGGAGACATTTTCCCCATGGTCTTGGGGATTAACATTGGGCTCCTTGCTACTTATGCAATTTCTGCAGCTGGTTTGAATTTCTCCTCAGAAAATAGGTTTTTCTTTTCTACTGCATCGTCAGGCTACAAATTTTCTGAACTTTTATGCTGTTTCCCTTTTAAAATGGAATGCTTTTAACAGCACCCAAGTCACATTTTGAATGCTTTGCTGCTTAGAAATTTCTTCTGCCAGATACCCTAAATCATCTCTTTCAAGTTCAAAGCTCCACAAATCTCTAGGGTGGGGCAAAATGCCACCAGTCTCTTTACTAAAACATAACAAGAGTCACCTTTGTTTCAGTTCCCAACAAGTTCCTCATCTCCGTCTGAGACCACCTCAGCCTGGACCTTGTTGTTCATATCACTATCAGCATTTTTGTCAAAGCCATTCAACAAGTCTCTAGGAGGTTCCAAACTTTCCCACATTTTCCTATCTTATTCTCAGCCCTCCAAACTGTTCCAACCTCTGCCTGTTATCCAGTTCCAAATTTGCTTCCACATTTTCGGGTATCCTTTCAGCAATGCCCCACTCTACTGGTACCAATTTACTGTATTAGTTCGTTTTCATGCAGCTGACAAAGACATACCCGGGACTGGGAAGAAAAAGAGGTTTAATTTGACTTACAGTTCCACAGGGCTGGGGAGGCCTCAGAATCATGGCAGGAGGTGAAAGGCGCTTCTTACATGGTGGCGGCAAGAGAAAATGAGGAAGAAGCAAAAGCGGAAACCCCTGATAAACCTATCAGATCTTGTAAGACTTATTCACTATCACGAGACTTGCACAAGAAAGACTGGCCCCCATGATTCAGTAACCTCCCCCCGGTCTCTCCCACAACACGTGGGAGTTCTGGGAGATACAATTCAAGTTGAGATTTGGGTGGGGACACAGCAAAACTATATCACGTGCCAAATGCAAAAATACACATATGGTTGTAATGTACTTTTGTGTGTGTTTTGTTTAATACCACAGTATAAAGTTATTGATGGTTATCAGTCACTGGGAGTACTTTTTGAGCCTTTGCTGTGGTCAGGGACTTGTACACACACCACTTTGAATCCTTGCAACCTTGTAAGGAAGTTAGTTTTCCCTTTTATAGATGAAGTAACTGAGGTACACCTAGCTAGAAAGTGGCACAATCAGCATTTCAACGTGGGACTTTCAGGCTACAGAGCTGGGCTCTTTTCACTGTGCTGAGCCAACCTTCAAAACAGTGACAGCACAGTGTGGTGGTGACTGTTCTGGAAGCTGTCATAGGATCAGAGAAGGAGCATTCTCCTTTGGGCCTGGGGTTGTCCTAGAAAACTTTGTAGAGGGGACAGCACTTGAATGAACATTTTGAGGATGAGGTAGTAATTTTTTTTTGTAATGATGCGAGAGAGGAATGCATTCCAGGCAGGAGGAAATCCATGTAGAGAAGCCTGGAGACTTCAGAAAGCGTATGTCCAGAGCATTTCTGGAATATGAAGTGGGAGAGGGCCATGTGGTAGAAGACGAGGCTGGAAAAGAGGTGAGCAGGGTGCCAGGACAGACATTATCAGCTTCTCTTGAGTTTGCCTTCGCTACGGCCTTGTGTACCACTGGTTAGTTGGGTTGTGCCTCCTCTTTGCTGCCATAACAATCACCCTGTTCTCACCCACATTCATAATGTGCATTCCTTATATAGAAATAATTTCTTTGCTTGCTTGTCTCCTCTGGTAGACTGTGGCCTCTTTCAGAGCAAAAAATAAGGCTTTTTATCCTTGTATCCAGTATAGCCCGGCACACAGAGTAAGTACTCAGGAAATGGTGGAACGATGAAAGAGCCTTGTCTTTGCTGAGGAGGCTCAGTATTAATTATAGTCACCTATGTGTTTACAGCTTTTCTACCTTTCAAGGTTGAGTTGGATTTTAACTGAGTAATTGTAGGATCTGTTCACATTTCCTGAGGCTAACACACCTCTGATAGAAAGAAAACAGTCTTGCTGGTAGCCCCACAGGCCTAAAGCAGAGTTAACTGGTGTAGTCTAAGTTCGGGTGAGGTCACTTGGTCTTCAGATGTCACATCATACTTCTCAGTTCTTCCAGTTCAACTCAGGAGTCATTGATGTAGTAAGGCCTGTGCACATTGTGTTTTGCACTTTGTGGATACAGAGATTAGCCAGAAAGGGAGAGGCAGTAAGGCATGGTGGGGAAAACACAGCCTCTCTACTCCATAGGGTTCCTCTGAAGAACAATTGAGATTATTTACATGTAGTCCTAGTTCAGCCCTTACACTATTCACAGGGGCAGGAAGAAATAACACACATGGTGTGTTCAACAGATTCTAACTTTTTTTATACAGGTTTTTTTTTTTTACAGTTTTACAGTTTATAACAGTATGGTGGTTATAAGACATGTATGTATAAATAACTACTGTGCAAGGATACATTTGAAAAGATTATAATATAGCTAAAATACCATGAAAGCACAAAGAAGGCAGGAATGCTTCATGAAGGGAGTGGCGTTGAATAGAACCCCCAGGACATTTCACAGGGTAGACGGCTGTGTGGATTAAAGGCTTAACTATTGCCTGCTCCAGGACTTCTTTTCTGACCACCCTGTTAGAAGTCGATCTGCCTCTTTTATTCTCTATCAGAATAAAACCTGTACAACTAGTTTTCTTTTTTTTCTTTTTTTTTTTTTTTTTTTGAGACAGGGTCTCACTTTGTTGCCCAGGCTGGAGTCCAGTGGTGTGATCACAGTTCATTGCAGCCTTGAACTCCTGGGCTCAGGTGATCCTCCCACTTCATCCTCCTGAGTGGCTGGTACTACAGGTGCATGCCATTATGCCATGCTAATTTTTGTATTTTTTGAAGAGACGGGGTTTTGCCATGTTGCCCAGGCTGGTCTCGAACTCCTTGGCTCAAGTGATCTGCCAGCCTTGGCCTCCCAAAGTCCTGGGATCACGGGTGTGAGCCACCGCACCCAGGTAAAACTTGTACAATTAGTTTCTAAGTTCTTATTTGTGTATTTGCTTGTTTGTTTTTTGTTTCCTGTTGTCTGTCACCAGACTATAAGCCCTGTGCGGGCAGTGACCATATCTAGCTTGTTCACTGTTGTTATACTCTAGTACTTATCCCATGGTAGGCACTCAAGAAATACTTACACATCCCACTAACTCTGGGAAGTTGTTGATTATCTGGTGTCGTGGTGGCAAAACCACCTGAAAGTAATCAAAGGAAGCCACTTGGTTACATTTGAACTTGTTGTTATTGTTCTGAGCTTTTTGGTTTCTGCTGAGGATATCCTTTTCCCTTCCTTTATCTTTTTTACAGCGCCATTATCATTTAGACCGGATGAATGTGCAAAACAATGAATAGTCTGTAGAGTGTATCTTTAAGATAATGATAAAAAGTCCCTGGAGGACATTTTATAGTGAAATCAGGACTGCGAATTTGAGTTGGAGTTTCCAGGGAGGAAAAAACTTAGACATTACTTTCCTCAGCTGCTTCCTTTGGTGGATGCTATTCATGTGGGGATTTTGTAAAGTTTAATTTTCCAGAGTGCTTTAACATCATGTATTTTTCAATGTGATAAAAAAATTTATTTTAAAGCAGTCTCTGAAAAGAGGTTGTAGGTTTTCTGTTTCAGTGGTTCTCATGGTATCATTCACAGAAGATTCTCCATGGAAGAAGAAGAGTTGTATTTTAGCATTATGTTGTAATACTATGTTTGTATGTACTTTTTCTTTTTTAAACATGTAGTTTATTAATTCATCAGAGGTAACCAGTGAAGATTGTGGCTGCTGATGTCTTTTATCTCACCAGGGTGGAACGGGACCTAAACATTTGAGAACAATTAGTTTTATTACCTTCTATCAATTTCTTGAATAGGTTTTGGAGAAAAGGGTAGCAATAGAATATGCTTTACTGACTTCTATTAAATGCTGGGGGGAGCCTGATGGCCTTGGAACTCTTTTGCCAATTTAGTGGGGCATTTCGTGTTTAAAATGCCCACAGTCAGGGCCACTGCAGAATCTGTTATAAGTGGGCTATAGTGGTGACTACAGCTGTTCAAAAGACTTCCTTTTGTTGATTGTTGTTAAACGAATACTGCTGATGTCATATATTGAGTCCTTCTTCATTGAGATCTTTCTGGGGTGTATTATGACTTTGGAGATTAAACATTGTCATATATGTTAAATATGTAGCAATTTAAGAGAGACATACCTTGGCTTGAAGCCTGGCTTGTTCTCATAATCATGTGCCATGTGAACCTTTCAATAGCCTTCTACTTATTCTTCTTACTTTCTTTTTTTTTAAAAAAAAAAAAACAGATCAGAATAAGTTTTAAAACTCTTGAAGGCTTCCTATTGCCTTTAAATTAAGTTCAGTCTCCCTATCATAGCCCACTTAGCGCTAAGCCTCATCCAGTACCATTCTCTCTCTTGTTCACCACTGATCTTATCTCTCTTTCTACATTAAACTCTTTCTGGCCTCTGGCTCTTTGTATTTTCTGTTTCTTCTTTCTAGAGTTCTTTCTTTGTCTGGCTCCTTCAGGCTTCGGTTCCATTGCCACCTCCATAGAGAGGCCTTCTGTATTAGTTTCTTAGGGCTGCAGAGTATCACAAACTAGGAGGCTTAAAACAATAGAAGTTTATCCTCTCACTTCCCGAGGCCAGAAGTCCAAAGTCAGGGTGTCAGCAGGATTGGTTACTTCTTGGGGACTCCTGGGGAGAGCCTGGTCCGGGCTCCGGGGAAGAGTCTGGTCTGTGTCCCTCGCTAAGCTTCTGCTGGCTGTTGGCAGTCCTTGGCGTTCTTTTGCTGGAAGCTGCTTGACTCCAGTCTCTGCTTCCATTGTCACATGGCCATTTTGCTTTTGTGCATCTGTGTCTTAACATGGCATTCTTCTCTCTGTGCCTCTTTGTCTCTTCTTTTCTTATAAGAACACCAGTCATATTGGATTAAGGGCCCACCCCTCTCCAGCATGCCCTCATCTTAACTAATGACATCTGCAATGATCCTATTTCTAAATAAAGTCACATTCTGAGGTTCTAGGAAGGACATAAATTTTGGGGGGATGCTATGCAACCCAGTATACCTACATGACTTTCAATTTAAAGTAGGCTGTGTTATTGGAGCTATACAGTAGTCCTCCCTTCTTCGCGGGGGATACGTTTCAAGACCCCCAGTAGATGCCAGAGATGTCGGTTAGTACTGAACCCTATATATAGTATGTTTTTTCCTATACATACATACCTGTGATAAAGTTTTATTTATAAATTAGGCACAATAAGAGATTAACAACAATAATGAATAATAAACAACTATGACACATTATGTGAACGCGTAGTCTCTTTCTCTCTCTCAAAATATCTTGTTGTACTGTACTCACCTATTTTCTGACCATGGTTGACCATGGGTAACTGAAACTGCAGAAAGCAAAACCATGGATAAGGTCTATAAGCACACTCATCGGTTATTTATTCCTGGCCAGTGATGAGCAAGGCACTTTATTAGACCACGTTACATATTGTACTCAGCTCTGGGCACACCATCTGTAAGAGGGAATGTTAATTAATCCAGTGTGAGCAGGGTTAGGAGGACTTTAGAATATAGTGTTATATGGGAAATAGTAAGAACTGGGGTTGCTCAGTTGGAGAACAGAAGATTTATGAGGTCATCACAGTTCTTTGCAGGAGGAGTGGTAGTATGCAAGATTGGATTGTGAGTTACATAGATCACAGGTCTGAACTCCTGTTCGTGAGAAACGTGGTTTTTGCCTTTTTTGGAGGTTGAGGGGTCTTTGTCCTTTTACATTATACCAGCAGATACCAGCCTCTATCTCTCAGAAGATGTGATGTAGTTATAACAGTGGTGTCAGGAGAATATTTTGCATGTATAGAAGAAACATTCAGAACAGTCCAGGTGCAATGGCTTATGCCTATAATCCCAGCACTTTGGGAGGGCAAGGCGGGTGGATCACTTGAGTTCAGGAGTTCGAGACCAGCCTGGGCAACATGGCAAAACCCCGTCTCTACTAAAAATACAAAAAGTAGCAGGGAATGGTGGGGCACGCCCATAGTCGCAGCTACTCAGAGGCTGAGGCAGGAGAATTGCTTGAACCCAGGAGACGAAGTTTGCACGAGCCAAGATCATGCCACTGCACTCCAGCCTGGGCGACAGAGTCAGATTCTGTTTCAAAAAAAAAAAAAAAAAAAAAGAGAAACATTTAGAACAATAGACTATAAAGGAAGAAAATCAGTAACACATCATCTTATGTTTAACAAAGCAGAAGAATATAAACTTTCAAGGCCTTGATGATATGCAGCCTTACATTATTTTTATGAGATTATTATTGAAATGCTTATATATCATATATATGAGTTCTGGCAAGATTATTTACTCCTTAAAATAGAATAAATACAGCATAGTTTAGATTACCTTGCAAATCAGCAAACAGATTATGGCAGCATTTGTCTGTGGTGGACAGGACCTCATAGCTCTGGGCATATTCAGGCTGCATGAAGATAGGAATGACCTTAATTCTCTTGCCCCCTGTCCTCTCACAACCCCTTTATGACATTCTCATCCTAGTTTTATCCAACCATTAAACTTCTCTGCTCCTGCTCCTGGGTTGTAAATATCTGCTAAGCGGCAGATTATTGTGCATACCAATTCAGTCTCCAACCTCAGGAGCTTTATGGAGGCCTAGGCATCAGTTTTTTCTTCCATGCTGAACTTTTACCTCTGTCTTTAAATCATTGCCATCCTAGGCTCTCTTTTACTATCTCTTTTAATAGATTACTTTGTCCCTTTACTTCATTGACTAAAAACTAAGGTGTTATATGAGAGGCATTTTAACTAGAATCCTTTTAGTTTCCTCCCTCGGTAATTAGAAAGATAACTCTTGCATCCATCTGTTTCCCAGTGGAGAAGGGGTTCCCAAGTCAGATCCTTCTGTTGGTGCTATTGACCCCATTCCCTCCTTCCTTCCCAGGATCTCGCAGCATCACATATCCCTCACTTACCTAGAGTCTCAACTATTCCCTCCAATTACTTTTTGTCCTAGGGTATTATACCTCTTCCCTGTTTCTTCCTTCTTAAAACTCTGTTGTTGGAAACACAAATTTTACACATTGATCAAATCAACATTTTGCAGCACATGTGGATTCACCAAACACTAGTATGCTGCTGAACGAGCTGCTATGTTGTACATTTTACAGAAAGCTGTTTCTCAGGTAAAGTTATTGTGTCCTGGCTGACAGCCATGACTTTAAAGTCCTTTCCAGTCTTAAAAACTTTGACTTATAACCTTGTCACCAAGATCAATTATATTTTAGGTAATATGCTTTGGTAAAATGCTGATTAGTCCTTCTCCTGCACTCCCTGCAATGTTGGCCTTCTGTCCATATTATTTGTAGTTATATAGAACTGTTTCTTCACCCAGCAGAAGGCATGCATTTCCTGCTTCCTCAGCAGTCCAAATGTTATGTGGTGCTCTTAGATTTAAGGCTTGGGTTCTCCATTAGGCATGTGATTTGTCACTGGGCAAAAGGCACATCCAACTACAGTGTTGTGCAACTCTTCCAAAGCTGGGAACAGACCCACCCAATAAATGAACCTGCACAAACTTGACCTTCTTGGGAACTTTGCTTTCCATTCTCATTTTTGTTTTTATACCAACTGCAGAGCCATGATGCATGCATGCATTCATTTACTCTCTATATATTCATTGGTCTTCTACTACATGCCAGGCCTTATTCCAGTCACTGTGTACTCAGAAGTGGACAAAACAGAAAAAAGTCCCTGCCTATTTGAGTCTATTTCCAGTGGATGTTTTTCATTCACTGTTGGTTTAGAGAAACAATCTTGGATTTCAGCTAGGTTTCTTTCCTCCCTTTCTCCCTCTCTTCCTTCTTTCCTTCCTCCTTTCCCTTCCCTTCCTTCTCTTTCTTCTGTCTCTCTATACCGCTTTCTTTCTTTCCTTCCTTCCTTTCTTCCTTCTTTCTTTTCTTCTTTTCTTCTTCTTTTTTTTTTTTTTTGAGATGGAGTCTCACTCTGTCGCCCAGGCTGGAGTGCAGTGGCATGATCATAGTTCACTGTAACCTTGAACTTCTGGGCTCAAGGGATCCTCTGATCTCAGCGTCCTGAGTAGCTAGGACTATAGGCATGTACCACCACACCCGGCTAATATTTTTATTTTTTGTAGAGACAGGGTCTTGCTATGTTGCCCAGGCTGGTCTTGAACTCCTGGGCTCAAGTGATCCTACCACCTTGGCCTCCTGAAGTGTTGGAATTACAGGTGTGAGCCAGTGCACCTGGCCTAGGTTTTTCTTTTTCCTTATTTATTTATTTATTTTTTGAGACAGAGTCTTGCTCTGTCACCCAGGTGGGAATGCAGTGGTGTGATCTTGGCTTACCGCAACCTCTGCCTCCCAGGTTCAAGTGATTCTCGGGCCTCAGCCTCCCAAGTAGCTGAGATTATAGGCGTGTATCACCATGCCTGGCTAATTTTTTGTATTTTTGTAGAGAAGAGGTTTTGCCATGTTGGGCAGGCTGGTCTCGAACTCCTGGCCTCAATTTGATCCTCCCGCCTCAGCCTCCCAAAGCGCTGGGATTAAAGGTGTGAGCCATTGTGGCAGCCCAGTGAGTCTAATCTCATCTCCCATGTCTTCCCCTCATAAACCTCTTGCCGTAAAACAACAGTTCCTGAATTTATGCTCATTCTGTATAGCTCATCATAGCCTTGCACATGTTTTTCTTCCTTTGCTTGAAATGCTCTTTTGTACCTGAAAAAAAAAAATTCTTCTCTGTGTTTCAGCTCAGATATTACCTCCTTGGTGCAGCCCTCTGTAATTTCCTCAGGCAGGGTGGTGACTTTGGCTTCTGAGCTCCCACAGTGCTTTGTATACAGAACTTAACCACACCACTGCTTGGTTGTTTACTAGCACATTAATCATTTCTGTTAGATTCTCCAGAACTTGAGAAATGGAATTGTATCTTAGTTTTTTTCTTAATACCTGCCTTTTAGTGAGCACTCAATAAGTATTTTTAAATGAAAGAAAAATTTAATATTAATGTGATTTAGTGCAATATAATTTACATATGCCTGTATAGTGAAATAGAAATATAAACATGTATCTTGTAAAATAATATATATCTTCAATGAGATTTTAAATGTTTATCAATCTGCTTTTGAATTATCTTATTATACATACAGAACAATGCATTATCCTAACTCCAGAATCCCCTCATTCTCTTTTACAGTCAGTTTTCCCCTGCACTGGTAACCAATATCCTGGTTTCTGACAGCACAGATTTTGAATCCTGACTTTAAAAAGAAGGGGGATGATTGTTGTTTCAATCATGTGAACATATAATATATTTATTTAGAAAAGAAAGATTTAAAATAATTGGCCTCTGTGTCTGTTTTTTATCCAAGAGTTTGGACTTGAGATCTAAGTTCCCTTTCTGTCCTAAGATTTTCTGAAACTTAATTTAAAACTTAACAAACCGGGTGTGGTGGTGTGCGCCTTTAGTTACAGCTACTCTCGAGCTTAGGAAGGAGGATCGCCTGAGCCCAGGAGTTCGAGGCTGCAGTGAGCTATGATCTGGCCACTCTACTTTGCCTGGGCTACAGAGGGGAGACCCCGTCTCTTAGAGAACAAACAAAAAAAAAGTAATGGTCTTTCCGACTTTACTACTTATATAAGGGCGCCCTCTGGTGGTGTGTCATTTCCTAAAATTTATATGCAGTGCTTGATTACAGCAGCACTTTATCTCTAATTTGGGAGCTTGAGCTGTGGCCCGGTAATTCTTCTAGTACAAAGCTTCCTGAAGCCGTGGGAAGGCATTGATTATGTGGTGCTTTCACAGAGCTGTTTGACCAACAGATAGAATCTCCCTCTAATGAAACACTTAACTGTTATTTGTCAAAACATGTTATTTCTTGATTTACTGGAGCATTTTAGGTATTCTCAACGGCAGGATATTTTCACCTCTGTTTTAGCAGTAAAGCAAAGAGTGTTTTGGTTTCACAGCATTTTGATAACTTAGCAATTCCCCCTCTGGGCCCAGGAGTTCTTGGTTTGAGGAAAGAAAGGTTATTAAGCACTGCAGAATTTTTCGAGAGGGTGTTTTCTCTCCCCATTTGGTTACTAAGCACAATTTTTTTTTCCACATAGATAGATGCTGTTGTGATATTTATTTATACCATTATTGAATTTATAATAGCTTCTCATATTTTCTCAAGCACTGGCTACTAATATATAACACATCTGTGATAATTTTAACATTAAGAAGGGAACCTCATAATCAGAAACACAAGAACCACTTACTTAGAAGATTTAAACTGCATCAGTTGAGCAATTATCTATGGCCGGGCGCGGTGGCTCATGCCTGTAATCCCAGCACTTTGGGAGGCTGAGGCAGGTGGATCACTTGAGGTCAGGAGTTTGAGACCAGCCTGGCCAACATGGTGAAACCCTGTCTCTACTAAAAATACAAAAATTATCCGGGTGTGGTGGTGGGCACCTGTAATCCCAGCCACTTGGGAGGCTGAGGCAGGAGAATTGCTTGAACTCGGGAGGTGGAGGTTGCAGTGAGCCGAGATCACGCCCCTGCACTCCAGCCTGGGTGACAGAGCAAGACTCCGGCTCAAAAAAAAAAAAATTAAAAACAATTATCTATAAAGTATCTGCCATGTACAAGGGCACTGTGGTAGCTATTGTGTTCTTGCCTTTCAAACCATCTGAGTATAGGAGGCTGGGGCACTAAATTTTCCCCATGATGGACTCTCCCATTATCACTTATTTGCTTCCCTTTCTCATTTACCATTTTCTCTTTAAATAAATTTATTTCTAAGAGTCTCATTTTTAAGATTAGGGGCATGTTAGGAAAAAAAAAGCATAGGAGTCAGGGAATGCAGTTCTGTCTCCTGGTTAACACTTATAGAAGTATGTGTAAAGAGGAGCAGTGTCTTATTACATACGAAGATGATTGCCTTTGAAGCATATCTCTGAGAGGACTTCCACCCTTTTTGTTAAGATGGAAGCTCGACCCTCTAAGGTTGGCAATGACGAGAGCATCTTCGTGGGAAGGGAGGACAGTATCTTCTTGGACTCACCTTCCTCTTGGAGGGACTTGTAAACATTTCCTTTGCTACCACTACACTCACTGGGGGATACCGTTTCCTCTTTAATTCTTTAAGTCAAATTTAATCTCCAATACTTTCTGGTATCTTCATTGTATGGATGAGTAAAGGTAGAACATTTAAGCAGGGTTTTTGAAAGGCCTTGACATAATAAAGAAGAAATAAACCAGGAGTCATCCAAGAGCCAGAGATCTGACTCATAAGATGTGGCTTGCTCTCTGATCTTGTCCTACCTCTAGGGTGCCCATGTGTGAGGGACAACTTAGTAGGAATCCACTCCTAGACATCCATCCTTCTCCAACTGTAGATCTAGGGCTTGTCTAAACTCCACCTTCCTTCCATGTTTTAGTCCTTCTTTGGGAACCCGTGTTCTTCTAACATAAAAGTGTCCATCCTTTCAGGGCATATCAAGCTTGCCCAGAAAGCTGTCAGTCTCCATTTAAGAACTCTAATGGAATGTAACCCCACAATCCCCAAATTAATATAAGACACACACATCAAATGGGAGAAAGAGGGTCTTATTTTATTTTAGATCTCTGCATTAGAGTTGGAAACCAGAGCACATGAAAAACTCCTTTAAGGTGCTTTGATTTATTGGAGGCGTAAGTTAATTTTTTTGGTCATGTATATCTCTGGGTATACTTTTTGTATCTTTAGTAAAATTTTAGTTAACTGTTATTAGATGTCTGGGTGCCTGAATAAATCCAACTGCATACTGAATTTTCTAAAACCGAAGGCTGCCAAGAAGGAGCCAATGTGATTTTGGTTTTATCAGTGGCCTAATGGAGTTAGCAATAGTAGTGTAGTAACAATTATTGTCAGGTCAGTGAAAAGACCAACATTCCACATATTCTGCAATGTAACTGTTAGTAAATGGCTGGGAGATTTGTCCTTCATTTTGCAAATTTAGGAGAAAGATACTCACTCTTAAGTGTCGCCTACCGAGGGTTGAAGTTTATAGTCAGCTTTATCTGCATGAGCGTGTTATAATGCAAGGAGTATAAAGATCTGGGTTTTCTTGGAGGCGGGATTGGGTAGGGGTTAAAAGCACATGAAAAGAATTACATTTGATTCCTAATTATTAGTTACATTACCTTGGGCAAGCTCTCTGACCTCTCTGAGCATCAGCCTTCTTATTTTAAAACTGGGTGATGAAAGTGGCCCCAGAGGGTAACTGCCGAGATGGTGAAGGGATCTGTGTAGAGCAACAGCACTGTGGCAGACACGTGGTAGGTGCTCTGTGTTATTCCCTCCCATCCCCACCTCTCCCACCCCCGCTGTCCCCAAGTTGCCATCAAAACTAACAGATGTAATGTTGCTACTGATTTTTCTGGATGCGAACTTTATTCTTGAGTGGTTTTAAAGTCCAAATAATTACTTTTATACAATAAACATCATTTAAAGGATGGTCTCTTTTCTTCTTGCCTACCCATTCTCACAGATCTATTTCTCCTCCACATGGTAAAGTGGGGAAGCATGTTTTGAAATTTCTTGGGCCATAAAAAAAATTATAAAAAAGAAAAAATGAAATTTCTAGGACCACGTGCTAGAAAGAACTGCTGTGCATGACTAGAGAGGTTTGTTTCCTTTCCAAGGTCATACGGTGTTGTCTTTACCATGCTATTATTTATTTTAATTGGTTCAATAAACCAAACTGCAAAAATAAAGTTCTAGCTCTGCCTCTGCCTTGTGACCATGGCTAAGTCATGTGACCTCTTCGAGCCTAATTTCTTCAGTTGAGCAACACAGACGGAATGGTTTCTAAGGCCCTTGTGACCTTTCCGTGTTGTAATTCATAAAATCTTTATTCAGGAGCCCAGAACAGGGAGTGGCACGTGGGTCCCACTTCTCAACAGCAGAGGGCATGCTGCCCCTAGTGTGCCTGGCCATTAGGTGTTGAAAACTATCTAGTTATCTAGCCAGAAGTTGATATCCTTGATGATAGGAAGGAGCCAAGGAAATTCTGTAAATTCATGTTGTGCAAAGAACATTTCACTACGTATTTCCAGTTGTTTAGCACCTAGGTGAAGCACTCAGAAAATAGGAGATTTTGACATTCTAAGGTCCTGTAATTCTGTGAAGAACTTAATCTGTCTCCCATCTAAGTACTCCGTGCTTAGGATTGGTGTGCAAATGGGATAGAGAGGAGAACTAACATCTTTTAAGCACGTATATATCTGGAACTATGCCTGGTACATTAGGTGCATTTTCCCTATCCTCACAGAAATCCTTTGAATTGTATGTGGTTATCCTTATTTTATACAGGAAGATACTAAGGTTCAGAGAGGTTAAGTAATTTGCCCGAGGCTTCACAGTTAGAAGAGATTCAAGTTCAGGTCTTTTAACTCCGAAGTCTGCTTTCTTGCCAGGGTTCCTCTCTCTTTTCCCCAATCTTAACAATCAAGGCTGATTGCTGGGAGCAGGAGTACCTTGGGCATGGCCACACAAGGGAATTTGGCTTTCTCTGGTTCTGAAGTTCTTGTGGCCCTTGTGATTCTAGATGGAAGTGTTTCTCTGGCAAGAACTTTATATCAGTTATATTTAGCATGACATATACAAACACATACCCATGTTTTCAAATCTGAAAATTTTAGACTGGATTATTAATGTTTTTCTTTGTGGGATGCTTTTAAAGGCTACGGCAATATCTCAGTTTACATGAAGACTCAGTTCTGTAGTCAGTGGGTGAGGTGAAAATCATTAGGGCAAAATTATCTTCAAGAATCTCATGGGAAGGCATCTTGTTAGAGAGCCATGAGCTTCCTTTCTTTAAGTCCAACACAGTCAGTCTTTCCTCCCTTGTTGAAACCTGCTGAGTTTCGAAAGGTGTTCCTGTGGTGGTTTCTCATGTTGAGTTTCAAATGATACAGTTAGCTTATATTTGGGGGTATGTTCAGTGGTAATTCAAATCTTTAGACACCAGAGTCTCATTCAGCATGATGAGATACTTACAGTATTTCAGGTACTCTGAAACCTAGAACAAGAGAAGGAATAACAAATTAATGTCTATTTTGGTGCTTATTCTAACTCAGTGGTTTTCAAAACTTTACAGAATCACCTGTACGGCTTGTTAAAGCACAGTTTACTGGGTTTTACCCTCATGGTTTCTGATTCTGTAGGTCTGGGATTCAGCCAAGGGGATTGCATTTTCAGCAAGTTCTCAGGTGAAGCTGATACTGCTGGTCTGGGGACCTCACCTGGAGAACCACTGTACTAATTGAATGGAAGCAGGTGGAATCACTTATCCGTCTTCCTTTCACTGTCTGTCTGCCTTTCTTGCCCTTTCATTTTTAGGCTGAGTGGATATAGTTGAATTAGCTTAAGTTAAATTCAGGGATTGCAGCTCAGCCAACTCTTTATCCCATTGCTTAGCTTAGTACTTGGCCCAAAATAGGAATTCAATAGATTCTTGTTGAGTGAATGATTGAGTAAATTAACATGTATAATGGAAGGGTTTATAGCACATGGACATCATTATTACATACCTCGTCCATAAAAACTGCTTATTTTCCTGAAAAGTAGACAGTCTTTAGATTAGAATATCATATTTTAGGACTACATATGGTGATGATCATAGATACCAGGAAGTTTGCAGTTAGGTAAAGTTTTGAGACACTTGTGTTTTGGGACCAGTGGTATGAATGGGAACTGTGTGTGTAGATAGAGCTGGGTGCAGGAAGTCCCATCTGTTTTAGAATGACCTAGGCAAGTCTTACAGGGTCTGGTTTAGGTCAAAACTAAGCACTGTTCCTGGGAGACTGGAGCAGCGCTGGAACAGCCTATGTCTGACCCAGACTGGGTGCTGCATTCTCATTTCTGTCTTTCCAAAGCACTGAGGAATTTAGCCCCCATGATGCTAAAGGCTCAGTGAGACTCTGTGCTGCAGGGTAAATCTGTAAATTCAGATTGTTGTACATGAATCTTACCATGTTATAGTATTTGATAATTACATTTTAAATAGTAAGTTAAAAAATCTCAAAGGGTAAAAAGAAATCTCAAAAATATATTTAAAATTCCGTTTAAGAAATCATTTTCTTATGTAGCCAAAACAATATGAACACTTTTGACAAAATGAACAAGTCTTTAGGTCAAATTGAGTATTCCTTTTCTGAAATGCTTAGGACCAGAAGCATTTCAGATTTTGGATTTTTTTTTGGATTTTTTTTTTTGATTTTGTAATAGTCATATTATGGTTACTGACTGAATATACCTAATCTGAAAATCCAAAATTTGAAATACTCTAATGAGCCTTTCCCTTGAGTATCATGTTGGTGCTCAAAAGTTTCAGATTTGGAGCATTTGGATTTTGGATTTTTGGATTAGGGATGCTCAACCTGTATCATTTAATAACTAGTCCATATTAAAATTACACATTTGTCCCTACATCATTGTGTATATCTTGTTTGTTCAAACTAGGATCCAATCCAGGGTCATGTATTATGTCTGGTTATTATGTTCCTTAAAATTCATTTAATCTAAAATAGTCCTTTCTCATGATATTGCCTTGTCAATTGTCTTGTAAAATGTTCTACCTTCAGTATCTGTTGTCCCTTTGAAATATCTTCAACTTGCTCTTTTACCTTTATATTTCCTGGAACCTGGAAATTAGATCTAAAGGCTGGATTAAGATGAAATGAAACATTTTCGGCAGGAATACGTCATAGGTGATATGTGCTTCATGTTGTGCCACATGAGGAGATACATAATCCCTGCGTGCTCTACCATTGATGATACTAACAAAATTAATTACTAGATTAAAGTGATAGCAGCCTGATCCTTCCATTGTAGTTATGTTTTCCCCTTGTGACAAGCGAGTATTCTCTATTGTATTACTTTGATACTATATGAATGTTCATTTTCATATTATTCATTTTCCTAATGCTTTTAACACCAATTGATAATTCTTGCCTGAATCAGTAACTTTACAGAACTGTCATATTCTAATTCTGTCATTCCTTCCACATTAGCTGACATTTGACTAAACACAGCTCTTCTTTATTAACTGGGACTATTCGTAGCCATCAAACACAGTTCTGTTGGACAGGCAGGTTAAATGTTGAATTTTTTACTTTTTAATTCCCAATTTCAGAGTAAGAGTTGATTTAATAAACAAATGGTGGCAAATGAACCTTTTCCTTTCTTTCCTTTTTAGAAATATTTTTGTGGACTAATGGAGTTTCATGAATTGAATGTTTCAATTAACTACAGTCATTATTCTTTTTATGTTTAATTTGTTTTTGTTTTACGTTCAATTTATTAAAATGATTGCCAGTGATAGTTCCTTGTGGTTGGTTCCTATCTTCTTTAAATATAACTCTCCATTAATTGTGAGCACTTTCTTGCTTCCTTGCACAGCAAAATGCATAAGCTTATCTTGCAGCTTCCTTGTCCCAAATGTCAATCAGCCACTTCACTAATAAGCCCTAATTTCTTTTGGTGGGAATGATATAGACATGAAATTCTTGTAACTTAGAATATCTATGGTGTGCTGGGGTGACAAGGTTTATGGACCTTTTCAGTAGTCTATTTAGTTCATGAATTTTTAATATTGAAAGTTTGTACAATGAAAATTCAGATAGTAATGGAAAACTGTATTTTGAAAAATAATGGGATGTATTATATACTTAAAAATTGCTAAGGGAGTAGATTTTAAGTGGTCTTATCACAAAAAATGATAAATATATGAGGTAATGCTTATGTTAATTAGCTCAATTTAGCCATTCTACAGCATATACGTATTTCAGAACATCATGTTATATACACCATACGTAAAATTTTATTTGCCAATTAAAAATGCATTAAAAATTAAAAAAGGGTTCACATTGTATTTACAATTCAATTTTAACATTATGTTTTTAAGTAGCTATTTGATTTTATAATTGTATTTTTTCTTTTACATTGAAAATCTTGATCACCAATAGCAAATATTACTTTATTTTATAATATAAGGAAATGATTTCAAAATAATAATATCGATATTACTATTAATAATAAAACAGTGAAGTTTAAAATTTCTTGTGATTATTTTTGTAGTAGAGATTGATTTTAATGGAAGAATTAATTACCTTTATGTTGATCTCATTTTATTACTTTCCTTTGAAATATGTTTTGTTTTGTTTTTATCACAGGTTGATCATTTTGGATTTAATACTGTGAAAACTTTTAATCAGCGGTACCTAGTAGCTGATAAATACTGGAAGAAAAATGGTGGATCAATACTTTTCTACACTGGTAATGAAGGGGACATTATCTGGTTTTGTAATAACACGGTATGTGCAGATTCATGAAATTCCAGTGCTCAATTTGACTTTTATTATGATAACTTGGAAGAAATGTTTTGCAATATGTATGACCAAACATTGCTGTTCTTAATTGTAAAGTTCTGTAAAAAATAACAAAAAAATTAACACACTAATAATAGAAAAATAGCAAAAGCACATGAATAGGAAGTTCATAAAAGAATTAAATACAGATATCCAATAAGTCTGCATATTCAGCTTTAAAGAATTACAAATGAAAAGAATAATGTACAATTTTTGGAGAATTGAATTATTTTATTTTATTGTATTTTTCATGGACTGCCTGAACATCCCAGAGAATTGAATTTTGCAAGTTTTTTGTTTTTGTTTTGCTTTGTTTTGTTTATAAAATCTCAGCTTGTTTCTAGAGTGAACAAGCATATAAGGGAAACGGATAAGAATGTTACTGTGTATAGTTTATTTTGATTATGGTCTCTAGAAGGTAAAAACAAGGGTGGGAATTTTTGTATGTTTAGTGTTATATTGTCAGTGTCCAGGACATATAGAAGGTGATATATGTCTGTTAAATGAATGAATGAATAAAACCTAAACAAAGCCAGTGCAAATGAGAAAAAAATATACAAATAGGAATGGGAAAAGGTAAAGTTGTAGTTACATTTTAGTTTAGCTTTCCTGTTCTACCATTTTCTTTTATTTGTGAGGGTTAAAAGTAGTATATAGCCTGTTAGCTTGCTTCCCTGACTATATTTTCTATCACCTTTTATAATGCCGAAATCCATTAACAAAACTTAATTTGGAAAGATATGTGAAAGGAAGAAATGCTCCTTTTCAATGTGTCAGTGCTGTGACTAGGAAATGTCAACTTTCTACCAAAAAGCTAGTTGTGAACTACCTTAAAGTGGGGAATGAATTATGTATTATCCCTAATGCCAGTGTCTGGCACAATGCCTGGTAGTCAGGAGGTCTCAGTAAATGTTTGTTTAACTGGTATATGAATTTAAAGTAAAGATATGAACCCAATTACATTGTTATTGCATTTCTCATTTCTGATTATTTCCTTAGGAATGTTAAGAATCTAAGTAATTTAGTTGAAATAAAATACTTCCCAGAGAAATGAGATCCTAGGATGCCTATTTCTTTTAGGTCAGTGACAAGAGAAATCAGATTCTTTCTCTGATTTCTGGAAAGGAGACAAGAGAAATCTCCTTTCCATCAGATTCCCGTTCTGTTATTCTGTGAAACCACAGAGGCTGCCTTGTCTCTTTTCTCCTTTTGGTGTGACTTTCATTTTATGTGAAGGCCACAGGGTAACTTACCCTGTCCAGTGATTTTTCCAGTTTCCATTCTCTTGTATTATAGGCAGGTAGCTGTTCCTGCCTCCACTAGGCACTACTCTGACAGGCACTGTGGCAGAACTTAAGGTTTGCTGGGGTATCTCTGTTCTCGAAAGTGGTGGAAAGGAAGAGATATTCAGTGTAGGAACAGTTCTGAAGAACTGACTAGAGGCAGATCATAGAAGAGCAGATCCTGGCCCATCCGCAGCCCCAGAGACCTTCCTTTACATACCAAAATGTTCCAGTGCACATTCACTGCTGGACATTAATTTGTTGAGAGGCAGCATCACACAGTGGTCGAGAGTGAAGGCTTCAGTCAGATAGACAAGGTTTGAATGCTGATTTTGCCACTTTGCTGTGTGACTTTAGGTAAGTTTCTTGTTCTGTGCCTCAGTTTTCTCATCTGTTAAATGGATACAGTAATAATGGTTCATAGAGTTGTGTAAAGAATTAAAGAAGATTAGGGGACTTGCAAGCACATAATGTTAAAAGATGTTGATATATTACATTGACCTCTTTTGAAAAATAAGAATACTCCTGAAATACATCACTTATTACTTTGTGAACTAGTTCAATGAAATTGCCTCCTCTCAAAGCCTGAAATCAACTGCACAGAGGTCTGGACATTGTAATGGATGATCTTTACTCTTAAGATACTCACGGTCTGGTGTGTGACATACATGTAAGCAAATTTTGCGGCACAGTACCAGGGACCTATACCTAGCACAGTGGTGTTGAGAAGGGGGAGTGATCAGCACTGCCAAGGTGGGGCAGGCAGAGGTGGGCATGCTTGAGCTGGGTGTTTGCAAGATCTGTAGATAAATGGCAGGGAATGAGTAGATCCTTAAGAGAGAAAGTGGGGGTTATTGAAACCATCACAAATATCTGGTTAAATTCTCTATCCTTACATGCATATAACTCTTCTAATTGTTCATTTATCGATCAAAACAAAAACACTTGAGGTTCTTAGTCTTTGTTAGGGAGCAGGAACTCACTAAAAAGCAACAATGTGCACTAGGAATGACAAGTAGTTTTAATCTGTGCTAAATCTAAATCTAATCGATTGATGTTGACTACCTAGAATGCTTCGTTGAGAACAGATTCTGAGGCCACAACTGAGTAAGCGAAAAAATGAAGTGATTGGCTAATGACCAGATATAGATGGTTCTAGCAAGGAGATCTAACAGCTCTTGATGATGGTGCTCTGGAGCCAGACACCTGTTTGAATCTTGGCAATGCCGCTTACTAGCTGTGTGAATGTTGAAAGTTATTTAAACTCTTGTGCCTCAATGTTCTTGTCTATAAAATGGGGGTAATCAAAGTGCCTATTTCATAGATTGCTGTGATAATTAAGTGAATTAATTCATATGAAATGCTTAGAACAGTGCCTGACACATTATAAACACTCAGTTATTATTAGCCATTGTGTGCTACTATTTATTTTCCAATAAAGAAGATTAATTGAAACCCCCTAGGGAGTTTAGTATGCTTGTTTGTTTTGCTTTCTCTTTTATGTTGTCAATGCCTATGAGTAGACAGCTTCTTTAGATATCTTTAGCTCTTTCCTAGAAGATTTGGCAAACAGTGCAATTTGTAGACTTTTTTTTTTTTTTTTTTGAGACAGAGGCTCGCTCTGTCGCCCAGGCTGGAGTGCAGTGGCGCTATCTCGGCTACTGCAAGCTTCGCCTCCCAGGTTCACGCCATTTTCCTGCCTCAGCCTCCCGAGTAGCTGGGACTACAGGCGCCTGCCACCACGCCCGGCTAATTTTTTGTATTTTTAGTAGAGACAGGGTTTCACCGTGATCTCGATCTCCTGACCTCGTGATCCGCCCGCCTCGGCCTCCCAAAGTGTTGGGATTACAGGCGTGAGCGACTGCGCCTGGCCCATTTTTTTTTAAAGTTGAAATTACCTTTTATTTTTATTTAATTTGTTTTCTCTCCATCGTGTTTTTTTTTCTTGACTTTTATTTTAGGTTCAGGGGGTACATGTGCAGGTTTGTTAACTTGGGTAAATTGTGTGTTGCTCAGATTTGGTGTATGAATGATCCCATCACCTAGGTAGTAAGCATAGTACCTGATACGTAGTTGTTGAACTCATGCCCCACACCCACACTCCCTGCACTATTAGCCCCTCTAGTAGTCATGCAGTGTCTATTGTTCCCCTCTTTGTGTCCATGTGTATTCAGTGTTTAGCTCCTGCTTATAAGTGAGAACATGCAGTGTTTGGTTTCCTGTTGCTCTATTAGGTCACTTAGGATAATGGCCTCCAGCTACATCCATGTTACTGCAAAGGATATTATTTTGTTCTTTTTAATGGCTACGTAGTATTCTATGGTGTATATAGACCACATTGTCTTTATCCAGTCCACTCTTGAAGGGTATCTAGGTTGATTCTGTGTCTTTGATATTGCAAACAGTGCTAAGATGAACATACAAGTGCATGTGTCTTTTTGGTAGAATGGTTTATTTTTATTTTAAATTTTTATTTAGTTTTTAATTTTATTTTTTGTAGAGAAAAGGGTTTCACTATGTTGCCCAGGCTGGTCTCAAACTCCTGGACTCAAGTAATCAACCTGTCTTGGCCGCCCAAAGTGCTGGGATTACAGGCATGAGCCGCCACACCTGGCCTATTTTTCTTTAGGTATATACCCAGTAGTGAGGATTGGTGGGTTGAATGGTAGTTCTATTTCAAGTTCTTTGGGAAATCTCCAAACTGCTTTCCGTAGTGGCTGAACTAATTTATATCGTACTAACAGTTTATAAGCATTCCCCTTTCTCCACAACCTCACCAACATCTGTTATTTTTTTACTGTTTTTTAATAATAGCCATCCTAACTGGTATGAGATGGTATCTCATTGTGGTTTTCATTTGCATTTCTCTGATGATAATGATGTTGAGCCTTTGTTCATGTTTGTTGGCCTTGTGTATGTCTTCTTTTGAAAAGTATCTGTTCATGTCTTTTGCCCACTTTTTAATGGGGTTGTTTTTTCTTGTAAATTTATTTACTTATTTATTTTATTGTTATTATTTTTTGAACAGAGTCTCGCTCTGTTGCCCAGGCTCGAGTGCAGTGGCGTGATCTGGGCTCGCTGCAAGCTCCGCCTCCCGGGTTCACGCCATTCTACTGCCTCAGTCTCCCGAGTAGCTGGGACTACAGGTGCCCGCCACCACGCCCGGCTAAGTTTTTTGCATTTTTAGTAGAGACGGGGTTTCACCGTGTTAGCCAGGATGGTCTCGATCTCCTGACCTTGTGATCCGCCCACCTCAGCCTCCCAAAGTGCTGGGATTACAGGCGTGAGCCACCATGCCCGGCCCTTTTCTTGTAAATTTAAGTTCCTTATAGATTCTAGATATTAGACCTTTGTCAGATGCATAGTTTGCAAATATTTTCTCTCATTCTGTAGGTGGTCTGTTTACTCTGTTGATAGTTTCTTTTGCTGTGCAGAAGCTCTTTAGTTTAATTAGGTCCCACTTGTCAGCTTTTGTTTTTGTTGCAATTGCTTTTTGGGACTTAGTCATAAATTCTTTGCCAAGGCTGATGTCCAGAATGGTATTTCCTCAGTTTTCTTCTGGGGTTTTTGGGCTTTTTATAGTTTTCAGTTTTACATTTAAGTCTTTTATCCATTTTGAGTTGATTTTTGTATATGGTGAAAGGAAGGGGTCCAGTTTCAATCTTCTGCATATGGCTAGCCAGTTATCCCAGCACCATTTATTGAATACGGAGTCCTTTTCCCATTGCTTGTTATTGTTGACTTTATTTAAGATCAGGTTGTTGCAAGCATGTGGCTTGATTTTTGGATTCTCTATCCTGTTACATTGGTCTGCATGCCTATTTTTGTACCAGTACCTGATGTTTTGGTTATTGTAGCCTTGCAGTATAGTTTGAAGTCAGGTAGTGTGATGCCTCTGGCTTTGTTTTTCTTGCTTAGGATTGCTTTGGTGATTCAAGTTTTTTGTTTGTTTGTTTGTTGTTGTTTTATATGGATTTCAAAATAGTTTTTTTTTCCTAACTCTGTGAAAAATGATGTTGGTAATTTGATAGCAATAGTATTGAATCTGTAAATTGCTTTGGGGAGTATGGCCATTTTAACAATATTGATTCTTCCTATGTATGAACATGGAATGTCTTTCCATTTCTTTGTGTTGTTTCTGATGCCTTTCAGCAGTGGTTTGTAATTCTCATTGTAGAGATGATTCACTTCCTTGGTTAGCTGTATTCCTGGATATTTCATTCTTTTTGTGGCTATTGTAAATGGGATTGTGTTTTTGATTTGGCTGTTAGCTTGATTGTTATTGGTATATAGACATGCTACTGATTTTTATACATTAAATTTGATAATGAAACTTTACTGAAGTTGTTTTGTCACTTCTAGAAGTCTTTTGGTGGAGTCTGTGGGGTTTCTAGGTATAGCATCATATCATTTGTGAAAAGAGACAGTTTGACATCCTCTCTTCCTGTTTGGATGCCTTTTATTTCTTTCTCTTGCCTGATTGCACTGGCTATAACTTCCAGTGCCGTGTTGGATAAGAGTGCTGAGACAGAGCATGCTTGCCTTGTCTTAGTTCTCAAGGGGAATGCTTACAGCTTTTGCCCATTCAGTACGATGTTGGCTATGGGTTTGTCATAGATGGCTTTTATTATGTTGCGGTATGTTCCTTCAATACCTACTTTTTTGAGAATTTTTACCATGAAGGGATGTTGAATTTTGTCGAATACATTTTCTGCATCTATTGAGATGATCATGTGGTTTTATTTTTTAGTTCTGTTTATGTGGTGAATTCTGTTTATTGATTTGTGTATGTTGAACCATCCTTGCATCCAGGAATAAAGCCTATATGATTCTGGTAAATTAACTTCTTGATGCTGCTGGATTTTGGTTTGCTAGCTTTGTTAAGGGTTTTTGCATCTATTTTCGTCAGGGATATTGGCCCGAAGTTTTCTTGTTTCATTGTGTCCCTGCCAGGTGTTGTATCATAATGATGCTAGCTTCATAGAATGAGTTAGGGAAGAGGCCCTCGTCCTTATTTAAAAATAATTTCAGTAGGATTTGTACTGGCTCTTTGTACATGAAGACCATTTTAGACATAATGTTGATGCTAGGGCTAGAGTGTCAGGATAAAAAGACGTGGATGACTAGTGGATGAGCAACCTGGGATTATTTTTAATTGTTTCACTCATAAAGTGTGAGATTGATATGCAACAATAAGACATCAATTATGTCATTTATTTGTGGAACAAACACAAATTGTGCAACTTTGTAGAGTGCTCTTTTTGTTCTGGCTTAACATCTATTCCATATGGTTTGCCAAAAGGTTCAGTGACTTTTTTTCACATTCTGATTTTATCCTGTGATTTTGTAAACTCTTCTTAGGGGTTCATGTGGGATGTGGCTGAGGAACTGAAAGCTATGTTGGTGTTTGCTGAACATCGATACTATGGAGAGTCTCTCCCCTTTGGTGACAACTCATTCAAGGTAAAGATACTTTTTACTTAAAAGTTACAAGCTTTTTCTTTTCAATTTAGAATAGTTTCTAAATTATATGCCCCACTGTGAGATAACTTAAATTTGAAATGCCTAAAAGCTCAATAGTTTATATTTAATAGTTTCTTTTTAGATACAATTTGAACAGACTGAGGGTTTTTTTTAAGCCATTTTATTATAATTCTTAATGTTAATCAGTTTTTAACTCTGTGTGCCTCAGAAAGTTAAATTTTACTCTGTGGCTGCAGAGACAGCACAGGGAGCTTTTTATTATTTCAAAAATATCAGTAAACAATTCCGCTTTATAAATCGTACACTTAAATTATTGAGCCTGCCACTGGAAAAAATATAATGAGCATAACAAATTTATCTGATAAGATGTTTTTAATAAAATAAAATCAATAAAATAAGGACAAATAAGCTGTATGATGCATTAAGGCCAACTGGCCCCTTGGATTCCCTTTCAGCCTTTCCTGTTCTCACAGGAGCTTTGGCCTTTGTCACAGACTCTACCTAATAAACCAGGACACTTTTTCTTCAACTGAGTCATTCATGTACTACTACACTTGTGACTTTGGCTATATTAATTTGCCACGTGTACTATTATTTACCTAATATTTTTCTTTAATCAGCTCACTTTTTAAACTTAGCATTATCTTAACCAAGGGCTCTGTGTACTGGTTATTCTTTACAAATTACACTAAAATGAAGCAATAAATGTTCCATTAAAAATGTTTGTGTGCTTCCTAATACCATCAGTGTATACATATGCTTTTGGGAACTCTCAGCTAGAAGGACTTGGGGCCAGTCCTTTACTAGGCTGCCTATTT
This sequence comes from Homo sapiens, assembly GCF_000001405.40. Taxonomy (NCBI): domain Eukaryota; kingdom Metazoa; phylum Chordata; class Mammalia; order Primates; family Hominidae; genus Homo; species Homo sapiens. Next base: position 82,852,337 of record NC_000011.10, on the reverse strand, counting down.
TGAAAGGAGTTTTTATTTTTAAAAAGGATATTTTACTATCTCATATTATAAATAAATACAATAGTAAAAATAAGTAAAAATGTTGTGTTATAAATATAAAGTGGGATGATTTGCTGATATTTGTTGAGCTGTATGGGAAATTCTATTCTTTAGCTTGGTATTTTGCGTAAATATCTGATTAAGGGACTTGACAAGTCCTGAAACCACTGGGAAGCAGTTAGCTTGTTGTAGATAGAACATAACTTCCTCTCCTAGGTTTCTATAAATGATACTGTGTTAGCAAAATGGAGCCAGGGGCTCTTTTTGATATACTTCTTTCCCTTTGTGTGCTCACAGAATATGTCAGTAGCATGAAGGATATTATAGATATTATGCAAGGATTAGAAAAAAAATGCACTCAACTGTACAGAGTGCCATAAAAACTGGAAGTAAAGGATAGTGACAGACAGGGAGAGAGGAGGTAAGAAGGCATACATCTTGGAAGAGGGGGGAAAGCTAAAGGAGTAGGTGGCATATATAGGAGATAGGAAAGATGGGATCTATGTGATTCAGTAATATGCCAGATGATGGAAGAAATCAGGATGGTGAGACCAAAGCATGAAAGTCAAACAGGGTAGCCTAATAGAGGTATGTAGCTGTATTCGTTGTCTAGTAAAGATGTACTTCAAACCTTATGGCTTAAAACAGCAATAAACATCTATTACTTTATAGTTTCCATGGGTGAAGAATTAGGAGTGGTTTAGCTAGGTGGTTCTGTTTCAGGGGGTCTCATGAGGTTAGGATGTCAGCTGGTGCTGCAGGCATCTGAAGTCTTGACTGGGGCTGGAGAGCCTCTCATATGGAGGATTACTCACATACGAGATAAAACTGGTGCTGGATGTTGACAAGAGGCTGCAGTTAAGGGTCTACTTGAGTTCATTACAAGGCAGCTAATTTCCCTCAAAGTTGGCAGTGCGGGAGAGCAAGGTGGAAGCTGCAGTGTTTTTTTAATGACCTAACCTTGGTAGTCACATATCATTATTTCTGCCCCATTCTATTCATTAGAACCAAGTCATTAAATCCCATCCAAGTTCAAAGGGAGTGGAATTAAGCTTCACCTTTTAAAGGAATGAGTGTCAAGAATTTGCAGACATATTTTAAAAGACCTTCTTAGCCTTCTCAGCTCAGCAGGACACTGGGCTTCACCTTCTGCAGTAGGGAAATTGTCTTCATGTAGAGAGCAGGATGTTTATGAAACTTAACATTATGAGTTTTCCTTTTCTCAAAGATCAATGTCTCATGTTGCCTGTTTTCCAATACCTGAAAATAGTTTTTTTTTCTTTCCAATTTTATAATTGTTTAAAATAGGCAGGCTACTTTGTTTCAGTTGTTGATATGGCCGAGGTCATATATAATCTTTCCGATGAAGAAGGGTGAGTTTTATTTTTACTGGTGATTCTTACCTCAATTGTCCACTAGATTTAGTTTATATTTGCCTGTGTGGCAGACATTTTAAATGTGCCAAGATTTAAAACAAAAGTTATAACAGTTATCTATTAAGCTTAGTTTATATTCGATCACATTTGCTATTAAATTTTACCTACAATTTGTTTCTGTTGTTTCTACAATCTACTTGCATACAAAATACATTATGTTCTTCCACAAACTTAAAATCATTTTCATGAGTTTGAATCCACACAGTTATTGCTTTGACTAGGCATTTTAGCTCAATTGCCTAGAAATTCTATTTAGAGAAAAGCTTATCTGACACTGGCTCTCTTCTGGATCCATGCTATTCCTAAGCTGCTGTTATGTGCACATTTATACCCGTGTTCTTTGTTATATTTCTTTAGGATTCCAGACACTTGAATTTCCTGACATCAGAACAAGCTCTGGCTGATTTTGCAGAGTTAATCAAACACTTGAAAAGAACAATCCCAGGAGCTGAAAATCAACCTGTCATTGCCATAGGAGGCTCCTATGGTGGCATGCTTGCCGCCTGGTTTAGGATGAAATATCCTCATATGGTAGTTGGGTAAGTGCATTTGTACTGGACATGAACGTTTCTTAATGATTATCAAGGGAAACTTAGAGATTCATTTTGGGTAAAACATGTTCCATGCCATTACCCTGAGGTTTCTGGCTTCTGTCTCATTAACAGCTGTGTTATTTTTCTCAATATTTTTATTATGTTTCAACTTTAAAACTTGATTTAGATGACATATATATAATATATATATATATTTTTTCTTTTCTTTTTTCTTTCTTTGATTTTCTTGCCATTTAGAGCTCTTGCAGCTTCTGCCCCTATCTGGCAGTTTGAGGATTTAGTACCTTGTGGTGTATTTATGAAGATCGTAACTACAGATTTTAGGAAAAGCGGTCCACATTGTTCAGAGAGCATCCACAGGTCCTGGGATGCCATTAATCGACTCTCAAATACTGGTAAGCTTTAATTAAGAGAATGGAATTGTGTGTTTTTTTAACCTTTCATTTGTTAAATTCAGTAGTTGTCGCTTTTTAAGTAAACATTTTGTTAAAGTATAATGTACATACAGAAAATTATACAAATCAAAATCAAATCAAAATGCGTAGCTTGATGAATTTTCACAAAGCAAGGACACAGTATAATTAGCATTTAAATCAGTAAAGGGCGTTGTCAGCATCTCAGAAATCTCCTCGTGCCTTTTCAGTCACTACCTCTATACCTACCCAGCAAAAACATCCTCACTTCTAGAACCATAGATTAATTTTTACTTGTTCTTAAATGTTTTAGTAATTGGAATTACATAGCATGTCTTTTTTGTGTCTACTGTCTTTTGCTTAGCACTGTTTGATAGATACATCCATTTGTTTTACTAAGTTGTAGTTTATGTATTCTTGTTGTTCTATAGTGTTCCTATTTATTCATTTTAATAGTATATTAAAAAGGGAGAATAATTCTGAATACTAATTATGGTAAACTCTATGAGGATAGGCAACTTGTCTGTCATGGGATTCTCCAGTTGCTCTGAAAATATCCTGGGAGAAGGGGTATAAAAGATTGAGTTTTCTAAAATACTATGTGAAGAATAAATGATCTGTAAAGACATCTGTTGACCAGTACTTTTTAGATTCCAACAGTGTGATTCTATTCCCAGGCAGTGGTTTGCAGTGGCTTACTGGAGCCCTTCACTTATGCAGCCCATTAACTTCTCAGGACATCCAACATTTGAAAGACTGGATCTCTGAAACCTGGGTGAATCTGGCAATGGTGGACTATCCTTATGCCTCTAACTTTTTACAGCCTTTGCCTGCTTGGCCTATCAAGGTAATAGGAAAATGTCCTGTCATCATTTTTTAATAACACACTTTTTTTTTAATGTGCATACTCTGACTTTCTGCCTCAGAGAAAGTCCCAGTGACAAAGGGGCTCCAGAGTTTGTCAAACTTGAGCTGGAATCCTGGGTTCTGCTACTTTCTGATTATGTGGGCTTGGACATGTTACCTAGCTTTTCTGAGCCTCAGTTTCCTCATTTGAAAAATGGAGATAGAATTCATTGATTATAGAGTTGTACGAATTAGAAATAATACCTAAAGTTGCTGTTAATGGAATAATTACTATGTGCCAAATCCTGGGCTGTGTACTTTGCATGTATAATGTATTTAATCTTTGTGATATATGTGTAACTTCCATCTATGTAATACATGGTTGATGCTTAATAAATGGCAGTCATTATCATAGCACCATGATCTAGTCAGCTGCGAAAGCATTGTAGGTGCTACCCTCAGTGTGAAGAGTGACCCCATGCAGCACAGTAGAGTGGAAAGAACATCAAATTAGATTCTGAAAGTGAGGTTTTGGTCCAGAACTGCTGCTTCACTTACCAACTGTGTGATCTTAGGCAAGGTGCTTTTCTTTCCCCATCCCGTCTTCCTCTGTAGAAGGGAATAACAGTACTTACATACCAAATAGGGTTGTGCTGAGGATCTAATAAAATGTTGGATGTGAAACACTTTGGAAAGTATAAGGACACATTACAGTATAAATTTTAAGGTTCTTTTCATGTCAAAATTATTTATTGTGTATGTTCATTTTAAGCATTTCTTTGTAAAGAGCTTTCCTTTTAGTTTTAAAAACAAAGGCTGGCCAACTTGATGGTTAAATTTAGAGAATATAACCAACTCTTCAGCTAGAATGAGTGTTGGAAGTGAAAATAGAATTGGCGATATAGAGCCGGGTTTCAAATGCACTTTTAATTTAACCACCCCTTTGAATTATTACATGTATACCTTGCTTAAAAATTTGTAACTTAAACAAGTTCATTTGCTATTATTTTTCTTCATTTAAAAAGTAGAATGACCAGTGAGTGTATTGCATATAGCAGGCCAGAGGTAAGTATATATTGAATTAGAATGAATTTCAACAATACAAAGTTGTTGAAAAGAGCAGATCATGTTTTATGTTAGAAAACCTAAATCAATAGGCCTGGCATGGTCGCTCATCCCTGTAATCCCTGCACTTTGGGAGGCCGAGGTGGGAGGATTGCTTGAGGCTAGAAGTTTGAGACCCACCTGGGCAACATAGTGAGACCTCATCTCTACTAAAAATCAAAAAAATTAGCAGGGCATAGGGGTGCCTGCCTGTAGTTCCAGCTGCTTGGGAGGCTAAGGCGGGATGATTGCTTGGGGCTGCAGTAAGCTGTGATCATGCCACTGTACTCCAGCCTGGGCAACAGAGCTAGATCCTGCGTCAAAAAAAGAAAAGTAAAGAAAAGAAAACCTGGATCAAAATGATAGGGAAAAACTAAATCTAAACTAGTTCATCTCCATAAACATCTATGTGCTAATAATGCTTTATCTGTCCATATTACTTTACTATTTACAAAGCGCTTTCATGTATGCTGTCTCACTAAATTCTTTTAAAAGTACTGTGTAGAAAAAGAGGTATAATCCAAGATTTATGGAGAAGAAATTAAAGCTCAACTAAGAGGTGGTAGAAGTAGGATTTGAACTTGGGTCTTCACTGTTCAGAGCCTCTGATCATCTACTGCATTGCACTGGGTTAGGAGGAAACTTGACTGAGGATTGAGGGGACCATTGCTCACAGGGTGACATCTATCAGATTTAACTCTATATCTATCTGTGTACAAGGTGAGAATTACATTTGTATCTTTATTCTCACTTGAAGAATGAATGAGTTGTCAGATGATAAAAACATATGGGGAATTCTCTCATTATTTAGAACAGAGGTTGAGAAACTTTCTGCATTCAAAGGGCTATATTTTTAGGCTTTGCGAGCCATATAGTTTCTGTCACAATTACTCAACTCTGCAGTTGTAGCATGAAAGTAGCCATAGGTAATACATAAACAATTGAGGATGGCTGTCTCCAATAATAACTTATTTGTAAAAATAGGCAGTGGGCTGGATTTGGCCTGGGGTTTGTACTTTGCTAACCACTTATCTAGAAAAAGGCTGGAGAAATATAGCTGTTGAATGTTAGTTGGTGTACCACAATTTGGAATAGTGAGCAGTCTAACTGGTTTTCTCCCTACCTCTTTAATGTTCATTTTGGGATATTTTGCTGTTCAGTCTTACATGTGAATAAATATTTTATCCTTTGTTCTTCTAAATAATTACTCAAAACCAGCAGAGTATACCTCAAATATTTTGTCATCTAGTTTTGATTTACTGCAATCCTTTTATGCTTTATATATATGCATTATAAAAGTTTATTTTTAAGGTAAGATATCTTTAGGTCTTTCCCTCACAGTCACCCTTTACTTCTTTTATCCAGGATTAATTCTTGTCATTCTCTTCAGTTATTTCTTACTGACATTATCCTTTCTTTTGACAGATCAAGGAATTCTTGATTGCTGGTATTTATGATTCTGTTTCCAGCCTGCACCCCACCAGAAGTAATCTTATCTCTTGCCCCCTGCTTGAGAAATTCCATTGCCTCTGTTTCCAATTTCATCCTATAGTTAGTTACCCATCTGATTTTCAGAATTTTTCCACTACGTCTCCCTCCCAAACTTGTAGCTTCAGATCACTTTCTTTCACTGTTCATTCTATTTCTCCTTTTTTTGACCCCCCTCTGTGTTCTCCCAACCCACTAATCCCTGGAACACTACCCAGTTGGGGACTGCTCTTTCACTTGGATAGTTCCATTTAACCAGAACTCCTCCTCCCTCTGATACACTTCCTCCTTTTTAAAGGGCTGACAAACAGGCGTCCTTTTCTGAGTCTGTAACTCAGGCTTAGGATGGTGAGATAATATGTAACAGTTAGGTTATGAAAAAAAGCAGGTGATTTCCAATTCTGTCTGGGACCTTGTACAGTTCTGAAGGATCCATGGGCAGCGACTAAATGCCATTTTCCGTGTCAATTCAAGTATCGTTCCTTTTAATTTGTCTTTGGGCTTTGCACACTCAGACTCCATTTGCTTTTGTTTACTGTTAACAGAAGCTGCAACATTCATGCAGAAATAATCATGGACTTGGCTGGTAGAACACAAGGAAGAAGAGAAAAGGGAAACAGAAAACCCCTCTGTCATTTGACTGTTCTGTCAGCATGAAAACTACTAGGTTTCTTCCCAGCTTAAAGAGCAACTTTAAAGGATGCTGTAATTTGTTAATTTTGGAATCACATTTCAGCTGATAACTTCTCAAATATTTCAGCATAGGCTGCTGTGCATGTAGATAGATATAGTGAAATAATGACATAAGATGGAAAAATCTCTTCCGTTTGTCTTGGTGTTTGGTAATGTATGCGACCTCTCTGGGTGGTTTAAGCGGTTTAGGTGCATTCTATGAAAAGGGAGCTTTTAATGACAAAACTAATGTGATTATCTGAGTGAGTGTGAGAGGGGTATTGAAGCCTTAGAGAAAGAAAATCTGTTAGAAAAGCTGAATGTATCTGCTTAATCCTTTCTCTAATGTGGATGGACCATGCTCTGAGAGGAGATTGGTCTTTTTTTTTTCCCCCAACATATCTTCTTTCCTTCCTCTGTTAAAAAATTTTCTTTGACCCCCTTTTCCTTCTCTTATTTAAATGTGTACTCTCATAGGTAGGAACACTTAAAACTTTTAAACAAATCATTATCTTTACTTTGTCTGGTGCATGTGGGATTAAAGGGCAGAACTGAAATACTTGGTTGCAGATCTGATTAGTTTGGTAGTAAGGTTGCATGAATGTTCTATTTTCTCAACTATTTCTATACACTTTAAAACTGGAATGAGTAAAATGGACTTTCTAATGCTCTTTCTGTTTCCTGAATGTTCATCTTTATTCTAGGAAATGCCGTATCACTCTACTATTTTACAGTTGTTTTTTTTTTTTTTACTATTACATACTTTTAATGTTTTATGATTTCATATTGCCACAAAATTCATTCTAAGTTTTTGCCAAAACAAATAAACCTAGAAAAATATAAAGATGATCTAAGAATTAGGAAAATTGTTTTAAAAAATTAAGCATGAGACAGCAGGTGTATTTAAGCATTGTTTGTGTTGTTATTTTTCTTTTAGCTTTTAGTTGAATACATGCAATATAGTTACAGTGGTTGGAAGCTCCAGAGAGTCTGCATTTGTGTTTTTTTCTTTTCTTTTCTTTCTTTCTTTCTTTCTTTTTTTTTTTTTTTTTTGAGACGGAGCCTCGCTCTGTCTCCCAGGCTGGAGTGCAATGGCATGATCTCGGCTCACTGCAACCTCTGCCTCCCGGGTTCAAGCGATTCTCCTGCCTTAGCCTCCCAAGTAGCTGGGATCACAGGCACCCACCACTGTGCCTGATTTTTGTATTTTTAGTAGAGACGGGGTTTCACCATGTTGGCCAGGCTGGTTTCGAACTCCTGATCTCAGGTGATCCACCCGCCTCAGCCTCCCAAAGTGCTGGGATTACAGGCGTGAGCCACCGCGCCCGGCCTCTTTCTTTCTTTCTTTTATTTATTTTTTTAAGAGAGAAGGTCTCATTCTGTTACCCAGGCTGGAGTGCAATGGCATGATTTTAGCTCACTGCAGCCTTGAACTCCTGGGCTCAAGGGATCCTCCTGCTTAAGCCTCCTGAGTAACTGGGATTACTAGAGTCTGTATTTGAATCCCAGTTCTGCCACTTCCTTGCTGTGTGGTTTTGGGCAAGTTTCTTAACCTCTCTGTGCTGTAGTTTCCTCATTTGCAAAATGTGTATAATAACAATTGTAATGCTTATTAGGGTTGTTATGAGTATTTCATAGCATCTGGTATAAAGTAAAAGCACTAAATTGATGCTAGTTATAAATAATAATAGCTATTATTATTATGTAATATTGGGAAACCAGATGATTATACCAGGACTTTGTGGTTGACGTCTGGGTTGAGACCTATATTCATAGTGCTTTTTTTTTTTTTTTTTCCCACATCAGACAGGTAATGTGCTGATAGCATAACCAGGTTTGAGGGTGGTCCATTTCACACGTGAGCATGAAAACCCAATCATACGCTTCTTGCATTCATGGTTTTTAAATTGTGTATCTGTAGCCAGACCTCTGAGCTTGTTTTCTCTTCTGTGAAATGGGAATGATCATTATATGGTGCTCTCTTGGTTATTGTGAGGAAAGAACCTGCCCTGCCATCAAAGAATATTCAGTAGTTGTACTAGCAACCTCAGTCCCAGCTATTCACATTTCAGCGCATTTACAGTATGTGTAGGAATGACACGCCTTATGTAGAAATTGTTTAGAAGAAGCCGTTTGCTAGGGCTCACAAAATAAATAGAAAGTAAGTTCAGGGATACCTGGGTGTTGAGTATTTTGGACAGAGATGGTTGTCTGATTATATCACAGCCTCTATGTAAACAATCAACAGGCCAAGTGCTTGCTTTTGTCACGTCAGTAATATCTGCACATTATCAGGGTTAAGCTAAAGTATTATATGAGGTTAAGACAAAATTGTTGATATTTGACTGTTTTTGACTTATAAATGTGAGAATTTCATATGGTTCAATTTAATATTTATGTATTTTATGCATCCTACAGTTATTTGATAAAAGTATGTGAATATCTCCTTTTAAACTACTCGTCTTTTTTTTTTTTTTTAAGAGATGGAGTCTCACTCTGTCACCCAAGCTAGAGTGCAGTGGTGTGATCATAGCACTGGAGCCTGGAACTCCTGACTGAAGCAATCCTCCCACCTCAGCTTCCTGAGTAGCTGAGACTATAGGCACGTGCCATCACACCTGGTTAAGTTTTAATGTTTTGTAAAGATGAGGACTTGATATATTGCCCAGGCTGGTCTTGCACTCCTGGCCTCAAGTGGTCCTACTGCCTGGGCCTCCCAAAGTGCTGGGATTACAGGCATGAACCACTGTGCCTGGCATTGAGTTACTCTAGTCTTTAAATAAGCATAGGAATAGTGCTGAGGTCTGGCTAATATGACTTCAGTATTTTTTTGAAACTTCATTCACTCTGCTACCAAAATTGTTAAGGAAGTGCAAAGAGATATTAGAGATTCTGTTTTTTAATGGTAGAGGATGATGCTTGGACTCACAAAATCTTTGAGTTAGAAAGGAAATTTAGACTTACCTAAAATAAAATTTCCATATTAAATTTGCAAATATTTTGCAAAAAAATTTTAAGTGACATTTTTTCAGGCTTTCTATCTAGCATAGTAGTAGAATTAAAAATCAGCACTTCCTTTCTATAAGGCAGTTTGACAGGATGTACCAAGGGCCTTAAACATGTTGATCTCTTTTGAGCCAGTAATTTAAGAATTTATCCCAAGAAAACAATTAAGAATATAAGAAAGATTTAGCCCCAAGGGTATTTATTGTAGCCTTATTTGTAATGATGAAAGGTGGGGAATGACCCAATTTTAGGGTTGCTTCAGCTGTTTTTCAGCTCCCCATCCCGATTGCTCTCTTCTAGATTTTCTAATGTTGGTCGGTGCCCTTCGTAAGTTGTGTACAAAGCTGGATCCAGTACTCCAAGGGTGATCTGACCTCACAGAGCACAGTGCCTGGGGAGTGCCCTTAATCTGGACTTGGAATTCCATCATACAGAGGCCAAGTCTCTGACCATGATGTTCTCTCTGTGTAACTGGGGCTGCTGAAACCCAAGTATTGTCAGCCAGTGCCGGTCTCCAGCCATGCTTGTGTCTTTTAAGAAGTGACAGTAACTGCTATTTGTGGAGATGGCTATTCATAGGGACTCCTTTTCTTTGCCTGACAGAGGCCCAGTGTTCTAAGCTCTAAGAGGGGCTCTGATGCCAGCATGTGAGTCACACTCACTTGCTACTGTTCTTTTCCAGAGTTTTGGGCCACTTGTTGCTGCACATCACTACCTCCTCTCCCCCTGCCCAGCTTGCATTGTCGCCCTTCCCCATCTACCATGCTGTCCTTGAACATAAGGCGCTTCTCTGCATTCCATGTGTCTACTTTGTAGTTATGTGCTGCATTTTGAAAGAGCTGAATCTATGTCCAGGTTCAGGAAAGAATGCTGATCAACTGTTGGCAATAGATGGTTTAATATATCTTATGATTGTTTCTTGATTTCCATATTGTCTTGAGTTATTTCTTATTGACATATTTCCTAGGAATGTTTTCTGAGAAAAGTGCCATGCAAATGTTAGGTATTTTTTTGACTTACCATGAAAAATCGAGAGTTGCCAAAATAAACACTATTTTGACTTTTAATTAGCTCTCAGTTTAGCTCAATTCTCTCTTCATGTACATCCTAAACCCTGGTATTCCTTATTCTTATGACCTCACAGTTACTTTTGAAAGATATATCCAATTATTTGAACATCTTAATTTCTGACTTTTCTCACATTCAGCAGTTCTGAAAACTTTTGGCAATGATGCACACTCCATCTTCCTTTGGAAAGTCATATTACATTTGAGCATGTTAAAGGTTCTGAGAAATCATCTGAGATTATATAATAATAACAACCAGTCAGGAAAACTGTTCACATTTGCTAATATACAGTTTCTCAAAACTATCTGGCTAGGAAACATTTTTCCACAAAGTACCAATAAACATTCCATGGAAATATTGTGGTGCAGAATATATTTGGGGAGAGGCATTGAATTTTCCTGAAAATTCATTTTCTCTTTTACAGTTTTCCTTTTTTTTTTTTTCCCCCGCTGGCAGCTGGTGCCAGGCAGAACTGTGATGAGGGGCTGGGTTTGGTTGCATCCTTTCTCAGTACCCTCCTTTCCTGACTGGGAGCATGTCCCCAGCCCAGGCCCTGTTATTCCTGCTGCCCAGAATCTCTCTCCCTGAGGTGGGGTGACTGGGCTCCTTTCCTGGCTTCTTCTCTGGACTAGTCTTTTTTTTGTCAGGACTAGTCTATTATATATATAATCTTTTCCGTATGAAATGGAAAAGGACCAGATTACTGAATTCATGTCAGAGTCAATAGAGATTCAAGCTTACTGGGTTTGCCTTGCCACTGGGACTATTTGTAGTTTTACAGGTGGACACTTCCTAAGCTGTGTGTCATAATGGATAAGATGTATATTTCATAACCAGAGACAGCTGGGAACAAATCTAGGCCCTATTATTTACCAACTGAGTGACCTTGAAGATGACTTAACCTAAGAATCAGGTTTTTTTTTTCATGTAAAATAATGGACAATCATCTATCTGATAGGGTTCTTTGAAGATTACATGGTGTATTGGTTGGAAACCCAAGGCTTAATAATTACTAGCTGTTGTTGTTGTTAGTATTATTCAGCTATGATTCCATTGCCTGTTATTTTTCTCCAACATTTTATTATGAAAAGTTTGAAACATATGGAAAAGTTAAAATAATTGGACAATGAACACTCATGAACCTAACATCTAAATTCAATAAATAATATTTTATTATATTTGATTTGTCACATATATATTCACCTATCCATCACTTCATCTATCTTTTAATTTATCCTATTTTAAAATGAATTTTAAAGTAAATTGCAGACATCTTCCTCTTAAATACTTCAGCTTTATTATCATTAACAAGAGTTCAATATTTGTGTATGGTTCTTCTTCTGGTGGTGGAGGGGTGAAATCTAGATACCATGAAATACACAAATTATATCATTTTTCATGTAACCCTATTAAGATATAGAATATTTCTGTACCCAAGAAAGTTTGCACTGGCTCTGTTTAGTCAGTCCTCACCTTTACTCCTAACCCTGAATATTGTCTGATTTTTATAGCTAGGATTCCAGGCATTTTTTATAGGATAGTGATAGGAATATTTGGGAGCTGGGGAGTTGCAGCATATGCTTTTTATCACACGACAGATGCTGGAACTTGGTATAGTTTTTCCATACGAGATTTTATAAATTTTGCATTTTTATAAAAGTATAGTAATTCATTCAGCAAACATTTACTTACCAGATACCTTGCTAAGTACTGAGGGAGACATTCTGAAATCAAGTGAGTGAAGTAGAGCATTACAGGGGCTGTGATAAAAATAGGTACAGGGTATAATGGAGGCACCAAGAAGGGAGAGGTTTAATTCTTCCCAACTTGGAAACATAGGCAAGGATGGCCTTGAAGAGGAGGTAATATTTGAGTTGAGTGTTGTAAAAGATGAGTTGGTGTTCAAAGGCATTAGTGGAGTGGGAGAGGAGTTGGAAAACAGTGTTTCAGGGTGAGAAAGGGCAAAGGGGAAGGAGCCTGGTGTGGTGGGGAATGGTTTTCCTAGGCTGGAGCAAAGGCAGCAAAGAGGAAGCTAAGATGGTAGATGGAGAGGACTTTGCATACCATGCAAATGACTTCGGTTTATTTCTATAGCCTAAGGAGTAATTGAAGAGGTTTATTCATTTATGGAGGGGATTAAACCCAAGAGAGAAATTAAACACTGCAGTTAGTAGCTTAAGAATATTTTATGATCAGATCAAAATCATATTTCTTCTTTGTGTTATTAAACTGTCATTTTATATTCATATTCTGACTCTTTCCCCATTTATCTTTCTAAAATGACAGGTAGTGTGCCAGTATTTGAAAAATCCCAATGTATCTGATTCACTGCTGCTGCAGAATATTTTCCAAGCTCTGAATGTATATTACAATTATTCGGGCCAGGTGAAATGCCTGAATATTTCAGAGACAGCAACTAGCAGTCTGGGAACACTGGGTTGGAGCTATCAGGTAAATATGTATAATTTCCCCAAGTGGAACTTACTTTTCACTGACACAGTTGTGCTGTAAAAAAAAATCAGGGTACACAAGATTTTGTCACCTAACCTGGATCCAGTTTTGGGCTCTGTTACCTTATGCTGTGATACTATGGACAAGTTTTCTTGTTCATTCATTTGTTCATTTAATAATCACCAAATAGATATTGAGTTCTTACATGTGTCAGGCACTCCTCTAGGTTTCAAAGATACAAAGATAAATGGTACATGATCAAATCTAGTGTAGTAAAAAAGTAAGTAAGTAGTATTTCAATAGATCTTGATAAGTCCTACAAAGGAAGCATTTTATAGACATATAAAAGAAAGGGAGTCTAATTTGTCCTTCATCTGCACAATGAGACTAATAATAATAAACTTTCCTTGCAGAGTTGTTTTGAGGGTTAAATGTGATAATAAATGTGAAATCAAGCAGTTTGCTATGAAGGGACATAATCCTGACTTCCGTGACTTCTTGGCCAAGTCTTTTTAAGAATAATGAGAGATTATATGGCGCAGAAGTAAAGAACAGGGCGTTGAAGCTGCCTTGCCTGAGTTCAAACCCTGCCTTCACTACTTACCAGCATTATGACTTTGTGTAATTTATTTAACCTCTTTTTGCCTCATTTTTCTAATTGGATTCTCTCTTGGTTTGCTTCTTAGGCCTGCACAGAAGTAGTCATGCCCTTTTGTACTAATGGTGTCGATGACATGTTTGAACCTCACTCATGGAACTTAAAGGAACTTTCTGATGACTGTTTTCAACAGTGGGGTGTGAGACCAAGGCCCTCCTGGATCACTACTATGTATGGAGGCAAAAACATTAGTTCACACACAAACATTGTTTTCAGGTGAGTTTTTGCTGTCCAAAGATAAACTTCAGTTGGTGGAACATTTGTAGAATATCTGAAAAAACAGAACCAGGGAAATGCTGGACAATATAACAACATAGAATACAACAGTGCTACCTGTCATGTTTTCCTATGCCTTGAAAGATAGGATGCTGAGAAGAGATAGGATTTTTTGCTCTATTACCAATGTGCTTTATGAAAGTCTTAAAAATCAACAGCAACAAAATTTTTTAAATATTAAAAAAACTCTCCAGCACAAAATAAAGCATCATCTGTTGTTCTTAATTTGTCTTATTATTGTTATGTTGTTGTTGATGGTAATAAAAAATTTTCAGTATTCATCACTTTTGAAGTGCCCACTTCATTCTGTTCCAAGTACTAAATGAGGCACTTTAAATAAATTACCTGGTTAAATCCTCACAACAACCCTGTGAAGTAGTTTTTATAGCCCCTTTTTTACTGTGAAGGAAACTGAAGGTCACTGTGTTCAATCACTTGCCAAAGCTCATCCAGCTTTGTTTTAGTTACTAAGTGATAAAGCCAGCTTTCTATCATGGCCTGACTACAAATCCCATGTTTGTTTTTCTACATTACACTGTTCCTTAAGAAGTCACACAGTTGCCACTGGTTCACATTAGAGTTAATTGAGCAGACTCCATGTGTATCTGACTGGGACTTCAAAATTTCCATGTTTTGAGTTGAACATTAGGTTGTCAGCTATTAAAATAGCAACAAGTTAATCAAGAATTTCCCCAAGTCTATATAGAAATAGGAGATGCCACTACATACCTGTTAACCAGAGCTATTTTTAAAATTGTAAATGTCATTCTTTTAGAAGTTCTTTTATTTGTTTTAGTTTTTATTTTTTGAAAAAATCTGTTAAAACTTTATCTTGCATTTTACAGAAGTCTATGAATGATTTTTAAAAGGCATCTCCTTACCCCATGTCGCATTTCTCTGACAGTTGTTAAAGTAGGCAATGGATATATCACCAGCTTGAGCATTGCCATCTTGCAAGGATTTCAGACCAACCAACTACTCACCAAAGAACTTGGCAGCTTTTTAATCTCGTTTTTAATACAATGGTAGATCCACTCTGATGGCAAACTTATCCAGCCAAATCTCCACAACACAATTTGCAAAATTAGTGATTAGCAAATTGGTTAGCTTTGGCATGGAGCTGTGCTTATTTGCCCGTGACAGCCTGGTGTTGATACTGGCAACAGAACATTGAGAAGGACAACTTTCACACTGTAAGAAATAGAGTCGGATGCCCTTCTGCAGGATTGTGTCTGGTGATTGGCATGTGTGACATCACCTTGACAATTCCTTGATGTATCAAGGGCTAGTTTCCTCCAGCCCTTTTATGAGGCACTACTCTGTTCATAAGGGTGGAGCCCCATAACTTAAATGACATATTCCTTGATATATCTCCTCAAGACATTTTCTGTTTCTATGGGAATCTTCCTTTGATTACAAGTTGGTTATTACCGTCTGTAGAACCACTTGTACCCAATTCAGCCAACAAAAATGCAAGGAGGCTGGATGCAGTGGCTCACTCCTGTAATCCCAGCACTTTGGGAGGCCAGGGCAAATGGCTTGCTTGAGCCCAGGAGTTTGAGACCATTCTGGGAAACATGGTGAAACCCCATCTCTACAAAATATATAAAAATTAGTTGGCATGGTGGCATGTACCTGCAGTCTCAGCTACTCAGGAGGCTGAGGTGGCAGGACGGCTTGAGCCCAGGAGGTGGAGGTTATAGTGAGCTGAGATTGCACCACTACACTCTAGCCTGGGCAATAGAGCCAGATCTTGTCTCAAAAAACAAACAAACAAAAACTCCCCAAAAACCATAAAAACAAAACAAAAAAAAATGAAAGAAATGCAAGGAGACATTTGGGCTGTTGATGTAATAGTTTACAGATATCCATAAAGTTGATGAAAGGAGTTTTCTTGGTTCCTACTTGGACGACCTGTAGAGGTTTCATGGTGAATTTCCTTTTCTTTCAAGCAACTGTGTCTGGATTCTTTCCCCTTATAATGTTGAACATATGATCCAGTAGCTCCTTATATGTGCAGTCTCTTTCTGACCTACCTATCAGGGCCTATCTGATTGCTGAATGAGACAGCATCGTCTTTTTTGCTGTCTTCATCTTCTAGAGCTGTGTCTTTTTTTTTTTTTTTTTTTTCCTCGAGATGGAGTCTCACTCTGTCACCCAGGCTGGAGTGCAGTGGCACAATCTCTGCTCACTGCAACCTCCGCCTCCTGGGTTCACACCATTCTCCTGCCTCAGCCTCCCAAGTAGCTGGGACTACAGGCTCCCACCACCACGCCCAGCTAATTTTTTGTATTTTTAGCAGAGATGGGGTTTCAACCATGTTAGCCAGGATGGTCTTGATTTCCTGACCTTGTGATCCACCTGACTCGGCCTCCCAAATTGCTGGGACTACAGGCATGAGCCACCACGCCCGGCTAGAGCTGTGTCTTTAGTATTCCATCCTCATCTGGGATCTTGACATTCTTCTTTTTATTGCCAAGCATAATGTCAAGGTCCTCCTCTGGTTCATCTGGTTCTTGAACATCACTTTCAATCTTAAGATCCTTTACAACTTCTTCAGCTTTATCAGCATCAAATGTCTTTTTTTTCTCCTTTTTCTTCTGATTAAAGAAGTTCAAGTCATCTAGAACATCAGAAATGTCTTTTTTCCTACCGTCGTCTTCATCAGCTTCTACATCGTTGTCCTCAGCTGGTTCTGGTTCCACTTCTTCGGCTGGTTTTTCTCTGTTTGTGTATCCCCTTCCTCATCTAACATAAAGGGATTCTTCTTTTTCTTCTTGCTCATAGTAGGACCAAAAACTGTCTCATCCCCGGACGTGGCTGTGGCTCAAGTGGGCTTAGCACATGGGAACTCGGACAGCCCAGCCCCAGGCCCCTGGCAGCATTGCTGCTCCTGCAAGTACCTCTCTGACCACTGTGCTCTACAGATTATTTTAAATAAGTCAAATTTGGCCTTTGGTACATAGCCAAAAGCTTTTAGGGATGAGGAGAGCTGTTTGCCTGGAAGTTGACTCTGAGTTTAGGCTAGTGGCACTGCCCACTTTGCAAAAAAAGGCCTCTTATTAGACTCTTATTAGACTTATTAGACTCATTCTATTTTCTTTTTTAATTTTTAATTTTAATTTTTAAATTCTGGGGTACATGTGTAGGATGTGCAGGTTTGTTACATAGGTAAACGTGCACCATGGTGGTTTGCTGCACCTATCAACCCATCACCTAGATGTTAAATCCAGCACGCATTAGCTGTTTTTCTTTTTCTTTTGAGATAGAGTTTTGCTCTTGTCGCCCAGGCTGAAGTGCAATGGCATGATCTTGGCTCACTGCAACCTCTGTCTCCTGGATTCAAGCCATTCTCTTGCCTCAGCTTCCCAAGTAGCTGGGACTACAGCTCACCTGGCTAATTTTTGCATTTTTAGTAGAGATGGGGTTTCACCACGCTGGCCAGGCTGGTCCCAAACTCCTGACCTCAGGTGATCCGCCTGCCTCGGCCTCCCAAAGTGCTGGGATTACAGGCATGAGCCACTGTGCCTGGCCTTAGCTGTTTTTCTTAATGCTCTCTTTCCCCCTACTCCACCCACTGACAGGCCCCAGTGTGTGTTGTTCCCCTCCCTGTATCCATGTGTTCTCATTGTTCAGCTCCCACTTATAAATGAGAACATGCAGTGTTTGGTTTTCTGTTCCTGCATTAGTTTGCTGAGGATAATGGCTTCCAGCTCCATCCATGTCCCTACAAAGGACATGATCTCATTCCTTTTTATGGCTGCATAGTATTCCATCCAGCAGGATACCTGTCCCCAAATAAAAGGCCAGACACTTTAATGGAAAACGTAAAACTGCTTTTTGTTTAATTTCCTTACGTTGTATTCCTTGTTCTCAACAGGATTCTTCAAAACTATACTCTTCAGCTCAGTCTTATAAAGTGACAGTTAAGCAAATACGTCTGCTTAGGATGTTTAAGGAAATTGTGCCAAATTTATGGTATTTGAAATAGGAAAACTTGAAAGAACTGAGAGGGTTGAAAAAGACCTAAATATAAGCCTTTGGGTTTGTCTTAGTCCACTAGCACTGCTATAGCAAAACACCTGAGACTGGGTAATATATAAACAGCACAAATGTATCGCTCACAGTTACGGAGGCTGGGAAGCCCAAGATGAGGATGCTGGCAGGTTTGGTGTCTGGTGACGGCCCAGTCTCTGCTTTCAAGATGGCACCTTAAGGCAGCACCCTTACATGGCTGGAGGTGGAAGGGCAAGAAGCTCGTTTCCTCCAGTCCTTTTACAAGTATATTAGTTATCCATTTGCTTTTTTATGTTATCTTTCTCAGATTGTCAAAGCGATGATGATGATCATCATCATCATTACTATTATCATCATCATTGGAGAAGGGGGCATATTTTGTGAGAAAAGTAAGTGGGTAGGAATTAGAGCTCCATGTAAGAAACTTTTAGCTCAGTGTAAGAAAGGACTTTCAAGAAGAGCTATACAAAGGTAGAATGAGCTGTCTTGAGTAAAATTACTTAAGCTTTTTTGATTCTCAGTCTTATCCTTTGTGAAGTGAGAATAATAATACCACTCACCCCATAAAGTTGTTGTGATGCATTAAAAGAGTTAGCCCATCAAAGTACTTGGCCCAGATCTGGCAAATATCTATGCTCAAAAAATATTTGTTGAATGAATAAATGAAAGTACACTCTTCACCTTGCCCTTTATGTTCTAGCCACAGAACATAAAGGGAGTATATACCCAGGAATGGGATTGCTGGGTCAAATGGCTCTAGATCCTGGAGGAATTGCCACACTATCTTCCACAATGATTGAACTAATTTACACTCCCACCAACAGTGTAAAAATGTTCCTATTTCCTCACACCCTCTCCAGTATCTGTTGTTTCCTGACTTTTTAATAATCGCCATTCTAACTGGCATGAAATGGTCCCTGAATGTCCTTTCTCATCCTCTTTTTCCATTTTCCTTAAGATTCATACCTTCTCCAAGAAATATTCCATAAGGGAGGATAGGTTTCCACTTCCCCCTTACTTCTACTAGCACCTGTAAATACCGCTTATCACTCCATGTGGTAGTTACCTGTTTGCGTTTCTATCTGCCCCATGAGATTGTGAATTTATCACTGGCAGGGACTTCATCTTAATCATCTCTGTATCTTTAGCATCTGCTACAGTGACTGGCGCATAATGAATGCTCAGTAAATGTGCCGGTTGTTGATAAGGATGATGAATGAAATACACAGCTCAGGAAGGCTTCAGAAGCATGTGAAAATTTAAAGGCAAGACTGTGTAAAGATGCTGGTTTATCTTTTAGCAGTGGCAAGTCTACTTCTACAAAGAAATCTTTTTCTATAGTTTGGTAGGTATGAGAAATACAATGCAAAAATTAAGTAATTAAAAAATTCAAAATTCTCCTACTTTTCTGAAGAAACAGCACTCCCAAAGTAAAAGAACAGCCATAGGTGTGTCTGTTCTGTGTACTTCATGACCACTAGCTGTGAAACATTTCTGGTTGCTGAGTAAGAAGGTGTCCAAGCATAGACATGGGCAAAGACTTCATGACTAAAACACCAAAAGCAATGGCAACAAAAGCCAAAATTGACAAATGGGATCTAATTAAACTAAAGACTTCTGCACAGCAAAATAAATTATCATCAGAGTGAACAGGCAACCTACAGAATAGGAGAAAATTTTTGCAATCTGTCCATCTAACAAAGGGCTAATATCTAGAATCTACAAGGAACTTAAACAAATGTACAAGAGAAAAACAAATAACCCCATCAGAAAGTGGGCAAAGGATATGAACAGACACTTCTCAAAAGAAGATATTTATGCGGCCAACAAACTTATGAAAAAAAGCTCATCATCACTGATCATTAGAGAAATGCAACTCAAAACCACAATGAGACACCATTTCACGCCAGTTAGAATGGCGATTATTAAAAAGTCAGGAAACAACAGATACTGGAGAGGGTGTGGGGAAATAGGAAGATTTTTATACTGTTGGTGGGAGTGTAAATTAGTTCAACTATTGTGGAAGACTGTGGCAATTCCTCCAGGATCTAGAGCCATTTGACCCAGCAATCCCATTCCTAGGTATATATTCAAAGGATTAAAAATCATTCTAAAAAGACACATGCACATGTATGTTTATTGCAGCACTATTCACAATAGCAGAGACTTGGAACTAACCCAAATACCCATCAATGATTGACTAGATAAAGAAAATGTGACACATATACACCATGGAATACTATGTAGCCATAAAAAGGATGAGTTCATGTCCTTTGCATGGCCATGGATGAAGCTGGAAACCATCATTCTCAGCAAACTAACACAGGAACAGAAAATCAGACACCATATGTTCTCACTCATAAGTGTGAGTTGAACAATGAGAACACATGGACTCAGGGAGGGGAACATAACACACTGGGGCCTGTCGGGGGGTGAGGGTTGGGGAGGGATAGCATTAGGAGAAATACCTAATGTAGATGACAGGTTGATGCCTGCAGCAAACCACCATGACATGTGTATACCTATGTAACAAACTTGCACATTCTGCACATGTATCTCAGAACTTAAAGTATAATTAAAAAAAAAAAGAAAGTGTCCAAGGAGCCCTGTGGAAAGTATCTTAATCTTTGTTTCCAGGCCTCTCCTTAGGCTGCCTCACATGAATCCAAGTGTGATTGCTTTTCCGGTTGGGAAGTTTAATCTTTAACTGTTGGATTGGAGATTTTTCTGTTAAGGCTTTGAAGTCAGGTAGACCTTGATGCCATTTTTCTTCTTCCCTGAATTAGCTGCGTGGCCTTGGGCAAATTGCCAATTCATATTAGTTAGGAATAATAATGAGTACCTAACAGGGTTATTTCAAGGAACAAATTATTGTGGAAGTAAGCAACAGAGATTTTGTCTGTTTTGTTGACTGTGGAGTCCCGTGCCCAATCAGTGCCTGATATATAATAGGCAATCAGTAAACATTTGTTTACCTGTTAATAGTCTCATTACAGCAATTCTTTTTTTATTCCACAGTTGCTTTTTGGGGGGAGTTTTATTGTCTTTCCCAACTTGTAGGCATTATTTTACCAATAGTCATTTTCAGTTATTTTAGTATAAATCCAAAAGGGAGTCCCTGAGGAGCTGGTTAGTTTAACATAATTTCTCAGGCAAATTAATTGTTGCCAGTGACTAAGTGAAGCTCCCTGTTGGGGGAATTTTACCCAGGCATCTAGATCCTCTCATGAAAGCCAGGATTTTTTTTTTTTTTTTTTTTTTTTTTTGTAGATTTTCCAATGACTGGTTTAGCTTTCACATGTCTAGGACCAAGAAATTCAAGTCCATGTGCATCTTAGGTCTCTCAGCAACTCCAAACACTGTTGCTAAGCCACTAGGCTATTTCAGATGACCTTTTAAATCAAATGCAGTTTGCTTATTATGTGGCTGTTGGGATAGCTTCTTTGTTTTGCAAATAATGGAGAGTTTCCTATCTGGGTTGGGCTTGTCAATTTGGAATAATGATAAAGGCGATTTGTTAATTTAAGAGAATCCAACTCCTTATGTAGTTTACTTTAAAAGTTTACCTGGTAGTTGAAAACTAAGGCTTCTATTTTACATGAGTGTTCCTTTTTGTTTTTAACAAAACCAAAAAAGTACACTTCTGGAGTGTAGTTTTTTTTTTTTTTTTTTTTTTTTTTTTGAGATGGAGTCTTGCTCTGTCACCCAGGCTGGATTGCAGTGGCATGATCTGGGCTCACTGCAACCTCTGCCTCCCGGGTTCAAGCCATTCTCCTGCCTTAGCCTCCCAAGTAGCTGGGACTACATGCATGCCCCACCACGCCCGGCTAATTGTTGTATTTTTAGTAGAGGCAGGGTTTCACCATATTGGGCAGGCTGGTCTCGAACTCCTTACCTCAAGTGACCCATCCACCTCGGCCTCCCAAAGTGCTGGGATTATAGGTGTGAGCCACCGTGCCTGGCCAGCGCAGGCAATTTTAGATTGTATTACAAACACACATATACTTAATGTACCTAAATGTTTTTTTCTCATATAATTTGTACATTTACATTTTCATGATTCATTTACCTCTTGGTGGTGGTAATACTTATTATGCTTACAGAGTATGGTAATAACTATAATGACATCGCACATTTGTATAGTATTTATAGTTTATTTATTTTCACATATATTATTTGACTTGGGTCTCACAGTAGTTCTCTGAGAGAAGGGTACTATCTTTCTTAAAAAACATTTTTTTCTATAATCCAGTGAGAATTGAGGTTCACAGGGGTCAGTAACTTACCCAAAGTCATTCAGCTAGTAAAAATGTACAACGTAGATCTACTGAATTAATTCATTGTTCTTTCCACTATTAACACACAGCTGAAGGTTAATCTCTTTATATTTCTATTAATCATTTATATCAACTTTTCTTTCCCACGTAAAAAGTACCAAAGTGATTTACAACATGTTTATGAACTTGCATACGTGTATTTATAGATGTCTATGATGGGCATCCAGTATGAGGCCACAGACAACTAGACACTTTTTAAGTTCATTCAGTAAATTTTTTGGGCCTCCTTTTCTAAGCCAGGTCTGCTTCTAGGAACTTGGAGATGTAGAAATAAACAATATGGACAAAAATCTCGGCTCTCATGGAGTTCTAATTTGAGAGATAGGAAATGAAACAAGATAGAACTTATAAATATGTTAGAAGGATGTGAGTGACAAGGAGAAAAAAGTAAACCGGGGAAGGGGACTATAAAATGTCATAGGGAGGGAAAACAGTTGAAATTTTTTATTAGAGTGACCAGGGAAGACTTCATCAAGGGGTGACTTTTAAAAAATGATATAGAGGAAGTAAAGGAGCTAGCCATGAGGTTGGTGGGGTAAGAGGATTAACCAAAGGCAAAGGCCTTGAAAGAGCCCCAGCATGTTCTTCTTCACGTGGAGTAAGGTCAGTGTGGCTGGAGTGGAGTTAGTAAGTGAGAGAGTAATAGAAGGTGAAATCAGGGAGGGAGCAGAGGGCCTGAATCATGTAGAAACTTGTTGGTTCTAGTAAGGACTTAGGTTTTTACTGTGAATGAGATGGGAAAACTTGGAGCATTTTGAGAAAAGGAATGACATTATCTGGTTCAGGTTTTAACAGGATCAAGTTGCCTGCTCTATTGATATTAAATTGTAGGGAGACAAGAGTAGAGGCAGGAAGATCAGTTAAAAGGCTATTATAGTAACTCAGGCTAGAGATAATGGTGACTTGGATCAGGGTTGTGCAGTGGAGGTAATACAAAATGGTCAGATTATGGATATATTTGAAGATATAGATGACAGGATTTGTTGACAGATTGTGTGTTAAACAATGAGAAAATTAAAGAGTGAGACCAAAAAGATTAAAGAGTGACATCAAACTTTTTGGCCTGAACAATGGAAAGGATAGACTTCCCACTGACAGAGATTGGAGAAGATGGCAGGAGGAGCTGGTTGGCATTTGGGGAGCATCAGGAACTGCCAAGTGTCTAATTTGACTTCCATGTAAAAATGTCAAGTACACCATTGAACTTTGGTTCTGAAGTTTAGGGGAACAATCCTGGCTAGATACATTATTTGGTAGTCATCTGTATATAGGTTGTACTTATAGCTGAGAAATTTTTTGATGATTTTGCAAATTATGGGAATTATTTTCATGTATTTGATAATGTGGGCTTGAAGACTTTTTATTTCAGGCTTTGTAACCAATACCAGCAAAATGGAGTTTGCATTAAACAAATATCAGGACACACATAAAATGTTCTAGAAGTGATTTCAAGTGGTGGGTATAGATATGCCGAGAGGTACCATTCAAGGGGAAAGTGATCTAATACATGCCATGGGTGGAATACTCAGATCCAGGTATTTCAGTGACAGTTTTTTTCCTAAGGAATCTGTTTCAATGAGATTAGGTAGATGAGAGGCAGACCTGGGACTGGAACCAAAGTGTGTCTGATCCCAAAGCTTATGCTTTTCTTACTTTGCAGCACACAAGAGAGTGTAAGCTGTCGACTTCCAACAGCAGTCATGGTTCCGCTGAAATGCAACATAGTGTAAAATTAAGCATTGGACTAGGGTTTTTAGAACTGTGTTTGAATCTCAGATTTGCCAAATCAAATGATTTTGGCAAGCCTTTTAACCTCTTTGGGCATTAGTTTTCTCTTTTATAAAAGAATTGTAATTAAACCTACTTCATAGGGTTGTTACAATGAACAAATGTGAAAGGCTTTGTAAACACGAATGCAATCTATGCATAATATGTTATACTAGGGAAAAATTTGATTTAAATAGCATCAAGAATAAAATGCTTTGGAATAAATTTAACAAAAGAAGTGCAAGATATATACATTGGAAACAAAGACATTAAAAATTGCTTCCTTTAAATGGAAAGACATCTCATATTTATGTATTAGAAGAATTAATACTATTAAGATGACTATACTCCTCAAGTTGATCCACAGATTCAACGTGATCTCTGTCAAATTTCCAGCTGGACTTTTTTTTAAAAAAATAGAAATTGACAAACTGATCCTGAAATTCATATAGGAATATATGGGACCCAGAATAGCCAAAACAATCTTGAAAAGGAAGAACGAACTTGAAGAACTCACACTTCCTGATTTCAAACTTATTACAAAGCTACAGTCAATACAGTGTGATACTGGCATAAGGATAGACATATAGACAAGTGGAAGAGAATCGAGTGTCCAGAAGTCAAACCTTATATGTATGGCATATTGATTTTTAACAAAAGTGGCAAGACAATTCATTGAGAAAAGAATAGTTTTTTCAACAAATGATGCTGGGAAAACTGGAGATCCGCATGCAGAAGAATGAGGTTGGCTCCCTATTTCATACTATAACAAAAAAATCAACTCAGAATAGGTCAAAGGCTTAAATATAAGAGCTAAAATGATAAATCTCATAGAGGAAAACATAGGAACAAATCTTCATGACCGTGGGTTAGACACCAGTTTCTTGGATACCATACCATAAACATAAACAATGAGAAAAAATAGATAAATCGACTTCATGAAAATGAAAAACTTGTGCTGCAAATGATACTATCAAGAAAGTTAGAAGATAGTCTACAGGATGGGAGAAAATATTTGCAAGTCATATATTTGATAAGGGACTTGTATCTAGAATAGATAAGGCTTTGTAAACAATACCAGCAAAACGGAGTTTGCATTAAACAAATATTAGGACACCCATAAAAATGTTCTATAAGTAATTTCCAGTGGTATGTGGGTAAAGATATGCCAAGAGTGCCATGCAAGGGGAAAATGATCTAATGCTTGCAATGGGCTGAGTACTTAGATCCAGGTATTTCAGTGCCAGTTTTTTGCCTAAGGAATCTGTTTCCATGAGATTAGGCAGATGAGAGGCAGACCTGAAATTGGAACCAAAGTGTGTCTGATCCCAAAGCTCATGCTTTTGTTACTCTACAACACACAAGTTAAGAGAGTGTGAGCTCTCACTCAAAAATAGAAAGATATATAACCCTAGTTAAAAAATGAACAAAGATATGACTAGGCATTTTCCCAAAGAAGATATAAAAATGGCCAATCAGCACATAAGATGTTTAAATACCATCAGTCTCTTGGGAAATGCAAATTAAAACCACAGTGAAATACCATTTAATACTTACTAGCTTAGGATGTCTAAAATAGACAGATAATAATAAGTGTTGAAGATGTAGAGAAAGTGGAACCCTCAAATGTTGCTACTGGGAATATAAAATGGTGTAGTCCCTTTGGAAAGTAGTCTGGTAGCTAATTAATAGGTTGTTACTATATATCCTAGAAATTCCTAAGTATATGCCTAAGAGAAGTGAAATCATGCATCCACACAAAAACTTGTATGTGAATGTTCAAAGGAGCAGTACTCATTAGCCAAAAAGTGGAAACAATACAAACGTGCATCAAATGATGAAGAGATAAATAAAACATGATGTATCCATAAATGAAATATTATTTGGCAATAAAAAGGAACATGTACTGATTCATGCCACAACATGGGTGAAACTTGAAAACATTACGCTGAGTGAAAGAGACCAGTTACAAAAGACCGCCTACTATTTAATTCCATTTGTATGAAATGTCCAGAATAGGCAAATCTATAGATTCAGAAAATAGATTCATGGTTTCCTGAGGCTGAGAGCAAGGCAGGAAGATGGGGAGTGACTGCTAATGAGTATGGGTTTCTATTTGGGGTGACGAAAGTGTTCTAAAATGGATTGTGGTGCTGGTTGCACAACTCTGAGTATACTAAAAACCATCGAATTATGTGTTTTAGATGGACAAATTCTGTGGTAGATGAATTATATCTCAACAAAACTGTTCAGAAATATTATTAGGGATGCTGTCTGTGGTTGTATTGGATTTTTTACTCAGTGAAAGTAGATACTCAGTTTCAGTGACTGATTCTCTTTACATTATTCTGAATTGTGTTGTGTGAACCAGCTGAGACTAAAAACCTAGTAGCATTTCCTTAACTTTAAAGCTAATGTAAAATGAAGATTTTCGTGTAATGCCCAAATTTTCGGATTCCAGATCCTGGTGACATTTTTTAGATCTACCATCCTGTTTCCCAAAGTACTGTACTATATTAGATAAAAAATGCAGCCTTCTCCTTTCCTCCCTCCCTCCCTCCCTTTCTTCTTTCCTCCCTTTCCCCCTTCTTCCCTCCCTCGAGAAGACGGAGTTTCACCATGTTGCCCAGGCTTGTTTTGAACTCCTGGGCTTAAGCGATTCACCATCTTGGCCTCCCAAAGAGCAAAGATTACAGGCATGAGCCACTGCGCCTGGCATGTTATCTCCATTTTACAGATGAGGAAACTGAGTCAGGTAACTTGCATTATATAACTTTTGAATAATGAAATCAGGATTGAAATTCAGGTTTCTAAATTTCATATCCCAGTACAGTCTAGGTTGATTTGTGGGAACGCCTCCTTCAATTATCTCTGGTTCTTTTTTTGCACCTGGTTGCATGAATATTGCAAAACTCCAGTATGAAGTATCTATCCATATGATAAATTAGATCCTCAGATCAAATCCCCCAGGTTACAAGTTTATAATTTTAGGTGTTAAACATGTAATAGGTTTCTTCTAGCTTATCTGAGTGTTAACATGAAAAACTAACAACTTTATTTTTTCTTCTTTTTTTCACTTGCAGCAATGGTGAACTAGACCCCTGGTCAGGAGGTGGAGTAACTAAGGATATCACAGACACTCTGGTTGCAGTCACCATCTCAGAGGGGGCCCACCACTTAGATCTCCGCACCAAGAATGCCTTGGATCCTATGTCTGTGCTGTTAGCCCGCTCCTTGGAAGTTAGACATATGAAGAATTGGATCAGAGATTTCTATGACAGTGCGGGAAAGCAGCACTGAGAAACTTTTGATTGTTTTCAATTTCTTCTTTTATGTTCACACCACCACATTCCCATTCACTTTGATTTTCTACATGTAATTACCTTCTTTTGTTTATCATTAGATTTGATGGGGCCAAAGTTGAGATAGAATAGAGGGTGATGACGGTAAGAGCAAGTGTCCCATGAATGTGATTTCCTGGGTTCTCACTGTCTTTGCACCACGTCTAGGAAGAATCTTCTTGATAGCTCTCCCACACCATCAGTGGCCCTCATAACTGGAGTAGAGTTCCTGGTTGCTTTTCATAAGAGGGAGAGTTACTTTCTTTGTATCTCTGCAAGCAGAGATTTCTCTTTGGTTTTGAGGTTGAAGTGTCTTTGGCCCATTTGTAAGTCCCCATCCCTACCCTACACAAAGTAAAAGCAGAAGATAGATAAAAAATGATGTAATTGCAGCTGGTAGGATGTCTGGTGCCAATCCAGGAAGTGAGAGCCATTTCTTTTGTACCGGATTTAATGACTTTGAACTGTGCTGTAAATAAATAATACAGCTGGACCTTATACCTGTGTGTTGCTTCTGAAGCTCACTTCAACTCCGGCTGATGGAAATGCTGTGTGCACTGGGCTTAGCTGTTTTTGGAAAGTCCTTTAATTTTTTCTCTTCCACTTGGCAGCTTTTCTTAGTTCTGGGATGTTGGCCACTGTGGTACTGCCAGTAAGAAATCTGGCCTTTTTCTGCTCCATTTCTCTTTGTTTCTAAGGTCAGTTTTAATTTGTTTGAATTCTGCCAGTTTAGGAAAATGACTCTGTTTTGTCTTTTTAAATCTGAGCAAGCTTTATGCTGTAGTCACTAATTATATTTCAGTAAGAAGCCTTTAAAAATTGATGAATCAGCTATTCCAAAAGTAGAATATAGTAATATTCAGCTTTTAAATTTTTAAAATTTTATTTTCTGATAGTTGTTACTGCTGTCATTAAAACCAGAAGTGTTAGACACTAACAGGCAGGTGCACAAGAACTTTTCTGTATGACTTCCAAAAGACAAGCTGACTAATTCATGCAGGCAGCATATTTGACATTAATAAATGGCCAAGCCATTCCTATTTCCAAGGGGTTGGCTTCTTTCAAGCAGTTCTTACACTGAGACCTTTCTTCAGAGAGCTTTTCTAGGATAACAAATAGGGTTGGATCAAAACCTTTCAGGGACACAGAGAGACAGAGAGAGAGAGACTAACAGTTTCTACTCTGTTGAAAGATTTCTTCCTCCTTGTTTCTTTTCATTTTCTCTCAATAATTTTTTTTTCTTCACCCTGCCTTGGGAACATTTTCTGCTTTTAAAAAACTGTACCTTGAGCTTGATCATTTTTATGGCATTTTTTTTTTTTAAGGGCATATATAGAGTTCATTCTTGGGATGGAAAGCTGAAATATTTCCTTTACTTTCCCTGGCATCTGGGAGATACAGGAAAATCTTTGTCTTATTTTGGGAGCCTTCAGTTCTCATTGTAATGAGTTGTCTATCAAAGCATTTGGTAACTATTTTGTTTCAGCATCACAGAACAATCGATTTGGGTGGGAATTTAAGGGCCAAAACAATACTAGTTTTTATTCTTTGTCAACTAAGAAATTAAATAATGCAGGGTTTATGGGCTCAATAGAGGATATTCTTACAATTTATTTTACGATTTTAGGGTTTTTCCCTTGTGTAGAATCTTTAAAATACTTTGCCATTTTATTTGATGTTGATTATTTGGATGAGTTACATTATTCTGAAGAAACAAACTGCAAAAAATAGAATTTTTTGGCAAGCATAATTGTATCCTATTACTGTATGCATTTTAGGAATATAGATAGCAGCCTTAATTGAAGTGAGTATAATTATAATATGCTAAGGTTTAATTTTAACATGAAAAAGAATTGGAGTGTCAGATAAGCCTTATTATTTAAAGCATCCCTCTAATAAAACTGCACTTTTTACTGACAGGGAAAGAGAGACATGGAGACTTGAGTGCTTTCTATTTTTATTTTTTTCAGCTCCCAAGAGCTTAGAAAGAATTGGGTGCTTTTTATTTTCTGTTTTTGTTACTTTAACTGCCTGGAGTCAATGGGTAGAACTAAAGTAACTTAGGAGAACCTTCATAAGGAATCTGTAGCGCCAAGAGGTTATCCAGAGGAGCCAGTGTCTAAGCCAGCATAGTAGAGGGTGAAGGCCCCTGAGATATCCAGTTCAACTGCATCATTTTGTAAGGGATAGAATTGTAGCTTAGAGAGAAGGAACTTATCTACGGCCTCACAGCTCCTTTTTGGCAAAACTGGGGCAGAACTGGGGCTCCTTTTTGGCAAATTTTGTTTGCTTCATTTTACTGGTACAGTTTTATTTTTGTTTGGATTCAAGCAACAAAAGCCCACAAAACCAGCTTAAGGAAAAGAAATGTTTTGAAACTGCCAGATCAGCTCCAGGACTTGGGTTACCAGGAATCATGGGGAACTAGAACTAGGGTCTGGAAAGTCATTAAAAATCAGTACTGCTGTGTTCTGTTTCACTTTCAACAGAGGTGACCCATTGTCAGACTGTGGTTTGGATTTGTTCGTCAGATGTCTACAGTTCGATAGGCAGTCTAAAGCGTGCATCAGAATTACCCAAAAGGGCTTGTAAAAATGCTGATTGCTGAGCCCCATCCCAGAGTTTCTAACATGTCTTGGGGTGGATCTTGGGAAGGTGCATTTCTAACAAGTTCCCAGGTGATGCTGGAGCATCACACTTTTGAGAGCCCCTAGTTGAAAGAATCTGGAATTTGAATTTGAATTCAGTTATCTTACTTCTGTCATCCTGCCTGACTCATTTGAGTGTGGGAGCCCTGCCTAATGCTTCTCTTCCCATGACTGCTTTATTCTCCCTCTACAGACCAGCTTACTTTTCTCTACTCGCACAATGCCCATAATGACTTCTTAGAATGGTGTCCTCGACCCTCTGAGGGAGCAATACCTCACAAATGCACAACTCTCAGGTGGTTAGGAAAGAACAGGGCCATGAAAACATGGTTACAAAGGTGTACTTCTTAGGATTGGGGAAGCAGTTCAGGCAACTCAATCACACGACATCTATCACACAGTGTTTCTTGGAGCACAGGTATCCAACAAAATGCCAATAACTTGTGTAGTAGAAAGACTTATACCTATAGTTGAGCAAGTGTGGAAAATAATGGGACAAATGAAGTTAAATAGTTGCTTCGTTTATCTGTAAATAGTATGTGACTCTCCAAAATGGTGATTGAGAATACAACTTTTTTTTTGGAGACGGAGTCTCGCTCTGTTGCCCAGGCTGGAGTGCAGTGGCGCGATCTCGGCTCACTGCAAGCTCCGCCTCCCAGGTTCACGCCATTCTCCTGCCTCAGCCCCCGGAGTAGCTGGGACTACAGGTGCCCACCACCACACCCGGCTAATTTTTTTTTTTTTTTTTTTTTTTTTTTTTTTTTTAGTAGAGACGGGGTTTCACCGTGTTAGCAAGGATGATCTCGATTTCCTGACCTCGTGATCTGCCCGCCTCGGCCTCCCAAAGTGTTGGAATTACAGGCGTGAGCCACCGCGCCTGGCCAGCTTTTTCTATTCTTAACAGAGCATCTCCTAGGCATAAGGCATTGGTCTAAAACCTAAAAAATGCAATGGCGAAAAAGCAAACACAGCACCTAATTTAATAAGGTTTGTGTTCTGCTGGGAGAAAGACACGAAATGTCAAGTTATACAATGAATTGGTACAATTATAAATGTTACGAAGAGTTGAGCTTATTAGGACATTAATTGCAATCTAATAGGAAAATAGAGATTAATTGCTAAATGTTCTAATCTAATGGCCCCAACTCTTCATAACACTAAATGTTAAATGTTTAGCATTTAGACAATGTAAGGTAGTCTGGGGGAATAGCAGTGCCTTTTTGAGATGTTACATTTTAGCTGTGATCTAAACGATGAATGGGAACTATACTAGGAAGAGGAGTGGAGTAAATGACACATGCAAAAGCCCTGAGTGTAGCATATTCAAGGAACTGAAAGAAGGCCCCTGCAATGGGAAGGCAAACAACCACAGAGAATGTGACATAAGGTGAATATGGAGACATGGGCAGGGGGAATGCTCATTCAAGTAGAATTATGCGGATGAAAAACCTTTGATGGGCTTTAATCGGGGGAGTGACACGAACAGATTTTCATTTAAAAGGACTACTCTGGCTATAGAGTAGAGTAGGCATTGTAGGGGACAAGCAAGTAAGGTAGGAGACCCCAGTCACAGTTGTCAAGTTAAGAGAAGAAGGTAGGTTTGACTAGAGTGGTAGAGATGGAGATGAGGAGAAGTGGGAAAATTGGAGAAAGATTTAGTAAGGAAAGTCAATGGAATTTGACTCAGTGTGTGCTGGAGAGTCATGGTGAGTAGATGGCAATCAGAGCATGAGCTCAAGGAGCTAGTGTTTGAGAAACATACTTCAGGAGCTATAGTGTACTGTCTTTAACCTGATACTTTTTAAAGAAATACCCAAACATCCTAATTCCTCTGCATAGGACTCCACTGATCCAAGACACCACTTGAGCCCCACTACAGCCTTTCCTTAAATTACCTCTCTGGACTCATTTCCCATTTTTACTGCCACCCTTCACTTTCCTAATAACCCTGCACTTCAGGTATACCAAACTTCTCATAATTCTGAAATACTGCTCTTCTGTCTAAAATTCCTTTCTCAGCACCAACCTCCAATATTTTTTTTACTGGTAAACTGCTGTGCATCATTTAAAGCCTGGAACAATTTGACTACCTTCCCTCTGAAGTCTCTCCCAGCTTTCCTAAAGGAAGTAATTCCTTGTCTGTGCTCTCACAGAACCAGGCTTACACTTAGTGTGTCTGCTAGAATGTAAACTCCACCAAGGTGGGGATTGTCTGTCTTCTTTTCTAGCACTGTAAACAGTACCTGACCACCTCTAAGTTGGTATACATATCCTAAGTTATAATATTTTGCTTAGTGTTCTCATCCTGTTTTTAGGAAAACCAAGCTCTCTGAAGACAAGGACTATATCTTATTCCTTCTAATGATCAGCAATCTAGCACAGGTCCTGGCAGGCAGGACACAGTAGGCCCTCCATACATTTATATTTAATGAATACATTTTAGGGCAGAAAGATCAGGATTTCTATTGATCTCTTTCTATAGCCATGTACCTTTCGGAGCTCTGATGTGCCCATGTAACCTTGTGCCCTTGGCTTCCCTGGATTTTGGAAAGGGGATCTCCAGTACTCAGTACCTCTGAAACTTGGACTTTCTGATTTACCCTCACTTGAACTGCATGTGCCGGGCTCCCTCTTCCACTCTATCAGGCTGGAACTCTCTGTCAAGGTAGTTGAATGTAATTTTGCCTTGATGTTAGGTGGGAACAGAACATTGAACACAGCCATTCAAGGAGTCAAAGAATGGGTTGGGGCTGGGTGTGGTAGCGTACACCTATAACCCCAGCACTTTGGAAGGCCAAGGCAGGAGGATCACTTGAGCCCAGGAGTTCCAAACCAGCCTGGGCCATATCATGTATTGCCTTGCAAAAAATTTCTTTAAAAAAATTAGTTGAGCATGGTGGTGCATGCCTGTAGTCCCAGCTACCCAAGAGGCTGAAGTGGGAGGATCACTTGAACCTGGGAGGTCAAGGCTGCTGTGGCCCATGATCATGCCACTGCACTCCAGCCCGGGCAACAGAGAGAGACCCTGTCTTAAAAAAAAAAAAAAAAGAAAAAAAAAGGGATGTGGTGGGGTGTGGGGTTGGTGCCAATAAACTTTGCTATCTTTAGTAATGGGAATGGAAAGATAGAATCTTCCAACAGCAGACCTGGAAAGCAATCTTGGGATCATTTATCTCTTTGTGTTTGTTTAATGTGGCTAACATCTTTAACAAGAAACTCAAATGTGAAAGTTACTTGCCTAAGGTTGAGGTATTGCTTCTCACAAGAGGTCATTAGCTGTGGGGTTCTGCCTGCAGACCCTGGCCTAAAGGACAGATGAATAAAACGTACACTGACACACAGATATTCTGTTTTGCCAGTCCTGCTGAGTGCCCGACTGCCTGCACACCAAGAGAGGTTTGTTACTGTGGCCGGCCCTGAGCAGCTCGCACTTCAGGCATTTATTTAGTATACAATTAACAACAGAAGCTTTGAGTCCACACACTTGTGGATAATTAACGTGGTTAACAGAGTAGTTCCACGAATGATTAAAGCTCAGGTACTGCGGTTTAAAATAAATACCATTAGGGGGCAATATTCCTGGTAGACCTCCACACCGCCTTGGAGAGGGCCATCTGGTTCAAAGGTTAGTTAATGGAGGTAAGGTAAACAGACTTAAATGGGGAAGCCTCTATTGTCCCTACTATTTACCCTATGACCTAATGCTGTAAGGTAAGAACTGGCTGCCTTCAGCCTGTTCAACTATTAGAAGCTATGTAACCTTTCGGCCTTCCAAAAAGGTTCGTGACTATTCCCTATAACTTTCCCTAATATTTCCCTTTAATATTTCTGCCACCATCCTGAGTGAATCCCAACACAAAGTCATACAGCTCAACATGTTTATTAGTTATTCATGTATTTTTGTCACACTTTGTTCTGAAAGGATTTCAGATGATCTAAAGATACACACTGAGGCTGAGCGTGGTGGCTCATGCCTGTAATCCCAGCACTTTGGGAGGCTGAGGCTGGAGGATCACGAGGTCAGGAGATCGAGACCATTCTGGCTAACATGGTGAAGCCTCATCTCTACTAAAAATACAAAAAATTAACCAGGCATGGTGGCACGCGCCTGTAGTCCCAGCTACTCAGGAGGCTGAGGCAGGAGAATTGCTTGAACCTCGGAGGCAGAGGTTGCAGTGAGCCGAGATCACGCCACTGCACTCCAGCCTCGGTGACAGAGCAAGACTCCATCTCAAAACACACACACACACACACACACACACACACACACACACAAAACAGATATACACTGAACACAGCACAAGTGGGACATAAGAGATTTAAAAGGGTTAGAGATGTAAAATGGATCTAGGAATGGAAACCATAAGGCGGGATTTATCAACTGGATTCTGCAGAATGCTGTTAAGGCCAGATGTTAGCAGGTGTTACATAAAAAAGGGATACCATGAGCAAAAGTATTTGAACATGGGCAATGGTTGAAACAAGTTTAAACAGATTATCTTTATTACCAAATCTCTCAAACCTTTAATATGCTATAAACATTGTGAAACAATAAAAAAACTTTCCAAAACTAAGGTTTTTTTCCCCAAAACTTATTTGATCCAGAACCCTTTTTCATGTAACATTTCACTCATTGTGAATTAACAAGAATGTGACATTTCTCAAATTTATTTGATCTGAAACTCTTTAAATGCAACATTTGAGAAACTAGTGCTCTGCTGAGCACCTGTTGGGAAATACTGCCATAGAAGTCTACATATTTTCTGAAGATGAGGGCTAAGAAAATCTGGCTCTAAGCTTTCTAGCAGAAAACAAAAATAAAAGCAGTTAAACAGTTTACTCTGTGCAGCAGATAAAAACAGACCAATTAATCTGGAGAAGCCCACGCGGGAACTTACTGGAAGAACCTCAGAAATGGGAAAAGTATGAGTGGGAGCTCTAATCTCTCTTCACATATTTATAGATTTCATTGTATTCATACTTGTACATTCTTTCAGTATAAACGAAAGTCATAACACCAGAGTATAACAATGATTTTACAGTGAACAAAGGAACTATATTACAGGTGTACACATTTTTGCTAATCTGGTTTAATTTAGAAATAGATTATTCTATTTGGAGGAACACTCTCAGCCAAAATTTTGCTAGATAGATGTTTCTTGGCCAGTTTAAATGTCTTAGTAGATAGTTGAACAGGGGGAATGAATAATGTGTGGTAACACAAATGAAGTAGATTCAAAAATGAGCTCAGACACCAAATATACTCTCATCCTACTTGGCTTAGAGGTGAACTAGACTCCTCAGCGATGGGAGGCAGGGTCAAGACAAGCAACAAGGAGCTTCTTCCAATACAGAGAGGTTGACATCTTTACTAAATTTCCTCTATTCATTTGGTGGAGTGGTGTTAACTGTTTTTCTTTGTTTTGTAACTCCTAAAATGTAGGGATGCACAGCTAAAGAAAGAAAGTTAAAAAAAAAACTGTCAATCAATAACTCCAAGATACTAAACTCTAAATGAAGCTGTGTGCTAAGGAGATATAGAAAGTGCCATGACACGCACATGTATACATATGTAACAAACCTGCATGTTGTGCACATGTACCCTAGAACTTAAAGTATAATAAAAAATAAAAAATAGGAAGTGCCATGACACTGATAATGTACAGTAAGTGTCCTTGAATAAATTTACAGAAGTGGAAGAAGCCAGATGATTTGATAAATGGCCTCTCATCATCAAAGAACTATCAGATTATTCCTATTTCAGAAGTCTCTTTTATGGTTAACAGAAGACATTTCATATGTTACCATATGATGTCAGTTCATTTGGTCAATCTACCTCCCTTCAAAGGTAAAATATAAATCAGTAAAACACCCATCTGCTTTATCTTCAACGAGCTTACATTCAGATCTACCATCTCTTCCGTCTCCTTTTCTGATGCCACAGAACCCTCACCTGAGTTTGTTCTTTAGATCTAAAACAGTGGTTCTCAATTTGTAGCAATTTTGCCTCCTAGAGGACAGCTGGCAATGCTGGAGATGGTTTTAGTTGTCACAGCTGGGGTGGGGGCGTGCCAGCGACATCCCTGATACAGACCAAGGATGATGCTAAACATCTTACAATGCACAGGACAGCTCCCCCGTAACAAAGAATTAACTGGCCCCAAGTGGCAATAGTGTCGATGTTAACTAGGTCGAATCTAAATTTTTCCCATCATAATTTAAGACCCTTTCCTCAAGTTTTACCCTGCATACGAAATGAAAAACTGATTGTTAACTCAATAGCCTTACACTTTATCCTCTACACAGCGCAATAGCACAACGTCTAGTATAGACATTAATCTGCAAATTTAATAAACTTAATTTTGGGGACTGATTCTTGAGATACTTCCTCTTTTCTAGGCCAAATAACCCCAATTCTTTGGATTGTTTGTTTACTTATCATTCATTCACTCAAACATTTATTCAACGGCAACTTTGTGAAGGTATAGTGTTAAGGAGTTTAACTGTTTAAAGGTAAAGCTCAGTGTTCTCAAGGAGCTCAAGGCTCATGGGGAAAGACAGTCACAATGTCAGATGATTACACACATTGGGCTAAGAATCTGTGTTGCATTCAGGATGCTGTGGGAGTGTGAATGCAGATGTGATGAACTCCTCCTAAAGTTCTGAGGAAGGCTTTAAAGGAGAAGCAACATTCAAACTGCGATTTGAGGGATGAGAGTTTGCAGTATGGTTGGGGACTTGAGGGAAAGACAGTAAAAGCACTATTCATTGAGAAAAAGTTGCTAAGCACTCATTATATGCCAGTAGTTAGGCACCACACATTACTGTGAAAAATCAAAGCAAAACAAACCCCAAAACACGTAGCTTCTATCATGAGGCCTATTTAAAAAAGAAACAAATAAAATCTCCCCTTTAATGCTTGAATCATACTTTATAGACCTCAGAACTCTTCTGCTTACCTTTTCTCATTTTAGTCCCACAAACACCCTGAGTGAGAGGAGAAATACGTATTGTCTCAATTTTATAAATGAGGACCGTGAGGCAAGATAAATGAAGTGACTCCCTTCTCTCCCCAACCATGACCACAGATCTAGTAAGTGGTAGTTGCCTGATTCCAAGTCCTGTGCTTTTCTACTCTTTTTCAGTTCCAAATGCAATTTCCTGTGGCAGAGAGGCAAGCACGCTCCTTTCTACCCCCTCCTTGCCCTTGCTGTCTTCATCTCATTCTAAACTGTTTTCTGCCAGCCTCAATGCTGAAGTTGTTTTCCAGTCTTCCCAGTTCTGATTGCAGAGGGACTATCCAGGGAAGGAAGGAGTGAGGGTTGCTCTGCAGCCACTGACCATTTGGCAAAATCATTTCTACCTTAATTTCCCAAATTTTTTGAGGAAAAAGGAAAACTGAGATGTGGGACAGAAAATCCCTTTTGTTTGTCTTGGTGTTTGATAATGTATGCAACCTCTCTGGGTGGTTTAAGCGGTTTAGGTACTTTCTATAAAAGGGATCTTTTAATGACAAAACTAATGTGATTATCTGAGTGAGTGTGAGAGGCGTATTCAAGGCTTAAAGAAAATCTGTTAGAATAGCTGAATGTATCTGCTTAATCCTTTCTCTAATGTGGCTGAACAATGCTCTGGGAAGCCATTGGTCCGTTCTTTCTCCTAGTAAATGCCTGCCTCCAGAGGTAGGGACTGTTTGCAGCTTTTGATACCCGTATGCTTCACCTTCTCAGCTGCACAAAAGCACAGGAAAAGCTGAAGGAGTCTGAAGCACTGACAGAAAGCAATGTCCCCTCTGAATGCTGAGGGCTAAATGTACAGCACATGGCATGCTATCTCCAGGGCATCCTGAGAAGCGAGGACTGTGGTCACCATTGGGCATGGCATCTCAGAGAAGGGTCCCCCTTCCCGGCACCTGCTTTCATTAGGTGCTGGGTGTCAGATCACTTATCGATGTTTAAAATCTTACACCTGAGATTTAAGAGTGACCAGCCTGATCAACATGGTGAAACCCTGTCTCTACTAAAAAATACAAAATTATCTGGGCATGGTGGTGCATGCCTATAATCCCAGCTACTTGGGAGGCTGAGGCAGGAGAATTGCTTGAACCTGGGAGGTGGAGGTTGCAGTGAGCCGAGATCGTGCCATTGCACTCCAGCCTGGGCAACAAGAGCGAAAGTCCATCTCAAAAAAAAAAAAAAAAAAAAAAAAAAAGAGTGGTTTAGCTATTCCTCTTTGGGGGCAAGAGAAACATAAGAGGGGATAAAAGTGATACAGGTTTGAGTTCTGCAACCTCCTCTGTAACTCTGGCCCAAAACCAAATTCTTCTGGTCCTCTGCTCTCTCATTTGTGAACTAGAGATAATAATACTTGACATATTAATTCATGTGAGAATCAAAATAAAAATGGGAACATGAATACAAAAGTGCCCCAGCCAATCTGGAATATTATCACATAACAAGTTGCACACTTTTTATTTTTATTTTAAAGTTCTAAATCTTGTTCTTTGAAGAATACTCTTCTAGATGTATAATTGACTACTTACATGCTGGGCGTTATGCACAGTTCTGGAGATACAGATAGGAGTAAGTCAGTCTCTGACTTCTAAGAAGGTCACAAGTTATAGGGAGGCAGAAATGTAAGGTGCAGCTAAAAATGTGTATTAGAAATGATTAATTCTAACTTGGGAAAATTAATAATAATAGCTAAGACTCATATTGTGCATATTATTTGCTTGGAGGTGAGCCAAATGCTTTGCTTGAGTTACCTCATTCAATCCCAACAGCCCCAGGAGGTAGGAACTGCTATCATCCCATTCACAGATGAGGAGGCTGAGGCTCAGTCAGATCAAGTAAGTCACGTTCCCATAGTATCACAGCTGGCACTTGGTGGGCCAAATTAGAGTCCTGGGTCTGCTTGACTTCCCAGTCCAAACTCTTCCCCATTGCTTGGTGCTCTATCCCAAGTTAAAAGAGACATCCTAAAAGATGTGGCCACAGGTGGGTTTCAACGCAGAATTGGAAGTTTGCTAGGTACACAGAGGAGAAAGGGCATTCTGAGCAGAGGGAATGGCACAGGTAAAAGCATTTTGGCCAGGAAAGCATTTGTGCAGAGAGGAACTGGAAGCAGTTTGTAGTTAGCAGTGGAGTGGGGACAGGTTAGAGGAATAAGCAGGGGCCCAACTATGATCTCCTTTATGGCCCCTTTGTGAAAAAAAAAAGTATTTCTATTTTAATTAATTATTTTGTTTATATATCCCGTTTGTCAAAAAGATTTTGCAGCAAAGTGGGAACTGTTGTAATGGTACAGGGTTACAAAATATACTTCAAATTTTAGAATCAGAAAACTTTAAGGATGGAAGGCACTTAAAAGATCAAATTCATTCTACGCAAGAGGAAATCAAAACTGAATGCACGTAAATGTCTCAATCAAGGTTACAAAGGAGTTTAACCAGCCAAACCAGAATATTTGCGTTTTTTAGATGAATTATGGAGTTAAAGTAAACATTAAATGAGAATTACAGAATTATCTTCAGATGCATTTATAGAAATTGGTGAGTTGAAAAGAGGGAGAGATGCAGTTGGTAATTCCATGAAATGAGAAGGAAGTTCTGCTGAAGCTGTAGGTTTCCCATTGAGAATGCTTGTGACAACTCTGTGGAGAACGCTGCTGGGTGTCTAAGTGGGTGCCTTGGCTGGGTTAAAGCTGGGAATCAGGTCTGCCTGGAAAGTAGAATTTATTGATATCTTTCTATGTCAGTTTATTAATTTTCATTGGCTACTTAAATGGGGGCCTGGTACAGATGTGGCCTGGTTCTTGTTCTCACCAAGCTCATGATCTGAAAGACGTAACAGACAAGAAAACAGGTAATTGCCACAAACTGGGATTAGTCATGTAATATGGAATAGGATGCTTTGGGAGCCCAGAGGAGTGAGCAACCAAATGGGTTAGGAAAAGCTTCCTGGGGAGAGTAATGTCTAAGAAAGACTTGAAAGGTGAGTGAAAGTGGGGTAAAAGGGAGAACAAATAGTGCTCTAGGCAAAGGAAACAGTTTGTGCAAATGCTCCAAGAAGACCACAGCATTTGGGAAAATTAACTTGAATGCACTTTCCCATTTGATAGTCTTGGCATGGAGTGTGTAAGTTGGGAGTGACGTGAGAGTTTTTTCTCTACCCTTTCCTTCTCCAATATGCAAATATATATATGCAGTTTATTAGAGAACGTCACAACTCTGATAAAAAAGATTGAAATGCATTTGGGAATGCCACAGAGAGCAGGTGCTGACATGCTGGGACTCACTAAATGATTGCACAAAACAAAAACTCCAATATTCCTCTTTCCCATGTCACTACAGCCATCCCACTGACCTGAGAACCAGTCTCCCCAAAGTGACTACTTCTCACCCTAAGATGGAAAACAAAAAGGCATGAAATCAATGCTCTGAATGTAAACTAGACAGAGTGCAGCAGGAGGGGAGAGCAATAAAGTGAGCAGGCCTGAGTGATGGTGGTAGCCAGCTGGATTCTCAGGTCACAGAGTAATTTACTCACTGGTCCTAGGCCACTGGCTAATTATCCAGACAGCCCTGATCCTGGTGCGAAGCCTCCTGCTGCTCATGTTATTAATACCAGCAGCAACCAGCGGGCGTTGGTGGGAGCAGAGGAGCAGACCGAGTTGTTAGACTGCTGAGCGAATGCAGAGGCATCTGCCTGGTCCCTCTGAGTTGGACCTCACCAGGAAAACTGACCCAGCGCCAGCATTCAGCTCTCGGCTCAGCCACTGCATGGGCCCCAGGGAGAGGCTCTCCAAGGATGGCCGAGAGCTTGGGCAGAGGAAGAAGTCACCCAAGTCATGGAGTTTGACCAGCTTGTGTCAAAGAACCTCTGCCTGTTTCCCCCTTGGAGCTGACTGGAAAGTGATTTTGAAGCCTACCCAGAATAACTTAATACCCATGGAGTAATGTCAAACACTCCTCTTTGACATGGCGTGGGAATTAGACTTCACTGCACTCAAATGGGGCCAGGGAAGGTTATGGTGTTTGTTTTAGGGTTTAATAATTTAGGAGATTGACCTTAGGTTACCCTGAAGGGATTTCAGGGGCCAGTGGGGATGGAGGTGGGGTTCTCTTGTCTCATACCCCACTTTAAAATACGAAAACATATGTAAAGTCCCCAGCTCATAGTAGACATTTTCAATCAATGTAAGTGCACTGCCCTCTTTCCCCTATAACATTTTCCAGTAAACGACCTCTATCTGACTGATCTTTCATCTTTTCCCTCTAGGGCAGTAGTTCTCAACCAGGAGCAATTTTGCTTCATAGGTGACATTGCAATGACTGGAGACTATTTTCATTGTCACAACTGGGGGCAGTGGGACGTTGCTGGCATTTGGTGGAAGAGGCCAGGGATGCTGCTAAAAATCCTGCAATGCACAGAACAACCCTCCACAACAAAGAATTATCAAGTCCAAATATCAATAGTGCTGAGGTTGAGAAATCCTACTCTAGAAGATTCTGTACATTGTAGCCTGAGTAATCCCTGTAAATACAAATCTTGTCATTTGCTTGCTTAAAAAAACCCCAGTGGTTTAGTTATCATAAATAATGCATTCCAAATTATTTACTCAATACAGAGCACCTGTTCTGTGGCAGGCACTGTGTTATGGTGTGAGATTGCACAAGTACATCTATATAGACCCCGACCTTGAAGAGATGGTTACAAAACACTGGCTTCCTGTCATCTCCAGGGTAAAGTCCAATCAACTGAGGGTAGAGATGGGGTATAGAAGAATGAAAAATAAGAACTTTGTTTTAGGACATGAGGAGCTAGTTTGGTGGTGGGCCATTCAGGTAGATTGGGCAGAAAGGACAAGAACCAGTACATTAGATGTGGAAGAACTTTCTACACCAAAAAGAGGGGGAATATGTGTGTTTCTAATTTCAGTAAATAGAACTCCCAGCTTCACAGTTTCCAAGCCAGGAACCCATGCTTTCTTCTTAACCCTTTTCTCTTTCCTAAGCTTTCTATTCTGAATACCACAAAGGAATTATGCCCCAATGGTGTAAAGCATCCGTTGTGTAAAAGTATCCAATGGTGTGAAGTATCCAATGGTGTGAAGTATCCATTGTGTAAAATATACCCAATGGTGTAAAGTTACCATTACTTTACACCATTGTGTGTGTAATGGATTAACATCTCACCATTGCATCTAGAAATGGTATTAGCTATATAACATTGTTATGAGAATTTTTTAAGAAGTCATTCATGATATTTTTTATAGAATTTAATTTTCTCAAGAGACCATTACTGAGAAAGACTGCCAAACATTGTGTCTCTATGGCTTGTGTTTTAATTGAACTCTTAACATTATTATCTTTAAAATATCTCTTTTCTTTTCTTTTTAAATAACAATCCCTCATGATTGCCATTTGTTTTGAGACAAGGTCTCACTCTGTAGCCCAGGCTGGAGTGCAGTGGTACCATTACGGCTCACTGTAAAGCTTCATTAAAAAAGTTTGAAACACCTGCAAACTTCCAAAAAAGTTCCATATGCAGATTTTTTAAACTTAAACACTTGAGAGTAAGTTGCTGACATAATGTCCCGTTGCCTCCAAATACTTTAGTGCCAATTCTGACAATTCTCCATAACAACAATATATCATCAAAATCAGGAAATTAATATTGGCATATTATTACCATCCAATCCTCAGATCCCATTAGTTACCCCAGTTGCTCCAATAATATGCTTTATAGCCAGAAGTTATAATTCAGAATCAAGCTTCGAATTTAGTTGTTATCACTTCTTCAATGTGGACCAGTTTCTCAGACTTTCCTTAATTTTCATGACCTTGAAACTCTTGATAATTACTGGCCAGTTATTTTGTAGAATATCTTTCTGTTTGGGTCTGCATCAAGTTTCCTCACGGTTAGATTCAGGTTATGCATATCTAGCAGGAATGATGCTGTGTTTTCACAGCATCTTATTAGATGATGCATGATTTCAATTTGTCCTGCTACCGATGATGTTTACTTTAATCATTTGATTATCTCTGCCAGGATTGTCCAGTTAAATTTACTCATTTTTAACTTTGTAATAAATAAGTATTTTATGGGTAGGGACTTTGAAAATATGTAAATAATGTGTTTCCCTTTGAACTTCTCATTTATTCATTTATTTATTTTATTCAATGGATTATACTTTGTTACTATTTTTATTTTGCTGCTCAAATTTTCTTTGATTTGGTCAGTAGGAACCCCTTTAAGCTGAATTCTCTGTCCTTTTGACGTGGTCCCATCGTTCTCTGAGTCCTCCTGTGTCTTTTAGCACGATATTCTAGGCTTATCTTGTAATTTCTCTACCCCAGCCCTGAAATCAGCCATTTCTCCAAGGAGCCCTGGTTTCTTTCATTAGAGAGTGGTATTTTAGAAACCACACATTGGTACAAATTGTACTCATAGCTAGTGAAGTGTTGCTGATCTCAGACCCTCTCAGGGGATAGAGTTAGGAATGATATATATCTTTCCATAATTATACATATATATTTATTTCTACATCTATCATTATATATTGAAAACCATGATGCTTCCAATTTCAGTCCAGTATCACAGGGTTCCTGCTAGTTTTATTCCTTTCCATAATTATAATTCTCTTTTCTAACAATGAGGAACCAGCTCTCAATATACTTAATATATTTACTTATTTGATCAATCTCCCCACATGTAACCAGTCTTCCATCAATGACACCAACCTTTCTTAGCATGTATTACTTCTCACTCTACTTGGGTGGAAGCCTCCTGTCTTAATCTGTTTGGGCTGCTGTAACAAAATGCATAGACTGAGTAGCTAATAAACAACAAAAATTTATTTCACACAGTACTAGTGACTGAAAAATCCAGTGACTGGTCAGGACCCAGCCTTTTCATTAATAAATGGTGCCTTTTGTCTGTGTCCTCAGATGGTATAAGATGGATGGTTGTTTTCTTCTTTCCCTACTATCACACAGACCTTATGGTTGCTTTCCTTCCTTCTTGCCTATATCATCCTAGGTGTGCTACATATTTAGTTTTCCCTTTAATTTCCCTCAAATCATCATTAATAAAAGTTATGTCTGGCATACTTTCATAAAGGTTTGTGTAACAAAAGGGGTTACAGCATGTGCGTGTAACAACTGACAGCTTTCATTGATGTAAATATCAACGGACCATTTCTTGCTCTATGGATTTCTGGCTAGAAATATTTTCCAGCTCACTGTCATGCTTTCTGGCATCATTTCTCTTCAACTTTCCCCCTATCCTCCTAGCTTCTAGCCTCCTTCTTGTACATTCCTGCTACTTATACACAGTTATTCAATTCTCTCTGTATTTTTACGTTCTCCTTTCTGCCATGACTTGCATTTAAATGTGTAATTGTTGTAGTTTATTCAGCATCTAGATATTTCTTAAAGTACATAGTCTATCATGCTGTCAGTAATTTATGTCTCTGTTTTTGT
Organism: Homo sapiens; assembly: GCF_000001405.40. Lineage (NCBI taxonomy): Eukaryota > Metazoa > Chordata > Mammalia > Primates > Hominidae > Homo > Homo sapiens. The sequence goes on along the minus strand of NC_000011.10, from coordinate 82,807,731 downwards.
CTCTTATGTTCTTACAATATTGCTTTATGGAGTTACGCATTACAGTCAGTAAAATGCACAATCTGAAGGGAATAGATCAGTACATTTTTTTACATAGATAAAAACTTACGTGACCATCATCCAGAAAAAGATTAGAACATTTTCATCACTCCAGAAAGTTTCCTTATGTCTCTTTCTGGGTGATGCCACCCCCTTCCAGAGGTAACCACTATATTGATTTCCATTACCATAGATCTGTTTTGCCTGTTATTGAACTTCACATAAATGGAATTATACAGAATGCACTTTTGTTTCTAGTTTATTTTGCTCAACAAAACAGTTTTGAGATCCATTCTTGTTTTCACTTGTTAGTAGTTCATATTATTGAGTAGGTATAATTCATTGTATAAACACAAAACAATTTCCTCCTCCTTCTCCTCCTTCTCCTCCTCCTTCTCCTTCTCCTCCTTCTCCTCCTCCTCCTCCTTCTTCTTCTCCTTCTTCTGCTTCTGCTTCCTCTTCCTCTTCTTCTCTTCTTCTTCTTCCTTTTTGGTTTGCCAAACTTTTTTTTAGTATTCCGTAGTTGTTTAACACACACTTAAAAGATCTTATTTGGGGGAGGCAAAAGGGGAGGTTCTTGCAGATACCCAAGGAAACGTCAGAAAGGTAAAACGGCCAGCATTATCCATTTGCTTTTTTGGGTTTACTGGGTGAACAGCACTTTCCGTAATAGGCACCTGATTTCAGGTTTTTTATATTGAGAACATTGAGATTTCAGTTGGAAATATATATCATATATTATAAGTAGCATACCCCAACCACCCTCTAATAGCTAGCTTGTTTGTATGGGCAGAACGATTCATCTCTCCATATTTTAGATGGCTAGATGTCTTGTGGAGATCTTAAGAATTGCTTGCCTCGTTTACTGGGAAAAATCCGATAAGAAGTGGCCTTTAGGGACACTTTTACTTGGAAAGTTACAACACTAGTACAACAAGTCTTAACACATTTAACATTTGCTTGTTGAAAAGCAACGTCATAAAGTCAAATAAAATTAAACAATGTTTTACTTTTTTCCTCACAAGAACATAAAAATTATGGAAGGAAACTTAACAGGGAATTTAAAAAAGGTAACACAATTTTTCCTTTTAGTAGTCCTTGGGTAGTTATGACAGAATAGTTTCCACTTTTTGTTTGTTTCTTTGAACTGGGATTTTGTTCCAAAGTTTTGCTTGTTTCTAGTATCTGCTTCTGCCTCCCCCTCTATCAGACTGGCTTCCTCCATGGCCACCACCTTGGTGCTCTGTGGCTTGAACTGCTGTAGGAATCACGTGGAGGAGGGTGCCCCCTTTCCATAGAAGGAGGAAGCCCTCTTTCTTATCTGCCAACCCGATCACGACCACTTGAGTAGAGATCACTTCAGCTGCTGAGTAACTGTCTGACTTCCACCATATCCATCACGTGAGCTGCTGTAATCATCATAGCGACTGCTTCCGCCGTAAGCTGGCAGGGGCCCTCGTGTATGTCCAGCACTACTTGAGTTACCATAACTCTCATATGAATCTCTGTAGGAACCTCCATTTGGATGATCTGAATAGTCAAGATCACGACCATATCCCTCTCTATCGCCATAGCCTCTTGATGGATAGTCATCACGTGAACTGGAATGACCATAGTCACGGTAAGTATAATCTTGTGGTGGTGGTGTATAATCTCTTGTATCACGAGAACTTGGGTAATCTTTGCTGGAATAGCTGTCTTTAGTAGAATACACATCATCTCTTGGGGACAAATAAATATCTCTGTGAGAGGGCAGCGGTTCCCTTCGAGGTGGACCTCCGTAACTATCTCTTCCACGTGATACAGGAGCTCTTCCTCCCATTCCACTGCTGCTGCAAACTGGTCCTGAAAGTGCAGATCTCTTAGGAGGAGGACCCGCACTTCTTAATGGGGGTCCTCTTTTTACTGGGAGTAATCCCCTGGAAGAACTCATGTTAAAATTCATGGACTATCCACCATCATACATGTGTCCTCCCCGTGAGGGAGGTCTCCTGGTTCCTCCACTTCCTCCTCTTCCACCTCTAAGACCTCTTGGAGGGCCTCTACTTCTTGGAGGTGGAGGGGTCCACGTCTACTACTTTCAAATGATGGTTTGGTGGTTTGTTCCACCTTAATGGCTTTTCCATCTAGTGACTTTCCATACACGTCTCTGGCTGCATCCTTATCGTCTCCTGGGCTATCAAAGGTGACAAAAGCAAATCCTCTTTATCTGTTCGTTTCATCAAGAGTACTTCCACTATTCGTCCATATTTGCCAAATACTACTTCAAGACTTTTCTCACTTGTTTCCGTATTAAGCCCACAAATGAAGAGCTTTCCTGGGCGATCTACTTCAACCATTTTTTGTTTGTTTGTTTTTGTTTGCCGGTGAGTCAGAGGAGTAACAATGGGTTCGAGCTTCAACAAGCTTGCAGACAGGGGCTTCCTAGCAGCTCAGCACCAGTGGTGGCTGCCCGGTCCAAGGACCGAACCTTGAAGTCGCTAGCACTACTGCACAACAAAAACAATTTCTTCTTTGTCTATTCTTCTGTAGCTAGACATCTGGGTTATTTAAAGTTTCGGCTATTATAAATAAAGCTCTTATGAGTATTACATTACAAAACTTTTTGTGAATATTTGTACATGTTTATTTTAGGCATATACCTAAGAGTGGAATTGCTTGGTAGATATATGTTTATGTTTATGATAATTGTTAGACCAATTTCTAAAATTGGCTTAAAATTGTAGAGTTCCACTCACAATGCATGAAGGTTCAAATTACTCTATCTCCTTGATTACTTTTTGTGGCCAATCTTTTTTTAAAATTTGGCCATTCTGGTGGGTGTGTAATGGCATCTCATTTTGGTTTTATTTATTTTTTTTTTGAAAAGCGTGTGTTTTTAGTTTTTATGAAGTTGGATTTATTATTTTTTGTGTGAGAAAGAAAGTGACTTTTGTGTCTTAACTAAAACACTTTTGCCCACTCCAAGGTCATGAAAATACTCTCTACGTTTTCTTCTAGGATCTTTATAGTTTTAGCTTTCACATTTAGGTCTGTGACACAGATTTAATTACTCATTTATGTGCTGTGAGGTAGGGGTTAAGGTTAATTTTTATAAGTTTCAAACATATGTAAAAATATAATAGTATGATGAGCCCCCAAGTACCCATCACTCTGCTTTGATAATTATCATGGCCAATATTGTTAGATATATTCTCCTCACCCACTTTCCTTAATTCAAACTGAATTATTAGTAAGAAAATTTCTGATATCATACTTTTCATTATTACTATTTCAGTATATATCTCTAAGAGATAAGGAGTGTTTAAAAAACAATGCAACCACAACACTCCTATTATATCTAAGCAAGTAACCATAATTCCTCAATATCATCAAATATAGAATGATTTTCCACATTTTCCCAGTTGTCTCATAAATTTAAAAAATTATTTTTTTTATGTTATTTTTTTGAGATGGAGTTTCACTCTTGTTGCCCAGGCTGTAGTGCAATGGTGTGATCTCGGCTCACTGCAACCTCTGCCTCCTGATTCAAGCAATTCTCCTGCCTCAGCCTCCCAAGTAGCTGGGATTACAGGCATGTGCCACCGTACCCAGCTAATTTTATTGTATTTTTTAGTAGAGATGGGGTTTCACTATGTTGGTCAGGCTGGTCTCGAACTCCTGACCTCAGGTGATCCACCCACCTTGGCCTCCCAAAGTGTTGGGATTACAGACATGAGCCACCGCGCCTGGCTAAAAATTAGTTTATTTTTAAAACTAAACTACGATCCAAGTGATTTCTTTTTATTGATTTGGTTGCAAAGTCTTGCAAGTATAATTTAATAAATATACTTCTACCCTTTACAAGTTATTTGTTGAAGAAATGTTGACATTTTTTCCCCTATAGTTTCCCATACTCCACATTTTGCTGTTTGAATCTCTTTGGTGTGATTTAAAATGTTCCCTCTCTTCTGAAATTGCTGCGAACTGATGATTAAATCAACACTCCCCAAGGGGCTCAAAGACACATCCAAATGGCTCAGGACCTGTGAATTCACTGGCTAGGAGAAATGGCAACAAGTTTGATCTCCTCTAAATTAATGTTTCCAATTTCTCTTCTTCCTTTCTTACAGAATACAAAGGGAGAAATCCTCTCATTCTGAGTAGCTCCATTCTTCCCCTGTTGGCCTCCTGGGTCAAGTGGGTCAAATATTCCTTTCTGTTCAGAGGTCCCTTGGTGCAGTGGGGCCCTTTCTGCTCCACACTGGGGCATAATTTGGTATACTCACTTACCTGGATTAGGAACCTGAGCTACCTCTTCCTTCAGGTACAGAGATCTTGGTGCAGTGACACCCCCTCTACTCCATGCCTGGATTTATCTCCAGGCATTCAGCACACCCACTGTTTAGGTGTTTAGGCCACCCCTCCTTTCCTGGGTGGAAAACTTGGGGAAGCAGAAGTTTCTCCACTCCATACTCAGGCACAACTCTAGGTGCTTGGTGGCTGCCTTCTGGACTTTACTTTGGAGCCAGTGCTTACACCTGCCACTGGGGGATGAAGAGGTGGGCCTGCCCAATTTGGCAGGCCAAGCTTGGTCTCTCCTGGAACTGAGCAGGGAGCTCAGACCACTGTGCATTCCACAGGATGGTCTATTGCCTGAGGCAACAGGGAGCATCTTATGGCAAACAAAGATCAAGCATATACCCATTTACCTCAGCTGCACCTGGCTGTTACCCATAAGCATCACCCACAGACTGAGGATGAACTGCACAAGCCAAAATATACTTTGCTGACATAAGCACACAGCAGTGGGGAACTAGATTAGCTTCCTGAGGCCTCTGCTACACGAGCCATGCAGGAGGCAGAGAGCCTGCTCATCTGCCCAGTACATTGCTAGCACAGCCAGCATTTAAGAAAGCTACTGTACAAAAGCTATCTGTAACTAAGGAAACTACACAAAGTCTTTGCCACTGGAAGCACCCAGAACCAAAGCCAAAGGACTCAATACCATAAAAATTGTAGTCAAATCCTTGAGAGAGAGAAAAATATCTCATCCCAATGAAAGTAAATTCAAAAATAAGCAGAAGAGATAGCTTACCCAGATGAGAAGGAACCAGAAGAACAGTTCTGAAAGTATTTAAAGATAGTGTTATAACCCCCAGCAAAGGACCACACTAACTCTTTAGCAATGGATATTAACCAAAATAAAATTTTTGAGATGCCAGATAAAGAATTCAAAATATTGATTTTAAAAACATCCAGTGAAGAGAAAGTTGAAAACACACACACACAGAGACACACACAAACACACACACACGCACACACAAAATCAGAAAAACAATTCAGAATATGAAAGAAGAGACAGATATTATTAAGAAAACCAAACAGAAGTTCTGGATTACAGGGGCTAACCTAGGAGTTTTATATTTTCCTGTGTGAAATACTGTTGAAAGCTGCAACAATAGGCTTGGCCAAGCAGAAGAAAGGATTTCAGAGCTGGAAGACAGGTCTTTCAAATCAACCCAGTCAGACAAATATAAAGAAAAACAAATTTTACAAAATGAACAGAGCCTTCAAGAAATATGAGACTATGCATATGGCTCAAACCTACAAGTTATAGATATTTCAGAAGGAGAAGGGGAAAAATTACAAGTATGGAAGGCCTATTGGAGGGAATAATTCAGGAACACTTCTCTGGTCTTGCTAGAGATATATAGAGCCAAATACAAGAAGCTCAAACCTCTTGAAGATACATTGCAAGAAGAACCTCGCGAAAGCACATACTCATCAGACTATTAAGTTAACATGAAGGAAAAAACCCTAAAAGAGGAAAGAGAGAAACATCTAATCACCTATAAGGGAAATCCCATCAGACTAACAGTGGACTTCTCAGCTATAAGAGACTGGAATCCTATTTTCAGTCTTTGTAAAGAAAAGAAATGCCAGCCAAGAAATTTTTTATCTTGCTAAACTAAGCTTCATAAATGAAGGAGAAATAAAAAGTCTTTCCCAGACAAACACTAAGGGAATTTCTCACCACCAGACCAACCCTTCAAGAAATGCTCAAGGGAGTTCTAAACATAGAAATGAAAAGGTGATACTTGTCATCATAAAAGCACAGGAAAATATAAAACTCCTAGGTCTTATAAAGCAGTTACACAATGAAGACTGCAAAGCAACAGAGTAACAATTAACACTTAACAGGAACAAAACCTTACATATCAATACTAACCCAAATGTAAATGGACAAAATTCTCCACTTAAAAGATATATGCTAGGGAAATGGATTTAAAAAAGCAAAATCCAACCATATTCTGCATACAAGAAACCAACCTAACTGGTAAAGACATTTACAGACTCAAACCAAAGGGGTAGAAAAAGATATTCCATGCAAACAGAAACAAAAAATGAGCAGAAGTAGCTATAATTATATCAGATTAAACAGACTTTAAATCAACAACCATAAAACAGACTTTAAATCAACAACCATAAAAAAGACAAAGGAGGTCATTATATAAAGACAAAAAGATCAATCCAACAAGAATATATAACAATTCTAAGTATATGTGCACCCAACACCAGAGTACCCAGATACCACTAGATCTAAGAAACAAATACTACTAGGTCTAAGAAAAGATATAGACACCAATACAATAATACTGGAGGATTCAATATCCCTCTGACAGTACTAGACAGATCATTGAGACAGAAAATCAATACAGAAACTCTGGACTTAAACTGGATTCTAGACTGTACAGTTTTAACAGACATTTGTAGAACATTCTACCCTACAAACACAGAATATACATTCTTCTCATCTGCACATGGAACATTCTCAAAGACTGAACATATGCTAGGCCACAAGGCTAGTTTCAACAAATTTTAAGAAATTGGAATTATATCAAGTACTTTCTCAGGTCACAGGAGAATAAAACTAGAAATGAACACAAAGAGGAACAGTCAAAACTATAAAAATACATGGAAATTAAATAATCAGCTCCTGATTGATTGTTGGGTCAATGATGAAATTAAGGCAGAAATAAAAATATTTTTTGAAACAAAATAGAGACACAACCTATCAAAACCTCTGGGATACAGCAAAAGTAGTGCTAAGAGCGAAGTTTATAGCATTACATGCCTACATCAAAAAGGTAGAAAGATCTTAAATTAACAACTTAATATTGCACCTCAAGGAAATAGAAAAACAAGAACAAACCGCACACACATTTAGTAGAAGAAAAGAAATAACAAAGATGAGAGCAGAACTAAATGTAACTGAGACCAAAAAATAATACAAAGGATCAATAAAATGAAAACTTGGTTATTTGAAAGGCTGAATGTGGGGGCTAACACCTGTAATCCCAGCACTTTGGGATGATGAGGCAGGAGATCCACTTGAGCCCAGGAGCTTGATACCAGTCTGGGCAACATACTGAAACCCTGTCTCTATAAAAAAATTTTAAAAAATAAAAAGTTGGATATGGTGGCACACCCCTGGACTCTCGCTACTTGGGGGGATGAGGTGGGAAGATCTCTTGAGTCTGGGAGGTTAAGGCTGCAGTGAGCCATGATTGTGTCATCGCACTCCAGCCTGGGTGACAGAGAAAGACCCTGTCTTTAAAAAGCAAGCAAACAAACACACAAACAAAAAAACAGAACAAAAGATAAACAAAAGTGATAGACCACTACTAGGTTAACTTATTAAAAAAGGGAATATTCAAATAAGCACAATCAGAAATGACAAAGATGTCATTATAATTGGTACAATAGAAATAGAAAAGATCATGGGAGACTACTCTGAGCATCTCTATGTGTGCAAACTGGAAAATCTAGAGGAAATGGATACCTTCCTGGAAACAGAAACCTCCCAAGATTGAACCAGGAAGAAATAGAAATCCTGAACCCACCAATAATGAGTAGCGTAATTGAATCGGTAATAAAAAATCTGCCAAAAACTACAAAAAAGGCCCAAGACCAGACAGATTCACAGTTGAATCCTTTTTTTTTTTTCCTATTTGGCCCAAACAAATGTCTACACAGGCCAGTTACACCAGATGTACAAGGAAGAACTGATACTAATCCTACTAAAACTGTTCCAAAAAGATCAAGAAGGAGGGAACCCTCCCTAACTTATTATACGAAGCTAGCATCATCCTGATACCAAAGCCAGGCAAGGACATATCAAAAAAGAAATCTAGAGACCAATATCCCTGATGAACATAGATGTCAAAATCCTCAGCAAAACACTAGCACATTGTATCCAACAGCAGATCAAAAAGATAATACACTATGGTCAAGTGGATTTTATTCCAGGGATGCAAGGTTGGTTCAACATACATAAATCAATAAATGTGATTCACCACATAAACAGAATTAAAAACAAAAACCATATGATCACATTGATAGATGCAGAAAAAGCATTAAAAAAACCAGCATCCTTTCATGATAAAAACGATTACCAAACTAAGCATAGAAGAAATATATGTCAAAATAATAAAGGCCATATATGACAAACCCACAAGCAACATCCTACTGAACAGAGAAAACTTGAAAGCATTGCCCCTAAGAACTGGAACAAGACAAAGATGCCTACTTTCACCACTTGTATTCAACATAGTACTAGAAATCCTAGCTAGAGCCATCAGGCAAGAGAAAGAAATGAAAAGCATCCGAATTGGAAAAGAGGATGTCAAATTATCTCTGTTACATGATGATGTACTCTTACACCTATAAAATCTTAAAGACTCCTCCAAAAGATTCCTAGATTTTATAAGTAACTTCGCTGAAGTTTGAGGATACAAAAATCAAACTACAGAAATTAGTAGCATTTCTACACATCAATGATGATAAAGCTGAGAACCGAATCAAGAATGCAATCCCATTTAAAATAGCTATGAAAAATATGTAGGAATACATTTAACCAAGGAGTTGAAAGATCTGTACAAGGAGAACTACAAAACACTGATGAAAGAAATCATATGTGACAAAAACAAATGGAAAAACATCCCACGCTCATGGATGATCTCCTCCAAACTATTTTTCCCGATTTCTCTTCTTCCTTTTTGACAGAATAAAAAGGGGAGAAAACTTCCTATTTTGAGTATCTCCATTCTTCCCGTTAGCCTTTAAAAATTTTGACCTATTTAATGCTATTAATTGGAAGAATCAAATCTTGATTGGAAGAATAAAAAATCTTCCAACAACAACAAAAAAAGCCCAAGACCAGACAGGTTCACAGTTGAATCCTTTTTTTCCCCTATACTTTGTGCACACCTCTTTTGGCTTTGTAACATCACAATGTGATTAAGTGTTTTTTATGTTTGTTGTTTTCACTGGGCAGGGATACTGACCCCCCTCTGCCTTTCTAAACTATTATTTATTGATTATCTTCTATGTCCCAGTTACTGCATAAGAATTTAACATAAGGAATCTCATTTCATCGCTTCTTCAGCAACATCTGGAAACAGGTATGATGATCTCCACTTTAGAGGTGAGGATTCAGAGAACACAGATTTGAAGTGACTTGCTGAGTTGTGAGTCGAACTTTATATTCTGCATCAGCCAGCCTCGGGACCAGGCATGTGGCAGATGTTCAATGCTGAGTTACGACTAATATTATGAAGGTAAACCTCAGTGCAGACACCATCTATTCTAGGAATCCTCTGTAGCCTATTTTTGCTGATATTGCCTCCTCTTTGTTGCAAACGAACCTGGAACAGTCCTCTATTATCACACTTCTCACACTGACTTTGATCAAGTCAGTTTTCTATGTGGAGTGGACTATATGGATTTTGCATATATGTATCTTCTGGCAGGAGTGGGAAGCTGGACTGCTGAGCTGGCTCTGGAGGGATGCTCCCAGAGTACCCAGGACTGAGGCAGTTAATTTGCCCCACTGGTGAGGAGGAAATTTCTTGTAAAAGCTAGCTCCCCTCAGAACAAAGTGGCCTTTTATTTTTTAGCTTTGGAAAGGAGCCTAGCTGTCCATGGAAACAAAGAGAGGAGAGAATCACTGAACCAGTCTTGCACATAAAAAACCTACCATGCCTGTCTTTGAAGTCTCCTTTATGTCATTTAGAAAACTTTGGATTATAGGAGTGTTTTTTCCTCCTTTTTTTCCTCAGTTCCTCACCCACCCCAATTTTTTTTTTTCAGAGAAAAGAGAGAACTGGGTATAAGAGAACCTTTCTTTGAAACAGGGCAGAAGTCATTAATTAAGGTTCCCATTCATTCCTGCTGACACTTGCTCATCAATCAGATTTCCTCTTAGCATTCTGATGACCTTGCTGACCTTGGTCCTCCATGCTGTCTGCTAGACAGAATTGAGACTCAGACCACACACACCAGAACTGAGGGAATGGGCTCTGACTCTCGGCTTCCTGAGATGGAGGAGAAAGGGTCTGGGGACAAAGCTGGCTGGTCCGGAGCTCTTCTGGCTGAGGTGAAGGTGAATAAAGAAGACATTTTCTTTGCGGAAGCAAGTGTTGCTTACTTCACACAAGCAGTGATCTATAGCTGCCCTTCTCTTTTTCCCCAGAACCCAGGGCCAGCCATGGAGCTTGGAGCCCAGCCAGCTGAGCCCAGGAAACAAGGCTAGCAATTTCTCTCTGCTAACTCAGCACTGCTGAAAGAAGTTAACAGCTCTAGTCTTCTCTCAGAAAAGTACAGGAAACTGTTCTGGAGATGGGGGTGGCATCTGGGACTAGTCAGCCTAAGGTGTGGGACTTTTATTTCATTACTTGTGCCTTTATTCATTCATTAAATATACATTTACCTGGCAGCCACTGTGTATACTAGGCAAATTTTATGTTATGTATAGTTTATCACAATTTAAAAAAAGAATTAAAAAATTATGTGTGTAGATAAACTTGGAAACACAAAAAACACTTGCTACATTACTGGGGGTAGTAAGGTTGTGGGTAAATTTCTTCTACATGTCTGGTGCTAGAAAGTATTTGCAAAGCATAAAAACCTTAAAGAAAAAAATGGACAAAAAACTAAAATAGATTTTTCTAGAAAAAACCTATATACACAAATGGTTAACAAATGCATGAAAAGATATTCAATATCATTAGCCATTAGGAAAATGCAAATCAAAATCATATGATACTACTTCAAACACATAAGATGGCTATGATAACAAAATGACAAAAAGTGGAAAATAGCATATGCTAGCAAAGGTGGGGGAAAATCAAAACTTTCATACATGACTGGTGAGAATATATTAATAAGATGGTGCAACTGCTTTGGAATTACCGAAAAGGAGAAGAGATTTTCTGGAATGATGCCTTTTTAACTAAGGGAGTGGGGACGGCATCTCATATACAAGTGGACAGGTTGGCCTGAAGTAGGAGTAAAGACAATCCATTCACAGTAACGAGAAGGAAGGAGGCGAATGTGGGCACAGACAAATGCATTAGGTCAAATGTAGTGATGCAACTTCTGAAAGTTCTATGTGACTGTTGCTATTTCCTCAGTGAAGAAAGTGGAAGAGTGAATGGATCTGGAAGATGATTCCTGAGCAGTTACAAGGGCCTGCTTGAGCTTAAAGTAATGGACTTAAAATCAGACTGGTCAGCATGGTTGTGTGTTGATCTTCAGCCAGGTTCAGCTGCTCAGGTGTAGGCTGGGAGTGAAGAGGTGAATCTCACTGAGGTTGGAGCTTTTCAAGAAGAGTATAATAAAGCAAGAAAGGGAAAATATAGTTGAAGAGAGAAATTATGATGATGAGAATATGCTCTAAGCTAGATATGGAAGGGAGGGGAGTGAAGCCTCCACAGGTACTGATAGTTGGGGCGAGGGGGTGGTGAAAAGGAGTGGTATCTGTAGATTGGAGGTCTCTGTGGGGTCAAAAACTTGCTGGAATTGGGACACTCAAACTGGAAAGATAAGAGGGGGGATGATCAGAGAGTGGGTTGCTTGAAACTCAAATTAGGTAAAATTTGCAAGTATTGGGAATAATAAGGTGCAGTACATGACCATGGGAATGATGGCTAGACGAGGGTGTGAGACAATGGAGGAGATGAGGTCAATGAATACATGAGCCAGGATACAGGGAGGAAGAGCTGCATGATTATTTAAATTATGTCTCAGTGAAATTATTGATTTAAACTAAATGAGAGCAAAAGTGAGATATAATCTTCAAGAAATGAGGGAGCATGACTTAGAGGTCAGTAGATGACAGCAATGAAGTGGGAATAGGGGATTGTATAGCCTGGTGATGTGATTAAAAGCAGAGTGTTAAGGCAGAGGGGTGAAGTGGTCAACAAGCATCAAGATGGGCAAGGAAAACTTTTACCCCCACCAGGGATCTGTGTGGTACAAGGAGTTTGGAGATAAAACAGCAACCACTTGAGAGGGTTTCTGGAGAAGCAATGTCCTCCTGGGAGAGTCAGATGTCTGTTAGACCAAGAAGGCCAAGGGAGAGTACAAGATTGAAGATGTATGGGATTTGCTGATGACTGGCTCTGATTTCCAGGGGGATATAGCGGAAGCGTTTCCTCAGACATCTCCCCAGGTAGATGGCATCAGAAAAGTGAATATAGCAAGCCAAATGGGGATAAGAGCCCAGAGGACAAGGAAGCTCCACACTCTTTTTGGTGTCTGACTTAAGTAGATGTAAACGGCATATGAGGTAACCCTGATGGTCTCCAGGCAGGAGGGGTGTAGGCTGTGAGTGCTGGAGGGACAGGGAGGAGAGAGAGTGAGGGTCCTGTCAGGGGCACAGAACTCAAAAGAGGGGTGGTCTTTTCTGGATCAACCCAAACTCTGAGGCACTCTTCTTACTTATATGGCACAAGGTGCTCTGAGGCTTTCTCCTGACTCGATTGGTGGATGTTTCTGGTGAAACTGGGCTGCAGTTAGTTGTTTAAAACCATCTGTTGACATTTATTCCAGACCTGCTTTGGCTCCCCTTATGAACCAGGATGTTGGAAAGTAGCCTGGCAGGCTCACTCCTAAATTTGGCCTTTAAAATGGTGAATAACTCAGTTTGGTTGAAGATAATCACAGGATTACTAATAGATCATTCGTGGCAGGATGTAAGTCAGTCAGGATATCCTTGATTCTGGGATGTCTGGCAAAGCGCTGGGAGTAAGAGCTCATTGAATCCTAGTGTGCTCTTTGGGCCAGGTCTGCTAGTGGTGTATACTATACACCTTTCTAAAAGTGTATTGGGCATCATACTTTTTGGACTATTCAGATTATTTTTAATATATTATAAATCTTGCTGCTTTGTAGCTCTTCACTCAATGACTCAATGTCATCATCTGTCACTGCAAGAGTAGATACCACCATAGCAAAATGTCCATTACTCAGAATTCAGCTTCACCCCTGAATTCTTCCATGAATTTCTAGTAAAACAACGGTTTTGAGATCAGACATTTTTGACAGAAAAGATTGATTTTTTTCCTTTTTTATTTTTTTTTTGAGATGGTGTTATTGCTCTGTTGCCAATGCTGGTCTCAAAGTCCCATATTCAAGCAGTCTTCCTGCCTCAGCCTACCAAGTAGCGACAGGGATGCACCATTTTGCCCGGCCAGGATTGATTTTTTAAGTCTTAAGCTATCTTTACATACCAAAAGCATTGCTTGAATTTCTATTTATTTATTTTTGAATTTTTCAACAAGCTCATTTAAATGTAGCTAGTGATTTTTAGTTTTTGTTTTGTTCTGTTTTGTTTTGTTTTGTTTTTTTTTGTTTTGTTTTGAGACAGGATCTAGCTCTGTCACCCAGGCTGGAGTGCAGTGATGCAATCACAGCTCCCTGCAGGCTTGACCTCCTGGGCTCAAGAGATCCTCCTATCTCAGCCTCCCGAGTAGTTGGGACTACAGGCATGTGCTACCACGCACAGCTAATTTTTATTTTTTGTGGAGACAGGGTCTCACTATGTTGCCCTGGCTGGTCTGGAACTCCTGGGCTCAAGCAATCCTCCTGCCTTGGCTTCCCAAAGTGGTGGGATTACAGGCATGAGTCACTGCACTGGCCTGGACTTTTTGATTACAATCTATGGTAACAAATATATTTTTTGTTATCACTCAACACACACACACACACACACACACACACACACACACACACACACATACACACATTCATGTAAAATTGTAATAAAAATTTCAGATGCCCTCTGATTGACACTTTTTATTGTGTTTTAGATTTTATTTCTAAAAATCTGGTCTTGGCCTGCTAAATTGATTTTATGACACATTAGTAAAGTATAATTTTAAAAATTACTATAAACCATAATACAAGGAATGCTCAGGGTACATAGGAAAAGGCTCTGACTCATGAGAAATAACTAGAGAAATCCCACCTCTTCTGGCATTGTTAATCTTAGAAGGAGGAGAGAGAGCATGGTAGGGTAAGACAGACGAACACCAGCGTCCTCATTTTCCCCTCTTTTTAGGGTATAACTTTGAGGTGTGTGTGTATATGTGTTTGTGTGAGGGATGTGTGTGTGTGTGTGTTTATGTGTGTGCACCATGGAAGTCTTCAGAGAGGCATAAGACAACTGAAGGCATTAGAAATACTGGCCTGGGTCCAGGGCTTAGGGACGCAGCAAGCCTCTAGAAGAAGTTGTGCATTCTGGTTAGCACTGAGCCTAAGCTGAGGCAGAAGCTGTACAGTGCAGCAGTGGCTGACAAGTGGTCTAGATAGATAGTGTAAGATAGTACTGCTGATTGCCCTGGTCTGTGCAGGACGCACAGGGAATTCGAAAGTTTCTGCTTGGTTTGGTGATGGGGCTCAGATGTGCCAAGGAGATTAGTGGACTAGCCGAGCTGGGCTTGAGATAAAGAAAAGATCACATAGAGGCCAGGTGCAGTGGCACACACCTGTAACCCCAGCACTTTGGGAGGCAGAGGCAAGTGGATCACTTGAGGCTAGGAGTTCAAGACTAGCCTGGCCAACATGGCAAAACCCTGTCTCTACTAAAAATACAAACATTAGCCAGGCATGGTGGCACATGCCTATAATCCCAGCTACTCGGGTGGCTGAGGCAGGAGTACCACTTGAACCCGGGAGGCAGAGGCTGCAGTGAGCTGAGACTGCGCCACTGCACTCCAGTCTGGGAGACAGAGCAAGATGCTGTCTCAAAAAAAAAAAAAAAAAAGAAGGAAATAAAGATCACATAGGAGTTTTGCAACCCAGCCAAATGACTAGTACTAAGAATTTCAAAAGCAGTAGATACAGTATGATAACCGTAAAAGATATGATGGAATCAGCAACACCTCATCGTGTCCCAGTCTAGAGGCCAAATGAGAGTACAATATAAGGAACTTTCTGGAGAAATGTGAGGACCCTGCTCTTCAACTGCGGCAAGTCCAGGTAAGCTCCTCCTCACTGACCCAAATGCCATTTCTAGGTGGATCAGAGGAAGGGAGAGAAAGTCAAAAGAGCATTGACCCCAAAGACACCAACATACACAAAAGAGACTGTTAAACATGAAGAGAAAGAGATACCATGAATTGAAAAATTTGTCTTCTCTCTCCTGTAAGTTTTGAGGATAATTGGAGCAATTAAAGAAAATATGAAATAGTAGTTTGTTAAATTGCACCCTCGTTACAGGAGTACTAATTTCAAGATATTTTGTCTTAGTGACCTGGACAAGCATAATCATGCTTATCTCCACCTACCAACTGGGAAGTTTAGACAGCTTACCAATCACCCCAACTCAGAAGGTATGTGCCGTTGGCCTGATATCACCGATAAGAGTGCACAAACAAAAACATAAGGTAATGTGCCCAAGGCCCTGTAGCTGGTAATTGCTTATCTGCCTTCAGGCCTATGTGATTTCCTCTCCACCTTGCAGTCTTCTTCGGTGATCTAATTAGGCTATTGTCCCAGGCAACATGACAATTGGCAGTCACTGATTCCTTTGCTTTGTCCTAGGTCATACATAGGACAAAACAGAAAACAGGCAGATGATAATTTGATGAATACACTCAAAACCAGACTCTAGAGAGCCTTTAGATGCTCTTAATACTCACTTATGTTTAGTGCTTTATAGTTCACAAACCTTGTCACATTTCTTAGTTGACCTTTATGAAAATCTTGAAGCAGATGTTCCTATTATTCTCTCTCCACAGAAGAAGCAGCCAGGTCTTAGGAGGCCCAGGTAAGTTTCTGAAAGGCACAGTGAAGGAGTGGAACAGAAACCCTCAGCCAGATCATTTTACTCCTAGAGAAACGCACATCCACAGACTCTGCTGCCCTATTTAGGTCAAGGACAGGAAGATACTGGCAAAATGTTCTGTTATGTTACTATCTTCTTCTCTGCAAGTGGGCTACAGGCCCCTTGGCTCTCCCTCACATTCCCCTTCTTGTCCTCTGACTGGTGCTTATCTTAGTGTGTCTGGCTGTGATGTTCAGGACAAGTGGAGTCTGAATTTTTGACAGGTGATAAATGGCTATGGTTTCATTTCCCTCCCTCCAGTCTGAGGGTTGGCAAGCACTGCAGCTGGGAAGCAGCTGCCCAGAGCTGGGGTGTGGTGGGAGAGGGGCCTCCGGAGGATGCCTGGCTACAGGCTGATGCGGTTACACAGGCTCCTGCCTCCACAGCCTTTGAAAGAAGGTCTTGCGTGAACTCAGACCTGTCTTACCATCTGGTTAGGTATATTTTCCTCTCTGGTTTTGAGGAGTCAAGAGGTAGTTAAGGGATAAAGGACAAATGTTTCCCTGGTGACTAGAGACCTATCTTGGAGGCCTGAATAAACTGGCTTCCACATAAATGAAAAAACAAAAAGCTCTAAATGAATTGTAAACAGAAGAACTGATGTGTCTCTTATCAGTCTGCTGCCTGTAGACTTTGGCTGAGAGATAATCACCATGGTTAGTGAGGATCCTGGAAGCCAGTTATCATTCATTCCTAACTGTGTTCTCCCGCCATTGTTTTGGCATAATAAAACCCTAAAGAATATAAAATCCCCAGTGCTCTGCAGCATCGTGGCTTCTCTTTATGAACCATAACCTCCTCATCCTTTTCCCAGTTCTCCCCATCTGCTTGCAACCCCACGCCTACCAAGTGCAAGGGACAAGGAGGGGGCTGAGCAGGTGGCATTCTGGACCTCACACCTTCACTTCCATCAGAAGAGCTCTGCTCTCATCTGCTTTATGAAATGACCTACTGGGCACCATTTACTCCTAAGGTTTCCTCTGTGGCAAGGTGAAAACTGCCTGCTGTCAGATGTTCACCATCTTTAGCTACAACAGAAAGGGTTGGGGAAGAGAGTGAGGTGGGTGGATTCAGGCTTCCTGCTCTCCACTTACTGTATAAGTAGGCACAAATAATTGTTGGTGCTTACCATATGTTTTTCCCTCCAACTGTGACACAAGAAGGAAGGTGAGGAAGCCCTGGCACATCCTGTGTGTTCCAGTGTCTGAAACGTAACTAGCTGCCTTTTCTTGATCAGCCTAGTGTCTCATGTCCTCTTGCCTCAGCCTCCTGAGTAGATGGGACTACAGGCTTGCACCACTACACCTGGCTAGCATTTTATTATTTGCAGACACAGAGTCTAGCGATGTTGCCCAGGCTGGTCTTGAACTCCCGGTCTCAAGTGATCCTTTTGCCTCTGCCCCACAAAATGGTGGTATTATAGGCATGAGCCACCATGCCTGGCCCCTTGCTAGATCTTGATGGGCAAATTCTAGGAAGTTTCCTGCCTGAATTCTTGTTAGGAGGAGATAAACAGGAATGTGAACACTTAAGGAAAGCCCAGAGAAAATAGTAAAATCTCTATTAGGATTGAGAGATTGGGCTATACATAGAATTATTAGCAGGCACTGGGCCAAGTGCTGGAGCCCAGAGGTGATCAAGACCCAGTCTTTGCCTTCATGGTGCTCACAGGCCAGGTGCTCTTCATGGAAGAGAAGGCAACTTCCAAAGCAAATAGTTCCAATACAGTTTGCTCAGTGTTGTAATAGATCGCATATCAAAATCCATAGGAAGGAGAGAGTAATTGCTGAACGGTAAGCTTCATGAAGGTAAACATCCTGTCTGTCTTATTCACTACTATTTACCTAGGACATCGCAGGGTGCCTGGGATGTAATAGCTATTTATATGTATTTGTTAAATGGAATTGATTCATTTACTCCAGGTATATCAAATGGTTTGACTCATTGCTGTGATTATTCATTGATTTATTTAGTCATTTATTCACTCCTTAAATAGTATTAGCTATTCATAGGTAGTAAGCAACTTATTATCATTTAATTTGAATATAAAGTTATATTCAAATAATAATAGGGGGAATTTTGATTAAATACAAGTAAAAAAGTAATGGCCATGGACAAACCTTAGGGAATAGCTGACAAGTAATGAAAACACCTACCCTTTATTGCAGAATGATAGTGTGCCAGGTTTCTCATAAGGGGAATAGTATTCTATTTCTAATGCAGACTGAAAAAGTTTACACAGCTGACATAACTTACCCAGCTCATATAATGGGATGCAAACCGAAGTCTCTGCCCGACTCCAAGTCATTCCCTTGGAGTCAGGCAGGATCATTCCCTACTCTACTCTACCTCTGCCACGGGGTATGAAACTTTAAAGTCAGGCCCTGGAGAAGTGACTGGAGCTGGACTCAGGGAGGGCTCAGGTTGGAGGAATGAAGCTCTCTGTAGGGGAGACCTGACCTCTGACCTCTGAGGGGGATAGCCAAGAATTTGATTTAATCCAGACTGGTATCAGGTGGCCAGAATTTTTACCTGGGAACCAGAACCACTCATGATACACCAGCAAGGGTTCTTGGCAGTGATGATACTTAGACAATAGGGAATGGGGGTAAGGCAGGGACAGGATTTGAAGTAGGATTAGAGCTAGCATCAGGTTGGGAGGTGGTGGTGAGAGAATTGGGATGGGGCAGAGACTCCTCAGCAAAGATGGGAGGGCCTTAGGACCCAGATCAAGCAGGCTGGGTTCAAAGAACTAAAGTAAACCAGGACATTGCTGAACTAAATTAAAAGTTGCTTTTAAGGGGACAGCTCTCATTTTAATCCTTTTGCCGATGTATTAACAACATAGCTGCCGTGTGGTGCGGTATGAAGAGTTTTGGACTTCAGTCACCTTTACCCATAGTTGCTGGCTCTGAAGGTTTCTTCAGGTGACTTAATCTCCCTGGATTTCATTTTCCCCATCTTAAGTGTGAGGATTTTGACACTTGCTTCACTCTGTGGTTCTGAGGATCATATGAGAGAGTTTGTGAAGTAGCACACTGTCAGGATGCTGAGGCTTTATAACCACTGAAGTCGTATTCTTATGTTCTATGTCTCTCACAGAACCAGGGCTTGAAACTATGTGAGTGGATGCTGGTTTTGAAGGCAGAGCTGGTGGAATGGTACACGTCAGTGATTGTAGGGCAACAGGGGCATCGATTAAAAATGGACCTTCTTAAGGTGGGGGGTGGTGGGGCTTAATTGAAAGTAACAAGAAATGCTCATAAAACAGCTCTTTATGCAGAGAGGAGCCAGTTTTTGCCTTGTTGCTAAGGTCCCGATTGTTTCCTGGCTGTGTTTTGTGTGTCTGTGTCAGGCCATTCTGTGGGCTCCTTTCAGGAAGTTAGTGATATTGGCCTGCAGATAATTAGATCAGTGTCATCACTTTCACTGTCCCCCTTTTTATTCTGCTGGGACAATTTGCATGAAAATAGAAGCGGGTGATATTCCTTTCCCATTAATAAGGCTCAGTCTCTTACTTGGGGGGCTATCCACATATAGGGGATTTGGAAAAAAATCCCAAATCTACATATAAGTGAGCCTTTTTTTAAAAAGGCCTTAAAGACCCAAATGTTCAGCCCAACCATCCCCTTGCCAAAATGGCTTTAAAAAAGGTTCCCTCATAAGGTAGAAGATCTTCATCTGGGATGCAGGTTTTTCAAGAGAAATGTTTAGGAGGCCTGTATTCTGCAGTGAAATTTACTCTGATGTTAATAAATATATATTAGTTTTTACAGGTCTTCTCTCAGCTTACAGCTTATCAAAGAACTAGACCCATTAGAAATCTTACTTTGCAACAATGAAGTTTGGGAGGAAGATTCTCATATTTGTTATTAATTCGCTATAAAGCAGTGGAGATGCAGTAGAAAGGATAGGTTTAGGCATCAATCAACTAGATTTAAATATTTGCTCCACCATCTACTGGTGGTATGACCTCAATAACCCTGTTTTCTCATCCATAAAATGGGAACGACAGACTTACCTTGCTATTTTCCTTCTCATATACGAGCATGCAAATGATATATAAAAGGCCTAACAAGGCAAGAGGCATGTATTAAGTGCTCGTTGGATTTATTTTTACTTCTTTTTTTTTTTTTTGAGACGGTGTCTTGATCTGTCACCCAGGCTGGAGTGCAGTGGCGAGATCTCAGCTCACTGCAAACTTCGCCTCCTGGGTTCAAACAATTCTCCTGCCTCAGCCTCCCAAGTAGCTGGAATTACAGGTGCCCACCACCACACCCGGCTAAGTTTTTGTATTTTTAGTAGAGATGGGGTTTCACCATGTTGGCCAGGCTGGCCTCGAACTCCTGACCTCATGATCTGCCTGCCTCGGCCTCCCAAAGTGCTGGGATTACACGTGTGAGCCACTGTGCCTGGCCTATTTTTGCTTCTTGTTTCTTTGTAATCTTCCTTCTCTCATATTTCTTAATAATTAATGAAGAGATGGTATCATTCAGGCACCAGACTTCCTGGATCAATGGATTTTACACTAACTGCTTCCAGCACATGTGAAATCCATGACATGGGGTAGTTTGTTTTTGATGTAGATCAAAAGGCAGATGTTAGCTTGTTTTTTGTCTATTAAATGTAAGAAATTTGCCTCCAGAAAGTGCTCCCATCCAGAAAATTCTCTCATCCAGAAAATTTTATGGGCAATTTTTTTTTGAAAGGAGTATGAGAGGAGTGTGGAGAGGGTAGAGGAGGAGGGGAAAAGAGAGGCTTTATTTTTTTTATGATTACTTTTCCGGTGCTAAGAGAAGGAAGAAAAAAAAGTTTTCTGAGTTATTTATGAAGCTACGTTTATTTTTTAGGCCAGGATAGATATTCGAGATGTTATTTTATGTTTTTTTCCTCTACATTTTCCCCATTTCCTTCCCTGCTTTGAGCAGGTAGCTAGTCTTTATGCTTCTTTGCCCGAGGATTTGTGGTAAGATAGAGAGTAGGGGCTACCCACATCTTCCTTTCCTGACTTTTCTCCACCAAAAATCCAAGCCTGCTGAAGAAATCTTGCTGGATGTCCTGAGGGGTAGAAGTGAGGGATAGCGCCCTTTGAGAAGCATCAAGCAAGAGACTGGGTAGGGGATAAAGATTTGTGAGTCCCTTGAATGATGACTCTTTCTCTGCTCTTTAGCGGTACCACCCAGAAGATGCAGAACTTTAGTGGAATCTCTAACCCTGTCCAAGGTTCCCATGCTATAATTAATTTTAAAAAGTAGCTAACATTTACACCTGCTCTAATTCATTTATTTCTCACATAAACTCTATGGGTTAAGTATTATCATTCTCCCCATTTTATAGATTAGAAAACTGAGGTTCAGCTAGGCAGAGACAGAATTTAAACCTGGGGGATTTGGATTTGGTCCCTGAGCCTATTTTTCTAACCATATTTTTCTGTAATTCTGTACTTCTGGGCCAGAACTGGCCTGCAGATTATGCAAGACTGCGTATCAGCAAGAATGACCTATGACTGAGCATATCTCAAAGTCTTGATGCCATGTAAGACCCCAGAACCTTGTAACACCTGGGGAAGGGGTAATCCCAAGAATGGTTGAGGTATAACTTCCTGTCTATAGAGCTGGATGGGAATCTTAGTGTTGAAGTGAAAATGATTAAAAATAAATTTTAAAATGTGAATGTTGTTTTCTCTGTTGTTGTTTATACATTGAGATTCTTATCTGCTAAAAACTGATAAAATGTGGCAAAGGAGTGCAAAAAAAGTATTTATATAATCTCACCTAAAATATTAACATTAATAACTCGAATTAATTGAGTGCTTACATATGCCATGAGACATAATTTTTTTTTAAAACGTATATAGATTTTGGGGATACAAGTGCAGTTTTGTTACATGGATATATTGCATAGTGGTGAAATCTGGGCTCTTAGTATAGCCATTACCTGAATAGTGCACACTGTACTCCTCAAGTAATTTCTCATCCCTCACCCCCCTCCCACTCTTCTCAGTCTCCAGTGTCCATTATTCCATGTGTATGAATTATTTCACTCCTGCTTATAACTCCAGTGTCTATGCCCACGTATATGAATTATTTCACTCCCACTTATAACTAAGAACATGCAGTGTTTCATTTTCTGTTTCTGAGTTCACTTAATTGCTTCCAGTTCCATCCATGTTGCTGCAAAAGACATGATTTTGTTCTTCTTATGCTTGAGTAGTATTCCATTGCACATATATATATACACCACATTTTAAAAATCCAATCATCCACTGATGGATACTTGGGTTGATTCCATATCTTTGCAATTGTGAATAGTGCTGAGATAAACATACCTATGCAGGCATCTTTTTAATATAATGATTTATTTTCCCTTGGGTAAATACCCAGTAGTAGTATTGCCAGATCAAATGGTAGTTCTATGTTTAGTTCTTTTAGAAATCTCCATATTGTTTTCCATAGAGGTTGTACTAATTTATTTAATCCTACAGTCTTATGTGGACAGTATTAAGGTCCTAGGGAAATTAAATAACTAGTCCAAGCACAGACCATCACTAAGTTGTGGAGTTAGGATTCAGATCCAGGATAATGTGATTTGAAAGCCATTGCTCTTTTCCAGTATGAAGCATCTAATGCTTCCACACTACCACCACTAGGTAGAAACATCCTCAATGAAATAATACAGGTTTAATTTATGAACATATTAAAAAGCGAATACATCGTAAAACATGTAGTTCAATTGCAGAAATACTAGGAAAATCCAATATTAGTAAATATAATAATAAAATCATCACATATAAATCATCTTGATAAAAGTTAAAAAGTAATTTGAAATGAATTATATACCATGGTTAACTGGAATTTATTCCAGGTATTCAAAACTGATTCAACATTTTAAAAATCAATTAATGTAATTTTTCACATCAACAGACTAGAGAAGAAAAATTATAGAATTTTTCAAATGTAGAGAAAGCATTTGACAAAATCCAACACCCATTCATTATATACATTCTCAGAAAACTAGGAATAGACAGAAACTTCAAGTCTGAGAACAAAATAAGGATGTCTCCCTCACCATTCCTATTCAACTTCACATTGGAAGTCCTAGCTAATGCAATAAAATAAGAAAAGGATTTAAAAGGGATATGGATTGAAAAGGAATAAGTATAACTATGCTTGTGGATGATATAATTATCTATTTGGAAAATTCTAAAGAACCAACAAAAAATCCTGGAACCACTACGTGATTATAGTGAGTTTGTAGGAAAAAAGATTAATATAAAAAACTCAATTGCTTTTCTATCTAATGGCAATGAACAATTAACATTTTAAATTAAAAACACGACTTCTTTTATATTA
The DNA here is from genome assembly GCF_000001405.40 of Homo sapiens. Lineage (NCBI taxonomy): Eukaryota > Metazoa > Chordata > Mammalia > Primates > Hominidae > Homo > Homo sapiens. Next base: position 82,784,187 of record NC_000011.10, on the reverse strand, counting down.
TCACTAAAAATGACATAGTTATAAACTTAACAAAATATGTATAATACTTATATGAGGAAAACTATACAACTGTTAAAAAATCAAAGAAAACAAAAATGAAAAGATATTCCATGTTCACGGACAGCAAGAAAATGTTATTAAAATGTCAGTTCTTCCCATATAGATTTAACATAATCCCAATCAAAATCACAGTAATTTATTTCATGGATATTGGTAAACAGATTCTGAAGTTTATATAGAAAGGAAAAAGAACCAGAATATCCAACACAATATGGAAAAAAAAAATAAAGTCAGAGGATTGGCACTCTATGGCTTCAAGACTTACTATTGAGCCATAGTGATGAAAACATTGACAAAGTAATAGACAAATAGATCAGTGGAACATAATGGAGAGCGCAGAAATAGACCCATGCAAATATAGTTCAACAGGACTTTGACAAAGGAGCAAAGGCAATTCAATGGAGAAAAGGCTTTTCAATAAATAGTGCTGGAACAACTGGACATCACCATGCCAAAAACCAAAATAAACAAAACAAAACTTAGACACAGATTTTACACCTTTCACAAAATGAACTCAAAATGAATCATAGACCTAAACATGACACAAAAAACTACACAACTTCCAGAAGACAACATGGGAGAAAATCTAGGTGACCTTGGGTTTGACGATGACTTTTTAGATATAGTACCAAAAGTATGATCCATGAAAGAAAAAGTTGATAATTTAGACTTCATTAAAATTAAAGACTTCTCTGTGGAAGATAATATTAAGAAAATTTAAAGAAAAGCCACAGACTGGGAGAAGATATTTGCAGAACACATATCTGATAAAGGACTTACACCCAAAATATACAAAACACCCTTAAAACTTAACAATAAACAACCAACCCAATTGTGTTAAAACAACCCAATTACAAAGTGAGCAAAAGATCTGAACTGAAGCACCTCCAAAGAGAATATACAGTTTGCAAATAAGCATATGAACAAATGCCCAACATCATATGTTATTACGTAATTGCAAATTAAGACACCAATACACACCTATTAGAATGGCTAAAATCCAAAACACTGACAACACAAAGTGGTGAAAATATGTAACAACAGGAATCCTCATTCATTGCTGGTGGAAATGCAAAATAGTAGAGCTATTTTGGAAGATAGTCTATCAGTTTCTAACAAAGTTAAACATAGGCTTACCATATGATTCAGCAATTTCACTTCTTGGTATTTGCCCAGATGAGTTGAAAATTTATCCACACAGAAATTTGCACATGAATGCTTATAGCAGTTTTATTCTTGATTGTCAAAAATTGGAAGCAACTAAGATATCCTTCAATGGGTGAATGGAAAAACATACTGTGTACAATGGAATATTATTCAGTGATAAAAGAAATGAACTATAAAACTGTAAAAAGACATGGAGGAAACTTATATGTATATTGCTAAGTGAAAGAAACCAATCTGAAAACCTACTTACTATATGATTCCAACTATTTGACATTCTGGCAAAGACAAAATTATAGAGACAGTAAAAGGATCAATGGTTGTGTTACCGGTTGAAGGTAGTTGTTCAGGTTCTTGGCATTTTGAACAAAGAATTGGACAAAATGCGCAAACAAAGCAAGGCAGCAAAAGCAGAGATTTATTCTAAAAGAAAGTACACTCCTCAGGGTGGCAGTGGGCTCAAGCAAGTGGCTCAAGAGTGTCGGTTACAGATTTTTCTGGGATTTAAATACCATCTAGAGGTTTCCCATTGGTTCACTCTATGCAAACGCAGTAGTGGCCCATCACCAGTCTGATTGGTTGTAGGAGGGGACCAATCAGAGTGAAGAGTAGGCCCATGACCAGTCTGATTGGTTATGGGAAGGGACCATTTAGAGATATTGTCATTTTTCATCTGCCACCCAGAAAAAGGAGGGGTTGAAAAGGAAGTAGCCTCTGATGTCCAGTCAGCATGAATCGGCCTTAGGTTCCCTGCCTCCAGACCCTATTCTCTGCCTCAGTTGGTAGAGGTTTGGAGAAAAGGGACAAATAATTGTAACACAGGGCATTTTTAGGTCAGTGAAACTATTTTGTGTGACACTGGAAGAGTGGATACATGGCATTAAGCATTTGTCAAAATTAATAAAACTGTACAACCCAAAAAATGAACCCTATGGTAAACTATAAACCTTAGTTAATAATAATGAATCAATATTGGCTTATCAGTTGTAACAAATAGCACAAATGCAAGATATTAATCATAAGAGAAACCATGTGTGCATGGGGAGGGTTTTCATGGGAAATCTCAGTTTCCGTACAATTTTTCTGTAAGCCTAAAACAACTCTAAAAAATAAAGTCTATTAAAAATCGTTATTAATAAAATTCAATATCTATTCCTGTTTAAGTGTCTTTGTTTTATCAATGAAAGGTTACGTTTTGAATGTGACAGATTCTACCTATCTTTAGCCACCAGTCAACAATTACTCTATCATTTCTTCTCTCCTCTTTACTGTAAAATTTCCTGAAAGTGTTGGCTATACCCACTCCACTTTCTCATCTTCTAGCCTATCCTAATTCTTCACGATCATAATGAAACCACTCTTGTTTACCAGTAACAATTGCCGTCCTGTGTCAAAAACCGAATGGTTGATCTCAGCCAGCATCTTTCTTGATCTCTCAACAGAATGCAACAGTTTTGTCTCCATGACACTACATTCTTCTCATTTTCTCCTACCTCATTGGCTACTCATGACCAGCTTCTTTTGCTGGCTCTTTCTCTTCATTCTGAATTCTAAATGTTGAGGTGCTATTAGACTCTTCCTTCCCTATATGATCTCATTTAGTATCACGGCTTTCTTTACATAACTTTTACATATTGATGTCCTGGGTTTTATCTCTGGCCCTGACCTCTTCTCTGAGCTCTAAACTCATGAACCCAACAATCTTCACTTTGATTCTAAGAGGCAGGTCCATCACATATAGTTTTAGGTGCACACACACACACATATACTTACACACATATATACATATATATGTCTCAGAATCAATATACATCTCAACATGAAAAAATATATATAACTTAGGGAGGCCAAAGCAGGAGGATTACTTGAGGCCAGGAGTTCAAGACCAGCCTAGGCAACATAGTGAGACTCTGTCTGTACAAAAATTTAAATATATATATTTATGTATCTATATATAAGTCTATATATATAGATATATATAAGATATATCTATATATGTCTATATATATATATATAAATATATATATAAATGTAGATGGCACTCCATTGAATCCCCTAGAGTTGTGCAACACATCATCCTTAAATTCGGTATTTTAAAATTTAAATTTAAATTTAAAATTTAATTAAAATTTAAAATTAACATGGCCAAAAGAGAACATTTTCCTCAAGTTCATTCTTACTCCAGTCTTTCCCAACTGAGTACAAGGCACCATCTTCACTCCCTGTACTACAGAGGCTAGAAAATATACATTTACTGAACTTTCTTGCCATAGGGTTCTAGGTATGATTTAAGTTCTGACAATAAGATGCATTTACTTAAGACTTGGAAGGTGGAGGCCAATCATCTATGATGGTGATGGCTAATGTGTTGGCCCTGGCAGACATGGGATTTGCAACCATCAGTCTATGTTTCCCCATGAGGAACAAGAATGCCATTATGGAACACCGGTCAGAGTGGGGACTAGGGAGATCAGGTGAGAAATCACATTTTGGTCGCATGTGCCTGTAGTCCCAGCTATTTGGGAGGCTCCTGGGAGAATTGCTTGAGCCTGGGAGGTCGAGGCTGTAGTGAGCTGAGATCATCACGCCACTGCACTCCAGCCTGGGTGACAGAGGAAGACCCAGTTTCAAAACAAAAAACAGAAAACAAAACAAACAAACAAACAAAAAGTCATCAGAGATATTGGCCACTAGTTTTCCTTTTTTAACGTGTTTTTTATTTTTTAAGTATTTTTTGAGAGGGAGTCTTGCTCTGTTGCTCAGGCTGGAGTGTGGTGGCACAATCTTGGCTCACTGCAACCTCCATCTCCCAGGTTCAAGTAATTCTGTTGCCTCAGCTTCCTGAGTAGCCAGGACTACAGGCACCCACCACCATGACAGCTAATTTTTGTATTTTTAGTAGAGACTGGATTTTGCCATGTTGGCCAGCCTGGTCTTGAACTCCTGATCTCAGGTGATCCACCCACTTCAGCCTCCCCAAATGCTGGGATTACAGGTGTGAGCCACTGCACTTGGCCTTTTAATGTGTTTTTGTTTGGCTTTAATAACAAAGTCATATTGGCCTTGCAGAATGAGTTTGGAAGTAATCCCTCCTCCTCTATTTTTCAGAAGAGTTTGAGTAGGATTGGTGTTAGTTCTTCTTTAAATGTTTGGTAGAATTCAGCAGTAAAACCACTGGGTCCTGGGCTTTTCTTTACTGGGAGACTTCTTATTATAGCTTTGATGTCATTACTTGTTATTGGTCTGTTCAGGTTTTGGATTTCTTCATGGTTTAATCTTGGTGTGTTGTATATGTCTAGGATATGCCCATTTTTTCTAGATTTCCCAATGTAACGACATAGAATTGGTCATAGTAACCACTAATGATCCTTTGAATTTCTTCAGTATCAGTTATAATGTCTCCTTTTTCATCTCTGATTTTATTTATTTTGACCTTCCCTCTTCTTAGTCTGGCCAATGCTTTGTAAATTTTGCTTAACTTTTCAAGAAAACCATTTTTGTTTGATTGATTATTTTGTATTGTTTTCTTCATTTCAATTTCACTTATTTCTTCTCTGATCTTTATTATTTCTTTTCTTCTACTAATTTTGTGTTTGGTTTGCTCTTGCTTTTCTAGTTATTTAAGGTGTATTGTTAGGTTGTTTATTTGCAGTTTTTCTTCTTTTTTGATGTGGGCACTTATAGCTGTAAATATCCCTTATAGTACTGCTTTTGCTGTATCCCACAGGTTTTGGTCTGTTGTGTTTCCACTATCATTTGTTTCAAGAAAATTTTCCACTTCCTTTTTTATTACTTCATTGGCTCACTGGTCATTCAGGATCATATGGTTTAATTTCCATGTATTTTTATAGTTTCCAAAATTCCTCTTGTTTTTATAGCTTTATTCCATCATGGTCAGAGAAAATGTTTAATATTATTTCAATTGTTTGAATGTTTTAAGACTTATTTTATGACCTAACATATGGTCTATCCTTGAGGATAATCTTTGTGCTGAGGAAAAGATATTCTGCAGCTGTTGGATGAAATGTTGTGTAAATATCTATTAGGTCCATTTGGTATATAGTGCAGATTAAGTCCAATGTTTCTTTGTTGATTTTCTGTCTGGAAGACCTTTCCGATGCTGAAAGTGGGGTGTTAGAGTCTCCAGCTATTATTATATTGGAGTCTATCTCTCTCTTGAGCTCTAATAATATTTGTTTTATATATATGGGTGCTTCAGTGTTGGATGCATATATATAAAATTGTTATATCCTTTTTAGCAATTCAGACCCCTTTATCATTATATAGTGACCTCCTTTGTCTCTTATTATAGTTTTTGTCTTGAAATTTATTTTGTTTGATATAAGTATAGCTACTTCTGCTCTTTTTTGGTTTCTATTGGCATGGAATATACTTTTCCATCCTTTTGTTTTCAGTCTGTGTATTTCTTTATATGTGAAGTGTTTATTTTGTTGGCAACAGATTATTGGGTCTTGTTTGTTTTTAATCCATTCAGGTTCTCTATGTCTTTTGACTGAAAAGTTTAGTCAATTCCATTCAATGTTATTATTGATGAGTAAAAATGTACTTTTGTCATTTTGTTATTTGTTTTCTGGTTGTTTTGTGGCCTTCTCTTCCTTCTTTCTTTCCATCCTGTTTTCCTTTTAGTGAGGACAGTTTTCTCTGGTGATATGATTTAATTGCTTGCTTTTTATTTTTTGTGTATTTGTTGTATGTTTTTTGGTTTGAGATTACCATGAGGCTTGCAAATACTATCTCATAACCCATTATTGTAAGCTGATAACAACTTAATACTATTTTCATAAACAAACAAGCAAAAAGGAAACTAATAAAAATTCTGTCTTAATTTTGTTGCCCTACTTTTTAAAAATTTGTTGTTTCTATCTACATCTTATTGTACTATGTCTTGAAAGTTGTTGTGTTATTTTTGATTGGTTCATCATTTAGTACTTCTATTTAAGATTAGTTTACACACCACAACTACAGTGTGATAATATTCTGTGTTTCTGTGTACTTACTATTACCAGTGAGTTTTGTATCTTCAGATGATTTCTTATTTTTCATTAATGTCATTTTCTTTCTGATTGAGGTACTCTTATTAGCATTTTTTGTAGGACAGGCCTGGTGTTAATGAAATCCCTCAGCTTTTGTTTGTCTGGGAAAATCTTTATTTTTCCTTCATGTTTGGAGAATATTTTCACCGGATATACTATTGTAGGGTAAAAGTTTTCATCCTTCAGCACTTTAAATATGTCATGCCACTCTCTCCTGGTCTGTAGAGTTTCCACTGAAAGTCTGCTGCCACATGTTTTGGCACTCTATTGTATGTTATTTGTTTCCTTTCTCTTGCTTCTTTTAGGATTCTTTCTTTATCTTTGACCTTTGGGAGTTTGATTATTAAATGCCTTGAGGTAGTCTTCTTTGGGTTAAATCTGCTTGGTGTTCTATAACCTTCCTGTATTTGGATGTTAATATCTTTCTCAAGGTTTGGGAAGTTCTCTGTTATTATCCCTTTAAATAACTTTCTACCACTAACTCTTTTTCTATCTCCTCTTTAAGGCCAATAACTCTTAGATTTGCCCTTTTGAGACTATTTTCTAGATCCCATAGGTGTGCTTCATTGGTTTTTATTCTTTTTCTTTTTGTCTTCTCTGACTGTGTATTTTCAAATAGCCTGTCTTCAAGCTCACTAATTCTGCTTGATCAGTTCTGCTATTAAAAGACTCTCATACATTCTTCAATATGTCAATTGCATTTTTCAGCTCCAGAATATCTGCTTGATTCTTTTTAATTACTTCAGTCTCTGTTAAATTTGCCTGATTGAATTCTGAATTCCTTCTCTGTGTTTTCTTGAATTTCTTTTGAGTTTACTCAAAACAGATTTTGAATTCTCTTTCTGAAGGTTCACATATCTCTGTTTCTCCAGGATTGATCCCTGCTGCCTTATTTAGTTCACATGGAGAGGTCATGTTTTTCTGTTTATCAATTATTGATATCTTTAGATGTTCATCTGTGCTGGACATTGAAGAGTCAAGTATTTATTGTAGTTTTCTCAGTCTGGGCTTGTTTGTACCCATCCTTCTTGGTAAGGTTTTCCAGATATTCAAAAGGATTTGGTTGTTGTGATCCAACCTGTGACTGCTTTAGGGGGCACCACAAGTCCAGTAACACTGTGGTTCTTGCAGACTTGTAGAAGTACTGCCTTGATGGTCTTGGATAAGATCCAGAATTCTTTGGATTACCAGACAGAGACTCTTGTTCTCTTCTATTACTTTCCCCAAACAAACAGAGTCTGTCTCTCTGTCTATTTTGAGCCACATGGAAATGGGAGTGGAGTGACTCAAGCACCCCTGTGGTCACCACTAATGGGACTGTGCTGGATTAGACCTAAAGCCAGCACAATACTGGGTCTTTCCCAAGGCCCGCTGTAATCATTCCCTAGCTATGGCCTATGTTTGCTCAAGGCCCTGGGGCTCTACAATCAACAGGTGGCAAAGCCAGCCAGGCCTGTGTTCTTCCCTTCAGGGTGGTGAGCTCTGCGAGGCTCCAGGTGGGTCCAGAGGTGATGTCTGGGAGTGAGAGAGAGAAGTGCCGTCTGGAAGTGATTAGAGTCAAAAACCTTAGAAGTCTACCTGGTGTTTTATTGTATTGCAGTTGAGCTGGCACTCAAACTACAAGACACAGTCCTTCCCACTCTTCCCTTTTCTTCCCAAAGGCAGAGGAGCCTCACCTGTAGCCACTACCATCACAGGTGCATGGGGAGTACTGCCAGACTACCACTGATGTTCTCTTAAGACCTGAGGTTGCTTCAGTCAGCTTGTGGTGAATGCTGCCTGGCCTAGGACTCACTCTTCAGGTCAATGGGCTCCCTTCTGGCCCAGGGCAGGTCCAGAAATGCCATCGAAGAGCCAAGATTTCCCTCTGGCTACGGCTGGTTTATTGCTCCCTCTGTGGGTGGGCATCAGCTGAATTTGTTCTGGTTTTATTTTCTGTTATAATAGGGCAGCTCTGAGTTCAATGTCTCAGAATTGCTGCTCTCTCCCTCCCCCTAGTGCCCAGAGATGTGTACCACTGCTGCTGGGTGATGGGTGAGGGGTTGGTATTGATGATTCAAGACTTTCTTTTTCTTCCTGACTCTTCAGTGCCTCTTTCAGTGATATGAAGTTGAAACCACGTACTGTGAGTGCCCACCTGATTTTTGGTTCTTATGAAGGTGCTTGTTTTGTATAGATAGCTGTTAAATTAGTGTCCTTATGGGGAGGATGATTGGTGGAGACTTCTAGTCCGTAATCTTGCTCTTCTAATACTTTCATGTTCAATATTTTTAGAAACTGCCAAACTGTTTTCTGAAGTGGCTGCACCATTTTGTATTCTCACCAGAAATGTGTGAGTGTTTCAATTCTCCACATTCTTACTGACACTTGTTATTGTCTTTTTTATTTTAGCTATCCCAGAGAATATAAAGTCACAACTCATTGCTGTTTTATTTGTACCAATGAAGTTGAATATCTTTTCCTATGCTTATTGGCCATTTGTATATATTCTTTGGAGAACTGCCTATTCAAATCACTTGCCCATTTTAAAACTGTGTTGCCTTTTTATTTTGAATTGTAAGAGTTAGTATATATTCTGGATACAAATATCTTTTCAGATATATGATTTTCAAATTTTTTTTCCCATTCGTGGGTTGTCTTTCTACTTTATTCATACTATTCTTTGCAGTAACATGTTTTAAATTTTAATGAAGCTCCTTCTATTTTTTTCTATCTCTTGTGCTTTTGGTGTCATATCTAAAGATAGACATACAGATTAATAGAATAGAATTGAAAGTCCAGAAATAAACCATTATGCTTATGGTCAATTGGTATTTGTAAAAAGTGCCAAGACAATTCAATTGAAAAAGAAAAATAAATGGTGTGGGATAACTGGATATCCACAGGCAAAAGAATGAAGTTGAGCCCTGAACTCACACCATATACAAAAATTAACTCAACTGGAGAATAACTCCAAATATAAGAGTCAAAACTAGAAAACTCTTAGAAACAAGAATAAGTATTTGTAATCATGGATAATTTTAAGGGAATTGATTTTTCAGATCCTTAGCTTCATATTTTAAATTTTGGAGTCCTAAAATACATCTGCTTAAGAATGTGCCTGTGTGTCCAACTGCTCTTCTGGTACTTTACAGATTCTGTTAAGGTATGCTGAATTCAGGCAGATGAGAAAAGAAAAGTGATATCCTGACCTTACCCTAACACTTTTCACAAATAAGAACAAACAACTACGTAATGACCCACAGTCCAGAAAACACTTTGTAATTTGAGATAAACCATGAAACAACACTTTATCTTTTCTTAAACCAATTAATAGTTTTGCTTAGCATTAATTCCTATCAGAGATGAAGGATGAAGGATTTGGTTTATTTCTTCTAAGTTATTGACTTCCACTTAGAAAACAACTACATGGCTCACTGCTTGCAATGCTGACCTTAGCAGTTGTGTAGCACCCCTTGCATATACAATAATCACATGAGAAGCTACTGTTTTTCTTTCAATGACAATAATGGACAAAACAACACTAACTTTGTTCTTTTTGTCTGTAAATATTGCTATAGTTTTTATTCAGTGCATGCATTCTTTTGGAAGCTGGCCCCTTTGCAAGCAACTTCTCTCAGCATTCAAATTTGTCTCTGAATCTTTGTCATAGAGTGAGGCGGTGGGAATACAGACAATTTTTGTCTAATGATTATACCTTTTATCTGATTATTTAAAAAGTTTATTGCCTTTGAGAGGAGTCTGGAAACAAAGCAAAGTGAGAGGTTGGTAAAAAATACCAATGCCAAACAAGTCTTTAAAAAATACATTTAAATGTAAGAAATTCTTTTTAACCATTCTAAAAACTAATACCTAGGGTTGTATCATTAGAGAAAAGAAAAGCTCCTCTGAACAGCTAATGAAGTAGACATTACATTATATAGGTAGGTGATGCTGATTGCTTTAAATGCAATTGGAATGTGTGCTGAGGCTGCCAAAATTTTCAAGCTACAGTGGATCAAATCCATGGATGAATTTTTCATGATTGCTTTCCAATTCAGTATGTTTCATTTATTATTGTAGTTAAAACCAGTTTTATCATAAAATTATTTTAATTATAGCTAATTCTCATCTCATGTCCTTATATAGAAGTTTAAAGTTTTCTACTTCCTATTCATAAAAAAAAAAGAATTTAAAAATTCGATGTGCCAGAATTACTAGGTTTTGAAGATATACCTGTACTCTCCAATATGGTAGTGACATGTGGTTTTTGAGCACTTAAAATGTGGCTGGTCTACCTTCCTTACACCATATACAAAATTAACTCCAGATGGATTAAATACTTAAATGTAAAACCCAAACCTATAAAAACTTTGGATGACAACGTGGGCAATACAATTCAGGATACAGGCACAGGCAAAGCTTTCATGATGAAGACACCAAGAGCAATTGCCAAAAAAGCAAAATTGACAGATGGGATCTAATTAAACTAAAGAGCTTCTGCACAGCAAAATAAACTATTAAACAGACAACCTACAGAATGGGGGAAATTTTTTGCAAACTATGCATCTGACAAATGTCTAATATGTATCATCTATATTAAAACACAGGCAAAGGACATGAAGAGACACTTTTCAAAAGAAGACATACACGTGACCAAAAATCATATGAAAAAAAGCTCAACATCACTGATCATTAGAGAAATGCAAATCAAAACCACAGTGAGATACTATCTCACACAAGTCAGAATGGCCATTATGAAAAAGTAAAAAAATAACAGATGCTGGTGAGGTTGTGGAAAAAAAGGAACACTTATACATTGTTGGTGGCAGTGTAAATTAGTTCAACCATTGTGGAAGACAGTGGGGCAATTCCTCAAAATCCTAAAGACAGAAATACCATTCGACCCAACAATCCCATTACTAGGTACATACCCCCAAAATATAAATTGTTCTATTATTAAGACACATGTACGTGTATGTTCATTGCAGCACTACCCGCAATAGCAAAGACATGGCGTCAACCTAAATGCCCATCAATAATAGACTGGATAAGGAAAATGTGGTACATATACGTCATGGAATACTATGAAGCCATAAAAAAGAATGAGATCATGTCCTTTGCAGTGACATGGATGAAGCTGGAGGCCATTATCCTTAGCAAACTAATGCAGGAACAGAAAATGAACCACCACATGTTCTCACTTGTAAGTAGGAGCTAAATGATGGAAACACATGGACACAGAGGGGAACAACACACACCGAGACCTATCAGAGGGTGAACGGTGGGAGGAGGGAGGGAGAGGATCAGGAAAAATAGCTTATGGGTACTAGGTTTAATACCTAGGTGATGAAATAATGTGTACAACAAACCCCCATGACCCAAGTTTACTTATGTAACAATCCCGCACATATACCCCGGTCTTAAAAGTTAAGAAAAAAGAAAAGAAAAGAAATGTGGCTGGTCTAAATTGAGATGTACTCTGAGTGTAAAACACACACTATATTTTGAAACTTAGGACAAAAAAGTAAAAATCACTATTTTTTACATGGATTGCGTTCTGCGCAGTGATAATATTTTTGGTATATTAGTTTAAATAAAATATGTTCTTATAATTTTTTTTTCTGTTTCTTTTTCCTTTTAAAAATGTGGCTAGAAAACCTAAAACTACATATGCACCTTGCATTTGTGGCTTGTATTATAACTTTTGTTGTATAATGCCGATATATATGTTTATCTTCCATTAAATGTGAGAACATGTTTGATCATATATATGTAGTCTAGAGCAGAAATCTTCAAACGTTTTGCTTGCGTATCCCTAAAGGAATTTTATTTTATTTATTTTATCTATTTATTTTCATGCAGGGACTCGCTCTGCTGCTCAGGCTGGAATGCAGTGGCATGACCAAGACCATGCCTGGCTAATTTTTATTTATTTATTTATTTTTGTAGAGATGAGGTCTCACTTTGTTGTACAGGCTTGTCTTGAATTACTTCCTGGCCTCAAGCTATCACACCCACCTTGGCCTCCGAAAGTGCTGGGATTATAAGCTGTGAGCCACCTCACCTGGCCTCTCCCTAAAGGAATTTTAAACAGCTTCATACCCCCTCACATATTTTCAAGTTGACATCTGCCATTTTCATATATGTTTAAATATTGCAAGGAATGTATTTTTAAAATACATTACAAATATTGACATTTTAAAAAAGAAACTATTTTATGACTCTGAAATGAATCCATGCAAATTTTTATGAAACTCATGTATTTTGAAACAGCATTGGCTGGGCACAGGTGGCTCACGCTAATAATCCCAGTACTTTGGGAGGAGGGTGAGGCAGGCGGGCCACCTGAGGTCAGGAGTTCGAGATCAGCCTGGCCAACATGGTGAAACTTAGTCTCTACTACAAATGCAAAAATTAGCTGGGCGTGGTGGTGGGTGCCTGTAATCCCAGCTACTCAGGAGGCCAAGGCAGTAGAATCACTTGAACCCAGGAGGCAGAGGTTGCAGTGAACCGAGACCATGCCACTGCACTCCAGCCTGGGTGACAGAACAAGACTCCGTCTCAAAAAAAAAAAAAAAAAAAAAGGAAAAGAAAAGAAAAAAGAAACTTACTTATCATCCATGTAAAAAAAAAAAAATGAACGGCCGGGCGCGGTGGCTCAGGCCTGTAATCCCAGCACTTTGGGAGGCTGAGGCGGGTGAATCACGCGGTCAGGAGATCGAGACCATCCTGGCTAACGCTGTGAACAAAAAAAATTAGCCGGGCGTGGTGGCGGGCGCCTGTAGTCCCAGCTACTCGGGAGGCTGAGGCAGGAGAATGGCATCAACCCAGGAGGCGGAGCTTGCAGTGAGCCGAGATCAGCCACTGCTCTCCAGCCTGGGAGACAGTGAGACTCCACCTCAAAAAATAAATAAATAAATAAATAAAATAAAATAAAATAAAATAAATGAACAAACTCTCTTTCAATATTTGAAAATTTTGTATTCATCTTTTTTCTTATTTCTTTTCCACTGCCTTAAAATAATTTTATTCTTAAGTAAAATATTGAAAGTCTCTTTGTAGATTATCCTATCATAGTTTTTTGCAACAAATGTATATATTCATGTGTATGTATAAATATTATAAAATTTCTTATGACCATAATGACGATAAAGCTTCAAAGTATCAAAACCTTTCTTTTTGCTTTATCATTTCTATTATTAACTGATCAAATCAACATAAATATTAAGCAACTTAATTAATGATTATTAAAGATAAGAGATAAGGTCATATTTGTAAATGCATTTCTTAATGAGATGGATGGGATGGTGGACTTCACAGTGCCTTGATTGAAGGGCTTGTAACATGATCTCTTCATTTTGATGCCCTTGACATTTTACACTTCATGACAATACACTGTCTTAAGATTTGAGATTAATCATCTCCATTTTTATTATTATTATATTATTATTTATTTCAAAATAATCACAAACTTATCAAAGAGTTGAGATACAATACAAAGATTTTTTTGTGGGTATAAACCATTTGAGAGTAAGTTATGACATGATGTCTCATCACTCCCAAATACTTTAGTGTAACTTTCTTGTGAGGAAGGCCATTCTTGTACATAAGCACAGTACAAGAGTTAATATTGGGAAATTAACATTGGTACATTATTACTATATATTTCTTAGATCCTATTCAAGTTACACCAGAATTTGCTCCTTATCACTCCTTGCATTTAGGTGTCCTGTCTCTTTTGTGTTATTCATTTTAGAACAGTTCCTTAGTCTTTCCTTCTTTCATGACTTTGGCAATTTGAAGATTATAGGCCAGCTACTTTGTAGAATGTTCCTTGATTTGGGTTTGTCTACTATTTTCTCATGTTGGATTCAGATTATGCATTTTAGGCAGAAATATTTCAGAGATGTTTCTGTATTCTCAATGCATTCTTATATCAATGATATAAGATTTCAATCTCTCCCTTAATTGATGTTTACACTGATCACTTAAGTTGTACCCTCTGTCAAGTTACATATCCACTGTAAAATTACTCTTACACTACACAAAATACATATTTGTGGAAAGGTATTTTAAAGCTTTGTAAATATTCAATTTCTTAACAAATCTTTAATTTAGTCATATACCTATGAGTGTCTGTTTGGATTTATGGTATCCGATTTTATTTGATTTTTGTCGTTGTTGTTGAGACAGAGTCTTGGTCTTGTCGCCCAGGCATGCAATGGTGTGATCTCGGCTCACTGCAACCTCCACCTCCCGGGTTCAAGCGATTCTCCTGCCTCAACCTCGCAAGTAGCTGGCATTACAGGCGCCGGCCACCACACCTGGCTAATTTTTTTGTATTTTTAGTAGAGACCGGGTTTCACCATATTGGCCAGACTGGTCTCTAACTCCTGACCTCAGGTGATCTGCCCGCCTCAGCCTCCCAAAGTGTTGGGATTACAGGCATGAGCCATCACACTTGGCCTTATTGAATGGATTATGATACATCATGATCATTATTTATTTTGATGCTCAAGTTGTTCTCTATTTAGCGAGTGGCAACCTCCTCAAGCTGGCTTCTGAGTCCTTTGGACAAATCTTCATCATTTTTTGAGCAAGTCTCTTCTGGCACAAAAGATGTTCCAGGCTCATTTTGTGCTTTCCCTCATCAGTATTAAAATCAGCCAGTTATCCAAGGAGTCAAGATCTAAGTGCCAGGTGTGCTCACTACTATTGGGCTACTGCTGTTTCCAGACTCTCTTAGTGGACAGGACCAGGGAACACGCATTTATGTCTATATTTCTACATATGTCTGCCTGTATTGAAAACCAAAAGTTCATAGCAAAGCCTCCAATTCTAATCCAATATAGCAGGGACTATTTTAGTTTCTTTCCCCTACATTTCAATATTTATACCTGTCTTCTCTGAAAGGGAGAATCTTGGCTCTTTTTATCCTTAATATGTTTAATTTTTGATCCATCTCCCTGTATAAAGCCAACTTCCCATCTCTGTCTCCTACATGAATGACCTCTTCCACATTCTTCAACACTGCATGCTGGGCCTCCCCTCTCCATGGATGCCTGCCTTACTTGCTTGGACAAATCATGTCATTCCCCATTCCTCATTGTGCTCTGGCTCTGACACTCCACAGTGAGCTCCAGTCCAATGAACTTCCTTCTTGCCAACATCAGGCTGCCTCCCAGGCTTAATACCTCTCACCCTGCTTGGGCTCTGACACCTGACCGTGGACCACTACAGCTCCCCTTCTTCATCCTGACCCATTGTTGCACTGCCAAGACAGACTTCTACTTTGCTCTG
Organism: Homo sapiens; assembly: GCF_000001405.40. Classification (NCBI taxonomy): domain Eukaryota; kingdom Metazoa; phylum Chordata; class Mammalia; order Primates; family Hominidae; genus Homo; species Homo sapiens. The sequence goes on along the minus strand of NC_000011.10, from coordinate 82,768,627 downwards.
CCTCACCTAAATGCTTTAGAAGTGAATTGTTCAGGAAGAGAAGGGAAAGGAAATAAAGAGAAAGGGAAAAGGATTAGGAAAAGGGGGAAAGAAAAAGAGAAGGGCTATGCCTTGCTTTTTTAAAAAATAAAAGGAAGACAATCATGAGAGCCTAGGACAGGAAATGAGCCTCTATTATCAATTTTAGGAAAGAACCCATATGGAATTTAGGATATGGATATATATCTTGTTAGAGCTACAAGTATCTGAGTACTCTTGAAGAATCTTTTCACATCCTTAGGTGTATGTAACACACTAGTTTGAAGACCACTGATACCTAAAGTAAGTAAATGAAAAATATAAACACCTAGGAAGACACTTCCTACCTCAGAATTCTGGAAAACAGGCCCCCAAACCTTCTAATTACCATAATTTTTTTACCCTAACCTCTGCAAGTCTACTCCTTGCCCCTCTGTCCTTCTTTCATCCAGGTCACCTGTCTAGAAGCATAGTGCTGTCCATCCACAGCTTCTCTGTGTGCTAGAATCCACTGACTTGGCCCTTTCTTCAACTTCCTCCTCCCTCAACTTTAAAACTGACCTCCTTTATAGATGGGGACTCCAGGAGTTCTTCCTTTGCCTTTGCTGGGGGATAGGTCTTTAGTGATCTGTGGTACCTCTGGTTAGAGCTTTTCCCTTCAGGGACTCAGGGCTTGGAGTTCTGAGGTGGGCTGGATTAGAGGACACATTGAAGTGAAGTTGGAAGGAGACTTGAGCTGGGACTTTATATGTAGCATATCTAGGAAAGAAATCTGTTTGGCAGCACTAAGTTCCACATAGCACTATTAAGAGGTAAGTGTTTTATCACCACCATTTTACATAATGAAACTAACATTCTTTACTGAAGTAACTTGGCCAAGATCATAAATCTAAGAGCAGAGAACTAGGCAGATTTATTTCACATAAATTAGTAATTAACAACTTCAATTAAACCTGAGACACTGTCTGGCAATTATATTAGGTTCCTTTAGAATGCTCCTTTACCCACTTTCCATAATGGCCTCTCATATTTTTTTCTCTTTCTTCTGTCAAGAATAAAATTAGATGAAACTAGAATTTTTTCTTTTTTTTTCTGGGAGACTGGAGTTTTATTATTACTCAAGTCAGTCTCCTTGAGCATTTGGGGATCAGATCAGAGTTTTTAAGGACAGCTTGGTGGGTGGGGGAAAGCCAGTGAGCCGGGAGTGCTGATTGGTCAGATCAGAGATGAAATCATAGGGAGTCCAAGCTATCTTCTTGTGCTGAGTCAGTTTATTGATCTGGGTGCTGCCAGCTGAAAACTAGAAATTTTTAAAAAGTGTATTGTGCATACAACAGAACAGTTCACAAACCAGGAGACCTAAAACTGAAAGTGGTAGGAAGCTCTGTTTATAAGTTAAAGTGCAGGCATAAAGTATACATGAATCAGCATATTTATCTTTATTATAATTGGGTATCATAAATCTATATTTCTCTTAGGGCAAGTGGGGCTGCATAAGCTCATTTGTCCATAGTCGTTGTTTTAATTTTTTTAATTTGATTTTTAAATGTGCATATTTGTGTGGTACAATTTGATGTTTCCATGAATATATATGTTGTAAAATAATTAAATCATGGTACTTAGTTTACCTATCATCTCATGCATTTATCATGTCTTTGTGGTAAGCACATTAAAAAGCCTCTCTTCTAGCTATTTGTAATATATAATACCTTTCTGTTAACTATAGTCACTCTACTGAGCAATAGACTTGCTCCTATTGAATTGTAGCTTGTACCTGTTGATCATCCTCTCCCCATCCTCCCCTCCTTTGCTCCCCTCCTCAGCCTCAGGTATCCACTGTTACACTGTTCCACTCTCTGCTTCTATGATGTCAACTTTTATTTTTAATATTCCACATATGAGTTAGATCATGTGGTATTTGTATTTCTGTGTCTGGCTTATTTCACGTAACATGATGTCCTTAGGTCTATCTATGTGATTGCAAATGATAAGATTTCATCCTTTTATGGCGAATAGCATTCCATTGTGTGTATATACCAGATTTTTCTTTATCTGTTCATCCATTCTTGGAGACTTATTTTGATTCTATATCTTGGCTATTGTAAGCAGTGCTGCAATGAACATGGGAGTGCAGATATCTCTTTGAAATACTGATTTCATTTCCCATACAATCCAGTAGTGTGATTGGTGGATCAGATGGTAGTTCTATTTTTAACCTAATCTGGTTTATCTCTTTATGTATTTTAAACATATATTATTTATTTTTTATTTGTTCTTTTGTTATTTTTGATACATAATAGTTGTACATATTTATGGGGTACAGCATGATATTTCCAAACATGTATACAATGTGTAATGATCAAATCAGGGCAATTAGTATATCCATCCTCTCAAATCTTTATTATTTCTTTGTACTGGTAATATTAAAAATCCTCTCTTCTAGCTATTTAAAAATATACAATAAATTGTTTATTATAGTCACCCTACGGTGCTGTAAAACACTAGAACTAATTCTTTCTAACTGTAACCTTGTATCTATTAACCAACCTCTCCCCATGTCCCTACCCCTTACCCTTCCCAGCTTCTAGCAACAAATATTCTGCTGTCTACTTCTATAAGATCAACTTTTTAACCCCCCACATATGGGTAAGAACATGTGGTATTTATCTTTAGGTGCCTGACGTATTTCAAGTAACATAATGTCCTCCGGGTGCATCCAAGTTGCCACAAATAACTGGATTTCATTTTTTCTTATGGCTAAATAGTATTCCATCATGTATATATACCATATTTTCTTTATCCTTTTGACCGTTGATGAACAATTAAGTTTTTTCCATATTTTGGCTATTGTGACTGGTGCTTCAATAGAAACAGTAGGTGGTTTTCCCCTCACAGTGTAAACGAAGCTACCAGGAAGTTCGAACTGGGCGGAGCCCACTGCAGTGCAGCAAAGCCGCTGTAGCCAAACTGCCTCTCTAGATTCCTCCTCTCTGAGCAGGGCATCTCTGAAAGAAAAACAGAAGGCCCAGTCAGTCAGGGGCTTATAGATAAAACTCCCGGCCAGGCGCAGTGGCTCACACCTGTAATCCCAGCACACTGGAAGACCCGAGGTGGGTGGATCACGAGGTCAGGAGTTCAAGACCAGCCTGGCCAAGATGGTGAAACCCCGTCTCTACTAAAAATACAAAAAATTAGCCGGGCATGGTGGCACGCGCCTGTAAATCCCAGCTACTCTGGAGGCTGAAGCAGAGAATTGCTTAAACCTGGAGGGGCAGAGGTTGCAGTGAGCCGAGATCGTGCCACTGCACTCCAGCCTGGGTGACAGAGTGAGACTCCGTTTCAAAAACAAAAAACAAAAAACAAACAAACAAAAACAAACAAACAAAAAGAAAAGCAACAACAAAAAAAACACCTCCCATCTCCCTGGGACAGAGCACCTGGGGGAAGGGGTTGCTGTGGGCACAGCTTCAGCAGACTTAAATGTTCCTGCCTGTCGACTCTGAAGACAGCAGTGGATCTCCCAGCACAGTGCTCAAGCTCTGCTAAGAGACAGACTGCCTCCTCAAGTGGGTCCCTGACCGCAGTGCCTCCTGACTGGGAGACACCTCCCAGCAGGGGTCAACAGACACCTCATACAGGAGAGCTCTGGCTGGCATCTGGCAGGTGCCCCTCTGGGATGAAGTTTCCAGAGGAAGGAACAGGCAGCAATTTTTGCTGTTCTGCAGCCTCTGCTGGTGATACCCAGGAAAACAGGGTCTGGAGTGGACCTCCAGCAAACTCCAGCAGACCTGCAGCAGAGAGGCCTGTTAGAAGGAAAACTAACAAACAGAAAGCAATAGCATCAACATCAACAAAAAGGACATCCACACAGAAACCCCATCTGAGAGATCTGCATCACCAGCATCAAAGACCAAAGGTAGATAAATCCATGAAGATGAGGAAAAACCTGCGCAAAAAGGCTGAAAATTCCAAAAACTAGAATGCCTCTTCTCCTTCAAAGGATCATACCTCCTTGCCAGCAAGGGAACAAAACTGGGCAGAGAATAAGTTTGACGAATTGACAGAAGTAGGCTTTAGAAGGTGGGTAATAACAAACTCCTCTGAGCTAAAGGAGCATGTTTTAACCCAATGCAAGGAAACTAAGAACCTTGAAAAAAGGTTAGATGAATTGCTAACTAGAATAACCAGTTTAGAGAAGAACATAAATGCCCTGATGGAGCTGAAAAACACAGCACGAGAACGTTGTGAAACTTACACAAGTATCAATAGCCAAAATGATCAAGCAGAAGAAAGGATATCAGAGATTGAAGATCAACTTACTGAAATAAAGTGAGAAGACAAGATTAGAGAAAAAAGAATGAAAAGGAACAAACAAAGCCTCCAAGAAATATGGGACTATGTGAAAAGAACAAACCTATGTTTGATTGGTGTACCTGAAAGTGACGGGGAGAATGGAACCAAGTTGGAAAACACTTTGCAGGATATTACCCAGGAGAACTTCCCCAACCTAGAAAGACAGGCCAACATTCAAATTCGGGAAATACAGAGAACACCACAAAGATACTCTTTGAGAAAGCAACCCCAAGTCACGTAATTGTCAGATTCACCATGGTTGAAATGAAGGAAAAAACGTTAAGGGGAGCCAGAGAGAAAGGTTGGGTTACCCACAAAGGGAAGCCCATCAGACTAATAGCAGATCTCTCTGCAGAAACCCTGCAGGCCAGAAGAGAGTGGGGGCCAATATTCAACATTCTTAAAGAAAATAATTCGCAACCCAGAATTTCATATCCAACCAAACTAAGCTTCATAAGCTAAGGAGAAATAAAATCCATTACAGACAAGCAAATGCTGAGAGATTTTGTCACCACCAGGCCTGCCTTACAAGAGCTCCTGAAGGAAGCACTAAACATGGAAAGGAAAAACCAGTACGGCCACTGTAAACATACCAAATAGTAGATCATCGACACTATGAAGAAACTGCATCAACTAACAGGCAAAATAAACAGCTGGAATCATAATGACAGGATCAGACTCACACATAACAATATATATATATTTTTAGGAGGAATTATTTAATTATTTAGTGCACTGACCCAGTTGGATTAACATCCAAAGGACTGAGCTTGAACAAAGAGTCAAGCTACCTTTTAAGCATTTCATGGGGCAGGGGGAGACAGAAGCTAGAAACAAAGACAGTTATTCAATTAAGACATGCATTACATCATTTCTTACTTTTCAAGGAACACATGTTTTACGACTTGAGATTATCTGTCTAGTGACCTTGCAGCTTCACAGCTAGAGAAACAGTCTTCACAATGCCTGGGAAAGGGAGAGAGAAGGTTTACTAGCCACAGAAAAACAGGCAGTTAATTTTTAAGGACTCCAGCTCTTTCTCTTCTTTAGGGGCAATTGGGTTTTCTTACACACAACTGAGTTTTTGCTTACACATTCTTTTTTTTTACTTTTTATTTTATTATACTTTAAGTTTTAGGGTGCATGTGCAAAACATGCAGGTTTGTTACATATGTATACATGTGCCATGTTGGTGTGCTGCACCCATTAACTCGTCATTTAGCATTAGGTATATGTCCTAATGCTATCCCTCCACCCTCCCCGCACCCCACAACAGGCCCCAGTGTGTGATGTTCCCCTTCCTGTGTCCATGTGTTCTCATTGTTCAATTCCCACCTATGAGTGAGAACATGCGGTGTTTGGTTTTTTGTCCTTGCGATAGTTTGCTGAGAATGATGGTTTCCAGCTTCATCCATGTCCCTACAAAGACATGAACTGATCATTTTTTATGGCTGCATAGTATTCCAGGCTGCATATCTACAACCATCTGATCTTTGACAAACCTGACAAAAACAAGAAATGGGGAAAGGATTCCCTATTTAATAAATGGTGCTGGGGAAACTGGCTAGCCATATGTAGAAAGCTGAAACTGGATCCCTTCCTTACACCTTATACAAAAATTAATTCAGGATGGATTAAAGACTTAAATGTTAGACCTAAAACCATAAAAACCCTAGAAGGAAACCTAGGCAATACCATTCAGGACATAGGCATGGGCAAGGACTTCACGTCTAAAACACCAAAAGCAATGGCAACCAAAGCCAAAATAGACAAATGGGATCTAATTAAACCAAAGAGCTTCTGCACAACAAAAGAATGAACAGGCAACCTACAGAATGGGAGAAAATTTTTTCAATCTATCCACCTGACAAAGGGCTAATATCCAGGATCTACAAGGGACTTAAACAAATTTACAAGAAAAAAATAACCCCATCAAAAAGTGGGCAAAGGATATGAACAGACACTTCTCAAAAGAAGACATTTATGTGGCCAACAAACATATGAAAAAAAGCTCATCATCACTGATCATTAGAGAAATGCAACTCAAAACCACAATGAGATACCATCTCACACCAGTTAGAATGGTGATCATTAAAAAGTCAGGAAACAACAGGTGCTGGAGAGGATGTGGAGAAATAGGAACGCTTTTTACACTGTTGGTGGAAGTGTAAATTAGTTCAAGCATTGTGGAATACAGTGTGGAAATTCCTCAGGGATCTAGAACCAGAAATACCATTTGACACAGCAGTCCAATTACTGGGTATATACCCAAAGGATTATAAATCATTCTACTATAAAGATACATGCACATGTATGTGCACTGCAGCATTATTTACAATAGCAAAGACTTGGAACCAACCCAAATGCCCATCAGTGATAGACTGGATAAAGAAAATGTGGCATATATACACCATGGAATACTATGCAGTCATAAAAATATGAAATGAGTTTATGTCCTTTGCAGGGACATGGATGAAGCTGAAAACCATCATTCTCAGCAAACTAACACAGGAACACAAAATCAAACACCGCAAGTTCTCACTCATAATTGTGAGTTGAACAATGAGAACACATGGACACAGGGAGGGGAACATCACACACCGGGGCCTGTCGGGGGGTGGGGGCTAGGGGAGGGCTACCATTAGGAGAAATATCTAATGTAGATGACAGGTTGATGTGTGCAGCAAACCACCATGGCATGTGCGTACTTATGTAACAAACCTGCACGTCCCGCACATGTATCCCAGAACTTAAAGTATAATGAAAAAAAAAAAAAAAAACTATTGCTGATTTCGATTTGTGTCTATGTTCCTGAAGGATATTGGTCTATTTTCTTTTCTTCTAATGTCTTTCTCTGGTTTTGGTATCAGGATAATTCTGGCCTCATAAAATAATTTGGGATGTGATCCTTTCTCTTTTACATTCTGAAAGCAATTACAGAATCAATGTTGTTTCTTCTTTAAATGGTGGATATAATTTAACAGTGAAATTCTGATTCTGGAGATTTCTTTTTCAGACAATTTAAAGTTATAGACTTAATTTCTATAATAGCTATAGGGCTTCCTCTTCTTGAGTGAGTTTTGATTGTGATTTTTGAGGGCTTCATCCATTTCATCTAAATTATTGAATGTATGTGCATAGAATTCTTTGTGGTGTTTTCTTATTATCCTTTTAATGTCTGTGGAATTTGTAGATATATCATCTCTTTCATTTCTTGTATTAGTAATTTGTGTCTTCCCTCATTTTAATTTGTCACTATTGTTAGAGGTTCAAAAAGTTTATTAATATTTTCAAGGAAACCACTTTTGGTTTCAATGACTTTCTATTCTCTGGTTTTCAATTTTGTTGAATTTTGTTTTTATAAATATGTTTTCTTCTGCTTGTTTTGGGCTTATTTTGATCCTATTTTTCTAATTTTTTTTAAAGATGGAAGCTTAGATGATTGACTTGAGAACTTTCTTCTTCTTTAGAGTAAGTTACTTTCCCCATAGCACCTCTGTCTCCACAATCTATGTTCCTGGTATTTTTCCATTTCCAGGATCTCTTTTCCATCCCTCTGCCAGCTGGGCTTTATTTATCTTGCTCTGCTATAGCTGCGCCCACTTCCAGGTTCAAGTGGCAGAAGAACAGAAGGAAAAAGAAAGCAATTGAGTTTGTCACACTCTCTTAGGAACATAGTTGCTCTGACTGGGAAGGAAAATTCTCCCATCCTTCAAAATTTTACTTGCCTGCAAGTCCTCTACCACTGCTGCCACTCACCTTGATGCTACCATCACTACTGCAAGACTGCTTGAGGATTAGGGCATGAGAGAATTAAAAAAAAAAAAAAAGGAAAGAAAAAAAGGGATTCCTCAATACTCTCACTGAGTAAGATGCTCCTTGAGACAGAATAGAATAATTTTTCTAGTGCTCTCCATCCATGACACTGTGTACTTCTTATTTTCAGGCCATGAGTCCAGTCTGGAGAATGTCGGAGGTAAAAAATGGTGAACGCACTGCCATTTGGTGGTATTTCAGATTCTGGTCTTCCTTAATCTACCTACTACTATTTTCTCTTCAGGGTCCTCATTGCTGCCTTGTGTATTCTGTCCAGGTTTAATAGTTACCTTCAGTGGGAGAGGCAGAGTGAAGTGTGTTTACTCCATCTTATCCGGATCTATAACTTTCAAATATATTTTATTTCACAGTTTGTTAGTGTGATATAAAACTTTATTTAGACATTCGGTATGTGGGCCTTCATGCATGTGTACACTTGCCTCAGGCCCTGCAAATGTAGGAGCAGGCATGGTTGCGAAGATTTAATGAAAGGGAATAAGTAGAGAGAACAGTATGTGTTTGCAAAATATCTATCAGATATTGGACACCAAGGAAACAATATTTATTATCTGGTGTTTGTAATCATCTCTACAAAATACCTGAGATAAAACACCTAATTAATGTTGGATTATCTTCAGTTCAGGGAACTCACTGCCTTCTGAGATGGCCGATCTCATGCTTAGATAGTTCTGTGGTGAATTTCTTCATTATATTGGTTTAAGATTTATTTTCTTCTAGCTTTTTATTCATGGCTTCCAGCTGAAGTATTTGCTTTTTGAAATAATAAGTCTAATCTCTTTCTCAAATGCAGTACTTTAATTATTCAAAGAAAGTTGTTTCTAATTTTCCCTGGGCTAACATTCTCTTTCCATTGTCTCTCATTCCTTTCCCCCTCCACCGCTGCTTTTCTTATCTTCCCTTTCTTCTCTCCTTTCTTTTACATCAGTCACAAGTATTTATTAAATCTCTACCTGTTGTAATATCTGTCAGGCACTCAGGATACCTTCTTTCCTTTCCTCAGAAAGATTATACACTGTTTAAAATAAAGGGCTTTTTTTTCACTCTATGCTATAAGAATGTTCTGAACCTTATGGAAGCATCCTTTCTCTCATGGTTTAATTTTGATCATCCTCCTTCTCCCAGTCGTTTTTCTCTATACAAGCTATAACATACCAACAATCTCCTTAACTTGTGGTATGACCGTAGACCAATCAGTGCAGATCTGGAAAGTCCTCTTATCTCCCATTTTATAAGGCTAAATGTCTTTTGAATAGGTTGATGATTATTTATGTAGGCATAAGTCATGACTGGAAGAATGCATTTGAATGGCTGATGCCATATGCAGAAGGTGGACTGGTCATATATGCATTTTCTAATGAGTATTCTCCCCACAGCTAAATGTCAAACTGTAATTAAGTGCACAGAATTCACACAGAATGGCATAACTATTCTATAGTCTGGCAATTTTTAATGTAAGATGAATAAAACTTTATGTGTTGCTCTGATGAAGAGGAAGACTCTGATAACCATTAGGGTAGATTTGGACATAGTCTATCCCAGAAGTTGTCACAGGCAGCAGTTTTGCTATAAATCCAGAATTTTATGTTGTGGAGGGCCCATGATTTATACTGGTCAACTGTGACTCATTTATGGTAGATAGATGCAGGATAAAACAATACTATTTAGTGGATCATCATAGTTACTATTAAAAATAAAGACATGCATGTACGATTTTTTCAATTTTAGAGTATTTTCAAGGTGACTTTAAATTGCCTGATGCTGCATCCTAGAAACTAAATCGATGGCTTAGAATTCAAAAAATGAAGTGGGTTCTAGAAAGAGAGCATACAGTTTCTTAGGAAGGAAGTTTTGCTTTTTCGATAGAGCTTTGCAACTGAAAATTTGTATTTGGATTCCAGTGACCCTGAACAATGAGGGTGGAAGTGGGTCTTTATTTTTTTCACGCTGCTTTTCAGATTTCTCCTTAAATTCTCTGTGATAACTGACTGTCATTTTTGATGTTAAAAACATTCTTAAAGATGAAAGCCAGAAAAGACCTTGACTAGGGTAATGAAATCTGTAATACACCCTGGAACAGACTATATAAAGATTTGAAGACAGACGAAGTACAGAAAGGCATGTTAAGAAGAATTCCCAGCTCATGGCAGCTTAGTGGAGAAAAGCTAAGATCACCATATGGTTATTTTTTCTGCCAAAGCACAGTGGCTTTTGCTTCTTGCACATACGAGTTATTGGAAATCATAGCATTTCAGCATACACTAGTGAAAGTTCTATCTCACCATGCTAAGAAGTTATAACTTAGAAGAGGAAGTTGAAGAGAAAATTCTTCAGAGGATTTACACCTACTTGTGAAAATCTCAAATCTAAAAGAGAGGCTACTGAGTCAGATTTCAGAGCAAAATACTCACATCAAATATAGCTCTGATTTGTAGTGTATGAAGAAAGAACTGGTTTTCCTCTGAGAGATATTTCTTATCCCTGACTGAAACAGCAGAGAAACTGAAAAGAATGGCCTTTGGTCCTTCAAATGTTCAAAGAATGAAAGTGAAAGCCTAGTCTTAAACAAAATATTAAAAAAAATTTTTTTAACCAATACTTCTTGTGGCATGTAACAGAGTCTCCTCCTATCTCCTTCTCAAAATTAGATCATTCGTCCATATCCTCTAAGAGCCTAAGATTCACTTTGGGATGACTCTGGTGAACAAAAAGCAAGCACTACCTCAAGCCTGCAATTCTGAGCTTTTATGTCTCATTGCCTGTCACAGGGAAGCTTCCTGGACATTTTAGATTTTTTTATAAACTGCAATTCAATAAAAATGAAGATTTTCCTTTTAGGTCACCATTTCTTCTGGCAGACTGAGCCTAAAGTGCACTTTATTTCCCTTTAATTTAACAGCTCCAGCAGCTTTTCCAGTTAAATCGACTGTTCATTATTGAGCCCCATTTAGGAAGGGGCTGTGCAGTGCAGTTTAATGAATCCTTGGCACAAAGCTCCCTTTCAGGACTGGGAAAGAATAGGGGCTGTTCAGGCCCTGTAGGGCTGTATGTCAAAGCCAGCCCATAATGCCTGTCAGCCAAGGGCAGAAATTCCCACTGATATAAGAATGTGCAAGAAATCAACTTTCACCACCGACGAGCAGATTAAGACACGATCAGGAAATGAGACTGTAGGTTTAGAACAGTGACACCTGTTTGAAGAGAGCGATTTTCCCATCCCTTGATCACTGAGTGGCTGGAGTGGGGGCTGGGCGAAGCTGCAGCACAGCCAAGCCCTCAAAGCCCTCCAGGTCCTCTGAGAGGGGAAGGAAAGACAGTGGGTGGGGGCATCTTTGAGCTAAACTCCATGCTAAGTGCCTTAACAAACTTTTTCTACTTTAATTCTTATAACAAGCTATGAGGATTATTTGCATATGACAGGGGAGGAAACTGAAGCTCAGGTGCTTTCATTTCTGGTTCAAGGTTACACTGCTAATTGGCCACTAAATGGCAACGATGGGATGCAGCATAGACCTGTTTGGCTCTAGGATGTCTGTCTTTTCCAGAGCTCTGAACTGAGGTTCATCAAATAAATGTGATCCTTTAGAAATAGCTGTACTTTAAAATTCTTAATTGTGCGGGGTATGCACTGAATGTGTATGTGTTGGGCACATGTGATATGTTGGGAATATCAGCACATGAGACATAGCATGATGGTATGAGGAGTGGTAGTTAAGGTACTGCCTTTACTGCTAGACCGGCCCAGGTTTGAATCTCAGCTCTGATAATGCTTATGTCTCTCAGACCTTGGGAAACTTTGGGAAAGTCCCTCTCACTAAGCCTTGGTTGTGTTATTCTTTCTCCCAACCCTGCCCCAGCCACACAGAGATCAAGGATGGTGGCTACGGTTACTCTGGTATTGCTAAGTACTCTTTGAAAGTTAAAATGGTCCAAAAGGTTTCTACAGAAGGGAGTCCTAGATGTCTTTGTGTTACATTAGTACCATGAGATTCTGAGTCCTCAAGGTGGGTGTGTGTATTGGTTTTCTTCCAGTATCATGGGGCAGATCAAGACTGTGGAAGTACGTTTTCAAAAAGGTGAAATCATGACTCTTAAGCAAATATAATATGGACCACATGTAAAAAATTGTTTAACTCATTAATTAGTAAGAGAACCACTGAAATGTTAGGACTGGTTCAAAGAACATTTAAGAAGTCAGATATATATACATATATATATATATATACATATATATATATATATACACACACACATATATATATGAAATGTTAGGAAAGTTCATTAGTTACAAAGAACTGAGATATATATCATCGTGGTCATCTGTTCCATTGACAGAAATTATTTGCATATCTACCAGAAAAAACTCTACCAAGTAAAAAATAATTGTACTAAATCTAATAGCAAGTAGTGAGAAGAATGAAATACATTCCTCTAGACAATCTTTGGCTGTTCTTTTTTCCTGTATAACATTGAAAGAATGTGGAACTAAACTTTCTGCCTCCATTCCAAGTTTTGGATAATTTTTCTGGTAACCCCCATATTTTATATGTAAATTTGGACCATCTAAAGAAAAGAAGTAATTTGTGTACATCATAGGGTTAGTTGCAAAGGCAGAAGTAAAACTCAGGTCTGCTGTCTCCTCTACATGGCTGTGAGACCACGTAGCAACCCTGTTTCTTTAAGCTAACGTTTCCACTAGAGACCAAAGAGTGAGAGGAGTTTCACTTTTCTGAGCGTAAAGAGTGAAGGGATACGCATTTTCCAGGGCAGTTTTAAACCAGTTTCAACTAAATTTAATAAGTATGCCAGTTGATCCACATCATTAAGGTAGAAATTAGGAAGTCAACCTCAGAGTTTACTTCTTGCTAATAGCATAGGGGTGATTTGGTTGCTTAGACAGGGCTCCCTGGAAACAGAGCTTGAAACGGAGAGTTGTATGCAGAAGGTTGATTGAGAAGGACTCTTAAAGGATGCATATGTACGAAGTGAGGAAGTCAAGATTGGATGAAAAGAGAAACTGACTTGTCATCAGCCTGAGCTAATCCCATGGGAAGCTCTGGAGCTGGAATGCCCTTTGGGGCCCGACTCAAGTTGAGGAAAGAGAGGTTTTGCCTTTGTATCCCTGCATCAGCCAGTCATTGGTCTCTGGTGCGCCTGGGAAGGGGTATGAATTTGGCTAATCCAGTTTCCTTCAGCAGAGGTTCAATGCTTGGTGAGGGGGCCAGCTGTAAGCCATTAGTAGCCAGCCAGCTCAGCAGCTAGGGGACGGGTTAATCAGCCCTTAGGTGGGATCTGCGCAGAGCTTCATGGTATCCACTACATTTGGCTTTTATTACAAGAATATCTGTAATAAAAATATAACAACTCAAGGGTCAACACCAATGGATGAGTAGTGAATGTCAGGAGCACTATGTTGAGAGGGGTTCTAGGCTCATCTGGGCTCAGTGGAAAGAGTGTGAAGATGGATAAGTGATGTCCATACAAGAGAGTGGAAAGTGAGGTTACATTTCTTCTTGAATTTGATGGTGGTGAAGGGTGACTACATCACACAGTTTGCCGTGAACCATCCAGGGTAATTCTAAATGATGTTACCTTGTATTCAAAAATTTCCTTGTTCAGAAGCTCGATTTTATGGACATCCTAACTAAGAGGTTCTTTTCTCTGCATCCCAGTGGAACAAGTAGCCTAGTATCTTCGGTGCATTTAGGATTTCAAAGAACACTGGCAGAGAGAAATTCCTTCAGCAACTTCTGCTTCTAACTTAGCAGCACAAAACTCCCTTTAGGCAGAGATCTACCGTTCCTGGCAATCTTCCTAGAATGGGTAAGGAGGAGGTGGAATGTGGAGACGTGAGGCAAAGTACAGGGAGAATAAAAACAGATTACAATCACAAAGAATTATTCTGTCACATGGTAAAGCAGAACTTTGCAGATATATCCATCTCTGGCCTAGCTGAAGAGGGTTGACCCTGTACTTAAAATCAGACACTCAGAAAGTTGGAAGGAAAGGTAGAGATCATCTCTTCATTTTATAGATGGAATATAGTCCAAAGTTACACTCTAGGTACTTGTGGAGTGGGGATTAGGACTCTGGTTCCTTAAGCCTCCCAGGCTAATGCTTCTTCCACTGGACCAGCACTTATTTGTCTTCTGTTCTCAAAAAAGAAATTAGTAGGATCTGTAGCAGTGACAACAACATGGAGGCAGCAATTTGGCCTCAGTTAAAAGAGAAAAATTGCTCACAGACCTGGGAGGATTTGGCAGAGAGGCTGGCAAGAAAATTGGTATATGCAAGAGGATGGGGAATTATTTTTTCCTGTGTAAACAGAGGATGGCTTCAGGTTGGGGGCCAGAGTCCCCTCTTGTGCCAGGAAAGTGACAAATGCTAAAAAGTGCTACCAAGAACAAGGCAATGTGCCACACACCATGGAATAGAAAGATAAATACACTCCTCTGCTCGGAAATCTCCAATGGCTCACCATATAAGATCAAGTCTAAGCTCCTTTCCATCAAGCATTCAAGCCACCCTTTCCAGTGTTCTCCCCCTCTACTCCCTGCCTCTCACCTCACATTCCAAACATATAGTACTATTTAAGCTACCCTGAAATTTTTCAAGAATGTATTTTTTTAAAAGTAGTTTTAGGTTTACAGCATAATTAAGACAAAAAGTTCAGAGATTTTTCATATATTCCCAGCCCCCACACATACATAGTCTCCCCCATTATCAACATCCCCCACCAGAGTGGTGCATTTGCTATAATTGATGAACCTACATTGATACATCATAATTGTCCAAAGTCCATGGTTTATTAGGGTTCACTCTTGCTGTTGTACATTTTATAAGTTTAGACAAATTAATGACATGTATCCATCATTATGCTACGATACAGAGTATTTTTACTGCCCTAAAAAACCTCTGTGCTCCACATTTTCATCCATCCCTGCCCTCCAATACCTAACAAACACTGAGGTTTTTACTACTTCCATAGCTTTACCTTTTCCAGAATGTCATATAGTTGGAATCACACAGTATGCAACCTTTTCAGATTCTTTTCTTTCACTTAGTAATATGCATTTAAGGTTCCTTCATGTCTTTTCATGGCTTGATAGCTCATTTATTTTTAGTGATAAATAATATTCCATTGTCTGGTTGTACTGTGGTTTATTTATCAATTCACCAACTAAGGGACATCTTGGTTTCTTCCAAGTTTTGGCAATTATAATTAAAGTTGCTATAAACATCCATGTGCAGGTTTTTTGTTGGAAATAAATTTCCAACTTTTTTGGGGTGAATATCAAGGAGACCAATTGTTCCATTGTATGGTAAGAGTGTGTTTAGTTTTGTAAGAGACCTCCAAACTGTCTTCCAAAGTGGCTGTAATATTTTGCATTCCTACCAGCCATGAATGAATTCCAGTTGCTCCACATTCTTGTTAGCATTTGGCATGGTCAGTGTTCTGGATTTTGGCCATTGTAATAGATGGGTAAGTGCTACCTCATTGTTGTTTTAATTTCTATTTCCCTGATAACATATGATGTCAAGGATCTTTTCATGTGCTTATTTGCCATCTGTATAACTTCTTTGGTGAGGTGTTTGTTCAAGTATTTTGCTCATTTGGATTGTTCATTTTCAGGTAGTGAGTTTTATAAGTTTTTCGTGTATTTTGGATAACAGTCCTTTATCAGATGTGTCTTTTGCAAACGTTTACTCACAAGCTACGGCTTGTTTTCTCATTGTTTTGACATTGTCTTTCACAAAACAAAAGTTTTTAATTTTAACTAAGTCTAGCTTACCAATTATTTTTCTTATGATCATGCCTTTAATTTTGTATCTAAAAAGTCATCTTCATACCAAGGTCATCCAGATTTTTTCCTGTGCTGTCTTCTAGGAGTCTTATAGTTTTGCATTTAGTTCTATGATGCATTGTTGAGTTATTTTTTGTAAATGATGTAAGGTCTCTGTCTATATGCATTTTTCTGCATGTGGATGTCTAAGTGTTTCAGAACCATTCAGTGAAAAGACTGTCTTTCTCCATTGTATTGTTTTTGCTCCTTTGTCAAAGACCAGTTGCCTATATTTGCATGGATCTATTTCTGAGCTCTCTATACAGTTCCATTGATCTCTTTGTCTATTTTTTTTCAGCTAATACCACACTGTATTAGTTACTGTAGCTCCATGTTAAATCTTGAAGTTAGATAGTGTCAGTTTTTCAACCTTGTTATTCTCACCCAATATTATGTTGCTACCCTGCAATTTTAAATCTCCATATTTTGGTCCATGAGGATGCTTTTTAGGATGCCCTTTTTCTTTTTTCTGTCTATAAAAACTCTCCTTATCTTTTTAGGCCCAGTGTAATGGCATCTTCTTATGGAGCTTTCTTGACATTTCTCATACACAATGAATTATTCCTTTTTGTGTGCTCCAGTGACAATTTGCTTGTGCCTCTGTAAAACACTATCTTGAGGGCAGAAAATATGTGTATGCCTATTCTCCATGTTTAGTAAACAGTGTAACTGGGATATAGTAGGTGTTCAGTAAATGTCTGCTGAATGAATAAATAAATAACATGATGAATAGACCATTGGAAATATATCTATCTTCTTAGGACCAGGAGTCAATCATGTGTGTATCCTTGTTGCTTCGAATGGTGCCTAGCACATAGTAAGCCCCCAACAGATATTTAGTAAGTGACGAAGATAGACAAGTACACAAATAGCTGATACAAGGCACACTGGGCCTGGCAATAGGGGATTTGGTTTTTCAGCTAAAGCCATTTGACCTTTGGCAAGCTACCTAAACTCTTGACAGTTTAGGATTCTTCAGTAAAATGGGGATGATATTTCCTACTTGAAAGGATTATTGTAAGGATTAAATAAATAATGTATGCAAGTGCTCAGCACTGCTTCAAATTTAAGGTGGGATCTCAATAAGTGCTTAAGTGAATAAATGGATGAATGAAGAAGTGCTATAAAAGAAATAAAGGTAAAATATCAAGGAACTTGAGGAAGAGAGATGTGACAGCCTGAACTGGTGATAATGAGGACTTGGGAGGGCTTTTTGAAAGAGGTTAATATTCAATGTGGGCTTTAAAAGCAGGATAGGATCTTCAGAAAGTGCAGTGGAACCAATGACTCCCCGATTCAGTCTTATAGAAATATAATCGAACATATTTTCTGCTGTCTCAAATGCTGCACCCAACAAAAGTCAATTTAATAACACTGAGGAAAGATCAAGTGTAATATAGTAAAATTAGCCATAGGCAGGGGAGTCTAATTTCAGATTCTCTTTGCATAATAGCGGTTTTGAGGAACTGGAGTAGGGGGATTGAAACATAGGTGTGGTATCCTAAGACTTGAAAGCACTCCTTTGACTGATTTCCTCCCTTGATGCGGTCAGGAAGTACTTTCCGGAAAGAACAGGCAGGTTTAATGCAATTATGCGGTGTTGGCCCTCCCTAGCTTGGCGATGTGCTAGGCAACTCCAGCTGGCCTCACAGAAGAGAAAGTAAACTTCAGCTGCCCCTCAGGCCATTGTTTTAGCACTCCGCAGAGTAGTGTTCCAGCGGCTGATCCGAGCTGCTTAAGCTGTTTAATTGAATGAATTCAACCTCATATAATAGGATCTAGGTCTTTAAGCATTTCTGTCTGGTGCACCGGATATTGGGCTGCTCAAGTTACCCAGCTTCACTAAGGCCCTGGGTTTTTCTGGTGTCCATACTTGTCACATTTTGGTGCAAACCTCTGTGCAAGCCTTATGCTGTATGGACTGATGATTCACATATTCATTCAACTTGAGTCTAGTGTTTCTTAGAGGGGTCAGCTATCAGGTATTTTAATGAAGTCTGGAAAAAGAGATTCCATGTAGACAGACTTCTGTAATTTTCCTCATTTCAGGAAAAGGAGGGGGCATAATCATTATTTGGAAATAGAATCCCTCAGCTCTGTCTTGGTCTTATGTGCTTGGGCCTGCAGCAGACTGGTCACGTAATGGGGCAGGCACTGAATATATTCTAACAGAAGAGGGGGAAAAAAACAACTGAAAAACAGGTTAATCTTCGGCCTTACTGTCTTGTCAATCCACCCTCTGTACAGACCCCAACTGAGATTTCTTTTTCTTTTACTTATGTAGCATTTACTGACATAGACATGATATATCCTAAGTGTACAGTTCCATGAGTTTTGACAAATGCTCACGCCCCCACAGCCCAGTCAAGATATATGATATTTCCATCACTACAGAAAGCTCCCTGTGCCCACTTTCAGTCAATTCCAGCCCCTGTAGGCAACCATGATTCTGATTTCCAGCATCATAATTTAGTTTTCCGGTTCAAAATCTCATATAAATGGGATCATGCAGTACGTACTCTTTTATATCTGGCTTATTTGGGCCAACATTATGTTTTCAAGATTTGTCCATGTTCTTGCATCTGTAGTTTGTACCTTTTTACTACTGAATACTCTTCCATTCCATGTATCTACCACATAGAATGCTCTTTCTAAAATAAAGAAATGATCAGGCCAGGTGCAGTGGCTCACGCCTGTAATCCCAGCACTTTGGGAGGCCGAGGTGGGCAGATCACCTGAGGTCAGGAGTTCGAGACCAGCCTGGCTAACATGGTGAAACCCTGTTTCTACTAAAAATACAAAAAATTAGCTGGGCATGGTGGTGTGCACCTGTAATCCCAGCTACTCAGGAGGCTGAGGCAGAAGAATGGCTTGGACCCCAGAGGCGGAGGTTGCAATGAGCTGAGATCGCGCTATTGCACTATAGCTTGGGCAACAGGAGTGAAACTCAGTTTCAAAAAAAAAAAAAAAAAAAGAAAAGAAAAGAAAAAAGAAATGACCATGTGCTTAAAATCCTTCATCATTCCCCCATTGTTTATATAATAATGCCAAATTTATTTTTTAATTTTTAATTTTGTTGTGGGTACATAGTTGATGTGTATATTTGTTGGGAATAGGCCCCCCAAAATCTGGCCATAAACTGGCCCCAAAACTGGCCATGAACAAAATCTCTGCAGCACTGTGACATGATGGCCATGATGCTCACGCTGGAACGTTGTGGGTTTACCGGAATGAGGGCAAGGAACACCTGGCCCACCCAGGGCGGAAAACTGCTTAAAGGCGTTCTTAAACCACAAAAAATAGCATGAGCGATCTGTGCCTTAAGGACACGCTCCTGCTGCAGATAACCATCTCTTTATTTCGGCAGATCCCTTTGTTTCCCATAAGGAATACTTTTAGTTAATCTATAATCTATAGAAACAATGCTTATCACTGACTTGCTGTTAATAAATACTTGAGTAAATCTCTGTTCGAGACTCTCGGCTCTGAAGGCTGAGACCCCTGATTTGCCACTCCACATCTCTATATTTCTGTGTGTGTGTGTGTCTTTAATTCCTCTAGCGCTACTGGGTTAGAGTCTCCTCGACCGAGCTGGTCTCAGCATATATTTATGGAGTACATGAGATGTTTTGATACAGGCATGCAGTGAGTAATAATCACATCATGGAGAATGGGGTATCCATCCCCTCAAGCATTTATCCTTTGTGTTAAAAACAATCCAATTACACTCTTTTTGTTATTTTAAAATGTACAATTAAATTATTACTGACTATAGTCACCCTGTTGTGCTGTCAAATAGTAGGTCTTACCATTCTTTCTGGCTATTTTTTTTGTGCCCATTAAACATTTCCCCCACCCCACCACTACCCTTCCCAGCCTCTGGTAACCATCCTTTCATTCCATCTCCCTGAGTTCAATTGCTGTGATTTTTAGGTCCCACAAATAAGTGAGAACATGTGATGTTTGTCTTTCTGGGCCTGACTTATTTTAGTTAACATCATAATCTCCACTTCCATCCATGTTGTTGCAAATGACAGGATCTCATTCTTTTTTATGGCTGAATAGGACTCCATTGTGTATATGTACCATATTTTGTTTATCCATTCATCAGTTGATGGACACTCAAGTTGTTTCCGAATATTAGCTATTGTGAACAGTGCTGCAACAAACATAGGAGTGCCGATATCACTTCGATATACTGACTTCCTTTCTTTTGGGCATATACTCAGCAATGGGATTGCTGGATCGTATTGTAGCTCAATTTTCAGTTTTTTGAGGAACCTCCAAACTGTTGTCCATAGTAGTTGTGCTAATTTACACTCCCACCAACAGTGTACAAGGGTTCCCTTTTCTTCTTATTCTCACCAGCATTTGTTATTGCCTGTCTTTTGGATAAAAGCCATTTTAACTAGGGTAAAATGATATCTTACTGTAGTTTTGATATGCATTTATCTGATGGTCAATGATGTTGAGCACCTTTTCAGATGCCAGTTTGCCATTTGTATGTCTTCTTTTGAGAAATGTCTATTCAAATATTTTGCCCATTTTTTGATCAGATTATTACATTTTTTTCTATAGAGTTGTTGGAGCGCCTTATATATTTTGGTTATAAGTCCCTTGTCTGATGGGCAGTTTGCAAATGTTTTCTCCCATTCTGTGGGTTGTCTCTTCACTTTGTAAATTGTTTTCTTTGTTGTGCAGAAGTTTTTTAACTTAATGTGAACCCGTTTGTCTAGTTTTGCTGTGATTGCATGTGCTTGTGGGTTATTACTCAAGAAATTTTTGCCCAGACCAATGTCCTGGAGATTTCCCCCAATGTTTCACTGTAGTAGTTTCATAGTTTGAGGTCTTAGATGTAAGTCTTTAGGCCGGGCGTAGTGGCTCATACCTGTAATACCAGAACTTTGGGAGGCTAAGGAGGGTGGGTCACTTGAGGTCAGAAGCTCGAGGCCAGCCTGGCCAACTCAGTGAAACCCCGCCTCTACTAGTAATACAAAAATTAGCCAGGCGTGATGGCACATGCCTGTAATCCCGGCTACGTGGGAGGCTGAGACACAAGAATTGCTTGAACCTGGGAGATGGAGGTTGCAGTGACCTGAGATTGTGCCACTGCACTCCAGCCTGGGTGACAGAGCAAGAGAAACTCTGTCTCAAAAAAAAAAAAAAAAAAGAAAAAGAAAAATGAAAAAAAATTTAAGTCCTTAATCCATTTTAATTTGATTTTTATATGTGGCAAGAGATAGGGGTCTAGTTTCATTCTTCTGTATGTGGATATCCAGTTTTCCCAGCACAACTTATTGAAAAGACTGTCTCTTCAACATTGTATATTCTTGGAATGTTTGTCAAAAATGAGTTCACTGTAGATGTGTGGATTTGTTTCTGAGTTCTCTATTCTGTTCCATTGGTCTGTGTGTCTGTTTTTATACCAGTGCCATGTGCTTTTGATTACCATAGCTCTGTAGTATCATGTGGAGTCAGGTATTGTGATTTCTCCAGATTTGTTCTTTTTGCTTAGGATAGCTTTGGAATCACTCTTCTGTGACTTCATATGAATTTTAGGATAATTTTTTTCTATTTCTGTGAAGAGTGTAATTATTATTTTGATAGGGATTGCATTGAATCTGTAGATTGTTTTGGGTAGTATGGACATTTTAACACTATTGATTCTTTCAATCCGTGAACAGGGAATATCTTTGCATTTTGTGATGTCCTCTTCAATTACTTTCATTAGTGTTTTATAGTTTTTATTATAGTTATCTTTCAATGCTTTGGTTAATTCCTAGGTATTCAATTTTATTTGTGGCTACAGTAAGCGGGATTACTTTTGTGTGTGTGTGTGTGTGTGTGTTTTGCAAGTGTTTATAATTTTTTTAACTTTCATTTTAAGTTCAGGGGTACATGTGCAGGATGTGCTGGTTTGTTACATAGGTAAACTTGTGTCATAGGGGTTTGTTGTACAGATTATGTCATCACCCATGTGTTAAGCCTAGTACCCATTAGTTATTTTCCTGATTCTCTCCCTCCTCCCCACTTCTACCCTCCAACAGGCCCCAGTTGTGTTGTTCCCCTCTATGTGTCTGTGTGTTCTCATCATTCAGCTCCCACTTATAAGTGAGGACATGCTGTATTTGGTTTTCTGTTCCTGTGTTAGTTTGCCAAGGATAATGGCTCCAGCTCCTTCCATGTCCCTGCAAAGGACATGGTCTTTCTCTTTTTTTTTTTTTTACTGCTGCATAGTACTCCATGGTGTATATGTACCACATGTTCTTTATCCAGTCTATCATTGGTGGGCATTTAGGTTGATTCCATGTCTTATAAGGATTACATTTTTAAATTTGTTTTTCACATTTTTCACTGTTGGCATATGGAAATGCTACAGATTTTTGTATGTTAATTTTGTATCCTGCAACTTTACTGAATTCGTTTATGAGTTCTAATAGTTTTTCGGTGGAGTCTTCAGGTTTTTCCAAATAGAAGATCATATAGTCTGCAACATGGATAATTTGACCTCTTCCTTTCCTATTTGGATGTCCTTTATTTCTCTCCCTTGTCTGATTGCTGTAGCCAGGACTTCCAGTACTGTGTTGAATAAAAGTGGTGAAAGTGGACATCCTTGTAATGTTACAGATCTTAGAGGAAAGATTTTCATATTCAGTATGATACTAGCTGTGAGTGTGTCATATATGGCTTTTATTATGTTGAGGTATGTTCCTTCTATACTCAGTTGTTTTAGGGTTTTTATTATGAAGAGATGCTGAATTTTATCAAATGCTTTTTCAGCATGAATTGAAATGATCATATGGTTTTTACCCTTCATTCTATTGATATGCTGTATCAATCAATATGATTGATTTGCATATGTTGAACCATCCTTGCATCCCAGGGATAAATCCCACTTGGTCATGATGAATGATCTTTTTAATGTATTGTTGAATTCAGTTTGTTAGTATTTTATTGAGGATTTTTCATCAATATTTATCAGAAGTATTGGCCTGTAGTTTTCTTTTTTTGATGTGTCTTTGTCTGGTTTTGGTATCACGGTAATACTGAATGCCAAAAAGTTTTAGTATGGCATTCAAGCCCTTTCTCATCTGACCCTGGCCACCTCTCCTGCCACTTCCATCCATGCAAACCATATTCTAGGGGAGCATCTCACTCTTCTGCTAATGCATTCTGTCTCCTACCCCTGTGTCTTCTGTGACCTGGCTGTATTTTCACCTGAAATGCCCTTTCCCCTTTTTCCCCCATGGCAGTTTCCTCTCCAGCCTTCAAGCCTGTGTGAAGTTTTCTCTCATCTTTTAGCCAGATTCTCCTCTATTGTCTGTGTTGCCACAATCCCTTGTACTTTTTCAGTTACAGACTGGACTTTGTGGTCTTGAAAATGGGATAATGCCTAACTTCTCTTGGCCATTGCAATAACAGAACAGTGCTGCACTCTGTGAATAGAGGATTTTAAGATGGCAAATTGATAATTTCATTGGTTGAGTTAATGAATTGGTTGTTCAGCATTATGTAGGACAGCTTTAACAGCCCACATGAACCAGGGACTCTTCACAGCCCATGAAATTGCCTGGAAGAAAAAGTGCAAATGGTTGCCTGACTTCCACCTCATTAGAGATCTAGTGTCCATCCCTGATCATCTTTGTCAAAGTTTTACATGTGGGAGTCTTTTTTTTTTTTAGACAAGGTCTCGCTCTGTCACCCAGGCTGGAGTGCAGTGGTGCGATCATAGCTCACTTCAGCCTCGATCCTCCAGCTTCAAGCCATCCTCCCGGCTCAGCCTCCCAAGTAGTTGGGACTGCAGGTGTGCACCACCATGCCAGGCTATTTTTTCTTTCTTTTTTAGCAGAAACTAGATCTTGCTAAGTTGCCCAGGCTTGTATGGGAACCTCTTAGTGGAAACTCAGCATACATATGGACCACCATTTTTTAAAAAAGATGTAATTCACATGCCATAAAATTCACTGTTTTTCAAGTGTGCAATTCAGTGTTTTTTTTTTAAATTATATTCATGAAGTTGTACAACCATTACCACTAATTCTGGAACATTTTTTATCAACCCTAAAAGAAATCCCATATCCATTAATATAGACCTCTAGTTTTAGGAAAGTGAAATAAAATAAAAAAAAAAGAATCAGAATTTAGCAAGAAAAAACAGCTTTAAAAAAGTAATTAAAAATTTTATCTCACTCAGAGTAATGAAATCATATGCAGTCTCTTGCCATGTGTGTATCCATATCAAAACAGAATGCTTCAGAAGCAGACTCCATAACTGAGCAATTTTTCTTATTCTCTGCACTCTCTATTTATATTAACTTAGAAGTCCTAACTCTCAATTATAGGTTATTGGAAATGAGAGCAAATGTTTTGTGGTTCTGTTAGACAGTTCTGGATATTTGGATCAAACAAGGCATCTTGTTGATTATACACTCAACAGTCATCAAATTGATGTTGATTTAATGATTATTTTATTATTCTGTACACGCTTTCCACAGTTCATCTATATTTTACTGAATTTTTTTGTACAGTTTTTTGTTTTGCCTGAAATAAATAATTTTCTTTGGGGGGTACTTAGTTTTCCATATACATTTCATTAATTCTTCCCTAAACAATTTAATAGAAGGATAGCATCTTCTTATGGAATTTAGAATGCTTTTCATTGCAGGTAGCATCAGGTCCAACCTAAACAAAATAGCTTTTAAAGAAGATTTCCTCACTGATAAAGAAGTCTGTAGCTAGGGCTTTTTGTGGTTGGTTACTTCAGTGACAATTACAATGTCATTATGAATACAGGTGCTTTTCACATTTCTGTTTTGCCAGCCACAGCATGTTGATTTTTTGTTTCCAGGCTTAACCTCTCATGATCATAAGATGACTATTATAGCTCCAAGTATCACTTCCATACACCAAAGGCAGGAAGAGGAACACTTCTTCGTCCCTCTTCCTTTTCTCTCCCTTTATTTCTTTTTTCTTATATATAGGTAAGGAGAGACTTTCCTAAAATTCTAAGATAGACTTAATGTCCCATTGATCAAGATTGGATCTCATGTCCATGGTCTTGCTAAAAGGAAAGTACAATTGCCCAACATTTTTAGCCTCCACTGAAGGAGATGGACTCTGTTGTGTAAGAATAAAAATGGGATAGTTGTGGGTAAGCAACAAGAGTATATACCACTTCCTATCATTATGATCAAATACATAAGGAAATATGTCACTTCCATTTATTTTTCTTGGAGTCACCCTTCCTCAAGCACTACATTCTCCTGTTCCAATTTGGAGTGATTGTCACTAGACTTGCCATATGGCTATTGTCCTGATGTTTCTCTTTATCATTGTCTGGGGAATTCTCTTTGCTTCTTTTCCACAATAGATCTCCTGTTTCCTGGATACCCTTTTCTTCTATTTTCTTCATGGAGCACGTTATTCAATGGCTCCCTGAGAAAAGTTTCCTGAGAGGAAATTTCATAATATATTGCATGTCTTAAAATGTTATTCTGGGCCAGGTGCGATGGCTTATGCCTATAATCCCAGCACTTTGGGAGGCCGAGCCAGATGGATGACTTGAGCTCAGGAGTTCGAGACCAGCTTCTGCAACATAGCAAAACCCCGTCTTTACAAAAATCACAAAAATTAGCCAGACATTGTGGCATGCACCTGTAGTCCCAGCTACTTGGGGGTGCTAAGGTAGGAGGATCCATTAAGCCCAGGAAGTAGAGTCTCTGAATTGCGTTTGCAACCACTGCACTCTAGCCTGGATGACAAAGTGCGACCCTGTCTCAAAACAAACAAACAATAAACAAGCAAACAAAAATGTTATTCTATCCTCATGTTTGATTGAGCATTGGGTTTACTACAGAATTCTAAGTAAGAAATAATTTTCTCTCAGATTTTTAAGGGGATTGCCTCATTGTTTTCCAAGTTCCAGTGCTGTTAATGAGAGGTATGGTATTATTCTGATTCTTTTCTAGTTTGTTTTTATTTTTTGTACATGATGTTTATTTCTCTCTGGAATCTTTCAGGTCTTATCCTCATTCCTTGATGTTCTAAACATTTATAATAATGTGCTTTGGTGTCTTTTTTTCATTAAGTTTGCTAGGCATTCAGTGGGTTCTTTTAATTTGGAAATGCATTTTCTTCAGTTCTACAAAATTTCCGTGCTTTATTTTTTTGACAATGTTTTTCGCCTCCACTTTGTTCTTTTTTTCTGGAATTCCTACAAGGTTAATGTTGAACATCTCTTTTGCACCAACTTAATACTTCATTCGGATTTTCTTAGTCTCACCTAACATCCTTTTTCTGCTCCAGGATCCCGTTCAGGATACCACATTACATTTAGTCATCATGTCTTAGGCTCCTCTTGGCTGTGAGAGTTTCTCAGACTTTCCATGTTTTTGATGACCTTAGTAGTGTTGAGGAGGATTGGTCAGGTATTTTGTAGAATGCCTCTCCATTGGAATTTGTCTGATGTTCTTATGATTAGATGGGAGTAATAGGTTTTCGGAAAGGCCAGAGAAATAAAATTTCACTTTCATCATATACTATTAAGGATATTATCAACATAACATCGCTATTGCTATTAATCTTGATCACCTGGCTGAATGGTGCTTCTCAGATTTCTCTACTGCAAAGTCATTCTTTTCTCTCATTTTATAATGTACTCTTTGGAAGGAAGTCATCATGCACAGATCACATTTAAGGAGTGGGGAGGTATGATTCACCCTCTTAAGAGCAGAGTATCTAAGTTACTTGAAATTTTTTTGCATGGGAGATGTTCTATTTTCTCTCATGTATTTATTCCATCATTTGTCTGTATTAGTATGGACACATTTATTTATTTTATCTTTGGCTTATAATTCTGTAGCCCATTATTTATTCTGTGGCTCAAATTGTCCTAGTTTCGGTCATTAAGGAGTTCTTTTAGTTGGCTCCTGTATCACTTTGACATACCCTCATTGTTTTCTGATTTGAGCACTTCCTTGCTTCCTTGAACTATTAGATGTTTCAGGATCATCTTGTATATTCCCTGCCCCAGTCCAGAATCAACCAGTTATCCTAGGAGCTCTAGCTCTTTTTTATTGGAGAATGGTATTAGGAAACAATATTTGAGCATTAGGTTGTCATCCTGCTTTTAATTTGTGTTATCTTATTGCATTTTATGTACCCTTATAAGTGGCCTAAAATTCCTTCTGAAATAAAGCAGAATAAAATAAATAAATAAATAAGATTCACTTTAAACAGTAGATCTGAAACTTAAACCCAGATATTTTCTCTCCAGATCTTATTTTCCTTTGGCATAAACCAAACCCAATATCTCTCAAGAGATACAGAAAGGCAGAGACATACTTTAGAGTTTAATGTTGATTATACATTTGTGGCTTGGCATTCAGTATCTTTAATAGTTCTAGCCCAGTTAGCATTGTCTCCCACTATTTTCCTATAAACATAAACACAAACACAAACACAGAAGTACTTATTAATTACTGAAAATGCCATCCATATTCTTTGAAAAATTAACATTTTTGACTAAACATGTGATAGATATAAATAAGTAATATATGAAATGATTCTCTTTGTAAGAAATTTTTAAAAATCCTAAGGACATATATCATTTCTAAGCCTCCATGTGGCCTATATGTCTTATTTATGTTATATACTTTGGGAAATTCTTCTCTTCCTGAGAGTTGAATTCAAATGTCACATTATCCATGTCTCCTTCCCAATTTCCTTGATCTGAGTGAATTTCTCTTTCTGTTGAACCCACAATGATTCATTCACACCTTATTTTTTAAGGCTTTGCATTCTATTGAAGATGAGTCTGCATTGTCTGTAAGATTATGAATTTCTTGAGGATAGGAACTGACTTTATGCATCTCTGTGTTCCCCCAAAATTATTACCACTTCCTGACACATAATCTGTACTTAATAAATGTTTATTAAGTAAATGAAAGGACAAATAAAATATAAATTAGTATATGCCTTATTTTCAGAACTACACCAATAGTATAAAAGGAGCAACAGACTAGGAGTTAGTAAATCTTGATTTTACATTGAAATTATTCATTGTAGCACTATCTATAATATAAAAGGTCTGTAAAACCTCCAAGTAAGTTAATCAAAACAGGACTAGTTGAATAAACTATAGTAGATCCATTCAATGGAATACTACACACTGTAAAAAAAAAAAAAGGAAGGAAGATATATCGTTAAGTGAAAAGAACAAGTTAGAGGAAAGTTTGTATAATGAAAATATGACTGAGTTAATGAATTATAGGCCTGAACCCAAACAAAACAAAACAACAATGATTAACTCTAGGAGGTGAGGAGAAAATTGTGGAGGTAACTATGATAGAGGTTAGCCCTTCCTGAATATATCTTGTGACACAGTTTTGACTTTGAAACCATGTAAACTGTAGAAAAATTATAAAACAAAATTAAAGATTTATAAAGCTATTTTCATACAAAGCAAAGTAAAACAAGTGAATCTGATTGTGCATTGAGGGGGTGGCATAACAAGAGATAGTTTTGTTTTTTATTTTTTGATGGAGTCTTGCTCTGCTGCCCAGGCTGGAGTGCAGTGGCACGATCTCGGCTCACTGCAGCCTCTGCCTCCCGAGTTCAAGCGATTCTCCTGCCTCAGCCTCCCAAGTAGCTGGGACTATAGGCGTGCGCCGCCACTCCCAGCTAATTTTTTGTATTTTTAGTAGAGACAGGGTTTCACTATGTTGGCCAGGCAGGTCTCGAACTCCTGACCTCATGATCTACCCCCCTCGGCCTCCCAAAGTGCTGGGATTACAGGCGTGAGCCACCATGCCTGGCCAACCAGAGACAGGTTTTTAAAGTGAATTTGAAACATAGTAACTGGACTGTTCATCCCTATTGGGATAGGTTTTGAAGACAAAAAATGTGAATGACAAAGAAAAAGGAATTAAACTGTTTGTAGTAGTTGTGTTGTTTGTAAGAATATTGGCATTGTTATTCCAAAACTATTGCACATATTGTAGCACATATATAAAACAGCATAAAAAAGAATATGAATCTGATCAAGCCTCTACAACTATTTCTCATTTACAGGAAACACATGGACCATAGAAACATGTTAGGTGGCATCGTAGAGACAGATGCAACCAACCAAGTACAGAATGTGGGAAAGTTGACAAGATAAAGATGCAGTTTCTTCAACAAACAAATCACAAAGAAAACAAAACAGTAAGTGTATGTGGTTATATATTAAAAGAGATTTAAGAGACATACCAAACAAATTCTTTGTCTTTTCTTCCATTAAGGGGTAAATTCTAATTTCCCTTCCTTTGAATCTGAGCTGGCCTTAATGACTTGCCTGACCGATAGGAAGTTGTGAAAGTGACATTCTGGGAATTCTTGGGCTAGGTCATAAGAAGCCTGGCAGGTGCCACATGGGCCTCTTGCAGCGCTGCCTCCAGTATTCCTGAAGCTCCACATAAGAAGTCTGAGTACTCTTAGACCAACATACTGGAGAGGCCAGTATGTGTAGGTGCAGGTGCAGTCATGTGAATGATGCCATGTTGAATCCTCCAGGCCAGCCATTGTCAACGTCACATGAACCAGGAGGATCACCTAGCCAGCTCTTCCTCAAATTTCTTACCCATATTATTGTGAGATGTAATAAAATGGTTGTTGATTTAAGCCACTAAGTTTTGGAGTAATTTGTTATATAACTATAGATAACCAGAATAACATCTAATATTTTAAGACATAAATTAAAATCTAGTGTTAGTAGAATCTGGTTTGCAGGGGAAAACGATAAGAAAGAAAACAAGAGACATTTGTGAGGGTGCACAATTTGTAAGGTAACACTCTATTGTGATGATGATAATGATACTTTATAAGTCATGTGGTAAAATTCAGGAATTAATTTGCTTTATTCGAGATTTAAAAAATAATGAATGACAGGAAATTGGTTTGGGAAGGGAGAGAAAAACAGATGCATAATTATTTCTTTCATTATGAATGTACATTCCTGACATCTCTGAGGGCTAAGATTGTCCTGCAGGGAATATGATTAAAGTTACAAAAGACGAAAACAAAATAAATAAGTCAGCTTTTGATCCTGCTGCTATATTTACCCACAAGAAAGGAGGCAGCTCTCAGGTGGGCTTTTGTCTAAGTAATGTCCTGAAATCCAAGTGTAAAAGAACAATATGAAATCTCAATTCTCCCAAACGGTTTGGGGCGAGTTCAGCCCTTGAGCCCCTGGGGGACTTGGTTCCCAAGGAGACTAATCCCACTTGCACAGCATTAAGCGTCACTGGGGTGAAAGAGCTCTAGTTTGGAGTTCTGCAGAGAGCCCCTACTGCAGGCTGGAGCCGGGTCCCTCTGCTCCATAGGAAGTGAAATGTATTGATGTCAAAGCCACTCAAATGAATGTGCTCACTCAGGGAGTAGGAGGAGGGACTGATGGGCTTGGCTAGAGCTGGCTACTAACTTTACTGAAACCAATTTCATTCCAGATAGAGCTCTTCCTCAAAGGAAAGGAGATCAAGGGAAAAAGCAGCCAAGGCCTTGAGGCTGGGTCTATATGTACAATTTAGTTGGACAGTGGAAGCTCTAAGGATTTATTTTGGTCTCAGGTATAGAATTACTTCAAGCAGAAGCTGTTCTTTGTTGCCCTATTGCCTACATTTTCCCATAAACACCACTGCTTTCATTTAGCCATGCCTCTGCCCAGGCTGTTCTCTCTGCCACAGATATTGTGTGTTTGCTTTACACAGTCAGATATATCATTTAAGTCTTAGCTCAAATGCTGCATGTCTATGCAGCCTTCTCCAACTCCTGTGGGCAGACTTGAGGGTCCTTTTACTTCCATTGGACATGTATCACATTATATTACAATGGCTTGTTTGCATATTTGTCTTTCCACCCAAAGGGTAGAAATCATGGCTTCTTATCTCTGTATCCCCAGTACTAGCATAGCGCTGAGCACATTGTGGGTGTCAATATCTTTCTGTTGGAAAAAATCAGTGACTGGATGGATATTTATTTGTAAGGATCAATTTTGTGAATCAGGCTATAGAACTTCTAAGCCATGAATTTCAGCTCCATGGTTTACAAAAACTTCAATTTCCATTATCTTATTGATTTTCACAATAGCCCTATCAAATAGGATTATGTTATTATTCCCCATTTATGGATGGGAACATCGAGGTCCTGAAGGTTAAGTGACTTTTCCATAGGCAGTCAGATAATAAAGGCAGGACTGGACTCCAGTGTCAGTCTCCGGCTCCAGTTTTAGCACTCTCTCTCCTGTATTTCATTGTCTTTTTGTAAGTTTCTACAACCCCCAAGTATAGCTACTCTCTTGCATTTGAAAATAGTCACTCACTTTGCTGAGGGAAAGGACAAATGATGCTGGTTTCATAGGGTAATGTGTTGGTAAGGAATGGGTGGGGCCTAAGGAATCAAGAACATGGACATTTGTTGAACTGCTATTTTGTGTGAGGTGCTTTTATATATACCATCTCACAACAACCTTGAGGAGTTGAGATTATCTCCACTGTGCAGGTGAGAAAAGTAAGATTCAGAGGCATTACTTGCCTGTTATGTCATGTAATTCTCACCCTGAGAACAATTATGACCATTCCCTTTTTTCAGATAAGGAGTTTGAGCCTTTGGAATATGAACTGACTTGTCCAAGCAGTTCAATAGCAATAGGCAGGGCCAGAATTTGAACCTGGCCTCATCTAACTTCAAATCAACTTTGATGTGCAGAACTCCAATAGAAATGAAGAAAGACTTTTACATATGAAGCTTTTCATATTCCATTTATTTTGAATATGATTTTAGGATTTAGATAACCCTGGGGATTAAGAGTTTTTTCGGAATAAGATGTCGATTAAATGTAGAGTACTGTGCAATTGGTGTCCAAGGACTTGTAAGAGTGCTCAGTTGACAGAAGGTGAAAAAAAAAAAAAGTTAGTGCTTTTGGCTGCCAGACCTGGAAGCCTATGGAATGGCCCTGTTGGAAAGGGGATGGGCAGTGCTGACATCCACATCTGGAGTGGAAGAAGCACAAATCAGTGACAGGTCTGCACAATTTTCTGAATGTGAATACCACCAAGAGTAAAACAGACAGTTCGGCCATGGAGGACAAAATGCTGTGTGTAACTCAAATGAAAAGTCCATGATAATTGAGCCAATTTGAATTTAAAATAAAAAGTTTGGCTCAGCTATGTGGGTTTGGGAAGTGGCTACTTCATCTTCTAAATGAAAAATGTTCATCTGGCCTTTTTTCTTTCTTTCTTTTTTATTATACTTTAAGTTCTAGGGTACATGTGCACAATGTGCAGGTTTGTTACGTATGTATACATGTGCCATGTTGGTGTGCTGCACCCATTAACTTGTCATTTACATTAGGTATATCTCCTGACGCTATCCCTCCCCCATCCCCCCACCCCACGACAGGCCCCGGTGTGTGATGTTCCCCACCCTGTGTCCAAGTGTTCTCATTGTTCATTTCCCACCTGTGCAGTGTTTGGTTTTCTGTCCTTGCGATAGTTTGCTCAGAATGATGGTTTCCAGCTTCATCCATGTCCCTACAAAAGACATGAAGTCATCCTTTTTTATGGCTGCATAGTATTCTATGGTGTATATGTGCCACATTTTCTTAATCCAGTGTATCACTGATAGACATTTGGGTTGGTCCCAAGTCTTTGCTATGTGAATAATAGTCTTTGCTATGTGCCACAATAAACATACGTGTGCACGTGTCTTTATAGCAGCAAGATTTATAATACTTTGGGTATATACCCAGTAATGGGATGGCTGGTTCAAATGGTATTTCTAGTTCTAGATCCTTGAGGAATCGCCACACTGTCTTCCACAATGGTTGAACTAGTTTACAGTCCCACCAACAGTATAAAAGTGTTCCTATTTCTCCACATGCTCTCCAGCACCTGTTGTTTCCTGACTTTTTAATGATCGTCATTCTAACTGGTGTGAGATGGTATCTCATTGCGGTTTTGATTTGTATTTCTCTGATGGCCCATCTGGCCTTTTTTCTTTGGTAAGGCTGTGCCTTCATGGTGTTCAAAAATGGTTTCGCTACATCTACAAAGTGAGGCTTAATAAAAAGAGTTTTGAAAGAGATGGTCTATGTCTCTCCTATGCAAGCTCTGTATCGAAACTAGAGTAACTTATTTAGAGAACACTTTATCACACACACAGTGTTTTCATATAGAGACAGTCCCCAACTTATGATGGTTCAACTTTATGATTTTCCAACTTGAATCAGTGTATTACATGCATTTTAACCTACAATATTTTCAACTTACAATGTGTTTATCAGGATGTTGTTGCTCTATCACAAATTGAGAAGCATCTATGATCTCACTTAATGCTCATGAACACCCTATGATCCAGAAGACACGTAAGGGATATAGTCACCTTTTTGTGTTTCAGAGAAGTAAGGGTGAATACTCATCCAGGCTATGGAACAATGTATCATTTAAATATCACAAGTGCCCTGTGGGGAGGGCAACTTTACCTGCATTTAACATGAGTAAGCTAAACAGAGAGAGTACGCTGGTTTGTCTAAAGCCATGCACTCAGCAGAGCAAGGATTTCAACCTAAGTCATGAGGTTATTGAGTGGTGGCTAAGACCAGAACCCAAGCCTCTTCTGAATCTCTTGTGAAAATGACCTTATTGCTCATTTTCTCTATCTATCCCAAAGAGGATTGCCCAGGTGAAATTAGTTTTAAGTGAACTTCATGATGATCCCTGAAATGCAATGAAAATTCCAGGGATAACCTAAATGGTATGACAGGTAGGGGAGAGGTTCCAATCCATCTTTTATTCTAACATGCTGAGAGTTTTATACACACACAGTGTTCTCAAGTAACAGGGGGCTTAGCCAGATCGACTCCTTTCTCCATTGCCTCCTGCTATGTGTTAATAAAAGATGGGCCACTGCTGGCCTCAATTTACTGTTAGCCAATTGTTACTCGTAACAATCAAGTGGCAAACAGTCAAGAAGAAAGAGCACTGGGCTTGAGAATCCTGGGAAAACTCAGGTTAGAATCTTAGGATCAGGTCTAGAGCTTTAAGAAATACTCATTTTCCTTCCCCATCTTAATAGATGAGAAAGGCAAGGGCAAGAGAGGACGCAAGTATTGTCAAGGGCTTAGGAATGGCTTT
Source organism: Homo sapiens (assembly GCF_000001405.40). Classification (NCBI taxonomy): domain Eukaryota; kingdom Metazoa; phylum Chordata; class Mammalia; order Primates; family Hominidae; genus Homo; species Homo sapiens. The sequence continues at coordinate 82,734,408 of NC_000011.10, read as the reverse complement.
GGAGTCAGAATGGGCTAGATCTGACTTTGGCCAACTCACTGAACCTCCCTGAGGTGCAGTGTCCACGTTTGTTGAATGGCGATAACATGTAATTCACAGGGCTGTTGTTCAAGGATTAAATGAGATAATAGATGGACAGCGCCTGGCAGAAGCAAGCGCCCAGAAGCTGGTGGGTGTTGTTATACAGCTGGACTGAAACCCACGTCTCTAGACTCCTGCCTTCTTGCCTCAGGAGAGGCACCACCGCAAGTACCTGCAGAAGCCTATCAAGCGCTGCAGCGGCCTCATGGGCCTGAACTGGAGTTTGAGACCAGCCATCTCTTCCTCACCCCTTGCGGTTAGAGGAGTCAAGAGAAACACCACGGGGCAAAGGGAAACGAAGGAGTTAAGGCGTTGAGCTTCAGAAAGCTCAGAAAACTAAAGCGACCCCCCACTCCTCCAAGCCAGGCTAAGTAAGCCCCTCCCCTCTACCACCGGGACGGTCGCCGCGCGCTCCCTCCCTCCGCCCCTTGCTTACAAGACCTAATGAGCTCCCCCGGGAGGCAGCGCAGCGAGCCAGGCCCGGAACTAGTAGGCTGCGCCGCGCGCGCCGCGCCGGGGCGGGAGCTGGGTCTGGGCGGCGGGCAGGAGCTGGCGGGGGCGCACGGGCAGCGCTGCGGACAGCCCGGGAGCCGCGGCGATGGCGGTGCAGGCGGCGCTCCTCAGCACGCACCCTTTCGTGCCCTTCGGCTTCGGGGGCTCCCCGGACGGGCTAGGGGGCGCCTTCGGAGCCCTGGACAAGGGCTGCTGTTTCGAGGACGATGAGACCGGGGCTCCGGCGGGTGCGCTGCTGTCGGGAGCCGAAGGAGGGGACGTGCGCGAGGCCACCCGCGATCTACTCAGCTTCATTGACTCGGCGTCCAGCAACATCAAGCTGGCGCTGGACAAGCCGGGCAAGTCGAAGCGGAAGGTGAACCACCGCAAGTACCTGCAGAAGCAGATCAAGCGCTGCAGCGGCCTCATGGGCGCCGCGCCCCCCGGCCCGCCCTCCCCGAGCGCCGCCGACACGCCAGCCAAACGGCCGCTGGCCGCCCCTAGCGCCCCGACAGTCGCGGCCCCGGCCCACGGCAAGGCTGCCCCCCGGCGGGAGGCGTCGCAGGCCGCCGCGGCCGCCAGCTTGCAAAGCCGAAGTCTGGCCGCGCTCTTCGACTCGCTGCGCCACGTCCCCGGGGGTGCCGAGCCGGCGGGGGGTGAGGTGGCTGCGCCGGCGGCCGGGCTAGGAGGTGCGGGCACTGGGGGCGCGGGAGGGGACGTGGCAGGCCCCGCGGGGGCCACGGCGATCCCAGGGGCCAGGAAGGTCCCGCTGCGGGCACGCAATCTGCCTCCGTCCTTCTTCACGGAGCCGTCCCGGGCAGGCGGCGGCGGGTGTGGCCCGTCGGGGCCGGACGTGAGCTTGGGCGACCTGGAGAAGGGCGCGGAGGCCGTGGAGTTCTTTGAGCTGCTGGGGCCCGACTACGGCGCCGGCACGGAGGCGGCAGTCTTGCTTGCCGCCGAGCCTCTCGACGTGTTCCCCGCCGGAGCCTCCGTACTGCGGGGACCCCCGGAGCTGGAGCCCGGCCTCTTTGAGCCGCCGCCGGCAGTGGTGGGAAACCTACTGTACCCCGAGCCCTGGAGCGTCCCGGGCTGCTCCCCGACCAAAAAGAGCCCCCTGACTGCCCCCCGCGGCGGCTTGACCTTGAACGAGCCCTTGAGCCCCCTGTACCCCGCCGCTGCGGATTCTCCCGGCGGGGAGGACGGGCGGGGCCATTTGGCCTCTTTCGCCCCCTTCTTTCCAGACTGCGCCCTGCCCCCGCCGCCGCCGCCCCATCAGGTGTCCTACGATTACAGCGCGGGCTACAGCCGCACCGCCTATTCCAGCCTTTGGAGATCCGACGGGGTTTGGGAAGGGGCGCCGGGGGAGGAGGGGGCGCACCGGGACTGACTTCGAGGCACGCTTCCCTTCATTAGAGACGGCTGTGGAGAGCGCCGCGCCTCCGTGGGTTTCTCCTAAATCTGAAGAACGATGGGAAAATGCACGTGGAGATGAAACCAGATTTTTAAAAATTCAATTAATAAAAGCAACTTCAGAAAAAAGAGATGAAGACGAGTTGGGGATTGTTTAATCACAACCTCAAGTGTTAAAACAAAAACAAACAAACACGTTTGTAGGTTCTTACTGGACCAGAGGAGTCAAGAAACCAAGATGGTTTGGGGTATGGGGTGGGGACGGCAAAAGGGGTAAGAGCTGGCTTCTGTAGCCACCTGTCCCTTCTATTTTTCAGCGAAGGTCAGTGTATTTAGTGTAATTACCCCTTCTAAACAGTGTCCTAGTCCCTCCCTTCCCTCTCCTTGAGTGCATTTTGAATTAAAGCCTATATTGAAAAGAATGGAGGTGAGACTTACTGATTTGGGTGTTTTCTTACAGGACGGTTTTCCGTCTGGTCGCTTAGCTTTGTTAGGTGAGCCTGTGGCTGAGGGAGGAGGCCGGTGGTCCACTGCTGACCTCCTGTGCTTGTCCTTGGGTAGGGTTCTCTTCTGTCACGGTTTAACTCTTTTTTCTGCCCGCTTCCTGCTTCCATCTCCCTCCACCCTTATCACAGTCCCAGTGCTTACTTTCCTTCTTTCTTTGCCTGGCCTCTCATTATTCTATTTCTTTCGGCCGGCTTTTCTTGCACATCTCTTTTGTAGGAGACTTAAATTTGGCAAACCTGGGTTCCATTTCTCTCCTGTCTTTTCCCCATTTTCCAGCCACTTTGGGAGGGAGAGGGTGGGCAAACTGTAACCTCTTTGTATCAATTTTCGTGATCTGAGAGGGTGAAGACGGTAATGTTCTTCTACTCACTTCACAACTGGTTGGGTAGCTCAGAGGGAAATAAGTAAAATGTCTTGAGGCTGTGGCAGTGCTTGATTGGTTCTGCTGTGTATATATAAATGGTTTCTACACACGGAAACAGAGTTGTGAGTCCCATGCCTTTTTTGGCGGGGGGCTATCTACTTGCCTGGTGATTGCCCTTTCCCTTACAAGCTGTACATCCTCTTTACCATCCCTCCTTCTCTCCTTCCACAGCTCCCCTTCCACCTCTGTTGGTTTCTGCCTCCCTTTGTTTCCTCAGTCCTTATACCCACACTCTCCCCACGGAAGGGCATAAAGAAAGGTGTGAAGTTTCCAAAGGAATTTCTGTTCCCTGAATAGCAGGTCTGATGAATGGAATCTGAAGGGGCTCTGCAGGGAGGAGTATGATCTGTTGTCCGAGGGAGATTTGGGGAAAAAGAAATATTTTTACCAGCCATGAATGTGGCAGAGAGGACACATGGCACCAATAGGTTGGTTAAGGGGCAGGGGAGGAAAGACTGGTGGGAAGTGAGCAGCTGGAGGGAAAAGAGGAGCCCTTGGTGCTGTAGAACTGCGGGGAGAAAGGCATGAAGAGAGCAACGCCCAGAACATCTGAGTGAGAGGCTGCCTTCTGATGATGCTGCAAAGGAGAGCTGCTTGGCTTCAAGGCACCCAGGATTGATTGCAGGAATATCTGGATGTGAGTTAGTTGAAAACCGAGTGTTACCGCAAGAGGTGTAAAAATCCAGGTTCATGTTTGCACACATCAAAAGTATTGTGATATTTTCATAAAAGAATTTCTGGAAAAAATGAGTATTAACCAATGGTAGATGCAACTTTAAATGCTATCAGTAAGTCATTTTCTTCTGAATAAAGCCTTTCTTAAGAAAGCACCACAGGAAATAGAACGAGTACTGTTAATGATGAAAAGAACTTTTGCAACTCCAGAAAGCTAATGTCTATTGGATTTCTTCCAAAGTGGTTAAAGGTGATTAATTCCATTGTGCTAACAGAATATTACTTAATAACGATTTAATTTGTCTAAACTGTTGTGAATACAATCCAGGATACACTTGCACAGTAGGAAAACATTAATAACCCTGTGACTGTTACTAAGACTATAGTGTCATTGTAATGTTTCTTAATTCTCCTCTCCTTTCTTACCTAGTGTAGTAAAACAGGTTATCTCTCTCCTACTGTTTTGCTTGCTATACGTTTAATTAATAATAATATCAACATTGTTTCCGCATCCCAGGCATTTAAGCTAACTCACTGAGCCTCTTAATATTGCCATGATGTAGGTGCTTGATACTGTTTGGATCTGTGTCCCTAGCCAAATGTCATCTCTAATTGTAATCCCCACATGTCGAGGGAGGTCCTAGTGGAAGGTGATTGGATCATGGGGGTGGTTTCCTCCATGCTGTTCTTGTGATAGTGAGGGAGTTCTCATGAGATCTGATGGTTATAAAGTGTGGCACTTCCTTGCTATCTCTCTCTCCTGCCACCATGTAAGACGTGCCTTCCTGCTGCTTCACCTTCTGCCATGATTGTAAGTTTCATGAGGCCTCCCAGCCATGTGGAACTGTGAGTCAATTAAACCTCTTTCATTTATAAATTACCCAGTCTCAGGTAGTATCTTTATAGCAGTGTGAGAACAGACTAATACAGTACTGTCATTATCCCTATTTGAAAACTGAGGCTCAGGTAAGATAAATAGCTTGTCAACAGCAAGTGGTGGATCCAAGATCCAAATATACAAGTGTCCTAATACCAAGACCTGCCTGTTACTTGCCAGGCTCTCCTGTGCTTTGTACATGTGTGTGGTTTCCAGTTCCCTGTATTATGGTACTAGCAGGTTTTTTCAACTTCAGCACTATTGACATTTTGGGTGTCATAATTCTTTGCTGTGGGAGCTATCCTGTGCATTGTAGAGTGTTTAGCAGCACCCCTGGCCTCTACCCATTCGAAGCCAGTAGCACTGCCTTAGTTGTGACAATAGAAAAATATCCCCATTACCTCATGTCTCCCTGGGAGGAAAAATTACTGCCAGTTGAGAACCACTATGCTAGAGAAATGTATATAGAAAGTGTCTGTGGGGTGTTTGGTGCTTTCATATACATTATTTCCTTTGTTCCCTACAGAGGCCTGTGCTTCGGTGTTATTATCTTCATTGTTATAGGTGACAAATAAGAAAGGCCAAGGGGAGGGGCTAAATCAACTTAGGTGCATCTCATCTCTGCTGATTTACCTGCAGTGAACGAGTAACTTAACCAAATTGAAGCATGGTTTATGCATTGGAAAAATTGGATAACGATCGATCACAAAGCGTTATTGTGATTTGGCATAGGGTATATATAAATATCCTCTAAGAGGAAGGGGGCAGTACTTAGTAGCAGACAACCAAGGCTTGGCATTATGTCAAGGTTCCAATCCATCCTGTTACTCAGGTCCCTATGTAGCCCTATTCCTCCCCACCTTGCCTTCCAGTCTGGGCACATAATGTGTCTGACCATGCCGCTTACTGTAGTACAGTAAGTACTGCCCATTAGTAATTGTTTTGCCAAGGACTGAAATTATTGTTTCCTCTGTTATATCAGTTTCTGCTGAAAGCTGTTAGAATCTTTTTTTTAAAAAAAATCTCTTGCTTAGCCACATCCCTGCCCATAGAGAATTCTTTTTTTTTTTTAAGACAGTGTCTCACTCTTGTCACCCAGGCTGGAGTGCAGTGGCGTGATCTCGGCTCACTGCAACCTCCGCCTCCCAGGTTCAAGCAATTCTCCTGCCTCAGCCTCCTGAGTAGCTGGAATTACAGGTACCCACTGCCACACCTGGCTAATTTTTGTATTTTTAGTAGAGACGGGGTTCACCATGTTGGCCTGGCTGGTCTTGAACTCCTGACTGCAAGTGATCCGCCCGCCTCAGCCTCCCAAAGTGCTGGGATTGCAGGCATGAGCCACCACGCTTGGCCAAGAATTCTTTTTAAGTGCAATGGTAGGTATTTTTCAAGACTAGAAATATGCTATAATATGCGTGTAGTTGTATGGCTTTGGACAGGCTGGTATGGCTTTGAACAGGCTGGGTATCCTAACGTGGTAATAATAATTATGCTTGCATGCCTCATAGTCATGATCCTCCATCTCAGCTGGGTGTTCCTTGGTACCTGGAATGTGTTTTAGTGTCTTCCTGTATCCTCCTCATGTCCCAAACCTTTGCGCATCTCCATTCAAGCCTCCACCCTATCCCTTCTCTCACTCCCAGGTCCTGACAAGATGGAGACCATGTGTTGTGACACCCTTCCATTTCCCACCCCACTTTTCCACACAATTTCTCTCTTCAGCAAGCAGGACCTTCTCTTGCCCTCATGGTTCAGGATCCTGCCCCTCCTGCCTCATGAGGACAAGCTGTTGCTCCATCTTCTCCTTATTGGCCATATCTTCAGCCTCATCCTTGCTCCCCACTTTTTTCTCTCATGCTAGAAATAAACGTTTAGCATGATTTTTAAAAGAAAGAACAAAGAGGAATAAGTAAGTGAAAAGCTCTCTCAGCCCTGTATCCCTCCCTAGATATTTCTCCGTCATCTTTTCGTAAGAGTCAACTCTCTGAAAAAGAAGCTACACTTTTTGCTTCTACCTCACCTGCTACATAAACCTTAACTATTTTGAGTCTTAGGGTGACCAACCATTCCAGTTTGCTTGAGACTGTTTCAGTTTTAGCGTTGAAGTTCCACATAACAAGAAATCCCTTAGTTCTAGGCAAATGCCATTTCTGCCCTACCATTTCCCAGGAATTTCTCTCGTGGAAGCTTCAATTACCAAACATGGGGTCTTCAGACTTCAGGGTTTTTTGTTGTTGTTGTTGTTGTTTTGAGACAGAGTATCGCTCTGTCGCCCAGGCTGGAGTGCAGTGGTGTGATCTCGACTCACTGCAAGCTCTGCCTCCTGGGTTCACGCCATTCTCCTGCCTCAGCCTCCCGAGTAGCTGGGACTACAGGCGCCCGCCACCACGCCCGGCTAATTTCTTTTTTTGTATTTTTAGTAGAGAGGGGGTTTCACTGTGTAAGCCAGGATGGCTATGATCTCCTGACCTTGTGATCCACCCGCCTCGGCCTGTAATCCCAAAGTGCTGGGATTACAGGCGTGAGCCACCGCCCCCGGCCAGACTTCAGTTTTTTTGACTTCTGTGCCACATTTAAACAGTTGGGCTCTGTCTCCCTAAAACTCTCCTCTTTGGGTTTTTGATATCTCATTTGCTTTTGGTTTTCCTCATAACTTCCTGGCCATGCCTTCTTCCTCACTGATGTGACCTTATACATTGGTGTGACCCAGGGTTCCCTCACTTCTGTCCTGTATTCTTTGCCCTCCATACATTCTTTCTGGGTGTTAGTGTCTTTTCCCAAGGGATTAGTTATTCTTAATGTTTCAGTGACCCTCAAATCTATACCTGCAACTTTGGCTTCTTTCTTCTGTCCCAGACCCATTACTTGCCTCTTTCCTAGATAGAGTCTCTTGGGGCTCATAAACTCCTCAAACTTTGTGCCCAAAATCGAACACATGCACAAACTGACTAGCCACAGTCAACCTCGCCATACTCTTTTAGCCTGTCCCATCCTGTTCAAATAGTTACCAAGACCTATTTCATATTACCTTCTATGCCAGTGTGTTTTAAATACTTTTATCCATGACCTTCAGAAAAACTTCACTGGACATTATGTGTCAATATATTCATAACCATGTTTATATAAATCCATATTCAGACAAACATCCCCATATTGAATAGTGGAAATATTATTATAATCTATATTAATACTCAATTATGTTTTCATATATAATTGAAAATTTTTTACAGAGCCCAGATTCTTTCTAAGAAGCTATATGTTACACTGATAGTTTATTTTCCATTTGTTAATAAAACCTGGCTATTATTCATTAAGCTGATTTCATGGCTCACTGATAGGTTGGGTCTGCAGTTTGAAAGACACTGTTCTAAGCAACTCTCATCTGTCTCCTCTACTCCTTTACAATGCCACTTCCTTAGTTTGGGCCTTCATTACCCCTCACCTAATCTAGTACCATGATTGCCTAATGACCTCCTTGTCTCTGGGCTCACAATCCTCTCAACCATTCTTCCCATTGCTCGCTGAGGTAATATTTCTAAAAAGCAATTCTGGTGTCTTCACTTCTTTGCTTAAAATCCTTCAATGGCTCCCTGTTACTTCTAGGGTAAAGACTTTGCTTAGAAATGTGGCTTCAGCCGGCCTCTCTTTTCTCATTTACCACTCTCCTAATAGTACCTGTGTTCCAGAAATTTTGTACTAATTGTAGGTGCTTTAATGCTCAATATCCATGTTACCTTCATAAATTCACTCCTTGACTTTCTCTGCTTGCTAATTTTTACTGAGCCTCTCATTCTTAGCCCAAGTGTTACCTTCTGTTTTAAGCTCCCTGAATCAATTAAGCACCTTTACTTTGGAATCTTCTATCACACTAAAAGACCCCAGGTTCTGAGAGCAGTTAATCACACTGTTATAGTAGTCATTTGTTATTCCTCTGCCTCCTTTACTGGAGGCAGGTACTTGCCTCTGCTTTCTTATCACTTTTTGGAATCTGGCAATAGTAATGTGTAACCCATGATGACTGGATGAATTTTATGGAACTTTAGAATTAAATAAGGGACTTTCCACTCACCTTGTCACTTGAGCTTCACCCGAAATGTCAAATGGTCATATAATCATATGCTCCCATTTGTTAAGGACCTATTATACAAAGAGACCCCCTTTTGTGTGGGAATCTTAATTGCAGCAGGAATTATGTATATGGCAAAAATAACCATACCAGTATTTTTATCAAGCCAAAGGGCAGAGTTATTTTTCTTGAAGCAGCGCATGTTATGGAAAGCATAGATGATATTGGTGACATGCTTTGATCATTTGTTCTGCCCATAAAGTGTAACCAGAATGTTCCTCTGTGAGATGAACCACTAGAAGCCCTTCCCTCAGTGAGTCTAAAATTGAGTTGGGCAATTAAGATACAGATATATGAAATGTTCAGTGTCAATCAATATGGGAGTAAAGGAACAATATAATGCACTTTGGGAGGCCGAGGCAGGTGGATCACTTGAGATGAGGAGTTTGAGACCAGCCTGGCCAACATGGTGAAACCCCATCTCTACTAAAAATACAAAAATTAGCTGGGCATGGTGGCACGTACCTGTAATTCCAGCTACTTGGGAGGCTGAGGCATGAGAATCGCTTGAACCTGGGAGGTGGAAGTTGCAGTGAATGCCACTGCACTCCAGCCTGGGTGACAGAGTGAGACTCTGTCTCAAAAAAAAAAAAAAAAGAAACTATAAGAAAATAATCTAAGAGATGTCACAAAACACTAGAGAGTCTAGAGAGTTTAATTGCTAAATGAATGGCATAGGCAGCTTTATTTCCATTTTCAAAAGGTGATGATCCTAGAAACATTCTAAGTTGAAAAAAATCATGTTTACTTTTCCATAGAATGTGATGACAGAGAGAATGAATGAATGAATATGTGATTAGATTCCTAGCACAGGGCTCAAGATCCATTTATTACCTCTAATAAATGTTGTGGGTTGAATTGTGGTCCCCCTCAAAAGATAGTTGAGGTCTTAACTCCCAGTATCTCAGAATATGACCTTATTTGGAAATGGGGTCTTTACAGAGGTAATCAAGTTAAAATGAAGTCACTAGGGTGGGGGATAATCCAATATGATTGGCATCCTTATAAAAAGGGAAAATTTAGACACATACACAAAGGGAAGACAGTGTGAGGACACACAGGGAGAAGACGGCCATGTGACTAGGGCAATGCATCTACAAGCCAAGGTATGGCCAGGATTGCCGGCGACCGCCTGATGCTGGAAAAGCCAAGGAAGGAATCGCCTCTAGAGCTCTCAGAGAACTGTTGGTCCTGCTGACACCTTGAGTTTGGACTTCTTGTCTCTAAACCTGTGAGACAACAAATTTATAGTATTTTAAGCCACTCAGTTTTTGTGTTCTTACAGCAGTCCTAGGCAATTAAAAATACAGCAAATAATGAAGATCAACACAAATACAAATTAATCCTATTTTTTGTGCCACACAAGGCTTCGTGTGCTTAAAAAGGACCTATGTAACCTTAACCACATTTATTTTATTTTAGTGAATACCAGGAAAGGGGCTCCGTACAGATGTAACAAAACGTCTAAAAGCTGCCTGTAATTTGAGGGGTGGACTCTTGGCAGCAAGAATGCTGGAGAGCCAAATGAGCAATTCCATTCCTGCCCAGGCTTAGGTAATTATGAGGCATATCTGGCAGAGTTTGAGTGTAGCTACTTCTTAAGCTCTCTGAGGCTACTGTCGAACCTTATCACATCCAACTCCACTCAGCTGCAAATACTCAGCACCTGGCCAGTAAGAGCCTGTCCTAACAGTGCATGGGGAATCTGTTCCTCAGTAAGAGGTGGGTCTAAAGGCCACCTTGGTATCCAGCAGTGGAGGGAGGGTGGGCGGGCGGGGGAGAAGCTGGCAAGCAACTGTGTGCTCTAGATGGTGCAATTTTCCCCTGTCCCCTTTATGTGTGCTGTGTATGACACGGCTGCTGCCCTGGTTTCCACTGAGGTTCAGCTGAGTTTGGAGCTCTCATGGGATGCTGGGATCACTTAGCTGGGGCCTGGAACCCTTCTTCTTCCCTAGGGTTCAAGCTTGTGAGTGCAGCCACTGTGTGCCTCCTGTTTACTATTGTACACCCAGAGACTACTTGTGTCTGACATACAGGAACTAAAATATTTGTCATATGAATGGACAGTTGTCTTTGCTATCGGCAAGATCCTATCCTTTCTTGCTGCCAGATTCACTGTGAGCTCAGGATACTGCTTCAAGGGAATCAAACATGCCTTGGAACTAGAGTACTGCCTCTCATGTGGCTCCCTTTCATGGAGTCCAACAACTCTGAGTGCCTCCCCTGCCCCTCCTCTTTGCAAATGCATGTTCCAGTCCAGCTTAAAACAGGCCCAAGTCCCACTTGCCTCTAGGACCTCATGACTAATTAGCTTTTCAGGTTCCCAGCCTTAATCATATCTTTAGTCTTGTTTGGGTTTCTTTATACCATCCACCTCACAAAAGACCCCATCTTTCATTTCTCAGAAGGAGTATTTGTTAAAGTCAGAAATTGCTGGAATTGTTAAAAACACACAAAATTAGCTACATGAGTCATGGTTCTATTTGTTTGGCAACAGTATAAAAATAACTTTATTTTTCTCAAGATAGAAAATAGTAGTAAAGAAATGTCAGCCTATCTTAATGGAAAGACCTCTCAACAAAACTAAATAATTTATGTGCTCACATGCCATTTCCATCAAGCTTGTGTGGCCAAGGCTGCTGGTTTATGACATGCAAAGTCAGAATGCATTCTCTGGTGGGAGCAGGACTGGAAGAATGCATAGAATTTGGTGAACAGCTTGGACAGAGGAGACATTTCTGGTGAGGGAAACTGCCTGGGTGAGGGGATTCATTTATAAAACATTAATTTAATTGTTTATTCAAACAACTTTATAGAGCTTCTCTTTTGTGCCCATCATGCATAGGTGTGAATATGCAGAGATGAACATAATACAGGTCCTAACTTCGAGTGGTACCTAAGTTTGTGGGACAGAGAGACAACCAACATATAATTATAGCACTGTGTGATAGGTGCTGGACCCAGGGCATAAATGAGGTCCTAGGGGAACAAGGAGAAGCTCATAACTCTGTGAGATGCTCCAATGAGTGATGTTATCTTTCTTTCATTTCACACTTTTTTATTAAGCCACCCACTTAGGGCAGGTATGGTGCTAAGTGCTGGGGATATCATGATTGGAAAGATGGGCAAGGAAATGGACATGGTGTGTGATAAAAGTACAAGAGACTGGGCATATGTGCTATGGGGAAAGGACTAATAGGCATTTGCAGAAATCTGATGTGGTCCAGGGTTGGCAAATGTATGGCAGGAACTACTCCTTACTCCTGTAGTCATGCCAGACATTGTTAATTCAACAGGGCACTCTTGCCTTCAGAGCATGAATTCAGTTCTATTTACTACCATATGCCTAGGTTAAAGCCCATTTTCCATCTGGCATTTATTTAGTCAGTGCCACAAAACAGATCCAATGCTTGAGGATTGACTCACACTGTCCAAATTCAGAAGAGATTACAGTTTATAAACTGTAAGTCCTCTTGCTAACATTCAGTGAGAAACATAATCAGTTTACTCCTGACCAGGAAAGACCTTAGGATCTACCTATACAGATGGCATGCAAATGAGAATAGCATGCAGTGAGCAGGGACTTGGAACAGGAGAGGTAGTATAACTTGTGCAAACAACTCAACAATTTGGGGGCAGCAATGACTAGGTTTCTCTTACGTTCACACAACGGCTCAAGCACCTACCTGCCTTTTTTGTATAGAGCCTTAGTATCTCTCCCTACAGTCTTCCCCTCTCCCCAGGGTGTGCCATAACCCTGGAGGTTTATCCAGTCCACCAGATAAGTCAAAACAGGGGACTCAGGCTGGCTTTGTTCTTCAAGTGAGTCTAGGACTGGGGTCGCTAAATCTGCTACTATCATTGTTTGTCATGCACCAGAGGATTGTACAGATCATCACTGTGCGAGCGAGCATGGCCAAGGAGATGAGTGGAAACTGAAGTCCAGCTCATGCTTACTCTAGTGTCACCAAGCCGTGCATCCAAGGAAGGGGAAGGCTTTTTGAAAACAAATTTGCACAAAGACACTATAAAGCTGGTGGTGGCCCTGAGTCACCACTGAAAACTGGTCCTACCCAGAACAGACTTGGTGGTGCCAGCAGCTCCCATTTGCTGCAGAGGCCCCATGTGCATTGTGGGAAGATGATCTCCTCCTTTGGGGCTAGGCCCTAGGAGCACTGGGTCAGGGCTGGTTTTGGCACCTGTGCCTCTGGGACCCAGCACCATCAGCACGCCTCTTCTTTTTCTGCGATATACTTGGGTCATCAGTTTTTTTCTTTTAAATCCTTTCCCTTGACTATGGGGCTCCTTGATTCTAAGGGAGGCCCTGTCAGTGTTCACAATTTATTTCCTGTTCCTGCCTATGTGATTCTAGCTGGCAAATTTTCTTACTAAACAAGAGCTCCCTACTGTCTAGTAGTGGCTGCTGTTGGTGGGTCCTGGCTACATTGGAAAAGAGGTTTGCAGGTTGGGAGTATCTTTGGCGTCATTGGAGTTAGACAGAGCTTACTGTTAATTGCTGCTTTTCCCTTTTAGCTACATGCCCTAAACCAGAGCTTTAACTTCCTCTCCTGTCAGATGGCAATAATGATATGGCACAGGGTTGTGGCTGTGTTAGATGTCATATGTAAAGCCCCCAGCATTATACAAAGACCCTCGTTGAATAAGAAGCCTCAGGAGAGAGCTGAAAAAGAGCCTTGAACTTCCTGGTCCCTCTTTTGCATCCAATGAGGAAGAGCTCTGGGTGCCCTGGGATTTTCATCTCAGGATTTAAAAGGTACTGGAACCACTGCCATTGAAAACATCCTACCCCTCCACAATGACCCGGAATCCGTGACTAACTGGCCCCTTCATATGAGCTGGTTTGTAAAGGAGCAATGGCAGAGTGAGCCTTTACCCCAGAAGACGAAACAATACCCCACACAAAGGACTCGCAGCAGCCTGGCAGGAATGGTGCATCTTCCCAGCGTGTTTGGAGTGTCTGGTTCTTCTCCTGGAGGGGAGCGGGCCTCCCTCCGAGGGCCCAGTGGTGGGTGGTCAGCTTTGTGCTATGCGAGTTCCAGGGCCCCCAAGATCTGGATGCAGAGTGCTGCTCAGAATCTGATCTCTTAATCAATTTTGCCCATAGCAACAGGATTTCAGTACATGGCAGGGGATAAAGTGGCCCAGAGGAACTCAGGACATATTTGAACAGTAGCCCAGAACTTGGACGGTATCTGAATCACATTGGCACAGGTCTGGGTCATGGGTTGCTGCCAGAACATCGTAAGAAAAGCCAATCTTGTCCATATAATGGCATGAGGAAACAGGAAGCGCTGCAGCATGACTTTATTATCCTTCCTCTGAGCAGGGCCACCGTTCAGCTGGGAGGACCTTACCTTTGTTCCTACAGGTTTCTACAGGTTACACACCAACTGCTGAGAGCAAGTTGAATGACAGTAAAAGGTGGTGAAACAACAACACAACAGCAGCAGCTACAAGAGCCGCCTTGGACCTGGAATTGGCACACTGCAGTGGTCACCGGCCTAGACTGAACCGGTTTAAATTTCACTCTGCCTTTTCTTACTGATGCCATTTTGTAGACTTACCGAACCTTTCTAAGCATCAGTTTTCTCATCTGGAAAGTGGGAATAACAATATTCCCTGCTTTTCAGGGTTAGTGTGAGAATTAGAAATCAGGTAGGTAGCTACTGCTGAGGGCCAGGCATATAGCAGGTTCCCAGGTACTGGTAGATACTGTTATTTCTAAGACCTGGATGTAACCAATGCTGATGCTCACTAGTGCTGGATAGGACAGTCACATCATCATTTCTGAGTATCAGTGTTCGTTCTCATCTCTAGAATGGAGACATGTGATGTTTCCACATGGTGGTTGTGAAGATGAACTGAAATATAAACAGCCTCCAGCATAGCATTTGCCAAATGCAAGGCCTTAGTAAATGTCAGTAGGATCTGAAAATCCAATGGTTGGAGAATAAAATCTCCCCTTTAGCTATGAATTTATTTCCATTTCATCTGGAGTCTGAGGAAGATCCAAGTCCTGTTATTTATTTAACTGTATTTGACTGTGTTTAATACTTGTAGCTGACTTTTAGGTCACTTTGATATTTCCTCTGAGATTTTCATCTTCCTTTGGCTAAGAGGCAAGTTTCAAACAGAAGAGCAAACCGTGGACTTCTAGTGCTGGATCTTCTTTTGGAGAACAGAATTGTCCTCAGTGCTGCCTGTGATTCTGAATCTCCTGGGACAAGAGGAGGACTTGAAAAACAGCCCAGTTCTTCCCCAGACTCACAGATGTGACTGATGCAGCTGGGCCTGGGGTGAGCACAGTTGGAAGCCACTGCTCTGTCCAGATGCTTCTCACAGAGGCGCCAAGGACTGGCCACACATTCTCTTACCTGCTTGCTCCTCAGTCTCCGTCAATGCCTTTATGTTTCTGTTCTCTTTATTCACGTAGTTGACAAAATGCACAACGAAAGCATGCAAAAGACAGAGCTAATCTTGACATTGGCGAAAATTATGGTTTCATGTTTAAAGAAACTATAGAAGAGATAAAAGAAGTCTTTTCTAAATTTAAAAAGAATTTAAATATTTATACTTTGTATGTGACCATAAGCGGAGAGAATTGGCCCTTTTGTTCCAGAAAAGTAATTGGTGTTAAGCCTGAAAATCTAATTTTAACAGGGAGATCTGGAAAGGAGAGTTATAGCATGAATGCTGCCAAGATGAACAGATTGCTTCAACCTCACTAGATTTTAGCATTTTTCCCCCTCTATAGAATGAAGATAGTGATGGCAATGCTTGTCTTGCTTTCATATGCTGTTGTGAGAAATGAGGAAGCCAAAGCATTGGCAGTGTTTTACAAAATGCAAAGCACGAAACCATGAAAAGGATAACTTGCCTCGTGACCTCATTGGGCAAGTTATTTGACATTTTAGTCCCTTAGTTTCACCATCTGCAAAGTGGGACCCATAATGCCTAATGCTGGCCTGACTGGGATGTTATGGGGACAAAAGTAGACGGTGTTTGTAAAGGCACTTGGAAAAGCAGGACACCTGTATTAAATTAAAGTAGCAGTGTATTTTCTATTTAACAGACAATAAAACAGGTACTGTGAGGCCACATTCCACTGAGCTTTCTGAGCAGAGCTGCGCCTCTGGCCAAGCCTTCTGGGCTCAGTGTCTCTGCTTCCAACGGACTTCCCCATGCTCTGCTTAACAGCACTGACTTCTCTTTTATCTTGGTTGCCAATCCTCCCGAGGTGGAGGCAGGCCCAGGTCCATTCTTGGGGTGAGGCTAGGAAGAATAGGGCCATTTATAACTCTGCTCAGATGACTGGAGAATCCTTTCAAACTGCTTGGCTGAAAAGCATCTAACAAAAACTTGGGGAATCCAAAGGCCTAAAGAGCCATCTAGTGGTTGCACATACAAACGACGCTGGCTTTTGCCAGTAACTTCACTGGAACAGAGATAATGGAAAGGGATTTTATTTTTTTCCTCTCCTAAATTTGTGCCTGCCCGGGCAACCATAGAAAAGGATTGATGTAAGTGTCCACTGTCCCTGCTTGTAACCCTGGACTTCAGAGTGATGTTGGAGGAAAACTGGGAACCTCTACAGACTTGAGCTGCTACAAAGCCTTGGTTTCCTTTCTCAGCTCCTGGCTTGCAGTTAGTTGTGTCCATGTGACTGAGTCTTTTTTTTTTGTTTTGAGATGGAGTCTCACTCTTGTCGCCCAGGCTGGCGTGCAGTGCCATGATCTCGGCTCACTACAACCTCCATCTCCCAGCTTCCAGCGATTCTCCTGCTTCAGCCTCCTGAGTAGCTGGGATTAGAGGCACCCCCAACCATGCCTGGCTAATTTTTGTATTTTTAGTAGAGACAGGGTTTCACCGCGTTGGCCAGGCTGGTCTCAAACTCCTGACCTCAAGTGATCCTCCCGCCTCTGCCTCCCAAAGTGCTGAGATTACCATGCCCGGCCTGTGACTGAGTCTTAGGTGATGGAATGTGAGCGGAAGTGATACACATCACTTGTGAGTCTGGTCCATAGAACTCTCTACATAGAAATCTCCAAGTCATTTGTCCTTTTGTGGTGTGATGCAGATGAGCATGGCAGTTTTGGGATTCATGTGTTGAAGATGGAATCACAAGATGCAATGAATCTGGGTCTTCAAGTCACCACTTGGAGGAGAGCTACCTGTCCATGAAGAACACCTCTTTTGGACTTTCCATAGCAAGAAGTAAACCTCTAAGTGTCTTTGAGCTATTATGCATCTTTGTGTTTGTTTGTTTGTTATACCATTTAGGGTTACCTTAACGAATATAGTTGTTGTTAGTCAAGTTAACTATGAAAATCAGAGACAGATTTACCGTGAAGCCAATGAAGCTCTAGCTTCAGGGATCTTCATTTGCGTAGGCCCTTTCCAAGGTCCAAGGTGTGCATGTGAGGAAGTGGGTGGGGGGGGGGGTCCCCTGGCAATGTGTTCTCATGGTTATGTTTTGTGAAATTTGCAAAAGTAAGATATTTTCAACTGCATGCAATTGGTTAGGTGTGCTGCCTCTTTCCTTGTCAACTTCCGCTCCATCACATTTTACTCTGTGTTGGATGGCGTTGGGGAAGCATGGACATTTTGGGGACCCAGCTCAGGGAAGTTGAGTGGGGATACATTTAGTCTGAGTGTAGTTGTTGCATTGTCGTGGTTTTCTGTCTCTTTCATGCAGAGTTATTGCTAGCTGTTCTGGTATAAGAATGGTTTCCAGGGATAGTACTCTGCCCACTGTGCAGCTGTGAAAACATGATGCAAGGTCAGAGGTTGTACTATAATAGAGTCTGTTCAGGGTGCCTGGTTCAGGGAAAATGTGAGCAGAGGGGAGAAACAAGGCTTGAAATGTATGGAGTCAGAAACTAGTCTATAGAAATTTCTTCTAATCCATTCTGATGTGTAAAATTGTAAGCAGAGAATTTAGTTCTTATTGATGCTTTGTCAAAATTGAATTTCATTCCTGTCAGGACACACTTGGTAATTTTTAAAACCATATACAATTTTAAATATACTTTATATTTTATCTCCTTTTTTCATGGGACTAGCTTAGTTGATAAAGCTTGAATACAGCATTTAAATTGAATTTCCAAAAGATATTCTGGAATGTCTTAATAGAAAAAGGAGAAATTATGGATTTTTGATTTGGACCTTCTTTGACACTTTAAATTTAGCTATTAAAGAACAGAGAGAAAATTCAGATAAAAGTAATGGAATATTAAAGAAAAACAATTAATAAGAGATAAAAATAAGAAAAGACCTGACTTTAAGAAGTGAGTTGTAACAAAAAATTCTTCAGATAGTACCCAGCACAGTAATTCATTAGAGGAAAAGATAAATTGCAAATAGAAATAGTTAGTAGGCTCTTGGATTACTTGGTAATCCATTTACTGAAGAGGAGTAAATCATATGCACACATCAGAAATGATTTCAATTTCTTGCTGATTTGGTGTAAAATTCAGACCCATAAAGCTCACAATACGCCACTATGGCAAGAACATCAACAACAAACTGGTTAATGAGTGTAATCAACTCAAGAATGATTTAAGACTAGCCACTACATAAGAAAATTTGAAATACAGTGAAATCTTACAGTTCAAATATGAAAGAATTGATAGACCTCTTCCCACATATAACAACAATTCTAAAAATTTATATGGCACAGCCAATTACAAATTGTGAAGGTGAGAAACACTTTCTTAAACTATTAATCACCCATGCTAGAGGAAAGACGAATAATTTAAAAAATCAATCACTCATGCTAAAGGTAAGACAATTTTATATTCTCTCTATTGAAAATGTTATACAGCCATTGTCATCATATGAAGGGGCAGTTACAGGCAACATAGTCAAAAGTCCAGGAGAAAAAGCAATTAATAAAAATACAATTGTGCACTGCATAGCATTTCAGTTAGTGTCAGACTGCATCTAGGACAGTGGTCCCGTAAGATTATAATATCGTATTTTTACTGTACTTTTCTATGTTTAGATATACAAATGCCATGGTGTTACAATTGCCTACAGTGTTCAGTATAGTAACATGTTGTACAGATTTGTAGCCTAGGAGCAAAAGGTTGGACAATATGGCGTAGGAATGTAGTAGGATATACCAACTAGGTTTATGTAGCACACTCTATGTTTGCAGAATGACAAAATCACCTAAAGACACATTTCTCAAAATGTATCCCTGTGTTAAGTGACACGTGATTGTATTTACTTTTCAGTATTTTGAATTTTGGGATGTTTGGTACCTGATAGATTTTATAATTTATTACTTTTTTCATTTTAAACTAGTATTTAGTTTTGTAATTAATTTTGTGCTCTTTTTTAGTCATTTCTTGAGCTCACCCCTAAAACTGTGTAAACTTCATGTTCACAAAATCCAAGTTTGCTCTTGGGACTGGAACATACCCATGGCTCGCAGTGAGGCTGAAGTTTCTCGGGAGACTAACTTCAGTGGCCTGATCAATGGGCGGCCTTGGCAGGAGGATGGAGGGCAGGAGAAAACAGTTTGATTTGCCCATTTCCCTGCCTCCCCGGCACTGGCTTCTAATTCTGGCAATAGCTGTGTCCTCTTTGGCTGTACAATGGTGTTTTATTGCTGCCTAACAAATCACCACGTTTAGTGGCCTAAAACAACACTCATTTATTAGTTCGCAGTTCTGTAGGTTAGAAGCCCTGGTGGGCTCAGCTGGCTTCTCTGCTCTGGGCCTCAGAGGCCTGAAATCAAGGTGTTTGTAGAGCTGGTTCTTATCTGGAGGCTCACGTGGAGGTGAGGATCTACTTCCAAGTTCATTCAGGCTGGAGGAATGCAGTTCTTGTGGTTGTCGGACTGAGATTTGCATTTCTTGGCTGGCTGTCAGCTGCAAGGAAGCTCCACACTGCTCCTGGAAGCTGCCTCTATTCCTTCCCACATGGCCCTCTCTTTATCTTCAATGGACCAGAAACGTCACATCAAGTCTGTCTCACAATTTGAATCTTTCTGTCATCTCCTCCCACTTTCCTCTTCTGTTACCAGCTGGAGAATGTTATTTGCTTTTAAGTGCTCGTGTGATTTGAGTGATGTACTTGGATAATCTCCCTTATTGATAAAGGCCATTAGTGAGATATAACATAACACAATGACGGAAGGATTCCTCATCACACTCAAAGGGTGGGGACAGGGTTTGGACTCCTGGGGACATTCTCAGGAATTCTGCCTGCAGCAGGCTGCGTTTCCTGTTTGGTAGCTTAGCGGTTCCAGCTCCGTCCAGGGTCTCTAACACTGCTTCTTGCCTGTCTTCCTCATGCCTGGGCGTGGTAAAGGCGTCTTGCTGTTTCTAGGCGCTGGGTCTTCACCATCCCTCAGTGGCTCCCTTACCTCCGTCCACACATCTGTAAGTAGTATTTTTTTTGTGAAACTCTCTTTGGTTTCTCCCTTGGAGCATGTCATCAGTTTTTGGCTAAGACTGTGACTGATAGAGCTGGGAAAATATATTTTGGTAAGAAGCCATAATTTTGTGTTCTCTTTATCCCTTGAGAAGATGTTAGATCTTAGACCTGAGGCACTCACAAGGGAAAATAAGGAATTTCGCATCGATGGCCTTTGAGAGTGCGAATGTATTGTTTCAAAGGTGCTGAGAATGGAATCTGGTAATTATATCAGACAGCGTGATTCAGACAGCACTGGGTGTGGGCTCAGATTTCTTATGTTCAAAACCTGACTCCTTCATTTATCAGCTGTGTGGGCTTGGACAAGATGCTTAACCTCTATAAGTTGCAGCTTCCTCATCTGAAAAAGAGGGGTATTAAGGATATCTCCCTTATTGGTGGACTAAATCCATGCAAAGCACTTCGCAGTGACTGGTGCATAGCAGGCACGTAGTCAATGATGTTGTTGTTATTGGTATTATTTGATATCGAGGGCTACTTTGATGAAGAGTTCCTCTCTCACTGATTTGCCAGTACCAGGCTTGGTTAAAACAAAATTAGCCTGTTTCATCTTTAAGCTGTTTGCTCTTCGTCGTTCTTGCTCTGTGTTCTGATCATTATATAGAGATTCTGAAATTCTGCTATAACAAAGAGATATTTTGTATTTCTTTCACTCTTCCGTTTTTACTTATTTTTGAGGATATAGAAACACTTATTTACTTAAATCCAATGCAATCTGCGGTGGGGCCCACCCTGGATGTTTGTACATCTTTTAAAGCAAATTACGATAGGAAGAGAAAATACTCAAAGATTACAAAGGAAGCTTACCACCTCCCTTGCTTTTCCTAATTTATGATTCAGAGAAGCCCCCACTCTATGAGGAGAGTTCCCACTAAGTGAGTAGTTTTGCCAGTCTAAGACTAATAGAAGCCTTTAGAATCCCTGACCGGCAGCATCAGTATCACCAAGGAATTTGATAAAAATGCAAATTTTGGAGCCTGCCCCAGATCTAACATAGAAATTATGACAGTGGACCCAGCAATTTGTCTTCTAACAAGCCCTCCAGGTGATTCAGATGAACTCAGAGTCTGCAAACCCCAGCATTGACACAGGATTCAGCCTTGCTTCAGTGTATTAAACTACCTTGCCCTTGGGAAAAATCAAATGCTATAACCTGTCCACCTTACCCATCTGGCCACTCTTACATTCTCCTTCAAATGCTCCATTCACAAAACCTTCTTTTCTTTTTTTAGGTTGGAACTTCAGTGCAGAGGGTTGAAGTAATCATATTCTTCAGTTGAAGGTACATCATCATCACTGGTCTCTGCAAATCTCTTTTCTTTTATATATGTATACATATATTCATCTGTTCATTCATTTGTTAATTCCATTTTCATTCCTCATTCTCCACCCCACCGTGTGTGTTTAATATGTATCTTCTTGGTATGTACTCTTGTAAAATGCATATTGTTTTGTGTATGTGTATTTTTATTCACATAAGTGGTCCTGTGTTATATATCTTGTTTCATCCATTCTTTCCGCCACTCATCACTGTATTTTAGAGACCCATTTGAGTTGTTCTGTGCTCATCTTATCTACTACGTCTGACTGCTCTGCTCCAAGGTAGACACCTACTATGTTTTACCCAGTGGACACCCAGATTGCCTCCAACTCCCTGTCTCCACAAATAATGCTGTGATGAACTTCCAGCCCGAGGAACAGCAGCCTAAACTAGTCTGAGGAGGCACAGCTATCTGCTAACATAGAGGGTCTCACTCAACAGAAGTCTGTTTGCTCAGGGGGTCTGAGGAACCTCCTAAAAAGCTTCTATCCCTAGGGAAAAAGACGCCAAGCTGAATAAACTTGACCCAGCAAGGAGGACTTGGTAGTGTCTTCTCTTTCAGTTTGTCTCCTCATGTAGTTCCCACTGGTTCTGGGTCTATGTTCCTTGGAAAGAAAGAAGTGGGTGGGAAGAGGAGAGAGGCTGTGGACCTCACATGCTAGTTGCCCGGCTTTGTTCCTGAGCACAGGTGAGATATGTTCTGGGGATTCTTAGAAAGACTCTGCAGTTACTTTGCAGGAATTGAGTTTGCATATATAGATGGAAGAGAGAAAGTGTCGAATTTGGATTTTGACGGTCACTGTGACCCCATCCTCACTCACAAACAGGATTTGAAGCTTAGGACAATGCAAGATTCATGCAAAGAACCAGAAGGGTGGAGCAGTTGTAAACTCTGGGTTATCACACAATATACCAGACACTGAGTTGGTGTTAATATTATGTGGCAGACCTTGTGCTTCTCTCACTATCTGGAAGGGGATACACAGAACTCTAGTGCAAGGCTGACCTTGAACATGGATTATGTTAGGGGATTCAGTCCCCAATGATATAGTTTTGCAACACTGGGAGGATAAATTGAGATCTATATTTATCAATATGGCTTAATCATGGCAGAAAGACCCAATAAAAGTTGCTCTGTGCCTGGGCTAGAATGATTAATAAATGAATCATTGCAGCCATCTGCCCATTAAAAAGTAGGACAGAGGATGCTTAGTATGTCTTTATTGTTGCCCCAGGACTGTGATCTCCATGTAGTTTTCAGAGAAACAATTCCATTCTGGAATATACTTCAATGGGCTTTTAATTCCCTAATTAAATCACTCTTCTGGATTATACAAATACATGTTCTAGGATAAAATGTTTTATGAGATTTTCCTTTAATAAATCCCACTGCGATCTAACTGAAGCCTAATTAGCCTCTTTAATTGGCATGTTCTATGTGAGAAGGCTCAAGCGAACTGCTGATACTAGAGCTTCCTCACTCTGTTAAGAGCTTCAGTCCCTGGTTTTTGGCAGTTTTTATTTACCCAGACAGATGGTGGATGGACCCATTATCTCAATAACTTGTGCAATTAGAAGAAGAGGAAGAATCAATATTCTTGTTCAAAGAATGACCTAAAGCTCTACCTGGCATTCACTTCATTCTTGCTAAAAGCAAGAATATTAATTAGCTCTCCTGAAAGTGACTTTATGAATTAAATGAGTTTTGTTACCATATTTGTAGCCATCATGATATAACTTGGGGTCACTCATGCAAAGCTTAATTTGCATGAAAGTGTGGGTGTCTGTGGGACATCTTAGTCTGTGGGACACCAAGTCTACTTATGCCAGGCCCCATTCATATAGCAGTTCCCTGTCAAATCATCTTTGACCTCCACTATACGGTGTGCTATAAGAGGTAATATGGTGTAGTGAAAAGATTCTGGGTTTTAAAATGGCACTTAAATTTATATCCCATTTCCACCAATAGTTAGCTTTGTGTTGTGAAAGTTCCTTAGCTTTTCTGAACCTCAGTCTACTGAGCTATATAAAAGAGATAAAACAGCCCAGGTGCAGTGGCTTACACCTGTAATCCCAGCACTTTGGGAGGCCGAGGCTGGTGGATCACCTGAGGTCAGGAGTTTGAGACCAGCCTGGCCAACATGGCGAAACCCCATCTCTACTAAAAATACAAAAATTAGCCAGGTGTGTAATCCCTGTAGTCCCAGCTACTGTACTGTAGCTATAGTCCCAGCTACTTGGGAGGCTGAGGCAGGAGAATCACTTGAACCCGGGAGGTGGAGATTGTAGTGAGCCGAGATCGTGCCACTGCACTCCAGCCTGGGTGACAGAGCGAGGCCGCATCTCAAAAAAAAAAGAGAGATAAAATATTCTAAACAGTGTTATTGTGAGGATAAATTCTGATATGCTAGATAATGAATATCAGATGTGAAGTGTAGAAAATGTAATATCTTCATCTGTGGTCTTCTAAGCACATGACCTAAACCTCTGCCGAGCATTTACTTCATTCTGTCTTGTATTACGATCAATTTTAAAATTAGTTTGTGTAGGCTAGATTATGGTAACAAAAGGATTCATGCATCTAATGGTTCAACACAGATAGAAGTTTATTTTTTGCCTTTATAGCAGTCCAGAGGTCCATGGAAGAGTATCTGTTCTGTGCAACAAAATAAGATATGGGTGAGAAAGTTAATACTATAAGGCACATAAAGATTTCTTCAATAAACAAAGGGAATTAAGCAAATACCAAATTAGGATGTTATTTTCCCACTCGAGTCTTTTATTTCAGATGGCCTCAACGTAGCTACTCTCATGTTGGGAGACAGAGAGAGAGAGAGCGAGAGAGAGAGACACACACACAAAATGAATCACAGGGACCAGTAAGGAAAGACGTAAGACAGACTTCAGTACTGTGTCTAGCAAAGATACTAGACTGTAGTAACTGGCACATGGAAATGAAAGCAAATCATTTCCCGTCCATTTGGGTATTTGCTTGTCTCTTTTGTTAGAAAGCAAGTTCTTTGAGAGCAAAGATTTTGCTTAACATTTCCTGCCTCTTCCTTTATAGTACCCGACACTATAAATGTTGAATTGAAATTAATTGAGACTCTTGTATCCTTTGAATGAGGAATGAGGAATATATCATATATAAATATTGGAGACTTAAATGGCAGTGTCTGGACACTGCAAGGAGGGAGGGGTAGCTTCAATAGCCTCAAGACTGGTGATGTGAAATGTGTCAAAGTAGAATTTCAGAGTGCTGCATCCAAGGAGGCGTGCCGTTTATTAAATATGCCCACAGAAATTATTTTGCTACGTATATATTCACATATACCTCTAAAGAGGGCAGGTCACATTAAATGGCAAGACCTTTGTTCTTTTAGTGGCTTGTTGACTTTGGTGCTATAGTTTTGGATATAGGGTGATATGGTTTGGATGTTTGTCCTCTCCAAATCTCATGTTGAAATGTGATTCCCAATGTTGGAAGTGGGGCCTGGTGGGGGGTGATTGAATCATAGGGGTGGATCCCTCATGAATGGCTTAGCACCATCTCCTTGATGATAAATGAGTTCTCACTCAGTTACTTCACCCAAGATCTGGTTGTTTAAAAGAGTCTAGGACCTCCTGTGTCTCTTCTCTGGCTCCTGCTCTTGCCATGTGATGTATCTGTTTCTGCATCAGCCGTGAGTAAAACCTTCCTGAAGCAGATGTTTGTGTCATGCTTGAATAGCCTACAGAACCATGAGCCAATTAAACCTCTTTTTTCTGTAAATTACTCAGCCTTGAGTATTTCTTTATAGCAATGCAAAAATGGCTTAACACCTGGGTCAGAAAAATATGGAGTTCTGGGATTGGGGAGGTGGGAACAACTGGCAGGGTGAGGTAAGGAGCAAAGAAAACAAGAGGGAGAGGTTTGAACTGGAGAAGCTGGAAGCACGCAGGTGAAGGGTCAGGAAGGCCCCTGGTGCAGAGCCTGAGGAAGGGATGAGAGATGATTCCTACTGGAAGCTGCTTCTGTGTGTGAAATCTTCCGCTGAGATAATCAGCTTACATAGGCACACGTGATGGGAGGCATTCTTGTAGAGCTTAAAGGAGAGGAAAGGTTCACATCTGGAGAAAATGGTGAAAACTAGAGAGAGATGTGCAAAAGCAGGTATCTGGAACACAGAGGAGATAAGGAGAAAAAAAAATCCACCTCTCACTTCCTGATACTCAAGGGCTTTGTGCTTTTGCAGCTCTTGGCCTTGAACTAATTGGCTTAGATCTCCAAGGGCTGGTAGATCTAGATAATTTCTCTTCCTCTGAGGAGAAGGCGGCCAGGATTTGAATCTCAGACCAGTGCTTGCTGTGACTGTATTCACTCCTATGTTCTGGACGGTCAAAGGACAGTCTTAGTTACCACATGGGCTGTTGTCCATAAATTCCTTTGTGGGTCTTACTGTAGTTGGGCTGAAACGCCTATAAGTGTTGAGGTCAATTTTTTAGCCCAGACTAGAGGCCGGTCTGAGCAGCTTTCCTTGTGTTTCCTTCCTTCTTACCCCTGCCATGTTGCCATTTTGGAAGGACCTAAGCTATATCAGGCACAGGGCCTTCATATCTTACCAGCTGCCTGGGAAACTGATAGGGATAGAACTAGAGGTAGATGGATAGATAGATAAAACTCAGAACATAAAGAGGTGCAGAAGAGGCCAAGAAAGGACTTATGCAGTCCCTTCAGACACAATCTCTTAGCCTTATGGCCTAATTTTACATCCTAAAGTCTCCATTCTGTCCTTGTGCCCATTTGGGAGCTCTTTGTTATCCTCCTCTTTGAGAGGGTAACAGGCAGGGATTGTGGGCAGAAAGAAAGTCCTGAGCTGTGCCAGTATGTTAACCATCGTGCCATGTTCCACATGATGGGATTAGGAGGCCCCGTTTTAGCTTGGACCCCCATTTAAAAATTTCTTTTTTCATCAAAATAAGCAATTCAAGGCCCCTCCCAAGGCTTGAGTGTGCTTACAACACAGAGTTCACAGGTTAGAGAGCATAAGAAGGCTATGGTCACCCCGTGCTCGAGTTTCTCAGGAGTCTTTGCATCACTGTGCTGTTGTCCTTAGCATTCTGAATTGTAATTTTTCTGTGTACGTGGGCGACTCCACTGTGTTGTGAGCTCCCCAACGACAGGTGTGCGCTCTATCCATCTTTCTAACCCACTCTGGCAACTTGAACACAGTTTGTTAAATAGATTCTCATTTTAGCGGGTGTGTCAGGAAACATATACAGGGCAGAGTAGAGCAGAAACTTTAGTCAGAATCAGCAGAAACCAGGAATCAGCAAGGGTGCATAAAACAAGAAAAAATGTGGATTTGAGGTACGGCATAGGGTGGTTGTCACCTTAGTGGTCTAGGTCCAGGACTCACCCAGCACACCAGGTGCCAGGCATAAGGAGGCAAGAGCAATTTCAGAGCCTACTTGCAGGAGGGAAGAGGGTCGTCACATTCTGCCGAGTTTCTCAGGTTTAATGTAGGAACTGGTAGTGTTTAAACCTGTTGTTTGAGGGTCCTCTATGACTACAGCTGAACAGGGCAGAGAAAAATAAGCATTTGTCATTTGTTGGGTTCTTACTAGGTGCTAGGATTTTTTTTTTTTTTTTTTTTTTTTAAGACAGGGTCTAACAGCTGCAGCTCACTGCAGCTTCGACCTCCTGGGCACAAGTGATCCTCCCACGTCAGCTTCCCAAGTTGCTGGGACTACAGGTACATGCCACCATGCCTGACTAATTTTTGTATTTTTTGCAGAGATGAGGTTTCGCCATGTTGCTCAGGCTGGTCTCGAACTCCCGGGCTCAAATGATTTGCCCACCTGGGCCTCCCAAAGTGCTGGGATTACAGGCATGAGCCACCTCATCCAGCCAATTCTAGGAATTCTTGTATCTTTAATTCTTAAAGCAACTTTACAATAAAGTATTACTATCACTATTGTATAGATGAGTAAACTGGGTTCAAAAGTTTAAGTCACTTGTCTAAGGACTCCTAGATAAGAAAGAATTGAGACTCAAGTTCAGAATATTTTATTTCTTATACATATATTTCTACTTATCATCCAAGTATTTATTATATACCTACAATGTGTCCAAAATTGTGCCACTTGCTAGCGGATACAACAGTCTTCAAAACATAGTCCCTATTTTGATAGAGCTTACAGCTTAGATGGTGGGAATATAGGCAGAAAGAAGACAGCTAAACTCACAGGGGTCAAGGAGGCAGGGAGCTGGGTAACTGCTTCAGTCACCACTATTTTATTTGTACACATATGCATTTTTGATGTTGTGATGTTCTGGTACCTATGCAAGGTCCCGGAGATGCTCTGGGAGCATCAGGTGTGGTCCCCGCCCACTCTCATGCAGCTGTCAGCCTATGGGGGACACACTCATTAATCCAATGATCACAGAAATATTTAATTTTGATCTGTAATAAATGCTGTAAATGTTACTTAAAACTGAAGAGAGGCGAATGACTGAATTTCAGCTATTATGAAAGGCTAGCTTGAGAGAGTTAATTGCAGACAGAAGCTTTTGGGACCTATTGAATCACTTCCAAGTAGGCAGCTTCTCTTTCTGCTACACAATATTCAGTGTGCAAATGTTTAGACAAATGGCATTGTGGATGGAACTCACTTTTGAAGTCAGGTAGATTGGGATTCAAATTTTGATTCTGTTTCTCACTAGTTGGATCACATTGGGTAAGTAACTTAGCCTCTCTCTGCCTCAGTGTTAAATGATTAAGTGGGACTGATGATATTGATGATGCCTCTAGGGCATTTCTCTGGTTGGCTTTGAACCGACCTAGTTTAACCCCCTTTCTTGCATAAAGTTCCCAAAAATAACTGTGGATGTGCAGGGGATGCAACATCCTAAAATAAGGAGAAACTGGCTGGAAAAGCCCAGGCTATGTTCTAGTCCTGCCTAGAACAGGCTGTCCTTCAACACATTAGCCCAGAGAATCATGTTATTCCTGGGGTATAAAATCCAGGGCAGAGTGCTTTCTGGGCTTCCTCGGCTGTGGTGGATGTGGAGCACAGGCAGATGAGAATCCATCCACCCCAAGCAGCCTTGGGGGACAAGGGTTAGGAAGTGAATCCTAGGCTTCTATGGTCCCTTGCTGTCCCCTCATGTAACTTGTAGATGTGAGTGTTTTGTCTCACTGGACTCAGGCAAGTAGTAGAAGCGCAGCCCAAGATGAAGTGGGCTGAAGTGGTAACCAATGCACAAAGAACCTGCCTCAAAATGATGATAATGATAACTAACATTTATTGAGGCCTTACTGTGTGCTCAGCAATGTCCTGAGTATATGCACTCATTTAACAGGATTGCTGTGAGAGTTAAATCAGATAATGTATTTCAAGTTTGGAGCAGTCTATGGCACAAAGCAGGAGTCTGAAAATAGGAGTATAACAGTGATGCACCAAGGGTGCATGTTGGAAGTGGTCTGCTGCATGTGTAAGTAGTAAAGGAGTGGTTTTCTGTATGGAATTTAGAAACAGTAATAAAGCTGTCTAGAAATTGATCTGCCTTTTATTATCACTGTAAACTAGCAATTCTGTACAATGTCAATTACAAATACCTATCTCTGAAAAAAAGGAGTTGCTATAGGTACTGTGGCTTTTGAATAATTTTTTTTTTACTTGTGTGAATTTATGAGATACAGGTGTAATTTTGTTATATGGATATGTCATGTAGTGGTGAAGTCTGGGTTTTTAGTGTCTCCATCACCACAATAACATACATTGCACTCATCAATTAATTTCTCATCTTCCATTCCTCTTCCACTCTCTCACCCTTTTGAGTCTCCAATGTCTATCATTGCACACTCTACATCCATGAGTACACATTATTTAGTGCCCACTTATAAATAAGTAGATGTGGTATTTGTCTTTCTGTGTATGACTTGTTAAGATAATGGCGTCTAGTTCCATCCATGTTGCTGCAAGACACGATTTCATTCTTTTTATATGGCTGAACAGTATTCCATTGTGCATCTATACTACATTTTCTTTATCTAAACATCCACTGAGGGACACAGGTTGATCTATATCTTTGCTATTGTGAATAGCAATAACATGTGAGTGCAATAAACATGTGAGCTACAATAAACATGTGAGTGCATTAATATATGCAGAAATATCTGTTTTATACTAACATGTTTTTGTTATTTATCTTTTATTAAAAATTGGAATTTACGTGGAAGTTAAGCTGGAGACTTCCCAGGTATTCAGGCAGCCTCTGACACACATACACTCAGCTACATATGTGTGTTTGAAGGGTACATTCATAATCATGTGAAATTGTTCCAGCTCCTTTTGGGCACAGTTCCCTGTGTCCCCAGTCCTTGTGGTACTATATGTTTATGCATTTAAACAGTAGTTTCAAAATAAATACTGATAGCACAATGATTTAAAGATGAAAAAACAGAACTTGAGTTATTTCAATTCTGTCATTCTCTATGCAAATCATTCTTAGAACCCTGCAGAGTTTACTCTCTTGGAAGTATTTCTTAATTTGTTTACTACCCCCTCCTTAAAAAATAGACAGTTAATGTAATCATAAAATGTTAACCTATTATTTCTTTCCTTTTCTACTTTAACTTTTTTTTCAGTTTTTATTTTTATTATCATGAATAATACAGTATTAAAAATTTCACTGCTTGCTTATGTTGTCTGATTATCCATTAAATACCCTCTAGAATTTAATTTATTATTTGCTTTATTTCATGGTTTTTACTGAAAATAAATTTATTTTATTGAGGAGGGAGGTATTAAGAATGATCCCCACCAGGTGTCAAATATGCTAGATATGGTCTATTAATATTATTCCATTCACTATTCTTATTTCATAGGTCAGTAAGAGAAGCTTCATTGTCTTGGTTAGATAAACTTGTCAATAAAATACTATTGTTCTGGGCTTCACTGCTTCAGTTTTCCTTGGAAAAAGATTGACATGGGGATGAAGCATGACTCATTGACTTTCCTGAGACCTCAGAAAAGGTTCCTGAAACTCAGGCAATTAATGGCTGAAAGACAGATCATTTATTCTAAAAGCACCAATCACAGGAGCGAAAGGGTGTGACAAAATGCATGAAGACCTATAAACCTCTTGCCTGGGGTGAAGGTATTGAATCGAAGAGTTGGAGACACAGGGGAAAATTTCCAGCCGTGCTCGGGTCTATATAGCACCTGAAACTGCCTCCCGGATAAAATCTTTTTGAGAGGTGTCCTGGGTAAGGGAGCATGCACTGCCTCTTCCATATTCAGTTTAGGGTAACCATTCTTACTGATGACTATGTGATGGCAGTGGACTGGGTTGTTCAAGTTTTCATTGGGCAAATTTGCATTGAGCAGTTATGACTCCAGTTTACCTTCAGTCTCTTCTTCCATTTATTGAGTGTCTCCGATGTGCAGACACTGAGCTAGGAGGGGCTTTCACATGTGCCCTTTCAGGAAACTTGTATGGTGGAATTAAGAGATGGCAATGTGTGAAGAGGCTGGCCTATGGAGTTCCATAAGCCTAGGATCAAATACAAGCTCTGCCACTTCCCAGCAGGGGAACCTTGGGCAGGTCACTTAACCTCTCTGAATCTCCACTTCCTCATTTGTAAAATGAGAATAAATGATAACTGCCTTGTTAAGTAGTTGAGAGAAGTAAGGTGAAGTGTAAAGTAAAGCCCAAGCACAGCACCTGAGACACACAGGCCATCAAATGGCTACTATTATATCTCCTGCTGCAAATGAAGAAGACCCAGAGAGGCGAGTGACCTGTTTAGAGCATAACAAAACCCGCTCCACTACTTTACTTCTCTGTGTCTTATTAGAATGCACTCTGCTATGGTTGTTCTGTGGGGGCTTGGCAAAGCCACACTTCTTTTGTAAGTTGGGGTCTCTCCCAAACAGTGGTGCTGATAGTGGCTGATTCCTACCTGAAAGTGCCCTTAGTTGCTGTGGTGATGAAAAGGAGCTAAAACCAAGAAGGGGTTATGAAATGTTGCCTTGAGAAAAGTTTTCTCCCTCTCTACCTTAACTAAATGTGTTCAAAATGTACCCTTTGAATCCAGTGGGAAACTTCCATACCTCTTTTTCCCATGAATGGTAGGTCATATGACATGGATACAGTCTAAGATTATGTGGTTCAGTTGTTACTCAAACAGGGTTTTGGGATATTAGCTGATTTACCTTTTTTATTTGTAGTCACCCTTGTCTTGATCTGACAGGATTAAGAGTTACATATGGACTAGTTTGGGCTTTAGATTACAGAAATAGAGAATTTGGTCTTTTGTTTCTTTTTCTCTTTTTAAAAAAATTTATTTTAGATTCAGGGGGTACACGTGCGTGTTCGTTACATGTCTGCTTTTTTAATGCATGCAGGCTCAATAAATGCTCCTTCAATAGAATGGACAGGGGTGCTTTCCCTAGCAGAGGTGGTGTTGCAGAAGTAGATTCTGAGATGGTTATTCAGCTCTGCCTTTAGGATTGACACCTAATGAAGAGACTGGAAGTAGGATTAGCCAGAGAGAGAAGCTGACCAACAACATGGGCCCAATATCAGCCCCAGCCCACCCTGTGGGGAGATCTGGAGCGAGAATGGCCTTTCGGAGGTCTTGAGCTGGGGTAAGTTGGTCAAGCATCTACACTACCGCCTCAGTCAGTCATTGTTATGTGGGTCACTCTGGGGAGGGCGTGACCTTGGGAGAGGCAGGTCTCTGTAGTAGAGGCAATTTGTTAACAGCCGAAGTCTTTCCACATGTACAGTCCCAGCAGCAGGCAACAAGGCATTCACTGAAGTGAATTGCAAGCAATGCACACCGTACCTGCCATGCCTTGATATTGTAAGGGGGTGGGGTTCTTAAAACAATGTTTGTGTTTGTGTGATTATTAACACTCATTAGACTGGACAAAGGAGACTTACTCCCACCCTGTTTGCATGGTTCAATTTGGATGGCATAATGGCCTTTGAACAAAAGGTGGCGCTGTAGTGTCAGTTTTGAGGTGCTTTGCTGCAGCTAGGAATTGTGGCAGAATGATAGGACCATTTGGTTTTCTTTATAAAGAAAACCATAGGAAAGAAGATGAGATGCTATTTTCAAGGGGTTTTTTCCCCTGGCACTGAAATACTTGGAAGAGGTGAGATCCAAGGGCTGTGTGTGTGTGCACACACACACATGTGCATGTACACATGTGAGTACATGTTGGCAGTGACAAAGGGGGTGGAGGATGGAAGACTTATTGTTTGCTCCTTCTCTCACTCCTTTTCTTCTTTGCTTCAGAAAATACCTTAGTGCCAGCTCTTGGGTTTTTAGCTCTAGGCTGATCACCAGGGTAACAGAAATGAGCAATATCTGGAGTCCTCTTTAGGAAGCTTTGGTGGAACAAGGAAATGGCACCTGTATGTGCCTCATACAATAAAAGTTTCATGGGTGCTTCATTTCTAAGTCAAAGATTAGAGAGTGATCAGGGGAGGCTGGAGAGAAGTTAAAAACCAAGCTTTGAATGGTGGTACTGAGCTTTCCATTCAAGAGGCGACTGTTGCACAGGGGCTGGGTCCGGGTTTTGGGGTCACATCCCTGGGCCTATTTCTGACTCCTGCTATTCAGCTGTGTGCACTTAGACAAATGACTTAATCACTCTGTGCTTTAAAATGGCTTCAGCTGGAAAAGAGGATTTTTCTAATTCCTAACTACAGGGCTGTTGTGAGGATTAATTGAGAGCTAATAAATATAAAGGGTTAAGATTAATATATTGCATATGATAGGATTTAATAAGTCCTAGCTATTATTTTTAATATTCTCTATTATTAGTTTCAAAACATTTTTGGGCATATACATTATGCTAGGTCCTATGCTAGTTGCCTGAAAAACAAAGATGAACACAGCACCCTCATGGAGTCAAAGAGGACAAGTGCACAGAGTAGACAATTAAAACAATGTGTGAAGCCCTAGGACTGAGACTCAGGCAGGGTTTATGGGAGCAGGTGGAGGGGCACCAAAGTCACCTTCGATGGGGAAGGGTGTTGGTGATGAGCTTGGGGAAAGCTTCCTGTCTGAGATGCTTCTTCAACTGAGTCAGTACATGATGAGTAGGAGTTCAGCATCGGAGGGTGGGAGAGGATGGCTGGATGAGAGTACTCCATGAAGAAGGTGCAGAAAGGAAGATAGTACCAGACACTGGTGAGCAGGGAATGATTAACAGTTTGGCATTGCCAAAGTATACAGTTCGAGTGTGAAGTAGCAAGGGTTTGGGGTGGGGAGGGCCTGGATCACAGACAGTCATGGCTGATAGTAAGTCACTGAAGGTTTTCAACAGGGTAGTGCATCCAATGACCATGCCTGGTACCCAGTGGGGCTTAAATGTTAATGGATGAATGAATAAAACCTGAGTAGAATTTTAGTGTATGAGTGTAGGGAGTATCAGTGAGATTAGGCCTAAGGTGGATGATTCCATCAGTCCAAGTCTACTGACTCGCTTTAAGCGCACACACACGCACACACACACACAATGTATATTGTAAAGGTAATGTATGCTCATTATAAAAATAGTCAAGTAGTACAGAAAGCCATATAGTGAGAAGGTAAACGTTTTCTTTGCATTCATTCCTTCAGTTCCTTGGAGGTAACTAGTATTAAGAGTTTTTTTGGGTATCTTTCCAGACAGATGTAGGCATACACACCTGCACAGAAAAATGCAGAACAGTGTGGTGCTTAGATGCAAGGATCTGGAGCCAGCCTGCCTGGGTTCCAATGATAACTCTTAGTCTCTGCTATTATAGCTTTATGAGCTTATCCTAGTTACATAACCTCCCTACACCGTGGCTTTCCTATAAGTAAAGTGAACACCTACCCCACAGGGTTGTTATGAGGATTAGATGAGTTATGTATAAAGGAATTACAGTGCCTGGCATATAGTCTTTGTTACATTTATAGATAATCTCTTTTCTAGGATAACACAAGGAAGTCAAAATAAAAAATGTAGATAATCTCTTAAAATGATAAAGGAACATATTTTAATAGTGCTTTGCAGTGTGCTTTTTCTCACACACTAAAGAATCTTACACATCTTTCCACATCAGTAAACATAAATTTACCTCATTGCTTTTAATGCTGCAAGGCACTGTATGGGATGCATATACTGTAATTTATTTAATCAGTCTCATATTTATGGACACTTAGGTTGTTTCCATTTTTCACTCTTACGAACAATGCTACAATGGCTGTCTTTGTGCACTTGTTCAAGCACAAATCACATCGCTGGTATAAGGGAGCCCTACCATAGGGTATCTATTTTTTTCTTCTTCAGTGGAAGCAGCTGCCAACTGATACAACCATGAACAGGCACATCTTGAGGGACACATCTTAAATCTGCACATGTGTACCAGGCTGTGATCCTATCCTGGATAAAAGGTGTAATGGAGTCACTGGGAAGTTCAGGGGAGGGGTTAGGCCAATGGTTGTAAGAAGCTCATCTGGAGGCAGGGAGTTCTACATCTCCCAACTTTCCTTCCTGCACTCATTTTCTCCCTGAGATTCAGAGTTAAGGAGAGGTTTTGGGGTGGATGTTGACGGCCTTGTCTATCTTATCTACGGCCTAATGAATTTCCAGAACCCAGCCCTCTTACAACACTCTTGCTCTCTGGGGAAGTAGCTCTGAGAGAGCTGAGAGAACAGCAGAGTCTGTGATAGTAGGATGAACGCCTCTGGTTTGGCTGTAACACTCATAGATTTTCAAAGAACCACAGGTCACTGGAAAGGGTCCCACACCAGCCACTCTGGTAGGGACCAGGTCTGTTACCACACTTGGGACACTGCCTTCCCTACCTCTGAGCCTTCCTGGGTCATGTTTCCACAAGTACCAGAAGCCCCACCACCCCACCACTCCCAGCCTGTGAAGGGCAGACTCTGGGCCTGCACCTCTGCCACTGTGAAGCAGCCTGCAGACCTGTCTACAGAAGTGAAGTGGCTGTGTGACGAAATCTAAGTTTTGACCTCAAAGACCCAGTGTGATGAGAAGCCCTCTTCATTGTGCTGACTCTTGGATATGGACATTTCATGCTCTCAAAGAATGCCAATGACTGAAATAGGGATCATAAGGGCAACAGGAGCAGTGGGGCAAGATTCATCCGAGGAACACTCCAGAACTAGCCTTCAACAGTGATTGGAGCTGTAGTGAATGAGAAGCACTGGAGGAACAGACATCCCATTTCAGTTCTCTTTTTGCTGGAAGCTGTGAGCAGGGCTGGCGCCCACCCTCACCTTCTGACTGTGGAGCCCTTGGACTTTTAGAAAGTTGGGGCAGGGCTTCAGGAAAGAGATTCTGGACCTCCACATGAGACCGTGTGTCTTAGTTCGTTTGTGTTTCTGTAACACTATAACAACATACCTGTGACTAGGTCATTTGGTAAAAACAGAAATTTATTTCCCTGACAGTTCTAGAGGCTACGAAGTCCAGGATCAAGGCACCAGCAGGTTTGATGTCTAGTGGGGGCCCTGGTCTCTGCTTCCAAGATGTCACCTTGAAAGCTGCACCTTCATATGGTAGAAGGACAGGAGAGAGTAAACCTATTCCCCCCAAGCCCTTTTATAAAGGGACTGATCTCATCACAAGGGCCTCTGCTCTCATGACTTAATGACTTCCTAAAGGCTCTACCTGTTAATACTGTCACAATGGTGATTAAGTTTCAATGTATGAATTTTGGGGAACACATTCAGACCATAGCGGTATGTATATATAAAAACAAAAAAGATGCTGGTATTTGCACTTTGAATTGGGGGAGTAGATGTTCCCAAATTCTTCTTTTAAAACTTGGACAAATTTTTACTCCCACAGTGTATGCAAGTGCCTATTTCCCCTTATCTTTGACAACAGTGAATTTCATTAAACTTTAAATATTTTGCCAAACTGATAGGGATGTAAAGTGCTATCCCAATTTTTATTTAATTTGTATTTACTCAATTGTGAACGTAATCAAACATATTAAAATCTGTGTATGAGACATTAGCATTTCTATTGGGTGGGATGGCTTTTCCTTATGATTTGGAAAAGCTCATTTGATAAGCAAGAAAATTAGCCCTTTGTCTAGCAGATGTATAGCCAATATTCCCCTAAGTCCTTTGTGTCTTTTAACTTGTTTTCTTGTGTGGGAGTATAAACATTTTGTGTGATCAGATTTATCAGTCATTTCCTTTAGGACTTCTGGGGTTTATACCATGCTTAGAAAGTTGTTTTCCACTCCAATACTATAAAATTATTAACCCATTCTTTTCTTGTATTTCTGTGATTTTATTTCTTTAGTTTTTTAAAGCAAATTAAAAAAAATTCCTGAAATAATATTTATTTGTTTAAAACAGAAAAGAATAAGGAAGAAAACAAACTAACAAAATCCGCCTAACACCCAGAGAATCTCTATGTTAGCAGAGGTTAACACAATTAAGAAAATATTATACATGCATAAGATTTTAAAAAGTAAACAATATAGAATGTAAATATTAAACAATGTCTCTCTTTCTCACCCACACAGTATTCTCCTACCATCCCTCTCTCAAGAGGTTTACCTATCACCGATTTCTCATATTTTTTTCAAAGAAAAAAATTTAAATTTATGGCATACATACTTTGAAAAAATGTATACACTATACTGTTACTCTACATCTTTCCTTAAAAGTAAAATTAATAATGATTAACAATAAAACTAATAATTATTAAAAATAAAATTGATAATCAGTAAACAATTAGTAGTTACACCTTTTAATTTATCTGGAGTTTATTTTGGCACAGAAAGTGAGGTAGGGATCTAGCTTAATTTCCTTTTGTAAAGTGGCCAACCAGTAATTCCAACGCTATTTATTGACTAAGTTTGTCTTTTCTCTGTTGACTTGAAATGTCTTCTTTTTTCATGTATTAAAAGGTTTCACTCTCTTGGGAGATCTGGGTATTGTCCCTAGCTCTGCCACTAATTTCAATATGATCTTTGAAAAGCTCTATCCTCTCTGGGCTTTAGTTTACTCCTGTGTAAAATGAAGGATTGGGAGGGTTGGTGTTGAAGTTTCCTTCTAGCCTTCACGCTGTGTATTGATACCAAAACTCCACTGTGATTTCAAATCCTCCTCCCTCTTGGGTTGTTTTCAACCCATTGTCACGATGGGCTCACCCAGCACCCAGTGCCTGGGGGCAGTTTCCAGGGCTGTGTCTGCATCACTTTTAAAAATTATGTTTGTCTTCACAAAATCATTATGCTGAAACCTTGACACTTAAGCTCTCTCTTATGAGCTACATGAATTCTTGTGTGGCCTGTCACAGTGAGCTAGAAGGCACAAAAAGGGTCTTAATAAGTGGTTCTTAACTTGGATCTCTGGGACCTCTGAGGGGATGGCGTATTATGAAGACAGGAATGGAAGGTGTTCTTTTAACACTTGAAAAGCTTTATGAAAATTGGGACCCACCGACTAATTTCAGCATTGCCATCTTTGCTTTGAGTCAGAAGTCTGTCTACACAAAGAGCTCACACTGATAGTTCATGCTGGTCAGGGAAGAAGCGAACAAATATTTGCTGAGTTTCAGATGTTCTATATACAGTCACTGATTTAATTTTGTCCCAGACCTTGCCAGATCAGTACGGTTATCTCCATTCTGAAGGTGTAAGTAATAACTTGCCCTAGGCTACCCGGGTCAGTAGGTTTTATTTTATTATTCTTATTTTTTTAGAGACGGAGTCTCGCTCTGTCGCCCAGGCTGGAGTGCAGTGGCGCGATCTCGGCTCACTGCAAGCTCCGCCTCCTGGGTTCACCCGCCATTCTCCTGCCTCAGCCTCCCGAGTAGCTGGGACTGCAGGTGCCCGCCACCATGCCAGGCTAATGTCAGTAGGTTTTAAACTCTAGGATTTTAATTCAGGTCTGCACCGCATAGCTTTTGCCCTGTACTTCCCAAATTCCAACTCACCAGTGGGGTAAGTCTGACTGGAATATATTCTTCAATAATTTTAAAAAAGGGGTAATGCTCCCCCCACCAACCCCAGACTATTATGGCTTTGGTGCTGGGATTAGAGTAGCTGTGTTGGCACACAGTTCCCATCAGATGGCACTGTGAGCTCAGCAATGGAGTCAACCTTCCCTGCAGCATCCACCCGGAGCCCACAGGCACCTCTGGGGACCTGGCTGTAGATTCACCCTCTCCCAGCAGATGGAGTTTGCCTGTGTGTTTACTCTGAACTGCGCCAGGCGGGGCAGAGCTGTGTTGGTTCTCTTTGGGTTAAAGAGGGCCCTAGGTAGTCCCTCTTCTTTTACTGCCTGCAGCTGGTACAGGATCTGTCTCCCTGGCAATTAGGTGGCCCAGGATGCGGCTGCTGTGCTATTGGGTGGTTGCACCTCCAGTTATAAAAGGTGGTGGACTTCAAGTTGCAGGGAGAGCCTTCTGCCACTGCTGTTGCTTTGGTGCAGACAGGAGCATTTACTAGATGTGGATTGGAAGGTCCTACTGGAAAGGTCAGAGTGAGTTTAAACTAAGAGACTACTGTGTTAGGGTTGAGCAGCAAAGAGGAGACAGTATAAGAGAAGGGAAGTATCATTCATTGAGTGCCTACTCTGTGCTGGGCACTGGGAGGGGAGCTTTCCCTGTATTATCTTATTTAGCCCTCACAATAATTCTGTGAGTTAGCTACTATTACTTTCCCCATTTTATAGATGAAAAACTAAGCCTTGGAGAGATGAAAGGATTTGACCAAAGTCATAAAGCAAGTTAGCTTTGGAGATAGTATTCTGTACCAGTCCAAGATCTCAGGACCAGATCTCAAAGACCTGGAAAGAAGGGGTAAGTAGAGATTTAAAATCTGTCATTTAATTCTGTAGCTAGCACGAACCTTTCCCTTACTTTCTCAAAACTTTGGTTCTTTAAAGTGTTTGAGAGACTCTTTGTAAAAGAGGCGTAGGCAGTATTATCACCTTGTTATAGTTTAGGAAACAGAGGGGTTACACAACTTGCTCGAGCTCACACTCAGTGGTAAGTGGCAGCCAGAATTCAAATAAAAATCTATGTGATCAGAACACTTGTTCTTTTAAAAATCCAAATGAAGGCCAGGCGCGGTGGCTCACGCCTGTAATTCCAGCACTTTGGGAGGCCAAGGCGGGTGAATCACTTGAGGTCAGGAGATCGAGATGAGCCTGGACAATATGGTGGAACCCTGTCTCTACTAAAAATAAAAAAAATTAGCCAGGGAATGGTGGTTCATGCCTGTAATCCCAGCTGCTTAGGAGGATGAGGCCCGAGAATTGCTTGAACCTGGGAGGCAGAGGTGGAAGTGAGCCAAGATCATGCCACTGCACTCCAGCCTGGGCGACAGAGTGAGACTGTCTCCAAAACAAACAAACAAACAAAAAGGCAAATGTAGTAATTGGAACGTAAATACTCATTCATTCATTCATTCATTCATTCATTCATGTAAGCAGGCAGTATCTAACCACCAGGTATGGAAGCAGCTACTTTTACTTAAGATTAGTTCTATCTAAATATTCTTTAGTCCTTCAGGTTCGTACTTGTATAATCCATCCTAGCACAGTGCCCTGCCATCATAGATAGCCAATAAAGGCTTATTGAATTGAATTAAATTGAATTGAACTGATTAGATACAGCTGGAGACTTGAAGTGGTCCAGCTCTTTGAATTTTCCTTTCCGAGTCCCCTGAAACCAAATTATTGAAACTATTTGATTTAATTCAATATGGCCAGCACTCGTTGAGTGGCTGCCATTTTGTTCCTTTATTACTTAGCTAATTTTGGCCACACCACCAAGCCTATTGCTCAAATCAGATTGTATACTGAAATATAAAGCTACATTAAAGTCTAAAGCAAAGGCAGGAGCCTATGAGCCCCATACTGCTGAAAGGTAGACGAGGAAAAGTTGAAAATTTAGGCTATGGGAAGGTAGCATTTTGTTTAGAAAAAGAAAGGCATTTGAAGTTTGGTTATCCTGTTAACTAGCTGTGTGAACCTGAATAGGCAAGATAACATTTATAAACATCCGTTGCCTTTTTTGTAAGATGCGTTCCTCATCTTATTGGATTATGACCAACATAAGCTCCTTGAGGGCACAGTAAGTATTTAGGGTGATATTTTTAGTCCCTGACAGAAGGCCTGGCACATGGTAGGTGCTCAGTGAATATTTAAAAAAGGAAAACTGTGCTTTGAAGTAGGTTAAGCAAATTCAGTTATTCTAATTGTATAGCCAGGGAATGATCTTCCTAATTGGCAGGGGCGAGGGCAAGAGATGGGCTTGCGCTAGACTTTGTAGGATAGGTAGGGTTTAATTAGGCAGAAGTGAGGACGGAGAGCATTTCAAGGTGAGGAAGTCACTGCAGCAAGGTGTGAAATGTGTAGGACAAACTCAGAGGACATGAACACTCTGAAGAAGGTACATGTTGGAGAGGAGTGAGACAGCATGGGAAGAGGTATGTGGATGTATTAATAGGTTATGAAGGGCCTATCTATTCTCTGCCCTTGGGGGCTTACAACATTTTCTCCATTGCCTCCAGCAGATTCTATGGCAGTGCTTAGCAGGTGGGTGTTAATGAGGCTTCCTGTGGCTGGGTTTGGTGAGGAGTTGTATATCAAATATAGTGATGAGTTTGCATTTCAAGCCACTGTCTAGGACTCTCAAGAGGAACTCTTTTGGGGCTCTTTGTTCATTGCTATGGTCCAAATGTGCCCCCTTCCCTAAATTTGTATGTTGAAACTTAATGGCCAATGTGATAGTCTTAAGAGGTGGAAACTTTAGGAGATGATGAATTCATGAGGACAAAGCCCTCATAAATGGGATTAGCAACCTAATAAAAGGGCTGGAGGGAACTGGCTAGGTCCCTTTTGTCTCCTTTGTCTCTTCTACTGTGTGAAAAGTCAGTGTTAAAAGCACCTTTGGAAGCAGAGACAAGGCTATTACAAGACACAGTACCTGCCAGAGCCTTAATCTTGAACTTTCCAGCTTCTAGAACTGTGAGAAATATATTTCTATTGTTTAAAAATTACCCAGTCTTAGATTTTGTTATAGCAGCACAGGCAGACCAAAACAACCATAGTGAGAATGAAAGAAGTTATTTACCCCCCGAATGACCAGTGGAGATAGGTCTATTATCCTTCTTTGAGGATGAAACAGGCTCTTTATCCCTTTACTACACAAGAGCAAATTCAAGGCCATGATCCACTTGCCCAGTTGGAGGGGCTTGCCCAGTCATTCAACATTCTTTGGACCAAAGCATATTGCCTGAAGTTCTTTCCTGATGCCCTCATTTCTTGCATAACCATGCCAGGAGAGCAAGCTACCTTTGAGTGACTACAGCCTTGCATTTCCAGTTATCTCCACTGTTTCTGGGAACTCTCCTTGATTGGGTATGTATACACAATTCCACCAAGTACCCAGTTCAATACAGTAAGGCTTTCCTTTTTATCTTTAGTCAACCCAAATAACTCATTCTATAGTGGGAATCATTTGATAGTCCCCCCATAACAGGCCATTCAGGTTCATTTGACAGTGCTGGTGGCATACCCGTTAATGCAAACTAACCATTCAAACATCTAAAGATTTCTCTGGCTTGGAGACATATGACAGCCACCCTGGAGGCAGTCCAGTTCTAGTTTTGTGCACTCATACACTTGCTCCTGCTGATGTTTTCTTCAGGCCCCTGTTAGATATGCCATATGCTATGGCCTTTATGTGTTTCCCCAAATTCATGTGTTGGGCACTGAATCTCCAACTGTCTTGGGAGGTGGCACATAATGGGAGGTATTTAGATCATGACGGCTGTCATGAATGGATTCATGCTGTTATAAAAAGGCTTTACAGGAATGGGTTTGCTCTCTTCTGCCATGAAAGGATACAGTGTTCATCCCTCTTTAACCCATCTGTCCCTTCTGCAATGTGAAGACACAACAAGAAGGCTCTCACAAGATGGCAGTGCCTTGATCCTGGGCTTTCCAACCTCCAGAACTGTGAGAAAGTCAATTTTTGTTTTTGATAAATTACCCAGTCTCAGGTATTCTGTAATAGCAGCACAAAACAGACTGGAATGAGTGAACCCACACCACTTTTTCATTCATGAGTGAATGCCACTTTCACATGGTGCATGGTAACTAACACTGCTAATGGCATATGGTGATAACTATGAAAACATTTGCTGAGAATGACGTAAAAGCATAGGAGTACCATGGAGCCTGTACAGTTGTACAGTGAGATGTGTTTGGGCTGCAGAGCTGAATAGTGCAGTAAAAAGTGCCCCAGTAGAAAGATGTTGTTAACTGCTTTACACATTTATAGGTAAAGCCAGAGGACTGGGGGAGGGGGAAACCTGGTTTTCTATGTAACAAAGAAGCTTTTGGTTGAAGAACTAACCTTGAGAATCCTTCTGAGTTTAGTTAGGGGGTTTGTGAACCAACTTTGTTGTCTGTGGAAACTTTATTATTCTTCTTTCTAGTTGAACTAGTTTATTGTAAAGACTTCAGGGAATGAGGAGGAAAGGGTTGTCCCTGGCATTGGAAACCAATGGTTTGTCTTCTCTCAAAAAATTATATGCATATTCTGGTTCAGAAGTACTAAATTCCCTCCATTGGGCCACAAATTATCCCTGATTCTTACAGCTTTGGAGCTCCACTTTTTTTCTTGTTTTGTTTTTTGAGATAGAGTCTCTCTCTGTCACCCAGGCTGGAGAGCAGTGGCACAATCTTGGCTCACTGTAAGCTCTGCTTCCCAGGTTCATGCCATTTTCCAGCCTCAGCCTCCTGAGTAGCTGGGACTACAGGTGTCCGCCACCATGCCTGGCTAATTTTTTGTATTTTTAGTAGAGATGGGGTTTCACTGTGTCAGCCAGGA
Organism: Homo sapiens; assembly: GCF_000001405.40. Taxonomy (NCBI): domain Eukaryota; kingdom Metazoa; phylum Chordata; class Mammalia; order Primates; family Hominidae; genus Homo; species Homo sapiens. The sequence goes on along the minus strand of NC_000011.10, from coordinate 82,691,162 downwards.
TGGTCTCAATCTCCTGACCTCTTGATATGCCCGCCTCGGCTCCCCAAAGTGCTGAGATTACAGGCATCAGCCACCGCGCCCAGCTTGGAGCTCAACTCTTAAATCATTTCATTTTCACTGTCGGGCTATACACCACAGGATTTAAAAATCAGATTTTGGGTTTGGGTACATGCTTGGCCACCTGCTAGCTGTGTGGTCTTGGATAAACCATCAATCTTTCTGAATCTGTTTTCTCATCAGTAAAATATCTCACTCTTGGGGCTTCTGTAAAGATCAAATAAAACAACAAATGTCAATGTTCTTTGCAGACCCCAAGGCACTTTCCAAGAGTTTGCTGTGATTATTATTGCTACCTGCAAAATTCTAGGGAACCTGATGGTACATAAATGGCACTGCTTGGCATACCCTGCAGCAGCTGTTCCGGTTCTGTTTACTGCACATGGGTGAACAGTTTACTCCAAGGGAATATTTTACTCATTACAGGGTTGTAACTGCTACAAATAGCACAGGGTGCCTCCCACCTAATGTAGAACACAGGCTACGCCATCCCAAGAGCCAGCCAGATGCCAGATGCCACACTATGTGTGCAGTAGAGAGTAGCCGAACCTGCTGTCTTGTAAAAATGTAATGGCAGGTATCTAATGTGATTAAGGCTTGGAGGAACAAACCTGATTCAGTGACATGTTCTGAATCCCACTACAGATATTCTTGGACACCAAACTCCATTTTTCAGCTAATTGCCCATATGAGTTTTCCTAAATTTGGCTGCGCCTTTGATTTGCTCTTCATTTTAAGCAATATGCTGCAGTGGAATGAGCGTGTGCTTTGGAGAGACAATTTCAGGTTCAAATCCCAGCTCTGCTTATTAAAAGCTGAATGGCCTTTGGTGAGTTACTATAACTCTGTGAGCCTTGGATTTCTCACCTAAAAAATGAGGATAACAGGGCCTACCATGTAGGGTTTTTAGGATGATTAAGTAAGATAATGTATATAAGCGCCTGGTCTAGTACCAACTGAGTTGTACGTATGTGTCAACTGTCTAACAAATGGCCAATGAGCAATTTGCAACCCACCTGACCCCAGGGTTGGATCCCCTTGTGATTTGTTGTTAAGCATGTTCTAGTGCTTTTCAATCTTCAACGTGCCTACAAAGCAGCTGGAGTCCTTGTTAAAATGCAGGTCCAGATCCAGTAGGTCTGGGGTGGGGCTTGAGAGTCGGCATTTCTTTTTTTTTTTTTTTTTTTTTTTTTTTTTTTTTTTGAAACACAAACGCTTTATTTAAAGGAGCATCTCAGTTACGTGTGGCGGACAAAAAAAAGGAGCAGATTGTGACAGACCATTCCCATCGGCCAAGTGGTCGAACCCGACATCCAAGACCCAGCGAGCAGCCAAGCTCAGCGCAACCTCCGGGCTTCTCGCTCTGACTCCAAAAGGGTGAGCACGTCGCCCTCGCGCACGGGGCCTTTTACATTGCGGATGATGGATCGGCTCGTGTCGTCCATGAATTCCACGCGCACCTGCGTGCACTGTCCCTGAGAACCGGTCCTGCCCAGGACCTTGGTGACCCTGGCCAGCTTGATAGGCTGCACACGGCTGGTGTCCATGATGGCGGCGCGGCGGCGGTCTGGCGGAGCGAGATTCAGCATTTCTAACAAGCTCCCAGGTGCTGCTGCCGCCACCACTCAGGGGACATACTCTGAGTAGTGACACTCTTTAAGTGTATCTAGAATGTCTAACCCAGCTGGCCAAGAGGCCCCAACCACCTGTTTTCTACTGTTTTTGCTTAATTCAGAAGTTTGCAATCACTAGTTGTTTAACTCTGTCTGAATCAATTCTAAAAATACAGATTCCTGAATCCACCTGAGGAGATTCTATTTCTGTAGGTGAGGGGTGTGACTTAGAATCTACATTTTAAAAAGGCACCCTAGATGATCGTGATGGGAACTAGCTATATAACAACTATGGCCAGGTGTCAGGCCAGCATGTTGAGATCCATTAGTCATTATACAGTATTTGAAGCTAAACATGACTCATGTATAATCCTGAGAGTTACATCACGAAATGGGTACCATGAAGGTGCAAAATATTCATATGCCTACACATATATGAAATTTTGATCATGTGGCCACTAATAGGAAAACTTGGCTGCTCCTGACTTTCACTTTATAGATCAGCTATGTGCAGTGTTTAAGTGCTTAGACTTTGGTGTCAGATAGACCAGGGCTTACATCCTGGCTCAACATCTGAAAAGGTGTGACTTTGGATAAGTCACTTAACTGTGCAAGCAACAGTTTCCTCGTCTGTGAAATGCCGATAACATTACCTGTTTCGTAGGCTTATGGTGAGGATTATCAAGACAGACAATTCTGTTCTCAGTCTTTCTCACATCAAGTGACAGCAACTCTATCTTTCCAACTTCTCTGGCCAGAAGTCTTACAATCATCTTTGACTCCTCTTTTTCCCTTATGTCCCACATTCAACCCATTGGCAAATTCTGTTGACTTTACTTTCAAAATAAACACAGAATCCAACCACTTCTTACAACTCCTCTGCTGCCCTCTTGATTCAAGCCATTGTTGTTATTTTTGTCATGGCTTCCAAACTGATTTCCCTGCTTCTACCCTTGCCCCACCATGGTTTGTTCTCAACACATTAACCAGAGTGATTGTATTAAAAAGCAGGTGAGATCATGTCACCTCTCTGTTCAAACTCTCCAACAGCTCCCCATTTTATTCTCAGAATAAAAACCAAAATGGTGTTTACAAAGTCCTGTACAATCAGATTTCCTGTTACATCTCTGACCTCATTCCTGATTATTCTCTCTTCTTCTTCTTTTTTTTTTTTTTTTGAGATGGAGTCTTGCTCTGTCACCCAGGCTGGAGTGCAGTGGCACGATCTTGGCTCACTGCAAGCTCCTCCTGCTAGGTTCATGCCATTCTCCTGCCTCAGCCTCCTGAGTAGCTGGGACTACAGGCACGCGCCACCACGCCCGGCTAATTTTTTTTTTATTTTTAGCAGAGACTGGGTTTCACCATGTTAGCCAGGATGGTCTTGATCTCTTGACCTCGTGATCCGCCTGCCTCGGCCTCCCAAAGTGCTGGGATTACAGGCATGAGCCACTGCACCCGGTCTGCTCTCTCTCTTCTTCACCCTATTCCAGACACAAAAACATCATCAATTAAAAATTTTTTTTTTATTATACTTTAAGTTCTAGGGTACATGTGCACAACGTGCAGGTGTCTTACATATGTATACATATGCCATGTTGGTGTGCTGCACCCATTAACTCATCATTTACATTAGGTATATCTCCTAATGCTATCCCTCCCCCATCCCTCCACCCCACAACAGGTTCCAGTGTGTGAGGTTCCCCTTCCTGTGTCCAAGTTTTTGACAAACATTTCAAGAAAACTCCAACTTTTAGTTGTTTGCCCTGGACTCATTCCCTCTGCCTGAGGCGTTCTTCCCCCAGATATCTGCAAGACCAATTCCTTTCTCCTCTAAGACTTTGCTCCCCCAGACCACCCTATTTATAATTTTTCCTGTCCCATTCCTGTCCTCAGAACTTCCTTTACTCTACTTTTATTTTTTCCCCATAATTTTCTTACACACTATAATTACGTTTGCTATTCATTGTCTTGCCCCAGAAGAATGTCGGCTCCCCAAGGGCAGGGAATTGTTTTCTCTGCTGATATAATCCATGTAATCAGCATGCACCAGCATTTGTTACATAAGATGCTTAATACACATCTTTTAAAAGTAAGTGAATTATGCATGTAAAGTACTAATCACAGTGCCTGGCACACATAGACAGTATTAAGTAAGTGGTAGTTTGTATTATTTTTGAAACACCTGAAAAGATATTTCTGTCTTGGGTGTCCCAGCCTAAAGCTCTGCATAGCACATATTTACCTCTCAGTGAATCTATGCCTCACCATAGCCCTGTGAGGTGAGTGAGGCTGAGATCCCTCTGTATTCTGTCAAGGATAAGCAACAAAGCTCACAGGTGCTAAGTGATTCATACAACTAGTGTGTTATAGAACCAGGACTGAATAGATTCCAGGTCTCTCAATTCTGAGCCCAGTGCTTTTTCTACGCTGTCACGGAAATTAGAAAGGAGAGATGACTTCTTAACACCAAGTTCTTAACTTCCTCAAGTCCAGCTTATGTGTTAATCAAACATCCAAAGTGCTGGTGTGCACAGGTACCAAGATAATGTCAATAGTCTAACATGAGCCTCATTTATCTACATTACCTTGAAACAAAAGAGATCTGTAAATGTGGGAGACATTGAATTGAATGACAAGATCAATTACAAGAACTTTCACACAATGGATAAAAAAATACTGATTCCCCAGAGTTTGTAAATGTCTTGTCTCTTGCTGTTGTTTGGATAAAAGACAGTCGGTTTAGAGTAATGCCAAGCTCTACTTAAAATAAGTTATATTACAAAAAATGTACTGGAAATTTAAAAAATGAATAGAAAAACCTGCCTATAATCCCGTCACCCTTACAAATCAATAGTTGTTATTTTAATGCTCTCTTCCACACTTTGCTTGTATGCATATGGTATTTTTGCATGGCATAGACATTTTTCTTTCTAAATTTAGTATACTGTGAACTTTTTATCTTTATCTAGTGTTTAGAAATATTATATTTTACAAGTTACGTAACATACCATCTGGTTGATATACCACTGTTCATTTAACAATTCCCCTATTGTTGGTTTGTAGGTTATTTTCAGCGTTTCACTGTTTAAATGGCATTGTAATGAATGTCTTTGTAGCTTTTCCTTTAGGCATTTCCCCTCTTCCTATAACAATTCTCAAGAGTGATACTACTAGATTCAAAAAAGTCTTTTATGACTCAATAAATATGGTTCCTTTTTTGCTCCTCTTTATGGCCTTAGGTGATTTTATCAAGTAGCTAATATATATTTTATAGATGGGAAATTAGAAAACAATTGATCACTATTCCTTGCTTGTTAATTTTCTCATCAAGACACCAATCTATGATACCTGCATTCCTCAGATGATACCGTTGGAATTGTTTTATTCAGTGGGAATTTACTCAGTAAATAAGGAGGTTTCTTTTTTCAGAGATACTATTGTCTGAATGTTTGTGTCCTATGAAAATTCAGATGTTGAAATCCTGATGCCCAAGGTGATGGTATTAGGAGGCCTTTGGGAGGTAATTAGGTCATGAGTGACGAGTCCTCATGACTGGGATTAATACCCTTATAAAAGATTTGCCAGAGAGCTAGCTAGGACCTTCAATCATATGAGAATAAAGTGAGAAGGCATTGCTGTCTATGAAACAAGAGATGGCTCTCGTCAGACACCAAATTGCTGGTGCCTTGGTCTGGGACTTTCTAATCCCCAGAACTATAAGAAATAAATTTCCTTTGTTTATAAGCTAACCACTCTATGATATTTTGTTGTAATGGCCCAGACTACAAAAATACTATGTTAGGCAGGGCACGGTGGCTCATGCTTATAATCCCAGCACTTTGGGAGGCTGAGATGAGCAGATCACTTGAGGTCAGGAGTTCAAGACCAGCCTGGCCATCATCGTGAAACCCCATTTCTACTAAAAATACAAAAATTAGCCAGATATGGTGGTGTGTGCCTGTAGTCCCAGTTACTCCTGAGGCTGAGGCAGGAGAATTGCTTGAACCTAGGAGGCAGAGGTTGCAGTGAGCAGAGATCACGCCACTAAACTCCAGTTTGGGTGACAGAGCGAGACTCTGTCTCAAAAATAAATAAACAAAAATACTACGTTGTCTTCCTTCAGACATCCAAAGTTTGGTTTAGAGTCCCTTTAGTCAGCCTTTGCTTGGGAAGAGGGCTAGACTTGGAGTCAGAAAACTTGGATTTAAATCTTAGCTATGCTATTTATTAAAAACATTTTGTAAAATTCTTCATGTACCAAGGTATATTAGTTCATTCTCATACTGCTATAAAGATATTACCTCGAGATTGGGTAATTTATGAAGAAAAGAAGTTTAATTGACTCACAGTTCTGCATGGCTGGGAGGCCTCAGGAAACTTACAATCATGGTGGAAGGTGAAGGGGAAGCAAGCCATGTCTTACATGGTAGCAGGAGAAAGAGGGAGAGAGAGAGAGAAGAGGGAAGCTCCGGACAGTTATCAAACGATCACATCTTATGAGAACTTATTATCATGAGAATAGCAAGGGAGAAATTCGCCCTCATGATCCAATCACCTCCCACCAGGTCCCTCCCTCCACATACAGGGATTGCAATTGGAGAGGAGATTTGGCTGGGGACACAGAGCCAAACCATATCAAAAGGTGTTGTTATCGTTTTACTGTGGAGAAAGAAGCAAAAATCGAATGCTCCAAAATTGACTCTCAAATTCCCTAAGTGTCTTCCAAGTGTTTAAATCTCTGCTTTGGCTTTTGTGCCTAACTCACTAGAAAGGTGTATCTTGTGGTGTATGTGAGATTGTGTGTCTTCTATTGAGTTGATTGTATACAGTGGAAAAAATAGACCTGGATTTGACTCTAGTTCCATTATTTACAAACTGGATGAAAGAGGGGGAAATTTGCCCACCTCTCTGAAATGGGGATAATAACAGGATTAAGGGAGGAAATAAATGAGACAGTATATGTCAAATATCTAGTGGAGTGCTTGGCATTCAGGCACCAGTAGTGTTAGTTCTTCTGTCTGTTCCGCCTCAATGCTTTAAGAGATGTTAACAGGTATTTTCACAGAAGATTCAAGGCAGTAAGATTTTATCATCGTATCAATGTGTTTTAGTTTGGTTTCTATAAAATATTTAGGTGTTTTAAGCAGAATTTTCTTATTTCAAGGGCATATTGAATTATTTCTGGAGATAGGCTGGCTTGGTTGGCTATTTTCAGCAAGTGATAGCCAACATTTAAGCTATTTATTTCAGTATATTTGCTATACGCTGTGTCTTTCCTGTTGGTCCAGATAGAATGGATTTATTTTCAAGTCGAGATGAATGCTTAAGTCCAGGGCTCAGAGTTTGGATGCAGAAGTGTAGGCAATGGTAGTTTAAGAACATAAATACTGCCACAACTTGTCCATGAGATGGAAAGTAATAACTTCCCTCATCCACTGCAATCCTATCTAAAAAAAATCTTTGTTTTACTATCGAAAAATATAACAATTCTTTCCATTTCTGTATCACACTACACTTTGATATAATATGTTCACATGGATTACCTTAGCCAAATCTTACTCCCCTGAGGGATTCAGATTCAAAAAGCGTTTATTAATAAACACCCACTATGTGTTAAATTTGGTTATGAGGCACTTTCACACAACTTTTTTATGTAGTCTTCACTTTCAGCACTTAATGAAGGAAAAGTAATTGGAAAGCAGAACTTTTGAGAACTGGTACTCAAACCCAGATCTTAAATTCCCAGTCGAGTTGGTGCCTTTTTTCCAATAATCTTGTTCCTCAAAGAGATGATGTGATGCTGTAGAAAGAGCACCAGCTTGCATCAGGGGACTGGGGTTCTAATTTCAGTGAATGGCTCATGGTGGGCTTTTGGGGAGTCATGCACCCTCTTGGAGCTAATGAGGCATGATGACCTCTTTGGTCTCTCTGTGCCCTGACAGTTCATGTGTCTATGGAATACACTTTTATAATGGGAATAATACAGGGAATATTAATAAATTATTTTAGGCAGATAGGGAGGGTAAGGAGTCCTTGGTAAGACTTTTCCTTTTAAAATAAACAGCTCCTGAAACATTTCTTTTCTAATAGAAGAGCGGCTTGAAAAGTCAGGCCAGCAAGCTTTGATATGCAAATGCCAGCAATTAGAAGTTGGGTTCATCCAGTATGGTGATTCCCACCCTCTTCTCCTTGTCACCATGTGTGCCAGGTGTCATGGCCACCTCCAGATGACTCCATGTGTGCATGACATCATGGCAACCTGCATTGGCCTGTTAAAAGGCCAGAGTGGGAGGGCCAGGTTTCTCGCAGGCTACGTGAATGACACATCTGGTCAAACCAATCCCCTGGGCCCTATGCAAATCAGACACTGCCTCCTGCAGCCTCCCAATGTAACCGACTACTTTTCCACCGCACACAGGGTTTTTCTCCATTTGGAGCCCACCCCCCACTTCCCATACAGGGGGAGACTTTCTTCTTCTTTCTTGCCCATTAAACTTTCTGCTCCTTAAAAACCACTCCATGTGTGTCCATGTTGTTTATCTAACTGGCACAAGACAAAGGACCCTGGTGTTTCTCCATTCATTGGAGCCATATCATTTTGGTGCATTGGCCGGAAATCCAAGGTACAACATTCATTGGAGTGGTGAGTATGGAGTGAACCTCAACCTCAAATCTGTCTTTTAATCTCCAGGCTCTCTTCCAGCTATCCTGTCACCAGATTTTCATTTCTTTTCTACCTGTGACCACTATATCTATTCTCTCTGTGTATGCCATGTGCAGGAATTTTTACAGTCCAGGGAAACAGGTCTGTCAGGAAAGATCAGCAAATGTGGCAGGCAGCATAAACGTCTCTCTCTCTCTTCCTCTCTTTCTCTCTCTCTCTCTGTCTCAGGAATTTTTACAGTCCAGGGAATCAGGTCTGTCAGGAAAGATCAGCAAATGTGGCAGGCCATATAAACGTTCTCTCTCTCTCTCTCTCTCTGTCTCTCTCTCCCCACCCCGCCCCCAATCCTCTCTCTCTCTTCTCTCTCCTTTCTCTCTCTCCTCTCACTCTCCTCTCTCGTCTGGCAAACACATGGTATTTCTAACCCAACAGTGCCACCTAGTGGAAATAGAAATCCTTTTCATAAGACACATTGCTGGTGCTTTGCAGCACATTGTAGTTTCACAACTTTTCCTCGTTGCACTTTTCTACTGGAAACTAGGCTTTATGCTACTTCTGTGAATGGGAGATCTCTGCCTTCAACAGTTAGGAGTTAAGTGTTTTCCATAGCCAAATTTTAGTTTTAATATTGTCCCATCAGCAGAAAAACAGCCGTTTGGTTCCTATGTTCTTTTAAGGCACCTGTTCTGTCTCCAATTAAGACAGTACTTAATTAGTAAGAGGATTTTAAGTCTGGAAGTTAACCAGAACCATTTTTCTAAGGGTAGATGCTTTAGCATGGGCCATAATAGCAGGCAATCTAGCAAATTTCCTCCATTAAAGGAACCTTGCTTTTATATAGTCTTTCCCAAGATCCATTTTTTGGAGGGAGGCACACAGGTCACATAAGTCTAGGAGGTCAAAGGAAAATAATAGTCAGAGGACTAGGACTACTTGGGTAAGTGTATCTAGGCCTCAAAAGTCTAGTTCCTCTGGTGTCATGGCTTGGAGGGTCATGCCTGTAGCCATGGGTGGCACATTTAACAGGGTGCTGGGACCCAGGAACCAGAGAGGGAAAATAGTTGGGGGGATGCTCCCACTGTTTTCTTCTCCACCCTGGGTCACATATGGAAGGGAAGGAGACTAAAGGGACGCCTTCTCCCACTTCTCTTTCTAGATGGGTAACAGATTGTCTTCAGCATACACTCCCCTGGAGTGTATTTTAACGCACTGGCACTCTTTTGCCCCTGAGCCTTTTAAGAAAAAGTACCTTATATTCTGTTGCAGAAGGGCATGGCCTTCTTACCATGGCTTACCAAGGCTGGGGGGAACCTTGATTTTGAATATTATCCAACAGTTAGATCTTTTCTGCAGATGCAGGGGCAGATGGACTGAGGTCCCCTATGTACAGACTTTCTTTGCCCTGCAAGACAACCCAGACCTTTACAAGTTCTGTACAATCAACTCAGCTCTTTTAGTACCCATGGCAGGCAAGCCCACAGAGCTAAAGCAGATTCCAGAGGTGCAATCTGAGACTGCTACTGAATGTCTCAACCCTTCCAGTACCCCTCCAATCATACCGTCAGCTTCTCCAGCTCCAGCATCTCCAGTATTACCTACTCTCCCCTCTTCACTCTTACCTCTGCAGGAAATGCCTGATGGGAATGGTCCCATGAGGGTTCAAGTTCCCTTCTCATTACAGGACCTTAAGCAAATAAAGGGAGACTTAGGCCAATTTTCTGAAGACCCCGATACGTGTGTAGAAGCTTTCCACAATTTAACTCATGTCTGTGGTGTTTTTCCTTCTTTCATAGTTTCAAATGTCTCTTTTATAATATTCTTCCAACCTGGGAAAAGTTAATTTTCCAAACCTTAGAATGCTTGGCTTAGAGTTGAGCTAGGGAGAAGGGAAACCAGAAGCCTGACATGCTGGCAAAAGGGTAAACATTTTTTACCAGTCGGGCGTTTGGCTTCTCTCTTCCAGTGCAAACCAGTAAAAGGGATAATAAGGATTATTGTTTGTATTCTCTGTAAAGTTTTAATTAATGAAAAAGGATTTGTGAGGTTGGTCTTAAGCTGTAGCTAATCTGGTGTGCTTTGTGTGTCTTTCTGTATGGTTCTGTCAAAATAAAGGATACCTTAAATTAGAATGCAGGCCCAGGACCCCATAAGCGTACTGTTGAAGCCAGTCAAACAAATTTTCAGTTAACAAACATGGCTACAGGCCTCTGTCTTGTTTCATGTCTTTGGGAACATGACCTGTAACTATGTGGCAATACTTTGTTTTAGTCTCCATCATTTTACAGTGGTGGTTGTCTTCTTGTACTAAGTCAGTTCCTGGATGAGGGCCACAAAATCAGATAAGCCATTTTATTGGTCTGGGCGGTGCCAGCTAATCCATCAAGGGCAGGGTTTACAAAATATCTTAAGCACTGATCTTGACACCAGTTAAGGGAGGGTCAGAATCTTGTAGCCTCCAGCTGTGTGACTCTAATCTTGTAGCTAGTTTCTTGGTCTAGTCCCCAGGCAAGAGGGAAGTATATCTTAAGAAAGGGCTGTTATCATGTTTGTTTTAGACTATAAACTGTAAACCAGGCACCTCCCAAAGTTGGTTTGGTCTACGTCCAGGGATAGGCAAGGACAGCTTGGGGGCTGGAAACAAAATGGGGTTGGTTGAGTTGGAAGTCTTTCACTATCAGTCACAATTTTGCACTGATGGTTTCAAAAGCTGCCTGTCACCTCCTTTGAAAATATCTTGTACACTTATGGTTAAGTCATAACCTAATTAAGGCTTGTTGGTTTCACCTGTGAGGTTACTTTTCATGAAGTTCAAAAGCTGAAAACTTAACTGCTTGGCATGGCTAAAGTTGAATAATAAGGGATTTAAAGAGCACTCAGCTTAATTAAAAGTGAATATTCAAGTTATAGGTATATTTAAAAGGTCTTTATGTTTTTCTCTTCTTGGATCTTGTTTTTCTGGAAAAAGGTTTTTTTTTGGCCTCAGTTGACCAAATTATTTTTCTCCATTTTTTGTTTTGTCACTCTTAATGCATGCATGACAGGCCCTAAGATAACTTCTGGTAGCATGGGACTCCATGGGAAAACAGAAGAGCTGCCGCAGACCCCGTTTTGGGAAAAAAACCTCTGTTTTTCTCATGAAACCCCAGGAATTAAAAGCAGATAGTTCCCTCTCAAAATCAAAGGCTCTGTTCTTAAATTTGGGGATCTGTCTTTGCCTTTAGCAATGCTTGCTTATTAGGCCCTAAAATTGCATGCTATCTTGCCCCTGTTCCTCCAAGGGCTCCACCCTGAAGCCAGTAATCCAATTAAAAAAGTGGCAGATGAAAAATCTTACAAGTGCTGAATCTTCAGTTTGTTTGTGTCGCTATGTATGTGCTATGTATGTGTTATGTGTAATGTATATAGAAAGAGCTCAAATTAATTGGCTTAAAGAAAAATAAGCACTTAAATCAAATATTTTTTAGTTCACATGACTTTAATTTTTAAGCTGGTACAAAATTAAAATTGCTTACTAACCAGGTTTTTCACCAAAAGTAAAAGTTGCTAAGACTTAAGAGTGCAGCATGTATTTGAGATCATTAAACAGTTTTACATGCAAGGCATATAAAAACAGTGAAATGTGTTTTTTAGTAAAAGATTATAAGAAACATGGAAATGTAAATTTTGCCTAGGGATAAGGGATTATCTTAAATTTAATAAGATAAAGCCAAACGTTTAAGTAAGTTGTGGAAAGATTGTAAAAATTAATCTTACAAAAAATATATAAACATTAACTAAATTCAAAGGAGTATTATATGGTCTTTTCATAAATTGAGCATTAAAATAAAAGCACAAAAAAGGTTGTTCTAAGATGGTAATCTGCCTTTAGCAAAAGGGGTTATAGAGTTTGTAAAGATTTCACCACATGGTCAAATTGGTTAAGATTAGATGGAATTTAAATAAGGTTTTATTTAAACAAATCAGGGTTAACATTAATAAACTAATGCAAGGGTATAATTTGACTTTGAACAGGATTTTCACGTAATAGTAAAGGCTAATAAAAGGGTTTTTAAAAAAATCATTATTTTGGCAAAATAAATAATTTGTGGCAATTTGGAATTCTATTTCATAACATTAAGTGTTTTAAACGTCTAACATTTAACGGACATCTCAAAATCAAACTCCAAGTTTCAAAATTGTCTTTCCTGATGCCTGGATTTCTGGATGGTTCAGAGGGCCCCTGCAACATTCAGAAAAGAGATGAACTGAATTATTTAACATTTTTAATCACATGAGATTGCCAAAATAATGTCCAGTCTTCTTTAAGTTATATTTTGGTGAATACTACTAATATATTTTATAAAATTGTATGGGATTTCTAAAATTCTATTGTCTGAATATATGCTATCAATCATAATTGAGGGTAAAGTTATTGTAAGCTATGGAGATAACTAAACTTCTTTGTCGTCATGTTTTTGAGTGTAATTACCCTAGAAATTTTGTAATTTGCAAACAATTTTTGTCTTGGTTTGTTCCTTCTCAAAAGATGGTTTATAATCAAGATATATTAAGGACTTTAACAGGTGTTCTCAAATGCAGGTTTCCAATAGCTTTGAAGATTATAACATTGGAATAGAGAAATACATACAGGACTCACAAAGAACTGGCATGTTCATGAATATCAAGCAAAACAAGAGTTAACTGAATGGACTGCACTCAGAAAGTTAGAGCAACCTTCTGGACTTTTGCTTAAAACATTGGTGATCCTTGTTTTGTTTTTCAAAGTTGAGGAAACTTATTTTGAACTATTTATGGCCTTTAATAATTAAGTAAGGTATACTCCTGCAAACAAAATTTGGAGCATGTTTGTTTCTCTCTGCCTGGTTCCTCTAGAATTTGGAAACTATCTGTAAGTACTCTTAACCTATGACAATATAGTTGTTTGCATCAGTGCAATAAGAATCCATTTTTCTTTTTCAAGAGGACACAATTGGAAAAACTGGTTATTTTACCAAGGCTTTGATGGAATGGGTGTGTTTCCCTTTAAGGAATTAAAGCCTGACAGGCAGAGCCAGTAAAAGCCCTTTGGGGGGAGAACTGGCCTCATAACTGATCTACACAGTCCCTGCAAAGGGTTCCTAACTTGTGGTCAGTAAAGAATGTCACTTTCTAACAGGTCCAGGAGCTCAAAGTTTATCTTAGGACCTCAAGAGAAAAGGATCACCCAACTCACAGGTATTTGAGGGTACAAACCCATGGCTGGACTCAGCTTTAACAGGTCTTATCTGAGATTCCTTGTGGAACAGAGTTCCATCAAAGCCAACCCAAAAGGCCTATGTAGAAATAATTATTCTTGCTGTGCTTTATGAAAATAATCAGGCCAAGTATAAGACTAAAGTTTATTCTACAAACAACATGGTCCTATCATAATTTGTTTTTACCAACAATGAGGACTAGAGAGAGAAATTATGCATACATTAAATCCTAGTCTTATTAATTGTTTTTAAGCTTTTTACCTACATTTTAGACTAACCCTGCTTATTCCTGTGAATCAAGTGGTGATCTTCTGCAGCTTGGAAGAAACAAAGAGGAATGGGTAATGTAAAAATCTGGATCAGTAAGCTAGTTCTGGGCAATTATCCTGTATATTCTGCAAGGTAATGAAAGTGAGTAGGGTGCCCATAACCCGGAGGTTTCTTTGTTGAGGGAAGTAGAATGAAGAAACTTCCTGGACCCCCCAAAAGGAAATTCTATATCTTAGCAAGTATAATTTTAGATGCGAATTATCTACCATACCACACTTGCAGGAATTGCTATAGTCTCTCTACTATTTGTAGTAAAGCTATACATGGTAGCACCTTCTAACCAAAATATTGGACAGAGAGTTTCTATTGTGGTAATATTTTGCTTAATTATTATCCTTATAGCAGGGATAATAGCCACCAACAAAAAAGAAGCATGGGAGTTTTACTATCACTGAGTTTGCTAGAACTTCTTATTGAGTTTGGTAATATGTCACACCCTGGCTATGAAAAGAAGTTTCAGGAAAAATCTAGCCAAGGCTAACACTAAAGTTACTCTAGCCACCCAAATCCAATGTCACTAATCCTAAAAGGAATGTTACTTTTATATTAATGTTTCTAGTAATGTACAACGACAACTAGTGGAAGGAAGCAGGCATTACAATCCATTGGTATAACTGACAGGTATCAAACTTCACTGTCAGTTATGGTCTATAGGACCCCCACTAACAGTGGTAATCTTAATGCTCATATTCTGACGCTGTATTTTAAACCTTCATGTAAAACTTATCTCTTTTTACCTAGAAGCAATCAAACCCCAAATGGTGCTGTGAGCAGAGCCACACATGGACACGCCATTCTTCCGAGAACCCTTAGATCAACCTCAGGAGAAGGCCGAACTGCTGCTCCCTGAGATGACACCACTTTTCAGCAGGGAGTAGTCAGAAATAATCGTCATCCAACACCCCCTAACAGCAGTTAGGTTTACTTCTCTTGAGGGGGGAATAATACAGGAGTTATTAAGAAATTATTTTAGGGAGATAGAGAGGGTAAGGAGTCCTCGGAAAGGCTTTTCCTTTGAAAAGAATCAGCTCCTGAAACATTTCTTTTCTAATAGAAAAGTGTCTTGAAAAGCCAGGCTGGCAAGCTTTGATACGTAAATGCCAGCAATTAGAAACTGGGTCCATCCAACGTAGTGATTCTCACCCTCTTCTCTTTGTCACCATATGTGCCAGGTGTCATGGCTGCCTTCAGATGACTCCACATTTGCAGGACGTCATGGCAACCTGCATTTGCATATTAAAAGGCTAGGGTGGGAGGGCCAGGTTTTTCATGGGCTATGTGAATGACACACCTGGTCAAACCAATCCCCTGGGCCCCATGCAAATCAGACACCGCCTCCTCCAGCCTCCCAGTATAACTAGCTACTTTTCTGCTGCACACGGGGTTTTTCTCTGTTTGGAGCCTGCCTCCCTCTCTATATGGGAAGACTTTTTCTTCTTTCTTGCCTATTAAACTTTCCCGTCCTTTAAACCACTCCACGTGTATCCATCATTTATCTAACTGGTGCAAGACAAAGGACTCTGGTGTTTCTCTAGTTATCAAAGACATATCAGGAAGATTCTGAGCATGTGCTTTCATACGACACCTGTCCATATTTGGAAAGAAGTTTATGAACTTCAAGTTTGGAGTGATCTTGTAACCTGGCTCTACAGGCCTCATCCCAGCAGTCTTCGCTTTCAACACCCAGAGAAAGGCTGTCCAGGGTAAACCAAAAGTTTGGAGCTTGATCTGATCCTGTCTCTCTGTTTAACACAGACAGAAGTTTTTCTCTCTTATTCCTGAGGAAAACAATGATAAGAGAAAATGGAAAGAAGAATTGTGATCTCTTTTTATTATAGCCTTTAATGCAGAGACCATTACTGCTAGGAGGGAACTTGGGGAGGATTTGTTTCAACTGAATAGTTTAAAATACTAGAAAACTGAAGCCCAGAGCAAGGGAATGCAGGAAGGTCCAAGTCACATTGGGAGTTAGAGGCAGACTAGAACCCAGGGCTCCTGGCTCCTAGGTCAGTTCACTTATACCCAATAACTGGGAAGTTGGAGCAATGCTTATTTTTAGATTCATGCTAGCCAGCAAGCACATAAAGTTGTGGGCTGACTGATGCAATCTTAGATTTCTTTAATGAAAGCAGTAGAGATACAGTGTAGGGTACTGCTAAGAACATGGGCTTTGGAGTTACCCAGGCTGGGGTTACCAGCTTGTGCACTTGGGCAAGCCACTTACTTGCTTTGAAGACATGCAAGTATTGTAGTACAATTGGATAATAGGAAGAGAGTGGTGGTAGGTAAGACTGAACAGGCAAGCAGGAGATACACCAGGGAGGGATTTTTATTCATGGATGTTATATCTAGACAATCAGCCTTCTATATATTTACCTTTTTCATATTTGGGGAATGGAAAGAGAAGAGTATTTAAAATGGAAGACCAGATTTGAGCCTACATTATTTTTCAATTTGTGTTACTTTGGGCAAGACAATCTCTGGAGATCTTAGTTGTTTGACCTGTGTGGGATCCTTTTTGTACACTCATTGCCTCACATTCTCTTGACCTCTCTATTCCAGCCACTACTAGTATAAACTGTTCTGCCCAAGTTTCTACCAGTTTTACTCTTGACGGTGCCTCAGTTAAGTGTGTGTGCTGCTTTCTGTCCCAGTGTGCCTGCAAGAGCCTACTCAACACTCACACACGGGCAACCTGAATGTATAAGATAGTTAGTGCCCCAAGGAGGATTCCTCAACCAGAGGGAAATGGAAATGGGGAGTCCTCAGAGAAAGGGGAGGGGATGAGCACTACAATGGAGGCCAGTGGATAATGCCTTCTTGAACTGGCTTTTTCTCTTTCCTCCATCCATCACTTCTGTTGCCTGCCATTGGTTCTCAAATTACTGCACACAAGCCCTTGGCTCAGGTTCTGCTTTCAGGTGGAAGCCAGGCTAAGGCAGCATCTGTTAAATGGGGGTCAAAATAACAATACTTTCCTTGTGTGTTGTTAAGTGAGGTATGTATGCACACAACATAAAAAAGATCAATGAGATATGCACATAAATGTACACATGAAACACATAGCATGGTCCTTAGCACAGAATTAGTGCTCAAGAAGCAGTATGTATTATGATGTGGCTACTGCTTCTAACCGTGGGCTTACATGATCAATTCTGGTGTCTATATCACATATCTTATTTGTGAAATTATAGGCTGAATTTTAGTATAGTGATATGGCTAGGCTGTGTCGCCATTCAAATCTCATCTTGAATTGTAGTTTCTATAATTCCCACATGTCGTGGGAGGGACCTGGTGGAGAGATAATTGAATCATGGGGGTGGTTACCTCCATGCTGTTCTCATGATAGTGAGTGAGTTCTTAGGAGATCTGATGGTTTTATAAGGGGCTTTCCCCAACTTTACTCTGCACTTCTCTTTGCTGCCGCCGTGTGAAGAAGGATGTGTTTGCTTCCCCTTCCACCATGATTTTAAGTTTCCTAAGACCTCCTCAGCTCTGCAGAACTGTGAGTCAGTCAAATCCCTTTCCTTTTTAAATTACCCTGTGTCAGGTATTTCTTCATAGCAGCATGAGAATGAAGTGATACATATAGTAATGTGCTTTTTGTTTTCCAGACCATTTTAGTATAATGTTAAAAAATATAATAAAACATTTCTTGGTATTCATTCCACCCACTATCAAGGGACTTCCAGCTTTACTCCTTTTATTTTCTCCAAGTTGTTCTTGATGTCTTCCGAAGCAGGGTTTCATGTGTTTTCTGCTACTGGAGGGAGTCTAGCATTTTTTTTCCTGCTGCATATTTAAGGCGATGTTTTCCAACCATTTTGCAAATGTGGAAATTGAAGCTTAGGTGCTTTCTCAAGTTGTTGAATAGTCATGCAACTAGTGAGTGGTAGACTCTCAGATTGAACTGACTCTGATTTCAGAACCCAAGTTCAAATTTGTTTTCATTCACTATATTAGCTCAATTGTATTGTCTTCAACATTTCCAGTCCATTGATCAAGATTCTATTACAGCCACCCCTATATATCTGGAGAGTGTAGATAAGTTTTCTTTTCTTTTTTTTTTTTTCCCAGAGACTAAAACAACTTTACCAGATTGAAACACTCAAGACAAAGGAGCCCAGGAACAAAATTCATCAGAAAACTAGAGGAAGTTTTCATGGAGTTGCTGTGAGTTAGAAACTTTTAATGAATCCGGTTGTATTGTTTACCAAGTTAAGATCCTCTCAGATGTCAGGAGATAGATGTGTAGATGTCAGCTTATAAAATACAGCTCTGGTGTGATAGCAGAAATATAAGAGGCTTGAATCCCTCCATGCCAAGAGATAATGAAGGAGGCCTGAGATAAGTTGGAAGAAAAACTGGCTACCAAGAGGGATAGCATTTTTTTTTTGTTGTTAAATCAAATATTTATGAGACTGGGCTTTGATTTCCCCATGGTTTAACAATTCAAGGGAAAGATAATTTTTGAGAGATACTTAAGGTGTTGGAGTAATTCAGGTAACTGTACCTAGTATGAAAATAATCACTAGAATTTCGAATGCATACAAATTGTGATGGGAGTAGAAGAAAATTTGCAATGTTAATACATGATGATGTAACATGTTCAAATGATTAAAATATGTCCTAGTGTCATAGACATGATTCTATCTCTTGTCAGTACAGAACATTTGGTTTTGATTTTGGATTTTACTAATGTTTATTGAATGCCTATCATGTGTTGGACACATGATAGGTTTTAAAATCTTTAATGATTACTAAATCCATTAAATATATATTATTTCATTTTTTAGGTAAGAAAACTGATATTCAGATAAGTTAAATGGTGCTCAAAGACACAGAGTTAGTAAGGTAAAAGTTGGACTTGATACTCAGGTCTGTATGTCTGTATGACATCAAAATCCATGATCTTTTCCTGATATAATTTTTTTTGTTTTGGAGACAAGATCTTACTTTGTCTGTCATCCAGGCTAGAGTGCAGTGGTGCAATCTCAGCTCACTGCAGCCTCCACATATGGGGCTCAAGTGTTCTTCCCACCTCAGCCTCCTGAGTAGCTGGGATTACAGGCACATGCCATTATGCCTGGCCTAATTTTTGTATTATTTGTAGAGATTGCGTCTCATTATGCTGCCCAGGCTGGTCCTGAACCCCTGGGCTCAAGCAATCCACCCAGCCTAGGCCTCCCAAAGTGCTAGGATTACAGGCATGAGCCACCATTCCCAGCCCCAATTCTAGCATTCTTAAACTATAATTTCTGGATCAAAGAAGATTATGGAGACTTGGCTTGAGGTCTACTGTCATGGTGGAATGAAACAAGCAATAGATTATTTTGAGTGGGAATGAAATAAAGGAAGTCAAGATCATTCATCAACTGTGCCCAGTGATTCACTGTTGGAAAAATTGTGCTCATTAACTTTGGTAAAAAGTGAACCAAAATCTGTTAGAGCTAAAGGAACCTGGCAGTTGTATGATTCAACCTCCTCACTTTACAGATGCGAATCCTGGGATCCATAATGGGGAGGTAGTTTGTCCAAAGTTGTTATGTGATGAGTCAGTGTCAGAGATCACTCACAGAAGTCCTGGCTTTCTGTAGGATATTCCTGGGTCTCTTCTCTGGAACTACATGAGAAAAGACTAATGCTCTTTCCACATGAAAGTCTTTCAAATATTTGGTAACAGTGCTCATGTTCCCTCTGGGTCTCCTGTTTTTCAGGTTTAGCAACTTTCATTGTTTAAGCATTCCCATCATGGTAGAGTTTGTAGACTCTTCATTACTTCAGTGTTTTCCAAAAGTGCACCATATTGTCAATTTCCCTGTCAAACTTTGGTATCCAGAAATGAATGCATTTCCCCAGGTTATATAAATAAATAATTTAATTAAGGAAAGTGGATATACATTCTTGCAACTTTCACAATTCAGATTGAGTTTTGTAAACAGTTTACTGTTATAAAGAAAATTTCGTGCTATATTCATTGGTTTCAGAATTATGGAATCATGAATATGGCAAATTGAGTGAAATTGACAATTGCTTTTCCTATTTCAAACTTATAAAAGTATCAGATAGAATCTGACAAATTTTATTTGCATCCATAGCTGAAAAAGAAACTAAGAACAGAAATTCCCTGGTGCTGCAGAGGTAGCACAAAGTTAGAGTAGTTAGTGGACCAAAAGCTGAAAATGCTTACGTAGTTACTGTAATATCACATAGAGCTTAAAGCCTGGGAACTAGGAACTAGGATTCTCTGATACTGGCATCAGGAAGATATTTAAGGCATCAGAGCTCAAGCTCATACTATAGATAAATTACCTGCCCAATAATAGAAGCCATGATGATCTGTTCGTTTTTGGAATAGGGAATAGAAGAACCTGGCCTGCCTTTCCTGGGAGACAGCAAAGAAGTTTGCAATCCACCTGGGGTTGTGTCAATAAATAAATCACCAATGGAAAATCAGAACCCTAGATCTGCACCACACATAGTTGTGAAATATGACTTCAAATACCCGTGGAGTATGAACATCAAAATAAAAAGTTAATGTAAAAAGTAGTCTAGTACTACTGCAGACCATAGAGAATAACAGAGACAGATACAATATGTTCTGTAGAGACACTTCCAGAGCAGCAAGGCTCCCAAAGTGCTGTTGAAGATAACCTCACAATCAAATATTAAAAATTATGCAAATAAATATAATTAATTTGCACAAGGTAAATCAGCAAATGAAACAAACATCAGTAAATGAACTAAATATCACCTCCAGAAGTATAAATAATAGAACAATCTAAAAGAGATACCAAAATAGATTAAACCGATTAAAGAATAATAGAAACTAAGACACAAATAGAATAATTAAAAATATGTAAATTTGAAACAGAATTAAAGTAGAATTCTAAAAATGAATGAAAAGGTCAATAAAATAAGTCACTCAATTGACAGATAAATAAATAAATAATGATTTTAAAGATAGACCTGTGAAAAATAACATTGGTAATTTGATAGGTATTGTACTGGATCTGTAAATTGCTTTGGGCAGTATGGTTATTTTAATGATATTCATTCTTTCAATCTCTGAGCATGAAATGTTTTGCCATTTGTTTGTGTAAGATTTATTTTATTAGTATTTTGTAGTTCTCCTTGTAGAAATCTTTCACCTCCTTGGTTAAATGTATTCCTAGATATTTTATTTGTACATGGCTATTGTAAATGGGTTTGAATTCTTGATTTGGTTCTCATCTTGTTATTGGTGTATAGAAATGTTACTGGTATTTGTATCTTGAAGCTTTCTTTAGGTCATGAATCAAATCTAGGAGGCTTCAGGAGGAGTCTTTAGAATATTCTAAGTATAAGATCACATCACAAGCAAACAGAAATAATTTAAATTCCTATTTTCCAATTTGGATGCCTTTTATTTCTTTCTCTTGCCTGATTGCTCTAGCTAGGACTTCCTTTCTAAGTTGATTAAAAGTGGTGAAAGTTGGCATCCTTGTCTTACTGCAGTTCATAGGGAGAATGCTTTCCACTTTTCCCCATTCAATATGATGATGGCTGTGGGCTTGTCATATATGGTTTTTATTATTTTGAGGTATGTTCCTTCTATGCCTAGTTTGTTGAAGATTTTTTTTTATCATAAAAGGATACTGAATTTTATTGAATACTTATTTCTGCATCTATTGAGATGATCATATGACTTTCGTTTTGTATTGTTTATGTGGTGAATCACATTTATTGGTTTGTGTATTTTCCACAGAATTAGAAAAGCCTAAAATTCATATGGAACCCAAAAAGACTCAAATAGCCAAAGCAATCCTAAGAAAAAAGAACAAAGCTAGCGGTATCATATTACTTGACTTTAAATTATGTTACAAGGCCACAGTAACCAAAACAGCATGGTATGGGTATAAAAATAGATACATAGATCAATGGAACAGAATAGAGAACCCAGAAATAAAGCCACATGCCTAAAACCAACTGATCTTTGACAAAGCCAACAAAAATATACACTGGGGAAAGAACACCCTATTCAATAAATGGTGCTGGGAAAATTGGATAGTCATATGCAGAAAAATGAAACTGGACCCATATCTCTCATCACATACACAAATTAACTTAAGATGGGCCGGAGACCTAAATGGAACACTGATGCTAAATGAATATCCTAGAAAAAAATGAGGAAAAACTCTTCTGGACACTAGCCTAGACAAGGAATTCAGGACCAAGACCTCAAAAGCAAATACAACAAAAACAAAAATAGACACATGAAACTTAATTAAACTAAAAAGCTTCTGCGCAGCAAAAGAAATAATCAACAGAGTAAACAGACAACTTACAGAATGGGAGAAAATACTTGCAAATTATGCATCCAACAATGGATTAATATCCAGAATCTACAAAGAACTCAAAAGACAAAAACAAATAACTTCATTAAAAAGTGGGCCAAGGACATGAACAGAAATTTTTCAAAAAAAGACACGTAAGCAGCCAACAAACATGAAAAAAAAAATGCTCAAAGTCACTGATCATCAGAGAAATGCACATTAAAGCCACAATAAGATACCATCTTACACCTGGATGTAAAATACCATCTTACATTCTGGATGGTCACAGAATGGATATTATTAAAAGTCAAAAACAACAGATGTTAGCAAGGATGCAGAAAAAAGGAATTGCTTATGCACTGTTGGTGAGAATGTAAATTAGTGAAACCTTTATGGAAAACAGTACGGATATTGCTCAAAGAACTAAAAATAGAACCACCAGTTGACCCAGCAATCCCACTACTGGTATCTACCCAAAGTAAAAGAAATCATTATATCAAAAAGACACCTGTACACATATGTTTATTGTAACACTATTCACAATAGCAAAGTCATTGTATCCATCAGTCATCAGTGGATGATTGGATAAAAAAGTGATGTATATGTATATATGCACACACCATGGAATACTATTCAGCCATAAAAAGAATGAAACCATGTCTTTTTCAGCAACATAGATGGAACTAGAGGCCATTATCTTAAGTAAAATAATTCAAAAACAGAAAGCAAAAAATCTCATGTTCTCACTTATAAGTGGGAGCTAAACAACGGGTACACACACACATAAAGTGGAATAATAGGCATTGGAGACTTTAAAAGGTGGGAAGGTGGGAGGGGAATGAAGGATGAAAAGTACCTACTGGGTACAATGTTCACTATTCGGGTGATGGTTACATTAAAATCCCAGACTTTGCCACTAAGCAATATATCCAGACAACAAAAATTTACTTGTACCCACTGAGTCTATAAAAATGAAAAATTAAAAAGATATACCTTATTATCCAGAATGTAGCACAGAGAAGCAAATATATGGAAAATATAAAAAAGATTGAGAATGGAAACCAGAGATTCCAAAATAAATAATAGAAGTAACAGATGAAGATAATAGAGGGAATAAGATAGATACAATATTGAAAGAAATAATGGCTGAGAATTTTCCAGAATAAAATATGTGAATTTACAAACTGAAAGAGCACAGAAGTCCTCATCAGGATAAGTTAATTAATTGTCAGCAAATACCTAATGAGCACTTACATGCCAAATGCTGTTGTGCCAAAAACTTCTACCTTATAGACCTGACATTCTAATTGAAGGTAAGGAGAAATGGAAAATAAACAAAATAGACAAGAAAAGTTAAGAACGGAAGTGGGGTATTGTATTTACCTTCTGATCCTCTGGTAACTACACAGCCCCTCCATTAATATATTTTTGCTGTTTGTTGAGTCAGAGATTGGTCGTTTTCATCCCTGCACATCATGAAGCATGGTCTATTATGGTTCCCAACAACATCTGGATAGCCTATAAAATCACATGAATTTATTGGCATTAATTTCTCTACCATCTTTATCAGTATCAAGTTTTATGCCCTGGTTAGTTTCCATCTTATTGATTTCTGAGGCTGTACTCGTGTTCTTGGAAGGAAGTAACCAAGAATTCCATTATTTGCCTGCACACAGCCTTGCCTTCAGAATGAAGGCATTTTGTGCCTGTTCATTCTCATTTTGTGCCTGTTCACTCATCTAGAACTTTACTGCTACTACCTCATGTTTCGTACTCATGGTTTCTTTCTTAAATAATTGCAATTGTCCCCTAATTGGTCTTCCTCTTTCCAGTCTCTCTCCCCTCTAATTTATTATCCACATTGGCAGTCAGGATGACTTTTCTAAAATAGGTTTGAGTATGTCATTTTCCTATTTGAATTATATCATTGACCCCTATAGCTATTCTAAACCATACAAGACACTCTATTATCCAGCTTCTTCCTACTTCCCGAGTCTCCCTTTCCCCCCACCTCCATTTCCACCCTATGTGCCATCCATACAAAATGTATGGATGGCACCTTGAATGGTCATGTGTTTTTAACATGTTTCTGTCCCTTTATTTATTCTGCTGCATTTGCATGACAAGATTTTTCTCCTTAATTTCTATTGCTGACTGCCAGACAAATATATACTAATCTGGAGATTTGGTTCAAGTTTCACTTCTTCTATAATACTTCTTCTGACCCCCATCTTGTAGCTGAATTAACCCGCCAAAATTTTTTGAGACCCCTTGGACTCTAAAGGCAAATTTCTCCATAATGTCCTCACATTATCTTGGAAATTTTTTTAGTGTATTTGCCCAAATACACTCTTTTGTTATTCTGGAGGGTGGATGCCTTTTCTTATTTTTTCTATCCTCCCCCTTGCCGAATATCTGACATGTATGTCAAATCAAGTACATATATTTGTTTGTTTGTTATTTTTAAAGAAAATGGATAAAGGAATGATGGCCGAAACAAAGATGTCTATTTTGAAATAGAATTGGTTGTCTGACTCTGACCCTAGAAGCCTTGTTTCTATTCTTTGGCCATGGAGAGCTAATCAGAATGTGTGGATCTTTTTTGAGGCACAACTGTAAGTCCTAAAACTATGGTGTTCTTCACTCTGACTTTATGGGAAACCTCCAGTCACTTGAAGACCTTGAAAGTTCCCTCAAAGGTAAAGAATGACCACATTTGCTTTCACCACAGAAACAATGAACTCTCCAATAGTGTGGAAAACAGCTTTTGAGCTGTATTTATCGATGCATAGATTTCACAGAGCTGTGATATTTGAAGACAAATAGCTGTGTCCATAATTAAGACTACTGGGGAATTGGCAGGTGTGATATGATGGAAGACTCAGGTTTTCCAAGGGAGCAAGATTGGTCAGGGTAATACAGTCTCTGTGACCTTGGTGCCCTCTTCCTGGTCATTGATTTCTCAGTCAAATATAACCTCTCATTCAATCAGTCTCCATATACTGCAACTTATGGATGCCCTGCTATAGGAGATAAAGATGATGTCCTGATGAAACTATAGGGGACGATGATCTCACCTTAGTTTTTTTAATTCAATATAACAGGAATTATATTGTTATATTGATGAAGAAGAGGTTCTCCATTAATGACCTTTTTAGTTTTTAAATCAAGATTATTTTATTATGTAGTAAGACTGATAGAGTAGGCAGCAGTCATTATTGTCAAGAGTCTTGATTTTAGACTGGGTTGAGTTCTGACTCCACCACATTTAAATGTTTTATTTCATTTAATCCTCAAAAAATCTTTGTAAGGTATTGTGACCCCTCATTTTAGAGATAGGGAAAATGAGTCTTAGAAAGGTTAATTGAATTTTCTAAAATCTCACACTGCATGGTGGAGCTATTTAGTATCAAAAGCTGATTCTAGAGAAATAAGAAATGTATTCTATTTTTTTTTAAATTTGAGTGTCAGTCTGACTAGCTATGCTAATAACTAGGAATCAAAAGGTTTTCTATCTCCCACTTCTACTCACTGGCTAGTACTCAACCAACATACTCAATTAAAATTTTCAAATGCAATTAAAAGAGTTTCTTGAACTACTTAATTCATGTAGATTTATTTGAATTCCCAAGTTGTGTTAGAGACCCCTGACACACAACTGTAATATGCCCCATATCTTAATGTTGAATTTATCACATTATAATTATTTATTTCATCTGTTTTTAACTAGTCTATGAACTCTTCCAAGGAAGGATTATGTGTTTGTAACTTGAGGGCTTAGCAGAGCATCTACCACTTTGTAGACACTTGGTGTATACTTGCCGAATGAATAAAAGATACTGACATATATTCACTTAAATCAATTTATGATACTATTTTGATAGACTCAGCTGGTGGATTAATAGGTTCTCCTGCCACAGAGGATTGAAGTGAGGGTGGGGCTCAGGAACAGGCTCTTGCTTCTCTGGCACAGCTAGAATGCATGTACTGAAGGTGGTCAGCCTCCAGGCTCGGTCCCTCTTGAGTGTAAGGTGATGAGCACTGTGGTGAAGTGCTGAATTTTTTCTACTAAATGCAAGCGGAATTTGAACTTGATTTCATTTTCCTTATCCTGTTATATGTTGTGTTTAGAATAAGACTTAGAAATGGGCCTGTCTATTGTGAATTTGCCTTTTCCTGAAGACCACATATGTGCACTTATGCTTTATGACTGTCTATGCCATGAAACTTTCCTTAGAGATCATTATTGTCCATGCTGTTCCTTGAACCTTCAAGAAAGTAAATTCTTGGATCTCTAACCCTTGAGAGCTCCTATGGTCTGAGGTTGGATTCAAATTCTCTGCTTATAAAACTGACTGCTCTCCAGCTTTAATCTAGATTTATACCAGATAAGTAGAGACAACGAATATAATGAATAGCCACAGGCTCCTGCTGCTGTGTTCCATCCCTTGAAATCAGACCCTTTTCCTGCTGATGCTAGCCTGGATCTCATCTGAATTTTCCAAGTTCATTTGAACAGAGTTCCTCGGACTTCTTTATTTAAGGCTTACTTCATTCCTGTTTCTGGATCACATTGAGGTCAAGCCTATGTTGTGACCGAAGTCTTTTAGTTATGACACAGGAACAGGGAGAAAGTAGGAGAGGTTTTCTGTGAATTTTCAGGACCTGAATAGCTCCATCTGGATGAAAACAAAACAAATAAAAATTCTGATCATAAGCGTAATGCTTTATGCACTTTAGGGAGATAGATATGTCAACACAATAGTGAAGAAGAAATTGAACCATTTGAGGAATGGAGATACACAGTATTTTTGAGTAACTCAGCCATTCTCATTGTTATTTTGGACAGGATCATGCCTTTTATGGGAATTTTAGAAATCTGCAAACTCATTCACTGGACTGGCTTTAATAAGACTGCACCATTTCCTCTGTTGTTTCTTTGTCATTGATGAGAGTTTGGTCATACGCGGTTTCTTAAGCACATAAGTCATAATGCAGATTTTTATGCATGGTGTGAACACATAGGTGATAGATGGTCCCTGAGATGCTTGAGAAGATTGCCTTATGAATTTGCCCTCAGCAGGCTGACCTTCACAAACTGGAAGCATCACCTTTGCAAGGGCAGGTTCAGTGTCTTCTTTGAAAAAGTAATTTTCTTTTGTGAATAACATGCTGTGTCATGGTTTATAACAATGAGAGGAACTGAAAGCAATAGAACTCAGGAGGCAGAAAAGGGCTGTCTGTCTAAGGAATAACAAGAACTGATTGTATTCCCTGCCATACAGTGATGAAAAGGCATCTGGTAAAAGCTTTTAGTTGATTTTCTCTTCTAATCATGTTCAGGAATGCATCTAATGCATCGTGTGCCTTTGAAAGAAAAAAGAAGAACCATTTTAAAGAATAATGCCTTCATTTAAAAAGATTTTATCTAATGAGAGTTGGGGACATGGGCTCCTTATAATGTATACAAGTCAACACTGTGCTATAGGAACATAGAAGAGTTAGTAGGAATTCTTTTTGGGAGTTTGGGAATGTTTCACAGAGAGGTGATGTTTGAGCTGGTCCTTAAAGAGTATATAGGAGTTTTCCAGATGAAAACAAAAGGGAAAGGACCTCCCAAACAAGGAAAAAACCATGTACAAAGGCACACACAAAAAGCATTTCCAAAAATCTGTACCTATATATATATTTATTTTATTTTATTTTTTATTTTATTTTTTTATTATACTTTAAGTTCTAGGGTATATGTGCCCAACGTGCAGGTTTGTTACATAGGTATACACGAGCCATGTTGGTGTGCTACACCCATTAAGTCGTCATTTACATTAGGTATATCTCCTAATGCTATCCCTCCCCCCTCCCCCCACCCCACGACAGGCCCCGGTGTGTGTTGCTCCCCTTCCTGTGTCCAAGTGTTCTCATTGTTCAATTCCCACCTATGAGTGAGAACATGCGGTGATTGGTTTTCTGTCCTTGCGATAGTTTGCTCAGAATGATGGTTTCCAGCTTCATCCATGTCCTTACAAAGGACATGAACTCATTCTTTTTATGGCTGCATAGTATTCCATGGTGTATATGTGCCACATTTTCTTAATCCAGTCTATCATTGGTGGACATTTGGGTTGGTTCCAAGTCTTTGCTATTGTGAATAGTGCCACAATAAACATACATGTGCATGTGTCTTTATAGCAGCATGATTTATAATCCTTTGGGTATATACCCAGTAATGGGATGGCTGGGTCAAATGGCATTTCTAGTTCTAGATCCTTGAGGAATCACCACACTGTCTTCCACAATGGGTGAACTAGTTTACAGTCCCACCAACAGTGTAAAAGTGTTCCTATTTCTCCACATCCTCTCCAGCACCTGTTGTTTCCTGACTTTTTAATGATCACCATTCTAACTGGTGTGAGATGGTATCTCATTGTTGTTTTGATTTGCAATCAAAAGAAGACATTTATGCAGCCAACAGATACATGAAAAAATGCTCATCATCACTGGCCATATATGTGTGTGTGTGTGTGTGTGTGTGTGTGTGTGTGTGTATATGTGTATATATATATATATGTGTGTATATATATATGTGTATATATATATATATATATGTATGTGTATATATATATATTTTTTGGTCCTGGAGTCAGTATGAGAAATGCTGCTTAGGTTTCCAGAGGAGCCAAAAATGCTATTTTTGGAATCATGCACCTAAAATATTAAATTACAATTTCAACTGTATTCTTTAATTCAAAAAATATTTATTGAGCATCCGACCTTGTTCTAGCTGTATACCAGCCAAGTGATATAGCAATGAACAAAACAAACAAAAAATTCCTTCCCTTGTTGTATTTAAGGGCTTCTGAATGTTGTAACGTTTCTGAGAGTTTTGATTTGAGGATGCTGGGAAAACAGGCTCTCTCTCTCTCTCTCTCTCTCTCTTTCTCTCTCTCAGAGAAAACATATAGATAGTCCTGAGCTGTTGTAACAGGAGGTAACTCAGTGTCAGGGATGGAAAATACAGGCACATATTCTCTTACTTCCTGCTCTTGCTGCTTTTTCAGACATAAATAATTAAATATGACTTGGTTTCTTATGAGCCTGGATCCAGCCCCAGAATCCTTCTCAAGATAGCATACCAAGTAACCACTTCCAGCTAATCAGAACTGGCTTGCCAGATGAAAGCTCTAGGTCAATTATTCTCTGTAGTTCTAAATTTGGGAGGATAAAAGGGCTTTCAGAAGGTTCTATCCTGGGTGAGGGAGTCAGTCCATACTGGTTGCTGATGATAAATATTTAGTCTTCTTCTTAATTTAGTTCAGTACAGAAATTTCTTGGGCACATAATATGTTCTGGCATAAGTTAAGGTCCTTGTTATTAAGGAGCTTAAAGTCCAGTGAGTGAGGGAGAGAGACATGTTAGCCAAGCCTTGCAGTATGGGTTAGTAAGTATAATGGAGACTAAGATAAAACATGCAGAGAAACAAAGGAGGGTATAATCCACTCCACGGGGGAATAGGGAAAGGGTCATGGAAAACTCAGAATGATACTTCAAGTGTGCAGTCGGCCTCCGTTGTTTCTGCATCCATGGATTCAAGTAACCACATATCAAAAATATTTGGGGAAAAAAATTGTGTCTGTCCTGAACATGT
This sequence comes from Homo sapiens, assembly GCF_000001405.40. Lineage (NCBI taxonomy): Eukaryota > Metazoa > Chordata > Mammalia > Primates > Hominidae > Homo > Homo sapiens. The sequence goes on along the minus strand of NC_000011.10, from coordinate 82,661,304 downwards.
ACAAACATTTTTTTCTTGTAATTATTACCTAAAAATACAGTATAATGACTATTTACATAGCATTTACCTTGTATTAGGTATTACAATTGATCTAGAGATGATTTAAAGTATATGGGAGAATGTACATAGGTTACATGCAAATACTCTGCTATTTTATATCAGGGACTTGAGCACCTGCAGGTTTTGGTATCCAAGGGAGATCCTGGAACCAATCCCTCACAGATACCAAGGGATACAAGGGATAACTGAATATACATATGTGTATATATATATACGCAAACATACACCTTTGCTTTACATTCTCTTTATTCACCATTATTGAGGTATAACTGATGAATAAAAATTATATATATTGAAGGTGTACAACATGATGTTTTGATATATGTATACATTGTGAAATAATTGCCAAAATCAAGGTAATTAACATATCCGTCATCTTACATGGTTATATTTTCATTGCAACAAAACTTAAGATCTCTTCCTGTGGTGGTTAATACTGAGTGTCAACTTGATTGGATTGAAGGATACAAGTATTGATCCTGGGTGTGTCTGTGAGGGTGTTGCCATAGGAGATTAACATTTGAGTCAGTGAGCTGGGAAAGGCAGACCCACTCTTAATTTGGGTGGGTACAATCTAATCAGCTGCCAGCGCCGCTATAATATAAGCAGGCTGAAAAATGTAAAAAGAGAGACTGGCCTGGCCTCCCGGCCTACATCTTTCTCCTGTGTTGGATGCTTCCTGACCTCAAACATTGGACTTCAGGTTCTTCAGTTTTGGGACTCAGACTGGCTCTCCTTGCTCCTCAGCTTGCAGACAGCCTATTGTGGGACCTTGTGATCGTGTAAGTTAATACTTAATAAACTTCCCTTATATAAATAAACTTTAATAAACTTAATATATATATCTTTATGTATATCTTAAACTTCCCATATATATATAATTGATGAATAAAATTATATATATTGAAGGTGTACAACATGATGTTTTGATATACATATACATTGTGAAATAATTGCCAAAATCAAGGTAGTTAACATATACAATATCTTACATGGTTATCTTTTCATTGCAACAAAACTCAAGATCTATTCTGGTGATGGTTAATACTGAGTGTCAGCTTTATTGGATTGAATATATATATATATGAAGTTTATAAAGAGATATATATATATATATCTCCATCCTATTAGTTCTGTCCCCCTAGAGAACCCTGACTAATACAATTTTCTTAAGAAATTTCAAGTGTACAGCACATTATTATTAACTATTTGTCACCATGCTGTGCATTGTGTCCAGAACTTATTCACCATCTTACAAATCTCACAAATACAAGTTTGTACCCTTTGACCAACATCTCCTCATTTTCCCATTCCTGACCCCTGCTAACCATTATTTTACTCTCTGTTTCTATGAGTTTAAACATTTTAGATTCTACATATAAGTGAGATCATGTAATATTTGTCATTCTGTGTCTGGCTTGTTTTACTTAGCATAATGTCTTCCAAATACACCCATTTCATTTCAAGATTTCCTTTTAAACAAAGCTTGACGAATATTACATTGTCCACATGTAATATATGTCCACATATTTATTTATTTCACATTTCAATAAAATTTATTTCAATGAAATTTATTCAATAAATAAAATATTTCAATAAAAATTTATTTCAATAAAATAAATTGAAATTTTATTTCAATAAAATATATCCACATATTTATTTATTTCACATTTCCTTCCTTCCTTTCTTCCTTCCTTCTTTCCTTCCTACCTTCCTTCCTGACAGAGTCTCACTCTGTTGCCCAGGCTGGAGTGCAGTGGCGTGATCTTGGCTCACTGAAACATCTGCCTCGCAGGTTCAAGGGATTCTCCTGCCTCAGCCTCCCAAGTAGCTGGGATTACAGGTGACTGTCACCATGCCTGGTTAAATCGTGTTTGTTTTTTTTTTGTATTTTTGGTAGAGACAGGGGTTTCACCATGTTGGCCAGGCTGGTCTGGAACTCCTGAACTTCAAGTGATCTGCCCTCCTCAGCCTCCCAAAGTGCTGGGATTACAGGTGTAAGCCACTGCGCCCAGCCTATTTCACATTTTATTTTTTGATTCATCCATCAACAGACACTTAGGCTGTTTCCATATATTAGCTTTGTGAATAATGCTGCAATGAACATGAAACTGAAGATATCTCCTTAACATATTGATTTTGTTTTCTTTGGATATATATCCAGAAGTAGGATTGCTGGATTACATGGTGGTTCTATTTTTATTTTATTTTTTGGGAAACCTCCAAACTGTTTTCAATAACTGCTGTACCAATTTACCTCCCCCCCAACAACATATAAGGACTCCTTTTTCACATCCTCATCAACAATTGTTACAATCTGACTTTTTGATAATAGCCATTCTAAGGAGTATGAAGTGATATGTCATTGTGGTTTTGATTTGCATTTCTCTAAAATCAGTTTAGTAATGTTGAGTGCATTTTCATAAACCTTTTGGCCATTTGTATGTCTTTTTTGAAAAAATTCAGGTTGATATGATTTGGCTCTTGTCCTTACCTAAATCTCACCTTGAATTGTAATAATCCCCACATGTCAAGGGCAGGACCAGGTGGAGATAATTGAATAATGAGGGGCAGTTTTCCCTATACTGTTCTGGTGATAGTGAGTGAGTTCTCATGGTAGTGAGTTCTCATGAGATCTGATGGTTTTATAAAGCGTTTCCACCTTCGCTTGGCGGCTCTCTTTCTTCTCTCTCCTGCTCTCTCTTGTGAAGAAGGACATGTTTGCTTCCCTTCCCACCACAATTGTAAGTTCACTGAGGCCTCCTCAGCCATGCAGAACTGTGAGTCAATTAAACCTCTTTCCTTTATAAATTACCCAGTCTTTTTTTTTTTTTTTTTTTGAGACGGAGTCTCGCTGTGTCACCCAGGCTGGAGTGCAGTGGCGTGATCTTGGCTCACTGCAAGCTCTGCCTCCCGGATTCACGCCATTCTCCTGCCTCAGCCTCCCGAGCAGCTGGGACTACAGGTGCCCGCCACCAGACCTGGCTAATTTTTTTGCATTTTTAGTAGAGATGGGGTTTCACCATGTTAGCCAGGATGGTCTCGATCTCCTGACCTCGTGATCCACCCGCCTCGGCCTCCCAAAGTGCTGGGATTACAGGTGTAAGCCACCACGTCCGGCCGAATTACCCAGTCTTTATAGCAGCATGAGAACGAACTAATAAACAGGTCCTTTGCCCATTTTTTTATAGAGTAATTTTGTTTGTTTGTTATTGCTATTGAGTGTATACATTTCTTGTATATTTTGGATATTAACCCCTTATTGGATATATGTTTTCTAATATTTTCTCTCATTCTATGTGTTTCCTTTTCATTTTGATAATTATTTCCTTTATTGTGCAGAAACTTTTAGTTTGATGTTATACGTGCTTATTTTTGGTTTTGTTGTCTGTGCTTTTGGTGTCATGTTGAAAATAATCATTGCCAAGACCAATGTCATGGAGCTTTTCCTAGTGTTATTTTCTAGGACTTTTATGGTCTCATATCTTACATTAAGTCTTTAATCCATTTTGTGTTTATTTTTGTGGGTGGTGTAAGAGAAGGATTCAATTATATATTTTTGCATGTAGATATCCAGTTTCCCAACACCATTTATTGATGAGACCATCCTTTCCCCATTGTGTATTCTTGGTGTTTTTGTCAGAGATTAGTTGGAAGTATATGCATGGGTTTATTTCTGGGCTTTCTATTCTGTTCCATTGGTCTATGTGGCTGTTTTTGCACCAGTGCATACTGTTTGTTTACTATAGCTTTGTAATATAATTTCAAATCAGTAAGTGTGCCACCCCTAGCTTTGTTCTTGCTCAAGATTGCTGTAGCTGTGCATGGTCTTTCTTGGTTCTATAAAAACTTCAGGATTTTTCTTCTACTTCTGTGAAAAATGTTACTGGAATTTTGATAGGGATTACATTGAATATGTAGCTTACTTTGGACAGCGTGGGCATTTTAACAATACTGATTCTTTCAGTCCTTGACACAAGATATCTTTCCATTTATTTTCAATTTATATCATCAATGTTTTATAGGTTTTAGTGTACAGGTTTTTCACCTTCTTGGTTAAATTTATTCCCAAGTATCTTATTCTTTTTGACATTATTGTAAACGTGATTGTTTTCTTAATTTCCTTATTTCTTTTTTTGGATAGGTTGTGTTTAGTCCATAGAAAGGCATCTGCTTTTTGAATTAATTTTAGATCCTGCAACTTTACTGAATTTCTTTATTAGTTCTTAAAAGTTTTTTTTTTTCTTTTGGTGGTACCTTTAGAGTTTTTTCTCTATATGTTGTCTGCAAACAGACAATTTCACTTACTCCTTTTCTATTTGGATGCCTTTTAGTTCTTTTTCTTGCCTAATTTCTCTGGCTAGGACTTTCAATACTGTTAAATAGAAGTGTTGAGAGTGGGAAATCTTGTCTTATTTCTGGTCCTACAGGAAAAGCTTTGAACTTTGCACTGTTAGTTGTGGGTTTGTCATATATGGCCTTTATTCTGTTGAGGTACATTCATTTTACACTAACTTGTTGAGCATTTTTATTATAAAAAGATGTTAAATTTTGTTGAATGCCTTTTTTGTACCTATTGAGATGAGTATATGATTTTTCTTGTTCATTCTGTTAATGTTATGTATCATATTTATTGACTTGAGTAGGTTGAATCATCTTTACTTCCCAGAGATAAATCATACTTGATCATGGTGGTGTATGGTTCTTTTAATGTGCTGTTGTACTTGGTTTTCTAGTATTTTGTGGAGAAATTTTGCATCTAGGTTCTCAGGAATAGTTGCCTGTAATTTTCTTTTTCTGTAATATCCTTGTCTGGTTTGGTATCAGGATAATGCTGGCCAGAAAAATAGTTTGGAAGAATATTATTCTCTTCAATTTTTTGAAATCAATGGGAATCCATGTTTGGGATTTTGATCTTTATCTTAAGAGCAAAAGAAAACCATTGACAGGTGTTATTCAGGGAGGTAGTAAGATGATCACATTTGCTTTTTGAAAATCACTCCAAATACACTGACAATAGATTGGAGGAAGACAAAAGTAGATAAAAGAAACTAGTTGTGATAGTTCTAATGTGAGGTAAAAGTGGCTTGAACTAGGATTATCCCAGTGTGCGTGGAGATAAATATACTCAAGAAATATTACTGGATAAACCAAAAGGACTTGGTGACTAATGAGATATGGATACAGAGAGGGAGATATCAAAGATCAGTCACAGATTTCTGACCTGAACTGTTGGGTGCATGATGGTGACATTCCTTAAGATATTTATCCTGAAAAAGAACCAGATTAGGTGCAAACCATCTTCCATTTGTACATTTCACCTGAAGAACCCAAGGATTAGAGGAGTTAGGTGAGTTGCTTCAGGTTATATAATAACTTAGTGTTGACCAATATTTAGATTTTTGGACTCCTCATTGTTCAGTTTCTCTTCTTCCTCCTCACTGACTCACAACAGCCTTCTAAATTAATTCTATGTGTATAGAGTGGTCTCCTTTTAATTTATCCTCCACACTTATACACTACTCTGTCTAAAACCCTCAGTAACTCCCACTTTTTGACTAAAGCTTAAAGTTAAGAGTCCTTTCATGGCACATGAACCATTTCTTCATCTGAAAGAAACTGTGAGTCATTAAGTTTAGTTAAAACAGAACATAAGGGTGAAGAGAGATGAGAAAAGAGACTAAAGAGTAGATTAGAATGTAGATTAGAAAGACTTATAAATAATTTTCCTATGTTTAGAATATAATTTAAGAGAGAGAGTAATTTTTATTTAGCCTTTATTTTTATCCAGTTGTGTATGCACATAAAGACTCAATTTTTTTGACCCTGGTTTTATTTAAAAAAGGCAGTCTTCAGCTCTGTGACCTACCCCATTTTCCCAGTTTAGAGAGGTATGCATACTTTTAACAGTTTTGATTAAATTATGCCTAATTTTACATATTTACCTTCAATTTTCTAAATCACTTGCCTATATTGCTACTCATTGATTGTTTAGTTTTGGGCATTTATCTATCAACTTCCCACCACAGAAGATGAAAATTTAGCTCTCTTTCACTTTTCATCTCTTTCCTGGCCCCATCATAGACATACACACTTACCATCTGTATTAGTCCATTTTTGTGCTGCTGATAAAGACATATGCAAGACTGGGGGAAAAAAAGAGGTTTAATTGGACTTATAGTTCCACATGGCTGGGGAGGCCTCAGGCACTCAGGTGAAAGGCACTTCTTACATGGTGGCAGCAAGAGAAAATGAGGAAGATGCAAAAGTGGAAACTCCTAATAAAGATCCATCAGATCTTACGAGACTTATTCACTACCATGAGACCAGTATGGGGGAAACTGCCCTCATGATTCAAATTATCTCCCACCAGGTCCCTCCCACAACGTGTGGGAATTATAGGAGTACAATTTGAGATGAGATTTGGGTGGGGACACTGCCAAACCATATCATTCCCCTCCTGGCCCCTCCAAATCTCATGTCCTCACGTTTCAAAACCAATCATGGCTTCCCAGCAGTCTCCCGAAATCTTAACTCATTTCAGCATTAACGCAAAAGTCCATAGTCCAAAGTCTCATCTGAGACAAGGAAAGTCCCTTCCGCCTATGAGCCTGTAAAATAAAAAGCAAGCCAGTTACTTCCTAGAAACAATGGGTGATACAGGTATTGGGTAAAAACAGCCTTTCCAAATGGGAGAAATTGGCCAAAACAAAGGGTTTACAGGGCCCATGAAGTCCAAAACCCAGTGGGGCAGTCAAATTTTAAAGCTCCAAAATAATCTCCTTTGACTCCAGGTCTAACATCCAGGTTACACTGATGCAAGAGGTAGGCTCCCATGGTCTTGGGCAGCTCCACCCCTGTGGCTTTGCAGAGTACAGCCTCCCTCTCAGCTGTTTTCTTGGGCTGGCATTGAGTGTCTGTGGCTTTTCTGGGTTCATGGTGCAAGCTGTTGGTGGATCTACCATTGTGGGGTCTGGAGGATGGTGGCCCTCTTCTCACAGCTCCACTAGGCAGTGCCCCAGTAAAGGACTCTGTGTGGGGGCTCTGACCCCACATTCCCTTCCGCACTGTTCTAGCAGAGGTTCTCCAGGACGGCTCCACCCCTGCAGCAAGCTTTTGCCTGGGCATTCAGGCATTTCCATACATCTTCAGAAATCTAGGCAGAGGTTCCCAATTCTTGACTTCTGTGCACTGGCGGGCTCAATGCCATATGGAAGCTGCAAAGGTTTGGGGCTTGCACCCTCTGAAGCCACTGCCTGAGCTCTACGTTTGCCTGTTTCAGCCACAGCTGGAACGGCTGGGATGCAGGGCACCAAGTCCCTAAGGCTGCACACAGCACGGGGGACCCTGGGCTTGGCCCACAAAACCATTTTCTCCTAGGCCACTGGGTCTGTGATGGGAGGGGCTGCCATGAAGACCTCTGACATGCCCTGGAGACATTTTCCCCATTGTCTTGGGGAATAACATTTGGCTCCTCATTACTTATGCAAATTTCTGCTGCGGGCTTGAATTTCTTCTCAGAAAATGAGTTTTTCTTTTCTATCACATTGTTAGGCTGCAAATTTTCCAAACTTTTATGCTCTGTTTACCTTTTAAAACTGAATGCTTTTAATAGCACCCAGGTCACATTTTGAATGCTTTGCTGCTTAGAAATTTCTTCTGCCAGATACCCTAAATCATCTCTCTCTAGTTCAAGGTTTCACAAATCTCTAGGGCAAAATGCCACCAGTCTTTTTGCTAAAACATAACAAGAATCACCTTTGCTGCAGTTCCTAACAAGTTTCTCATCTCCATCTGAGACCACCTTAGCCGGGACCTTATTGTCTATGTTGCTATCGGCATTTTGGGCAACGCCAATCAACAGGTCTCTAGGAAGTTCTAAACTTTCCTATATTTTCCTGCCTTCTTCTGAGCCCTCCAAACTGTTCCAACCTCTGCCTGTTACCCAGTTCCAAAGTTGCTTCCACATTTTTGGGTATCTTTTCAGCAATGCCCCATACTACTGGTACCAATTTACTATATTAGTCCATTTTCATGCTGCTGATAAAGACATACCCAAGACTGGGAAAAAGAAGAGGTTCAATTGGACTTATAGTTCCACATAGCTGGGAGGCCTCAGAATCATGGCAGGAGGTGAAAAGTACTTACATGGTGGCAGCAAGAGAAAATGAGGAAGACGCAAAAGCAGAAACCCCTGATAAAACCATCAGATCTCATGAGACTTAATCACTACCTTGAGAACAGTATGGGGGAAACTGCCACCATGATTCAAATTATCTCTCACCAGGTCCCTCCCACAACATGTAGGAATTATGGGAGTATAATTCAAGATGAGATTTGGGTGGGGACACAGCCAAACCATATCCCTATCCTCCAACTTCCCAAATATATCATAATTTTAGGTAAATATTCAGAGTTTACATTATTATGACTATGTCAACTCTCTTCAGAGCTAAGCAATAAGGTAAATTTTTTTTTCCTGTTCAACTGATTATTTTGCATGTAGTTAATACAAGTCTTGATTTTTATTTGCTTTTTTAGGTATTTAAAATAAATTCATCTGTCAACTCACCCAAAGTTGAGTAAATATCCTCATAACATATTGAAACACATCAGATATTTTATTAATTTTATCTTCTTAAAGAAGTTTAGTTCAGAGTCCTTTTTTTTAAAAAAAGAAGTCTGTATTTTTGAGCTGTCACCCCAGAATCTCCTGTATCATCATTCCCTTTGCCTTTTGCTAATGTGAGAGGCACGTCATTATATATTGATTCTGTTTCTTGTTCTTTTATTGTTTAACACTCACATAGCCTCTAAAAACTTTGTAAAGAAAAGCGCATTAGAGGTAAATATTTTAAAACCTGGCATGTTAGATAATATCTTTATCCTACCCTCACACATAATTGATAGCTTGATTGGGTATAGACTAATCAGTTAAAAATAAATTTCCCATTAAATTTTGAAGCCTGTCAGGTGCATGGCTCACACCTATAATCCCAGCACTTTGGGAGGCTGAGGTGGGTAGATCACTTGAAGTCAGGAGTTCGAGATCAGCCTGGCCAACATGGTGATACCCTGTCTCTACTACAGACACAAAAATTAGCCCAATGTGGTGGTGTACACCTCTAATCCCAGCTACTCGGGAAGTTGAGGCTGGAGAATTGCTTGAACCTGGGAGGTGTAGCTTGTAGTGAGCCAAGATCGTGCCACTGCACTCCAGCCTGGGCAACAGAGTGAGACTCTGTCTCAAAAAAAAAAAAAAAAAGAAAAGAAAAAAAAAAGCCATTACTCTTTTCTAGTTTCCTCTGAGAGGTCCAATGAATCAGAAGTTTCATTCTCCCTTGTAAAGAACCAGTATATAGCTTTTAAAATCTTCTTGTATAAAACTTGTATAGAACTTTTAGCACTTTTTTCCTTATTCTTATTCTTATAGCTCTGAAATTTTTTGTTGATATACTTTGGTATAGTCTGTTATTATCCATCCTTCTGGGCTTTCAGTGAGCCCTTAAACATATAAAAACTTCTTTTTTTTTTTTCAGGAAAATTCTCTATGTCTAAGGTGATTTCTTTTTAAAAAGTTTTCTTTGTTTTTTCATTCCAGCACTTCTAATATTTGGATGTCAAACAAAAAGAACCAATCTTTTAAATTTACATTATTTTCCTCCCCCTCTCTTCCTCTCTCTCTTTAAAAAATTCTGCTTTCTAGGATAGCTCCTCAACATTGTGTTCCCATTCTCTACTGAAGATTTCATTACTATTACCATAATCTGGAATTTCCAATTCCTATGATTTCTGAACATTTCTTTTGATTTTTTAATAAAATTTTATTTTTGGCTTATAGATGCAGTGCCTTCTCTCATTTTTTCAAAAATTTTGACTGCATTTTTTTCTGGCTTTATCTCCCTTTATAGTTTTATCTTCTCAAGTTGCTAATTTCTGTTTGCCTTAGCCCATGTCTTTCATTTTAAAGTGTTTTTCTCAAATGGCTGGTGATTACTATTGACAATTTATATTTAAGAGTAGAAAATAAAAAAGTAATTATGAGCTCTGTGTACATTGGTAGGGTTTCTTGTCAACTGTGGGCTTTACCAAGGAGAGATCTGGCTAAATAGTTTCACTGGGAAGTCTCTGATACTGCTATCTTTAGGGTTTTTCCTTAGGCTGGTCGGATTTCGCCGAAGAGAATCTTCTCATTTGCTGCCTGAGATGTGTTGCAGTTTGGATTCTCTAGGAAGTAGAGATTAGCAGATAAGAAATTTATTAGGGAACCCTTGGGATAGACATTTACGGAAAGGAAGGGGAAAAAGCAGAATTGGACAAAGAGAATTTGGACTATGAAGCATTGTCAATGAAGACCTCTGCTGACCCTATGAGAGTTTTGAAGCTGGAATGGGCTTTCTGCATTGAGATGAAGAGGGCTGGACCTTTATATTTTCACATTGATCAGTCACTGGGCTTTGACAAGTAGTAGCTCAGACTATTGCTTTGAACTTGGGGATTCTTCAGCTGAGACATTCTTGAGCAGGGCTGACAGCTGAGGATTGTCTGCTGACACAATTTCTGGCACCTGGGAGAGAAGATTTTTAGTCATGAAGGGAGATCTAGGTGGCACACCACATCATCCAATGCAATGGTATTAGCCTGGATTCTAGAGTTCTGCAAGCCAGACAGTCTTAATATTTAGTACGTGTACAGAGTTCCCAGATCACGAGAAAAATTTAAGGAATTATTAAATGGAAATGTGAATATTTTATTCTTCTAAGATCTATGCAGAGGATAACAACAGAGTTCTCTAATTGGAAAGTTGGAGCCCACTATTCCCTATTTTTCCTTTTCTGATTTTTTTATTTACTATTTTATATTATTAGAGCTTATAACTATGTATTTTTGCATCCTTTCCACCTGTTTTTGATATATATATATGTGTATATATATGTGTATATATATGTGTATATATATGTGTGTATATATATGTGTATATATATATATGTGTATATATATGTGTATATATATGTGTATATACATATATATAGGAAGCCATTCCTTGCTCCTCAGCTTGCAGACGGCCTATTGTGGGACTTCACCTTGTGATTGTGTGAGTTAATACTCCTTAATAAACTCCTCTTCATATATATATATATGTATACACACACACAGACATATATATATACATATATATATATATGTATTTATCCTATTAGTCCTGTCCCTCTGGAGAACTCTGACTAATACATATATATAAGAAGATTTATATATATGAGAAGATTTCTTCTGGGAAATGGCTCACAAAATTACTGAGGCTGAGAAGTCCCATGATATGCCATCTGCAAGTTGGAGAACCAGAAAAGCCTGTGGTATAATTCAATCTGAAGCCAAAGACCTGAGAACCAGAGGGGCTGCTGGTATAAGTTCTAGAATCTGAACAGACCTGAGAATCAGAAGCCCTGATGTCTGAAAGCAGGAGAAAATGGATGTTACACCTCAAGAAGAAAGCCCTGCCTTTTTGCTCTGTTTGGACCCTCAATGTATTGGATGATGCCCCCCAACATTGGTGAGGGTGAACTTTCTTTACTCAGTCTACTAATTCAAATGCTAATCTTTTCCAGAAACATCATCACAGATTCATCCAGCAATAATGCTTTACCAGCTATCTGGGTATCCCTTAGACCAGTGAAGTTGACACATAAAATTAACCATGCACAATGGGTAAGGCAATGTGCATGAGATTTATAGTCTTTGTCTTCTTTAATCCTTTAAATTAACCTAAAGCAAATGTCAATTATCCACATCTTACCAATGAAGCCTTAAGTTTCAGAGAATCTAATTAGACTTTTCAATGTCACATTACTAGCCAGTGGAAGAACTGGGGTTCCATCACTTGGTTGCCTGGATCTAAAGTTCATGCTCGTTTCATAGTGCCATGCTTTCTGCTGTTTGAAGTTGAGTGTGAACCTGAATGTCTGTATCCAAGGAGCATTATTGTTACTTATATATGTATTTACATAGACTTTGATACGCCATGTATAAAAAACTATGCTGTAATTATTCATGCCTTATTCTTCTGTGCTGGAGGACATGGCAAAGGGATTTTGAATGGAAGGATTATTTTGAAATAATCTCAAACATTATTTCAAAAGAGAAGGAGGAGAAGGAGGAGAAGAAGGAGCAGAAGAAAGGAGGAGGAGGAGGATATGATGAATAGAAATGTAATTTACAGAGTAAGTCTTTGCGGATATAATCTTTAGGAAGAAAAACAGAACATAGATTATTTAAATCCACATTTGTTTTATTGAGAAACTATCGGAAATATGCACGGAATGCATGTTAACTGCTCAATACTTGAGTGCTGAATGCAAATTAAGTGCTAAAACCATCTGGAAATCATTTGAATCTGGCAATAAAAGTGATAAGTGAAGCATTTATCATTAATCTGAAGGCACATTTTTCTAATGGATTTTTTATTCATGTTTTATGTTTCTGTTGTGAATTTAAGATTATTTTCTAGCTATACAGTTCTTGCAACTTCCATTTATAATTACGATGATTCCAATAACTTAGTGGTGGCACTAGAAGTAATATTGTAATTGGCCTTTATTGATCAATAGAACATGCACCTCTTGACCCCACAAAGTAATGCAAACTTTGATTAATTAGGAGAAAAACAATTAACATACTTTGATTGTAAGAAAGACTTATACAGATTTCAGAATTTGCATAGAAGTATGTGTGTGTATATGTGTACATATGTGTGGCTTAACAATACAAATTTAAATTTTTATTGTGTCACATTGCATAGATGCTTATTTACCTTGACAATGGTATGCTCTTCAGGAAGATGATGAAAGGAAATAGCATCTTTAGTATCAAAATAATATCCTTAGAAAGAGTATCATCCTTCAAATGGGGCAAGAGAGGTTTCTATAGAAGATAAAACACCACTGAAATAAAATTTATTAAAGAGCACATGGATATCTCTTTCACTTAGAATCCAGTGATCACCCTGGCACATTGTGACCCATTATCCTAAAGATTAGCTCTTATGATTACCACCATTCAAGTCTCGGGGAAGTGCATCTCCATATCTCTTGCCCTATATTCTCAAAAGGCAACTGAATATGAGTGCTTGAAGTTTTGTGAGTTTGCCTCAATTCATGTCAAAATAAACGCCTCTTTTGAATGGACAGAGGATTTGAGTAGCAGAAGCTTTAAGTAAAGAGAAAGGCAAAATAGCTATTTTGTCAAGTCTTTCTTGTTAGGTAGCATGAATGCAATAGTTTTTTGCCTAAAATGCACTGTTTTATAGTATTGCCCAGCAATCATTAGGAAATGTTTCTTTTTTTTTAAATATATGGTTCCAAAGGTTCTCATGAATCAGCATACTATTTACAAGAACTGGACAGGAATATTGAGCAGCATTTGGGGATATTAATCAAAATAGTTTACATAAAGATGAAAATTTTAATCTAACTTTTTGAAAATATAATTATTAATATTTAAAAAGTAGGACTGTTTGTAATTCTAGTGTTCAATGTCTACCTATTTGCCAATGTGAAGAATCAATCTCACACTTCACTAGTTTATGTCTAGACCTACATCTGTACAAATTGGTAGATAAATTCTGAGTGTCTTTGAGGGTCAATTTCAGGGCTCTTAAAGGTAGAATTAATTAGGGAAAAAATCTGGGTAAAAATGATCACAGGACATTGTCTAGATAAGGAGATAGCTAGATGGATAAATAATAAATAATAATAAAAACCAGAAATTTTTATTTCTGTTGCATTATTGGTATATTGGTTTTCTATAACAAAATGATACAAACATAGCAGTTTAAGAAACACAAATTTATGTCTCAGTTTCTGTAGGTCAAAAACTCAGGTACAAAGGAGCTTAGCTGCTGCTTTCTTTAGTGTCATAAGGCCAAAATCTAGGTGTCAGTAGGGCTCCATTCCTTTCTGGAGGCTCTGAGACTGAATCTACTACCAAGCTCATTCAGATTGTTGGTAGAATTGGGTTCTATGTAGTTTTATGGAGACTGAGGCCCTCATTTTCTTACTGACTGTTGACCAGGGGTTGTTCTATACTTCTAGAGGCTACCTGTATTCTTCGGCTTTTGGTCTCCCTCCTCCATCTTCAAAGCCAGAAATGGTAGATTAAGTGTTTCTCAAACTTTGAATCTCTCTGATGCCCTCCTCTTCTTCCTAATCTCCCCTGTTTTCTTCTTCCATAGCATCTTTCCAATTCACTCTCTGCCTTCTTCTGCTTTTAAGGGCTCATGTGATTACACTGGGCCCACTGGATGATCAAAATAATGTTGCTATCTTATTGTCAGCTGATTAGTAACCTTAATTCCATCTGCAAAGTCCATTCACAGAAGTATCTAGATTAGTGTTTGATTGAATAATCAGAGGATGGGAATACTGGGGTGTGAAAGGAGCACATCATTAGAATTCTGCCTATTACCAAGTACCTGATGAAAATAATGATTTCTAACGTTTATGCAGAACTTTACTTTTTATGATGACTGCTCACATTCACTAATTTGTTTGAGTCTCACAGCAACTCCATTAGGAGGTGTCATCTCAATTTTATAAGTAAGGACTAAGCATAGAAGATATTTAATATTTGTATTTCTGTTCCAGTCTTGGTATCTAATAGATACTTCCTTCTTTTGCTTTGCTTTCCAATCTTGGTGTCATAGTTGCTTTTTAGACATGGGAACTGGGAACCAGCCTCAGGACTCTACCTTTTCCATTTTCCACCTACATTCCAGATGCTATTTTTACTTCTGTTGCATTGATTTCCCAATTCCAATGGGTGTAACATATACCATGTTTCACTAGCCACTGGAGACCTTTATCTTAATGATGATATAAAGGGCTAAGATATATTTTTTTAATTTCAACTTTTATTTTATATACAGGGGTGCAGGTTTGTTACCTGGAAATATTGCATGATGCTGAGGTTTAGGATGTGGATAGTTTTTCAACCCATACCCCCTTCCTCTCTCAACAACCCAAGGTAGTTTTTTAACCCATACCCCCTCCATCTCTCACCTCGCTAGTAGTCTGAATTGTTTATTGTTCCCATATTTATGTCTATGTGTGCTCAAGGTTTAGCTCCCACTTAGAAGTGGGAACATGCAGCATTTGGTTTTCTGTTCTTTCATTAATTTGCTTAGGATTATGGACTCCAACTGTATCTTTGTTACTGCAAAGGACATGATTTCCTTTCCAGCTGCAAAGTATTCCATGGTTGACCTTGCAATCCCATTACTGTGTAGATATCCAAAGGAAAATAAGCCATTCTACCCAAAAGACACATGCACTTATACATTCATCTCTGTGCTATTCACAACAGCAATGATGTAGAATCAACCCACGTGCCTATCAATGGTAGATTGGATAAAAAAGGCTAAAATAATTTGATATTTTTATAAAATACCCATCAGAGATGTTGGTCAAAGTGTGTAAACTTTCATGTATAAGATTAATAAGTTCTGGGAATCTAATGAACAACTTGGTGGCTAAAGTTAACATTGCTGTTATTATATAATTGAGATTTGCTAAGATAGTAGATCTTAAATGTTCTCACCACACACACACACACAAAGTGGTAACTATGTAAGGTGATACGTAAGTTAACTAACTTTATCGTGGTAATTATTTTACAATATATATGTATATCAAGTTATAGTGTATGTCTTAAACTTATACAATTTTATTTGTCAATTATACCTCAACAAACAGGGTAGTAAAAGAAAAAACAGAATGAAAGAAAGAAAGAAACAGAAACTTTTAAGAGGTATCAGGACAAAGATGAAGACTGAGCAGAGAACATGAGCAATTCATTCATAAAATAGGAATATTAAATTATTTCAACCGCATTGATAGTTACACAAATAAAATTGGAGATATTCTCATAATGCAAAAAGAACCTCCATCAATGAAGACAGGTTATATAATTTTGTAAGGCAACAAAGTACCTACTTATATTCATCAGGCAACACTGTCTCTGTTAGCTGTGGAGTAGGTGTTATCTATCTATATTCTGTTTTTTGGCCAAGCTAGCTGGCGTCCCAGACATCCTCAAGTTATCACTGAATGTCTTGTTGCTGTATGTAGCCTATATCATTCCTTAGCCTAAATTTTTGTAAAGACTATGTGGTAGAATGGAAAGAACATAAACTTTATAGCCAGAGAGATTTCATTGTCATATGAGTGTGTGATGTTGGGCAATCTATTTAATCTCTTTGAGTCTAAATTTTCTCAATCATCATAAAAAAATGGGAGCAATTATGTTTGCCTCTTGAGTTGCTTAAGGATTAAATGAGTTAATAATATGTGGATGCACATGACACAGTGTCTGACATATGTTAACTGCCCCCAAAGTTATAGTTTCTATTTTCATAATTAACAGTTTAAGTCTTTGCTTTCCGTTTTGTGAGTGCTTGGAGGGTCAGATTTTTTTTTCACTGACCTTATTACTTATTTTTTCCGCCTTTGTTTTCTTTCCAAGAACATAGTAGGTTCTCCATAAATTTGGGGGTTTAATTTAAAAGGAACTTTAAAACTGGAATTCCTCTTAACTATTCCCACAGCATTTTATGGTGTAAAAGCTTGGGATAAGATGAATGTGACCAATGATTACTGCTTCTTAGCTATTAATTGAAAAAATGGAATTAGAAGTACATTATTTTTTCTTCTCTTCATTAACTTTATTTGTTTTCACTTGTCCAGGCTCATTCTCACTGACTCTGAATTGCTCCCAGGTGTATGGTTTCATTAGCTTTGCTCTCACCTGTGCAATTGGCAAGGGCCTGCCATTTTTTGTGTTATGATGTCTGCATTCCTTCCCTGGGTCCTCAGAGTTAGCCTCTTGTGTAGCATATTAATGCCATGGATACCTCCTGCTTGCCTTCCATTGTCCCATTAGGACCTCCCCAGCAGATTTCTTTTCAAAGTCCTTCTGTGCTGCCATGGATTGATGATTTGGAAAACTTCTTTCTAAATGGAGTTCCAGAACATGGCCTGATGCTACAGAGCCTTGAATGATGTGTTTATTCAGTCTTTTTTCAAGAAAATATTGGAAAGACAGAACTTCTGATTTTTTTATAGAGGATCTTCTGTCAGTCATTTCCCAGGATGGGGCAGGGATGGCCTCTAAAATATGTAGGCTGAAATACCAAATCCAAACTTAATGCTCTAGTCCAGAATGCTGTCAGCTTTAACTGGGATTACTGCAATGACCTTCCATCTGGACTATCTGCATTTATTCTTACCCCTTTCTAAGTTGTTCTCCATGTAGCATCCATGGCAATATTTTTGACATGCAGATCT
Source organism: Homo sapiens (assembly GCF_000001405.40). NCBI lineage: Eukaryota > Metazoa > Chordata > Mammalia > Primates > Hominidae > Homo > Homo sapiens. Next base: position 82,643,908 of record NC_000011.10, on the reverse strand, counting down.
CATTTTGTTACCCCCTGACCTACCACACCTTTTAAACGCTAAGTGGTTTAATTATTTCTGAGCCAGTGAGTTTGCTGGCATTTTATCAGTTAGGGAAAATCTAGCATTTTAAATGGCATTTAAGTGGCAGTTGCCATTCTTCCTAATTGAAAATAATCTATGTATTAAGTTACTGATTCTTCACTCACAGGAGTGAAACTGTGCCCCAAAGAGTTAAAGAAACCAATGACTAACAGAAATTATTGAGTTTGCAGGATAGCAGGCAAGAAAAGAAACAAGACTGAAACTCCCTCTGCTAGAAAGATAACAAAACTGGCTGAAATTCATTGGAACCAATATGACTGACTGAGGTTTAGATCAAATCATTTTCCAAAGTCAATCAGTCGTAAGTCCAGGGCAGATCAGAAAATAGCCACAGAACAATGTGAAGTATGTTATAATTGAGAATGTTACAAGTTTCTATGGGAACAGAGAGACTGGCCCATTGATCCTAGTTTGGGATTGGGTGGGAAGACCTCATAAAATAGTGAAGGGTAGACTGAGTCTTGAATGACCTAAACAAATATATAGATATAATTGGCCAGCCCTCAGCTGGTCTCTGATTATGACCCGACCTGCTGAGATAAAATCCAGTGCATCCTGTGCTACCTTGTTCATGTCCCAGGATTCAGTGACTTTGGGCAACTGAGGTATGAAAAAAAAGATTTTCATTAGTATTTGATAAATTTATACTTTTGCGTAAAACAAAATGCAGCAGTGGTGAGTGACAACTTTCTCACTTTTTCAGTGTTGGGGGCGGGGATTCTTCAGAAAAATTCTTGTCTTTCTGTCTTGAATATCTTGAGTTTTTCCATTCTATCAATGTCTGTTTGCTGCTGTGATGACCCAAATAACCCCAATCCCTAATCCAGCCAAAGGGGTTAATGTCACTCAAGCTCCTGCTCCACCAAACTCTCAAGACACTGGGGAACATTGGGCCCCATCTCCTTCATAGCTTAACTTGCCCTATCTATCTTCACCATGCCAAACACCCAGAGCTTAAAGGCATACAAAGTTCTTGAGTAATGAATAAAGCAGATCTCAGAAATGTATCACAGTGAAGGGAGTGGGGATAAAGACTGGAATTCCTGATAACACAATCATCAATTCTACTGCCCGAGGGGAACCCCTTCTTGGTGTGAATCTTGGTAAGCATGTTCCCACTGGATACTCCTGAACTGCCTTGCTTCTCTAGGCACTCTTCTTTTATGCAGACCTCTTTCAAGTTTCTCAGTCTCATGAACTCACTCTTCTTCCTCAGAAACCTCTGTTTATGCCACACGTATTAGTCCATTTTTGCACTGCTATAAAAAACCCCTGAGAGTGGGTGATTTATAAAGAAAAGGGATTTAATTGGCTCATATTTCCACAGGCTGTACAGGAAGCATGGCTGGAGAGGCCCCAGGAAACTTACAATCATGGTGGAAAGCAAAGGGGAAGCAGGCAAGTCTTCACATAGCCAAAGCGGGAAGAAGAGCAGGGGAGGTGCTACACACTTTTAAACAATCCAATCTCAAGACAACTCACTCACTATCAGCAGAACAACACCAAAGGGGAAATCTGCCCCCATGATCCAATTACCTCCCAGGCCCCATCTTCAACACTGGGGATTTCGATTTAACATGAGAGTTGGGCAGGGACATAGACCCAAACCATATCACCATACAAATGATGAGGTGCAATCTCTTGGATCTTGCAAATTTATATTTTCTTGTGGCTTGCAAACTTGAGCAACACCACAGGCTACAGCTGAATGCATATTGATATTTATGATAAAAAAAAAGGCTACAGAAAGGATGTGAGGTCTGATCTCCCAAATAAGGATAACACTTTGATAATACTTTCTTTACGAAGTCACCTGAGAAGTAAGCAGGCCTTGTAAATATAAGCATTATTCTTTCCTAGATATTTTGCAGCGTAATTCCCTATTGAAGAAAAAATATTTCTCCTGTTAGCAGGGTTTTGTCCTTGACTTTATGATGTATAGATTCCCTGGTTACTGGACTGAGAGTCACTTGGCTTTTTTCCCCTCTGCTGATTGCTAGTGGATGTTATTTTTGCTAACTAAAAGGAGAGGGGTTATATCAGCTTGGGTTTGCTGCATCTGATTACATTTTTGATTATAAGTCTCTTCTGATAAAAGCTGGTGGATGGGAGGAAGAGAGTAAGGTTGGTCAGTTCATCCTGCTGTACAAATAATATTGAACAAGAATCTAGACTAGGTTAGATGACTTTACTTTGGAATGTAACAGTCCCTTCTCTCTAATTCTCCATGGACTTGTCTGGTTCATTTCCAAATAGGCTATGAATTCCTTGCAATCAGGGGCTTATGTTATTCATGTTTGAAATCATGGAGTTCAGCACTTTACCAGCCACTGGGTTGGAATTCCAAAAAATATTTGTGGAATAGAACAGAAAGAAAGCAAAATAGATAGCATGATCCAAAATAATCTTTTGAAACATCTCTTGAACAGGTCAATTAAATGCATCTCAGTAACATGAAAGCATTTTGAAAAATATTTCTTAAGTTTCCATTCCCTCCTAAAAGTGCTCTATCTCTGTTGGCAGACCCACCATTAGGACCAATGAGTGAGCTATTTTATCTCTGTCTGGAATCTTCTAGATGTCAACTTTCTGTGACATACTCATATGTGATTTCATTCTGATCTCCTTCCTGAACCCTCTGAAGCAGTTGCAGCTCGAAAGGTTGTTAACCTTACTGTCAGCAGGATCCCTTTGCAGATAAGAGCTTCTTAAGGACTAATTTTCTTCAGTTAAGCTGCCTGCATCTTGCTGCATTGATCAAGCAATTAATTGATAGTTGAAGACTTACCTGAAACTGCAAGGCAGCTTTTTATTTTAAACATATTGATTTTTGTTACCTTTCCCTCACTCTCCACCTTCAATATAGATAAATATTTTTTTAATGCTTTCTATGCATATCCTTTAGTCCTCCTAAAACTTGCTTGAATTCAGAAAGAAAATAATAGATTTTTCGTAGTAGGAATTCAGCTTTTTATATTTTTTCAGTATTCATTCATGGCCTGCCTGTAACAAATTAGATTTTTCTCTTAGTTTTTGACTTATTCTCCCCTCTCCAGATGATATGAATTCATATTTCATTTTATAGGCTTGCTAAAAGCAAAGGTAATAATCCTAATCTGTCACCTAAGAAGAGATTTATTGCTCTTAAACAATAGGATGCTCATAACAAAGGGAATATATGTCAGCAAAGATGGCTCATATTGGTCTTAGAAAACCATCAGCACCTTGCAGACATTGCTTCATCCTTGTTTCAGAAATTTAGTCATTGGTGGTCCAGAATTCATTCCTAGAAGTGCAGCCAAGAAAGGGAACTCAGAGGTGGATGCTCTGACTGGGATGGGACAGGCAAACAGACCCTTCTTAACGTTTGCAGGGCAAGGGTACAAATGGAGGCCCTCATACCAAATGTCTACACATTTAAAAGCTATTAATCAATTTATGCCTGCAACCTGGCTCAGGTTGCTACCCAGGGCCCTACAGCATGTGTCTGGGTATTGTTCATGAGACCTGTGGAGTAAAATTCCTACATTCTCCCTCAGGCAACACCTGTCCCCTGTAAGCCTCAGATCTGCTGCGATGGCAGGGTGAACATGACCCAGAGCTCAGGACTCCTGGGCAGTGCCTGGATCAACTTGAAGCCAGGATGGGGACTGACCTGGTCAAGCTCTCCAGGGGTTGAGTGGGCAGTTTATCCTCAACACATTACTTTTCCTACCCGGCAATTACAGGCAGTTCTAAGCCTTCCCCAAACTATACAATCTGAGCAGAAGGGATGTGGGAGGGCAGTTATCAGAGGTATCTGGCCTGCCTAGATACTTACTTTAGGTGAATTTGGGGTGGTCAAATTTAAACAAAAGCAGCTATTCTTTCTTTTGTTTCTCAGGCAAGAGGTGGTGATTTTCTCTTTCTTCTGCATATACTCTCAACCCCACATCTTCTGGTCTTCATGGGTGTTGGGAGAAGGGATTTGGCTTGTATGATCCTCATCTGTAATTCCTGTTTGCTGAAGGGGTTTCTAAAGTGTAAAGAAATGTCCTCTTTATGGTATCAAAAATAAAAGAAATTTATGTTTTGGTATTTGCAATGCCTGGGACCCAGAGCAAGGGGTCCTCTTGCCTGGATCTAAAGGTAGTTATTTGTATAGATCTCCAGATCCTGACACTAGCCCCTTCGGTGACTTCAGTTTAGAGAATGTGAATAACTCAGAAGCCCTTAGTACCTTAATCACTGGTCAGTCCAAGCAAGTAATTCAAATGCCTCTTTAATTGTAAGCAGCTACAAATGGGGTGGCAAAGTCGGTTGTGGGCTGGACTTCAGGCAGCATGGAGAAGGAGAATTAGCTGTTGCCACTGGCAACGTTGCTTGACATCTCCAGTAGGGAGTTAAGAATGCTAAGTTTAAGAAAACAATTCAGCCATATTCTTTGATCTTGCTTAGACAGCTTGCTAAGATATCTCTTCAAATATCTCTTTAAGTTGAGCAATCGGGCAATTTTCCCATTCTACTTGGAACCTCTATTTTATCAAATGTACAACTAAGATTTATTAAGAATTTACTATCTGTCAGAGAGTCTACTAAGCACATTATACGCATTTAATTTTTATAGCAACCATATGAATTAGGTACTATTTTGAGCAGATAAAGAAACTGAAGCACAAACAGGTTAACTTATAAAAGGTCACCCAGTTAGTAAGTAGAAGAGCTATGATTGGAATACAGGTTTGTCTCACTCCCAAGTCCTTACTCTTAACCTTTATGTACTTCTGCTTCTTAGGAGAGGTTCTTGTGTATTGATTTTTCTGCCAGTAGAATCAGGATAAGTCTTGCTTATCTTTTTATTTCAGGCACCTGGTAATACATGCTTATGAAAATTATTCTTGTTTTTATACGTAATGTATTAAATGAACATCTCTAAAATTCCATCTGGTCTGTATTTGCTTACTTAGGTTCATAAGCATGAATCAAAGTTTAGGACATGTGTTGGGAAACATTTTCCCTAAAGGGTTGATGGCAAACATTTTAGGTTTTGTGAGTTATTATATGCTATTATAGGTAGAATAATTACCCTCCACCTCCTCCAAAGATGTCCATGTTCTGATTACTAGAACCTGGTAATATGTTATGTTACATGGTAAAGGGAAACTAAGATTTCATGTGGAATTAAGGCTGCTCATCAGCTGACTTTACCATAGGGAGGTTATTCTGGATTATCTGGATTATATCAATTTAATCACAAAGGTCCTTAAAAGTCAAAGAAGGTGGCAGAAGATCAGAGTGATGTGATTTTGTGAGATGTGAGGAAAGGCTCAACCTGCTTTTGCTGGCTTTGAAGATGGGAGAAGTAGTCATGAGTCAGCGAATGTAGTCTGTCAAAGCTGGAGAAGGCAAGGAGATTGAGTTTTCCCTGTATCATCCAGAAAGAAATGCAGACCTTCTGATACATTGATTTTAGCCCAGTGGAACCTGTGTCAAACTTTAAGCCTGAAGAATTGTAAGATGATAAACATGTTGTTTTATGCCACTAAGTTTGTGGCAAATTGTTACAGCAGCAATAGACAACTACATACCTACAGTCTCTTTTACAATTGCTCACATCTTGCTGTAGGATGAAAGCAGCCATAGGCAATATGTAAAGACATAGGAGTGTCTGTGTTCAAATGAAACTATTGAACTATTTACAAAAACAGGGTAGTCAGGCAGATTTGGCATGTGAAATATAGTTTTCCAAACTTTGATTTATGATTTAAGCAAAATGAAGTTTATTTTGTGGACAAAGATAAGGATGCCTATGATAACAGAATGAAGATCAGGGCAAATAACAATGAGAATTTTGTAGGTATATTGGAGAAGAAACTAGGAAAAACACTAGTATTTACTGAGCATCTATTATGTTACAGGTATCTTTCTTGGTGTTTTGTTAGTATTTTCTTATCCAGATCTTGAAATAACATGATAGAGTTTATATTATTACTCTGATTTTTACAGAAGAGCAAACTGATTTCAGAGAGTAAAACATTTAGGTTCACACACTAATAAGCTACGTTTTGAACTGAAGTCTGCATAGTTTCATATTTTCACTTTTCACACTGGGGGAAAGAATGGGTGTCTTACTTATTCCCCATTTGTTGTTTTTGAGCTTCCACCACACTAAGATGTGCTGACTATGTGAACTAGGCTGAATTGGAGAGGTTCTATATTTCAATCCATTTTTTTGGACTCAAATTCAGCTATAACATTCAGCATTTGCCTTCTCTTAGTTCTGCTAATGTTAGCAATCGTACTTCTTAAAGTCCTGTCCACTCTTCAAAGAAAAAGCTGAAATGGTTGATGGAAAGAACAGCAGTAGGTAATAGCTAATTTGATTTGAGTTTGAATATCTTATTGAAGTTAATAGTGTTATTCAAACAAATGACACAGTAGGTAAATTTTCAATTTGGAGTGGAGGATTTGAGTACTTACTTAGCAAGGAATGTTTCTCTACATTTCTCTGCTTCTCTGATGTAAAGAACTATCAGTGCATCAGTCTTAAGAATATAAGGTTATGGCAAGCAATGCTTAAACCTGAAGTGCTTTATCTTGGCTAAGTTTTTGAAAATCTGTCTAACTCTATGACAAGGGGAATTAAGAACTATTTTTCCTGGAAATAAAAGTTTTAAATATTTATCAGGCTCAGAAACCAACAAAATAAAGAACTGACTAAATATCACAAATGAAATCACTTATGTATAGTGATAAAGTTTCTAACATATATGTTTCACAAATATCTTAAGAAAGGATTAAACAAATAGATATTTGATTATAGGATATAATCAAAAAAGACTCTCCAGGAGAAAAAAAGATGTGCAGTTTTTCTAAAACGTATTGGCTAATGGTCACTTGCTTCATAGAGCATCTTGGGGAACTGGTATTTCACAAACCACCCTTTGGGAAATGTGGAGGAAATGGCATGGCAAATGCACAGAGGCATGAAATTGCCTGACATGCCTGGGGACCAATCAGTAGTTCACCATGGCTGTGGTGTGTGGAGGGGGATAAAGCAGGGATCAGATAACAGAGACCACTGTTAATAGTTTGGCCTTTATCCTAGACAATGAGAGCAACTGGAATATGTAAGAAGAGTGAAGCAATGACCAAATTTTATGGTTTAGAAAGATTACTCTGGCTTTGGTGCAGAGATTATATTTGAAGGACTGAGAATTGGAGGAAGCCAGGATGACCAGTTTGGATGGAAGACTAAACCAACATATTAAAGACACATTCTCACTGGCTGGGCTAGAAAGGAGGGGAAGATGTTAGGTAGGTGGATTCTATAAGATTTGGTGACCGGAAGGGAATGAGCAAGCAGAGTCTGAGTTGACTTCCAGGTTTCTGGTTTAGATGACTGGGGCATGGGGGTGCCATTCACCAAGATAAGGACTGCAAGAGGGAGTGCAGGTTTTGAGGGAGAGGCAATGAATTCAGTGTAGGATATACTGTCTTTATAGCTCTCCTAGGTCTCCTTGCAGAGCTAGTTAAGAAGTAACTACCATCTTGTTTGGTGTCCTGCTATTTTCCATTGGTCTCTTGCTTCAGTTTTGTAGCCAGCTTTTCTGTCTTTGGAATATTTTCCTTAAATTTCTCTACTGTTGTATGAATGATCTTAAAAAAGAGGCTTTCATTTACTGAGGATATAACATAGCCAGACACCATGCTAAAACACTACTTAAATATAAGATCATTTACTTTCATTTAATCTTCTGAACATCTGCATGTATTAGGTATTATTATACCCATTTTATGAGTAAAAAATTGAGACAAGAAGACTTCAAGGAACTTGCTCATGTTCACACAATTACAAAGTGGCAGAGGCTGGGTGCAGTGGCTCATCCCTGTAATCCCATCACTTTGGGAGGCTGAAGTGGGCGGATCACCTGAGGTTAGGAGTTCAAGACCAACCTGACCAACATGGAGAAATCCCGTCTCTACTAAAAATACAAAATTAGCCGGGCATGGTGGTGCATACTTATAATCCCAGCAACTCCGGAGGCTGAGGCAGGAGAATCACTTGAACCTGGGAGGCGGAGGTTGCGGTGAGCCGAGATTGCGCCATTGCACTCCAGCTTGGGCAACAGGAGCAAAACTCCCTCTCAAAAATAGAAAAAATAAAAACAATAAAGTGGCAGAGTTGGGATGCCAACTAGATTTTTATACTAAATGGGTGTGCATATGAGGTCCCTCCATGTCAAGCTCTTATCCAGGGATCAAGTTTTCACTGGTCTTACTTAGCAGAATGGATGGCTCCAGGCTATGTATACTGGAAAATCTTGGATGATATCCTCCCCAAATCCTCACCTCATTCTTTTTTATATTATTGCTGGTACAGTGCTTGTTATTCTTCTTCCAGTGTACTTCTCATTTACTCAGACAGAGAGACTCTCTCTAAATCTTATATTGTCCCCAGAGCGCAGCACAGAGTTCTGTATACATGCTCTATATGTTTCAATATTTTTACTCTATTCTTACCTCAAGGTTTACTCTGAATTAGGTGTATTAGGGTTCTCTAGAGGGACAGAAATAATAGGAGATGTGTATATATAAATGGGAGTTTATTAAGGAGTATTAACTCACACGATCACAAGGTCCCACAACAGGCAGTCTGCAGGCTGAGGAGCAAGGAAGCCAGTCTGAGTCCCAAAGGTGAAGAACTTGGAGTCTGATGTTCAAGGGCAGGAAGCATCTAGCATGGGAGAAAGATGTAGGCTGGGAGGCTAAGCCAGTCTAGTCTTTTCACGGTCTTCTGCCTGCTTTTATTCTGACAGTGCTGGCAGCTGATTAGATTGTGCCCACTCAGATTGAGGGTGGGTCTGCCTTTCCTAGTCCATTGACTCAAATATTAATCTCCTTTGGCAATACCCTCACAGACACACCCAGGATCAGTACTTTGTATCCTTCAAACCAATCAAGTTGACACTCGGTATTAACCACTACAGGTGGAATCTCTGCCCAAGTGGATATTTCCTGTATACCCAAGATATTGGGACTAGACCATGGCAATGAGTAGTGATGGGATAAATGGTCCTGGAAAACCAAGCAGAAAGATTTTGGTAAAGTTCTAAGAAGTATAGGGAGGTCTTTCAGCACATTCCTTTTCTATCTTGTACCATTTCTTTTTGTGTGTCAATATTTCTTTTTTTTTGTTTTTGTTTTCTGTCTAGTTAAGAAGGAACATTAGAAATTTTCTTTAACTGAATTTGGCCTCCTCGTCTTTCCTCATGTGAGTGAAGTGTAATGAATAGGGTAATGGATGTGAATCCAGCAGCTTATATTTAAAGTCTTGTTAAACCCGCTTGCCAGCTGTGCGTTCTCAGGCAATAACCTACCGGCATTAACCTCTCTTTCCTTGTCTGTTAAATGGGTGTGGTGGCACCTTCCTGCCTACCTTGCAGAGTTACAATAAAAACCAGATGCTCTAAAGGGTATGAAAATATTTTGTGGTTTTGAAAACACTCTGTTCCTCCTGAAGATTGAGGGAAAGTGCCTTAGGAAAAGATTACAGAATACCATGGCCCCAGGGAACAAAAAGAGTAATGGAATGCTTGAGAACAAACATGAGATTACTCCATACATCAATGAGGTCATGTGGAAACTGATCCTGAGGGCAGTTTTCACCACACAAAATCCTCTGGATATTTATATACTAACTTTTGTGAAGGGCAAACCAAATGATCTTGAGGAACAATCAAGAACTTTGCTCCAGAGTTGGATTTGAATACCAATATCGAGGCTGTGTGAAAACTGGCAACTCACCTAACCCTCAGAGGTTCAGTCCCCTCTACGTTAAAACCACTGTTTAAATATATATATTTATTTGTTTACTTATTATCTGTCATCTTCACTGACAATGTAAGCACCACAATGGCAGGAATTTTTGTCTCTTTTTGTTCGCTGTTGTGAATAAAATCTAGACTAATGCTTACAACATAGTAGGTATTCAATCAATATTTGTTGAGTGAATGAATTAATTCTATTTATTACTCATATTAATGCTGTGAGATATGTATTATTTAAGGTTAAGTGACTTGCTTACATTCTTTCAGCTAATTAGAATAGGAGAGATTTTGAAATCAGATCTTTTTGACTTCAAAGCTTATGCTGGTTTCAACATACCAACTTCCTCCTCATCAGTATTATAAATAAAGTAGAAAGTGTAAGGTGTCATAAGAAGCATAAAGGTATAGTGTCAGGGAATACTTGAAGAGGCATAAAGTAGCTTTCTTTCTACTATAACCTTCTGAGCGGCAATTTGGTGTAGAAAGAAAGGCACTGGCTCTTTGGGGAGACAAACTTGGGTATGAATTCTGGTTCTGCTCTGTATTAGTTGGGTCACCTTGGAGAAGTTCCCTACTTTTCCCCTCCTCAACTTTCCTATTATTAAATGGTTATAATACTTTACATTTGGGGTTATTGGAAGGAGTAGATGAGATAATATTTGTAACACACCACCAAGTAGGAGGAGATTAATAAGTGGCTTCTCATCCTAATGGCGTTTCTATCTGCATCTTACAGCTTAGCACTTGGTTATTCTGTAAGAGCTTTCATGTGTGTTATTATTGTCTCCACAACAAGATTCTAAGCTCCTTTAGTATAGAAGCAATATCTTCAATTACTTCTCTATATCAAGTGACACTTACTAGGGCTTATGATATTGGCCTCCATACTTCTCTTGAGGGGAAACTTCTTTGATGTTTTTTCTGAATCCTGGGAAAATACCTGGCAGTGGAGATGAAGGGATACTGACAGGTCAAGTTACTTCTAATACATTTTGGGGTGGAAGATGGATATCATCTTCCAAGTTGAAGGTCAATTATGTTAAACCTCAAGATTAACCAATAGAACAAGGTCCACATATCTGTAAACTGAAATAAGACAACACTCTTGTACAGATATTTTCAGTTGCTATTTTGATTTTCTTTTCTATTTTTTTCTGCCTCCAAACAAATGCCATTACCAGAATCAGAGTTGCTAGAAAATAAAAACTAGGCATTTGTTCTTTGAACTAATGTTATATATTTAAAAACTAAAATGGATTTGTCAGGTACTTTAAGGATCAGATTTCTAGATTGTTTTTTAATAATCTAAACTTCATAACTTATAAAAAATCTATTTATACAAGAGGCTCAGTGGCCTCTGGGAAAGCCTTGAAAATGAATTTCAGCAAAGCAGAATATTGTATAAATAAAGCTCTTAATGTGTGAATTCTAAAGAGATGGTGGTGAAATGGGAAATACACATTTGTTATTAACAACTGAGGTTAGAAAGGCATTTTGATTTACAACAAAGGCGGTTTGCAATTTCACTTTCCACTGGATAGGCAGGAAGTGGGCTCTGCCTCATTACATTGTAAGATTAGTGTTTGTGCTGAATCCCCAGCCAAGTGAACAAAGTAAGTCATAGAAGGCTGAATTATTGGGTGTCTTTCCAGGAAGTCACTGGCTTTCAGCTTACGTGAAGTATACTGCTCATGCTTCCCATTTCTTGCCTCATTTGTTTATTTCTTTTCCTCCTTAGAGATTCAGTTGTGACTAAGTAAATGGACATTTCAGATTTACTCAAAATACCAAGTCAACTTTACTTGTTTAGAGGCAAAGGTGATTTCTGCTCTTTTGTCCATCTCTAGTCAGCTTTCGTGACTAGCAAATCTAAACTTTCCAGACAGAACATGGTAGTGTGGGAAAAACCCAGACACTGCTGTAAATTTCCATTCCTATATGGCCAGTTGTTGGATCAGTCATTAGTTGCTATGTAACAAATCACTCCCAACATCAGTAACTTAAAAATAACTATCTATTGAACTCCTGAGTTTGTAGGTCAGCAATTTGGTCTAGGATTGGTTGGGTAGGGCCAGGCTTGGCTGATCTTGTCTGTACTCTGTCATGCAAATGTGGTTAGCAGCTTTGGCTGTTTCAAGATAACTGAATGAGACAGCTTGTGCTAGCTTCACGTGGTCTCTCATCATCCATCAGACAAGCCTAGACTTATACATGGTGGCTGTGGAGAGGGTCCAAGAGAGCAGGTGAAAGTGTGTAAAGTCACTTGTGATTCAAGCTCAGAACTTGCATAATGTCATGTTCATTTTGTACTGTTACCCAGGGCAAGTCACTAGGCCAGGCAGGTTTCTTTCTTTCTTTCTTTCTTTCTTTTTTTTTTTTTAGATGCAGTTTCACTCTTGTCGCCCAGGCTGGAGTGCAATGGCACCATCTTGGCTCACTGCAACCTCTGCCTCCCAAGTTCAAGCGATTCTCCTGCCTCAGCCTCCTGAGTAGCTCGTATTACAGGCACCCACCACCAAGCCCGACTAATTTTTGTACTTTTAGTAGAGACAGGGTTTCACCACGTTGGCCAGGCTGGTCTTGAACTCCTGACCTCAAGTGATTCTCCCGCCTCAGCCTCCCAAAGTGCTGGGATTACAGGTATGAGCTATGGCACCCAGCTGCCTAGGCAGATTTAAAGGTGAAGAAATATATTCTACAAGTTAATGGAAGAAGCTGCAAATGATTGAGGCAGTTTTTGTAACCTATGATAGACGTTCTTTGTGGTTTTATTTGCTTTAAGGATTTGCTTCTAACCATTTAAATCCATTATATTATTCTGTGCTTAAAGGAACTCTCCTATGGAGTAATTGTATTAAGCTTCTTATTCATTCCTGGGTCCTCTCTCAGATACCTAGATGCCTCAGCAACAACCCCTGATTCCTCTTTATGTTTCTCATACAGTGTACAGAGGACTTATATAAACTGGATCTCAGAAATAATCAGTACGAACCCAGATAGGTAAATTAAGCTAGAATAGCATCCTTAGATTCTAAAACACTTTGTCTTTTATTTCCTCTTCTGTCCTCACAACAGTCCTGTCATCTAGGCAGGGAAGATACTCCTTCACTCTTTGTCCTGATGCAGAAACTGAGGCTCAGAGAGTTTAAATGATTTCTGTGAGTCCCCATGACTATATGAGTGATAGGGTTGGGATTTGAACCCAGGTTATCTGAAGGTAAATCCGTCTCTTAATTTATTCTGCACGTTGTCTCTAGCTGGTTGGCTGGCTTCAGGCTGATGTTAGCCAACTTGCCTTCCTCTCTTGGGCATAAATAATCTAGTATAGCATTTCTTTTCTTTTCTTTTTTTTTTTTTTTTTTTTGAGACAGAGTCTCGCTCTGTCGCCCAGGCTAGAGTGCAGTGGCGTGATCTCGGCTGACTACAAGCTCCGCCTCCCGGGTTCACACCATTCTCCTGCCTCAGCCTCCTGAGTAGCTGGGACTACAGGTGCCTGCCACCATGCCCGGCTAATTTTTTGTATTTTTTAGTAGAGACAGGGTTTCACCGTGTTGGCCAGGATGGTCTCGATCTCCTGACCTCGTGATTCACCCGCCTCAGCCTCCCAAAGTGCTGGGATTACAGGTGTGAGCCACCATGCCCGGCCAGCATTTCTTAAACTAGAACTTTGGGCCCTAGGTGATAAGGGATAGCAATGGCCTGGCCACAGAGGCATGAACAAAGGACATCATAAAGTAAGGGGATATTCAAGGGTCAGTCCAGATTTCTGAGTTTCCCCTTCATTCTCCTGGGCCCAAGAGATCTGCACTCTTTGGGCAGATAGGGATTACAGTGCTGGGATTACAGATGTAAGCCACTGTGCCTGGCCCCTTCATCCTTTATTGACTTTAATTTTCCTTTGTCCTCCTAAACTATAAAGCTTTCAAGGTGAATAGTGAGGGTAGGAGGTGGGGGAGCATGGTGATACACAACTTGAAAACAATTGAGGGCAACTGCTTTAGTTTTATATTGGCAAAAATCTAAAGATGTTACCTGGTGCCTGTGGAGTCTTTCTGTAACACTCAGAGCTCTGATAACCTCAGGCACAGTATTAGGGCAGTGGAGGAACATGAGCTTGTGAGTCAGGCACATGAGCTAAAATTCCTATTCCTCCATTTACTGCTCAGTCTCCTCATTTGTAAAATGGCACCAGTTATATCTACCATATCAGCTTATTTAATAAATAAAATGAGATAATGTATTTAAAGGGCATCATATAGAGTAGATGTCAAATAATTTTGTGTGCTCCTTAATTGAGGGATGCATTCATATGTGATAGACCTTTATCTCTGTAATTATTTTAATTCTAGCTCAAGCTACACACAAACTAGTTGAAAACATGGGTTTTCTCTTCTTTCTTTATTTAACTGATTTTCTATTTTAACCTGAAGATGTAATAAATTCAATTTGACCCAATATATTCAATAAAACACCTACTACATCAGGCATTGTGTTAGGCCCTAGGGACTTAGTAGAAACATAGCAAAATGACTAAGATACATCTTTGTCCCTAGGCTTCAAGCTTCTCACAGTCAAGGAGAAGAGATGTGAACAAAAGGGCTGTATTATAGGCTAGACTATTGTGTCCAAAGGTGGTTCCTTCTGGTGTGTTTGTGGTCTCACTGACTTCAAGAATGAAGTCAAGCCATGGACCTTCATGGTGATTGTTACAGCTCTTAAAGATGGAATGAACCCAAAGTGTGAGCAGCAGCAAGATTTATTGTGACGAGCAAAAGAACAAAGCTTCCATAGCATGGAAGGGGACCCAAATGGTTGCCACTGCTGGCTGGGGCGGCAAGCTTTTATTCCCTTATTTGTCCCCTCCCATGTTCTGTTTTTTTCCTGTCAGAGTGCCCTGTTTTCAATCCTCCCACAATTGGCTACTTTTAGACTTCTGCTGATTGGTGTGTTTTACAGAGTGCTGATTGGTGCTTTTTACAGAGCACTGATTGGTGCATTTTACGATCCTCTTGCTAGCTACAGAGTGCTGGTTGGTGCATTTTTGTAGAGCACTGATTGGTGCATTTTACAATCCTCTTGCGAGCTTCAGAGCACTGATTGGTGCATTTTTACAGAGCACTGATGGTGCATTTTACAATCCTCTTTCTAGCTACGGAGTGCCGATTGGTGCATTTTACAATCCTAGCTACAGAGTGCTGATTGGTGCATTTTACTATCCTCTTGTAAGACAGAGAAGTTCTCCAAGTCCCAACTTGATCCAGGTAGTCCAGCTGGCTTCACCTCTCAATTCCCCCTCTAAGCAGGACACTCCATCTGCTGTTGGGAATTGGGTGATGACCACTCTAACTACTTCCTGCTGGATAGGGGCAAAGAAGTGGCCCTGCAGTTGTAGTGTCCTCCAGAGGGGAACTCTCTAGGCCCATCAAAGGGTCAGCGGGTTGGTCCAGGGGTCCTTGGTAGAAGTTGTGAGTTGAGCTCATTTGGGGTTCCATTTGTAAGACCATCTGTAGCTTGATGGCCTCGATCCTGGAGGAAACAAATTTGACAAGGAGGTTAAAAATACAGGGCCTGAAGGTAAGTAATAGCAAGATGGCTGTCACGGGACATAGAAAGGGGAGAAGTCATGTCGCCCAACTCTAGAGGTTGGCATAAGAGTTTGAAAGGTGTTGTCTGATTTCAGAAGCCTTTTCCTGTAAATGCCGGGCAGCATCTCCTACTATCCCTGACTGGTTAGTGTAGAAACAACACTCTTCCCTTAAGAAGGTGCAAAGTCCTCCTTTCTCAACAGTGAGGAAGTCTAGGCCTCGGTGGTTTTGGAGAGTCACTGCTGCCAAAGAGTCTATTTTGGATTGTAGAGTAAGGATAGATTTTGTTATTTCTCACAAACAGAAATCCTTTGAGAGTGTGTGGTAGTAGAATAGTGAAGTGGACAAACCTGCTATTCCAGTTCCTGTAGCAGTGGCCATTCCTAACCCTATAAGTAGGGGTATTAGTTGTATGGTCCTGGGCTGATGGACTTGAGCTTTGAGGGGCACTGATAGGGTCTGATTTCCTGGGGCAATGTCAATGTTGGGACTTAAGAAGACTAAGGTGCAGGTGCATGTCCAGTTGGTGGGGAGGCAGATACACATTGAAGTTCCACATAAGAAGAATATGCCTTGGCTGGGTAGACAGAACTGGTTGTGTATATTAAAAGGTGTGTGAGTTTGTTTTCATTTTCCCATACTCCTAGAGTACTTGCCAAGGTAGCTCCAGTGAGCAGCTGGAAAGGGGTGTTGGGAGAAAACTGAGTGGCTCTCTGTGTTCTATTTTCCCGTTGGAGAAAAAACGGTTTTGTATCTACTAGGAACCATTCAAGAGAATAATTGAAAGAGGGGATGAGAAGGCATTCACCATTGGTGGGGGCGCTGCTGCAGGCGGTCCAGGGGTGAATGGTCATGCAGGGAGTATGTTTTCCATTACAAAACCCAGACTGTTAAGCAGGGAGGAGTTGATGATTTTTGGAGGCCCTGAGAAGCGGACAAGCCATCTGAACGGAGCTGTTTGGGTGATTCGGAAGTCACTATGATCAGTTGGGGCTTGAAGTTGCAGGGTGTAATTACACTGATGGGATAGTAGGTGCCCTGGGACAGGCCTGATAACAGGTTGCGTTGGATGCATAAAGGGGCTTGGAAAGTTAAGATGGTATTGGTTACAGGGCCATGTATAGGCTTTTCATTGCTCATGTAATAGGTGAGGTTGGAAATGTAAGAGAGTAAAAGCTGGATTGTGCATCCTGTTAGAGTATTTTTGGACCTATCAGAGATGGGGAAGGAAGTCTAACTGCTAGTCCTCTCTGGGATAGTGCCCTATTCTTTGTTCCCCCAGAGGGGCCTTATGATGGACCAAGGGATTATTCCTTTGGCACATCTCACAGGCTTTGACAATTTGTTGGATGGTCCAGAGGAGATTTGGCCCAGTAAATAGGGATTTGGTCATTTGATGAGTGTTCTCAATACTCATATGAAAAGTTTGGTAAAGAGTCTTAATTATTTTCCACTGGCTGGCTTCAGGTATGAGTACCTTTCCCTCTTCTGTCGTTAACCACCCTGAGGGGAGAAAACTATGTCCCCATGAAAGTCCCCATTCTGTTTTGGTCAGGGAATAGTGGGGCTTAATCTCTTGGAGAGGGTTGTTCCATACCAAGTATCCTTCCATAGGTATTTCTAATGGGAGGTTCCACCTGGCAGCAATTTTGGCCTCAGTGTCTGTCTGATGGTTTCCTTCTGCCTTTTCTCCTTCACCTTTTTGATGGTTTCGGCAGTGTAAGACTGCCACCTCCTTGGGTTTTTGCACTGCATGCAATAACTCTATGATTTCCTTGTGGTATTTAATCGGGGTTCCCCCAGAGGTTAGGAACTCCCTTTCTTTCCAAATTGCAGCATGGGCATGTAGGATTAGATAAGCATACTTGCTATCTGTATACACATTTATTCTTTTTTCCTTTCCCAGTTCTAAGGCTCGGGTAAGCACCACTTGTTCTGCTAACTGGGCATTGGTCCCTGGGGGAAGAGGCTTACTTTCAAGTACTGTCACATCACTAACTATGGCATAACCTGCCCTTCTCATCCCATTTTCCACAAATGAACTTCCCTCGGTTTATAGGTTAAGGTCAGGATTAGCTAAGGGGACTTCTAAGAGGTCCTCTCGGGAAGCATAAATCTGGGCTACAATTTGATGGCAGTCATGCTCGATTAGTTCCCCATCCTCTGGGAGAAAAATGGCAGGGTTGAGGGCTGCACACGTGTGTATCTGAAGCACCAGTCCCTCAAGGAGTAGCGCCTGGTATTTAAGCAGGCAGCTGTCTGATAGCCATAAACTTCCTTTGGCACCTAGTATGACATTTGTACATCATGAGTAGTCCAGACAGTGAGATCCTTTTCTTGTATTATTTTGATAGCCTCGGATACTAAGATGGCCACCACTGCAACTACCTGTAAACAGTGAGGCCAGCCTTTCGCTACTGTATCAATTTCCTTACTTAGGTATGCCACTCATTGTAGGGTTGTCCCATGAGTCTCAGTAAGAACTCCAAGAGCTGTTCCCGCCTTCTCTGTGGCATATAAAGAGAAGTTTTGTCCTGTGGGAAGGCTTAAGGCTGGAGCTTGTACTAGGGCCTGCTTTAAGGTTTTGAAGACTGTTTCTGCCTCTGGTTCCCATTCTACCAGATGAGTATTTGCCCTCTGGGTCTCCTTGATTAGAATATAGAGTGGCCTGGCCATCTCGCTGTATCCAGGGATGCATAGTTGGCAAAAGCTGGTGATGATCCCAAGGAACCCCCACAACTGTCTTAGTCCCCCAGATCTGTATATATCTATATACAGTTATATATATATATATATATATATATATATATAACATACCTATACATATCTATGTACCTATATAACATGCATATACATATCTATGTACCTATATAACATGCATATACATATCTATGTACCTATATAACATACCTATACATATCTATGTACCTATATAACATACCTATACATATCTATGTACCTATATAACATACCTATACATATCTATGTACCTATATAACATACCTATACATATCTATGTACCTATATAACATACCTATACATATCTATGTACCTATATAACATACCTATACATATCTATGTACCTATATAACATACCTATACATATCTATGTACCTATATAACATACCTATACATATCTATGTACCTATATAACATACCTATACATATCTATGTACCTATATAACATACCTATACATATCTATGTACCTATATAACATACCTATACATATCTATGTACCTATATAACATACCTATACATATCTATGTACCTATATAACATACCTATACATATCTATGTACCTATATAACATATATACATATCTATGTACCTATATAACATATATATACATATCTATGTATCTATATAACATATATATACATATCTATGTATCTATATAACATATATATACATATCTATGTATCTATATAACATATATATACATATCTATGTATCTATATAACATATATATACACATCTATATACAGTTATATAATATATATATAACTGTCATATATATATGTGTATATATATATAAAGGACAGTTATTAAGTATTAACTCACATGATCACAAGGTCCCAGAATAGGCCATCTGCAAGCTGAGGAGGAGCAAGGAGAGCCAGTCTGAGTCCCACAACTGAAGAACTTGGAGTCTGATGTTCGAGGGCAGGAAGCATCCAGCACAGGAGAAAGATGTAGGCTGGGAGACTAGGCCAGTCTAGTCTTGTCACGTTTTTCTGCCTGCTTTATATTCTAGCTGAGCTGGCAGCTGATTAGATGGTGCCCACCCAGATTAAGGGTGGGCCTGCCTTTCCCAGCTCACCGACTCAAATGTTAATCTCCTTTGGCAACACCCTCACTGACACACCTAGGATCAATACTTTGTATCCTGCAATCCAATCAAGTTGACACTCAGTATTAGCCATCACATTAACCAGTGTGTTCAGACACATTGCCGCCCCCTTTGCCTTCTCAAACCCACACAGCATGCCCCTGGCTGAGGGCCATTGAATTGACTATTCCCTCTGTCTTGAATGATTTCACAGTCTTCTCTATGGATAACTCACCTCTTTAAAGTCCTCTTCATAATGAGGCCCCCTAGCCCTCTTTTATGTTATAACTTGTCTCCTTCTCTCATGTACTTCTTTTCCTTTTTACTACATGTTTTCCATTATATTTGTTATATTCTGCTATATCGCATAACTTACTTTTTAAAATCTGAGGATCTTTGTCTCCTTGTGTATATGTGTATGTGTGTGTGTGTGTGTGTGTGTGTGTGTTTACTCTACATGCCAAGCATCTCAAACAGTGTGTGGTAAAGAACAGGCAGTCAAAAAGCGTTTGTTGAACAAATAAGTGAACTCTGACAAAGTTTTTGCCCATTCACCATCCTGTCCACATCCTTTTCTCTGCTCATTCTAAGTTAAATACATACCATGTTTTAATTGGCAATTTAATTTATTTTTGTGGACCAGTTTAACATAGAAGAATATGACTGTTTACAAACAATGCAAGTACAGTATATAAAACTATAACTAAGCTATTTGGGATAAAAGAACATAGTTACACAAATATTAATACATATTATTCCGGAATTCTGAACTGAGGAAAAAGAAAATGATCAACTATGGAGCATAGTGTGCACATGAATTACCATTCAGCTTTATTTGAATAGGCTTTGTGGCTGCATAGTTTTGAGATGGAAATCTTTGCCTTTTGCTTTTCAAATGATTCTTTGCAAAGTCTTAACCTGACCTGCCATGTCCACTTACTTTAATGAAACATGAAGCTGCTTAAAATGAAATTTCTCATCTCCACATTCTTTTCCTCTGATTAATTTAGTGTTGGCATTTAAGCATGATTACATTCCCTTGGGAATCAGTGATGTTTTAGGCAATTTCATCTGTTTAATTTACATTTTGTTGAAAGACTTAGGAAGGCAACTGCTTTTTAAATCAAGATCCCCAAATGTCCACGCATCCTGATTATAGCTGATCTTTCTATTTTCATTATGCTTTCATGAGTTGAACTTATTAAAATATGAAAATAAAGGAAAGCAAATCCACCATGTCAAATAAAATGCGCCACTGCTCTCCACTCTCCACATAGAGATGCTTTTCCATCATGCCTTCATGCTTTTTAAATTAAATGTCAAGTTTTGCACGGCTGCATCAAGAGACTTGATCGTGGGGCACAAAGTTTTGCTTTTCCTTGCTCTGGATTGTATTTAATTCAAGTGCTTATTACCAATAAGATTATTATGTAATCAGAACAACTAATATTGGATTTTAATATTGAACAGTTTAAGGTGGTTTTTAGCCAGTGTCACATAATCACTTTTTTTCCAAATTATCATCTATAATGAAAATAATGAGGATCTAAATTCTCATCACTAAGATGTCTATTTTACATATTTTCTAGCTTTTTCACTTGGTAATATAAACTAAAGAAGACAGAGAACCAGAATGACTGTATTTCTAGAGCTGAATAAATATTAGAGATTACTATTACTTTCCATTCCATTCCATTCATTTCCCTACTGAGAGAGAGTTGGCCAGTGAAAAGTAGAGAACAAAGAAGAAAAATTGTCCAGGCAGCAGGGCTCTGCTTAGAGTATTCCTTCCCACTTGTTTTCATTAATTTTAAAAATCTGACAGTCTTTTATTGAGTGCTTTGACCTATTCCTATGCTAGAAGTTGGACACACAACAAATAATCAGATCGTTTCTGCCGTTTAAGATCCTCTTGGCAGAGAAATCTACTCTTTTCTTAATGTTGGAATTTAAAATGGATACTTTCTGTGCAGCATGACCATGCTTCTATTTTGAATAATACTTTAAACTTCCCCCAAGTATCAATAACTAAACATATTAGACTTTACTTTTGGCCAGGTGCAGTGGCTCATGCCTGTAATCCCAGCATTTTGGGAGGCTGAGGTGGTCGGATCACCTGAGGTCAGGAGTTTGAGACTAGCCTAGCCAACATGGTGAAACCCTGTCTCTACTGAAAATACAAAAATTAGCCAGGCAGTTGCCTGTAATCCCAGCTACTCGGGAGGCTGAGGCGAGAGAATCACTTGAACCCAGGAGGCGGAAGTTGCAGTGAGCGGAGATTGCGCCATTGCACTCTAGCCTGGGCGACAAGAGCAAAACTCTGTCACACACAAAAAAAGAATTTATTTTTATTTGTTATATGCCTAGCATATTGGCTTTTACTAACTTTTCTGTGCAGTGGTAGATACACTCCAGACATTTGCTTAGGCAGTAACGCAGGTGCCCCAAGAAACTTCCAGTCATAGTCTTAATGGTAGATCATTATTTCTTCTTGGGAACAGAGTCCTTTCCACCATTGGTAAAAATAGGATGTTTTAATATTTAGAGGTAAGCCCTACAAAGTTCCAAGTGTCTGAATCTTAACTATCCTCTCACCTGTTTGTTTTATTTTGCTTAATCCCTTTATATAAACTTATTTCTGCCTTGGTTTCTAGGGACAAATTTTGATGCCAAATTAAAACTGAGTTTGAATTCTGATTCACCACTTTTTGGCTACATATGGATATGCATACAACTCTAGAAATTGTCACGTATTGCACAGTTGCTCCAAGATACTTATCTTGTGGTACCAAGTTTTGGTTGTATAGGTTTGGATATCATTGGGCTTAGTGCTTATTGTCAATAAGTTTTGTACATGGCCAACACAATACTGAATTTTTCATTACTTTTATCAACTCTAGTGAGAATAGTGAAGATATGTTACTTAAAAGATTGACTGAGTAGTATTTCCATCCATCTCACTTGGTGATACTAGTTGTACTCTGTGTAAGTTGTACATCTTAGAGTTGTACAGCATGCAAATTGCAGAGCCATACTTGGTTACCTTGGCGTGAGAGGTTGAGGCCAACTACACATTTAGAGAGCACATAGCTCCGCAAGATTGCTCTCACTTCTGACACTAACTGTAAGTTTAAGTGGGAGTTCCTAAAACAACCCTCAGGTTAGATAATTGCTAGAGCTAATTGAAAGCTGCTATAATACTCAATGATTATGATTTATTAAAGGGATTAAGATCCATCAAAGGAAGAGCTAGATAGAGCAGAGACTAGGAGGGTTCCAAACATGAGGCTTCTATCATCTTCTCCCTGTGAAGTCAGGTTGTGTTACTCTCCTGGGATTGATGTGTGACAATATTCATGGAGTATTACTAATCAGGGAAACTCACCCATACCTTGGTGTTTACATTGGACTTCTATTACATAGGCATGCTTGATTGATTGATTGTCCATGAGGTTGATTTTAATTTCTAGTCTCCAGTTGTGATCCAAAGCCCCCTCCCTAAATCACATAATTGGTGTGAGTCAAAGCACCTACTGTAAATCACATTGTTACTATTGGACTAGCTCAAGATCCCCAAGCAAACACAGATACTTTACCTTCTGGAAGGCCAGGAGAAAGTCCAGATCTCATTTTAGGTGAGACTAAATTCTTTATTGCACCCTTGGGAAAGTCCCTTAATTTTCTTCCATCACTGTTCTCTCACATATAGAATGAAACAAATTATATGTGACTGTTAGGGTTATATTCTGGTTAATTATAAAGTATGCGAACTTAAGTAAAAAAAAGTCACTATTCTTTCTTTAGTTTACTACTCTCTTCATGTATACATGTGGGTTCTGCCAGCACAGTCTTGTTAATTTTGTCTTTGTTTCCAACTCCAATTCTTTTGACACATAGTTTCAGTCACGATCACTGAGTTTTTGGGTTTGTCTTTTTTCCCACCTCAGTGCACTGGTTTATTATCTTTATCGGGGTTCTATAATCGCATTAGACCTCTTTGAGTTTTGTTCTTTTCTCCTTATGCTTGAAGACCTTTCTCAAAGACGTTGTCTCATTAACTTTCTCACTGCCAGTAATGGAGTTTCTATTATCATTATTCTATGGTCATTCCAAGGAGTTCTCCTCTTATCAATTTCCTTTTTTTTTTTTTTGAAGTCAAGAGAACTGTTATTTTAGCTCCGTAGCTGAAGTTTCTCATTCAAGGGCTGGTATTCTTTTGTGCTTGGAGAGGATTAGAATGGAAGGTGTAGGGTCCTTTTTGAATGATTTCTGAACCAGTTGAGAAATAAGACAGGAAAGTAAGTAAATGGGGCCTAAAATTTCTTTATTGGCAAAATCTAGGAATTAGGGAATGTGGCTTTTATGTCCAGATAAATGGATTTTCTATTACTGAACCTATGAATTCAACAAATACAGGCAGCTTTTATGGTGCAGGGAGAATGTGTGCTCTCTGTAGGTAGACCCACTTCAAATGGGATAAAAGAGAAGAACTAGCTGAGCATGCTTGCTTTATTCTTCACCAGTTTTTTTTTCTTGACACAGAGTTTCACTCTGTCACCAAGGCTGGAGTGAGTGCACTGGTGTGATCTCAGCTCACTACAGCCTGGACTTCCCAGGCTCAGGTGATCCTCCCACCTCAGCCTTCTGAGTAGCTGGGACTACAGGTATGTACCTCCATGCTGGGCTAATTTTTTGTATTTTTAGTATAAATGGGGTTTTGCCATGTTGGCTAGGCTGGTCTTGAACTCCTGGCCTCAAGTGATCTATCTGCCTCAGCCTCCCAAAGTGCTGGGATTAGAGGCCTGAGCCACCACACCTGGCCAGGCCAGAATTTGCTTTTTTTATGGTGGGAGGACTGAGTCTCCCTCTGTCACCGAGGCTGGAGTACCGTGGTGCAATCTTGGATCACTGCAACCTC
Organism: Homo sapiens; assembly: GCF_000001405.40. Taxonomy (NCBI): domain Eukaryota; kingdom Metazoa; phylum Chordata; class Mammalia; order Primates; family Hominidae; genus Homo; species Homo sapiens. Next base: position 82,619,682 of record NC_000011.10, on the reverse strand, counting down.
CGCCTCCCGGGTTCAAGCAATTCTTGTGCCTCAGTATCCTGAGTAGCTGGAATTACAGGCGGGTGCCAACACACCTGGCTAATTTTTTTTATTTTTAGTAGAGACAGGTTTCACCATGTTGGCTAGGCTGGTCTCGATTTCCTGACCTCAAGTGATCCACTTGCCTGAACCTCCCAAAGTTCTGAGATTACAAGTGTGAGCCACTGTGTTTGGCCCTTCAGCAAATTTCTAAGACAAAAAAAAATCACTTCTACTCTGCTGGGGGATGAGTGAGTAAAGGAGTGGAGAGAAGCCAGGAGTATCTCATAACTGAGCTTCTACTACATAGGTGGAAATATGTAGAATATCTATATGTAGACAGAAAGTGGTGAATCAGAATTCAAACTCAGTTTTAATTTAAATCAAAATTTGTCCTAGGTATGCAAGAATACCATTGAAATTGGTATGGTCAATTATTTTAGTAAAGGCCCCAATTTGTTCATGCCTTCCTGTTTTGGTAACTTTTGCTAGTTTTCTTTTGGATTGACTCTGCGTTTGGATATGTGCCTTGTTTTGGCTCTAGGAAAAGTAGCAAACACCAAACCTGTGGCTTAAAAAGTGCTTGCACACTGGAGCTTGTCCTGTCTTTCTGCTCTTGGAATGTTATGACATCCAAGTGAATAAGAGCAGGCAGTCTGCTGGAGGGTGAGGCACTACGTGGAGAGAGGTCCCAGTCATCTCAGCTGCCTCAGATGAGACCATCATAATCTAACAAGTCCCAGTGGGGCTGACCTACTAGTTTATCAGAGATCACATGGGGAAGTCTGGCAAAAATCACCCAGCTGAACTTAACCCACTTACAAACGGAAAGAATTGTGACAGAAATAAATGGTAGTTTTAAGCCACTTAGTTGTGTGAGTATGTTAGGCAGAAGTAGATAACTGACAAATGGGGAAGATACATTCCCACGAAATAGGAGTTTGTATTATTCCAGTCTCACATTGCTATAAAGAACTACCTGAGACTAGGCAATTTATAAAGAAAAGAGGTTTAATTGGCTCATGGTTCTACAGACTGTACAGGAAGCATGGCTGGGAGGCTTCAGGAATTTACAATCATGGCAGAAGGCAAAGAGGAAACAAGCACATCTTCTCATGGTCAGCAGGAGAGAGAGAGTGAAGGGGTAAGTGTCACACGCTTTTAAACCATCAGATCTTGTGAGAACTCATTCATTATCACAAGAACAGCAAGGAGGAAATCCACCCCCATGATCCAATCACCTCCCATCAGGTCCCTCCCCAACATTGGGAATTAAAATTCATTATGAGATTTGGGTGGGGCACAGAGCCAAACCCTATCAGAGGTTTATGGTTTCCATGACAGAGGGGCAATGGGAATATGTCAGAGATACTATAACAAGTAGTATTTTATTATAGACAAAGAAAACTAAATCCCATACCTTACTTTCTGCAATCTACAACAGTGGAATCTGCCCATGGACGAAAAAAGGTTAGAAGGAAAAATAATTAACTGTAACACTGGTATCCGTAGTAGGTGAGGGTGTTATTTCTTTGTAGTATCTCAGTAATTAAATTCACAAAGTTCAAGATCCTAGGTTCTGTGAGACTTGCCCTCTACATCATTTTTGTTTCAATTTTACATCCTATTCTGTGTCAGTGAATTGAAATTTTTATTTTGTCAAGCAGTTTGCAATCTTTGGTGGTAATTTACCTCGTGTTTCATTGGGATAGATAAGTCCCTACCTTTGGTTTTACAGTTTTCAGGGCCAGAATTCTCATTTCAGAAGAATTCTCTTTCTTAATTTGATTTCTGACAATAAAAAAAGCAAATAAAATATAAAGTCTATAAAAAGAAATCATTAACTGCTATTATAGAAACTGCCCTCCCAGTGGGAGAATCATGCAACTATTACCAAAGCATGGCAGAATGTGAATGCCTGAAATATAAATATGCATACAAATCAATATCACCTCATATTTCAGGTAAACATGCACATCACAAACACTTCTGTATCAAAGACACATTGATAAGGAGAATATGGAATAAAATATGTTTTGTAGGGTTTGTGTTTTGCTGGGGGAAATGTTCAGGGTACTTACTTAATTTAGTCAACAAACTTTTATTTAAATTTATTTTACATCAAGTACTTTTCTGGAACTATGGATACAGAGATAGTAGGCTTGGTTTTGCCTTAAGGGAAATTGTTGTCTAGTGGGGGCAAGCAGTGTAATCAGTGTTATGACGAAGATGTGCATCTGGGACCACAGAGAAAGGACACTAATCCAGGATGGGAGACAGTCTTAGTGCAGGCTTCCCAGAGGCAATGAAGCTAAAGCCCATCCTGAAGTGGGAGAAGGAATTAGCTAATTGAGGTTGAGTGTGAAAGCTGACTGAACCAAGGAACTGAATTGTGCAAAAGCAGACTGGGCTTGGGGGTCAAGCATTATGGAGGCCTGCTGAGCTACTAACTCACATGAATAAAACATAGAGTTCAAGGGTGTAGGGAGGAAGAATGTTGAGCAATGTGTCAGATGAGTGAACATGGTCCAGATGACAAAGGAACTCATAGGATAGCCTGAGGAGTTCGGAACTAACAAGGTGCAATGAGGAGTCAGTCAGGAGAGGTTTTAAACATGATCATGATCTCGTGAATTGATAAGATTTATTTTTTAGAAGGTGTCACTAATTAGAATACAGAGCCTGGATTAGAGGCTGGTCAAAAAGGCAGAATCTAGGAAATAAAGGATGAAGATCCAAAGCAAAGGCTTTGAGATTGAAGAGAAGCGGGAGGACTCAACAAAATGTACAAAGATAGCTTCAGTTACAGTATTAACCAGAATATAGAAAATAGAGGACACACTCAAACTAGTTATTTTGAGGTGAATTTTAATAAAGTCACAATTTAAAAAGGTGAGGGCAGAATGCAGAAAAACAATAAACAAGACTGACACAATGGGAAGCTATTTCCTTTCCCTGGGCTTAAATAGCAAGAAGAGAGAGTAACTACTGGAATCTCGTGAGAAAGTGCAGTGTGGAAAGCCTGGCAAGGTCTGTGATGTTTGTTCAAGGTTCACAGCTAACTTACGGGGTCGTAGTAGAGATGGAGTGATGGGCATGACTACTCCAACTTCTCTCTCCCCTGTCTTTGATGTCTTTCTGAGGCTCAGCATTGGCTGCATGTAGGGCCACTGGTGCCCTTCACAGGGGGCCAGCTTCTAGGGACACAGAGCAAGGCAGAGACAGGAAGAGAGTGAATCTGCAGAGGCCAATGGAAGATATCCAGCACAATAACACATTGAATGCAGTAGATCAGAAGCAGAAGGAGTCTTTATATTTATGATCTTGAAGATGGAGAGGAACCCCTTCAATGATTATAAGAGATGCAAGATGAAAGTAAAGTTCTTTTACTTATAGTTCCTGGTAGGACTGGTACACAGTGTGCCCAAAGACCACACGGAAAGTTTAGAGAAAGTGTGGAAAGAGAGAGGGACCCTTGACCAATTCCTTTATTGGAGTCCAGAGCATTGTCCAAGCAGGTTTTCTGCAGGGAGTTTTAATTGGCGGGTTGAAAGCAAGAAGGCATTGAGTTTCAGGAGGCCACAATGTGACTGAGAGGCAGTCATTGTGGCATATCTGCACGGTCCATGTGGGGTGTGACGGTCAGCAGGACCAGTCGAGTATGCTATATCTAGCTGTCCCATAGGGAGGTGGTCACCAGGAGAAAGCTGTATAATGCAGATATCTACATCAATTGCATTGAAAAGCTGGGAGGAGGTGTAGAACTGGAGACTGTGTCAGGGTGACTGAGCCTTTGGTCAGGTCTAAAAAATGTAATTTATATTCACAATGCATGCTGAAGAAATCCTAATGGTTTCTCCAAGTCAGTGAAAAAAGTCTAAACTGCTTATTGTGTTTAAATAAGGCAAGAGCCAGTCAAGCATGTTTCCATAAAAATGATTAAGCTGAAAGACATTTTATTGCTTAAATAGCATCAATTTAACACATCATATTGAGTTGAAGTAGCTTGTTGAAATGGAGAAAACTAGGTTTGGAGCCAGACACAATTTAATTAGAATATGAGCTATGTGATTTGCTTGTTCTGCATCTTTGGGCAAACAATATAAGTAATACAATTTCTCTCAATCTCAGTTTACTATTTTGTACATGGGGATAACAATTTATGTATTAAAAGTCCCAGATAAAGTGCTGAGAATGTAGTAGAGGTACAATGGGGTTAAATAACATTTAAAAAGCCCCACTTAAATAATTTTTAAAGTTAGAAATAATTTTTAGTGTTGGAAATCAGTTCAGTGGTTGAAAGATGTATGTATACTAACACTTTGGCTGGGAATTATTTTTTTCTTTTTTTTTAGACAAAATTTCTCTGTGTTGCTGAGGCTGGAGTGTAGTGGCACCATGTTGGCTCACTGCAACCTTTGCCTCCCAGGCTCAAGCCATCCTCCCACCTCAGCCTCCCGAGTACCTGAAACTACAGGTACTTTTTGTATTTATTTATTCATTTATTTATTTTTGATAGAGATGGGGTTTTACCATGTTGCCCAGACTGGTCCCAAACTCCTGACCTCAAGTGATCTGCCCACCCTGGCTTCCCAAAGTGCTGGGATTACAGGTGTGAGCCACTGTGCCCAGCTTGGGGAATCAATTTTTAGGTTTTCTGATTGTGAATAATTACATTTTTATTTGACCTTGTCAAACTTCAACAGTCCATTTCCCACAAAATCAAGAGATAAGCAGATTGATTTTTTTTTGCTAATTAATTTTTTTCTAAAAAATAATCATAGCTCAACCAAATGTGTTTGAACAATCAAATGGAATATGTTTTCTGGAGGAGCAACATTCCTTGTCTCTCTTAGTTTGCTAATTGATGACAATTTCTGCTGGCATTTGAGTTTGGGGATATGCTACTTTTCTGCCCTATCATTAACTCGTCCAGTTCATGAGACTGGAAAAGCTGTTGGGATTTATTTTTCAAGGTAGAAAATGTGTAAGAGCCCCAAGGTTCTCTTGGCTGCTTCAATGTCATCAGCAAGTACTGTAATTTACTACAGTCTGCACAGCTGGTGCCTTTTATAGCATATTAACTGAGTGTGACACTTAAATACATGAGTGATACCCTACCAATTGATTTATATATTTTTATCATCAATATGCACTCTTAAAATAAGATGCGTAAATGAGATTTAGAAACGTTAAAATGAACTTCTAAATGAGATTTAGAAACATTAAAATGAACAAGTAATATTTGAATGGAAGCTTTATTTGGTTGCAAGAAATAGAAACAGAAAGAAGTACTACAGTATAAATGAAATTTTCTCATAATCTGTGTTTGTATGGGGGACACAGAATGGGAACTTCTAAATGGCTATGCCCCACTAAAGCTGGAAATGAAACGTTGCAACTAAGGCACATTTCTCCATCTCTTTTGGTCCTGGGGAAATCTGTGGTCACTCTTCAGTGATGTCTCTGTTTCTTTATGTGGATCTTTTCAGTTGCCTCTCTCTGCAGAGCAGTATTCACTCATCTCTTCATCTGCATTCTTCTCCAGCCCTTAGCTATAGCATGGCCTACTCACTTTAATTAAATCCTCTTTATAATTGGCATTAACTTCTTAGATCCATATTCTCCACATTATTATGTATATGACTGATCAGCTGATCTTTCTTGTGAGCCAGGTCTCACAAGTCTTAGGTTACTGGCCAGCCAATGGTTTGCTGGTGCTGGTTGGATCAATCCACCCGTATAGTCCAGTGTACTACAGCCATAGCAGTGGCATTGTGTGGGCTGATGTGTATGCAGAAATGAAGCAGCATGGTTGTCTGGAGTAATATCCGACATTTGTTGTCTCATGCCAAGAAAATTGAGGACACAGACACACACAAGGAGTGAATTTAAGAGAGGAGGTTTAATAGGTGAAAGAAAGAGAAAAGAAAGTAACTCGCTCTCCTGCAGAGAGAGAGGGGCTGCCGAGTGGGTCTTCCAGTCCTGTGGTGAAGTGCATGGGGCTTTCTAGACAGGCTTGAGAAAGCGGTGTCTGATTTACATAGGGCTTTAAGATTGGTTGGACCAGGTGTGACGTTTACATGGCGTGTGAAGAAGCTGGCCACCCCACTAATCTTTTTATTATGCAAATAGATTTTCTACTTGGCCAGAAATGTTGACTGCTCCTTACGGTACACGTGGTTGGCAAGGAAAAGGGAAGATGGAGCCGCCATGTTGAACATGCCTAGCCCTGGGTAGCCTTTTCCTATTGGCACGGCTGCCCGCATTCACCTGTGCAAGCTTCCAGCTTGCTTGTCTATGTCTGCAGCTTGATTTTACAAGCTGCTCTTTGTTAGAAAAGAAACAATTTTGGGGCTGCTTTTCATTAAAAGGAACACCTTACCGAGGACTTCCTTATCCTCATTATCTGCCTAAATAATTTCTTTTTAATTACTGTATCAGTATGAGTTGTGAGCGTAGCATGTAATGATAGATATTTTATTTTTTTACAAATAGAGTCAAATAGAAAAAACATAACCCATATAAATTACAAAATGTACTATGATTCATTTGTCTTCAGTAAGACAGAAGAAGGAAGGGAACTAACATGTACAACTTCTGACATGTAGGAAATCACCTTGAAGCAATGGCAGCCTCCAATGATACAACCAGGCAAGCTATCTCAGAAGAGGTCATGGAACAGAAGGTTTTGTAGACCAAATTAAGATGCTTGAATTGCATAGCTTCTTTTTTTTTTTTTTTGAAACAGAGTCTCACTCTGTTGCCCAGGCTGTAGTGCAGTGGCACGATCTCGGCTCACAAGATGCTCGAATTGCATAACTTCTTAATTCTTTTTTTCCTTTTTCTTTTTTTTCTTTTCTTTTTCTTTCTTTCGTTTTTTTTTTTTTTTTTTTTTTTTTTTTTTTTTTTTTTGAGACAGAGCCTTGCTCTGTTGCCCAGGCTGGAGTGCAGTGGTGCGATCTCGGCTCATTGCAACCTCCACCTCCTGGGTTCAAGTGATTCTTGTGCCTCAGCCTCCAGAGTAGCTGGGATTACAGGCGTCCACCATCATGCCCAGCTAATTTTTGTATTTTTAGTAGAGACGGGGTTTCACTGTGTTGGCGAGGCTGGTCTCGAACTCCTTACCTCAAGGGATCTGCCTGCCTCAGAGCTTATTAATTCAATGTAAAACATATGGTGAGAAGCAAGGAAAAGAAAAGCAAGGGGGAAAGAGATCAGGTGGATTAATACACTTAGGATAAAATGCAACTGGGATGTACAGACCACAATACCTAAAATATGCTATGATATATGTTTTGTCTTTCTGCTGCATTAGCCATTTGCACTGATGCGTATACAAGGACTAGAATTGAGATTTTTTTTCTGTATGTGTATAATTTTATTTTAATTAATTAACCAATTTTTTGGTTGAATTATTTAAAATTAAGTTGATATCACCACAAAAATCCTAAATACTTTAGCATGCATCTCCTAAAATAAGGACAGTCTCATATACAACATAATATCACTATCATACCTAAAAATTCAATAATAATAGAATTGAGATTTGAGCAAAGAGGACCAACAGACAGAAAGTACCCAGGGGCCTAAAGTCACAGTTGATTTTTTTATAGAAATGCAGGAATAAGTACACATAGCATAGCTATAACTTACTAATTAGCTTAACAAGCAGTTGTAACTTTTATTTGTGTTTCTTGGGCAGAGGATACCCTGAGCTCTAATGGGTCCATATTGGGTATCTGATTTTTGGATAACATAGCTATTTAGTCTAGAGGTGGCATGATCATGTCTTATGTATTTGTCTTTCATCCCTTTTTATTTATTAGTTGCACTCTCATTTATTCTCTCCTATATTCTGTTTATTTGATTCATCTTTACCATGTCTTGTGAGTAACTGACTTATCATTGATATTTAACATACTCTGTGAATTCTGCCTAAGATATACAAACTATTTGCTAACTTTCTGTCTAAACTTAACATTTCTAATGGATTTTATCTATTCTGTTTTTTTCTTGCCTTCTAGAATAGAACTGAATATTCTCAAATAATAGAGCAAACACACTACAACTTCTATGGCACATGCACTGAGATAAAAATTCCACATATGTTATCTTATTTAACATCCTCAACAGTCTTTGGAAGTAGGTACTACTATCAAGTAGGAAGTTGAGACTAAGTAAAATTGTGTAATTTGTGCAAAAATCACATGGGTGATAAGTGGCAGTGTTGGAATTCACAAGATTTCTGTTCTTTATATTTTTGACTCACTGAAAGCTCCAAGAGGGTCTTGGCATGTGGTGGATGTGCATCTAATATGTCCCTTGTATTTCACTGAAAACATTTGCATACAAACCTATCTATCTTCACATTATACTGTGAGGTGCTCATGAACAAGGACTGTGACCCATTCATCTCAGTGTCCATAATGCCTGGCACAGTGTTTCACACAGAATGCGTCTCAATAAATGTAAATATCTCCTTTTCAAAAATTGCAAGTTATTGCCTACCTTATTATTTCATTCTTTTCTTCTTCCCTGCCTCAATTCCTCCCTATCTTTTTCCTTTCTTTTCTCCCTGGGAACTTTAACATTTGTTAGATTAGCTTGATGTTCTGCCAGGGCTGTGTTTAAATAACTTCCTATCTTATATTTTCTTCTCCCTCTGCTCACCATATTTGTTTCAGACTGTGATCCAACAGCTCAACATTTGTAGGGGAGAGAGTGATCTCTCAATGTCTTTCAGTTCAAAGGTATTATGTCCTGTCTCTTCAAAAGTACAGGGAGAAGAAAGCAGTTTTACTTAATGAGGCAGAACATTTGAGCTGCTAGTTCAGAAAAGATATCAAAGAAGGTTGTTCATGTCAGCCTCTTGATTTTTACTGTATAGGTCTTTCTAGTTCCCTGGGACATAAAAGTGTGTCATTTAAAAGGCATTAGATACATTTCTCTGGTTTAACATGTTTGATGAGTCTCAGACATTGTAAAAAGTTGTGGAGCCTATAACTCTTATGGCCCCAGTGTTGCAAATTATCTATATGGAGCCAGAGGGTAGCATAGGATTATAAAATGTGGGTTAGCCATCATCTAGCAGACTATAAAGTTTCTCTGTTTTATATTTTTCAAAAGATAAACTGACAAAATTAGTTTGGGAATGGAAATGTTAATAAGAGACCTTAAAAGGCACAGTTTCATCCTTTATTTTGTCTGGTGAACAGTCTGAGAATAGGAAAGATAAATGGCATGCCCATAGTAACCCTACTGTTGCTTCTTAAGATTCATCCCTACCCCTGTGCTATTTATTCATTCACTTATTCAGTCACAAGCACTCATTGACTCGTACTACATATCAGGCACAACGAATAAAACCCAAGTCCCAATCTATCCCTCAAGGTAACTGTTATCTTAAATGCCACAGTGTTTTTACCCAGTTAATTTTGTCCTCCTTTGTAGACCATCTCCTTTCTTATCTACTCCTGATCTTCCATCTTTGTCCTCCACTCACTCTTCTTCCCTGCTTCCCTCTTTCCCTCCTTTCCTTCTGGAACATTTATTAAGTAACTTCTGTATTTAGGGCACTGGGACAGGCACTGGGAAGACAATGCAGATTAAGAGTTTCTGCTTTTAAGGGACTCAGTCTGAATGGAGACAGGTATGTCAAGCCAAATTTACAATACCGTATGATAGAGGACCTGTTTCTGCTTTATATTTAATTTTACAGTTCTCTTCCATCTAGCCCAAGATGACATCTCAAAAATTTCTCGAGGATAAATATTTAAAATTAGAATCTGATTCCAAGTCATTTTTATGTTTTTCAAAGTCCCTTTTGTATATTGGATGTGAAATAAATGTTTCCTGAGTTGAAACTGAGTGGGTCAAAGTGCTGTGCAAATGCTATGAGACACTTGGTCATGCCTTGCTGTCTTTGGTTTCTGCTGCCCACCCTTACTGAGTTTTGTTTTTTCTCTTGTGTTGTGATGAAAATAACTAACCGTTATTGTCAGCTTATTATGTGTCAAGTGAATGGTGCTAAGTGAAGTAAATATTGTTACCCAAGTTTTACAGATGAAGAAATTGACACCCAGAGAGATAAAAAGATCTGATCAAAATCATGATGCAATAAAGTTGAAGAAGCTTGGATCTGTTTCTGTCGTTTGAGCTCTTGTTTATGATTCTGCATAGCAGAGTGTAATAGATATAGGATATTAGGTTTGCAGTCAAATAGCCTTGACTATTTTATAATTTGAGTAAATTAATTAATACCTCTGAGTTTTAGTTTGAGGGGAAATTAGGACAGTAACATTTACTTTAAATTATTGCCTTAAGGATTAAATAAAATAAACATCCGTTACATGCCTGGCACTAAAGAAATGCTCCTTCTTCCCTTATTCCTTTCTCTCCAAAAACCCAGTATTCTTGAGAGTGTGACTTACTAAGTTTCTACTGATCTTCTGGGGAATTGACATTTTATACCAGGGTGGAAATGCTTTGTGTCTTTTATAGGACTTAGTGGGAAGTGAGTAATGTGGAGGTGGGGGTGATGCAGGGGCTTTGGACCTCTAAAATCAATGGCCATACTCCACAATAAGAAGTAGATCACAGTGGTTATCTTATGCAGGAGTCTTTAACAGATGCTGGCATCAGAATAAGGAAATATTCCTAACAGTTATATACAGTAGGTCCTCTGAATATTTTATATGTCCTTAAAATTTCTTGAGAAAGGTTGAGAGAGGAACAAGTAGTCCCTAGCCTTAAGCATCCCTTTCTCTAATCACAGAATGGTTATTGGTGTGTGCCCTCTTCCTTTCCCATGACAAGCCCAAGGTTGCCAGTGTGCTTATCTCCCCTTTGGGAAGCTTCTTCCATATTCTCCACCCTCTACTCTGTTGCTTGGGACTTGTTTTAGTACTATCTTTCCTATTTACTTCTAAAGGAAGATCTACAGGTCCTGTAGGCTTTAGGGGCTTGCTGGTTACTACAGAAGGCAAATCATTTTAAGCAATTATATAAGTAAAGGAACAAGCTTTTAGAATGTTGAAAAGATCTCAGAGAGTTTGGCTTCCAGACCTGACTTCTTTCTGACATGAGAGCTAGAAGTCCTACTGCTTTTGTTCTAAGTAGTGGTTGCCACCAAACTTCTCCCCTTTCCTAGACTCCACCTTTTAATGACATCAAGTTGAATACTGAAGGAAAGAGGATAAGAATTGATGCCTCCTAATTTCCAGAAGATGATATGATTTAGATGAAGGGAATAAATATTTGTTTTATGGACCTTTTGGAAGCCTAATGAAGCTTACAGACCACTTCTCAGAATGCTTTTAAATGCATAAAATAAAATATGTAAAATTTCAGAAGATAATAAGTATACTAAAATAATCAAAGCATTAACATAACTCATACTTTTCCATGTATTGAGCAATAAGCAATTTTAGACAGAGTATACTGGAAAGCAATGACCAGTTGGGTCAACATCTGTATACATGGAGATAGTGATTACGTCTAAATACTACTATAACTTCAAATTATTGATGAGTATAAGTTATATTCCAAGACATTTGCAATAACTATAATGCCATATTAAAATATCTGTCATTTCTCTTGCTGATAAAGTGAAATGTATTGCACACAGTAGTGTGTTTGTTATTTACATTTATAGTTTAAGGTAATGCTAAATTTCAGTTAGAGACAAGTAAAAATTAGATCAGATATGTTTTCCTATCCAACTTCATGGATCCCAGAAATCTCTTTATAATCCTGTTGGTGGTCTGTGGATCCCAGATCAAGATCTTATGCTAGGACTTCCTGTCAGTTGTCCTCTCTCCCTGTCCTCTTTACTAGGTCGCCGTGACCTGCTTCCCAGATCTTCCTCATTGTCACAGTTTTGTATAAATATCTTAGAATGTCACTAATATCAGGATAAGTTCATAGCATCTATGAGAGTAAGAAAGCTTGAGCTGTCAATTTTGCTTCAGGCTGCAAAATACAGTAATACAATTTTTCTTTCCTTCCCTTGCCATTCCTTGCTTTTTTTTTTTTTTTAAATAATTATTTAGTGGGAGAATCAAGAGGTGGGGGAAGAAAGATGGCAACTGCAGATGGAACATAAGGACCACATAGCTCATGGTAGCTATCCAGATGAGCATGCGTATGCAGATTTTAGGCATATGATAATCAAAAGACCTGGAGGTTCTTTCCCTGCTCTCCTTATATTTCAGTGCTACATTCTGATGATCCTAATTAGTTTTTTCTCCCATATGCATTAGGATTTCAATTATGATGGTATGTGTATCAATTTATGAATAGAAAGAAATGCAGTCTTATCTCATGGATCATCTGATCTCTGCTGGTACAGCAATGACAGGCAGGGACGTCTCTTAGTCTCATGTTCTGAAGTTGTGTGAGCTGGAATGCCCCCATACCTCTGGACATCTAAATGGACATGCCTAGGATGGTGAAAACTGCTGCTTTTCTCGATTAGCGTGGAAAAAAAAGTGTATCCCAACCGAAATTACCACACAGGCTATTTTAGTAATTTGTATTTATCAGAGTGTGGCATCCTGAACAAAAGATAATAATCCTATTTAAAAATATATATACAGAGTCATCTTCCTATAGGAAAATGTTGAAACCCTATAGCATGACGTATCACACAAAGCCTGTAGGATTTGTCCTCTGCTTGCCTTTCAGTTTCTCTTCTGGCACTCCTTCACATATACCCTGAGATTGAGCCACACCAAACAATCTTCAGATCCCCAGACATACCAGTTCATTTCATGCCTCTGTGCTCCTGTACATACTGTCCCCACTGGCTAGAATTCATTCATCCTACTTTTTTTTCTGGAACTCAAAATTTTACACAAATTACACCTTGTTCAATTAACCTTCTTTAGAAATATTTCTCCCACATTTTTGGGAAGCATTCAGCACTTTTTTCTCTGTGTTCTTACACTCCTGTGTTTGGTGTTTGTAGGTTGATGGCAGAATTTGTTAATTCTTTTGGCACAGGTTTATTAGAGATCTGCTCAGTTATGGGCTCAATTTCTAGGCATTGATGAATATGACAGATGCCCTCTGCCTTCCCAGAGCTCACAGCTCTGCAAACATTCCATATTATTGTGTCTCTTATTTACCAGTTTTTACCGTCAACTCAGATGAGGAATAGAGCCATCTTTTCCTTATTTTTTCCTCAAACCACTCACAAAGCCTTTACATCAAAGTAGGCTTTATTTACAGAAGGGTTTTTGCACTGCAGACATTGAACATATTATACAATTCAAGATTAGACAGCTCTTTTTAAAAAAGTTTTTCTACCATCCCACCACAGAGATTTGGCCACATTCCTCAATATCTTCCAGCATGCTGCCAGGCTGATTCCTTTATTTGCTTCTTCAAGACACAATCACATAATAATTTCTTATAATATACATTCAGAACAATTTAATTTTTATTTCCATGTTTACTTCCAACAATATTTTCCAAAACCAATAACTAATTTAAGTACTCTTCTAAAAAAGTACTGTCTACCCTGGGTCATATTCTCTAACAATGTAGAAGTGGTAAAATCTTGGAAAGTTTTTTGTTTCATTTTATCCTTCACAGTAAGTAGAAGGACTCAGGGTGGAGATTTTCTTTTTCTCATGAATATAATTTATGCACTTCATTCAAACTTTTTAGAAGGCAAAAGTATCTATAATCAGATTTGGTAATATAATACAAAACATTCTACTATAATATGATACTATATATTTATATAGCATTAATAGCTTTATAAAAGATTATAACTTCATCTTTACCGATGGCCTATAATAAAAGGTAAGAGATTGTAGAAAGATGGATTTAGCTTTATTGTAAGACACTGGGGTTTTCTAAAATGTGGGTGGGTTTACTGTGCCAGAGCTTAAGTTATTTGTAATAAAATACCATTTGTAAAAACTTTTTAAAAGACAACCTATGTTACACTTTTTTTAAAGCATAAATCAACTTCTTCATAGGACCCTCCCATTCTTTATTTTTACCACAGAAAGTTTCTGTGGCCTGTGGTAGTACTGAGCCATCATTTCATTATATTTTGAATATTTAAATGTTTAAAGATAGATTTGTTTACTTCACTTATTTGTATGTAGAGGCGAATATTTTCCTGGCTCTTTGGGTATAGACTTGTGTTAATTTGAATGGAATGGATCTCTATGCATTTAGCTTGTTTTTGTTCTTGTAGTTGTTATTATTATTTGGTGTATTTCATTCCAGAAAAGTTTTATGTATATTTATTGTAGATCATTGTAATAAACATCCACATCCACATGATATTTTATATATCTAGCTTTGTTCAGCTAATGTTTGATGTGCACTTTGAACAGTGTTTAAAACCAAACTTTTTAATGATTGTATAATACTTCATTAAATTTATATCAGAGTTTGCTTCACTGTTTTCCCAGGGCTGAGTAATTAAGTTCTTTATATCCATTTTTTAAATCAGTATAAGTAATTCTGTGATTAACTTCTGCTTGGATTTGACATTTTTTATATTTTGAATTCCTAGACATATGATTAATGCATGTCAATAAAATTATTTTTAAGCTCTTGATTTCCAGTTTCCCAAAGGTTGGAAGCAGTATATAATACTACCAACTACATGGAAGAGTTACTGTTTTATTACTCACCAGTTAGCAATGTGTAAAATCATGAAGACATATGATACGAAAGATATTACTTCATTATTGCTACAAAGAATGAATTACTACATTGCTATAATTGGAGTTATTAAAATTTTATATATTCAGTTATTAATTGCTTTTAATTGTTTGTAACTTGATTAATATGTGTCCTCTAATTATTCAATCTGTTATAGTCTTTGTGTTTATTTTGCTTTATAAGGCCCTTAGATATAATAAAGTTATTTCACTAACATTTCTTGCAAATATTCCCCACAATTTTATTTTACCTTTTAATATTTTAAAAATTTTCCATTGACATATAAGAGATTTTCAATCTTTATATCATCAAATCTGTAGATCCTTTCTCTTACTCTAGAAGCTAGAAGACTAAAGTAGATGTCTTGACCTCCAGTCTTCTGATTTTGTAATTCTTTGGGCTTATGATTTTATCACACAGAATCAGCTTGTACATTTTTTTCTTTCTACTTTAAGATGGTGTGTCCTAATGGACTCTACTATTTCATTTCTTTCATATTTCAGAACACAAATTTCTTAGAAAATACACAAAATTTAAATTTTATAGTAAATTCAAATGCTAAGAAGCACAACTAAAAATTCCAAAACAATGGCAAAAATTCAATGCATAATTCAAGATACTTTCATATAAACATAAATGAAAAGGTTGTTGTGGTTCACAAACTGTGTAGCCATGTTTATTGCTACTGTTTACAACAGCTGAGAAAACAGCTATGTGATCTATCTGGTTGCAAACCTTGAAAAGCTTCCTCGTTACTTTTATGCTTTGGTGATCAGAAAACTGTTTTATTGGCATTGTTAATAGTAATCTGAATTCGATAACTGTGAAAATGTATTGAGAGCCTATGATGTGCTATGTATATGCTCTTCCAGGTGCTGGTGATGCAATCAGACAAGTTCTCTGCTGTTCTGGAGTTTACATTTGGAAGAATTGTGTTATATACCAGGGAAGGATGTGGTAACTCTCCTGAAACCTTCCCTTGGTCATTGTCTTCTTCTTCTTCTCCTCCTCCCTTTTCTCCCTCTCTTCCCCCTCCTCCTTCTCCTCTTATTCTTCTTCCTCCTTCTGTTTTTAAATGAGGAAGCCCATAGAAAATATTGTGACAGGGAGAAATGGATTTTAAATAAGTATGACTGAAAAAAAACTTTTACTATAATAGAAAATCTTGGTGCTGAGGGAAGAAATCCAAAAAATTAAAAATCTTCAGAAGGTATGTCTTTGAACAGACAAACATTCATGGACTTTTGAAATTCATTACTTCTTTGGTGCCTGGGAGACTGACTTGCTGTGTCTTTCAGCTCTTCTTGTTAGAGGGATAAAGATTCCGCCTAACATATTTTCTCAACAAACTTTTGCTTTCCAATAAACTGAATAAAGTGGGAATATAGCTTCTCACTTTCTCCTAACCTTCAATTAATTATTAATAAAAACTTTAATGTACATGTTAGTTCAAGCTTCTATTTCATATTCTCCTTAAGATGTTTACACATCAACAGGGGCTATAATCTCAGAGTTTCCTGAATAACTTGGGGTGATGTTTCGAATAGCAATGCTGAGGGAAATTGAGGGAATCCGCTGGGGGAGAGATGTGGTAGGTGGAAGGAAGTGTTTTGGGGCAGTCAAAGATATGGATGAGCCCTTCCTCACTCGTTTGGGCCAGAGCTTCCTTCACAGCCCCCTCTGTTCTCTAACAAGGTGACTGTCTCAGTTTGGGGTGCATGAAACCCAAATCTACTCAAAGTAGATCAAGAAAAAGAGAAATTATTGGAAGGATTCAGGGAAACCTCACAGAAGTCAACTGTGGAAAGGCAGATGGGGAACTCCCTGCTTTCTAATCTCAACTTCTTTTTGTATGTCTGTTCTGCTCCTGTTTTTCTTTTTTTTCTTTTTTTCTGTCTTTTTTTTCTTTTCTCTTTTCTTTTCTTTTCTTTTCTTTTCTCTTTTCTTTTCTTTTCTTTCTTTTCTCTTCTCTTCTTTTCTTTTCAAGACAGAGTTTCACTCTGTCATCCTGGCTGGAGTGCAATGGTGCAATCTCATCTCATTGCAACCTCCACCTCCTGGGTTAAAGCGATTCTCCTGCCTTAGCGTCGTGAGTAGCTGGGATTACACGTGCCTACCGCCATACCCGGCTAATTTTTGTATTTTTTAATAGAGACGGGGTTTCACCATGTTGGCAGAGCTGGTCTCGAACTCCTGACTTCAAATTATCTGCCTGCCTAGGCTTCCCAAAATGTTGGAATTACAGGCATGAGCCACCATGCCTGGTCTCTGTGCTTGTTTCTTAAGAGGAGCTCACATTTCTTAGGAACCAGCATGTGCAAGGCAGAAAATGGCTGTCAATGCTGAGTCTACATGGTCTTCTGCCATTTGACCAGCTATAGATTCTGTTGAGATTCTCAAGATGGGGAAAGTATTATAGTTTGCTGGCTAGTTTATGGATTGGCTAGTTTTGAGCCAGCCACCACACTTGTTTGATTAACTGTAGCTCAGGCAGAAGGAAGGTCATTATGATCCCATTTATATTAAGCAGGAGCTACAGGAAGATTCCCTGAGAAAAAAATGAAAGGGCAAGAAAATTGACCATGTGTATTTAATGAAATGAATCAATGAAAAAAACGAATGGCTGATATGGTAGCAAAATGAAAGCAGTAAGACATAAAAACTCACTATAATTCAAAGGTTAAAAAAGTTTTAAGGTTTTTGTCGAAAGTAAACAAAACATAAGAACAAATATGTAAAAGATAAAACTGCAGGGGGTAGAAAACAAAGCAGTCAAGGAGGTTACAAATTCAACTTTTTAACAATATTTATTGAATGTTAACTTCATACCCAGCTCTCTTCTGGGCAGTGATTAGTGAACAAAAAGATGTTTCCTGTCTGTAGGGGACTCATAGTCCAGTATGAAGAGCAGACATTAAACAATAAAGAAATTAAATGCATAATGGGGAAACATAGTAAGAGTTGCAAAAACAACAAACATTCTAACCAACTAATAAACATGCTACTATAAATAAGAGGTTAAGCAAAGATCTAAATGACAAGACGCAATCAGTCACATAAAATCAAAGGAAGGGTTTCCAGGCAGTGGAAACAGCTGGAACAAAGGCCTTAGTGTAGAAACAAGTTTGATGAATTTGAAGAGCCTAAATGAGGATTAGGAATGCTAAAATAAACATTTAAATTATAAAATGACTTGAAAAATAAACACAAAGTTAAAGTTGGAATAAAAAGTTTAAAATAGTAAGATAAAGTGATGTCTAAAGTAATTAAGTTAGAATAAGGCAAGAAAAGATAAGGGGCATTCATTTGTCATTTATTATCATTTATGTTCCAGGCACTTGCTATGTGCCTGAATACAGTAGTGAGCAAAGATAACCTTGCCTGGGGAGACCAATAAACAACACTTAAAAAACTGAATGCTAAATGAGTGAGCTTTAAAGATGAGTACATGATTCAAATGAAGCATGAGCTGGAATATCTTGCCAAGGTGTCTGAGGTCAGAAAAGCCTTCCATAGAGAAGTAACATCATTAGAAAAATGCAATGGACTGAGATTTCTGTCCTCCCTAAATCCATATGTTGAAATCCTAACTCCAAGGTGGCGGTATTAGGAGATGGAACCTTTGGAGGGTTAGGCTATTGGTGCCCTTATACAAGATAACCCAGAGAGAGAGATCCCTCGCCCCTTCCCATGTGAGGTCACAGGGAGAAGACAGCTGTCTTTGAGGAAGCGGGCCCCCACTAGACGCCAAACGTAAGAGTGCCTTGACCTTGGACTCCAGATTCCAGGACTAGGGGAAATAAATTTATATTTATAAGCTGGCTGGTCTATGATGTTTTGTTGTAGCAGCCTGAGCAGACTAAGACAAGAAGCTAAAATGATCTGAAAAGGAATTCAAACATAAGAAATATCAGGCAATCTAAAATATATAAATAACATAATATACAACACACACACACACACACACACACACACACACAAACACACACACAGAAATAAGAGAAAAAGTTGCAGGCAAGACAGCCCCAAGAGAATGGCAGAGTCTGTTTTGTGAAGGCCATGGGGATACTGAAAAGTCCAGAAATTTGGGAGTAGAGAGAGCTCTTCTTAAGCAGAAATTTCTGGCAGTTCAAGTTCAGGAAAAATGGTCTCAAGCAGAGACACTTCTGAATTACAATTTCACATTAACCTAAGTTTGGTATTTGTCATTCATCCATCCACCCATCCAGCCATCCAATATTTTTTGAAGACCTACTGTGGGACATGCATAACAAATTCAGTCCTGAAAAACTGTATTACATCTAGATATCATAAAATCTATCTCTATATCAAACCGGTTTAACAGAGAACTATGTAACTAGGTGGCACAATATTAATTCCCTGAAGAATTGCTTTTATTGAAGTATACTTGAGAGTTTTGCCATCAGCCTAGGTTGGTGAACTCTGTAAACAAACACCTTACAATTTGTGTGTCTGTTGTAAGATGTTTACCATGTAAATCTCTATAACACAAAGAGTATTTTTTAAAGACAATTTCCACCCTTCCGTTTGCCAAAGAAAGTTTTATCTGAGCTTAGTACTAAAATAGCTGTAAATTTCCTGGAAATCTTGAGTTATATAAGATTTCCTTATTTAATTTTGGATAGCCTAGAGCAAAATGTGTGGCTCACCAGCATGTTGTGGTCAGGTTTTTTTGAAATGCTATCCCCAGCTTTGTTTCTTTTTCCTTTTTCACTCTACTTTTAAGTTATTTTACTTTGTCACATTCTGGTACCTTGTAAGTATGAAATCCTATCCAGAAATATGACAGGGTGTAAGTAGATAAATTATTGTGCCAGCCTCTGTAATACACATTAAGGATACAATATAAGCTAGGCATTTTTTTTGTTCCCCAAGAAATTCACAGTCTAGTGTGGGTAGAGATGTGTAACATGATTGCTACCAGCTGTGAGGCTTTTGCAGTGATTTTAGCAAGTTCTTTTACTTCTTCACTATTTCCTACCCATTTATCCTATTCTAACCATGAGATGTAACATTGATTTTTCTACCCAAAGCAAGGGATGTAGCAAAGTTGCAGGTAGTTTTGCACGGTGGAAAAAGACTTGAACCTGAAGTTAGAAGACCAGGATTTCAAGTCGTGCTTTTTTATTTCAAAGCTTTGTCACCTTGAACAAGCTAGTTCACCTTTAAGTCTTGGTTACTCATCTATATAATGGGTAATGTGAGGATACAATGAGTGAAGTAAGTGAATCCATGGCTAGTTTTGGTGCTTTTGAACTGTGATTCCATAACATCATGCTCGTACCTCTATCATAGTGCATACTAGACCAGCTTTCTTTCTCAATACACTGTAACCTTCTTAGGGCAGAGTACAGTTTTGTTTATTTTTCTATTTCCAGCATCTGGCATATCAAAAACACTGAACAGATGTTTAATCAATGAATTCATTATGAAGAAAATCAACATTTATTGAATGCACACTTTGTGTTAGGTTAATTGGTTTGAGTACATTTTCTCTAATACTCATTACTTGAAACCTTAGGTATTATCATTCATGTTTTAAATATGGGAAAAATGAGACTTAGGGAGGTTAAATAATTTGCATGAGGCCACATAAAATTTTTCAGTAGAATGGAAATTCAAACCCATGTTTGCTTGTACTTTCTCCACTGCTCTAATCTGCTTGCCAGCAATTGCCACTCCCAGCAGCTGTAAAAATTAATATTTCTGTGCATCAAGGTTCATAGCAATTAAAATAAACATTCTAACACACATTCTAACTTAATAACATTCTTAAATAATAATACATGTGTGTATGTGCAACAGTACAAATTCCACTCTCCCAAAGTCCTTTGATGGCAAATGATAGCTGTATTATGTAGTATTTGCATAGTGTTTTCTACAAGCCTCTTTTCTGAGTGCTTTAGAAATTTTAGCTCTTCAAGACTGGGCACAGTGGCTCACGCCTGTAATCCCAGAACTTTGGGAGGCCGAGGCAGGCAGATCACCTGAGGTCAGGAGTTCGAGACCAGCCTGACCAACACAGAGAAACTCCGTCTCTACTAAAAATACAAAAAAGTTAGCTGGGCATGGTGGTGCATGCCTGTAATCCCAGCTACTCAGGAGGCTGAGGCAGGAGGCTTGAACCTGAGAGGCAGAGGTTGTGGTGAGCCGAGAGCACGCCATTGCACTCCAGCCTGGGCAAGAGCGAAACTCTGTCTCAAAATAATAATAATAATAATAATAATAATAATAATAATAATTAAAAAAAAAGAAATTTTAGCTCTTCAAGCCTCATAAACCTGTGCAGAAGGTATTATTACCCTATCTTAAAGATGAGAGGTTATGTAACTTGTCCAAGGTCACTCAGCTAATAAATGTTATGAAACTGAGATTTGAACTCAAGTAGTCTAGCTCCAGGTTCATCACCATCATGCTTTACTGCCTCTCAAGTGGTGTCAATGGAGGCTTTTTTTAGGACACTTCCAGGCGTGCCTGGCTCTCAGTAGACTGAAGTGTGGGCTATTCAATCAGGTGTCTATCCTGCGTGCCTTATTGTGGAACTTCATAAAACTGAAATTGAACGTCAATTCAAATCAATTTATCACGTAATCAGATTATGTGAAATCTGATGTTTGGAGAAGCCTAATTGTAACATTGTGTTTGAGGCAGGAGATCAAAAATCAATTGTGTGGCTTGTTGAATATCAATCATCTTTTTATTTATAGCAAACTGTTGGCTTAGGATTATTCAATACATATTTATAAAATATTGGTAAGTTAAATTAATAATAAATTA
The DNA here is from genome assembly GCF_000001405.40 of Homo sapiens. Taxonomy (NCBI): domain Eukaryota; kingdom Metazoa; phylum Chordata; class Mammalia; order Primates; family Hominidae; genus Homo; species Homo sapiens. The sequence goes on along the minus strand of NC_000011.10, from coordinate 82,598,175 downwards.
TCAGCTACAAATCATTTGCATTTCACTTAGCATGGAGGGTGAAGAGTATTTTAGAGTAGATCCTTTGCAATGTATCATTTTGCCATTCCTGTGTAATTTCAATGTAATCTTGAGTAAATATGACTTCAATCTAGAACTGAAGCTGTGCCAATACCCAGGGGGCATCAAATCCACTGAATATTTTTTATTTCTGAGTATATGCATATATATATACCAACCTCAGTAAAATTTGGGAAGCAGTATGGTAGAGTCTAACCTAGGTTGACTTTAGAGCCAGACAGATATTAGTTTAAATCTTAATAGTAATAAAAACTACCAGGAATTGATAGTTCACTATGTATGTATCGTTGTACTAAGTGATGACAAGGTAGCACTAATGTTAAAAGTCCCTGCTTAGAATCAGCCAAACCAGGAATGAAATCCTGGCTATAGCATATCCTACCTTTGTGATTTTGGCTCCACTTTTTCATCTACAAAATGGGTACAATTGTTGTTGTAAAGATAAAATAAGAAAATCTTTTCCACTAGGAAAGTGAGTGTTTGTGGATTGTTTAGCCTCCCTCAGCTTTCTTATTTGTTAAATGGAGATATTAGTAACCACTTTTTTGGGTGATTGTGAGACTTCAATGAGAAAATGTAGGTAATAGGCCCAATGCTTATTAATTCCAATTAGTAGGTGCTCAAACATTTGACTTCCTTCCACTCTCTCCCATTACTGACATTAAGTCAAAGTTCTTCAGTTGGCTAGATGTCCTCTGGTAAAAGTGTTTCATGAAATATTCCAGTTTTTGTACCCATCAGTAATGCATTAATGGGCACAAAATATATATAGGGAGCAATATATTTGACTGAGTAAGAGTTATGAAAATTCTAGGAAATTAAAAAGAAGTGAATGGGCCATTTTTTGTATTTATGCTAAGTGGTTATAATCATTTCAAAACAATTCAGGTTTCTTTTCAGCTAGTTTTTAATCAGATTATCTGAAATTTGATGTTTAGAGAAGCCTAACTGTATTAAACTTTTTAATTCACAGCCAGTTCTTTTGCTTCTGTATATCCCATCACTGCCACTGCTGAAGAATTAAGTATCTCTGTCACTGAGATTCCTGCAAGATTGATTTCCCTATATACTGCAGCCTACTCTTGTTACACATTTTTCTATTTCAAGTCTTCCTGAGTGTGAAGTCACATGTCTGCATCTTAGTTACAGAGATATTAAGAATGTTAGTTTTCCTATTTCTACATTAGGAGGTAGAATTCCTAGTGTAAAAAATTGCCAAAATTTAGGAAAGTGCTAAAAAAATATTGGGCATACACAAAGGACAGGTGTTCAATCTTCTATAACTAATGTATCTATTCTCCTATGACTGTTACTAACATTGTTTTCAAGTCTTTGCTCTCTTAAATGATGCTGTACTAAAGACTGTTATATATTGGCTTTAAAAATATTCCTTGGGAATAGATTTATACAAAAGGAGTTGAGTTAAAAGCTTTCTGTAGCACTGTAGAATATTTCCATAAATGTTTGGTAACACTCCCACCAGTAACAGATATTAGTGTTGTTTCACCGCAGTCTTGAGTATTATCAGTTAAAATGCTTTTCAGAGGATGTTAAGTTTATAATTAACTTGCATTTCCATGATGACTAGGAATAATGACATACTTTCATTTAATTATTAGGTCATTTTTATTCCTTTTAAATTTTTTATTTTGTGTGAATTATTTGTCTATATTCTATGTTCATAACTATTGGAGTTTCAGTTTCATGTTAAGTTGTATAAACTTTTGTGTTCCAAGGTTATACATATTCATATGTATTTTCTTAGTTTATTGTTTGCCTCTTATTTTGGTTTGTTACAATTTGTGATGTTAAAAGTCTAAAAATGTGTGTGTGGTTAATACTATCTATTGTTCATTAACATTGTGGTTTCTTCCTTTTCTTAATGCTTTAATGTTCTTTTAAAAATCAATTCAAATAGATTTTAAATTTTATGTTTTACAATTTAAAATAATTTCTTTTTTTTTTTTTTTTTTTTTTTTTTGAGACGGAGTCTCGCTCTGTCGCCCAGGCTGGAGTGCAGTGGCGGGATCTCGGCTCACTGCAAGCTCCGCCTCCCGGGTTCACGCCATTCTCCTGCCTCAGCCTCCCAAGTAGCTGGGACTACAGGCGCCCGCCACTACGCCCGGCTAATTTTTTGTATTTTTAGTAGAGACGGGGTTTCACCGTTTTAGCTGGGATGGTCTCGATCTCCTGACCTCGTGATCCGCCCGCCTCGGCCTCCCAAAGTGCTGGGATTACAGGCGTGAGCCACCGCGCCCGGCCAAATAATTTCTTATTTTACATTTGACCTTTTAATCCACCAAGAATTTATTTTGGCATATGGTAATAGATAAAGATCTAACTTCATTAGGCTTTAAATTGGTTGTCTTGGTACTACTTATTGAATAGTCTTTAATTTCTTCATTTATTTATGTTGCCTTCCTTATAAGGTAAATAATAGAGATTTTTTTTAGGCTATTTTGAAAAAATTAACTTATGTGCTGATTACTTATTACTAATCTACATCAAATAGTTTTTGGGTTAATCTCACTTATTTATCCTATGAGATAAGCTCTCCAATCACTTGGTAAAGTCAGTGATTTTGCTATTACATCTAAATAAAAATATGTGTGTCACTCATTTACTTGTCTCCTATTATTTTGAACCAGGTAGTTTTCTTAGAATATCAAGGCTCACTATAGACCTATTCTTTATCCCATCTACTTTGATCCACATGTCTATATAACTACCATTTGATTTTATTCCATACTAGCTAAGTTTAGGCCAGATGAGTCAATACCATATCACAGCAGTGAAGGGGAAGGCTGATCTGGCATGGGGCATGTACCAATCTTCTTGAGGCTAATCATAGAAATGATATGGCAGTGTGTCTGGGCTGTACAATCTACCTTCTTTCCTTTTATCTTCGAAGAAGTGATTCTACACTATGTCAACAAATCCTCCACTTGTCTACTAGTTGCCTCTGTTGCCTATTTGTGGTACATTTTTATTCTCAAATAAAAATACCTGTTATAATACAGGTCGAGTATCCCTTATTTGAAATACTTGGGATGAGAAGTGTTTTGGATTCCAGATTTTTTCAATTTTTAGAATAATTGCATATACATAGTAAGATATCTTGAGGATAGGACCGAAGTCTAACCACAAAATTCATTTATGTTTCATATGCACCTTATGCATGTGGCCTGAGGGTAATTTATACAATATTTTTAATAATTTTGTGCATGAAACAAAGTTTGTGTTAAGTACTTTCATGTGGGATTTTCCACATGTGGTGTCATGTTGCTGCTCAAAAAGCTTCAGATTTCGGAGCATTTTGGATTTTGGATTTTCAGATTAGGGATGCTTTACCTTTATAGACAAACTAAGTTTTATTGACTTACTACATAGTAAGTGAGAGTACCACACATACAATCTTAAATAACATGTTTAAGAAAATGAGTGTGTGCTTTTTATTACTTATGTGTTGGAATTGGGAATTCTTAGGCCAGGATATCAGAAGGAGTGGGGAGGTCTTTGGATTTTTTGAAATTTTAAGTTTAGGGCCAATCTAAGTGACATAAGGTTCTGAATAAAGCATAGTTGAATAATTGATGGGATAGTTTTTCTGGTTCTCAGTATTACATAACTGATGAGGTTCGTTTTACAGATTTTCAGAATTCTGACTTTAGATAATCCCCTGTCTAGGCCAAAAGGTCAGCCACAAAATCAGTCTCATTGCAGATCTACACCACTGTCTTATTCACTAGGTGACATATTCATCCCAGTAAAAAAATGTTTGGAGTCAGACCTGGATCTGGCCTTCTTGCTTCTCTTGTCAAATGATGAGTGGTTGGATCACCTGACATAACAGTGACTGTGCAGCATTATGTAAGACTCAGGAGAAACAACAATTGCTACCTGTAACACTCATGAAGAATAAGAGCCTGAATGCTTTAAAGCCATGGCCCTCACATGCCAAACTCAGAAGAAAAGCATGCCTTAGAGTCCCTTTTGGTCTACCTGGAAGAAGCAGGTGGCCATGACCTTCAGTTTGGAGATAAATTATTCTACTTGAAGAATTGTGTTCATCCAAATTCAACATGAAATATTAGAAATGGCACAGGTAGTGCCATGGCTAACAAATAGAAAATGAAAGCTATTTAATTGTTTATTTTACTTGGGCTGAAGAGTTTAGACCTGTCTGCTAAGGCTTAAGCACTGGAAGAATATAATTTATAACTTTGGCTAACTTTAATAACAAATTTCTGACTACTTTTTCAATTTGCAAAACCTTCGTTGTAGAAATTATTGATGGCATATAGAAAAAGTGAATCAGTGATTACTATGAGCAATTCTCCAGAGTAGCCTATAGTGGCTGCAGAAATTCTTGGGAATGCACTTCAATGAAATACGAAGCACAGAGGTAAAAAGATCACGAATACTTGAAAGTCTCTATCAATTACTCAATATATACAAGTAAAATTTATTTATATTAAACAAGTGAGGACTTGTTGTCAACATGAAAGATAGTAATCCATTGGAACACAAATTTTGTTGGGGAGTAGATGTTTATCATAATAGAAGTATGCCAGTTATCTTCTTTCCTTTGGGAAAAAAATTTCTCTAACTGGAGTTGAATAACTGCTATAAGGATATTGGAGAATCTCTGAGGAGAACAAGTGACCTAGTACAGAAAATGTAGCCTCAATACTTGTTCTTAATGTGTTTCTGATTTCTATTGACAACACTATAATCGTTTTTATAGAAATATTTTGCTGTTACACAGTCAAGTTCAATTTTTATATGACTGGATGTTATAGTTAATACTGTGGTTATATTTCAGGTACTAGAACAGTGTAGTGGAATGACTCCCTGGAAGTTTAGGTAAATGATGATTAGATTTTTATCTGAAGTGCTGGGTGGTGTATGGCAAACTTGAGTCAGTATCATTTAGGGCTATAGCCAAAGTCTGTAAAAATCTTACAATAGCGTTGGATAATTCTATTTAGAACAAAGTGGGTATGAGTATGGTTAAAGATAATCTCTTCAACCTGGTTATGATGCAGTGCTCTTTTATCAGCAATGTATGAGTGAAAATCAGCAAAGTGGCAAGAAGTAGGCAAACATTAAAGCAAGGGTGCTAAACAAATGATAGTATGTTACTCTGTGCTTCTGGGCAGCTGGATGATCTAGTTCTAAAGATCTTGGGTGGTGGCTATCTCCGTTATGTTGCGGTTTGCTTGAGCTGAATATCTTAGGTTAGCATTCTCCTTCTGAAGATCATCAATTCTTAAGAATTCTTAGCCTGAGATCTATAGCTGGAATGGTCTACCTGTGTTCTGAGGATCACTTGTAACTTTTAAACAGTGAGGCATGAATCTAAAGATCTACACCTGGAATTTTAATGATTTGCTAATTGTTAACTGATATAAATCCCTTTCCACTGCATTCAAAGGATATCTTTCTGTGATATCTCTTTCAGCAGGCCAATTTTTTAGGTTTTAGATTGTGCAAGGATTTCTAAATGAACTCTCAGGAGGGCTGCCCATGTCTGTTGATAAGATTGAGTGTACTGCATGAGTCCCTTATTGTATTTTGACCATATTTACTTGCATTAGGACAAAGTCTAAGACTGTAAGTTATATTGTTAGATGCATGGTGGCTTGTTGTTAAATGACAAAAAAAGAGATTGATGAACTTTAAAGAGTGTTGATATTATTTTCTTTAGGCTAGGGACAGGACCTTGGCTAATAAAGTTCAAGTATTTCTCAAAGTCTGGCTAACTTTAATTTGAGAATTTCATTGGCCCTTTTTATTTTACCTGAAAAGTAGATATAATGTCTCAAGTGAGGGTAATGGCTTGCAAAGCTCTTTGATGACTGTCCCAGTATAATGAGCACAGTTATTACCAGAAAGGTAGTAGAGATTCGTCAAGTAAGAAACACAACATTAAACAGCATTGCGATGATTTTGAAGTTGTTGTTCTTTGGCAGGGAAAAGCTTTAACAACCCCGAAAACAAGGATAAATAATGAGAATAAGAAAGTAAAATTCCATCTCGAGGGTCAAATACACCTGAAGTTTTTCTCCATTTATGGCTCACCCTTACAATTTTGCCAGGATTATGTTTTGGCAGGTAAGACATGTAGTCGAGAAATCCTGATGACTTTTCCCAAATTCCCCTAACGGTGCTGGTTTATAATGGTGGCCAGTTTGTTCTTGCTGTGATGTTTATTTCATGCAGGATCTTAGCATACAAGTTATATAGTTTTCAGTATTTGTTTTTTGATGTTGGGGCTGAATTTTGACCTTCCATGATGGCTTATTTGAACACTTCCCAAATCCACATATTTGGGGGAGTATCACAAGTCAGTACCTTTATAAGGACGATTTCCTTGGCATAATAATGGGCTAGATTGTGTCCTTTAGCCTCCAGAACATTTATATATAAAAGCATTATTGCTTTTAGAGTAGCTACTTTCTTTGTCAGCATTAGGACATCTAGAAGTTCCTTGACTACTTAAACAGTTTTGGTAAGTTTCCATTTTCTATTTAGAAACAATTACTCTTTTCTAGACATCATTATATCAAAAAGATACCTGTACTTGTATGTTTATCACAGCACTATTCACAGTAGCCCAGATATAGAATCAACTTAAGTGCCTACCAATGGATAACTGGATAAGGAAAATATAGTGTGTTGCGCACGTGCGCGCACACACACACACACACACCATGGAATACTACTTAGCCAAAAAAAATAAAATAATGTATTTTCAACAACATAGAGGGAACTGGAAGCTATTATCTGAAGTAAAATAACTCAGAAAATTGAATACCACATGCTCTCACTTATAAGTAGAAGCTAAATAATGTGTACACATGGACATAAAGAGTAGAATGATAGACACTGGTGATTCAGAATGGTGGGAGGGTGGGAGGGGTGTAAGGTATGATAAATTACTTAACAGGTACATTGTACACTATTTGGGCGATGGTAAAACTAAAAGCCCAGACTTCACCACTATGCAATATATCCCTGTAGCAAAACTATACTTGTAGTCCCTAAATCTATAAAAATATATATAAAAAAGAAACAATTACTCTTTTCAAAGCACCACAAATCATGAACAATCCCAAAAGTCTATGATTCTATCTGCATATGGGCTCACCGTTTGGGAGCATCCAAGATGGTGTGGAGCCATTCACTTACTTTATTTTGCACAGCCATTAACCTGTTTTGGGCCATATTCTATTTTGCTCTAAGATCCTCTCAATAGGTTTGGGCAACTGCTAAAGGTCTGTTAGAATTATTTTCTATTTAGTATTTGTTTATACACCAAGTCCTATATTTCTGGCTTAAGACCATTCATAAAAAATGAGGATAGTGGTGGGAGTGGGGGTTATGAAAAGAGGTCGATTAATGGCTGCAATATAAAGTTAGAAGAACTAAGACCTAGTGATCCTAGTGATCTGTAGATAAGTAGGGTGACTATAGTTAACAATAACCCATTGTACATTTTAAAATAGCTAGAAAAAATAATTTGAATGTTTCTAAATTAAAGATAAATATTTAAGGTGATGGAAATCCTAATTATCCTGATTTGACCTTTACACATTATATGAATATATCAAATTATTACTTGAACCTTGAAAATATGTTCACCAGTTACATATCAATAAAAATAATTTAAAAAATTTAAACAAAATAATGATAGTCCTCCAGAAACACTGGCCTGTGGACCTACCTGAATATTGACTGAAGTTATTGAAAAGGTGATTTCTAAAACCTCTGTTGAGTTTGCCCTTTCTTTGCTTGCAAGACTGCATTATTATCTACTCATTCTTTGCTGGAGTTACAGCAAGGATAATCCTAGGTAAGGGCTGTCTCACATTTTGTGCTTTTTCTCCATCCCTGTTCTCTTTGCTAGATATCAAGAATAACTTCACATTTAAAAGTATTTCCAGTAAGGGGTGTGTGGTGTGTGTGTGTGTGTGTGTGCCTGACTTAGCATTGAATATTGAATAGGTATACTAAGAAAAATATTAGTTATTATATATATTATATATATATATATTATATACAGATCAGGGAGGCTGGGATGGTGAGTTCCCAATATTATTAAAGTTCTTCAGTAAATGTTTCTTTCCTCTGAGGATTTGGGAAAATATGTGGTGATTGCCTATAAATAAGACTGAGGGTAGAGTTTAAAACCTGCTTTCTAGGTATTTATTCCTGTTTTGGTGACATTATTGTTATCATTATTTAGAGACAGGGTCTGATTCTGTTGCCCAGGCTGGAGCACAGTAGCACAGTCATAGCTCACTACAGCCTCCAATTCCTGGGCACAAATGACCCTCCTGTTTCTTCTCTCAAGTAGCTGGGACTACAGATGCACACCACCATGCCTAGTTAATTATTTTTATTTTTTGTAGAAACAGGGTCTTGCTATGTTGCTCAGGTGGGTAGTAATCTTGTCTTTAATGGAACTGTGACTTTTAGGATGAAATCAGTTGGGGGAAAGATGGTTTAAGACTAGGGGAATTGGAGGAAAAGGGAAGAGGATCTGAAAGATAATCCTTCTCGCTTTAGAAAAGGATTAAAAGTAAGAAATGGTACTGTTGGGTATAGGCAATGACAAGAGAAACAAGTTTTTGATGATTCAAAAGTGAAATTTTCTGAAATGTTCACAAATTTTATTAGCTTTGGGCAAAGAGGTTTTTCATGAACATAATAATAAACTTCAGTGAAGAATTTTGTTTAGAGATTTCTTTATTCCAATAGAAAAAGGAAGACCATTAATCATTAGAGATTTTGCTGCCTTTTGCTCTAAGATGTCTCCAAGATGTGCGTATCATGAGGTCAAGAGATCGAGACCATCCTGGCCAACATGGTGAAACCCCGTCTCTACTAAAAATACAAAAATTAGCTGGGCGTGGTGGCATGTGCCTGTAGTCCCAGCTACTCGGGAGGCTCAGGCGGGAGAATCGCTTCAACCCGGGAGGCGGAGGTTGCAGTGAGCCGAGATCGCCCCGCTGCACTCCAGCCTGGCAACAAGGGAGACTCCGTCTCTAAATAAATAAATAAATAAATAAATAAATAAATAAATAAATAATAATAAAAATAAAACCTCCAAGATGGAGAATCCTGGTTATATCAAAAATTCTCCTAAGTGGTACTGTGATTCTAAATTATTTTTGGTGAAATTGTGCCATAGGCAAAGAATTTAGATTATAAATGGGAATATATTTAAGAAGCAAGTATTGAGTCTGGCAGAGGCACAAACTTGGAGATGATTGACTCAATATGCTCCAGTCACATCAGCATTATTTATTTTTTCTGTTTTTTTTTTTGTTTTTTTTTTTTTTTTTGAGACGGAGTCTTGCTCTGTCGCCGAGGCTGGAGTGCAATGGCGCGATCTCGGCTCACTGCGAACTCCGCCTTGCTGGTTCACGCCATTCTCCTTCCTCAGCCTCCCGAGTAGCTGGGACTACAGGCGCCCGTCCTCACGACTGCTCATTTTTTGTATTTTTAATAGAGACGGGGTTTCACCGTGTTAGCCAGCATGGTCTTGATTTCCTGACCTCCTGATCTGCCCACCTCGGCCTCCCAAAGTGCTGGGATTACAGGCGTGAGCCACCACGCCCGGCCAGCATTTTTATTTCTTGAATGAGCCATGCTCATTTTAAAATCCCAGGCCCAATATATTTTCCACTTCCTTTGCCTCAACTGCTTTTTTATTTAATTCAGTTTTCTGTTTACATGGTAGCTCTGAAGAGCTATCTTCCCAAATCACCTTCCTTAAAATAGTCTTTAATCTTTTTCTTTATTTTTATAGTACTTATCATCATGCCTGAATATTATATATTCATATATATACTCCCTTTTTAAGCTCCCTTAGGGCATTGATTTGTTTGGCTTATCTGTCACCATCTTCTTGCCATCTAGTATAGTTCCTGACACACAGCACACGCTTAATAAACATTATCAATTTAATTAAAACATAGTTTTTCTTAGGCCAGAATCTGTCTGACTAGGGCTATATTGCTGCTTAATAACTTACTTTTACAAAATAGCTTTATTGAGATGTATTTCATATACCATCAAATTTACTCATGTAAACCGCACAATTACTAGGTTTTTAGTGTATTCGTAGATATGTGGAACCATCACCATAGTCAATTTCATAACATTCTTATCACCTCAAAAAGAAGACCTATTTTCTTTAGCTATCATCCACTTATTCCCTGATCCCTTCTCCCCACATTTTTTCTTTCTTAACAAATAGTCTGAATGCTACTTGAGTCACCACTGGTAGGCATTATATATAATGAAGGCCCTTACACAGTTCATACACTGTTGGTGTGCAGCACATGTATATCATCCCTCTTTTATCTTTTAATATTCTTAATAGTCACAAAGCCAGAGATTTTATTCCTAATTTTCTAAATAAGGAAGTTAGAACCTAAGGAGTTAAGAAAAGTGTACATGGTCACATAGCTGGTCTCCAGAGCTCTTATCCCTTAGTGGGGATAACAGACAGCATGCATGAAATTCACAAGTAGAATCCCCTATTGGTGACTGGGTGGCACTCAGAGTTTTGGTGGTAGGCATTGAGGAAGACGGTCTTGTTTTATGCTAATAATGAAATGTGATTCTGTACAAAACTACACATAGAAGTGTAATTGGTGAAGGTGCCAACGCTTTTTAATTTTTTGCTGTCAATAATGACACTTCGGACTTGAGTCATAACAAGAACTATATAGAGATACATTTCCCTTCCTCAGAATGGCCACAAATCTCTTTCAAATTGAAATGGTGATAATATGCTTTTTTTCCCCATTCATTTATACATTCATCCATTTAGCAAATGTACATTTAAAATTCTACAATACTCTAAGTATCCGAAACCTTCAAATTTGGGGATACTTTCCCCATGAAAAATTATTTAACATATATAAAGAGATTTATGCACAATAATATTGACTGTATTGTTGACTATAATAAAGAAAAATGGGAAAGTAGTAAAATATCTAATAATATAAAATGGTGAAATAAATGAATGCATTCCCATGTCTAAATATTATGTAGGCAGTTGAAACAAATAACATTTAATTACTCAGTAAATGCTCAGGATATAGAGTTATATGACCAAAGCAACATATAAAATTACAAAAACAGTGTGACTTAATTATGTGTAAACAATGCATAGATAGGTGGCTTGGGGAAGCCTGTAATCCACCAGATTAGATTTGGCCCCTTTATTATAAGCTCCCAAACCACTTCACACTTTTCCTTTGTTATACTCATCACATTCGTAATTAGTTGTGCAACATCTACTATTTCCATTAGAATGCAGATGGGATGGCAGAGACTGGGTCGTTTTACTTAACCCTGTATTCCCCAGCACCTAGTATAGTGCCTAGCACAAATTCACAGTGAAACATTTAAACGATTAAGCTAATAAATTGATTAAGCAAAGAAAGAAAATATGCAATTAGATGGAGTGGTGGTAGCCTTGTGGAAGATGATTAAGTTTGAAGTCTTTGGAATCAGACATTCTGTTCGAAATCTTGTGTTACCCTTCTCTGTTGTCTCATGAAGCTTACAAAAACTTTTTATAGTTACAAGTTATTTTAAACCAAGGACAACTTAACTTTGACCACAAAGAATAAAAGAAAGAAACAAACTCTAAAAAACCCTACACTTTAACTCCAGATTCCCTACATTTTTACTTTTGGATGTCTCAATTTATATATTTTTATATTGCCTATCTCAACAAATTGTTGTAGTTATTATTATTTTAAATAGTTTTGTCTTCTAGTCTGCATACTAAAGATATAAGCAGTTTGCACACCACACTTACAGTATTAGAGTATTCTGAATTTGTCTATATACTTTATACTATATACTTTAATCAGTGAGTTTTGTATCTTCAGAAGTTTTCTTGTTGCATGTGAACATCCTTTTCTTTCAGATGGAAGAACTCCCTTCAGCATTTCTCGTAAGATGGGTCTGGTGACCCATTTTATAAAATGGTGATAAATGTCTCAGCTTTTATTTGTCTGTATTTCTCTTTCATTATTAAAGGATAGATTTGTTGTACACAGTATTCCTGGTGAACAGTTTTTTCTTCAGCACTTTGAATATGTCATCCCACTCCCTTCTGTCCTATAAGGTTTCCAATGAGAAGTCTGCAGCTAGATGTATTGGAGCTGCTTTATATGTTATTTGCTTCTTTTCTCTTGCTGTTTTTAGACACTCTCTTTGCCCTTCACCTTTGAGATTTTGGTTATTATATGCCTTAAGGTAGTCTCACTTGGGTTAAATCTTCTTGGTGATCTTTGACCTTCTTGTACCTGGATATTTATGTCTTTCTCTATGTTTCGAAAGTGGTCTGTTATTTCTTTGAATAGCCTTTGTATTCCTCTCTCTTTCTTTACTCTCTCTTGAAGGCCAATAACTCTTTCATTTGCTCTTTTGAAGCTGTACCAAGGAAGAAAGTGTCCTTTGCTCCTTTTCATTTTCTTTTTTCTCCTCTGTGTATTTTTTAGTAATGTTTTTGAGCTTACTGGTTATTTCTTCAACTTGATCAGTTCTGCCATTAAGATGCTCCATCCTTCACTGGTGTCTGTACGTCACTTTAAGTCCTTTTTCCTTTTCTGTAAAAATGAAGATAATTATAATACACATCTAACTGGGTGGTGATGAATATTATATGAGATAATGTATGTAAAGCATAATGCTGGGCACAGGGAAAGTGTTCAGTAAATTACAGCCATTATGATCATTATTTTTCTGTATTTTCCCAATTTTCCACAATGTGACTGCTATATTTATAATTAGAAAAATCAAATTTAAGAAGAAAAAAATAACCAAAATTGGTATATTACATGAGTCTTCCTCCTTCATCCTAGCTAGGAATTTAAAATGCATTGACCAACTCTTCACCAAAACGTCTTCTACTTTTTGAAAGTGTTGCAAAACTTTTTCTCCTTCATGAATGTTTTAAAGGCATTGGAAAGCCCATGTTTGCAAAATCTGGCGACAGTAGAATTGTTCTCAAGTCAAAGACTTTATGGCATAGAAAAATATAGTTTGTTGAGTGTTTTCTACACATGTACTTATAAATGGTTTGTTAAAAATCCTTTAGTTAATATATGTAAAATAGAGAAAATGAATAATTTGTCATTTAGCACTCCTGAGGAGTCTATATTGAGAGAACTTTTCTTTAAATTCAAGTGCCTTACAGAATGACAAATGCTGCATGATTTTGCTTGTGTGTGAAATCTAAAAAATTTGAACTCATAGAAGTAGAGAGTAGAATGGTGGTTACTGGGGGAATGAGAGGGTGGTTGAGGAGATGTCGGTTAAAGCATACAAAATTTCAGTTAAATCAAAGGAATCAGTTTAAGAGATCTATTGCACAACATGGTGAATATAGTTAATAACATATTGTATTCCTGAAAATAGGTAACGCACACATTAATTAGCTCGATTTAGCCTTTCCTCTATGTATACATATTTCAAAACATACGTGATAAATATATATGATTTTTGTCAATTAAAATAAATTAAAAAGGCAAGTAGGTGAGGTTATGGATGTTAATTAACTTCATTTAATCTTCATACAATGTATACATATATCAAAACATCACATTGTTCCCTATAAATATATACAATTATTATTTGTCAACTAAAAAAAAAAAGAAAACTAAAAGAAATCCAAGTGCCTGGGAAAATAATCTGAGAGATACTACTCAGGAAAATGCCAGAACACCCTAAAGTTGTCACTTTAATTGGTTGTTAATTGTGCATGCATGGCTAGAGGCTTATATTGATTAGTGTGCACAGTAAAAACAAATTCCATGTTAAACACTATCCTTTCCTCTAATAATAACATTTCTGGTAAACTCTAACTTCTTCCTCAAAACTCAAGTTAAATGTTATGCTGAGAAGCTGAGAAGCTTTTCATAATTTTCATGGAGAGTTAATGTTGTTTTTAGGCTTACCACATTTATTATATTTATCTGTTCTCCTTAAAAGTGCCTCCAAGGAAAAGTATTTGTCTTATTTCTCTTTTATACCATCTGTGCTTGGCAAAGCGCCTTATGTAGAACATGGTCAGGAAATATTTATTAAATGAATGAATAAGTGAATTGAAGACTCTTACAGAGTCATCTTTTTAATCAAGCAAAATTCACAATTAGAAAAAAAGCAGGGAGAACACATGAGTTTGAACTTCTGTGTCGCAGTGCAAAATTGCTACTGATCATGTTTGTGCCTAAACACTATTGATTAATACTGATGATTTCATTTCTTAATTAATTATTAAACTCAGCTGCCAACTGCTTGAGGGTAGAAATAATCTTTGGATCCCCTGTGTCTGGCACTGTGTTTTGATTATGAAAGGCCTTCAGTTCTGTAGGTATATTCTGCAAAAATCCCCTTGCAAGATGTTTTCATGATAAAATGTCTCTTGATTTTTAATTCTCAAATTTCATCTTTCATTACAATGTAAGTATCCTTCATTAAAATGTTTTCCAGGTAATATTAAGAAAAACTATATTTACATCCTTCAAACTAAATACAATTTTAAAAAACTGATGTAAGATAAGTCTTAAGTTACATTACCAATACAACTGATAGAGTTGTTGAATCACATGCAGTGTGCTTATACTAGGTGTTAGTATACCTCTTCTAGAATCTCTTCTTTGGAAAATTCCTTAGTCTTCTGGGAAAGACAGACAGATAAATCAGTGATGCAATGGCCTGAGCCTAGAAGGACGCACTGGGAGTTATAGGAAGCCAGAAGACGACCATGCTCCTAGCCCAAGCCAGAAGGATGATAATTTGCTGAGCCTTTCCAGGGACTCTAAACAGTTGAGCTGATTTTTTTTTTTTAATGGCAGGTAGAACCTATTTAGGCAGAGAAGAAGAAAAAATATCTAAGAAGGGAAGAAGAAATATATCCAAAAACACAGAGGTAAGATAGAGGTAATGACCCATTTTGGAGGCCTGAGCAGTTCCATGTGGGTGTATTCTAGGCTGTATTTGTAGTGATGATAAGAACTGAGGCCTAGAAACATGTAGACAGAGTGGAAACGGCTTTGTGTAGCATCATAGAGTGTTGAGCCTTTTTGCTGAAGACTGTGTGGTATCATAGAAGGTGTTAAGGTGGCACTAGTCTGTGGAAGCAAATTTATGTGTTTGCAATGGGGAAGGAGAGGAATAAACTATTAAAACAAATACTACAGTGGTGGAATCTGTAGAACTTTATTACTGTGGCAACTGAATAGCAGAGAGGAATCTAAGATTCATATTTCTGTCTTGAAAGACTAGATGAATGCTAATTCCATTCACTCATTCATTCATTTGTTCATTCAATAAATATTATTTAATACCTACCATTAGCAGAGAATTGTTTTATTTACAATAAAGAAAAAGATGAACAGGTTATGGGCTTTGATTTCTAGGAGCTCAGAGCCTAGCGGAGAAGGCAGAGATGTAGATAAATAGTGACAATACAGTGTGTTAATTACAATGATGTTTTAAAGTTATAAGGTAGAATAAGACTTAGAACAGGGTATAATTAATTTTTCTTGGGAGTGAATAGGAAAGTGTGAGAGAGGTGATGATTCTTGGGCTAGGTCTTTTTTTTTCTTTCCAGGTAAGAAATCTTTATTCATGCCATTACTGATGGGGTTTATGAAATGAAATTACACATGCAAGATTTTTCGTATTACTATTATCAAGCTTTGCTGAGGCATTTACTACCTTAGTTGGCTGTTTTGCTTTCCCTAGACATTTTTTTTTCAGCTTGAATTTCCTTTTCTTTTTCTCAACTTTTATTTTAAGTTCCGGGGTACATGTGCAGGATGTGCAGGTTTGTTACATAGGCAAACATGTGCCATGGTGGTTTACTGCACAGATCAACCCATCACCCAGGTATTAAGCCCAGTATCCATCAGCTATTCTTTCTTATGCTCTCTCTACCCTTACCATCACCAACCCCCAACAAGCCCCAGTGTGTGTTATTCTCCTCCCTGTGTCCATGTGTTCTCATTAATCAGTTCCTACTTATAAGTGAGAACATGTGGTGTTTGGTTTTCTGTTCCTGCATTAGTTTGCTGGGAATAGTGGCTTCCAACTCCATCCATGTCCTTGCAAAGGATGTGATCTCATTCCTTTTTATGGCAACATAGTATTGCATGTACCACATTTTCTTTATCCAGTCTATTGTTGATGGGCATTTAGGTTGATTCCATGACTTTCCTACTGTAAATAGTGCTGCAAGGAACATATGTGTGCATGTATCTTTTTTTTTCTTTTATTATACTTTAAGTTCTGGGATACATATGCAGAACCTGCAGGCTTGTTACATAGGTACACACATGCCATGGTGGTTTCCTGCACCTGTCAACCCATCATCTACATTAGGTGTTTTTCCTAATGCTATCCTTCCCCTAACCTCCCACCCCCCGGCAGGCCCCGGTGTGTGATGTTCCCCTCCCTGTGTCCCGGTGTTCTCATTGTTCAACTCCACTTATGAGGGATAACATGCAGTGTTTGGTTTTCTGTTATTGTGTTAGTTTGCTGAGAGTGATGGTTTCAAGCTTCATCCATGTCCCTGCAAAGGATATGAACTCAACACTTCTCAAAAGAAGACATTTATACAGCCAAACAAACATGAAAAAAAAGATTTTTTTTCTTTTTGAGACACAGTCTCGCTCCATCCCCTAGGCTGGAGTGCAGTGGTGGGAACTAGGCTCACTGCAACCTCTGCCTCCCAGGTTCAAGCGATTCTCCTGCCTCAGCTTCCTGAGTAGCTGGGATTACAGGTGCTTGCCACCACACCCAGTTAATTCTTTTGTATTTTTAGTAGAGACGGGGTTTCTCCATGTTGGCCAGGCTGCTCTCGAACTCCTGACCTCAGGTGATCCACCCACCTCGGCCTCCCAAAGTGCTGGGATTACAGGTGTGAGCCACAACACCTGGCTGTATCCTTATAATAGAATGATTTATATTCCTCTGGGTATATAACCAGTAATGGGATTGCTGGGTCAAATGGTATTTATGCCTCTAGGTCTTTGAGGAATCACTACACTGTCTTCCACAATGGTTGAACTAATGTACACTCCCACCAACATTTAATAATTTGTTAGTTTAATAATAGCAATTCTGATTGGTATGAGGTGGTATCTAATTGTGGTTTTCATTTGCATTTCTCTAATGATCAGTGATGTTGAACTTTTTTCATATGTTTGTTGGTCACATGTATGTCTTCTTTTGAGAAGTGTCTCTTCGTGTCCTTTGCCCACTTTTTAAATGGGGTTGTTTGTTGTTTTCCTGTAAATATGTTTAAGTTCCTTGTAGATGCTGGATATTAGACCTTTGTCATATGGGTAGATTGCAAAAATTTTCCTCCATTTTGTAGGTAGTCTGTTTACTCTGTTGCTAGTTTCTTTTGCTGTGCAGAAGCTCTTTAGTTTAGTTAGATCCCATTTGTCAATTTTTGCTTTTGTTGCTATTGCTTTTGGAGTCTTTGTCATGAAACTGCTGCCCATGCCTATGTTCTGAATGGTACTGCCTAGATTTTCTTCTAGAGTTTTTATTGTTTTGGGTATACATTTAAGTCTTTAATCCATCTTGATTTCATTTTTGTATATGGCATAAGGAAGGCAGCCAGTTCTAGCCAGTTCTCCCAGCACCATTTATTAAAGAAGGAATCCTTTCCCCATTGCTTGTTTCTGTCAGGTGAGTCTAAGATCAGATGGTTGTAGGTGTGCAGTCTTATTTCTGGGTTCCGTATTGTGTTCCATTGGTCTATGTGTCTGTTCTTGTACAAGTACAATGCTGTTTTGGTTACTGTAGCCTTGTAGTGTAGTTTGAAGTTGGGTAGTGTGATGCCTCCAGCTTTGTTCCTTTTGCTTAGGATTGCCTTGGGTATTCAAGCTCTTTTTTCGTTCCATATGAATTTTAAAATAGGTTTTTCTAATACTGTGAAGAAGGTCAATGGTAGTTTAATGGGAATAGCATTGAATCTATAAATTGCTTTGGGCAGTATGCCCATTTTCAAAATATTAATTCTTCCTATCCGTGAGTATGGAATGTTTTTCCATTTGTTTGTAATGTCTGATTTCTTTGAGCAGTGGTTTGTGGTTCTAGTTGAAGAGGTCCTTCACTTCCCTTGTTAGCCATATTCCTAGGTATTTTATTCTTCTTGTGGTAATTGTGAATAGGAGTTCATTCATGATTTGGCTCTCTGCTTGCCTGTTGTTGGTTTATAGGAATGCTAGCAATTTTTGCACATTGATTATATATCCCAAGACTGTGATGAACTTGCTTATCAGCTTAAGCTTTTGGGCTGAGATGATGGGGTTTTCTGGATATAGGATCATGTCATCTGCAAACAAAGATAATTTGGCTTCCTATCTTCCTGTTGGAATACGTTTTACCTCTTATCTGATTGCCCTGGCCAGGACTTCCATTACTATGTTGAATAGGAGTGGTGAGAGAGGGCATCCTTCTCTTGTGCTGGCTTTCAAGGTGAATGCTTCCAGCTTTTTCCCATTCAATATGATATTGATTGTGGGTTTGTCATATATAGCTCTTATTATTTTTAGGTATGTCCCTTCAATATCTAGTTTATTGAGAGTTTTTAAACATGAAGAGATGTTGAATTTTACTGAAGGCCTTTTCTGCCTCTATTGAGATAATTATGCGTTTTTTGTCTTTAGTTCTGTTTATGTGATGAATCACATTTATTGATCCGCATATGGCGAACCAAACTCGCATCCTGGGGATGAAGCCAGCTTGATCACGATGGATAAACTTTTGATGTGCTGCTGGATTTGGTTTGCCAGTATTTTATTGAGGATTTTTACATCAATGTTCATTAAGGACATTGGCCTGAAGTTTTCTTTTTTTGTTGTGTCTCTGCCAGGTTTTGGTATCAGGATGATGCTGGCCTCATATAATGAGTTAGGGAGGAGTCATTCTTCAATTTTTTGGAATAGTTTTAGTAGAAATCATACCAACTGTTCCTTGTACCTCTGGTAGAATTCAACTGTGATTCTGTCTGGTCCTGGGCTTTTTTTGGTTGGTAGGCTATTTATTACTGCCTCAATTTCAGAACACATTATTTGTCTATTCAGGAATTTAATTTTTTCCTGGTTTTTGGAGGGTGCCTTTATCTAGGAAATTGTTGGTTTCTTCTAGATTTTTCTAGTTTAGGTACATAGAGGTGTTTATAGTATCTCTGATATTTGTTTGTATTTCTGTGGGGTCAGTGGTGATATCCCCCTTATCATTTCCAATTGTGTTTATTTGATTCTTCTCTCTTAGCCTAGCTAGCAGTCTGTCTATTTTATTTTATTTTATTTTTCCAAAAAACCAGCTCCTGGATTCATTGATTTCTGGAAGGGTTTTCTGTGTCTCTATCTCATTCAGCTCGGCTCTGATCTTGGTTATATCTTGTCAAAACAGGCTAGCTTTGGGGTTTGTTTGCTCTTGGTTCTCTAGTTTCTTTTAGTTGAGATGTTAGTTTGTCAACTTGAGATCTTTCTAGCTTTTTGATGTGGGCATTTAGTGCTATAAACTTCCCTCTTAACACTGATTTATCTTCATCCCAGAGATTCTTGTATGTTGTCTTTTATTCTCATTAGTTTCAAAGAACTTCTTGATTTCTGCCTTAATTTCATTATTTACCCAAGAGTCATTCAGAAGCTGGTTGTTCAATTTCCAGGTAGATGTGTGGTTTTGAATAAATTTCTTAATCTTGGTTCCAATTTGATTGCATTGTGGTCTAAGAGACTGTTATGATTTCAGTTATTTTGCATTTGCTGAGGAGTGTTTTACTTTCTACTAACTGATCAATTTTGGGTTAAAACATGTTCCTTTAGCTCAGTACAACTTGTTATTACCCACCTTCTGAAGCCCATTTCTGTCAATTCATCCATGTCAGCCCCATCCCAGTTCTGTGCCCTTGCTGGAGAGGTGTTGTGGTCGTTTGTAGGAGGAGGGGCACTCTGGCTTTTGGAGTTTTCAGCATTTTTGTGTTTATTCTTTCTCTCTTTGTGGGCTTATCTACCTTTGATCTTTGAGGTTGCTGATCTTTGAGTGGGGTTTTTCTGGGGTCTTTCACTTGTTGATACTGTTTTCTGTTTGTTTGTTTTAATAGTCAGGCCACTCTACTGTAGGACTCCTGCTGTTTTCTGGGGGTCCGCTCCAGACCCCAGTCTCCTTGGCTTCTTCTGTAGAGGTGGTCGGGATCCCCTGCTGGAAGATCTCACCCTGTCAGGAGGGATGGGTTCAGGAACCCACCCAATGAAGCAGTCCGGTTGCTTCTTAATAGAGCAGGTGTGTTGAGCTGGGAGTGACCCTTCTTCATCTGGACTGCCTGTTTTCTTCACAGCCAGCAGGATGGAATGGCTGAGGTTAGGGAACTGCAGAGATAGAGACCATCCCTCCCCTTGGGAGCTCCCTCCCAGGGAGAGATCAGATCTCTTGTCTGCAGAACTGAAGACCCTCCCAGCCCTCCCCCAACCCCCTCCCCTCCAGCCCCGCTTCCCCAGTAAGGAGGAGTGAGTTGGGTCCAGTTAGAGAAGCAGTCTGGCCCCAATCTGGCAAGGCCACTGCACTGTTCCATGGGGTGCCCCTCCTTCTCTGGGCCATCTGGACTCTCCACAGCAGGCAAGCTAGAATGGCTGTTTCCCTCAAACCACAGAGATGGCAGCTGGCCCTCCTTCCGGGAACACAGTCCCTGACTCGGATGGACTTCAGCCCTCTGCCTTGGCTGGCTGGGATTCCAAGCCAGTGGGTCTTAACTTGTGAGCTGCCGTGGAATTGGGGTCCGTAGAACAACACTACTTGGCTCCCTGTATTCAGCCCCCTTCCTAGGGATGTGTATGGATGGATTTTCCGCTTTGGCAGGAATCCAGGGCCTCAGTACGCAAAGCTCCTGGGTCTCTGTGTGCGCTTGAGCCGTTGTTTTGCAGAGACTCAGCTCTGTGTATTGGATCCTGGTGGTGTGGGCTCATGCATCCTGTTCTTCAGGTTGCAAAGATCCATAGGAGAAGCGTGGCTTCGCTGGTGGCTCACAGAATCACTCACAGCATCCCCTGGCTGGGGTGCGGGTTCCTTTGCCTCCAGGCCACTCCTGGGTGGGCTGTTACCTCGGTGGGTCCAAGCTGCTTGCCTATTCAGTTACAATGCGAGAACCTGGATATTTCAGTTAAAGGTGTTGAATTCACTCGCCCCTTTTCATTTCACTTGTGAGTGCTGTGGACCTCAGCTGCTTCTAATCAGCCGTCTCGTCCCTCCCCCTGGACTAGGTCTTAAAATAAGAATAGAATGCTCAGGGAGGTTGAGATGGGAGCATCATTTGAGCCTAGGAAGTTGAGGCAGCAAGTGAGCTGTGCTCCAGCCTGGGTGACAGAGTGAGAGAAGAAGGAACGAAAGAGAGAGAGAGGGAGAGAGAGAGAGAGAGAAAGAGAAAGAAAGAAAGGAAAGAAAGAAAGAAAGAAGAAAGAAAGCAAGCTCCAAGTGTACAATGGGGGAAAAAACAGAATAGAATGCAAGGGGAAAAGTTTAATCCAGGGAAAGGAGCATCATGAAAAACAGCACGATGCTTTCAAGAAACCACAAGTAATTCAGTATGACTTAAGCATAAGTCTTGAAGTAGTTTGGAAATGGGGCTGGTATGTGATGCTAAGCATCATGAGTCTAGTGACCATGCTAAGAATTTTGTTTTTTTTTTAAATTTATTTAATTTTTAATTTTGGTGTGTACATGGTAAGTATATATATTTATGGGATACATCAGATGTTTTGATGTAGGCATGCAGGATTTTGTACTTTATCAGGCAAATCAACAGTTCTCCACTGGGAGAGTTCATCGGACTCTTCTGAAGACTTCAAATACATTTCTGAGGTCTTGGCTTACCCCAGCCCTCTTGAATTAGAAAGCACAAAAGCGAGCTTGCGGTGTATGTTATTTTCAAAGCCTTATGGACCAATCTGATGCAAAGCCACTGTAGGCAATGGTGGAACCATTGTAAGTTTCAAGCCTTTTTTTTAATGGCACATAAAGTGTTTTCTTGCTTTTCTATTGTTGTGGTGTGACCTACAGCCATCTCATAAAGCACAAGTTGATCATAGTGTTTACTGTTCAACCTTGTAATAATTGATTGCCACTTTCCAATCAAATGCAAAGAATAAATAGAATCTGATTACTGTGGAACCATCCTCCATTGTGGATATATTCTTGTCAGAAACTACAAAATACAAAAATGACCACAAATGATTTTTTCTCAAAACTACTTTTGTTATAAAATCTTCCCAAAGTGCACAAAGTATTCGAAAGGTTTTTTATGAACAAATTAGGGAAGGTTGGCACTTGTCTTACTCTTTTCAATTTGCTCAGTAATTAGTAGGGAAATGTCTCATAATGTTTGGTAAATGGAGGAAACAAAAGTGTTATCTACATATTTTGTTATCAAAATAGATAAGCTATCTAGCCTGACAACAGGAAATGAAATGATGATTTCATGCAGAAAAATGGATTATCTTCCATCCCTGATGAAATGGCAGTGAAAGTATATGAAATATTTAGGAGATAGGCAGTTCACAGCTACATCACAGCTTGAAGTTTCAGCATCAGTTTCAAACTCAGTAGGAATGCCTGGATTTCACTTCTCAATTTTGGATGGCGTTGAACATAATTAATCAGCATATTGACTCGGAGAGTGGGTAAAATATTGGGAAAGAGAGAAATTGGCTAGCGGAATTGACAATTTCCTTTAGTTTTAATTGTTTTAGTAACTACTGGCATTATTTGGCATAGGGAAATAATGAGTCACAGAATTACAAGGCTAGAGAAACTAAAAAAATCATTCAGTTCAATTTTTTACCTTACATTTAAATTTACTTTCTTGAAACAATGTTGACTTTCATTTAATCATTAACTTGTAAAATTATGTGACTCCTATATAGTAGTCACTTAATAAATCTGGCTTAAATAAATAAATATATAAACCTTTTCAGTAAGATCCCAGTCAAATTGTTTCTTTTAAGTCACCCTTTCTTTTATGTCACTAATGATGGGGAAATGGCTCTTTGGACAGTTCAGTTTCAAAGCTTTTCTTCTTTTAAAGCATATTCCACTGTGGTAGAGAATATGCATTTTAGACTTCAGCAGTCCTGGGTTACTATCCACTGCTCGTCAGTCATAAATTATTTAACAAATTATTTAACTTCTCCAGCCCCCTGTTTTCTCTCTCACAGAGTGAAACCTACCACTTGCATCATTGTCAGAATTAAATGAGATGATTCACCTGAAGTACTTGTCACAGTGCTTAATGGATAATAAATGCTTAATAAATATTAGCTTATTATTATTGCTAATAATATTATTATCTCCCTATACAGTCTGCCATTGGTCTTAGATCTCTTCTACAGAGCCATATGGAACAAACCTAATTCGTTTTTCAACACAAAGCCTTTTAAATATTTGAAGATGATTATCACATAATTTAAGTAGACAGAGAGGTAAAGAAGATAAAGTAGATCACTAAAAAGAAGATAACTATCATTCTAATGTCTACCTCCATGAGATTAACTTTTTTAGATCTCAAATATGTACCCTATAAAAATGTACAATACTATGTATCAATAAAAAATTTTAAAAGACCTATAAACCATCTCCAGAGTAAATAAAGAAGGCTAAAGAGACATAACTAATTGCAATACCTGACCCTAGACTAGATACTGTATCGAGGGGGCAAAATGTTATAAAGGCCTCTATTGAGCCAATTAACAAAATTAAAATATGGACACTAACCTAGACAAAAAGTACTGTGGCAATGTTAAATTTCCTGAGGCTAATAGTTGCATTGTGATTATGTAAGAAAATATCCTGTACTAAGAATATGCTCTGAACTATTTAAGGATAAATAACTATAATATATGTAAATTGCCCTTAAATGGTTAAAAAAATGAATGTTATACCATGGGATTTGGTATTCTAACACCATATTTCCCATTCTTGATATTTATCGCAGTCATTATGGTGTATATATATTTATTAAAGAGCCCTACATATATGTTAACTTCTTTTTTGTGTGCATCATAAAAACAGTGACCTGAGTTTTGAATAGGAGTAAAAATTTACAGCAAAATGTTCTAGGTAGATCAATTTGCCTAAAATTTGAATGAATCATTTTCTGTCATTGTTAGGCCATTTGTTAATAATGACAGTTGTTCATATTTGTTTTTTCCTATCTGGGATATGTAATCCTTGTTCTTTGGACTAGAGAAATTTAGCAATTTCTATAGTAAAATATAGCATTTTGCAGATGTATGTAGGCAATAAGTCAGGCTTATGGATCTACAACTACTCTGATAATGCGTAACTTTGAGCAAGTTACTTATCTTCTTGGAGCTTCACTTTCCCATTGATAAGATGGGTAGCAGATCTGTCTCATTGGATTTGTGAGATATGAGAAAATAATAATCGTAACTAGCATTTGCTAAATGACCACCTATCATGTGCTAGTTGTATACCATATATATTATATTGATCAATTTTAGGCAAATTGATCTACCTAGAACATTTTACTGTAAATTTTTGCTCCTACTCAAAAATCAGATCAATTTAAATAACAATTCTGCAAGGTAGAAACTATATTTTCCACATATGTAATAAGCATGGTAATCAAAATGTTACTTTCTGTGGTATTTTCCTCTTTGCAAAATTTCACAAGAGTTTTTCATTTTCATGATGAAAAAAGAGGCAGTGAGGTAGAGTGATTAAAAAACACTCTGAAGTTCAGTATGAGACTATCTGGGGGCACAATCTAGCCCTACCATATTCTAGCTGTATGATCTGGGGCAAGTTATTTAACTTTTTAAAGACTTAACTTGTTTATTTGTAAAGTGGGAATGACAAACTTGATATCACCTAGGATTTTGTGAGATTGAATAAGATCCAGTATAATAATGCCTAGTTGATAGGAATTTCCATGTAATAAATAAAAATTAACCCTTTAGTGGCACTTCAGGTACTCTTTGAATTGCTATCTCTATATTAACTAATTTATTCCTCAAGACAACTCTATGAGGTAGGTAGCATCTTTCCCCTCATTTTATAGGTGAAAAACAAAGGCACAGATAAATTGCTTACCCTAAATCTAGCAGAAAAACAAGAAACGGGTTGGATCAAAAATACGAGGGGTGTGTGTGTGTGTGTGTGTGTGTGTGTGTGTGTGTAATCTACATATCTATAAAGAAAGCACAGATAACTCAATAGAAAAAAGTGGAATCAGGGAGAGGATAGTATCACATTATCAAAGTGGAAGTAGAGCCACAAGCTATTGTAGACATTACTACTGGATTTGTAAATTGGTTCAACCACTTTGGAAAACAGTTTTTTTGTTTTTTTTTTACCCACTAGGTTTGAATACTCATGTACCTCATGATCCAGCAAATCCACATGGATGTATAAAAATCAAAGAGAAGCTCTTGTATGTGTACAGTGGGGAGCTATGCCAGCATATTTACAACAGGTCTTTAAAAAATAGTAAATATATGAAATAAATCAAGTGATAATCAACAGGAAAGCAGGAGAACACATGGCAGAATATTCACATAATGGACTATTATATAGCAGTTAAAGTGAATAGACTATGATGACATGCAAAGATATGAGTGAAAATCAGCAAATGTAATATTAACTGAAAAAATCCCAAAATATTACATATAAGTTTATAATCTTTTTGTAAAGTTGAAAACAACAAAATAAAATATTTTTATGATACATGTAGATTTAATGAACTATAAAAAACAAATCAAGAAAATCAAGGGAATATTGAAACATGATTCACTAGACTAGTTCATTAGAATTTTTATCTTTGGTAGGGTCAGGCGGGGAATGGGAATGGTAATCATAAAGTTAGATGTATGTTATTGTCAAGGTCCTAATTTTTGTTTTGAGTGATGAGTTCATGAATGTGTCTTGCACTGTTAGTAAATAAGTGAATAAACTGATCTATATATGGCGCAATAACAAGAGTGTATCATGAATGAAAGATCATGATTAATCCGATTTTGTTGATTTGAGACCCAAAAAGAGAGAGAAAATAATACCAGGCCATTTGGCTCCAGAATACAGGTCTTAACAGATATGCTATATTATTTCTATTATTGTTTTTATTATCATTAGTATATTATAAAATGAAATAGGTTGTTATAACTTATTTAAATATAAGTACCAGATATCGTTCTGAATTCTAGGGAGACAGAAGTGAACAATATGGGCAACATTGATTCTCTCATTGAGCTTAGATTTTTTTGAATTGCATGTAATGCAATCCTAGCCACTGAGACAAAATAAGATGCCTAATAAGGAGATTCTGGAAAAGCTTGTTTTCGTTTTAAAAATAACACACAAGAGGGATGTTGTTGTGTTTAGATAGGAAGTTAGAAAATGTGGCAGCATCTTTCAGTTGGACAAAGGTGACACATCAATGGTTGAAAGAACTTGGGTCCTTAATAATGGGAAGTAACTGGATTAACCAATCCTGGAGTCACATTATTTAGGATTTACTTTAATGGTTCCAGGAGATGGTAAATTTTCCTTTGTTGGACTTCCTTTTACTTTCAATCCAAAGAAGACTAGATGAAAAATAATTTGGTACCAGGAGTGAAATATTGCAAGAAACATACCCTAAAGTTTTGGAATTGTCAGAGAGAGCGAGAGAATCATGACATTTCCAATTCTATCAATATTCCCTTAAAAGAATTAAGTAAGTTCTTCCTGAATAGTGATATAAACTCCAAGTATAAAGACCCTGCTTTGCATGGACAACATAATTGCCAACAATAGATCCATGTTACAAAAGTTATGGTAGGAAGTCCTAGCAAAAGCAATCAGGCAAGAGAAAGAAATAAAGGGCACCCAAATTGGAAAAGATGAGGTAAAACTATTTCTGTTTGCCAATGATATAATTGTATACCTAGAAAACCCTAAAGACTCCTCCAAAAGATTTCTAGATTTGATAAATGAATTCAGTAAAATATCAGGTTACAAAATCAATGTACACAAATCAATAGCACTGCTGTACACCAACAATGACCAAGCTGAGAATCAAATACAGAACTCAATCCTTTTTAAAATAGATGAAAAAAAATCGAAATACCTAGGAATATATTTAACCAAGGAAGTGAAAAATCTCTACAAGGAGAACTATAAAACACTGCTGAAATAAATCATAGATGACACAAATAGAAATACTTTCCATGCTCATGGACTGGAAGAATCAATATCATGAAAATGACCATACTGCCCAAAGCAATCTACAGATTAATTGCAATTCATCAACATACCAATATCATTTTCCACAGAATTAGAAAAAATAATCCTAAAGTTCATATGGAACCAAAAAAGCTCAAATAGCTAATGCAATCCTAAACAAAAAGAAATCTGGAGGCATCAAATTACCCAATTTCAAATTATACTACAAGCCTGTAGTAACTGAAACAACATGATATTAGTATAAAAGTAGAGACATAGACCAACGGAACAGAATAGGGAATCTAGAAGCAAAGACAAATACTTACAACCAGTTGATCTTTGACAAAGCATACAAAAACATAAGTTGGGGAAAGGACTCCCTATTCAATAAATGGTGTCAGGAAAACTGAATAGCCGTATGAAGAAGAATGAAACTGGATCCCTATCTCTCACCATATCAATTCAGATGGATTAATCAATTCAGATGGATTAATGACTTAAATCTAAGACCTGAAATCATAAAAATTCTAGAAGAAAACCTAGGAAAAACTCTACTGGATGTTGACCTAGGCAAAGAATTTATGACTAAGACCTGAAAAGGAAACACAACAAAAACTAAAATAAATGTGACCTAATTAAACTACAAAGCTTCCACACAGGAAAAGACGTAATAATCAGCAAAAGACATAAACAGACAGAATGGGAGAAACAGCAGAAACCTACAGAATGGGAGAAAATATTTGCAAACTATGCATCAGACAAAGGAATAATATCCAGAATCTTCAAGGAACCAAAGAAATCAGCAAGAAAAAATAATCTCATCAAAATAGGTAAATGTCATGAATAGACACTTCTTGAAGGAAGATACACAAATATATGTAAATATATATGGCCAACAAATGCATGAAAAAATGTTCAACATTGCTAATCACTAGGAAATGCAAATTAAAACTACAGTGAGATACCACTTTACCCCAGCCAGAATGGCCATTATTAAAAAATAAAAAAATAACAGATGTTGGTGTAGATGTGGTGAAAAGGGAATTCTTATACACTGCCGGTGGGAAAGTAAATTAGTAAAACCTTTGTGGAAAAGAGTATGGAGTTTTCTCAAAAACTAAAAATAGATCTACCATTTGACCCAGCAATCCCACTATTGAATATCTACCCAAAGGAAAAGAAGTTATTATATCAAAAAGACATCTACGTGCATATGTTCATCACAGCACAATTCACAGTTGTAAAGATATGGAACCAATCTAAGTGCCCATCAACCCAAGAGTGAAAAAAGTGCAGTATATATACACAATGGAATACTACTCAGCCATAAAAAAGAACAAAATAGTGTATTTTGCAGCAACTTGGAGGAGCTAGAGGCCATTATTCTAAGTGAAGTAACTCAGGAATGGACAACCAAATACCGTATGTTCTCACTTATAAGTGGGACCTAATCTATGGGTACACAAAGGCATGCAGAGTACTGTAATGGGCTATGGAAGCTCAGAAGGGGGATGGAGGATAAAAAACTACATAGTGGGTACAAAGTACATTAGTTAGGTGTGGTGGTTAATAATAAGTGTCAACTTGATTGGATTGAAGGATGCAAAGTATTGATCCTAGGTGTGTCTGTGAGGGTGTTGCCAAAAGAGATTAACATTTGAGTCAATGGGCTGGGAGAGACAGACCCACCCTTAATTTGGGTGGTCACAGTCTAATCAGCTGCCAGCATGGGTAGAATATAAGCAGGCAGAACAATGTGAAAAGGAGAGACTGGCCTAGCCTCCCAGCCTACATCTTTCTCTCATGCTGGATGCTTCCTGCCCTCAACCATCGGACTCCAAGTTCTTCAGTTTTGAGACTTGCACTGGCTCTCCTTGCTCCTCAGTTTACAGACAGCCTATTGTGGGACCTTGTGATTATGTTAGTTAATGCTTAATAAACTCCCCTTTATATATATACATATATCTATCCTATTAGCTCTGCCCCTCTAGGGAACCCTGACTAATACACTGTGTGACAGGCAAACTGAAATTTCAGACTTAACAACTATAGAATCCATCCATGTAACCAAAAACTACTTGTACCCCTAAAACTATTGAAATAAAAACAAAACAAAACAAAACAACCCCCTAAAAACACTAAAAAAAGATACAAGTGATGGTAAGGCAAGCTCTAACTGCTCATGCCCTATGTGGCCTTGTTTTGGCATCCTTTGTTAAATGAGAGAGAGAGAGAGAGAGAGGTGTGTGTGTGTTCATGTTCATGGATTTTTCTTTTCTTTTCTTTTTTTCTTTTTTTTTGAGATGGAGTCTTACTCTGTCACCTAGGCTAGAGTGCAGTGGTGTGATCTTGGCTCACTGCAACCTCCACCTCCTGGGTTCAAGCAATTCTCTGCCTCAGCCTCCCGAGTAGCTGGTATTACAGGCACCCACCACCACGCCCAGCTAATTTTTGTATTTTTAGTAGAGATGGGGTTTCACTATCTTGGCCAGGCTGGTCTTGAACTCCTGACCTCGCGATCCGCCCGCCTTGGCGTCCCAAAGTGCTGGGATTACAGGCATGAGCCACTGCACCCAGCCTGTGGATTTTATTTTCCACCAATACCTAGCTCATCTGTCTTATACTTGGTGCCATGAAAAATTAAAAAAAAAAAAAAGAAAAAAGACAGAGAACATGAGAAGGATCCACAAGAAACTAATGCAAAGCTATAATAGGCTGAGCAACCCATAAATGGTGCTGTCAAAATGCAACGGTGCTTCTGAAGCATGAGAAATCCCAAGTTGGCTGTCTGGAAAGAAAAGGCTTGGGATTCCATGCCATTTTCTTCTCTTAGTTAAACCTCTTGGACATGCTTGCTAATAACTATATAGTTATTTCCTCAGAGGCAATTTCTGGGAATGAAAAAAATCGTGGATTTATAAGTCAATATAGTGCAAATTCTGATTCTTAGTGGCTGTGCTTGAAATTCACCATAATAGTTAAGTGACCCTGGAAAATTCACTTTGCCTCTTTAATCCTCAATATTCTCATATAAAATAGAAATATTCAACATATTTCAAGGGGTGCATATAAAAATTAACTGTTTGGTATATAGCAGTTTAGGCAACCCTCCCCTCAACCATTACAATTTATTTTTCCTTTTTCCTTCTCTAGGTATACTTAGTTTCCACACTTTCTTTAATTGTATCTGGCCTCTATTCAAGGGTACACTTTTCATATTGTGACTGATTTTGCAATCAATGTGTTTTAACCTCCAATGTTTCCTACCTGACTTTTTGTTATCTAATTGTAAGCATTTTGATGCATCTGTTTACATTCAGCTTTTCCCTCTGGTCTGACATTTCCCTATTGAGTGAGAACATCTTTGAGGACATTCCAACTTTGCCAGTCATCCCTCATATTTAATATGTAGAGTGGGTCATCACCTCATTCGTTGAATACTTTCTGCTTCTTACAGTTCCTTCCATTTGTGTTGAACTGTATTTAATACAGGCTTCTCTCTCTCTCTCTCTCACTCTCCTAGGATGGAGTGTCATCTTGGCTCATTTCAACCTCCACTTCTTGGGTTCAACCAATTCTCATTCCTCAGCGTCCTGCATAGCTGGGACTACAGGCATGCAACACCATACCCAGCTAATTTTTGTATTTTTAGTACAGATGGGGTTTTGCCATGTTGCCCAGGCTGGTTTCGAACTCCTAACCTCAAGTAATTCACCTGCTTCACCCTCCCAAAGTGTCAGGATTACAGGCGTGAGACACCATGCCTGGCTCTTTCTCTAGTTCTTTCCCTCCCTCCCTCCCTCCCTTCCTTCCTTCCTTCCTTCTTTCCTTCTTTCCTTCCTTCCTCCCTCCCTTCCTCCCTCCCTCTCTCCCTTCCTCCCTCCCTCCCTTTCATCTTTACTCCCTTCCTCTTTTCCTTCTTTCTTTTCTTTTTCTTCTCTCTCTCTTTCCTCATGTTAACCAACAATTCTATTTGTTGGAAATAGATGATGATTCACTTGAAACATACACACACACCCTTTATGTCTCTAAGCCAGTATTATATGCATTGGAGAAATCAGTTGCATAATACCTAATACCTATATTGATCATTTTAAAGTGTTGGTTAAATGCATGTGTTCCATTCTGCCTCTAACTCCTATTTACCGCAAGTGTTATATAACCTACTTAGCTTCTCTGTAAAATGGGGATAATAATAGTATCTTCTCTAATGGGTTATTGAAAAGATTAAAAGAGTTAATTTAATAGCCTGTCAAATGGAATGCCTAAAAAAGCATTATCCGTTTTTATGCATCTCTGGCGCATGTAGAATTATATTAATATGCAATTTCAAAATATGCTATGGAAAGAGGAGTTGCCATTTATTCAATAACCACAGAACCTGAATAATAATAGGTACCATTGCTGATCTCCTGTTATATACCAGAGGCTGTGCTAGGTGCATTACCTAAATGAATTTGTATGAGCTGTTTAAGACTCTGAATCAAGGATACAGTTGGCTGAGTATAAATCACTTAATGTCTGAGGTCCTATAAATTTGAGTCCACCATTCCTTCTGTAACTGGTTACCAAAACGTGTTTCCATAGTTAGTTTATATTTGGTATATTCACCAAAAGATCATCATCATCTGTCCACTCCTATGCTGTCTAAACCCACAGAGATCACCTCTCTCCCAAGCTTCATGTTATCCTTATGAGAACGTCTTTTATCGTCTTTATTCACAGAATATTTCTTCAGTCATTTGTTGTGAGTAAAACTTGTTTCCCCTCCATAAAAACACTTTCCTTAGAATTTTCCTAGTGGATCTGCCTATGGACTGACACCCTAAGGGAGCTGGAGTTTAAGCCAGCGTTATCCAACTTCACAGAAATCCTTCCTAATTGTTACTGTGCTACTCTGGTCTTGTGAGGTAGAAGTATAAAAAGAGCACTGGAGCAAGAGAGGAAGAGGTGACTTAGAGGGTGACAGTCATTGTCTATGCAGTCAGAGAGATTTGGAAGGAAATCCTGGTCATGTCTTCTACTAGATGTGTGACCTTGGGCAAATTAAGCTTTCTAAGCTTCAAATATATCATCTATAAAACTAGGATAAAATTAATACCTGCTTCATAGGGTTGTTGAAGGGACAACCTTTGATAATCTACTCATAATGCTAAGGGTTGTGCTCGCATATAAGAAAATTTCTATGTTTGTTGCAATTATTATTTTTATTCCTGTTTTTACTACCAGTGCTATCACTTATTGAGCATCTGGCATAGATCAGACCTGGTGAAAGGTACATTAAATATGTTAGTTTATGCCTCTTCATTTAAGTATGTCAGATATTATTTTTAACTTTTTGGTGGAGTTTCGCTGTACAGAAAAATGGGGAAGTAGCTAGAGGGGAATATGAGACTAAAAGAGGATTTAAAAAAACAATATGGGAATTGTGATAATATTTAATGATGATGTAAAAATCTGTTATAGAAGGAGAGACAGAAGATGCAAGAGAGAGTAGGATAACTGAGAACATGAGAGAGAATGAAATCCAAAGCGTATGGAAAGGGTAGAGGGCGTGATCATTGCTAGCAAGGTATGTTTCATGGTTATAAAAGGAAAGAAAGAGAAATGACTGCAGATTAGGTATTTTTGTACATTTGAAGGTAGGAAGGTATGGGAGATACTATTAGGTGGCTTCCACTTTTTCTTCTCTATCTCCTTTTCCTTCTTCTCCTTTCCTTGTTCCTCCTCCTCCTTCTTCCCTTCCTCCTGTCCCCCCTCCTCCTCTCTCTTTAACAAGACACAAGGTAAGCCAGACTACTATAAATAGAGCTGAAGTTTGGGATCTTTGAGAAATTGGAGAATTTTGCAAAGAGTGGGAGACTGAGCTTATTAGAATAATGCCTGCTGTTAACCTAGTGAGTGAACTCAACTGGGTATCAGACCAAAGGAGCTAGACAGTATTGAGTTTGGGGTTGGTGATCATGGCTATATGGTGAAAGCAATTTTTCCAGTTATGTGATGGTCTTCAGCAGATTAAGCTGTGTGAATGACGAAATGAGAAGGCAAAGGCTTAGATTCATTCAGGGTTGGGATGAGCACAATTAAAGCACACACAGGCAAGAAACTTAGGGATATTACCATGATAGTATCATGGGCCATGAATCTGGGCTAGGGTCTGAATGATAGAAGGTTGGCAATTAGAGAGAAAGTGGAGGGGATCAGGGGAAGTGGAGGGGGTCAGGGATTTCGATGAGTTTGGATAATTATTGACATGAGAGTACTAGAGAAAATAAGCTGAAAGAATAGGAGTTTGTGATTGCTTAGTAGGAGACTGAGTTAATTCTAGAGGTGATGCTGTTTCTGGCAATGTCATGGTCCTGACTATATGTAAGGTGAGTGAGATGTAAACCTTTCTTATTAAAAACCCAGCAAAAGCTTGGACTTGGACTTTCCCCTTTGAAGAATCCCCTGGGGCTTCAAGGAACATTGTCTGAAAACTACTGACCCGGCAAAACTCTTCACTGTTTAATGAAGATCCTCAGTTACAGGTATTTTCAAATCTACCAGATATTGGCATTAAAGTTAAAATAATGTCATCCAGGGAAGTCAGAACTTCTGCCTTGCTAGCCACTTGTCTTCCTTATGTGTCACTTACAGAGACAGACACTGTGACATAAGCTTTAAATCAGATAAACTTGAAATCAAATTCAGCCTATTTCACTTACCAGCTGTGTAATATCGGGCCAGTTACCCTCTCCAGGCCTCAGCTCTTAATTCATAATATTGGATGTCATGAAGATTAAATGATACAGTTTATCCAGAGCATTTGGCATATAATATGACAGAGGGTTTGTATCTTCTATATTATGAGTCTGTATTATAATTCTTAAGAGCAACGTCTGAGGGTTCTTCTGCCAGAGTTCAAATGTCAGTTTTTTGCCACTTATCAGCAAAGAGTGAGAAACAATCTCCTTGAGCCTCAGTTTCTCCCTTTGTAAAATAAGATGATAATAGGGCTTTCTTCATTGGGCTATAGTGAGGATTAAGTAAATTAATGTTTGTGAGGCAGTTACAGTGATAATCAGAGCATAGTGAGTGCTACATAAGTAGTGGCTCTTATTGTTGTTAATTCCTTCCTCTGCTCCCTATTTCAGATGAAGCATTAATAAAAAGTTTAACAACCTGTATCTTAAGTGGTTGTTCCCTCTACTCTGTACAGAGGCAATTTAAGGAATATGTTAAATCAACTGTTTAGTGTCTATCCATCACTCTAAAAAATTAGCATTATTCAAATTGTTTTTCAGTGAAGAGTTCCTGTGGGCTGCTGGGGCCTCTGAGAAGGAGGGTCTTGTTTACTTGGTTGAGAAATTCCTCATAAGAAAGGAAGCTGACTGCATGAATACAGTACATTGGGTATGAGAGATGTCTTGCTCACATCTTTGCTCAAAAAACCTGGGCTAGGTTAGCAGTGCAAATGTTGAATGAATGGCTTAATGCTTGTGGTGGGGTTGCTGTGTTTAAGTGGGGACAAGTCTCAGTGGAACTAGAAAGTGGTGTTTTTCTTTTCTTTTATGCTCTCTCACCTTCTGCAGTTTTTGGATGAAGAAGAGATAACTGCATTTTATACCCTTCCGCTTTCCATTTTGAACGCCTATTTTTATGCCTTTACCCATACTATTCACCTTACCTAAATGTTCTTCACTGTCTGAAAACCTCTTATTTATCTTTCTAGGCTCAGCTCGCATATCATTTTCTCTGTGAAACCTTTCTGACCTTCCCAGGGCAACAACTCTGTGCATAGACAATATTTTTTCCTGTACTCCCACAGCTCTTTGTAAACTCTCTTTAATACCACAAGTCTTTAATTAGTTATCCAACTTTTCCACCAGACTCTAGTGTCCATTGAAGGTAGGGTCATGTTTATTTACCCTAGTGCTGTCAGCCACTACTTGAGTGCCTGCAATACTTATTATTGAATGAATAAATGAAAGCAAGCATGGAGGTCATAGAAATGGCAGTCACAATATCACAGTCTTAAAGTGTATTCGAGTTCTGTGAGTAAGGAGAGCTTCCACATCAGGTGACTGATGGGCATACAAGGCCTATGTCTGTGCTGTGTTTGGTGTCTTATACATTGATGAACAATGCAACTAGGTAGAAGTTGTGACTGATTATGATAGTTACACATGCAATCAAGCTCTTTTGGTCGACACCCAGTTGAGTTCACTCACTAGGTTAACAGCAAGCATTTGAGTTTGTGACTCAAGACCGAATCCAACCCCTTATTTTGAAATTAAAAAATTAAGGCTCAGGGTTAAGGTCTCACAGTTTAATTTTAAAGAGCAATTCCATAAAGATAGAAGTTGACTGGCTGCTTTCATGGAACTCTGGCTCTTAGGAAAGCTGGCTCTTAGGTTACTACAATCTGATCTGAAAGACAATTTTCCCAATGTAGCTGGAGGTTATCAGTCTCATGAGGACTGACTTGCACTAACCAAATTTATAGACGACTTATGTATAAATTAGAATGCTCAATTATTAATTTATAAGAAATATAACTGCCACATGTTTGAAACTAAGTATTATTAGCTGATTAGAATGTTTTTCCATACAGAAAACTGTTTACATGAGACATGAAAATAATATTTAGAAGACCGATTTCTAACAAAACGCTATTGAGAGACCCGAGTAAAACTGAGCTACTCTGATTTAATTTCTTGATATATGAATTATTAAACTATTTATTTTCAACTATAGTTGACCCTTTACCAGCAAGAATTTGAACTGTGTGGGTCCACTTTTATGCAGATTTTTAAAAAACCAAATGTGAATGGAAAATACAATATTTAAGGGATGTGAAACTCATGCATTGGAAAACTAACTTTTCCTGTAGGCAGATACTGCAAGGATGACTGTGAATGACTTGAGTATACTGGGATTTTGGTATACGAGAGGATCCTGAAACCATTCCCCAATATATATTGAAAGATGACCGTAATTCATTCCTCAAAAGTTTGTTGAATGCTTGTTTTATGCAAACTGGGTTTCCAAGATGAATCAGATATGGTTTCTCTTTCCTTAAGGAACACACGGTATACTAAAGAAAAGAGAGTTCTAAAATGACAGACTGATATAAGGTAGGTGTTGTAACTTAAGAATGTTCAAAAAACAGTGAGAGCCCCAAAATGAGTGATAAATTTCTTCTGCAATGGACATGGAGGCTTCATGAAAGTGCTACACTTGATCTGGGCTTTGAAGAATGATTAGGAGTTCACCAAGTGGACATGTATATGTGTTGCAGTATATGCAAAACTCACAAAAGTGCTGTAGCATGGGCAATGGCAGTATTTTGATATGGTTGAAGCATAGGGTTTAAGGATGGGGACAGGAAGAGCAGCAAGGAATAAGGCTGAAGTGAGAGGCTAGAACATGAAGGGCCTCACACACCCTTATTAAATTAGGCAAGGAGTTTTCAGCAAATAGAGCCATGTTTATATATACCTTTTGGAGCTGCATTTTTGACATTAGTGTAGAGTGTGGATTGGATGAGGGAAAGACTGGAAGCAAAGAGACCACTTTGGACAGAAAGGTGTCAAGCAAGAGAGCTGATGGACCTGAGTTAAGATTGTGCTTTGTGTCTGGAAATTGGAGCATAGCTAAGCAAGAGTGGGTAGACTGTAACTGAACAAAGCTGCCTTTCTGGCCACTGGGGCTTTTTCCAAAATGGCCGTGAATATTAGTCCTGTGGTGACACAGCGAGGACCTTTGGTGAGTCTAAGAAGTTGTGATGAGACACAGATGGGCAGGAAATGCGAACTCCTGTCTGTATAGGGATGAGGGAACCACAAGGGTTAAGAAATATCACACGGGCTGAAGGCCTGAGTCAAGCTGTGAAATAGAAGACTCTTTCCTCGATCAGAGAGTTCACCCTAACTCCCTCAAGTTCTCCTCAGTGAAATAGAAAGACCAAAAACTTTACAGTCAGACAGACATGGGTTAAAATGTTAGTACTACAACTGGTTTTCTGTGTAATCTGTGTGCCTCAATTTTTTTCAAATACAAAATAGGTCTAAAGCATTCTTTTTTTTTTTTTTTTTTTTTTTTTTTTGAGACGGAGTCTCACTCTGTCACCCAGGCTGGAGTGCAGTGGCACGATCTTGGCTCACTGCAAGCTCTGCCTACCGGGTTCATGCCATTCTCCTGCCTCAGCCTCCTGAGTAGCTGGGACTACAGGCGCCCACCGCCAGGCCCAGCTAATTTTTTTTGTATTTTTAGTAGAGACAGGGTTTCATTGTGTTAGCCAGGATGGTCTCGATCTCCTGACCTAGTGATCCGCCCGCCTCAGCCTCCCAAAGTGCTGGGATTACTGGAGTGAGCCACCACACCTGGCCTAAAGCATTCTTTCTCACAGACTTATTGAAAGGATTAAATAGTATTGTGATGTCTGTAAATTGACTATCTGAGTGGTGGCTCTACAATGGGGGGAGGTCCTCAAAAATATTCACTTATTTTCTTTGTGTGTGTGTGTGACTGCCAGTGATCACGAAGACAAGGAGTAGGGAGGGAAGTCAGGTGAGCGTCTGAGAGACTTCCTGATTCTAATGGGCTAACAAGTGTAGTGGTTGAAGCCCGGATAGGAAGGGAGAAAGCCTGAGTACTGGTCTGGCTCTACCCTAACTTAACGTCCTCACTTTCAGTTCATACACAGAAGCCAACTTGATCTGAATGTCTGAGTGACAAGAGAGTTAGAATCTGGAGTCATTTGGAGGCAAAGTTTAGGCAGCAGTGGTGACATCTTATTTTGTTCCTGGGGCTACTGGGCATGGCAAGGACACTTCAGTTGCTAGCCATAGAATGCTGAGATAGTATAAAAGGAAAGGAAAAACATGTCCCTGTCCTAGAGAGAAGTTTACAGTTCAGAGAGATGTTCTTAGGCTTCCGTAGCATAGGCCATTTACTGTGCTCTTGCCTTTGTGTGGAAATAGGCTGCAGAGTTAAAGCACTCTGGCTGAAGTGCTGGAGTTTCAGACTGCTGACCACACGTCACTATGACAAAAGCAGAAGGAAAATGAATTTTCTAGCCCTGAATTTCTTGGACTCACACTAAAGTTTCAAGATACATACTCTCCAAGGATATATGATGTGACTCTTACTCATTCTAGACAGACTCTTCCCAGACACTAAAGAGTCCCAGTTTAGGGACATGCCAACTGTTTTTTCTCTTTCCATTGTGAGCTTTACTTACTCTTCTGATGATAAAAATGCCAGGACGGATACATTTCAAGGAAATGAACAGTTTAAAATGTTGCCTGTTTAAAAATTAAAATTAATTTGCCCTGTGAGTCGTGAGCCTCATTTTAATAGTACCCTGAATAATTCAGGAGCTGCAGAGTTTGTTCAGAGCTTGTGCTGTGGCTTTTGTCTGTCTTGCTTGGGAAGCAGCCCATGCAGAAATGCTTAGCATGTACAGAATTAATTCTTCTGGGGTCTTCAGAGCATAAGATCATAGGTATATGGTTATGGAAGGTTCAACTTAGAAGATTTTCAAGAAAGGACTGGAAAGGCCATGCAGTTTGACCCCAACTTGTAGGCTTATCTGAAAGAGGCAAGCTGGTTCAAGGTGTGGATGAAGAGGGAAGTTACTTTTGAATAACTATCTCTGCTTAAAGCTTTTCACTATCTCTTGAGATCCATGAGATAATGTCAAAACTCCTTAGCATGGAGTGCAAGGCCCTCAGTTTTCTGGCTCCTGCTTACTTTTCCATCTTCAGCTTATGTCCTGCTTCTTTGCAATATGGAGTTTTGGCTTTCACAACAGTGCACAACTTGTAATTTCTACAGGCATCCTGCTAATTCACACCTCTTAGCATTTCACCTACTGCTTCTTCTGTATGAAAGACATTCACATTTACCCCTTTTCTCCTATGAGGCCTTTAAGAAGTACTTGTCCTTCATGCTTCAGCCTAATTTTCACCTCCTTTGGGAAACCTTCCATGAAACTCTAAAGTGTTTCAGGTGCCTCTTCTCTGTATTCACTCACTGCCTGTGTTTTCTTCTCTTGCAGTGCCTCATTCTCCCGTACAGTCATTGTTTTCTTACAAGTTTATTTTTGCCACTGAAACAAAAACTCCTTGAAATCAGAAGCTATTTTATTTATCTGGCCTATAGTAGGCTCTCTTTAAATGCCTGTTGAATTGATTGGTATCAGGTAGACCTACCTTCTTCAGCCTCAGATCTCTATTTCCCCAAGTTATGGCACAATATCTGAAATTCCATCATTAGAGAGTTGATTCCTTTTGGTCAAGCATTGCTATTTCTCTTCAAATGCTCCTCATAGGTATAGAGTGTACCACAGAATGTTAGACCTTAAAGGGCCCCTGAAGACTCTTCAGATCTCTCTATTTTAAAAGTGAGAAAACTGAGAGACAAAATTACTCACTTAGAATCACACAGCTTACTAATGGCAAATCCAGGCTTACATTCTGGGAATTGTGACTGCACACTTAAGATCTACTTGTCACCTGGGGTTCAAATTCATTCACATCAGCAATAAGATACTTGGAAGTCTATAGTAATGGTGATGTTTGAGAAGAGGCAAATATTACAGAAATGGAAAGGCGGACAACCCTGAAGCTAAGCTGCACAGGTTAATATCATGGAAAAAGGCTTTGAAGCCAGACACACCTATTGGCTGTGTGGCTTTTGACAAAATGCTTTCTCTTTTTGAGCACACTCATTAATGAAGCAAATATATATTGAGCTTTTTTATCTGTTTTGTAGCACAATGATATTTACCCTTTTAGGATTATTGTAAAGATTAAATGATATAGGATGTAAAAAATGTCTGAGAAAGAGAATGTGATCAATAAATGCTTATTCCTTTCCCTGCTTCATGTTTTTGTTCAGGACTGGCCCTACCTTATGTCTTGAGATTTTTGAGGAAGGCATGCACAGAACACTTAAGATACTCTTACAGGACTTTTACAAAAACTGAAATGTTTCCAGATATCTCTCAATAGGGTGGAAGAGAAAAAAGCCATGCAAGAAATTCCAATTCAGAAGGACTCTAATACAGCAGGAATCATTACAGTCATTGCGAAAAGACCACCATGGACAGATGCATAACTTGCCATCTTGTGTTGGCCAGAGAGGACTTCTCTCCTCTGGCCCCAAGATTTCTTTGTATTCTTGTCTGCCACCTACATTACTTCCACCTACTCTACAGTCTGGACATTGAATTTGTCCCCATTTGTTAATTATGCAAACTATATCAAACTTTCATAACTCCTTGTATATACATTGTTTATCGTACCTACAATGCCTTGCCTCCATTCTCAGAATAGCTGTCACCCAACTGTAAAGCCTACTTCAGTTTCATTTCCTCGTGAGGCTTTCGTTTGGCTGACAGCCCAGGGTTTTGGGCATCCCCCTCTGTGTTTAACAACACAGTGCCTACTTCCTTACCATTACTCTTATATGCTACATTATAATTTGTCGATTTATATCACTCTTGAACTAGAGCTACTAGAGAGCAAAAAACTGGTCTTATTTTTCTTTGTATTCCCAATACTTGGCTTTTCCTGGCCATGAGTAAGTGCTCAATAAATGCTTAATTCTTGAAAACTGGGTTTGAGGAAAAATTAGCGCATGATTGGTCTAGTTAAAGAATATTCCTAACCTATATTTTAATTCTGAATATAAATGGAAAAGATCTTTTGGTTCTAAGTATTGTTTTTTTCTTATTCGTACCCCTGCCTATTATTAATGATTTGCAACTAATTATCTCACACAACTATTTAGTCATGAGGCTATTGTTCTGTGCAGTACTGGTTCATAGTGTTTTTCTTGCAGAGACTTCAGCAACAGACAAGGACCACCCTCTTCACTCTGTTACTAAGGCAATATTCTGAGAAGGAGCCACAGTCCAATTGGGTTGAATCTTTCTCATATATCAAAGCCTTTTTTAACAAACCTTGGAAAAATCTTCTCAGAAAGCTTCAGTTTAGAAATATAAAGCTAGAAGCACAGCCCCATGGCGTGATTTATTCATTTAAAAAATTGTGATCCCAAAATAAGCATTTCTTTCTTGGGAGGCCTTTCCATTTTAATCAGTTTTCTTTCCTAGAGAAACTTGCCCCTAAAAGTTGTGTACAATTTGTGATGCAGACAGAATGAAAACAAATGAGGGAGAAAAAAGCTGCCACACTGAGGATGGATTTGTTCTTCAGACAGTGGCTCAATACCTCTTGAATCATTTAAAAGAAAACATTTTAGCTGTCATTCCTGTTTAGGAAACAATGCTGTGATTCTAAAACCTCCTTAACCTGGTCACAGTCTGAAATATAAAGTCTTCTTTATGGGCATCTCTTAAAGGCTTTGGAAAACACCAGGATTGCATTGTTTTGTCAATTAAAAACATGTGTCTCTTAAATAAAACCTGTGCAGGCCACATGGGTCACTAAATGGTGCATGACTGATAAAAACAAGACAAAACAGAACACCAGTGTCATCTTAGGTTGCATTAATTTTAATAGTGTTCAAAGTGAAGGAGGTGATAGTGCTTTTGATTCATGTAAATATGAAAACAACTTGGATCATTGCATTGATCTCTAGGAACTACAATTTCAAGAAGGATATAGCTTCAGAGGCAGATCAGGATAGTGGGAATGCTCAGAAGGCCATCTGGAAACTCTTGAAGAAACTAGACTTGTATACTAAAAAACTTCCTCTCTTTCCTGCCTTTGAAAGATGATTTGCAGAGGCATCAATCCTCCAGCATTCCAAAACGAGCTTGTAGGTGGGTGGGTTCCATTCATAACCACCTCAGTTCCTTGCAACTTTCTGCCTTCCTTATCCCAAGGATCTCCAAATCCTGCTAAATTCCCAATCTCTCCAGTGAGACAGATTCTCCGTACTCCAGATACATCCAACCTGGTCCTTCAACTTCACTGATTCAAGTTCATGGAACGCCTTCACAAGATTCTTTGTATAGATGTCTCCAGATAGGCTGAGAGGTAGCACATGGGATGCAAGGCACAGGGTACATAGTGGTTTGGATTCTAGTCCTGCTACTTGCTGGTTGTGTGATCTTGGAGATAATTTAATCTCTCCCAAAATTCTGTTTCCTTATCTTTAAAATAAACAAAACAAGACAATACATCATCACAGGGATGTGGTTAGGATTAAATAATATAACATGAGAATGTGATTGAATGTGGTTGATTTGATAAATGGCTAGTTGCCTTTCCTAGTTGGACTGTCTGCTATCTAACAACATTTATTAGATGACTGAAGAAAACTGTTTTCAATGTCTGCCCTCTTTCTTCTTGTAGAAATACATCTCTGTAAAACACAAACAAACAAAAAACCTAGAACCCCAGACCACCTCTTAGAACAAAAGCAGCATGACTCTGTCTCAATAATATAACTTTTACACTAGAGTGTCATTTGTTATAACTGTTTGTAAACTAGTGTTCCCTAATGAGGCTGATAGTTCACAGTTTTTAGGATTTACCTACTTCATTACTAATTCTCATAGTGACCTTGCAAGTTAGGTGTAGTATATTACTTTCACTGCTTTACAGGGAAGAAATGGGGGCTTGGAGTTTGAGTGATTTGCCCTAGGACATGCACTACTACAAGACAGAGTCAGGATTCAAAGCCAGGTTAGTGTGGCTATAAAAGCCATGCTCTTTCTGCAGCAACACAGATTCTGAGTCCTTGGGGACAGAAACTTTCTCTCAAGCCTTCTTGTAATCCCATTACCTAGCAAAGTGCCCTGCATGAAGCAGACGTTCAATAACAGTTTATTTAATTGGTTTGAATTGAACCAAATGATTATTTCATCACCATCCTTTGCTTTTCTATTTATAATTCCAGTTGTATATGCCTCGACTTTAACTACAAATGCTAATTTCCCAGGACATATCTGAAATCAGGTCACATATCTGTTAAAAATATTTATCTACCTTTCCAAAGTGATTATAAGAATTTTTCGAAAACTTTCAGTTTAATTTATGGGTTGTTTTAAATAGGACTTTCATGTGTTAAAGTTTAAAAGTAAATGAGGCAATATCAACACTGAGTCATTCTGAGAAAATATTAATTAAGACATGTAGCATAATAATGATGATGCTCTTTTTCCATATCAAGAGTTTTGGAAATGTTTTCTTGAAATTTTATGGAGTCCCATTTATTTTCAAGAAGATTAATATTTAAGGAAGGCATGTATCCAAAACCAATTTTGATATTTTTTTCTATACTGACAAAACTCTCATCACTCAGTAGATGGTACAACCATACTTGCATTCCTTCTGTCTTCAAATTTGGAGGTCATGTGGGGGAGACAGTTTGCCCAGAGGAAAATTCGATGACATTTATATGAAATATACCTGAGTTTGAATCTTCACTCTATTTTTTTTTTTTTTTTTTGTAAATCTTTTACATGAACTCAGTGTATCAGTCCTGATCTGTTTGGTCTGTTCCACACATCATCATGACAGTGATTCTTCTAAACTTCAAGTATAATAATAATCTTTCTCCCTGTTGAAAACTTTTTATTTATTCCAATTTCTATAAAGTGAAGCTTGAAGTTTACATGCTGACATTTAATATCTTCCATGATTTGACTTTAAACTTTGGTTAGGTGTAGTGGTTACAAGAGTGGCTTTGGCCTCAATCAGGTATGGGTTGGAATCCTAGCTGTTGACTTGGGAAACTTATTTAACCTCATTATGCTTCAATTTCCTCACCTGTAAAATAGAGATAGTAATAGTGTCAAGCTCACAGATCTGTTGTAAAGAACAGATGTTACATTACATATATTCTTGGGTCAAGATTGTATTCTCACTATTACTCAAAGAACATATGATTTTATTATTTTATTTTTATCTTTATTTTTTTGAGATGGAGTTCTGCTCCATCTTGTTGCCCAGGCTGGAGTGGTTCAAGAGATTCTCCTGCCTCAGCCTCCTGAATAGCTGGGATTGCAGGCGCCTGCCACCACAACTGGCTAATTTTGTACTTTTAGTAGAGACGCGGTTTCTCCATGTTCGTCAGGCTGGTCTCGAACTCCTGGCCTCAGGTGATCTGCCCGCCTCGGCCTCCCAAAGTGCTGGGATTACAGGTGTGAGCCACCGCGCCTGGCCAATTTTATTTTTTATAGCAGATTTAATCATGCTCAAAAGTTCCACGTCATTTGGAAGCTAGAAAGAAGGTTGAGGGTGGGGGACCCAAAGTTTCCAATTACTGATATCTCAGTCATTTCCAGTTTAGATAATAGCTTTTTGGGTGTTTCAATCCCTTTGGGTAATGCTTTTCTTTTAAATCCTACTTCTTCCTTGCTCATCTCTAAGTGTATGACATTACGGCTGATGGCTGATGCTGCCTATGGCAGCAGGGAGGAGGGGGCCTGGCTCCCCACATGCAGGCCCTTTTACCTCCCTCTGGCTCTTTGAGTCTCCATGGCAATGTCTTTTTTCGCCTGGTCATTGACATTGGCTTAGCGGCTGAAGTTCATGATTAGTGAACCCATGGTTTATTCTCTGGCCTCCAACAGGGTCTTGTGGGATTC
The DNA here is from genome assembly GCF_000001405.40 of Homo sapiens. Lineage (NCBI taxonomy): Eukaryota > Metazoa > Chordata > Mammalia > Primates > Hominidae > Homo > Homo sapiens. The sequence goes on along the minus strand of NC_000011.10, from coordinate 82,553,288 downwards.
TTTTACCCCATTGCTAACCCTACCCTATTTCACTCGTGCTGAGAGTGGTCCTTGTTAGCTCTTTGTTGAAACAGCCCTTCGTGTAGCCTTTATTTATAAGGTCACTTTACTCCAGATACAGCAAACTCCATAGTCCAAGGGGGACTTCTGGATTCCTTGCAACACTGGTGTTGAGGAGCATGTGAAATGCTAATTCAGACTCTCCTAAAATGACTCTGTGATTATTTTTACTCCATGTTGCTAAGGGACTACTTTGCTGGTCTCTAGTTCCAAATGGAGAGTAGAGTACAACTCATATCTCCTGCCCCTGAGAGTTTGACTTTTTGATGTATCTACTTTCTTCTCTTCTTTTTAAGTAAAAATTCATTTTAAATAGACATTCCCCACATTCTTCTATACTAGAAGGAGAAAGCTTTTCATTTTGGTTTTATGCCGGAGGAAACTCCTTTGAGGTTCTGGCTTCCTTTTACCCTGGGTTTTATAAGTGGGAAGATATATTCTTCACATTATGAAAAAAAATATGATCTGAGTTTATTCAGCTTGATTCTTGACTTGAGGACATGGAACAACTAAGAACTAGAAAGTACTTGTGCTTGGCATACAATTCAAGCCATCATAAGTGCTCAGTAAATTTTGGTTGCTGTCAGCTTTTCACTATTCTTACCTTTCAATGCATTTGACACTCCTTTCTTGCACACTAAATATAGTATTTTCTACATGAATTTGGATTTAATTTCAACTTACACTTTCCATAAAGATGGTTTATTAAACAAGCTACAGAAAGAATTTAATTTCTATACTCTTCCAAAGGTATTAAGCAAATTTAAAACCTGGAGAAATAATTTTTCTAGACAATAATAACATTAAAAAATATCCAACCCTTTAAAAAACCCTTTACATGTTCCAGAAGCCTTATATTTATTATCTCATTCAGCCCTTCCAAATGGTCCTGTGAGCCAGATATTATTATCATTTTTATTTTGGATATAACTTAGTTTAATTAGGTTGATTTACTTTTTCAGGGTAACAAGAGTAGGACATGATAGAGCTAGAACGGTAACCCAGGTTTTCTGATGGCCACGTTCATGCTTTTGTCTATTAGGCTTTATTAGTTCCCATGCATCTTGACTTTTGGTGCAGAAAGTATGCCACTCTGTAATCCACCTATCTCTTGACCTCCCTCCTTCCTGTGTACTCAGAGCTCTAGCCATAGACCACTACTCCTTGCCCTTGAAGACTCCAGATATTCCTTCATCAAAGTGGCTTGTTTTAATCTGTAACTGTGCTTATAATACTGTCTCCTCTGTCTACCACCCTACATCCAACTCCGTGCCATTTTCCTTTTATGTTCCCACTTTCTCTTAAGTTACTATTAATACTTGCACTCACATTCCTATGAAGATCATGATTTTTTTTTTACCTCTATCAGGCCATATAACCTACACTGCCCTCTGTAAGGGTTTTCTAGGTGTGTGTCTGTCTCTGTAAATTGAATGTGAGTTTCTTGAGTGCAAGGGTAGCTTCTTCCTTCATTGTTGAAATAAATAGAACTAAAGACAAGACTTTTATCGATGTGAATCACATTAAAGCCTGAGAGAAAAGAGATACTGAGCTCCTGATAACTGCCTGTAGGCACATCTGGTTAAACCAGACAAAATAGTCAGGTTACTATGAGGATGGAGGGTGAAGTCAGTTTTTTTTAAAAAGATAGCAACGTGATGGCAAAAGGTCTCTTAGCAAAGTGATGGCAAAAGATCTCTGTCGTTTGGAAGTTGTCAGGAGCTAGTAGATGAAGTATCTCATATCAAAGCTCAATTTGAAGATTCATGCCTTCTTCCCATGATTACTTATGAGTATCTACTATATGCCAGCTACAGTTCTAGATACAGTTCAAGATGCTGAGCATAGAGTGAAGCATCAGCAAACGTGGTCACTGGTCTCATTGGACTTAGATCTATTTGGGGGAAATAAACACACTGGAAGCACAGTCTAGCTTGAGGAGGAGCTCTAACAGCAAACTTCCTTCCATGCTTATGCATTTCAGAGAGCTTTCTTCTCTTCCCACAGAGAGTGTGGTTCCTATCCCTGGGAATGGAAGGCTACAGGCCAAACTACAGGGCAAATTCAGGAAAGAACTCCTGAAAATTTCTATAATTTCCCAGTCACCAAGCCTTTGCTCATGTCATTTTTCCATCAAACTTATTTCCCTTTCTTCTAAGATCCTGCTGTTTTGTGTCCTCACAGCATCCTCTTCTTACCCCAATCATCACACCACCCTTACCATTTGGTATTGTATTTGTCACTTTCAGGTTTTGCCCTCAACACCTGAGTGATTGATTAAATGAAGATACATCTTGACCTTTAGGATTCATAGTCAGCTCAAGGCTCTTTCCAAGTTAAACAGACATGCTAGCAATTTCTCCTGAAATGCTAGGGAATCTTCTCCTAAAAATATCTCCTTGTGGGGAAAAAAAACAAAAAATAATTTAGCATAATGTGATAAACACTAGCATAGAAATATAAAGACAGTGCAATGTGATATGTTGGGCATTATGCACAAGAGTTCTGGAGTCTGACTGCTTGAATTCCAGTCCTGGTTTTATCACTAATTACCTTTGTGATTTTGGAGTAATTAAACAATGTTCAAGCTTTATTTTCTCCATTTGTAAAATGAAAATAAAAATAATAGATACTTCCTAGTGTTGTTGGAAAGATCGAATGAGTTAGTTTATGTAAAGTGCTTAGTATTGTAGCTGGAGCATTGTAAGCCTTTCATAAGTGTTAGCTATGGTGATTATAATGCAGGGAGTTGAGCTCCAAAAGGCTGGAGTAGAGAAATTGTGTTCAGGAAAAGCTTCACAAAGGAGCTGACACTCAAGTTCATCCTCTTTGGATGATTTGAATTTTTCCAGGCAAAGAAGGTATGCTTGAGAAGGGTGTAAGGATTCTAGGCAAAAGAAACAGCAAATACAAGGGCGGAAAAATGTGAGAGAGCTTGGCAGTTTGAGAAGTTTTCAGTAATATTTTGGTGTGGCTAGAAAATAAGGTGCACATGGTGTGGAAGCAAGAGGAAAGGATGAAGGGATAACAGTGGGGGTAAACTCATGAATGGTTGTTTATTTACTGAAGGAATTAATATGTGATTTGGTAGGTCATAGGGAGTTATTAAAGGGTTTTTAGATGGGGAGTATCACAGTCAGGTGTTTGTTTTAGAAACAAATAAACAAATCATTCTGGTGTTTGGGCTGTGAGGTGATGAGGGACTGAAATGGCAACATCAATGGGTCAGAAGGGATGAAGGGGGTCTGGGAAGGCTGATGGATAGATAGGATGTGAAGTTGAGGAAGAGAGGATGACTCCTGGATTGCTGATCTCAGTAATCTGAATTTCAAAGAGGCAGAGTCTAACAGACCTCATGCATTTTACAGAACCTTTAAAAGCCACTAGGACATGTTGTCAGGAGCATTTGCATTCGAGGATGAAACAGTACATATAGAACTGAATTTTGTATTGAACAGTCCAGACAGCTTCAACTCAGTCTGTCAAAGTTCATTATAGTTTTACTGCTATGATATTTGGTGGGAGAAATCATCTAGGAAGCACACTGCAAACCAACAAACACCTCAAAATACTTATCCCATCAAAGCTAAAGAGTGACCAGTCGTTGAAATATGATTTCATTCTGTATTTACAACCGCAGAATACACATATATATGTGTGTGTATGCCTCCACACACACACACTTTAGCAAAGTGTTAGTAGCTCAGCAGGGTCCATAGTCTTGCACTTCTGTTCTGGACCCCACCCCTGGTACCAATTTGCAATTTGCTGTATCAGTACATTCTCATGCTGCTAATAAAGACACACCTGAGACTGGGTAATTTATAAATGAAGGAGCTTTAATTGATTTACAGTTCAGCATGGCTGGGGAGGCCTCAGAAAACTTACAATCATGGCATAAGAGGAAGCAAACACGTCCTTCTTCACATGGTGGCAGCAAGGAGAAGTTCTGAGCAAAAGAGGGAAAAGCCCCTTATAAAACCATCAGATCTCGTGAGAACTCACTCACTATCATGAGAACAGCAAGAAACAGCAAAAGGGTAACATGGCTTGGCTTTGTCCACACTCAAATCTCATCTTGAATTTCCACATGTTGTGGGAGGGACCTGGTGGGAGGAGACCGAATCATGGGGGCGGGTCTTTCCTATGCTGTTCTCATGATGGTGAATAAGTCACATGGGATCTGACAGTTTTAAAAAGGGGAGATTCCCTGCACAAACTCTCTTCTCTTGTCTGCCACCATGTGAGACATGCTTTTCACCGTCCACCATGATTGTGAGGCCTCCCCAGCCACATGGAGCTGTAAGTCCAATAAACCTCTTTCTTTTGTAAATTTGCCCAGTCTTGGGTATGTCTTTATCAGCAGTGTGAAAATGGACTAATACACAGGGCAACTGTCCCTATGATTCAATTACCTCCCACCAGGTCCCTCCCATGACACTTGGGGATTATGGGACCTACAGTTCAAGATGAGATTTGGGTGGGGACATAGAAAACCATATCATTCAGTAATAAGTCCCTTATATCTGTACAGAATATTTTAGTTCATGTAGCACTTCACATTTTTCCCTAATAATTCTCACAACTAGTGTGTAAGAGAGGCAAACAGATGTTCTTATTTTGCAGACAAGGAGATTGACTCTCATAGAAATTAAAAGATTTGTTCAGTGTGGCAGAAATTGTATGTGATTGTGCTGGCTCTTGCAACGAAGTTCTCTGTTTAGGGAGTTGAAATTGGGATCCTGTTTTTGGAGTTCATGTCTAGCACTTTTACAATTGCATTTGGTCAGTAGTTTCTCAGAATCACTATTCACCATGCGGTTCAAAGAAGCGGTTCTTCAATGAGAACATGTGGACACAGGGAGGGGAACAACACAGGGGGTTGGGGGCAAGGGGAGGGAGAGCACTAGGACAAATACCTAATGCATATGGGGCTTAAATCCTAGATGATGGGTTGATAGGTGCAGCAAACCACCATGGCACATGTATACCTATGTAATAAACCTGCACATTCTGCACATATATCATGGAACTTAAAAAAAAAAGAAAAAAAAAGCAGTTTTCTAAAAAACATTTATTGGAATTTATTACTATGTAGATGATATATCTATGTATGTCTGAAAATTACATAGTATGGTATTTATAAGAACTCTTTTGGTTGAAAGTGACAGGAACTGAAACTAAATTTGTTAAAAACCAAGATAATGCAATGTTTTATGTAACTAAGAAATATAAGGTGGTTAGTGTTTTCCTTTAGCCTTAGCTAGATTGGTGGTTTGAAGAATTTTCTCTATCCCTCTCTTTCTCTTTGTCTGTCTCTTTCTCCCTCCCTCCTCTTTCTTTTTTCTCTTTTCCCTCCATCCTACTGTTCTTTTATCCTTCCATTGTTCCATCCCTCATTTCTTTATCTAATTTTTTTTTTTTTTTGGTATTTGCTTCATTTTCAGGTAGTCTCTCCTGATGGTTTTAAGGATGACTTTGGTCAGAAGCCCAATGTTGTGGCAGTGAAAGTGCCTCCCCGACTAATGGTCCCCTCTCATTAAGATTGTATGTAGTGGGAGAGCGATTTTTGTCAAAGAGAAATTGGGTGCTGTTATCAAGAGATGAATAAAGAATTCTGAACAGGAAAAACCGAGTGATATTACACTGCACCCTGGAATTTCATAGATAGGCCAGATTTCAAGATGGAGAAGACAATGAAGGGCTTCCTCCTTTAGCTCATTTACTCTTTATTGTATAACTCCTACTTCCTCTACTCTTTATTGTGTAACTTTTCCAGACTCAGTTTTCTCAGCTGTGCAATGAGGATAATGTTGCTTGCCCAACTACTGCATGTGACTACTTTCAGGATCAAAGGGAGTACCCAAGTGCTTTGGTGATGGTTGCAGCTGTGCAAACATAAGGAATCCCCTCCAGGGTCTGCAAGTTCCTCCAGCATGTCTCATTCCTGTCTGCATCCTCACAGTCACAGTGTGCAAACTCAGGAAATGTCCACAGTGCAGCAGTGGCTGCCCTCCTCCTGGGGTTGTGCCTATGGGCTCTCTTTGCCAGGGACTCTCCTTTTGGAACAGCCTTTTGGACCATTTGTGGAAATGGCCTTTGCTTCAGTGAGCAGAGGTCTCTCTTTTCTCTTTTCCAGATTTACTGCTGGCTTCTGCTTCCCAAGTGAGCATTGACGAGGCACATTTATTGGTTTAGATGAAATGTGGCAGGACAGCTGGGGATAGCCAGGCAGCTAAGGCTCCCACATGCACAAAGCACTCAGACCCTTTGGCTCCAATTTGCAGCTGGCTCATGGGGAAATTGTAATGAGAATGTGAGTGACTGGCTGAACACAGAGGGAGAGCCCAGACAGAAAGACTGTAGAAAGCCGTGTCTGATCAAACACCTTGTGTTGCTGCCCCATTCAAGGGGGGAAGGTTGGAGAATCTGCCCTGTTCCCTCAGCTCTGCACTTTGGCTGCCAAACACCCATGCTTGCTCGAGGCTATGACAAGCCCTTTCTGTAGCTCTGTGTAGGAAGTGACAGCTGTTGAGAAATATCAGGTGAAAAGATAAAAGCCAAGGATTTCTCTCAAAGAATTGAGCAAGATTTGAAAGCTGTGTACTTGGTATGATTAAAAAAAGAAAACAAAAGAATAGAGCAAATTAAGGCAGGAAGGAGCCAAAGACATCATGTAATCTGATTCCTCAATTTACAACCAGACTGGTGCCCATAGAGAAAAATGTTTTTCTCCAAAGTCACACAGCTACTTAGTGGCAGGAAGGATTTAGAATAAAAATCTAGACAAATAGGCGAATATTTTTTTCCATCGTCCCCTTCTATCTGGTTCCCTTTCCATTTGAGTTCTTTGTCTGTTGTGCAGTTATTTGTTTAAATAATATTTTACTATTCAGTGTATATAATTTGAGTCTCATTATGTGCCAGGCTCATGCAGACCAATTTCTATAATTCTTACAACAGTTGTGTGAGCAGACATTGGTATCCTTGATGGTATTGTGAGAGATTACACAACTTGCCCAGCTCACACAGCTAGTAAGCAGCCAAACTTCTGTCTGTGTGGCTAGAGAATTCTCATACTTTCCAAGATATGATGCTACCTCTGAAAGTTGGTTTTTGGTGTCAATTAGGATTATGGATAAAAATTAGAGAGAAAGGAGAGAAACTAGATGGAGCTGGACAGTAGAAAGCTGGAATAAAGTAAAATAATGAAGGCTGGGACGTGATGACTGCAAATGGCCCTTGGAGTCCCTGCCAGCCAGATGGAATAAGTAACTGGGATTCCTTAGTGTGAGGGCATAAATGTATAATCCATGGGTGATATCCTTTGTTTCAAGTTTAAATTAGAAAAAAAATTGAAAAAAAATTTCTGTAGTTTTTGCAAGAGAAAAGGCAGGCTGAGTGATGCATGTAGAAACATATAATATGTTAGCTTGTATTCTACAGGTCATGAGGTCTTGGAAGGTTTGAGCTTTAAAATGAGAAAAGGAAATCAATTTAATTTCTTCTAATTAAAATCTTTTCCCATCCAAGAGAAAGTTGACAAATCTTACATTCAGAATGTAATTTTATTTCTCGAATAGATTTAGTATGATGGTAGATAAAATGCTGTTCTCTATGTGACCACTATTAAAAACTGAGTACGTGTAAACAATTGGTACACCTCATGCCATCCCTTGATGAGGTATGAAACAGGCAATGTGAGAAATGAAATATTTACAATTCTTGGGAAACATGGATCTTTGATATGCCAAATTGCCCTGATGATGAAGAAGAAAATAAAAACAAGTAGTTAGAAAAAAAGATGAAAGTAGCTTCAACACATTATTTATGTTATGATGAAAAAACTTTTGTTTATATTAGACTATATTTTTCATTTTGAAATACTGGGCCAGGAGTGGTGGCTCATGCCTGTAATCCCAGCACTTTGGGAGGCCAAGGCAGGTGGATCACTTTAGGTCAGGAGTTCAAGACCAGCCTGGCCAACATGGTAAAACCCCATCCCTACTAAAAAAATAAAAATAAAAAATAAGTTAGCGGGGCGTGATGGTGCATGCCTGTAATCCCAGCCACTCGGGAGGCTGAGACAGGAGAATTGCTTGAACCTGGGAGGCGGAGGTTGCAGTGAGCCAAGAGCACCACTGCACTCCAGCCTGGGTGACAGAGCAAGACTCCATCTCAAAAGAAAAAGAAAAAAAGAAATATTGGAAACAAAATCTTGAAAAGAAGAAAAAATACCCACAATGCTTGCACATTATATCACTTTTATCATTTTTGTTTGCATTTTTCAATCTCTTCTATGCTGGACCTCTTGTATAATTGTAATTTTATGTACAATTATATATATAATAAGGGTTTTCTATATATAGTTTACATAAAGCTAATTTTTCATGATATCCTATACTTGTTAAGTGGATAGATTATAATTTACAACCTTTTTCCTACCATTGAGTATTTAGCTTGTTGCTGTGAATATTGTTACATTTCATCAAGTCTTTGACATCTCTCTACTGGCGTATTTCTTTTAATCTTGTATTACAGTGAATTACTTTAATGAATTTCCTGATTTTCAACCATCCTTGCATTTCTCATATAGACTGTACTTCATCCTAATGTATTCTAAATGTCATTGCTACAATTTTATGTTCTACAATTGCTACAATTTTATCTCTATGTTCATCAGTATGATTGACTTAAGCAGATATAACAAGGCAGCCTGTTCTCCTTGAAAGCTCTTGGCTGCCTTGTTAGACAGATCTGTTTTTGGATCCTCCACTTCCTGGTACATGACCTGGAACAAATAACTTAGGCTTCCTTTTTATATGTTATTTCATTTTATTTTTATTTGGTCATATATTTTGAAAACAGCACTCAAGGGATATGGTGTTTACCTATGATTAAGCATTCAATTCTGAAAGGTAATTTGAATATTATATTCAAAATCTGAAAGGTAATTTGAAGGACTCATTGCATGGGCCAAAGTTATTGTAAATTCATGTACATCCATACCATACTCAAGATTGTGATTTTTCTTTGTTATCCTATGTTTTAAATAACCAACCTTTCAAAGTTAGTGCAATGAGACTTCTGGATTATAGCAAATGTGTGAGAAAGTATAAACAGACGACTATCAGTATAATTCAATCTAGTGGATCCTAAACCCTGATTTGCTGTTGGCTAACTGAGTAGGAAGGATGACCAGGCCTTCCCATCTGGAAAACACCCATATTCTTAAGTAATCCTCACGTGCAGGCTCTCAGATTAGTGAAACACAGATGTAGTGAAAAAAGAATCATAGATATTTTGTTCACACCGTGTTTTAAAGCCCTGTTCTTTCTTTGTTGAACTCAGAAAAATTCCCTAACCTTTCTGGACCTCAGTTTTATCATCTTCAATAAAGGTATAATACTTCTATTATAAGGTTATAAATTGTCTTTCATGTAGTGATCAATAAATGGCAGCCGTTATTATTATAGTATTCTCTTGACACCAAGATGCTTCTTCCTACTCATTAATGTCTCTGTGGTTGAGATGCATCTCAAAATTAAGATAAACAATTATGTCAGCTGCCAAGCAGGATAGTTAGTTACTGGACTGTTATATTGCCTGAAGATGTATAAACTTGTCCATATAGTGGTTATTTAATCACTTAATTGTTAACTCTGTTGAATTATTTGTATCAATATCACTACTGGGTGGTTGAATTTTAGCTTACTTTTGAATTCCTAATTATTTAAATTAGGATCCTAATTATTTATTTAGATGCCTTTAGAATATTGCATTGCCATCCAGTATTTTGAAGGCATCTAAATAAATAATTAGGCACTCAAATAAAATAATAATTTATTTAATTGAAATGAAAAAAATCATGTTTCCAGAAGAATGATTGACACATACCAGGCAATGCAATGAAAGGAAATAGAAACTGCTAAAATAGATAATAGAAATCATAAAGTGGGAATTAGCAGTGACCAATTTATGGGTTTAATGAGTTGTCATTTAAGGGGCCAGGTGTGGTGGCTCACGCCTATAATCCCAGCACTTTGGGAGGCTGAGGCGGGTGGATCATGGGGTCAAGAGATCAAGACCATCCTGGCCAACATGGTGAAACCCTGTCTCTACTAAAAATACAAAAATTAGCTGGGCGTGGTGGCACATGCCTGTAGTCCCAGCTACTCGGGAGGCTGAGGCAGGATAATTGCTTGAACCTGGGAGGCCAAGGTTACAGTGAGCCGAGATCACGCCACTGCACTCCAGCCTGGCGACAGAGCGAGGCTCTGTCTAAAAAAAGAAAAAGAAAAAAAAAAGTTGTCATTTAGGTACCAAATAGCTCTTTCTCAAAAGCTGTTGGCTGACTTTCAAGAGAAGTTGGCTAACTTTCAGGATACTTCCTTTTGTAAAGAGAAAGAATAAAGCTGTGAGGCTATGTAGATGAAACACCAATATTCTTCCGTATGCCAGAAAACAATACTGTTAATCCGAAAGGTATGAAAAGCCCACTATCTTAAGCATAGGTTATGCCAAGTCTACACCTTATGCTCCAAACTTGATTAGGCCACTGAAGAAAGAAGTATGGATAAATGTAGATGATTGCTAAATCTAAAATGTGAATATGTGATTCTCCGCTTCTTCCCCCAACAAAGCTGTAATAAACTGATGTGGCTTATGATGGACAATATATTATGACCTAAAAAGAAGGGTGGCAGTGTAATTGGCTAATTATATTAGCATCTATACTTGAACTCTTATGGCAGTCTAGACAAATTGCACAGAGTAGCAATTTGTTGATTTCTGCTTCATTATAAGTCTGGGTTTTGTCCACAGAGGAAGGCGTGGTATTTTTTTTTTTTTTTTTTGAGACGGAGTCTCGCTCTGTCGCCCAGGCTGGAGTGCAGTGGCGTGATCTCGGCTCACTGCAAGCTCTGCCTTCCGGGTTCATGCCGTTCTCCTGCCTCAGCCTCCCGAGTAGCTGGGACTACAGGCGCCTGCCACCTCGCCCGGCTAATTTTTTGTATTTTTAGTAGAGACAGGGTTTCACCATGTTAGCCAAGATGGTCTCGATCTCCTGACCTCGTGATCCGCCCGCCTCGGCCTCCCAAAGTGCTGGGATTACAGGCTTGAGCCACCGCGCCTGGCCTTTTTTTGCTACTTTAAAGAGTAATAGAGGTAGACAGTTATTCATGCTAGCCAGCAGGCCAAACTCAGCAGAGCTTTTGTGGTCCTTTGAGGTTTTGTAGAGTTACAGAGATGTAAGCAATGTTAACATAAAGCTTAAATAGCAATAAATGTTTACATTGTTTCATGCCTTGCCTGTTCTGAAATGATAGTCACACTACAGTGCATACTGATAATCCTATTTAGAAATGGTAGGCACCTTAAAGAACTTTGGTGGTCAGTTATAACTTCAAAAATCCAGGAAAGTTTTTCTTCTTGAGCTTTAAGAGTCTGAGGAATATGGCAAAGCAGCCACTTCTTGTTGTATTCTATAGTACCATGGTCACAGAAACATTAGAGATTAAAAGCAAGTGTTGTTTTAATTTTTCTTTTTTTTTGAGATGGAGTCTCGCTCTGCCCACCCAGGCTGGAGTGCGGTGACAATCTCAGCTCACTGCAACCTCTGCCTCCTGGGTTCAAGCGATTCTCCTGCCTCAGCCTCCGGAGTAGCTGGGACTACAGGCATGCGCCACCATGCCCAGCTAATTTTTGTATTTTTAGTAGAGACAGGGTTTCACCATGTTGGTCAGGCTGGTCTCAAACTCCTGACCTCAGGTGATTCACCTGCCTCGGCCTCCCAAAGTGCTGGGATTACAGGCGTGAGACACCACACCCAGCCTGTTGTTTTAACTTTCTGAAGAGACAGTGGTCCAACCGGAGAGGGACTGGGTAAAGATGCTCAGTCTACTCTGCTGAGGATATCTTCTTAATAACTTCTGTTACAATTCTTTATTTTCAACATTATAGGAACAGCATAAAAATTTGCAAAGAAGTTAACATATACTGAAATGAATTGTACTCAATATGTGTATAGCTTAAGTAAGCATACTTGTATGTTAATAGTTGTCTATAAAACTGAAAAAATATAAGAGTATCTACAGTGTTCTTTCTCACTCTTCATTAGGCTATTAAGAAGGCTTTTTAGGCCTGGTATGGCACCTCTATCTTTCTTATATTTGTTGTACACATCCAACTTATATGCGTGTTGACTGCCAGGCAACTATGGTCCACTCAGGTCTTATATCAATGAAACCAATAGCAGAAGATGTTTTATCTCATTGAAGAGTATCAAGATTGTAATTAGACTGAACTGCATTTTAATCTCCCCTCTGTCATATATTACCTGGGGAATACTGGGCAAAATTCTTTACTTTTGAGAGCCTTAGTTCTCTTATCTGTGAAATGGGAATAATAACACCTACTTCATGGATTTGCTGTGACTATTTTCTTTAATATTTTATTATTTTTAATTGATAAAATTTATGTATTTATTATGTACAACATGATGTTTTGAAATATGTATACATTGTGGCATGGCTCCATAGAGCTAATTAACGTATGCATTATCTCACTTATTTTTTGTAGCAAGAACACTTAGAATCTACTGTTTTACTGATTTTGAAAATACAATACATTGTTATTAACTCTGGTCATCATGTTGTACTACAGGTCTCTTAAACATATTCCTTCTATCTAACTGAACTTCTGTATTCTTTGACCATCATCTCTCCAACCCTGCCCAGGTCCCCAACAGCCCTTGGTAACCACCATTCTATTCTGTACTTCTGTGAGCTCCACTTTTAAAGATTCCACACATAAGTGAAATCACGTATTTGTCTTTCTGTGCCTGGCTCATTTCACTTAACAACATAATGTCCTTCAGGTTCAGGAAAGCTTTCAAAAATGACAGGATTTCCTTCTTGTTAAAGGCCAAATAGTATTCCATTGTGTTTATTTTTATATATGTAGATACACACACACACACTATATATATATATAGTAAATATATATATATACACACACACTATATATATAGTATGTGTATATATATATATACACACATTGTACGTATATATACATGTGTATACATATCATTTATCATTTTCTTTATTCATTCCTCTGTTAAGGAATTCTTAGATTGATTCCGTGTCCTGGCTATAGTGTTGTAATTATTAACAGAAGTAATATATTTAAAAGCATACTACCTGGTATATAGTGAACCTTAAATAAATGCCAACTTCCCTTCCATCACATCACTGCTTCCTTTCTTCTGAGCTTACAATAGATAAAAGTTTATTATCTAAAGCAATAGCTCTCAAAGGGTGGTTCCCAGACCAGTCACATCATCATCACCTGGGGACTTGTTAGAAATGCAAATTCTTGGCCTCACCACAGACTTCTTGTATCAGAAATTCTGAGGGTGGGGCTGAGTAATATGTGAAGTCCTGCAGGTGGTTCTGGTTCATGCTAAAGTTTGAGGACCACTGCCCTAAAATGTAGGCTTCCTGTTTAAACTAGTGTCCCAACAAATTTGCTTCTGTTGTTCCTAGGGTCTATGAGCAAATCTGAACATTGCACAGGTTGCAGGAGTCCAGCTCTGCAGAGTAATGCCCAGGAATGCCTTCTCTTCTTGCTATTGCCTTGATGTAGCAAGTATTAAGATGGGTAAGGAGCGCTAATGGCAATTGATTCCAAGATGGAATAAAATCCTGAATAAAAGGTTTCTTTGCTCCATATCTTCAGCAATTACTGGACCACCCTGGCTTTCTGGGTATTGTCAGAATTTATAATTTCTGCCAATCTAATGGATATGAAACTGTGTATTATTCTGACTTTAATTTATACTTTCCTGATTCTAATGGTTATTGCTTGTACAATTTTGATTGGCCAGTTTTTCCACTTCTATGAAATGTTAGTTTATGCCTGTTATTCATTTTTCTATGGAGCTGCTTAGTTTTTTCTTAGTGATCTATAAAATTATTTAGATCAGTTTAGACCAAATGAATTATCAATATTTGGTATTCTGTTGACCTATAAGAATGACAGTTTTGTATGGTTCAACCTACTATATTTTGAATAAATGTCTCTTTTTTGTTTTTTATTTTTATAAATTTTTCTTCCAGATTATGGTTTTTCTTCTATTCTCTTCATATAATTTTTTGATGAAAAAGTTTTAAATTATAATGTAATCAAATTTATTAATAATAGCCTATATGATCTGTAGTTCATATGTCTTGTTTAAGGAATTAGTGCCCACGCTTTCTCACTGGTCTGCAATATTAACTCTGTTATGTGTTTTCATATAGTATTCTTGAATAAGAATTCTTTGTTTTTCCAAGTACTTTTGGAACAAATGCCTTTGTTTTTCCAAGTACTTTTAAGAATTACATTGTCAAAATTACATAAAAAATCTGTTGAGACTTGATTGAAATTTGGCTTTTAATTTTGGAGAAAATTGAGTTTACAGTATTGATTTTAATTAAAAGAGTTTGGCGTAGTTCCGTTTTTCTAGAATTAGTAGAATATTTAATCTGCTAATCTGTCTGAAGATTCTTTTGGGTTTTCTAAGTGGGTAATCATATCCACTACAAAAACATGATACTTTTGTTTCTTTCATTTCAATGCAATTCTGAACACATTTTATCTATTTATTTTTTCTTGTTTCATTATGCTGGATAGTACTTCAAGTGCAATCCAAAAGAGAAGCAGAAATAATGGGCATCCTTGTTATATCCTTAATATTAAATGGGTATGCATTTAACATTTTACCATTGTTGAAAATAAACTGAGGGACAATACCATTTTAAAGAGTTTATTTAATCAAATAGTTATTCATGAATCTGGCAGCTCCAAACCAGAAGTGGTTTGGTAGCTCCTCTAAGGAATACAAGGGGGAGGCTTTTATAGAACAAAAACAGAAGTAAAGCAGAGCAAATATTTGATTGGTTAAGCTACAGTTATACAGTTGCCTTATTTGGTCTATCCCATTGGAAAGTCCTTACTTAAGTAATTATAAGTTTGTTGGATGCTTCTGACTGAATGAGCTTAAGTTTGTTTTTTCTTTAACAAAGGCATTTATAAGCAATGGCCCAAGTTGGCTTTCACTTATATTTGCAATTTAAGCAAGGTTCAGGTATTTGTGAGGCCTAACTGACTTTGGCTCAGGGCTTCTTCAGGCCCATTCTCCATTTTAATTTACTTTAACATTGAGTTTGTTTGCTGTGGGCTTTTTATTTTTTTATTTTTATCTTTTTTGATAGCATTCTTTATTACCTTAGGGAAAATCCTAATTTGCTGAGAGTTATACTGAAGAAGGAATATTGAATTTAATTAAAATTTCCTGTATATATTTAGATGGCTTAGGTTTTTCTCCTGGAATATTTTACTTGGTGAATTACATTAAGTGATTTTTGCATTCCCAGAACAAAGGAAACTTAGTCATGTCATTTTCTTTAAAACTTGTTATTACAAATTGATGCTTTGGGTTTGCTAAGTTTGATTTTCTTAATTTGCTACTCCATGCCAATGGTACCTTTTTCTTAGTTTTAATTTAATATTTCACTCTGTATTTTATATATAGTAAATATATCTCTTTAGCTATCTATCCAATAACATCAATATCTAGAATTGATTCTTAGATTTTTGTTGGACTCAGGTCTCTCTAACTCCCAGTCCCAGCTAGTAATTCATGTGACGGTGTTCTTAGTGTCTCTTGTTACCATCAATCAAAATCTTGTTCATTCATGAAAACCTATTCCAGTTTTTCTCCTTTGTAAGGCCTTCCCAGATTCCTGTGACTAGAAGTAATTGCTTCCTTTTTATGTTTCTATTCTATTTTATAGGTATTTCTATTTGGCCTTTAATTCGTTCTTCTTGATTTATATATCATCTCCCACATATTTTATAAGGCCCTTGAGAGCAGGGATGGCATCTTACTCAATTTTTTACTCCCAATACCAAGCCAGTTTCTATCATTTATATAGAGAACTGGGTAATGGAGAAAAAAATTAGTCAGATAGTGTTTGAAACTAGCTTTGGCCTAATTACTAAATGTTCTTAAGCTTCATCATCTATAAAACAGTTAGTATATTGACTCATTTCTCCTGATTATAAAGATATAATTAAATGAAATAGTGTTTATAAAATGGGTGGCACATAGGTCTTCACTACATGTTTGATGAATTATGCATGAGTTGACCTAGTAGAGGGATATGTTTTTAGTAGTTATCCTATTATATTGTTTAGAAATTATGCTAAATGTTACACAATGTTTACCTTTAGAGCCACAAGTAAAGGAAGCAGATCCAAACGTGCACTTGTCAAAGAAACATCCGCTTCAGGCTGTTTGGCAAGGATTCTTTGTAAAGCACTGTTTGAGGTGCTGCTGGAATTAATAATTCTCCTACTTCTCTCTGGATAATGATTCTTTCATCACATTAGTTTTGCTGAGAGAGCTACACGAGGGCTGGCTGGTGACTGCATCTGGAGCTCCATTGCACTGGGACATGGGGAACTTGTCATAAGCTGCCAGTTATCTCCATGCACCACCCAGAGAAGAAGGTCAAGGAGTTAGCACTTCTCTACCTGAGAACCTGATTTTGACCAGGAATCTTAACATCACTGAATATTAGGTATGGAAGAAGAATGTCCAAACATTTATGTAAAATAAATATGTTATGAACCAGGGATTTAAAAGGAAGTCTGGCTTACAGAAAATATATCAACATTCTCCTTCTTAAAACCTTTCAGTATTTTCCAAATGCCAGTAAATAAAGTCAAAATTCCAAAGACTTGTTTAAATTTCTACATGAGTCATCATACCCTACCTTACCAAAGTCGTCTCTCATTATTTCTTATGTGCTCTATACTTCTACTTCTCCGTGTATTTTGCTGACCTATAATTCCCATCACTTTACTATCCCTGAATATTTACTGAAACAGAATCCCCACTTAGAATGTTCCAGTTCAACCCGTTCTTCTATACTCAGTTCAAATGTTACCTTTTCGAGGTAGCCTTCCTTAATCCAATCAATACAAATTAATATTTCATTTAGTTTTGAATAAATAAGCACATTTTAAATAATGACATTTGATTTGAATGACAAAACACATCTTTTAAAAGTGCCACTCTGTACCAGGCAATGAGCTGAGGTCCAAAATGGATTATTCTCAATAAGCTCAGTTCTATTGGGAGACAAGAAAGGAACAGATAATATGCTGTTAACTGTTACTGTATTTAGATAAAGTGCTACAGGAGTGTGAAGAAAGCCAAAGCATAGTTGGTCTGTGGCTTCTCCAATATGATCTTCCCCCATGGGTAGTTTGAGATTATTTGCGGCATGGTGGCTGGTTTCTTCTTGTCCTAAGAAGGCAAGGAGAAAGGTTATGGCATTTCCTTTTCATGCAAAGTCACAGAATATCCCTTCCACCATTCCCTATTGGCACACATTCATAAAATCCACTCATGTTTAGATAAGTAGACCTAGTCTCTATCACTTAATGAAAAGAGTGCCAGTGCCAAGGTCACATTTGAACAAGAGCACGTGGATGAGAGATATTACTGTGGCCATCTTGAAAAATACAAACTACTTTTCTACTCCTGTTACCTTCTGTTTACTTGTCCACCGTACTCCATAAGGAAACCCTTAAAACACAAGCCATCCATGAGTTTGTTTTCAAAGTTTGTGAGAACTGGGGTTGCCAGGGAGATTGTGTTTTATTCTGAAGATGGGTTTAGGGGAGAAGACTCGTGAAGGATGGAATAAGTGGTGACAGCATAGAAGAAAGAAAAAGAAAGTTGAGTACTGGGGTGTGGGGCACAGAGAAGGAAGGAGAACCCAGAACCAGTTCAGATCTGATGGGAGTTTTCTATCAATGATTGATATACTAAGCCTTGTTTATCTCAATTTAGATGTGAATAATTAATTACATGGTAAAGACATAATGAATTTTTGCTTAGGTCTTATTTGTTAAGCTTAAATAATCAATTTGAATAAATAAATAAAGCTTAAGCCTTATTGATTAAGCTTTATTTACACGTGAATGTGAATGGGGTTATGTCAGATTTCTTGTGACAGGAACTTGATAGTTTCTAGGTAGAGCATAGTAGCACAAAGGGGTGAAGGAAGAATCCAAGCTGGGGAGTTTTCTGGAATTGGGGCAAGAGGAAAAAGATAATGTTTTGGTTTCTGAGCCTATTAGTCAGTCTTTTAATATTCTCATTGCTTAGAGATGCAATATATAACACTATTTAAGAGTCTAAAATGTGTTCATAGAAACCTGAGTTTTAGGCTATGTGCTGTGGCTCATGCCTGTAATACCGGCACTTTGGGAGGCTGAGGTGGGCAGATCACTTGAGGTCAGGAGTTTGAGACCAGCCTGGCCAACATGGCGAAACCCTGTCTCTACTAAAAATACAAAATTAGCTGGGCGTGGTGGCGGGTGCCTGTAATCCCAGCTACTTGGGAGTCTGAGGCAGGAGAATTGCTTGAACCTGGGAGGTGGAGTTTGCAGTTAGCTAGCATCGTGCTACTGCACTCCAGCCTGGGTGACAGAGCAAGACTCTGTCTTAAGAAAACAAAAACCAAACAAACAAAAAAACCTGAGTTTTAATCACCCCTTCAATATTTAATAGCTGAATGAATTCAGAAAAATTATTGGCTTTGAAACCTCAGTTACCTTATCGCCAAAATGGGAATAGTAGCATCCCTTTCAAAGAGTTATTGGGGATTAAATATAATTCTATAAAGTTTGTACCTAGCAGTTTCTGATGCCAGTAGTAAGTACTCAAAAATGATAACCATTTAACAATGGTTAAAAATGGTTTAAATGGTTAAAAATGGTTAAATATGGTTATCATTTTTATAACCATTTTGATAAAAATGGCTAAAAATGGTTAAATATGGTTATTTTTTATGACCATTTTGATTAAAAATGGTTGTTATATGCTTTAATATCTTTATATTTCTGCATTTTTTCCGAGCATTTGTTCTGCATTCAGCCATGTATAGTTTATCTCCTTTATAATTGTGTGGAGGGTGGCCTAGATTCTTTATCATCCTCCAGGTGGAACTCTTACCCTGGGAAATGATTTTCATGCAGCCTTAAAAAAATAAAAGTGAGCAGAAGCTTCTGTGAGAGGAATTGCTTTGGTCAATGAGTGGTTAGAGGAATCCCAGTCCTAATTACCCAAATGTGTACAAGGACCCTCCAGTATACTCAAGTGCTCCTCCGCGCCTCGCATAATTTGGAGTGGCAGACAGTTATGCTGCTTGCATTATGATGAGAATAGAGACAGTGGGTATAGTTAATATTATCTTTCTTTAGGTTTCTACTCTCAGTTATGACTAGGTGAAACTCTAAACCTCTGGACATTCCTGTGGGCTTAGCACTTAATTATGCAAACCAATTCCAACTTGCACAAATATACAAGGGATTAGGTGGGGGAGGAAGGTGGGGCGGGGTAAGGTGTAGGGACTTCCTTCCTTTTACTAGCTGTGTGATCCTCAGCAAATGGCTTAACTTCTATGAGACTGTTTTCGCATCTGTAAAATGAAGATAACAATGCCTACCTCATGGGATTGCCGTGAGGATTAAATAGGTAAAGGACTAGCACAGTTCTTGGGGCACGGTAGGGCTTAATCAGTGTTATTTTTCCTTGGTTTCCTGTTCTCTTGTAGGATAGTCATCCCAACAAATTATGCATAAAATAGAAACTTCCTAACCTTAGACACACCTGGAACTGTAAGTTGTCAAGTCTGAATAACCTTCTCCTGCTAGTTATTAGATTGTTCTCTCTTCTGCTGGCTGTGGAAATGTGTAACAATCCAACTCTCCCTGCATAGTCAATGGACTAATTTGCAAAAATTTGGAGGAAGAGCATAAATATTAAATGCAGCAGAAGCAGTAGGCTAAGTGAATCTTCTCACATTTCTTAGAAGTTTGGTTTAGATAACGAACCTACTGGTGGTAGGAAAAACAAAGTTTTGACTTGAAACCTTTTTATGGGGAGGTGGTGTAGGGAGCAAATTATACCATTCTTCATACCTTGCGTTGCAATTTTAAGGTGTTGCAACTTCCTGAACTACAACCTTGGCAGCCTAAGAACAGTATTTTCACTTGAACCCCTCAAAGCAACTCATTTAATACGCAGTCATTTATGCCTTCTTTTCTCCCACCCCACATTCTTTCTTTCATTCTGCAAGCCTTTACTAATGGTGTGCTATGTTTTAATCACTATGATAAACCTGGATACATTGTATAACCAATGCAATGTGAGACCATGTTATTTATATTGGTTGTTTGGTTAATTAACAAAATTTTTCAAAATATCATTAAAATGATGAATACATACATTAAACATTTTATTTTAACTTATAACAGAGAAGGGCATATTTTTTAATGCAAAGTTATGTTTTTTTCTTTGATTATGAGTCTGCTGATAGGAGGTTGCAGTTATCCTACTTGAATAAACCCCACCCACATCACATTGTTTACAATTTCTAGTTTCCATTTCTTTAAAGTGGAGCTAAAACTTAGGTACATGACAAGCAAACTAAACATAAAATCTTTTACAATTTTTATTTTTTTCTTCTCAATCTTTTGAAACCATTTTTTTCTTCTCAATCTTTTGAAACCATTTTTTTCTCATTGCTAATTTAGTAGCCTTTTAAAAGTAGCTTACCTTCACTGAGTTTTTCCAAGGCATTCCATTTCTTTTTACTAGTATAGCAGCTCTTTTTTTAGAAGTAATTTTTAATAGTTGCAAAAGTTTTCTATATGGGAGCAGCACAATTGCCTTGACTGATTACATTTTGTATCCTTGCACCATGTCCAATTCCCTTTCTCTTATTTTTTATTAATAAAATATAAAAAATGCTACAATATTTTTTCTTTTTTAAACTCACTAACACATTTATGTTTTAAATAATTTCCACTTTTATTTTAGATTTGGGGGTACATTTGCAGGTGTGTTGCATGGGCATATGGCGTGATGCACCATGGGCATATGGCATAATGATCCCATTACCCAGGTGGTGAGCATAGTACCCAATAATTAGTTTTTCAGTCCTCCCCCCATGAGTAGTCCTCAGTCTCTATTGTTCCCATATTTATGTCCACATGTATCCAATGTTTAGCTCCCGCTTATAAGTGAGAACATGCAGTATTTGGTTTTGTTTCTTTGCTAATATTCTTAGGATGATGGTCTTTAGCTGCATCAGTGTTGCTGCAAAGAACGTGATTTCATTCCATTCACTTTTTATGGCTGCATAGTATTCCATGGTGTATATGTACCACATTTTTTAAAAATCTTGTCAATTGTTGATGGACACCTAGATTGAATCCATGTATTTGCTATTGTGAATAGTGCTGCAGTGAACATATGAATGCATGTGTCTTTATGATAGAATGCTTTATATTCCTTTGGGTATATACCTGGTAATGAGATTGCTGGGTCAAATAATAGTTCTATTTTAGTTCTTTGAGAAATCTCCAAATTGCTTTCCACAGTGGCTGAACTAATTTACACTGCCATCAACAATATATAAGTGTTCCCTTTTCTTCGCAGTCTTGCCAGCATCTGACGTTCTTTGACTTTATAACAATAACCATTCTGATTAGTGTGAGATGGTATTTCATTGTGGTTTAGATTTGCATTCTTCTGATGATTTGTGATGTCGAGCATTTTTTCCTATATTTGTTGGCTGCTTGTATGTCTTATTTTGTGAAGTGTATGTTCAGGTCCTCTGGCCACTTTTTAATCAGGTTATTTGTTTTTTGTTTGTTGGGTTAAGTTCCTTATAGATTCTAGATATTAGTCATTTGTCAGATGCATGATTTGCATATACTTTCTCCACAATATTGCAAATAGATTCTGTGGGCTATTTATTCTGTTGATAGTTTCTTTTGTTGTGCAGAAGCTCTTTAGTTTAATTAGGTCACACTCATCAATTTTTGCTTTTGTTGCAATTGCTTTTGAGGACTTAGTCATAAATTCTCTGCCAAGGCCAATGTCCAAAATGGTATTCCCTAGGTTTTCTTCTAGGATTTTTTTATAGCTTGAGGTCTTACATTTAAGTGTTAAGTGTTCATTTGAGTTAATTTTTGTATATGGTAAAAGGTAGGGGTCTAGTTCATTCTTCTGCATATGACTAGCCAGTTATTCCCGTATCATTTAGCACACAGGGAGTCCTTGCCACATTATTTATTTTTGTCTGCTTTGTAGAAGATCAGATGGTTATAGGTGTGCAGCTTTATTTCTGGGTCCTCTGTTCTCTTCCACTGATTTATGTACCTGTTTTTGTACCAGTACTATGCTGTTTGGGTTACTATAGCCTTATAGTATAGTTTGAAGTCAGGTAATGCACTACCTTTGGCTTTGTTCTTTTTGCTTAGGATTGTTTTGGCTATTCAGGCTCTTTTTGGTTACAGATGAATTAAAATTTTTTTTTTGTAATTCTGTGCAAAATTATGTTGGTATTTTGATAGAAATAGTGTTGAATCTGTAGGTTGCTTTGGGCAGTATGGTCATTTTAATAATAATAATTTTTCTAATCCATGAGCCTGGAATGTTTTTTCCACCTGTGTCATCTCTAATTTCTTTCAGCAGTGTTTTGTAGTTGTCCTTGTAGAGATCTTTTACTGCTTTGGTTAGATGTGTTCCTAGGTATTTTATTTTTGTGTGTGTGTATAGCATCTTTTTGCACCCATATTTAATGGGTTTATAATCATAGTTAATTAAATGACATGATTACAATAACACATATAACAAGCAAAAAGAAATTTTGGAACAAACATCACTGATGCTTGGCAAATTTACATCCTAACCATTGGGAGCAAAGATGCACGAACATAGTTTGAGCAGCCTACCAATCCTAAGCATTTAGTTGCAGTGGTTCTCAGTCAGCATGCTACACATACACACACACACACTCAAATAAACACACACGGAGTATATATTAATGATAAAAAGTTGTACACTTTCATCTCAGTAAGCCATACGTAGCTAACCCTCACTGTTTGTTTTCAAAATATCATTAACAATCCTTCATAAGAAATATCTAAGCTGGGTGAACCCCACCCTGTTTAATTCAACAAGCTGTCACTGACCATCTGGTTTATGCTAAGTGCTGAGGCAATAAAAATGAAGGGCCATCTCCTTTTAACTGGAGAGACAGTCCCTTAAATAGATCATTTCAGCATGTTCTTCTAAACAAAAGAATTTTTTTTTTTTTTTTTGGCCTGAGGAATCATGGTGGTACCTACTAAGCCTCTTCACTAAATGATGCTTTTAAAAAAACAACTCCTTTGACTCAACACATTATACATTACAAAAGTGCTACACTGGGGCTGCTCAGATATAGGTGGTCCAGTTGATGTGAGACATGAAATTGTTGGACTGATTCCTTTGCGGGAATGACATCTGGGTAACTGCCCACAATAGCATTTCATAGGCGAGATTGTTAGCGCTGCTATACCACCCTTGAGTCCTCTGACCTCATGATCATTCATGAAACAATGTTACTTTGCTTTTTGTCATTTAATAAGTCATACAAATTGCTTTAAACTGCCATAAAGTATGGCATTATGCTCCCAAACATTTAAAAAAGAGACTCCTGATTTAGCCACACTTTTTCCCCCCCAACACCTCTTTCTTGATAGAATAGAAGAGAAATTCATCCATACAAGCAAGGAGAGTTGGCTTTATTGAATTGTTAGTCTTTACTGCTATAAGGGAATGGGTTAAGGGTATGTTACCAAGAAACAAAACAGTGGAACATCACAATTAGAGGTGTGAATTTCAGACATGAAATGTAATTGTTTTACCAGTTTTCACAGGGATCACCACCTGGTACTCACCAAAGCTATTTTGAGACTGTCTTTCATCATCCATGGGTATTAAAACAACCAGCAAGCAGTCGCTCTTTGTTAGTTTATGACCCATAAGTACTTATTAAATGGAGAAGCTACCAAATACAGGATCAAAAATCAGAATAAGGGAGGTGCCACACCCTGCTTTTATAACCAAACTATTCTTTCAGGGGGTGTCTTGAAATTTTCCCAGTTAACTTGTGAATATTATTAACATTCTATCCAAACTCTCAAAATGAATTCTGTATTAGCTTGGTTGCATTTGGAAATAAATACAAAGTTTTCTGTGATAGAAAATCTTTCTGTTCCAAAGGACATGGTTTAGGTATGGTGTTTTGTTATTCTGATTACTCTGAAATTTCTGAAACAAGAAATCCTGTATAATAAGTACCATCTCTGGAGCAGTAATTAATTCTCTGTTTCATTCTGGAATGAAAATGCCCAAGGAAAGAGATGTTTTGAAGAGGAATCTGTTGTGTTGACTGCTCACCAAGCCTGCAGGCTGCTGTGGTTGGAAGCAGCCCTAGGGGGTTCCCATGTACAGCATATGTAGAATTTTGATTCTGAGGTCCTGGCCATAATTGATTGGAAAAGGGTCGGTATTTGACTTGAGGCTGGTCAGCAGCCTATGTGGTGGCCTGGTGTAAGAGCTATTCCTAACTCTGATCAGTTTTGACACTGATAAACTGAACTATAAAGTCTTTCTCCACTGGGGCATTTGAATAAGAAATGTAGAGTCAACAACTGTCAGTGGAGGCAGAGAACACAAAGAGGACATCATGAGAGACGTAAATGGGTTTCATTAAACAGTAGAAGTCACGAAGCTGTAGGAGCCTTGAGTAAGCAGAAGCTCAGTATAGGCAGAAAGCTCGAGATATCTAGGAGGGGGACATCATAACAGTGGCAATTATAACAACAAGAGCAGATGAAGTGGAGAAGGACAGTGTTGAGTCACTAATGGCAGTGTACTAGAGCCAATGAAGCTGACTGCTGACAGAGTGACAGGAAAACTTGGTTGCTAAGGTTCTGTTAAATCTTAATGATCTTCCAGGCTTTTAGCAATATCCTTATCTATGTGAGAACTGCGTTCTACTGTTAAAGTTCCCATTTTCCTTATTTCTATTTGTAGAAAAGGTAATCTGAATGAGCTAAAGTAAAGGGAATTTTATTCCACAAGTAGATATTACCCCTCCATTTTAATCCTTCTTAACTCACTCTGGTAAAACCTGCTACACTCCCAAATAATCCACTAAAATTATTTAAAAAACAACAGCAACAACAATAATAATACAGTTGTAGTCTTTTGTTGGAGGAAATGGAAAGAGGGACGGTATACATGACTACTCATGTTCTTCTACTGACTGCTTCTTATGGATGATCAGTAGCAAGCCCAATGCTTAGCATACCTCATTTCTAACCCCGTAAGAAACATCAAAAGTAGTTATTGTAAAATTCATATTACACATTGAAGAAACTGAGGCTTAGAAAGGGCCAGTGAATTGCCTAAGTGCACCCTGCAATCGGGAATCAGAGTGGGGATCTTTACCCAAGTCTACCTGGCTCCATAGTAGATGCGCTTCCCACTGCACATCACGGCTTAGCCTTTGCCACCCCCATGACATTCATACTCCCAAGGAAACAGGTGTGTGGGATAGAAACAAAAGTCACTACTGCAAGGGCCACTGAGATCGGCTCCATGTTGGGAGCAGGCAGTCAGACAGGCAGGCGGGGCCCACGATTCCTGATAGATTACTCCCACTCTATCTTGTGCAACATGGTTATCGTGAACAGGCTGCATTTATTAAGTCACGCCACTCAGTCAGGTGTTTTATTACCGATATCAGTGTAATTTATATGTAAAAACACAATCAGTTCCCTTCACCTTGTGAGAAATCTGACAGAAAGGAGGTGACAGATGGCAGCTAGAATGTTCCCCTGTTGTGATGTGGATCATGGAAAATTGGACAGTTGGTCTATGTGGGTATTTGTGGCAGAAATCACAAGGAAGTGGGAGTTACACACTGAAGCCCCATTCATCTTAGTCTTCAGAGTCAGCTGTCTCAGGTGGGGTGAGGCAGTTGGAGACTGACTGACAATGAAATATGTCAGCTCGTTCATCAGGGACTGACAAGGCTCCAGGTGAGAGATCATGCATGGCAGTGGGGCTATCGAATTGGCTGAGGCTACTGAGTTCCACTTAGAGACCACAAGCCTCCATCTCTCCTGACTGGAGGGTGCTACAATTTGGTAATTTAGAGGGGTAGTCCTAATTAAGAGAAGTTAATGTTTCTTCTACCTGCTGGGTGATTCCCTTCTGAGAAGGGGAGTACGGCTAACCTATATGGATGATGCTCATGCCCATGCCTTTTTCTAGGTACCAGGGATAAACTGTTGCGCTTTTAGGACAGGCAGTTGAGAAACTGAAAAGGAAAGGGCACTGTTAATATGTTTTTGATTCTCTGGGTTGGGGACCAGCCTTTAAAAAAGGCAATGGTCCAGATTTCAGTTGAAGATGCATGTTCTCAAGCCCCTCTACTACGGTTGGGGGTGGAGGCTTTATACTTATCACAGGCAGGCATTAGAGCAGAAAGAGGTAAAGAGGGTCCTTGCCCTGAAGGCATTCAGAGCCTAGTAAGGAGGAAAGACAATTAAGCATGTGAGTATAATGGAGTGTGATGGCTGTTATGATGGAGCTACCAAGGAGATTTCCCTTGGGGTGTCCCTAGCAGACTATGATGGCTGCTGATACCCTTATTGTCCTCTCTGCATCTTACACTCTCTATGTCCTACTACAGGCTGGATACCTGACTTCCAGACCCTTACCCAGAAGCTTCTCTGTGTCCTGTCTCCTGTCTCCAGCTAACTGGCCTATGTTATTTCTAGTATTCCTACTAAGGGACTGGGTTCCACTAAAGTATATGCTTAAAGTTGAAAGTTCCCTGATATTGAAAGGATAGTTAGAAATCTCTCCTTTGACCCTTTTGTTCCATGGATTTTGGAGGAGTACAAAATTGGGTAGATTGTTTGTGATGTTTTTGTGAAAGCTTTTCTCTTTGAGTTAGATTTGAACTGTGACCTTGCCTAACTCCTATGCAGTGTGTGTGTGTGTGTGTGTGTGTGTGTGTGTGAGAGAGAGAGAGAGAGAGAAAGAGAGAGAGAGAGAGAGATAATGCAATGAATACAATCTTCTATGCTCTGCTTGCTTTATAGCAAGTTGCTCCAGGACTCCCAAATGCAGGGGAAGGATGGGTTCTGTTAGCAGTAACAGATTCTTTTAAGCATTAGGGACTCACTAGGTTTATAATTACAGGAGTGAGAGGATTATATTTGTCTTTAAAATTGTCACCCAGGTAGTAGTGTGGATGAGAAGTTGAGGTAGAAAAGACAGATTTGGGAACTAGATGAATGGGGTCATCAAAACAACTTCCCCTACTACTTCTAATTTTGCCTGAACAAGTCCATCCAGCTAAGCAGTGGGGAAAAGGAAGAAAGAATAGAGAAAGCAGGTGAATCTTTGAGTTTCCTCTGAGATATGAAAAGATGTGTGCTATTTCTTAAATATCGTGGATTGAGCACTCTTGCTGAGACCAGAAAATACAGCTTGCAGCCTATTTCCTCAAGGAATAATAGTGGGAAGAAAGAAAGTTTTAGGCTGTTTAGTCTGTAAAATAAACTAATCTCCAACAGACTTTCCTGTCAGTGCTAAATACCAGAACAGAGCTTTAGTATAGAAGAGAAAGTAAGGACAAGGACAATATTAGAATTATTCCAACTGGCCCATTTCTCTCCCTCAATTTTTAAAATAGAAATACCATATGGATCAATATGATAGAATATCTTTAGTGTAGTGTTATATATAGTCTCTTTGTTGATATGACTGATTTTTTTATTTGTTTACACTTTCATCCCCAAATAGTTAATGATGTATGAATGTGAGGCCAGAATGTAATGCCAGCAGCTAGAGAATTTATCTGGAAGAAGTTTAAAGCATTAGTTCAGGTAATAGCAGCTTATTAGCATTTATTCTTCCATGTTAAAAATATACACT
This sequence comes from Homo sapiens, assembly GCF_000001405.40. Lineage (NCBI taxonomy): Eukaryota > Metazoa > Chordata > Mammalia > Primates > Hominidae > Homo > Homo sapiens. Next base: position 82,525,315 of record NC_000011.10, on the reverse strand, counting down.
CCTTTAAGGACAGTGACAGCTATGTAATTTTTGGGGCCCAATGCAAAATAAACATGTGAAGCCCTAGCAGGGCATAGTAGTCAATCTCTTCTTCTCCTGTGTCTTCTGCCCTAATCAGTAGTGAAGGGCAACCGCTAAAGGTTTTCAACCTCCTTTCAGGAACTTGCCTGGTACCAGGATTGGGGATGGGTGGGGGACCATCTCCAAATTACCTCTAAACTCCCTGTGGTGTTGCTAGCCCAGAGCAGAGATGGTTGCTGACTTACTCTACTACCAGACACCACCCCACAATGCAGACCTTCACCTTGCCTGTACCAAGGCCCCTGAAGGAGGTGGAGGGGGGTGGAGAGAACTGGGCCTTGAGACCTTTTGTTGGAGGTCAACAGCAGGCTGGGGTGGGAAAAGAAGGATCAGGGATGATGTGGGATAGGGACAAAGGGACTGAAGAGGAAGCCTGAGAATATGTTGAGGAAGTGAGGAAGTGGCAGGAGGGAGGACCCTGTGTGAGCTGATGCATCAAGCTCCCACCAGCCCATGCTCCATTGTCCCATCATGCTTTACTTTAAAAAGCCAATTCAAAGACAAAATTATTAAAAATTTCAAGACAATTGCTGTAGAGCATTAAACCCCAAGTGCATGGGCCCTTATGAGCATGGAGCCCTGCAGGACTGCACAGGTTGCAAACCCAAGAAACAGGCTCTGTTTAAAGAACTATTCTTCGTTGTTGCTGATGAACCAGGCAGCATGGAGTTTTCAGGGGGGGAATGTGGAAGCTAGAGAAGCAGTTGTTAGGCTTTGGGAAACACACCTCGCTAGAGCTCTGGCTCCCTCATCTCCTGGTAGCTAACCTCTGACAAGCCATTTCTCTTCTCCTGGTACAGTTAATCTGCCTCTCTAAAATGGGGAATCTAAGGCAGAAAATCTAAGTGTGTCTGTGTGTGTAAGTTCAAGGTCACACAACTAAACACTGGCAGGGAGGCTCATCCTTACCCTGTATAACTCCAAAATCCATACTATTTGCCTATATGATTTTGTCTTCTTAGGCAATAATGTCAGTGGTTATTAACCCTTTAGTGTGTTGAAACTTTGACAAGTTAGTGAACTCCACAAATCTGCCATGAAGAATAATAAAGCACATGGAAAGCCATTTTACATAAAATTTCAGGGGGTTTACAGAGCCGATATGGTGTGGGTCTGTGTCTCTGCCCAAATCTGATGTCAAATTATAATCCCCAGTGTTGGAAGTGGGGCCTGGTGGGAGGTGATTGGATCATGGGGGTGGATTTCCACCTTTGGTGCTATTCTCATGATAGTGAGTGAGTTATTTTGAGATCTGTTTGCTTAAAAGTGTGTAGCACCTTCCCCCTCTTCTCTCTTCCTCCTGCTCAGGACATGTAAAGATGCCCCAGATTCCCCTTTGACTTCCACCATTATTGTAAGTTTCCTGAGGCCTCCCCAGCCATGCTTCCTGTGCAGCCTGCAGAACCATGAGCCAATTAAACGTCTTGTCTTTATTAATTACCAAGTCTCAGCTATTTCTTTATAGTATTACCCATTGCCAGAACAGACTAATACAGAGCCCCTGAAGCCTATCTATGAACCAGGGTGAAAGCCCTGAAGAAGTGAAAATGCCTCCCATATTGCCTGAGGGATGAGGCTTTCAATTGGGATGTACTGAGTTTGTACTGGCTGCGTTGCAGAGTGCTACATTCTCTTTCTCATTAATTTCATAGACTGTCTCGGACAAAGTATTCTTTTCTGGCTCCTGGTTTTTTCCTGCCTTATTTTTGTGGTAGCAACACATTTTCTTCACTGAATTCTCCGCAGGGAGATCTCCCTGCCTTATGCACAGTCTGTTAGGAACAAGTCATCCTTTTTGAAGAAAAACAAGAGCAGTCTTTTGAAATGAATCCCTTTAAAGGACATCTGGTGTGACATTAAGCTTCATTCCTTTCTGGTCGAGAGAGCCACAATCACACAGGCTGGGTGTGTGCGGGATGCAACTTTCACAACTCCAGTCACTGCTGTAGGCAGCACAGGGCCCCACAGATGGCGTCAGTAGCCCAAAGATGAAGTCTGGAGGCAAAAGCCTGTGTGTTTCAGGCTTGGCAATGTATTATTTATGAAGGGAAATTAACTTTGAAATCTTCTTAGTTTGCCCCCAGCAATATACACAGGAAACCTGATTTTCTCAGTACAAGGTAATAAATAGTCCTTCTAACAAATTAGATGAATTCTGATGTCTGTTTTCTGGTACTTTGTAGTTATGGGTATTTGGCTTCTTTTTTGTTATTAATATTAAAAATATCCCTGCTTTACAGAGAAGAATGTCTAAGTGGGCTTGTGAAGTCTTGGGAGGAGAGGGACAAAAAATTAAAATCCTGATGAAATGCAAAAGACTCAGTCTGGAAATTTTGTATTGTTGCTTAAAAGCTAATTTTCAGCTCTTTTCACGTTCATTGTTGTAGTCAGTTCATATGCAGTGTGGCGGAAAGAGTATTCTGCTTTAGAGTCAGGCAAATCTGAATCTGAATCTGATTTTTTTTTTTTTTTTTTTTGCCATTTGGAAGTTGTGTGATTCTAGGTGAGTTACTTAAATTTCCTGAAACTTAGTTTCTTCATGTGCAAAATGGGTTTATGATACCTAGTTTATAGAGTGGTTGTGCACACCATGTGAGTCATATAAACTAGATGGTGCAGGGTGAACATTCAATAGATACTAAATCTATTCCTTTTTATAAACATGTTGCTGGCCTGAAGATATTGCAGATTACCTATATTCATAATATCTGTGAGACAGTTTTCAAGTGAGAATTTGCCTGAAATAAATGTTTGGATATTACTTGAGAAGAAAAGGATAGAGAAGTAACTATGTTTCCAGAAGGTAATTAAAATTTTATACAATGGCAGATGAACATGGAAGACAAGTGCCATATGAGTCATGTGGGTCTGGAAAGTAAATTCTGCCAACATAATATCACAAATAAGACCAAGGACTGGGAATGTCTTCTTAGAATAACAGTTAATTTTGCACCATGGTAGAGCAATCACTTATGACTGGGTCATATCTCAGCTCCACTAGTTCCTAATTATGCAACTTGGGGCAGGTTGCACATAACCTCTCTGAACCTCAGTTTCCACATATGTAAAATGTAGATGGCATCATTATTTTCCTATTCCATGAGAAAAGGATTGTCTTGAGGGTTAAACAAGCTAGTATGTAATAGCAACTTAGGCCAGTGTTAAGCAAATGGTAAGCAGTTCTTTTTGATGTTTTTGCTGTTATACATGAGGATGTTGCAGTGGATAAGCCGAAAGATCTGTTGCTAGAAAATCTAGGATCCAGTTTTTGTTCTGGTCACTTAATGACAATGTGAATCTGGAAAAATCATTGACTTGGTTTTTTCTTTGATCAAATGCTTATCATCATGGTAATAATCCCTACACCAGCCCCCTCAGAGGATTTTCCTGAGCATTGGCTATAGCCTAATGTAGCTGTAATTCAGAGATGTGGACGGATGCGCTGAAAATCTTATTAGGAGAAGCCATGTCAAAGGAAGCCTGAGGTGACTGTCTTAAAAAGAGGAACAGCTGCACAGGAAAAAGACGCTTATGAGCTAAGAACAACTGGATGGCATCCAGAAGGGGGAAAAAACCTGTGATTACTCTGTGTTCCTTTCACAAGGAGGAAATGAAAGAAGAACAACATCTTCTAAAATGACCCAGGGAATCATGTGCACAACTGACACCATGCCACAGACAGTAATCAGGGAGAGCTGTGGGAGGAGAAATCCAGACAGTGCCTAAAACTGAGGCTCTGGGAAAAAAGACACAAGAAGCTGCCTCTTTCCTCAGCCTTCTGAGTGAAGTGAAGGACATAGATGGAAGTTTAGGCAGCTTGGGGGATTTTGGGAATCTGTGCAACACTACCAACTTGACCATTGTTTTATATGATTTCTGAACTTTATATTTGTCTTGAGGTAAATTTGTGGTTAGAAGATATTTCTGATGTTTCAGGTATTTCCAGGAGGGGTAGAGGTGGTGACATCCACAGCAAAGGTCATATACCATGCAATTAATGTTCCTAAGCATTGGCCTGGCTATAAGATACTATAAGATATCAACATGCTTTGGAAACTGTAAAAGGGGCATTCAAACATTTGTCATAAGCATAGCTGTGATTGCTATGTCTTGAGTGGCAGCATGATAAAGTAGATGGAACATAATTTTGAAATCAGCTATCTTTGGGTCTGAATCTTGTCTCAGACACTCCCTGGTGGTAGGTGTAAGTTGGGAGAAAATAAATTCTAGGTGATGGGGCAATGTATAAGTAAGAAGGAAAAGAGAGAATTAAAGGGAAGGGCACCAATTTCAGGAACAGGTATATATCAGCAGCAGGGAGGTCAAACAGGAAGTAATGAAGGTTTTTCAAGCAAAGGAATATCTCAAATCGTGGGAATCCAGGACCAGTTCAGAGACCTGCACAGGGAGATAGTCAGTCAGATCCAGGAGGTCTGGTAGGTAGTGACTCTTAGCTGCCTTCTGAGGTTCTGCAGCCGGGCTCCAGCCTTTGCTGTAATTAGAAAGACAAGGAGGGTCTCAATTCTATTTGTTTACTGGGGAAGTGTTTATCGAGCACCACTTTCATGGCAAGTACTATTTTAGTTGTTGGGGATACAGAAGTATAGTGACAGCAAAGATCCCTGCCTCGGGGTTGCAATCCTAGTCTCTGATAAAACAGACTTTAAACAAACAAAGATCAAAAGACACAAAGAAGGCTATTACATAATGGTAAAGGGATGAATTCAACAAGAAGAGCTAACTATCTTAAATATATATGCACCCAATACAGGAGCACCCAGATGCATAAAGCACGTCCTTAGAGACTTACAAAGAGACTTAGACTCCCATCCCTCACAATAATAATGGGAGACTTTAACACCCCACTGTCAACATTAGACAGATCAACGAGACAGAAAGTTAACAAGGATATCCAGGAATTGAACTCAGCTCTGCACCAAGTGGACCTAATAGACATCTACAGAACTCTTCACCCCAAATCAACAGAATATACAGTTTTCTCAGCACCACATCGCACTTATTCCAAAATTGACCACATAGTTGGAAGTAAAGCACTCCTCAGCAAATTGTGAAAGAACAGAAATGATAACAAACTGTCTCTCAGACCACAGTGCAATCAAACTATAACTCAGGATTAAGAAACTCACTCAAAACCACTCAACTACATGGAAACTGAACAACCTGCTCCTGAGTGACTACTGGGTACATAAAGAAATGAAGGCAGAAATAAAGATGTTCTTTGAAACCAATGAGAACAAAGACACAACATACCAGAATCTCTGGGACACATTTAAAGCAGTATGTAGAGGGAAATTTATAGCACTAAATGCCCACAAGAGAAAGCAGAAAAGATCTAAAACTGACACCCTAACATCACAATTAAAAGAACTAGAGAAGCAAGAGCAAACACATTTCAAAAGCTAGCAGAAGGCAAGAAATAACTAAGATCAATGCAGAAATGAAGGCGATAGAGACACAAAAAACCCTTCAAAAAATCAATGAATCCAGAAGCTGATTTTTTGAAAAGATCAACAGAATTGATAGACCGCTAGCAAGACTAATAAAGAAGAAAAGAGAGAGGAATCAAATAGATGCAATAAAAAATGATAAAGGGGATATCACCACCAATCCCACAGAAATACAAACTACCATCAGAGAATACTATAAACACCTCTACACAAATAAACTAGAAAATCTAGAAGAAATGGATAAATTCCTCGACACATAACACCCTCCCAAGACTAAACCAGGAAGAAGTTGAATCCCTGAATAGACCAATAACAGGCTGGTGAAATTGAGGCAATAATTAATAGCCTACCAACCAAAAAAAGTCCAGGACCAGACGGGTTCACAGCCGAATTTCTATCAGAGGTACAAAGAGGAGCTGGTACCATTCCTTCTGAAACTATTCCAATCAATAGAAAAAGAGGGGATCCTCCCTAACTCATTTTATGAGGCCAACATCGTCCTGATACCAAAGCCTGGCAGAGACACAACAAAAAAAGAGAATTTTAGACCAATATCCCTGATGAACATTGATGGAAAAATCCTCAGTAAAATACTGGCAAACCGAATCCAGCAGCACATCAAAAAGGTTATCCACAATGATCAAGTGGGCTTCATCCCTGGAATGCAAGGCTGGTTCATCATACGCAAATCGATAAATGTAATCCAGCATATAAACAGAACCAAAGACAAAAACCACATGATTATCTCAATAGATGCAGAAAAGGCCTCTGACAAAATTCAACAGCCCTTCATGCTAAAAACTCTCAATAAATTTGGTATTGATGGGACGTATCTCAAAATAATAAGAGCTATTTATGACAAACCCACAGCCAATATCATACTGCATGGGCAAAAACTGGAAGCATTCCCTTTGAAAACTGGTACAAGACAAGGATGCCCTCTCTCACCACTCCTATTCAACATCGTGTGGAAGTTCTGGCCAGGGCAATCAGGCAGGAGAAAGAAATAAGGGGTATTCAATTAGAAAACAGGGAGTCAAATTGTCCCTGTTTGCAGATGACATGATTGTATATTTAGAAAAGCCCATCATCTCAGCCCAAAATTTCCTTAAACGGATAAGCAACTTCAGCAAGTCTCAGGATACAAAATCAATATGCAAAAATCACAAGCATTCTTACACACCAATGACAGACAAACAGACAGCCAAATCATGAGTGAACTCCCATTCACAATTGCTTCAAAGAGAATAAAATACCTAGGAATCCAACTTACAAGGAACGTGAAGGACCTCTTCAAGGAGAACTACAAACCACTGCTCAACAAAATAAAAGAGAACACAAACAAATGGAAGAATATTCCATGCTCATGGATAGGAAGAATCAATATTGTGAAAATGGCCATACTGCCCAAGGTAATTTATAGATTCAATGCCATCCCCATCAAGCTACCAATGACTTTCTTCACAGAATTGGAAAAAACTACTTTAAAGTTCATATGGAACCAACAAAGAGCCCGCATTGCCAAGACAATCCTAAGCCAAAAGAACAAAGCTGGAGGCATCATGCTACCTGACTTCAAACTATACTACAAAGCTACAGTAACCAAAACAGCATGGTACTGGTACCAAAACAGAGATATAGACCAATGGAACAGAACAGAGCCCTCAGAAATAATGCCACCTATCTACAACTATCTGATCTTTCACAAACCTGAGAAAAACAAGCAATGGGGAAAGGATTCCCTATTTAATAAATGGTGCTGGGAAAACTGGCTAGCCATATGTAGACAGCTGAAACTGGATCCCTTCTTTACCCCTTATACAAAAATTAATTCAAGATGGATTAAAGACTTAAATGTTAGACCTAAAACCATAAAAACCCTAGAAGAAAACCTAGGCAATACCATTCAGGACATAGGCATGGGCAAGGACTTCATGTCTAAAACACCAAAAGCAATGGCAACAACAGCCAAAATTGACAAATGGGATCTAATTAAACTAAAGAGCTTCTGCACAGCAAAAGAAACTACCATCAGAGTGAACAGGCAACCTACAGAATGGGAAAAAATTTTTGCAATCTACTTATCTGACAAAGGGTTAATATCCAGAATCTACAAAGAACTCAAACAAATTTACAAGAAAAAAAACAACCCCATCGACAAGTGGGCAAGGGATATGAACAGACACTTCTCAAAAGAAGACATTTATGCAGCCAACAGACACATGAAAAAATGCTCATCCTCACTGGCCATAAGAGAAATGCAAATCAAAACCACAATGAGATACCATCTCGCACCAGTTAGATTGGCGATCATTCAAAAGTCAGGAAACAACAGGTGCTGGAGAGGACATGGAGAAATAGGAACACTTTTACACTGTTGGTGGGACTGTCAACTAGTTCAACCATTGTGGAAGTCAGTGTGGTGATTCCTCAAGGATCTAGAACTAGAAATACCATTTGACCCAGCAATCCCATTACTGGGTATATACCCAAAGGACTATAAATCATGCTGCTACAAAGACACATGCACACGTATGTTTATTGCGGCACTATTCACAATAGCAAAGACTTGGAACCAACCCAAATGTCCAACAATGATAGACTGGATTAAGAAAATGTGGCACATATACACCATGGAATACTATGCAGCCATAAGAAATGATGAGTTCATGTCCTTTGTAGGGACATGGATGAAATTGGAAATCATCATTCTCAGTAAACTATCACAAGAACAAAAAACCAAATACCGCATATTCTCACTCATAGGTGGAATTGAACAATGTGAACACATGGACACAGGAAGGGGAACATCACACTCTGGGGACTGTTGTGGGATGGGGGGAGAGGGGAGGGATAGCATTAGGAGATATACCTAATGCTAAATGATGAGTTAATGGGTGCAGCACACCAGCATGGCACATATATACATATGTAACAAACCTGCATGTGTGCACATGTACCCTAGAACTTAAAGTATAATTAAAAAAAAAAAGATCCCTGCCCATGGAGCCCCTCAGAGCCACTTGCTTTGTGTAGTAAGCTAACCCAATATTAGAACTGGTGGTCTCTTTCCCACATGCGCTGGTCCAAGGTGCTGGTAGACTCTTTTCTTCAGAAAATACACAATATTTTATACTTAATAAACTCTCCTTACCATTCTGTGTTTTCAATCCCTGGCTTGCTTGTGTGTTTTTCTTTTCAGGTTTTGGGCCATTTGAAGGGTTGCTTTTTGTTGTTGTTTTGTTATTTGTTTCTGAATCTTTTGTGTTTAGTAGAACATAGTGTATGTCCAATGTGCTCAGCTTACATTTGGCACTCAGTAAAGTGTTTGCAGTGATTAAAAGAAATGACTGGGCCAGGAGCGGTGGCTCACACCTATAATCCCATCACTTTGGGAGGCCGAGGAGGGTAGATCACCTGAGGTCAGGAGTTCAAGGCCAGCCTGACCAACATGGTGAAACCCCATCTCTACATAAAATACAAAAATTTGCCAGGCCTGATGGCACGCAACTGTAGTTCCACGTACTTGGGAGGCTGAGGCAGGAGAGTCGCTTGAACCCAGGAGGCAGAGGTTGCAGGGAAAGAGCAAGATTCTGTCTCAAAAAAGAAATGACTATAGGTAATAAATGAGTCATTTTTGCATATATCTTGGCTGTACAACTAAATATATAACAAAAATTATTGATAGCAATAAGACAGGATATTTATATATATACACGAATCTATAAAAATCAATTGAATTCTTACTCATATCCTATTAATATAGAGCTTGGAAATTGCCAAAAAATATATTTCATGAAACTGGCCAATGCCCCTAGCCTGTACATCACCTGATATTTCTACATGTATACTTTATGTTTTTTCCTAAACACAAAGGTTTTTTTTTTTTCTCATAGAAACAAATTATGTAGACTCAATGGGAAAAGCAAAGGAAGATACAAATAATAGGATACCTATGTCTTATTCCTGGGAGGAAATACTAATTGATATGAAGATAGTAATATTCCCTAGTTCATATTTATATCTGGTACAATATTGGAGTCTTTGCAGAATATTTCTCAGACATTAAATTTTTTGAAATATAAATCTTTATGGAAGAGTGGGCAAGAGTGCCGGAAATTTTTTTTAAAGGCAATAGCAGTGTCATTGCTATATAAGATTTTTAAAATGAAAATCAAAACTACATGATACGGAGCTGAAAACTAGATAAATTCAGAAATACATTTAAATTACTAAAGTAGATGTCTAAAAATATTTGTTAAAGAGAGATTCAATATATCTCAGGCCTCAAGATTTAACAAAAATATTATAATAATGAGAAAATTAATGAATATTGAATGTCCTATGGGGCAGCTGAATACCAGTATAAAATATATTAACTTGAATTAATTTCTTATGGTGTGCACTATTTATTCTTATTCTGTATTCTATGCTCTGACAATTTTCAGAGGGGTCAAAGAGTTAAACATTTCCTCTAGAATCTGTAGAAATCTAGAATGAAATGAAATCATACAGTAAATTTATGCTCTTTGGATGCAAGATATATTTTTACAAACCAAAATGTAATAGAAGAAATACTTAAAAGAAACTAAAAGATAAGAGATTGAATGTATGGCAATCATAACTGATAAAAACTTCCAAACTGAATATATAAGAAGGACTAACTTTTCAGTAATATCTAACAACTTATGAAGTGTTTATATACTTCATTCGATTTTCTAAAATTTTTCTGCTGTAAGTGTGCTCCTCAGTTCATCAGTGCTGGCATCACCTGGATCTTACTAGACATGCAGAATCCCAGGCCCAGCCTCAGAACTACTGAGTCAGGATCTGAATTGTAACAAGCTCTCCAGGTGATTCATATACACATTTAAGTGTGAGAAACTCTGTTCTAAATTACCCATTGAGGAAACTGAGGCATAAGAAGGTTTAGTAATTTGTTAAAGATGTCAGAGTCACAGAAAAGATTGGAATTAGATTTCTAGGTCTTTTAACTACAAATTCCTTTTGTTCACTTATTCATTTATTAATTTGACATGTATTAAATGAATGCCTATGTATGGGCCCTGACCAGAGTTGTGTACAGTAGTGCCCTGTATGCCTGATCTTCACAGACCCTTTCCTGAAATACTGGTCATGATCTTTCTTTAGCACTAAGATGCTTCAGTTCAAATAGTAGAAAATACCATAACATTTAACAATCTACTTTCTTAACATCATAGTTAAATATCATTAAAGTAGGTGTTTCAATTTAAGAAGATAAATATAAATGGTAAATCTCAATTCTATCAAGGTACAGAAAATAAGTACACTTTTGCTAAGGGCACAAAAAAGTTGTCTTTTTCATCTGGAGCACAAGACAATTATATGTCAGAAGAGCCATAAGACTATTAAGATTTTTTAGAGGAAGTCTCACTCTGTCACCCAGGCTGGAGTGCAATGGTGCGATCTCTGCTCACTGCAACCTACACCTCCTGGGTTCAAGCAATTCTTGTGCCTCAGCCTCCTGGAGTAGCTGGGACTATAGGCACATGTCACCAAGCCCAGCTAATTTTTGTATTTTTAGTAGAGATGGTGTTTCACCATGTTGGCCCATCTGGTCTCGAACTCCTGACCTCAAGTGATCTGCCCTCCTCGGCCTCACCAAGTGCTGGGATTACAGGCATAAGCCGCCTTGCCTGGCTATAAAATTATTTAAACTTTTTCCACCTCTTGAAAAAATACTCAAGGAGAATAATTTTAATGGACAAAAATTAATGGGTATGAAAATGTCATAACTATGTTTTTCCTCACACTAACATCAAAAGCAAAATGATTCAGTTGTCTAATGTCATTAAAATGTCAAACATATACTATCATGTAGCTACAGGGGCAAAAAGAAAGCAGAAAACCCTTGCACTAGCTTCCTCAACATTACTTAGAGAAGGTCTGCACTCTGCAGCCTGGGATCCTGCATGATTCAGCCTCCACCTTCCTTCCAGATGCATAACCTCTGTAACAGCAGGTTGCTTCCACTAGACTCGGTTCCACTCTTCCTCCTGAATTCTTATGGCCTTTTCCTGATTCTGCATTTTTCCTCTTGCTGTTCTCTCTTCTTCACACTCCAGTCCCCACTTATTCATGGGAGATATATTCCAAAACCCCCAGTGGTTGCCTGAAACTACGGATAGTACCAAACCTTACATATACCATGTTTTTTTCCTATACATGCCTATGATAAAGTTTAATTTATAAGTTAGGCACACAAAGAGATTAACAACAACAATAATAAAATAGAACAATATAATAATCCAATAAAAGCTATGTGACTGTGGTCTTTCTCTCTCTCAAAATGTCTTATTTGTGCTATACTACAGGTAACTGAAACCGTGGAAAGCAAAACTGGATAAATGGGGAACTACTTTATAACATAAATATCCTTTCTAATCTGGCCCGCCTACCTCTCCAGCCTCACCCTTTGGTACATCTTGTGAATTTGGTTCCAGATACTCTGAACTCCTACAGCACCCTGAATGCACAGAGCCATGTCACAGTTCTTGATGCAGCCTTCATCTTCTGCTTGAGATTCTCTTGATCAGATCTCTGTAAGGTGAACTCCTCCTCACTCTTGCAGTCACATAGAAAGTCACTGAAAAAAAATCAAGCATCATCTCCTCATTTACCCTGTTTTGTGTGTGTGTATGTGTGTGTGTGTGTGTTTCCATGATATACTGTGTTTCTCTTTACTTTATTTTTGATCTTATTCTATTTAAATTTTTTTTCCTGTTTCTCTTCCTTCATTAAATTTGAACTGATTTTATTTTCAGTATCTAACCAGTGTCTGACATACAGAAAGGTGTTAATAAATGCTCATTTAAAGAAAGAAAATATGGCTGGGCAAAGTGGCTTATGCCTGTAATCCCAGCACTTTGGGAGGCCGAGGTGGGCGGATCACCTGAGGTCAAGAGTTCCAGACCAGCCTCACCAGCATGGTGAAATCCTGCCTCTACTAAAAATATAAAAATTAGTTGGGCGTGGTGGCACACACCTGTAGTCCCAGTTACTTGGGAGGCTGAGGTAGGAGAATCACTTGAACCGGGGAGGCGGAGGTTGCAGTGAGCCAAGATCACCCCACTGCACTCCAGCCTTGGCAACAGAGTAAGACTCTGTCTCAAAAAAAAAAAAAAGAAACATGTCTGTATCTGTATCTGCTGAAATCTTTCTTATTTTTCAATGTTAAGCTTGAATGTCACCTTTTTGAGTCTTCTTCCCAGTGGCTGGAAGTGACTTCCCTCATCTCCATATCCCCTTGGCACTTGTCATATTTTGTTCTTGCATAGTAGTTATTTACTCATCCTTGTTCTCTGTGGACAAAGGTGCTAGTGCATACCAGAGGCTAGCACATACTAGGTGCTCATCATTTCTGAAGTTAATGAATGAATGAATCTTGCTAAGTATTTGTAGAAACTCAGTGCCCTTAGAGTTTCAACAGATTTTCCAAAGCTGCAGTTCTCCTTAACCGATGCTTAATTTAAAAAGCAACAGAGGTTGTACAAGTAGACAGTGTTGTATCTACAACTTGAGAAATCCAATGGAAGTAATTTTTCTTCAAAAAGAACAAAAAATTGGATATTGCCAAGTGCCTGTCCATGGGTTTGCTTCATTGGAAGCATAACTGCAGAATGAAGGTGCTTCTGAACTCTTAATTAACAATTAAATATTAATTGACTGCTCTTCACATGCCAGGAAGTTTTCTAGGTCCTGGGGATCTTAAACAGTTGTGGTTCCCATTCTAGTGGAAAGAGACAGAAAATATAGAAGTAAATAAACAAACAAACACACAAAATAACATCAGATACTGCAATAACAAATCCCCAGAGAGTGAGTCAAGTAGGAGAAGGAGGGCTAATTTAGATGTTGGGGTGTCAGTGAGGAGGTGACATTTGAAATGAGATATGAATTATGAAACAAGATTCACGCTTAGAGAGATCTGAATGTGATGGCTTTGTTTTGTAAAATGTTGAGACATGGTTTTTTTTTTAAATATGATACTAGTCTATGGGTTAATGTTGATGTATTTATCTACTATTTTGTACTTCCTATAACATTTGAAAATAGGGAAAGAGAGAGAGAGAGATGGAGGGAGAGAAAAAACTAGGTACATTAGATAGTTTGGGAGAAAGATAGGTGAAACAAGGCTTCAGCCTTGTGCAAACTGTCAACTTAGAAGTAGCGGTGGGGTAAAATGAAAGCTAGAAACTTCCTTTGCCTATAGAATTAGATCTGAACCTCTTGGCATGGCATATATGGACCTTATGATTTGGCCATTCCCTTCTTGACCATCCTTACTTAGTACAGGTCCATTTCTCCCACTTAATGTTTCAGTATTACTGAAATGCCTGCAGGTTTCTACCTGCTCCATCCTGTTAAAACTCTATCATATTTCAAGTTTTGTTCAAATGTTACCTTATAGTCTAGAGAGGGGTATCTTCCATTCCTTTGTGCCAAGTATACTTTGTACATTCCCAATGTGTTGCGTTGCATCATAATGGCATTCTTTTATGTCTCCTTCTACTGAAGGCTGGGAGAGTTTTATTTACTCTCATGTGCCAAGAACCTGACATTCAGTAAGTGCTTGAGGACACTGAATGTTAGATGCCTTCAATGGAAGGCAACCTATGATAAGTGTCATTGAGGGTCCTGGGGGAGAAAATGCCATGCCATAGGGGCAGGAGAGTGTAAAGGGGCTCCCGAGGCTCTAGAGAGAAAGCTCCGTCCTTCTGAGCTGTGCCCCAGAGATCCTGGACATGGGCTCCAAGGGTCCCTTTCCAGTTTCTGACATCTTTTTCTTGTTTCATATGCAATTACCGGGTGGTGGATATCAGTGCCTTCTTGTGGGTCATGATTTTTCCTTGGCTGAGACACCCTCAAAGGTGGGCCCTTGAAGAGGAAGACTAACTTGTTACTTTAATCCTTGGCTCCAGTGCCTCCTCTGTTACCATCCTCAGACACAGCTTCTCTTCTTGACCTCCAGGGTGTCAGTGCTCTAGTTCTCTTCAGTTGTTCTTTCATTTGCATGGTCTGCCTCCAAACCCACTCCGTGCCTCAAAGGCCAGGCTCTCCTTTGAGCTGCCTGAAGCCCAATCAATGACACTTTGTTATCTTCACTCATTGCCTTTGTGTAAATGGCTCTCTCTTCTGAAGAAGATCTGGTACCCATTCATCCACACACCACAACCATCTCACCCAGCAGTTAGTAAACACCATTTAACCTCTGTCAGGGCTCTTCATTAGGGTTTAATTTCTGGATGGTGTACAAGCCCTCTTGTGATTTGCTCCCAAGGTTTTTCTGTAGGTTTTTCTCTTGGCCTTTCTGTTGATGTATTATACTCAAGTCATACAGAAGTACAGTACTTTTGTTTGCCTGAAGTACCACTCCTTTGCCTGTGTAGCACCCTATACCTGGAGTGCCTTCTGTTATCTGCTTTGAAAACACTATTTATCCTTTAGGTCCTGGTTTGCTTCCTCTGTGAAGGCGCTCTTTGGCCTCCCCAGGGAGTATGAAATGCTTCCTTCATTGTAATCCCAATGCACTTTCCAGATCATTCTGCATGTCATTTACCACATTGCAGTGCATATTTATTTTTCACCATTGTGCCCCTACCTCTGACCATCCATAAACTGTGAATACCAAAGTTAGGAACTGTGTTCTTTTGATTGCTTTATCTTTGTGTTCTTTAGCCTTGCCACAGAGCATGTTAAAAACTGCATATTAATACATGTTTGCTGAAATGGTAGGTGAGTGAAATAGTATAGAAACATACAAGAGGCTGGGCGCAGTGGCTCGTGTCTGTAATCCCAGCACTTTGGGAGGCCTAGGCTAGCAGATCACTTGAGGTCAGGTGTTCGAGATCAGCCTCGTTAACTGGTGAAAACCAGTCTCTACTAAAAATACAAAAATTAGCTGGATGTGGTGGCTCATGCTTGTAATTCCAGCTACTTGGAGGTTGAGGCAGGAGGATTACTTGAACCCAGGAGATGGAGTTTGTAGTGAGCCAAAATTGCCCCACTGCACTCCAGCCTGGGTGACAGTGTGAGACTTCATTAAAACAAACAAACTTGCAAGCGTAGGTCAATGAGTGCAAGGTCAGAGCTTGAACCCCAGCTACCCAGTCTTAGCATTTTAATAAATTTACCAGATACACGCTCACCAATCTGATTTTTTAAGTGTATATTTATTGAGTAACTACTGTGTGCAGGCAAACTATGAGGGGCTAGCTCTTGGTAAAATTGTCAGGAGGAAGACTGTATACCAGAAAAATGGTGGTTCCTTTGACTAGCTGGTCAGTGGGGGCTTTACAAAGCAGGTGTCAGGGAGCTGGCTCTTGAGGAGAGACACTTAGAAAAGAGTTGGGAATGAAAATAATATTGCTTTTTAAAACCATTCAGATTGTACCTAAAGGCATTTCCAGAATTGTATAATTCCATCTATACGTAGTAGCCTGATAAATCAGATCTACTTTTGAACAAATAACATATTCTCTTGACCTATGAGTCTAATGAGTTCAATGGTGCACATCATACAAAAATGGCTGAAAATGTCCAAAGCAAAATTTTTTCACAGCAAAAATGTGAAAGGTCTTTGTTGAAATCTTCACCATTCACTTCTTCTGTGGCGACGGGGAGAAATGGACTCTGGCTGGATAATGGGAAAGTGAAAACCCATAAAAAGGGAACAGGGGGCCAATACTGCTGCTCCTGTCACTGAGCCCTGTTGCTCTGATTTGGCTCATAAATAGACTCTCTAGAACCAGTGTAGATGTAAACATTTGAGTTAAGTGGTATTTTTATGTTTTAATTCAAGGGTGTTAAAAACTGCTTTATTTAAACTAAAAAAAAAAACCCTTAGCTTTTTGTGGGGGGCTTGTTTATGGTCATTAAAAACAAACATGCTGAATTAGAGTGATTTCCAGGTGACAATAGAATTGCTTTGACTGAAAATCATCTAAACCTATTGGCTTGGTTAGTGCATCAGCCTCCTTGTTATGAATCTTGTACAGATAAACTGCCATGAAAGGACTCCTGCATTGGTAGACAGAAACCTGGGCTTAAATCTCAGCTTCCTGATGGTGTGATGACCCTTGGTAGTTTATAACTTTTCTAAGTCTCAGGTTCCTCATCCTGTGAAAAGAGGATAATAATGTTCAACTGTCAGTGTTGTAATACAGTTTCAATGAAAGGACTGTATTGGTAATTGGTAATTTAAGACACCTACTGCTAGAGATCCCAAATCCCTCGATCAGGCCTATTTGGGGGCACATACAGGACAAGGTCAAGTGAATGCTTTATGGTGGGGGTGGTGTTTTTAATCACTAGCTGGAGTTTGATTACAAGTCCCAATACACTTCTCCTGGTGAGCTGAGCTGAACAACATTGAACCATGTGGAATCCTTTCATTTCAGCTAAAGCAGACCAAAGTTCTATTCTAGAAGCAGGAAGAGTGGCTGTCCAGTCCCCTTTCCCCTCTTGATTTCTTAGGTTTTGTGTACATTTGAGAAAAACTGAATCAAGAAACAGAAAGGGAAATAAGCAATGCCCCTGAAATCTGGAACAAAGCCACTATAAGAACACACTAATATTTCTAAGCAACTACTCTGTGTCTGGCTCAGTGTGAAGCATAATCTTATTTAATCCTCACAGCAATCCTATAAAGTAGTTATAATCATGTCCATTTTATAACTAAGGAATGAGACTTAGAAAAGTGAGATAAGAAGGCCCACTAGCTGGATGTCCAAAGTCAAACAGCTGTAAGCTGGTAACAGAGAACATATTTGAACTAATTCACTGAAGGGCAGAGCCCACATGCATAACCAGTCTACCCACTACCTGACACTGTACAGAAAGCATCCTCTTATGTCATCAACTTTGTGTATCCATATGCTTGACTTGGGGAAAACACATCCCATCCCTTTAAAAAGATGATATTAAAAATGTCCTGGATCAGCCTTTGGAATTCTTAAAACCTATAAAGCTGTATTATTAAAATGAAAGGAAACCTTCTTATTTGGTAGATGAAAACATCTCTGTAAAAGCATTGGAGCAGAGGAAATCCTAATCCCTCTTGTCAACACCATGATGACAAGTGTTATACTCCGGGTGTATGAGTGATAACACAGTTGCTTCACCATGTAATTATTATTGTTTCCATTGGTGTTATCATAGCAGTAATTATCACTAACTAACGTATGGCATTTCGTAGTGACTTGGAAAACATCCTGTAACTTTGGCTTTGTAATTTGGGGTGGGTGTTGATGGCATTATGTCATGAATCATGCCCTGCCAATTGTTCATTCTCCCGTAGGGCTCCCATGGGAGCCATACACGCAGGCGACAATAGCAGATTGGAAAACAAAGCATCACTTTGTCACAAGCTGTCCAAGTACCTGATTTCCTAATATAAACACCTGGTAAAGATTAGGTAGGGAGTTTTGGCTCAGGCTTAGGTCTTAAACAGGCTCTCTTCACCCCTCTGGCTGCATGGGAGAAGCAAAGAGGGAGGAGCTAGTTAAACCTGTGTATAGTGCAGACTAGCTAAACTTATCCACTTTACTGAACAATAAAGAAGGTGAGAGAGAACTAGAATCCCCTGAGAGGCCAAACTTTGCCTGTGTTTCTGTATTATACAGACGTAGAAAGCAGCCCAGTGCCAGACTACTACTCTATTAATATACAGTGATCTTTAGTGGTTTCTAGAACTTTGAACAAAGATATTAGCAACTTCACCCATGGAGAGGAAGCTACAAGAAATATTGCATATGGGAATCTGGAAGGGGATGGTAAGATGCATCTACAGTTTGCAGAGGGAGGGCTGCCTATACATCTATTTAACTCCTCTCATTGTTTCTTCTGAAATAGTAGCAGCAGCAACAACAATAAGCAACACAGCAGAGTGTATTAGCTTCATCTCTTAACAGCTTTATAGCATTGCAAAGTTACCTCCCATCTCTAAAGTTCAGAGGGGCAGCTGCAATTATTCCTGCTCTGAATATGAACACTACTAGCAGCAACATACACTCTTTAACCTAGTGAAAACTTCAATTTTCTGATAAACTTTCAATTTCCTTTTGTTTTTGTGAATAACATAAGGAGTTGTCTTCTTTGGGAGTCCTTATAGTTTTAGTTTCTATTTCTCACAAAGAAGCAAAGTTGGCGTCACTTCATACAACATACTCATTAACCACCAAGAGCAAGGATTACCATTCTCTCCTTGACGTGGGGACACTGAGACCAGGATCACTCATGCATATGTTAATTAGCTAGATTTAGTTGCTTCACAATGTATATGTATTTCAATACGTCACATTGTACATGATAAATACCTAAAATGTTATCTGTCAATTAAAAAAAATTTTTTTAAAGAGTTAATTCCCTGAGGAGCAACTGCCAACCAATTAGGGACAGGATTTGGTGGATACACACTTCAACTTCCTTAACCTCTTGATAGAACAATTCTTAGGTATGTGCTACACAGTGTCTCCAAAAATCTACAGTGAGATTTACCTCCATTTTCCCACATGGTAACTTACTCAACAAGGAATTCTTTATTAGTTTTTCTCACTTCCCTATTCCCTTCTTTGTTTACTGGGACTATCTACCAAATAATTATATGTGCTCAAATCCTTGTCTTAGGGTATCTTTTTGGTAGAACCCCCAACTAGGTGCCTTCACTTGTCATTTTCTATTCCTCGTTTTTCTTACGTACTTATGAGCTTCATGGGGACAATGTTGAAACTGACCCAATATTCCCATGGACAGATTTTTTTTTGGATAAACATAGAAATTGACACTTCTGGTCTTAAAGCTTGAAACTTACATTTGTTTTATCTGAGTTCCTTACTCAGGAAAGGACCTCCAGGCTTCTTGAAAAGTATCAAAGAACTGAAATTCATCAGATCATTGCATCCAGACAATGAAATTCTAGGCCCCTCATTCATCATGATTGCTTCCTTACCCCTCCCGAATTCCTATTTTCTCCTTCATAGTTACTTTTCTTCCTTTCTATATAGGAATTGTAGTCAGTCTGGGAGATGGATTTGAGACTGAGCTCCCATCTCCTTGACTGCAGCCCCCGATTAAAGCCTTCTTCCTTGACAATACTTGTCTCAGTCATTGGCTTTCCCTGCAGCAGGCAGCAAGACATAGACTGAACCCCTGGTGTTTCAGTAACAATGTCTTACTCACTGCTGTATCTTCTGTGACTTGCAAAGTGCCTGGCTCACAGTGGGCTCTCATTAAATCGTTGTTGAATGAATGATTAAAGAATAGGGACTAAAGCCCCAATTACTCACTCACTTCTTTTGGATGATTTGCTCCAAGCTTAGGAAAAGGCCATAAAAACTGGCAGCATAGTCTGACTCTGTTTCCAATTTAACGAATGTATACTTTAGCATGTTAGTTTTTTTATTGTTATTACTTTATTTTGATATTTCTTTAATGTGTGCTATGAATGTGTACTAAATATTGTGTTAGGCTATTTACATACCTTACATCCTTTAATAATTGCAACTTCTCTGTAAGGTATGTTTTATTATCTATAGTCTGAAAATGCCAAAAGTAAGGCTTATACAAGTTCATAAAGTTTATGTGTGGAAGATATAAACTTAGGGCTTAAACCACAGTATGTGTAACTTGAAAGTCCACACTTTTCCCCATATTTTCTATAGTCTAGGCAAGTAATAAATTTACAATCTGTAACTTTTAGCTTTGTCTTAATCCAATTCTAAAGTTTAAATTGCCCAAAAGAAAAAGAGGTGGTATATGTCAGTTCCCAGAAGATTTCTGCAAGCACAAGAAAATAGCTGTTGTAAGAAAGTACAATTCTATGAACTAGTGTTTCAAAGATAAAGGTAAAAAATGAGTTTTTATGCCTGAGCTAATGCTCTACTACTTTGATAGAAAGGTGAAAAGAAAAGAAACTGACTGCTATGCTGGGAATGTTGCAACAGGTTCTGATGTATTAATAGTTCTAGTTACATCCTATATCATAACAGTGTAAAATGTGTCTCATTAATACATTCATGACGGTGGCAGAATAATTGGGAAAAATTTATATTAATTGTGGAATCAAGGCAGAATACTCCAGATTTCACTTCTAAAGTGAGTTTTGATTTAAGCAAATAAACTGAAACCTCAAGAATGACAAAAAAATTGCTCTTTTTTCTTTCTAATTAAAATAGGATATTTACTTAAATCTAGGTTTATGGGATAAAAGTGAAATATTTGAATGAACAATACTCCTTCTTTCACAGATTGAACAATCCTTAAAAGGAGTGCTGAACAAATTTAAGTGAGACTTCTGGTTTAGAGAAACCTCTCTGGTTTTAAGTTAATAGAATACAGAATTGATTTTAAGTTAATAGAATACAAAATTGTCTCAGGAATTCTGAGCAAACAAGTATTTCAATGAAGAAACAAAAGAAATTCAATGTCATTCTTGTTATCCTTGTCTGGAAGATCAATGTGGAGTGTTTGAAAGGGCCACTGGATCAGAAGTCAGAGACCTATGGTGGGCTCTGGCTTGCCATTAATAAGTACAATCTTGAATAAGTCTCCAATATTTCTTGGTCTTAATTTCTTGCCCAAAGACTGAATTAGATGTTTTTATGGGATTTTTTACTTTTAACGTTCTGTGACTTTATGACTATGTTATAGAAATGTATTAGATTGATTATTTTAGTGGTGTCACATAGGGAAAGATGGCACTCTGAAGATACTATTAGCTGATGGGACAGGCAGCTATAATCTAATAAAACAATCAGTGAAATTAGAATTTGCAGTTATAATTTCAATTTGGCCTTTCCACCCTAACTCTTTGTGTGCAGAATATAGGCTTTGGAGTTGAAAATACCAGGTTCAAATCCCAGTTCTGTCACTTATCAGCTGTTCAACCTTGATGAGCTCATTTTTGATTCCTCAGTTCTCATCTCCAGAATGGAGATGAGAATGTATGTCCTACTTTATATTGAGGGAGTATTTGTATGAATATCGTGGAATAAAATTTTTGAAAGCACTTTATAGGAGTAAAAATGACTATACTGATGTAAGATATCAATATTGATTAAAAGGAGTGAAGTAGGAGGAAAAACAAAGCCTTTTTAGACTGTTTTGGGAAGATGGTCCAAGTCTCCAAACCAATATGAACCCTGACAAGGTTGTCATTTCTCTGATACTGGGGAAAGGACTTCTCAGAAATGCAAGTTTCTTCTAATCACAAAAACATTACCTTGCTGCTATATAGGGTTGAAATAAAAAATAAAAATCTTCAAAATGCTTGAAAAAACATGCAGTTAGAAAACTATGTGGTTTTTGTTAAAAAAAACTTTATTGAGCAACTATAATGTCTTATTTGCTGTGCCAAACTCTTTGCAAATCTTGTCTCATTCATTTCTACAATGAGCCTTTGAAGTCAATATAATTTTTCCCATGTTACGACATGGCATTAAAACATAAAGAATTTGAATAACCGACCAAGGTCATATGACTGGTAAAAGATAGAGACCTGATTTTAACTCTTTTTTTTTTTTTTTTTTTTGAGACAGAGTCTCGCTCTGTCGCCCAGGCTGGAGTGCAGTGGCGCAATCTCCGCTCAATGCAAGCTCCGCCTGCCGGGCTCACGCCGTTCTACTGCCTCAGCCTCCCGAGTAGCTGGGACTATAGGCGCCCGCCACAACGCCTGGCTAATTTTTTGTATTTTTTAGTAGAGACTGGTTTTCACCGTGTTAGCCACGATGGTCTCGATCTCCTGACCTTGTGATCCGCTCACCTCGGCCTCCCAAAGTGCTGGGATTACAGGCGTGAGCCACCGCGCCCGGACTTAACTCATGTTTTTTAGAGATCAAAGCTCATTCTCTTCCTTCTGCCCTATGCTGCCTCTATGTCAAGGAAAAAAATAACTATTTTTATAATAAATTGAGTTCCAACCTTGTGATAGACATTGAATTAGGCAGTTACATGAGACATTTGAATCTTCACAGAACCTCTCTTGATGTAAATTTTATTCTCATTTTAAAGAAAGATAGTTGAAAGAAGTTTTCACTTTCAAGAATAATAGTGACACATCAGCAAATTGGTTTAAAAAATCCAATGAACAAAGCAAAGTGAAAACAAGCAACAAAATAAGTTTTGGGGAACAGAGGGGAAATTAATTTCCTACTATGATATGCATGCATACTTTAATATATACATATGGGCTGTTGTGTCCGGAATTGGTGGGTTCTTGGTCTCACTGACTTAAAGAATGAAGCCGCGGACCCTCGCAGTGAGTGTTACAGCTCTTAACGTGGCGCGTCTGCAGTCTGTCCCTTCTGATGTTCAGATGTGTTCGGAGTTTCTTCCTTCTGGTGGGTTTGTGGTCTCGCTGGCTCAGGAGTGAAGCTGCAGACCTTCACGGTGAGTGTTACAGCTCTTAAGGCAGCACGTCTGGAGTTGTTCCTTCCTCCCGGTGGGCTCATGGTCTCGCTGGGCTCAGGAGTGAAGCTGCAGATCTTCGCTGTAACACTTTTATGAGTGTTACAGCTCATAAAAGCTGTCTGGACCCAAAGAGTGAGCAGTAGCAAGATTTATTGCAAAAAGCGAAAGAACAAAGCTTCCACACTGTGGAAGGGGACCCGAGCGGGTTGTCAATGCTGGCTAGGGCAGCCTGCTTTTATTCTCTTATCTGGCCCCACCCACATCCTGCTGATTGGTAGAGCCGAGTGGCCTGTTTTGTCAGGGTGCTAATTGGTGCATTTACAATCCCTGAGCTAGATACAAAGGTTCTCCACGTCCCCATCAGATTAGTTAGATACAGAGTTTTGACACACAGGTTCTCCAAGGCCCCACCAGAGCAGCTAGATACAGAGTGTCGATTGGTGCATTCACAAACCTTGAGCTAAACGCAGGATGCTGATTGGCGTGTTTACAAACCTTGAGCTAGATCCAGAGTGCCGATTGGTGTATTTACAATCCCTGAGCTAGACATAAAGGTTCTCTACCTCCTCACCAGAGCAGCTAGATACAGAGTGTCGATTGGTGCACTCACAAACCTTGAGCTAAACACAGGGTGCTGATTGGTGTATTTACAATCCCTGAGCTACATATAAAGACTCTCCATGTCCCCACCAGACTCAGGAGGCCAGCTGGCTTCACCTAGTGGATCCCGCACCGGGTCTGCAGGTGGAGCTACCTGCCAGTCCTGCACCGTGCGCTCGCATTCCTCAGCCCTTGGGTGGTCAGTGGGACTGGGCGCCGTGGAGCAGGGGGTGGTGCTCGTCGGAGAGGCTTGGGTTGCACAGGAACCCACGGAGGCGGGGGAAGGCTCAGGCATGGCCGGCTGCAGTCCCGAGGCCTGCCCTGTGGGAAGGCAGCTAAGGCCTGGCGAGAAATCGAGTGCAGCACCGGTGGGCTGGCACTGCTGGGGGACCCAGTACACCCTCCGCAGCCACTGGCCCAGGTGCTAAGGCCCTCACTGCCCGGGGCCCGCAGGGCCGGCCGGCCGCTCCGAGTGCGGGCCCGCCAAGCCCACGCCCACCCAGAACTCCAGCTGGCCCGCAAGCGCTGTGGGCAGCCCCAGTTCCTGCTGGCGCCTCTCCCTCCACACCTCCCTGCAAGCTGAGGGAGCAGGCTCTGGCCTTGGCCAGCCCAGAAAGGGGCTCCCACAGTGCAGCGGTGGGCCGAAGGGCTCCTCAAGTGCCGCCAAAGTGGGAACCCAGGCAGAGGAAGTGCCGAGAGCGAGCTAGGGTTGTGAGGACTGCCAGCACGCTGTCACCTCTCACTGTGTTATATATGCTAGCATTTATATGCTAATTTTTGGAATGAATGATGCAATTCTTACCTACAGAGAATGAAAGTTTCAAAATTAATATATAGAGAGATGAGGATTAATCGGGACCAGTTAAAAGACAACTGAATGGGCAATAATTTTTGGAATATCAGGTTCCACAAAAGCCATTTCAAGTCATTAGCCATCTGTAGGATTAAGATGACATATAGAGAGAACACATATAAAAATAAATGTTCCACATTGTTAGATTCAGGTATCTACCATGTGTCTTGCATCATGCTAAGAATTTTTATATGAATTATCCATCGAATCCTCAAAGCAGCCCTGTAATGTACATGGTAGATACCTGATTCTAACAATGTGGAACATTTATTTTTATACGGGTTCTCTCTATACTTCACCTTAATCCTACAGATGGCTAATGACTTGAAATAGTTTTTGCGGAACCTGATATTCCAAAAATTATTGCCAACGTACATTGCAGGGCTGGTTTGAAGATTAGATGAGATAATTCATATAAAAACAAGAAAACTGCAACCTCCCACTCTACTACCATGAAAGTAACCCTAAGTGATATTACTCTTTTCCAAGGAAAGACAATAAAAAGTCCTTGAACTTTAGGTCATCAAAGACTTTTGCACCTGGTCATATTTTTTATCTCTGTACCAATTTTTGCTGTCATTCTGGATAAACTGCATACCTGAGGTAGTGAATGTCTTCTGGTGAGTTACCAGTTGTGTTTTACCACCAGGGCCCTGCCCCATGCTACTTTATCCACCCCACTTCTTACCTTGTTGCTCAGGCAAGGTAGCACTCACATAAACAACTTTAAAAGGAAAGGACTATAAAAGTTGCACTAGAGAACATTTCTAGCAGAAACTAGATCAGGACAGGATTCCTAAATCTATCAGAGAAATTACATCTTTCTACCATGTAAATGAGTATTTGCTTCTGAGATGGCCTTTCCTCCTACATCGGGAGCTCCTTAAAGGCAGAGACCAGAGAATGTGTCCTCCCTGTCACCACAGATTCCTTTTAGAAGTACCTAAACAATACCTCATGTAAGTTAAAGATTCAGCCTCATCAGACCTCTGACACTCCATTCCGATTCTGAAGTCTGACACCAATAATTTCAAAGGTGACTTTCATCCTATCATCATAGACATGTGAGTGAAAGGTAAGGGCCTCCATCTTCAGCTTACTTTTAAAAGTACTGCCATCCTTATTCTGCTTAGTGCTTGTTCTCTTCTGGTTTTATTCCTCTGTCCTTTCCATAGGACCTTTACTCTCAAACTATGATCAGAACTCTGGTGTTTCTGCATGGATACAATTTTTTTTTTTCCAATTCCCTTAAGCAGAGACTGTTCTCTTAAGTCATGTGCCTAAAATTCTTGGAGCCTCTGTCAACATTATTCTTTTTCTCATTGTCACATACAAACCACCACTCTTACTTCCCACCTTTCATAAAACACCTCCATATATGAAGCTCATGATAGTGGTTGTCTGTCTGTCTGTCTGTCTGTCTATCTATCTATCTATCTATATATCTTATCTCTCTCTCTCTCTCTCTCTGTCTGTCTCTGGGTGGCTCCTATTTCCTGAAATCCCAGTCACTCCCTCATATTCATCAGGAACATTTGCTCCCAGGCATTATTTTCACTTCTATTCCAATTCCTGTTGTCATCCTACATAATTTCCATACCCAAGTGGGTGATCCATTTTAGCCTCAAATCTTCCTGTCCTTATGGACCCCAATAAATTTTTCCTTTATTCCACCTATTTCACTCCCAAAGTCATATGGCAGTGATTACAGGTATAACTACAACTCTTGAAATGTTAAACTGCAATGATGCTACCTTATCACTCTAGTTTTTTATTCTCTCTTGGGGTTTCAGTTTCTTTCTTTTGCTTTTTTTTCCTCCAGTATTTTCTTTCGTGACTTCAATTCTTTCTTTAGTTACCTTAGACCAGTGGTACATCATTACAGCTACTTCTTTTCTTTTCAATACCCTTCCACTTTTTATTTCTATAGAAGCTATCCTGGGTGTACCCCAGGAACTTAAAAAAAAAGCATCCAACACTCAGCTCATGTTTGTCACCAGACCAGCTCCTTCAGTATTTCTTATTTTGGTGAGTTGTGTCACATAGCCCACAAATGTTGGTAGGATCATCCTTGGCTGTACCTTTACATAACCCTCATATCCAATAAGAATTCAAGGCATGTTATTACTCCTCAACTTCCCTTCCATTTCTTACATCCTCATCATTCCTTTATTCTTGTCCTAGTGAAGATTCTCATCATCTTTTGTCTGACTATTACATGGAATTTTAAATTGTATTCTGTGCAAGTCTTGTTTCCTCTTCCTAGTTCCTTTCTTCTTTAAGCTTGCTCTGAAATTTCGAACTGCTGACTGCTCCTTCTTTTTTCTTAAAACTCTTTTCTCTGTTGGCTTTTAAGACACTGCTTTCTTTTGGTTTTCTTTTACCTATATGACCTTTCCTTTTCACCTTCTTCCAGGGTTTCTTTTCATCTTTCTGACTCCTATGCCTTTTCTTTAGTATTGGTACTTAGTACTCTGTCCTCAGCTCTTTTTCCCTTTTCACTCTCTCTACCCTCTCTGGGCAAAGTTATCTATCAAGAGATTTTATCAACCATCAAATATGATGCTGTATCTCCAGTCTGGACCTATCTTCTGAGATCCTGTTACATTTATCTGGCTGCCTACTTCCCTTCCTCATATGGATTTCACATAGCCTCTGAAGCCCATCATCCTGGAGAGAACTTGATGCCCTATCCCATAAATATATTCCTCCTTTATTCCCTATCTCAGTTATATCCATCCTCAAGCCACCAAAGCAGAAAGCTTTCCCTTTTGTCCTTCACATATAGTCAGGCCTCAAACTTTATGTCCCCTTCCTCTCACAGACACATGCTCATCTGTTTATCTTTATTGCTGTCACTATAGTTTTTTTAAATATAACTTTATATCACCTTACCACACATGCTTCACTTTGTTCCTAAACTACATTCTCATGACACCATTTGCAGTACTCAGGAAAAAAGAGGATATAATGCTCTTTGACCCACCCATAGCCACCTGTAGTTCCTTGTCCACCTGGCGATACCTATCCCCTTTTCAAGATTCAGCTTGAGCATCGCTTATTTTCTGAAGTCTACTTGTATCTTTGCATAAAACTGGCTGTTTCATACATTGTGTACCTCTTTCTAGTATGATAATGAAGGCAAATGAAACACATACTTTATTACACTCATTTATTTATAAGTCATTTTTCCTCACTGGGCCAGAAACTCCTTGAAGGTGCAACCATGACTTATTCACCCTTGTATCCCACTGCCTAAGACAATGACCATCTCAATAAATGCTCAGTAGACTTTTCAAACAAATGGAATAGGTGCTGTTTTTGAATATTAGACATTTACAATTTACTTGACATAATACAGCTGGCTAACATTGCATTTAACACATATTTACATTTTTATACAAATCTCCATAGTTTTAACAAAGTTTCATCTTCTGAATAAATAAAATATCACCTTAAAATATTACAGCTTCATGATTTACTAGCAGATTCCTTCAATCACAGGTGTGCTCTTTGGCAAATGCATGGTTTTGCATATATTATTTAGGTTCTTCTAATCCTAAGAGAAAGTTGGGAAGAAATTAATATATAATATGTAATAATCTTTTCCTCACATAAGAATAGCTCCTATAACTACTGCACCGGAAGGAAGTTTCATATAAATTGATAACACTAAGTTGGAGAAGTAGTTTTTTCCTTAATATTTCTATTCTGTTTAGTCTGGCCAGAGGGTGGTTACTCCTTTGTAGGAAAGCATAGTGAATATGAGTCAGAAGACAGAAGTTTGGGTTCCTGAACTGCTGTTTACTGGTTTTGTGACCTTAAGAAAGCTACTTAAATGTCCAGAGTCTCAGTTTCTTTATTTGGTTATTTCATAGGAAATTTGGCAGAATCAAAGAGTATCATGTACATAAAGGGCTGTGCATCCCACAAATTGTGGGGCAACACTCTGTGAAAAAAACAGCAAGGACAGGAAGAGCATGGGGCTGGCAGTCAACAGACCAGTTTAAAGTCTTTGTTTTGCCATATTCATGTGGTTTTGCGCACATTACTTAACTTCTTTGAACATATTTCCTCAATCTGTAAAATGGGGACAATAACATCTACCTCCTACAATTGTGGAGAAGATTAAGTGCAGCAATGCATTTAAGGCATCTGACATCTAATCATTGCTCTATAACTGGTGATGGCATAGGTGAGAACAGCATTCAGTTTTTGAAATCCTCTATCCTCTATACATGTTTTATGCCCTGTAGCATGATCAACAACCAACTGAGATGAATCTCTCAGTTGGTTAACCCTGAGCTAGTATCCTCTGCAGAATCAGGCTTACCTAGAATTCAACCTGGAGCTGGACTGTCCACCCTCCTTAAGTACAAACACATGTAAAGTATACTGTGCCTGGAACTCTCACATGATAGCAGTCATTATTATAGTTTCTGCTTATTACTCAGAGCCAGCCACTATCATAGCCACTTTATATACCTTATTTTGTTTAAACTTACACATAAATTCTGAGAGGTGGGGATATTATTCTCTCCATTTACAGATGATGAAACTTAGAAACTCACAGAGAGGATAAGCTTCAGTTACAGGCAAGTAAGAGGCAAGAATAAAAAATTAACTGAGGGTTTCTGATAATATGCCCAGTGTTTGTTTGTTTGTTTGTTTGTTTTCTGCCCACACGACAATGACAAATAGGTCAAGCTCACTCTAGCACTTTTGGCTACTCCTTCAAAATCAACAGCATTTATGAGTTAAAAATGCAGCTTGACAAAATACCAGCTTTAATTTGCTTCTGTCACTGATCTTAGCAGGAGTCCTTACCTTTGATTTAGGCCCAACTCTCTAGGCATTTGGAATATTTTCTTACCCAGATTGGTAGCTTGAGCCATCCCATCCTTCCTGTGCAGAGATCCAGGTGTAATGGGGCCCTCTCTGGTTTACACCCAGGCAGATCTCCAGACATTTGGAGCACACACTTACCTGGATCAGCAGCTTGAGCTGCCCCACCCTTCCTATGCAGCAATTTGGGTGCAAGGGGACCGTCTCTGCTTCATGACTAGGCAGATCTCCAGGCAGTTGAAGCACACACTTGCCTGGTTCCAAGGCCTGACCCATCCCACTATTCTGTGCAGAGGCTGGTGCACCAGGTCCTCTCTGCTCCACAATCAGGCAAATTTTCAGACACCTGCTCACCTTGATTGGCAGCCTGAGCTGCCCTACCCTTCCTGCAGAGAGATCATGGTGCAGTGGGGTCCTCTCAGCCCCATGTTCAGATAGATCTCCAGGCATTTGGAATGCCTGTTCACCTGAATCAGCAGCCTGAGCTGTCTCACCCCTTCTATGAAGAGATCTTGATGCAGCAGGGCCCTCTCTGCCCCATGTCTAGCAGATGTCCAGGCATCTGGAGCACCCACTCTCCTGGTTTAGGATTTTAGGCAACCCTCTTCCCTGTGCAGAGGACTTGGGGCCAAAGAGGTTTCCCATCTCCTTGCCTACGCACTACTCTGGGTGCTAGGTGGCTAGCCACTGGATTTTCCCTTGGTGCTGGTGCTTGTGCCTGTCAATGGGGGAACTTCAGGTGGGCATGCCCAGTCTGACTTCACCCATCTTGCCCCCAAACCGCAGAGCTGAGCAGGGAGCTCTGACTACTGTTCACCCCAAGAATCAGCCCATTGCCTGAGGCAACAGAGAGCTTCTCCTAGTAAACAAGGATCCAGTATATACCTAGCTTTTACCCACGAGTGCCACCTATTGACTCATAGGTTGAACCACACAGCCTAATATAAAATTTGCCAACAAAATTGCAGTGTTAGCTATAAAAGCAAAGCCAAAAGATTCTACTCAGCATTCTCTACAGTTACACCCCCTAAGGAATTGGGGGGAATTCCTTAGGAAGGTAAAAGGAAAAATATTATAGGAAAAAAAGAAAAACAAAAAATCAAAATAAAAAATAATTGCAAAAGTTGGAGGTGTCAGCATTTCCAGATGAGAAGGAACCAGTATAAGAATTATGACACCCTAGGCCGGGCGCGGTGGCTCACGCCTGTAATCCCAGACCTTTGGGAGGCCGAGGCGGGCAGATCACGAGGTCAGGAGATCAAGACCATCCTGGTTAACACAGTGAAACCCCGTCTCTACTAAAAATACAAAAAAATTAGCCAGGCATGGTGGCGGGCGCCTGTAGTCCCAGCTACTCGGGAGGCTGAGGCAGGAGAATGGCGTGAACCCGGGAGGCGGAGCTTGCAGTGAGCCGAGATCACGCCACTGCACTCCAGCCTGGGCCACAGAGGGAGACTCTGTCTCAAAAAAAAAAAAAAGAAAGAATTATGACACCATGAAAAATCTGAGTGTAGTAATAACACTAAAGGATCATACTAGCTCTCCAACAATGGTTCTTAAACAAAATGCAAATGCAGAAATAACAGGCAAAGAATACAAAGCATGGTTGCAAAGATGCTCAATGAGATCCAAGACAGGTTTAAAATCAAGAAAGAACTTCTAAAGCAATCCAGGAAATGAAGGAAGAGATAAACATCTTAAAAAGAAATCAGTCAGAACTTCTGGAATTGAAAAACTCATCTTAGGAATTTTAAAATACAATTGAAAGCTTTACCAATAGACTGGACCAAGCAGAAGAAACAATTTCAAAACTTGAAGATGGCTGTTTCAAACTAACATAGTGACACAAAAATAAAGAATTTAAAAAAGAATATTAAAAAATGAACTGTCATTGAGAAATATGGAATTATGTAAAGTGACCAAACCTACAAATTATTGGCATTCTTGAGATAGAAGGAGGAATAGTAAACACTATGGAAAACATCCTTCAGGGAATAACTCAAGAAAATTTTCCTAATCTTGCTAGAGAGGTAGATATTCAGATGCAAGAGATCCAGAGGACATCTGCAAGATATTATACAAAACAAACATCACCAAGGCATATTGCCACCAGATTATCCAAGGTGTTAAAATAAAAACCTTAGCCAAATTAAATTTAACAGGGTTTAGTTGAACAAGGAATGATTTATGAATTGGGCAGCCTCCCAAGCCAGAATAGGCTCAGAGAGACTCCAGCACAGCCACATGGTGGAAGAAGATTTATAGACAGAAAAAGAAAAGTGATGTATGGAAAATGGAAGTGAAGTATAGAAACAGCCTATTAGTTACAGCTTGTTGTTTGCCTTATTTGAACACAGTTTGAACAGATGGCCTCCTTCGATTGGCCAAAACTCAGTGATTGGCACAAAAGTAGGTTAGTCTGTTTATACCTCCATTTAGGTTATAGTTCACTATATACAGAAAAAGTAGTTGGCTGAACTTAAAATGCATAAAAAGGCAGCTTTAGGCTAAACCTAATTTAACCAAAGTCGACACTACAGAAAAATTTTAAAGACAGCTAAAGAGAAAGGATCAAATAATGCAAAGGAAACCCCAACAGGCTAACAGTGGACTTCTTAGCAGAAATCTACAAACCACGAGAGATGGGCAGCTTATTTTCGGCATTCTTGAAAAAAAAAAAAAAAAAGAAAGAAATTCCAACCAGGAATCTAATATCCTGCCAAACTAAGCTTCATACGCAAAGCAAAAATATGTGTTTTTTTTTGAGACAAGCAAGCACTAAAGGAATTTGTTACCTCTAAACCAGCCTTACAATAGATCCTTAAGGGAGTTCTAAACATGGAAACAAAGAAACAATACCTGCTACCACAAAAACACAGTTAAGTACATAGCCCAAGATCCTATAAAGCAACCACACAATAGAAACCAGCTAACAACTTCAGGATAGGATAAAAATCTCACATATCAATATTATCTTTGAATGTAAACAGTCTAACCATCCCACTTAAAAAGCACGGAGTGGTAAGTTGGATTAAAAAAAAACCAAACCCATCTATCTACTGTCTTCAAGAAATGCATCTCACATAGAATAACACCTATAGGCTCAATGTAAAGGGTTGAAGAAAGATCTATAATACAAATAGACAAAGAGCAGGGGTCACTATTCTTATGACAGATAAAACAGACTTTAAGCCAACAACAGTAAAAAAGAACAAAAACAGGGGCATTGCATAATGATAAAGGGTTTAATCTAACCAGAAGACTTAACTATCCTAAATATATATGCACCCAATAATGGAGCACCCAGTTTCATAATATAAGTACTTCTAGACCTATGAGAAGGCTTAGACAGCCACTCAATAGTAGTAGAAGACTTCAACACCCCACTGACAGAGTTACACAGATCACTGAGGCAGAAAACTAGCAAAGGTATTCTGGATTTAAGTTTGACACTTAACAAATTGGACCTAATAGTCATCTATAGCAGTGGTCCCAAACTTTTTGGCACCAGGGATCAATTTTGTGGAAGACAATTTTTCCATGGACCTGTGTGTGATGGTTTCAGGATGAAACTGTTCCACCTTAGATCATCAGGCATCAGATTCTCATAAGGAACGCACAACTTAGATGCCTCGCACGTGGAGTTCACAATAGGGTTTGCGCACCTATGAGAATCTAATGCCACCACTGATCTGACAGGAGGTGGAGCACAACTTAGATCCTTCACATGTGGAGTTCGCACACAATTTAGATCCCTCGCATGCGGAGATTGCAATACGGTTTGCGCGCCTGTGAGAATCTAATGGCACCACTGATCTGACAGGAGGTGGAGCACAGGTGATAATGCTTTCATCTGCCACTCACTTCCTGCTGTACAGCCTAGTTCCTAACAGGCCAAGGATGGGTAGTGGTCTATAGTCCCAGGGTTGAAAATGCCTGATCTATAGAATAATCTACCTATCAATCACAGAATATACATTCTTCTCATCTGCACATTAAATATACTCTGAAATCCAACCACATTCTTGGCCATAAAGTGAGTCTCAATACAAATTTAAAAAATCAAAATAATACCAACCATACTCTTAGAACACAGTAGAATAAAAATAGGAATTAATACAAAGATCCCTTAAAACCATATAATTACATGGAAATTGAATAACTTGCTCCTGAATGACTTTTGGGTAAGCAATGAAATTAACACAGAAATTAAAAATTTTTTTTTGAAATGAATGAGAACAAAGACACAACATACCAAGATCTTTGGATACAGCAAAATCAGTGTTACAAGAAAAATTTATAGTGCTAAATGCCTACCTCAAAAAATTAGAAGGATCTCAAATTAATATCACCTAGCGAAGCTAGAAAAACAAGAACAAACCAACCCCAAAGCTAGCAGGAGAAAAGAAAGAAATAAGAGCAGAACTGAATGAAACTGTGAACCCAAAATCCATACAAAGAATCAACAAAACCAAAAGTTGGTTCTTTGACAGGATAAACAAGACCAAAAGAATGCTAGCTACACTAACAAAGGAAAAAAGAGAAGAACCAAATAAGCAAAATCAGAAATGACAAAGACGACATTGCAACCAAACCTTCAGAAGTACAGAAGATCCTCAGAGACTATTATGAACATCTCTATCCATACAAACATCTCTATCCATACAAATCCATAGGAAATGGATAAATTCCTGGGAAGACATAACCTCCCAAGATTGAATCAGGAAGAAATTGAAACCCTAAACAGACCAATATCAAGTTTTGAAATTGAATCAGTAATAAAACAACCTACCAACCAAAAAGCCCTGAACCAGATGGATTCACAGCCAAATTCTACAACATGTACAAAGAGGAGCTGGTACCAATTCTATCTAAACCATTCCAAAAAATCTAGGAGGAGGGCCTCCTCTCTAACTATTTCTAGGAAGCTTGCATTGCCCTAATACAAAAACCTGGCAAGGAGACAATGAAAAAAGACAGCTACAGGCCAATATTTCTAATGCCTATAGACACAAAAAAAAACCCTCAACAAAATACTAGGAAACTGAATCCAGCAGCACAACAAAAAGTTATTCACCATGACCAAGTGAGCTTCATTTATGGGAGGCAAGGTCGTGTCAACATAGGCAAATCAATAAATGTGATTCACCACATAAACAGAATTAAAAACAAAATCATATGATAATCTCAATTGATTCAGAACAAGCTTTTGATAAAATCCAACATCTCTACATGATAAAAACCCTGAACAAATTAGGCATTGAAGGAAAATACATCAAAATAGTAACAACTGTCTATGACAGACTCACAGCCAACATCATACTGAATGGTCACAAGCTGGAAGCATTGCTCTTGAGAACTGGAATAAGAGAAGGATGCCTACTCTCATCACTCCTATTCAAAACAGTACCGGAAGTCCTAGCCAGAGCAATCAGGCAAGAGAAAGAAATAAAAGACATTCAAATAAGTAAATAAAATATTCAAATAAGAAAATAACTATCTCTCTTCACCAATGATAGATGCTATACTAGAAAATCTTAAAGACGCTATCAAAAGGCACCTGAAACTTATAAATGACTTTGGTAAAGTTTCAGAATACACAATCAATGTATAAAACTCAGTATCATTTCTATACACCAATAACATTCAAGCTGAGAGCCCAGTCAAAAACATAATCCCACCTAGAATAGCTACAAAAAAAAAAAAAGACCTAGGAATACATCTAACGAAGGAGATGAAAGATCTTTAGAAGGCAAACTACAAAATACTGTTGAAGGAAATCAGAGATGATGGAAACAATTGGAAAAATATTCCATGCTCAGGGCTTGGAAGAATCGATATCATTAAAATAGCCATATTGCCCAAAGAAATCCACAGATTCAATGCTATTTCTATGAAACTACTAACATCATTTTTCATAGAATTAGAAAAAAAAAACCTAAAATTCATATGGAACCCAAAAAGAGCCCAAATAGCCAAAGAAATCCTAAGCAAAAAGAACAAAGCCAGAGGCATCACATTACCTAACTATGAACTATACTATAAGGCTATAGTTACCAGAACAGCATGGTACTGGTACAAAAACAGACATGTATACCAATGGATCAGAATAGTGAACCCTGAAATAAAGCTACACACCTATAGCCATCTGATCTTTGACAGAGCTGACAAAACCCAGCAATGGAGAAAAGACTCCCTATTCAATAAATGGTTCTGAGAAAGCTGGCTAACCATATGCACAAAAATGAAACTGGACCACTACATATCACCATCTACAGAAATTAACTCAAGATGGATTAAAGATTTAAAGGTAAGATCTCAAGCTATAAGAATGCTAGAAGTAAACCTAGGAAACACCATTCTGGACATCAACCTTGGCAAAAAAAAATGTGTGATTAAGTCCTCAAAAGCAATTGCAACGAAACCAAAAATTGACAGCTGGGTCTTAATTAAACTAAAGAGCTTCTGCATAGCAAAAGAAATTATCAAAAGAGTAAACAGACAATCTACAGAATGGGAGAAAATATTTACAAACTATGCATCCAACAAAGGTGTAATATCCAGAAACTATAATGAACTTAATTCAACAAACCAAAAACAAATAACTTCATTAAAAAGGGAGTAAAAGACATGAGCAGACCTTCCCAAAATAAGGCATACAAGTGGCCAAAAAATACATGGAAAAATGCTCAACATACATCACTAATCCTTAGAGAAATGGAAATCAAGTAAAACTACCATTCGATCCAGCAATCCCACTACTAGGTAGCTATCCAAAGGAAAATAAATATGAAAA
Source organism: Homo sapiens (assembly GCF_000001405.40). Lineage (NCBI taxonomy): Eukaryota > Metazoa > Chordata > Mammalia > Primates > Hominidae > Homo > Homo sapiens. The sequence continues at coordinate 82,489,224 of NC_000011.10, read as the reverse complement.
TATGAAAAGAACACATGTGCACATATGTTTATAGCAGTACAATTGGCAATTGCAAAAATATGGAACCAACATAAATGCCCATCAACCAATGAATGGATAAATAAAATGTGGTATATATATATACTCTATGGAATACTACTCAGCCATAAGACAAAATGAAGTAATGACCTTTACAGAAACTTAGATGGAGTTGAAGGCCATTACTCTAAATGAAGTAACTCAAGAATGAAAAACCAAATATCGTATATTCTCACTTATAAGTGGGAGCTAAGCTATGAAAATGCAAAGGTATAAGAATAATGTAATGGACTTTGGGTACTCAGGAGGAAGGGTGAGAGGGAGTTGAGGAATAAAAGACAAATATTGTGTACATTGTACACTGCTTGGGTGATGGGTCCACCATAATCTCAGCGATGACCACTAAAGAACTTATCCATGTAACCAAAAACCACCTGTTTCCCAAAACTATTGAAATAATAATTAATGATAATAATGATAAATATATAGCTTGAGAAAAGAAAAAAACGAACAGTGTTTTTATAAAATTCTTTCTACAGTTAGCGGGAATTTGAGCTCAAACCCAAATATTAGCAAATATAAAATTTAATCTAGAACTTTGTATTGTTTATTTTTACAGTATTAAAAATTTATAGCTAAACTGAAGTAGGTTTAAAATATAAGAAAACATAAGTTATTCCTTTGAAGTAATACCTTGGGAATATACAAAGGAGTTGATAAAGCTTGAAGGCATTTTACCTTAATGTGATGACTTGATGGTAAATATAAAACTTCAGAATGTTAGTTTGTTTTTTGTAATTTTTTTGTATCATCTGCCTCTCCCTCATATTTTTATTTTGAATTCATGAAGAATGGACTGGCTCTTTACTTTCCTTGTAATTTCTCATTTTTCACAGTACCTAAGATGGATTCCTGGGCTCTGGAATAAAGTAGCTTTAAAAAATAATTAAAAAACCCACAATGAGGCCTGGCACCGTGACTCACGCCTGTAATCCCAGCACTTTGGGAGGCCGAGGCAGGTGGATCACGAGGTCAGGAGATGGAGACCATCCTTGCTAACACAGTGAAACCCCGTCTCAAAAAAATACAAAAACATTAGCTAGGCGCGGCGGCGTGCGCCTGTAGTCCCAGCTACTGGGGAGGCTGAGGCAAGAGAATGGCGTGAACCTGGGAGGCGGAGCTTGCAGTGAGCCGAGATTGCGCCACTGCACTCCAGCCTGGGCGACAGAGCGAGACTTTGTCTCAAAAACAAAACAAAACAAAACAAAACAAAACAAAACAAAACAAAACCACAATGAGATACCATCTCACACCGGTCAGACTGGCTATTGTTAAAAAGTCAAAATGTAACAGGTGCTGGTGAGACTGTGGAGTAAAAGGAATACTTATACACTGTTGGTGGCTCATATGTTCCACCAACAGGAACTCGAACTCGTATGTTCATTGCAGCAATTTCATTTCAACATGAAATGAACTCGTATGTTCATTGCAGCAATACCCACAATAGCAAAGACAATAAATCAACCTAAGTGCTCATCAACAATGGATTAGATTTTTAAAAATGTGGTACACATACACAATGGAATACTATGAAGCCATAAAAAAGAATGAATTCATTTCCTTTGCAGCAACAAGGATGCAGCTGGAGACCATTACCCCAAGCATATTAACACAGGAATAGGAAATTAAATACCACATATTCTCACTTATAAGTGGGAGCCAAACATTGGGTACTCATGGATATAATGATGGGAACAAGTTTGAAAAACTAACTATCGGGTAATATGCACACCACCGGGCAATGGGATCAATAGTACCCCAAACCTCAGCTTCATACAATATGCCCATGTAACAAACCTGTGTATATATCCCCTGAATCTGAAATAAAAGTTGAAATTATATTTTAAAAAATTTATCACATCAGTCTGTGCCTTGAAATTTTATGAGGCTAATAGGATAAAAATCTCAGTCTTTTTCCTCGTGGAATGCTAAATAAAATAGAGCAAAGTATATATAATTACAGATTATTATGTTTTGTGTAGTGAGCAGGGATTATGATGGTATTCTGGGAGTGGAAGGAAGGGCCACGGAAGATTTTCAAGCAAGGATGAACATTTCCTTGAAGACTTGAAGAATAGTGTGATTTTAAGAGGAGGAAAGAGGGAAGGGGGAACAGAACGAGTGAACAAAGACATGAAGGTATTCAACATTACAGCCCATTCAGAAATGTGAGACGTTTAGGGTGGGAGGATGGCTAGAACATAGAGAGGTAAGAGAAGAGTCTGAGGGGATTGGCACAGGGTCACATCACAGTGGACATTATAAGTCATATCAAATTGGAGTTAATGTTATAGGCAAGAAGCGAACATTGATGTGTTTTAAGCATGAAAATGAAAGGATAAGAGTAGCAGTTGAGTCAGATTCATCTGATAGAAAGTTGGAAGATGGATTGGAGGGTTAGGCCTGGAGGAAAGATACCAGGTTTAAATCACCTAGGTTGGAGATGCCACAGGCCTGGTCCTAGAGGATAGCAGGTTATTAGAGCGAAGTGGTAGATGAAATCGAAAAGGCTGAATTGGTATAACTTAGTAACTTGGTGGGATGTGGGATGAAGGACAAAACGGTGTCCAGAAGGCCTCCTGGGTTTCTGTCCTCACTGATTGCAAGGATCATGGCCACAGTGTGTGAGACAGGGAGCACCCAGCAGGAGCAGATTTGGTGAGAAGATGAGGACCACATGGGACATTGCCATGGGCCTCATACCTGCTCTTCTTACCATTAGCCTCTCAATACTTTCACTGTCAGGGTTCTCATTATTCTCTTTATCACCTCATGCCCAGACTATTGCAGCAGGCTTATCGCTGGCGTGTAAACTCTTTAACTTTCCTTGAACACAGCTCTGATGTGTCACCCTTACACTTAAAGCATTTTAATATCTCCGAGGTGCTTCTAGAGGCCTGGAATTCAAGGTCTTACACAATCTCATCCCAACTGACATTTCCAAGCTGATTTTCTACCATTCCCTCTAAGCAGGAGCCTAATCTGTCATAGTTTCAAGAAACATGATGTAACTTGGAAAACAAATGTGTATGTGTGGTGCTTTTGTCAAAAGAAGTTAGAGAAAGAAAAGAACCACACTTATTTGAGAAACTAAAAAAGGCATCAAGGATAAAATAGGACCTATCTTGGGTTTTGTGGTATAAATAGGGAAAAGGTAGGTGACAAGGAGGAGGAAGGCGTATCTGGTGGGGTAACAGCGTGAGTACAAACATAGAGACTGGAGATGTGGAAGGAAGGGAGCAGGAAAGGCGGTGGCAGGGAAGAAACTGGACTGACAAGAATAGAGGGTGGGCCAGAGTAGGCTATAGTTCTAGGGTCTTGGAGGGTGCAGCTTTTGTCTTCTGATGCAGTAGTATAATTTTAAATGTGAATATTTACTGATAATTCTGTATATATAATATCATGACTGGAAAATCAGCATGAAATAATATCAAAACACCTTGAGTTATTAAAATATCTTCAGAATTAAACCTTACATTTCCACAGTGCCTTACAGATTACTAAACATTTTCACTGAGGCCCAGAGAGGAGCAGGGCTTTGACAAGGCAGATCTTGGATATAGGTCTTTTAACCCCAGTTTTCCCACTAAAACATAGCTGCCTCTTTTAACATATTTTAATGTCTAAACAATCATAGACCCTTTTGGGGTAGATCAGACTACAAAGGTGGCTCAGATGGATTGTAATTAGTTTCTTCAGGATCTTGTTAAACATCTCTTTATTGACTTTTGTCCTCCAGCTGAGAAGAAGCCAAAAAAAAGAAAACAAACAAGACATGCCACAAACTGCTGCTATAAAGGTTCACAAATAAGGTCACACTGCTGAACACAGCTAGAGAGGCAACACAAGACTTCACTATGGTTTTCCTCACAGATTGGAGTGCAACGAAATAATTTAGGGGCACCCTGATGCTGGTGTTTGAAAACTATTAATACTTCAAATTTCAGAAGTGTAACACTTGTTCTGGAAGAATACAATCCCTGAATCCACTGGTCTCTCATTCCACTTTGAAGTGAAAGATGCTGTTTCATAGATGATTGTGTTATGAACATATCTTTTCAGCACTTTAACAAGAAGTCAATGTTATGTTTTGAAGCAGAGTGCCAGGAGGAAATAGCTCATGCCAAATCATTGGGATTCAAGTTGTACAACAAAGAGGAATCTATTGATTTTTTAAAGTAAGTTTGAAAGGAAATTATCTCCTGAAAACATGTTCTTCTCAAACAATGGGGGTTTGCATGAAAAAACCTAAGACTTCATAGAATTCCAGGAGTTATGTGTCTGTCATGGGAAAGACTGTGTCTGAGTCTTTTCTGGACACACAGAGAACACACATGAGGTCTATGATAGTTGCAAATATTTTGGTACCTGTGTGGAAATTGCTAAAACCTGAAGAGGGAAAGAAAAAAACACACAATCAGGATTGTGGATATGAGTGACAATATTCTCTCAATGTTTATCAAATAACTGTTATGGTAACTACGATGGCTGTACTATAGTTACTATTGTGTTAGGCATGGCACTCTGTGCGTCATCTCTCAAAACACCCATTTCATTTTATTATCACTTATCCAATCTCTTTTTAAATTGATACATGATAATACATATTTATGGGTACAAGTGGTATTTTGATATTTTCCATACAGTGTGTAATGATCAGGGTATTGAAATAACCATCACCTCAAACATTTATCACTTCTTTGTATATCTCCAGAAGCAGGGGCTGTGGCTTCCTTGTTTCCTATATCAACAGTACAGTATCTGACAAGTAACAGGCACTCAATAACTATTTAATGAATGAAAGAAGAAGTGTTTGAGGTATAAAGATCAGATCAACAGTAGATAGATACTTAAGGAGGCAAAACAGAGCGTATATAAGTTAGTTAAAAAATCTTTTTATTGAGATATAATTCACATTTCATAAGATTCATACATTTAAAGTATATAATTTACTGATTGTAAGCATATTCAACCATTAATACAATCTAATTTAGAACATTTTCTCTACTTCCCCCCAAAACTTCATACCCATTAGCAGTCATTCCTCCCCAAATATACACAAAGCCACTAATATAGCTTAGTCCTGGCAGATAGCATGTAACATGATTCATAATTTTTTGAACAAAGAGTCGTATCCTTCTGGAGCTGTGGATTTTCTTAAAGAAATTCCTCAGTATCTGACATGGGGAAAAGAGGGACCTGAACTTGACATCTTATCTAGGGCTGAGTCTGTTGAGATGTTGCTGTTGGACAGATGGTAGGAGAGAAGCAAACCAGAAGCAGGAGTAAGAACATTCAGCCAGGAGTGAGTCAATCAGCCGAGGGAAGTTTGTTACTGAATATGAACCTACCTTAGGCCTACGAATGTGGAATACAGAGTCTGGGAGCTCAGACAGAATCGATAAAAGTGAAAATTGCGAATAGGAGATTCTGGAAATCAGCTCTGATTTCAAGATTTAGACCCTTTGCTCTGCTTTCTGAAAGTCACTGGCTCCTGACCTTTAGGGATTAGTCCAAGGCAGGCATTCAGAGAACATGGGAAAAGCATCTCAATATTCTAGTAGGAAGTATGCACTGTTTTAGAAGCATTTGAATTGATGGAAAGTCTGAGAGAAAAATTGAAGAGAAATGTTAATTTTATTTGTTCAACAAATATTTATGTTTCACATACGACAATCCATGCTTTATTCCAAGCACTGCGCATGCAACACTGAACAAAAAACAATGGGCAAAAATTTACCCTTAAAAATAATTTACATTCGCAAGGGATATACAGACCATAACAAAACACACACACACACACACACACACACACACACACACACACACGAAAACAAACATAGTTTGTTAGATGATAAAGAAGACTAAAAGGGGAAATTAAAGCAGCAAAAGAAATAGGGGAGCAGGGCAGGAAGGAAGTGATTTTATATGGTGACCAGGGAAGGTGATATGATTTGGGTATGTGTCCCCACCCAAATCTCATCTTGATTTGTAGTCCACACCTGTTGAGGGAGGACCTGTAATCCCTACGTGTTGAAGGAGATAGGTGACTGAATCATGGGGGTGGTTCCCCCATGCTATTCTTGTGATAGTGAGTGAATTCTCAAGAGATCTGATGTTTTTTTAAGGGGCTTTTCCCGCCTTTACTCAGCACTTCTCATTGTTGCCGCCATGTGAGGAAGGATGGTTGTTTTGCCATGGGGTCCCTCCATTTCCTTCTATCAGGTACCTCATCTAATGGCAACTAAGTAATCTAGCCCCATGACTTTCCACTTCTGTGATCTCAGGCAAGCCACTTAACCCATCTGTTTCTCGGTATTTTATCTTTAGAATAAGGTTGTTATAAGGTCAATAAAGCACTAGATAATAATTTAGCATAGTTTATGGATTATTTTAATCACAACATTTATTTGCAATTTTTATTGTTCTTATTAATGTTACTAATATTATGGGGAGATCTACCATAGTAAAAATTAAGAAGCTGTATAAATGTATAACATGGTGAACTATAACCTAAATGGAGGTATAAACAAGCTAACCTACTCCTGTGCCAATCACTGAGTTTTGGCCAATCAAAGGAGGCCATCTGTTCAAATTGTGTTCAAATTAGGCATACAACAAGCTGTAAATAATACAGCTATTTCTATACTTCACTTCCATTTTCCATACATCACTGTACAAGGACCAAAACAGCATGGTACTTGTACCAAAACAGACATATAGACCAATGGAAGAGAACAGAGACCTCAGAAATAACACCACACATCTAGAACCCTCTGAGCTTCGACAAACCAGACAAAACAAGCAATGGGGAAAGGATCTCCTATTCAGTAAAAGGTGCTGGGATAACTGGCTAGCCATATGCAGAAAACTGAAACTGGACCCCTTCACACCTTATACACCTTATACAAAAATTAACTCAAGATGAATTAAAGACTTAAATGTAAAACCCCAAACCATAAAAATCCTAGAAGAAAACGTAGGCAATACCATTCAGGACACAGACACTGGCAAAGACTTGATGACTAAAACAGCAAAAGCAATGGCAAAAAAGAAGCCAAATTTGACAAATGGGATCTAATTAAACTAAAGAGCTTCTGCACAACAAAAGAAACTATCATCAGAGTGAACAGATAATCTACAGAATGGAAGAAAATTTTTGCAATCTATCCATCTGACAAAGGTCTAATATCTAGAATCTACAAGGAACTTGAATATATTTACAAGAATAAAACAACCTCATTAAAAAGTGGGCAAAGCATATGAATGGCCACTTCTCAAAATAAGACATTTATGCGGTCAACAAACATATGAAAAAAAGCTCAATATCACTGATCATCAGAGAAACGCAAATCAAAACCACAGTGAGATACCATCTCACACCAGTCATAATGGTGATTATTAACATGTCAGGAAACAATATATGCTGGAGAGGCTGTAGAGAAATAGGAACGCCTTTACACTGTTGGTGGGCATGTAAATTAGTTCAATCATTGTGGAAGACAGTATGGTGATTCCTCAATGATCTAGAACCAGAAATACCATTTGACCCAGCAAACCCATTACTGGGTATATACTCAAAGGATTACAACTCATTCTACTATAAAGACACATGCACACATATGTTTATTGCAGCACTATTTACAATGGAACCAACCCGAATGACCATCAATGATAGACTGGATAAAGAAAATGTGGTACATATACACCATGGAATACTATGCAGCCCTAAAAAGGAATGAGACCATGTCCTTTGCAGGGACATGGATGAAGCTGGAAGACATCATCCTCAGCAAACTAACACAGGAACAGAAAACCAAACACTGCATGTTCTCACTCATAAGTGGGAGTTGAGCATTGAGAACACATGGATACAGAGAGGGGAACAGCACACACCAGGGCCTGTTGGGGGTTGGGAGTTGAGGGGAGGGAACTTAGAGGATGGGTCAATAGGTGCAGCAAACCAGCAAGGCAGATTTATACCTATGTAAAAAACCTGCACGTTCTTCCCATGTATCCCATTTCTTTTTAGAATAAGGAAAAAAACATAAACTGTGGGTTGTTGATATGAGACTATATTTGAGATCAAATATTGGGTGAAAAAAGTTGATTATGACTTCTCCCAGTAATGGTAGAATGAGTAATTTGGGCCAATACTACAACTGAAGATACCTAGAAGATCTAGATAAAATGTAAACATAAATCTGCTTAAGGATATTGAAGACCTATCAAGACAGTGCCAAATTAACAGTTGGACAGTGCGGAGGACTGATAACCAGATAGTTCAGCCTATCATTTGGGACCATTTCTTCATGGGGAGTTTGTTTTTTCTAGAAAGGTCCCGACAGTTAGAGAGCCAAACAGTTTTTTGTGTCCTTGTAGGTCACGCTGCCCTTTCTTTGTGCAGTAACTATACAGCAGTAAAAGTAAAACCAAGCTGGGCCTTGGAAAACAGCAACCAAAATTCCAGCACTCTAATACATAAGAGCTTCTTTTTGTTTTAGTTTCCTCATCTCCAAAATCAGAATATCAGGACATATAATACATAGTGCTGGAAGCTTTTAAATAATTCAATATATGTGAAAATTCATGGTCTGATGCCTGACACATTAAATAATTTATTTTTTGCTTTTTCAGTTTAAATTATTACAAAGCAACATAGGAAAACATGTAGTTAATCAATTCAAAACTATAACCAAGGATTCAGTAAAAGTCATTAGAATGATTTATTCACAAACTTCCAGTTTAAAGATAATGCATTCACAGAGAAATGATATATACTTGAGGTGATGCATATTCTAAATACACTGACTTGAGGACAGGCACAGTGGCTCACACCTGTAATCCCAGCACTTTGGGAGGCTGAAGTGGGTGGATCACCTGAGGTCAGGAGTTGGAGACAAGCCTGACCAATATGATGACACCCCGTCTCTACTAAAAATACAGCAGTTAGCCAGGTATGGCAACATGAGCCTGTAGTCCCAGCTACTCAGGATGATGAGACAGTAGAATTGCTTGAACCCAGGAGGCGGAGGTTGCAGCGAGCCGAGATCATGCCACTGCACTCCAGCCTGGGCGACAGAGCGAGATTCCATCTAAAAAAAAAAAAAAAAGAAAAATAAATAAAAGAATAAAAATAAATAAATAAATAAATACACTGACTTGATCATGATCATCATTCTATGTTTGTAACAAGATATGACATATATCCTATAAATATGTACAAATATTATATATTAATAAGAAATTTAAAAAGATAATGCACTGATTAGCATTGCACTTCGTAAATTAAGAATTTATAATTTATGTAAACACTAAAATTATTGACCATTGCAAACATGTGAAGGGGAAGAAATAATAAAATTAGTAATCTGACAGGATAAATAAAAACAGACCAATAGGAACATGGAATTAGCCAGAAAAATACAAATCACTGAGTAACACTGTAAGCTTAGACCTGCATATATCAATAATTACTTTCAATGTAAATGGTCTAAGTGTTCTTATCAAAAGATTGATATTTTTAGACTCAACTAAAATACACTTAACGTATTGAATTTTAGAAATCTTGTAAGAAATACAAGGTGGCAAAAAGTTTAGAAGTAAAATGATGAAAAAGCGTGCATTATGCAGACACTAAGTGAGAGTGTTTTCGTAGCCATATCAATATCAAAGACTTTAAGAAATTATAACATAACTGGGAATGCTTTTCTCAATTAGAAAAGGTTCAATTTATGATGACAATATAACAATTCTAAATTTGTATGCACCCAACAAAATAATCCTAGAATATATAAAGAAAAATTTAACAAAACTAAAAGGAAAAACAAATAAATTCATAATCATATGGGAAGATTTTCAAATTATTTTCTCTGCAATTGACAGAGCAGATAGGCAAAAATCATTAAAGATAGATATTATTTGAACACCTTAACAAAAGTGGCCTAGTGGACTTATATAGCACACTGAAGAATGCGTGTGTATTTTTCAAGTACCCATAGAGCTTTACCAAAATTGACTTTGCCTTGTGTTGTAAAACATTTTTTTCTCTTTTTTTTAACTTTTATTTTAAGTTTAGGGGTACAAGTGCAGGTTTGTTACATAGGTAAACTTGCATCCAGGGGGTTTATTATACAGATTATTTCATCACCCAAGTATTAAACCTAATACCCATTAGTTATCTTCCCTGATCTTCTCCCTCCTCCCACCCTCCATTCTCCAAAAGGCCTCAGTGTGTGTTGTTTCCCTCTATGTTTCCACATGTTCTCATCAGTTTGCTCCCATTTATAAGTGAGAACATGTGGTATTTGGTTTTCTGTTCCTGTGTTAGTTTGCTAAGGATAATGGCCTCCAGCTCCATCCATGTCTCTGCAAAAGACATGATCTCCTTCTGTTTTATGGCTGCATAGTATGCCATGGTGTATACGTACCACATTTTCTTTTTCCAGTCTATCATTGATGGGCATTTGGGTTGATCCTCTGTCTTTGCTATTTTGAACAGTGCTGCAATAAACATATGTGTGCATGTGTCTTTATAATAGAATGATTTATATTCCTTTGGGGTATATATCCAGCAATGGGATTGCTGGGTTGAATGGTATTTCTGTCTTCAGGTCTTTTAGGAATTGCCAAACTGTCTTCCACAATGGCTGAACTAATTTACACTCCCATCAACAGTGTATAGGTGTTCCTTTTTCTCCAAAACTTCACCAGCATCTGTTATTTTTTGGCCTTTTAGTAATAGCCATTCTGACTGGTGTGAGAAGGTGTCTCATTGTGGTTTTGAGTTACATTTCTCTAATGATCAGTGATGCTGAGCATTTTTTCATATGATTGCTGGTTGCATGTATGTCTTCTTTTGAAAAGTGTCTATTTATGTCCTTTTCCCGCTTTCTTATGGGGTTGTCTTTTTCTTGTACATTTGTTTAAATTCCTTATAGATGCTGGATATGAGACCTTTTTTAGATGCATAGTTTGCAAAATGTTCCTCCCATTATGTAAATCGTTTACTCCGTTGATAGTTTCTTTTGCTGTGCAGAAGCTCTTTAGTTTAATTAGATCCCATTTGTCAATATTCGTTTTTGTTGCAATTGCTTTTGGCATCTTTGTCATGAAATATTTGCCGGTGCCTAGGTCTTGAGTGGCATTGCTTAGGTTGTCTTTTTATAGTTTTTATAGTTTTGGATATTACATTTAAGTCTTTAATCCATCTTGAGTTAATTTTTGCATATGATGTAAAGAAGAGTCCAGTTTCAATCTTCTGCATATCGCTTACCAGTTATTCCAGCACCATTTCTTGAATTGGGAATCCTTTCCCCATTGCTTATGTCAGTTTTGTCAAAGATCAGATAGTTGTAGATGTGCAGTCTTGTTTCAGTGTTTTCTGTTCTGTTCCATTGGTTTATTTGTCTGTCTTTGTACCAGTATCATGCTGTTTTGGTTACTGTAGTGCTATAGTTTGAAGTCGGGTAGCATGATGCCTTGGCTATACAAGCTCTTTTTTGGTTTTATATGTTTTAGAGAGGCATGAGATATCAATCAATATATCCAGATGTACATTGGTTCCATCTGGAAAGGCGGGAAAACTTGAAGCAGGGAGGGCCTTCCAGGTCACAGGTATGTGAGAGCCAAAGTTTACATTATTTTGAGTTTCTGATTAGCCTTTCCAAAGGAGGCAATCCAATATGCATTTATCTCATTGAGCAGAGGGATGACTCTGAATAGAATGGGAGGCAGGTTTGCTCTAAGCAGTTCCCAGCTTGACTTTTCCCTTTAGCTTAGTGATTTTGGGGGCCCCAAGATTTATTTTTCTTTCACAGTTCCATATTAATTTTAGAATAGTAAAATATTTTTTAACATTTTAAAAGATTGAAATTACATAGAGCATAATTTTTGTCCACTATAATAGAAAAAATCTAGAAATCAATAATAGAAAAATATCTAGAAAATATTAATAACTATATATAGTACAAATCAAGTCCTCTTTTTCTAAACAACTCATGGTCAAAGAATAATTTATAAGATAAAGAAGAAAATATTTTGAACTGAATAATAATAAAATATGATATCTTAAAACCTGTACACTTCAGGTGAAGCCATGAACTAGGGAAATTAATGGCTTTAAATGCATGCAATTGAAAAGAAGACTGAAAATTTATGACGTTAATATCTATTTTCAGAAAATAGGAAAAAATACATTTTTTGCAAATATACCCAACAAAAATTTGTACACGTAGGCATCAAAAGACCTAACCAGGAGTGTTTATAATAGTTTTTTTTTTAAATAGCAAAAACTTGAGAATAAGTAGTATTCATCAACAGCAAAATGAAAAAATAAATTGTAGTATATTTCCCTAATAATGTACTGTACAGCAATGAGAATAAACAAACTACTGCTACATACCACTATATAGATGAATTTTATATTCTTAACGTGGTGTTAAAGAATTTAGACACAAAATAATTGATATGGTTTTATTTAACCAATTCCAGATGTACATGAAAGTAAACTATTATTTTAGAAATCTGCTGGGGAGAAGCGGCAATGTGACTGCATGTACTCTGGTAAATAAATAGAACTGACAAGTGTGCTTGTGCAGTTCTCCATAGGTATGCAATAATTCAACACAAGCTTTTTAAAAATAATTATGGGATGCCAATAATACTATGACTAGAGTGAAATTTATAGCTTAAATAATCTATTACACAAAGAAAAAGACAAAAATCAGTAAAATAGGTATTCATTTCAAAAAGTAGAAAAATGACTATAGTCACTTTGTCATTGCCATTAAATTCTATGTCTATGTGATTATTATGCATTGCATGCTTGTATTGGGGAGTCTGATGCACCTCATAGATATACACACTTATGTACCTACAAAAATAAAAAATAAAATAAAATGTAGAAAAATGATAACAAATTAAACTTCAAAAGCAGAGTGTGATAAATTAGAAAGGGATGAGCAAAAATTAAAGAAAAAGATAAAGAACATATGAGAGATCAATGAATCTAAAATTGATCCTTTAATAAGACCAATAAAATTGACAAGCTGCTGGTGATACTGATAAGAATAAAAGAGCAGGCTGGGCAGGGTGGCTCACCCCTGTAATCCCAGCACTTTGGGAGGCTGAGGCGGGCGGATCATGAAGTCAAGAGATTGAGACCATCCTGAACAACATGGTGAAACCCTGTCTCTACTAATAATACAACAATTAGTCGGGCGTGGTGGCAGATGCCTATAGTCCCAATTACTCGGGAGGCTGAGGCAGGAGAATCGCTTGAACCCAGGAGGCAGATGTTGCAGTGAGCAGAGATTGCACCACTGCACTCCAGCCTCGTGACAGAGTGAGACTCTGTCTCAAAAACAAACAAACAAAAATGAAAGAACAAAACACACAACAATACCAGGAATGAGAGTATAATTTCCATTTGAACAGACTTTCAAAATACAAATTTTTATGCTAATAAATTTATATAAAATGGAGAAAGCCCTAAAAAAATACATCTTACAAATTTTGACACAAAAAGAAATAGAAAATCTCAATCATCTTAGAATTACTGAAGACATTGAATCCATAATTTAAAAACTATCCTGGACAGAAGATACCTTCATCTATAAAATATATAATATATTTAAGAATAAATAACAGTTTGAACTTTTTTTTCCACAGAAGATAGAAAAAGAAGAATGACACTGAAGCTCAGTTTATAAAGGCAATATAATGTTGACATGAAAGCCTACAGGACAGTTAAGAGAGAGAAGACATAGAATCCCAAACTGTAAAAAAGTGTAAGGAACTGAATTATGCAATATATTAAAAAGATAATGTATCATAATTAAGTTGAACTTACTTTATAAGTGCAAACTTATTTGAATATTCAAAAATCTACGTGTCTACTTTATCAACAGACTAAATAAACAAAATAATTATATGAATATATCAATTGACACAGAAAAAGCATTTGACAAAATATAACATCCTTTCAAGATAAAAACTCTCGGTACACTAGAATTAAAGAGGAACTTATTTAATCTGGTGAAGACACCTACCTAGAGCTGACGTCATACTTAAACATGACAAAAACTGAATGCTTTCTTCTTAAACTCAAGAATAAGGCAAAGATGTTGCTCTCTCACTATACACATATTTAACAGTGCTGGAAGGTCTAGCCACTGCAATGTGGTAAAAAAAAATTAAATAACTGGAAAGAAAAAATATGACTGTCCTTATTTTCAGACACTAATGCTTGTGAAGGTACAAAACTTCAAGGAATATACACATACACACAAAATCCTGTAACAAGAAAGTGAATTCAGTAAAACTACAGGATACAAGACCAATACATAAAAATCAATTGCATTTCTACATACTGACAACAAACAAGTGGAATCCAAAAAAATAGCATTTACAATTACCCTAAAAAATGAAATATTTAGTTATAACTCATATAAAACATGATCAAAATCTGATAAAAATTATGAAACACTGATAAAAGAAATAAAAAAATTACCTACATATTTGGGAATCATGAATTGAAAGGCTCAACATAGTATATATGACAATTTTTCTTAAATTGATATTTAGTTTTAATATACATTGTCAGAAATTCAAGTGCTTTTGTAGACATAGACAGCTTATTCTAAAATTTATGTGTAAATGGAAAGGCCCTAGAATAGCTCAAACAATTTTGAAAAGAAGAATAAAGTGGGAAGAATTACTTTGCCTAATAATAAGGCTTGCTATATAGTTTTAGTAATTAAGACATTGTGGTACCATCACAGAAATAAACACATTGATCAATGGGACACAATAGAAAACTCAAAGATAGATCTATACAAATGTCCTCAATTAGTTTTTGACAAATGAACACGCACAATTCAATGGAGAAAGGATAAGACTTTCAACATACGATGCTGTGGTAATGGGGCATCTAACAGCCACTCCCCAACCCCCTCCCCTGCAAAAACAAAAACGACAAAAAAAAAAAAAAAAGGAAAAGAAAAAGAGAAACTTAAACTGAACCTCACGCATTATACAGAAATTAACTAAAAATGAATTATAGACTTAAATATAAAATTTAAACCTATAAAACTATTAGAAAAGACCATGGGAAAAAATTTTCAGGAACTAGAAGTAGGTAAAGGGTTCTTAGATTAACATCAAAAGCACAATCTATAAGAGGAAAAATAGATTGATTGTTAAAACAATGAAAAAACAAATTATAGAGTCGAAGAAATATTTGCAAATTACATATCTGAAAAAAAGCCTTGAATCTAGAATACAAAAAGAACTCTCAAAACTCAACATTAAACATCAAGTTATGTGCAAAAAACGTACGGAGATTTCACTGAAATGATGTATAGATGATAAACATGAGAAAAATATCCAATATTATTAGCCATTAGAGAAATGCAAATTAAGATTACAATGTGATATCCACCTACTAGTATTACTGAAAAAAAAATAGTGATAATACCAAATTCTGGCAAAAATGTGAGAAACTGGATCACTTATGCATCCCTGGTAGGAATGAAAATGGTGCCACCCATCTGAAAACTAGTTTGGCAGTTCATTTCAAAACTAAAAATGGACTTATAAAATGACCTAGCAGTTGTATTTGGGCATTTATCTTGGAGAAATGAAGACTTACTTTTCACATGAGAAATTATAAATTAGTCTTCACAGAAACATTATTCTTAATAGCTTCAAATTGGAAACACTCCAAAAGTCCTGTAATGGGTGAATGGTTAAACAAATTGTGATGTATCCATGCCATGAAACTCTACTCAGCAATTAAAAAGGAACAAACTTGATATTAATACATGCAACAACTTGGATCAACCTCAAGGAATTTCACCTAATAGAAAAAGTTCAATCCCAAAAGGATACAAACTGGATGATTTTAAATAATGTAACATTGATGAAATAGAATAATTATGGGTATGGAGAATAGATTCATGTTTTCTAGGAGTTAAGTATTGGGGAGGGAATAGGGAGGGCTACAGAGAGATAATGTGAGAGAGTCCTGTGTTGATGAGTATTAGTTGAGTATTAGGATTGTGATGGTGGTTACAGGAGGATATCTGTGTGATAAAATTGCAGTTGTTCACACATGAATGAGTGCAACTAAGATTGGTGAAATCTGAATAAGCTCTATAGCTTATCGTAATGTAAATTTCTTGGTTTTGAAATGTACTAGATTTGTATAAGTTGTTAACATTGGGGAAGCCTGGATCAAGCATATACAGGACATCTCTGGGTATTTCCTTGCAACCTTCTGTGAATCTATAATTAGAATCTATAATTATTCAAAATAGAAAGTTAAAAAATCTATGCAATTAATCCCATTAACAAAATAAAACATGAAGTTTGTGTGATCATCTCAGAAGATGGAGAAAAAGTTTAAATAGATTCAACAGGAAGTTATATTTAAAAAGAGAATTATTAGGTATTAATAGAGAGAACTTCCGGCCGGGCGCAGTGGCTCACGCCTGTAATCCCAGCACTTTGGGAGGCCGAGGCGGGCAGATCACTAGGTCAGGAGATCGAGACCATCCTGGCTAACACGGTGAAACCCCGTCTCCATTAAAAATACAAAAAATTAGCCGGGCATAGTGGCGGGCGCTTGTAGTCCCAGCTACTCGGGAGGCTGAGGCAGGAGAATGGCGTGAACCCGGGAGGCGGAGCATGCAGTGAGCCGACATCGCGCCGCTGCACTAAGGCCTGGGCGACAGAGCGAGACTCTGTCTCAAAAAAAAAAAAAAAAAAAAAAAAAGAGGGAACTTCCTTAAATCTAACAAGGGGTACCTTTAAAAAAGCTTATAGAAAACATGCTAAGTGGTGAAATATTGAAAGCTTTTGTTTTAAACAATACAAGATACTCACTGCTGTGGCTTGAATGTTTGTATCCCCTCCAAAATTAATGTAGAAACGGAATCCCCGAAGCAACAGTATTGAGATGTGGCTTTCTGGTAAGGATTAGGTCATAAGGGCTCTACCCTCATGAATGGGATTCATGACCTTATAAAAGGGCCAGGGGGGATTAGATGGGACATTTTTGCCCTTCCATCATGTGAGGACACAGTGTTTGTTCCCTCTAGGGGACACAACAACAAGGCACCTTCTTGGGTCCTAGAAGACGGGGTCCTCACCAAACACCAAACCTGCTGGCACCTTGATCTTGAACTTTCAGTCTCCAGAACTGTGAGAAATATTGTCTTATGTAAATTACTCAATCTGTGGTATTCTGTCATAGAAACAGGAACAGACCTAGTAACCCAATCACTACTTCTATTTGATATTGTATTGGAGATCCTGGCCTTTGCAGTAAGACAAGATGAATAAAAGTTATGAAGTTTGGAAAGACAGAAGAATCATTGTTAAATAATAAAGAATTGCCTTTATTTTCAGATGATTAGATTGAGTAAATAGGAAATAAAAAATACAGATAAATTACTGGAATTAAATGATTAGCCTTGCTGATAATATGACTAATATGGAAAGATAAAATATGACTATTTTGTTTGTATGTGCTACTGATAAAATGTTAGAAAACAAAGTTTATAAAAAGATTCAACTTAGAGTACTATCAAAAATATGTATATAAGAATATATTTAAAAATGACGTACAACACCTTTTAATAAAAACTGCCAAATATTAGCAAGTTAAACTAAAATGACATTAATATTAATAAATGAAATCAGTCTAAGTATTGCCAATTATCCTTGAATTGATCTATATAGATTTGATACAATCTGAATCAAAATTCTAAAAAATTTTTTGGTGTAATTTGGAAAACTAAACCTGAAATTTATATATAAATGCAAAGGATCAAGAAGAATTGAGACACTCTTATGGAAGAACGAGGTAGGAAGGCTTTTTCTACCAAATGTTGAGCCTTGTTATAGAGCTACAGTTTGATGTAGGCCTAGAAACAGAGAACAAGACCAAGAGGATAGTATTAAGAACCCCAGGAACAAATCCATACTTACATGGACACTTGGTTTTGCATAAAAATAATATTGCAGAGTGGTATAATAATGAAAGTTGATTATCAAGTGAATATTCATATTAAACAAAGGAAATTTGAAACCTATCTAATGACATAAACAAAATTTAGGTAGATTGTAGATCTAAATATGAAAACAATAAAACTTCTGGAACATAAGAAAATACCTTTACAATCTTAGGTTAGATAAAAAATTTATTTAAAAAATCACTGATTACAAAAGCAATGATTGTTAGGTTGGACTGCATTAAAATTAAGATCTACTGCTATGTATCCAGAAAAATATTTTAAAAAGCATCATCAAGAGAATGAAAATACAAGGCACAAAATGGAGGGAACTTTTTGCAATACATATTATAGCAAAAGATTCATATTCAGAGTACATAAAAAAATCTGCAACTTAATAAGTAAAAAGGTAAAAACAAATTCAGTAGAAAAATTGTCAGGAGCCCTGAACAGACATTTTAGCAAAGAGGCTATACAAATGGCCAATAATCATACATATTAAAATTGACACGATGAAAATGAACTACAGTTAAAATGCTGGCAGTATCAAGTGTTGTTTGAGATGTGAGACTCAGTTGAAATTCACATACACTGCTGGCGAGAATGTAATTTGGTAAAGCCAGTTTGGAAAACTATTTGGCATTGTCTGATAAGCGGGACATAGGCCTTATCTGGAATCAAACAATTCTCTCAAGTGTATAATAAGCAGAAATGTGTGCATTTGGGCACTGAAAGACATCTACATAAATATTTATATGAGTATTCTTAATAACAAACTGGGAATAACCCAAATTTCCATTAAAAATAATTATGATATATTGACATTATGTAACGCTCTGCAACATCAAAAGTTAGTGAACAATATGAGTATATTTCACAAAAATAATTATGTGTTGAAAGAACTCAGGGAACCAATAATATATATGATTTCATTCCATTTACACAAAGTTTGGAAAACAAATTGCCTAAAAATTTAAAAAAATTATTGTGAAATAATTTTAGATTTTCAGAGGAGTGGCAAAGGTTCCCTTCTTCTAGGTTCCCTTCATGTTAACATGTTATATAGCCATAGTACATTTATCAAAACTAAGAAATTAACATTGGTCTAATACCATAAACTGAACTATAGACTCTCTTCAGATTTCACCTGTGTTTTAAAAATTTTATTTAATGTTGACAAATTATAATCGCATATATTTACAGGGTACAAAGTGATATTACCATATATGTACACAATGTGGAATGATTGAAATCAAGGTAATTAGCATATCACCTCAAATACTTTTCATTTATTCCTTCTGTCTAATGGAAACCTTATATCCTTTAATCAACACCTCCCTATTCCCACCTCACGCTCCCTAACTTCTGCTAAACACCATTCTACTCTGTTTCACCTGTGTGTTTGAACTAATGTTCATTTTCTGTTCCAGGATACATTTAGTCATCATGTTTCCTCAGTCTGTCTGTGTTTATCATGACTGGTATTTTTGAAGAGAATTGGCCTGTTATACTGTAGAATTTGCCTAAAATTGAGTTTGTCTACTTTTTCTTAATTAGACTTGTGTTATAGACTTTTGGGAAGAACACCACAGAGTAGAGTGTCATAGCTGGGGAACACTCATTGAATCACAGCAGGGGATGAGGGCGATAATATTAACAAGACTTATTACTGGTGATGTTATCCTTGATCACTTGGTTAAGGTGGTGTCTGCCAGGCTTCTCCACAGCAAAGTTGCTACTTTTTCTTTACTATAAGCCATTCTTTTTGTTGTTGTTGTTTTCGGAGACAGAGTCTTGCTCTGTCATACAGGTTGGAGTGTAGTGGCATGATCTCGGCTCACTGCAAGCTCCGCCCCCCAGGTTCAAGCGATTCTCCTGCCTCAGCCTCCGGAGTAGCTGGGACTACAGGCACCCACCACCATGCCCAGCTAATTACTATAAGCCGTTCTTTAGAAGCAAATCATTAAGTCCAGCCCATATTCAAGGACAGAAAAATTAAACTTTACTTCCTAGAAGGAGTTTGTGGACATGAGTTAAAACTACCACAGTAACCAAAATATTTTGGAAGAGATATTTTGAGGCGATAGAAATATCCTGTTGCTCCTTAAAAAGTTTTGCCCACGAATTTTAACATTCATTAGCATATCTTTTATGCCACAATTATTATTGTGTGGTGTTTTATTGGTAATTTTTATTTCACTTATTCTTTTCTGTATTTATTATTTGTAATTCTTTTGTGAGGAAGATTTGTTTCTCCTCCATTTATTTATTCAATAATTTATTTATATTAATATAGGCTCATGGATATTTATTTTTAGCTTATAATCCAATAGTATCATTATTTACCTTGTTGACAAAATTGTTCCAGATGTGGTCACTGGGAACTTTCAGGTTGGCTTCTCAAACTTTTTGAGGAGTCTTTTTTTTTCTCTCTCATTTTGAGCACTAACTTATTTTCTGACATTACACAATGCTCCAGGCTCATCTTTTTTCACTACTTATCCTAGCCCTATAATCAGTCATTTCTCCAAGGATCTCTGGTTTCTTTCATTGAATAATAGTATTTAGATGTAAAGATCTGGGTACTATGTGTATTTTTTGCAACTGGGGTGTTACTGATTCTCAGCTCTCTTAGTGGACAAAGACAGTCAATATATGTCTGTATACTAACTCATGTATACGTACATATTTATCGCTATCTATCCATCTATCTATCATTTTCCTATCTGTCTTCCTATCTAGCCTCCTATCTATCTAAATGAATATGTGTTCATGCTGATATCTCGGCCTTTAATCTGGCACACCAGAGTCCTTTCTAGCCTTCCCCACTTGTTTATTTATAACTTCTTTCTCTGACAGTGAAAAACTTTGGTCTTATTGACAAATGACTTAGTTACGTGTTGAATCCTAGAACACATGTAGTTTCAGAACTGCTAACCCACACCCTGATGAGAAACACATTTATCAGTGAAAGTAAGGTGTTTATGTATAGTTTTATTTAGCCTTATTCTTTCCAGTGAAAACATTGTTTTCAAAAGTTACTTAATTCCTCCACCCCTCTCCCGCTTACTTCAGTTTTACATTGTTAGTACAGTTAAATTCTTCTTCACAGTCTACATTCCATCCTGGGATCCTCAGTCATTCTGGTAGATAACATTTATACTTTTATACGTTCTATATTTAGTGGGAAAAATAGCTATGAAACTAAGAAAGTAATTAAAATTAAAATGACTAATTATTGCCTTTGGGGAGATGAGAGAACATAGAGATTTTCTGGAGTACTGGCAAGGTTCGTTTGTTTGTTTTTAACTTAGGATGGTCATTACATTTTTTTTTCATTCAGTAAATCATTGAGCTTTAGTTTTTAAGTGGACTTTTATTTGTATGTGTCATATTTTACAATAACATGTTTTTTAAAAGCATATTCTGAAACACTGTATAGCACAGCCCTTAGTTTTTCTATCTATAAAATGTGAATAATAATTCTTATTCTGATTACTTGGTAAAATTTTTAGGAAAATAAAATTGGTAAATTAACTTTAGATTATTTTGTAAAATTAAAACTTAATATAAGTTATAACAAAGAATGTTACTTGATTATCAGTAACCAATTTTTTTCTACCCTAGTTATAAAACTTCAACTTTTCCATGGTAGCAGTGGGCACAACAGATGACTCTATTTTTTTGAGGGTTTTTCAGGAAATACTTTAAATAAGATTGATTTAGCAGGGAGAAATATCCTCCCCTTTTTCTTTTGTTTTTATTATTCTTATTGGCTGGAATGCAGACATGATGGCATACCTTTTACGGCGATATCATGACTTTGAGGATGGAATCCATTTGGTAAAGATGGTAAAACAGAAGTAAAGAAGAAACCTGGTTCCCTGATAACTAGATAGATTCAGGAATGAAATTTTAGGCTTTGGTGGATTGGTGACTAGGCATGTTTTTGGGTGGACTGGAATTTTGAAGCCAATATCAAGTAGTCTAATAGTTATTGTGTTTCATAGTTTATGAAGTTGCTGCCATGGATATTAAGCTCAAGTAGTCCTAAAAATAACTCTATCTAGTGGACATAATTTGTTTCATTTTTCAGATGAGGAAAAAGAATGAGGTTACTGAATTTGTCTGAAGAGATATAACAGAGCTAGAATTTGAATCCTAGGTTTCTGACTCCATGGGCACTGTTCTGCCTAGTATACCATCCTATAGGAATCCTAAAATTCTAAGAATCCATTTGCCAAATCAGTATGGTGTTTGCCATTGCAGTCCACTCACAGAAAGATAGGTCTCCTTTGAACCAGTCCTTGGCTGTACTTTTTAGCTGCTGAGTTGTGATCTAGTCACATCCAAGCCAGTGTGTCTGCGGCCTGGGCTAGACACAGAAAGAACCAGAGTAAACTCAAAAGAGATAATTTCATCTCATGTTGATTTTGGTGACAACCCTATTGCATTTAGGCAGAAGTTAAAGGATAATTGTGTTGTGGACAAGAGACATTGATATTTACTAACACAATAATAGTGAGTAAGATTGTTCCTAAAAGTATGTGGTTTCTAGTTACATTGGGATTGAGTTATATTCACTGTACATTTACTGAGCAGCTATAATTTTATTTGTAACTTACGTGTTTAGGCTGGACGTGGTGGCTCACGCCTGTAATCCCAGCACTTTGGGAGGCTGAGGTGGGCAGATCATGAGGTTGGGAGATTGAGACCATCCTGGCTAACACAGTGAAACCCCGTCTCTACTAAAAATACAACAAAAAAAAAAATTAGCCGGGTGTGGTGGCATGCACCTGTAGTCCCAGCTACTTGGGAGGCTGAGGCAGGAGAATGGTGTGAGGTGGGGAGGCAGAGTTTGCAGTGAGCTGAGGTCATACCACTGCACTCCAGCCTGGGTGACAGGGCGAAACTCGGTCTCAAAAAAAAAAAAAAAAAAGAAAAAGAAAAAACAAAAGAACTTACTTGTTTACCTATGACCATGTTCTGAAACTACTTAATTTTCTGTTTCCTCATGTATAAAATGAGGATAATAATATAACCTATTTCATGAGGATGTTATGAGTATTAAATGAGACAGTAGATCTGTATCTCTTTTAAACGTCCTGGAATATAGTAGGGTCTCAAAAATGCCTATTATTACAATTATTGTTATTATCATCTGTAAAGTAAACATAATTTCTACCTCATAAGGTTGTTTTCAAGATTTATATAGGACAGCTAGCAGATTTTCTTTTTGCTTCTAATTGAACTGGTGAAGGAGAAAGACTTAGCAAGAAGTTTTCCAGAAGGAAGTAATAGTCAAGCTGAGTCATGATAGAGTGGAAGAGTTTCAAGAATCACATGGAATGCATGACTTATAAGTAGAGGAACCATTTGTTCTTCCATTTTACAAATATTTATTGAGTACTTACTGTGTTCCAGGATAGTGTAGTGGTTAAGTAAATGAGATCTAGAACCAGGACTTCTGTGTTTGAATTTTGAATAGTTGTTCTATTACGTGGAAGGTGTGTGAACCTGAGTAGCTTTCTTAAGCTCTTAGGGCCTCTTATTAACATTAGATTTCATAAATCAAGGATATTTATTATAATTATATGTTAGCTCTTAAAAGAATTGATTTTGTTGCAATCGCTTTTGGGGACTTATCCAGAAATCCTTTGCCAAGGCTGAGTTCAAGAAGAGTATTTCCTAGGTTGTCTTCCAGGATTTTTATAGTTTGATAGATTAGTGGGAACTAATTAAACTAAAGAACTTCTGCACAGCAAGAGAAACTATCAACAGAGCAAACAGGCAACCTACGGAATGGAAGAGCATATTTGCAAACTATGCATCTGACAAAAACCTAATATCTAGAATCTATAAGGAACTGAAATCAACAAGCAAAAAATAAATAACTCCATTAAAAATGGACAAAGGACATGAACAGACACTTTTCAAAAGAAGACATACAAGTGGCCAACACACATGAAAAAATGCTCAACATTACTAATCATCAGAAAAATGCAAATCAGAACCACAGTGAGATACGACCTCACACGGGTTATAATGGCTATTATTTAAAAGTCAAAAAACAACAGATGCTGGCAAGGCTGCAGAGAAAAGAGAACGCTTATACACTGTTGGTTGGAATGTAAATTAGTTCAGCCTCTGTGGAAAGCAGTTTGGAGATTTCTCAAATAACTTAAAACAGAACTACCATTAAAACCAGCAATCCTATTATTGGATGTATACCCCCGCAAAAAATCATTCTACAAAAAGACACACGCCCTTGTATTTTTACGGCTGTGCTATTCCTGATGGCAAAGACATGGAATCAACCTAGGTGCCCATCAATGGTAGATCGGATAAAGAAAATGTGGTACATATACACCATGGAATACCATGCAACCATAAAATAGAAAGAAATCATGTCCTTCGCAGCAACATGGATGGAGCTGAAGGTCATAATCCTGAGCAAATGAACACAGAAACAGAAAACCAAATATTGCATGTTCTTACTTATAAGTGGGAGCTAAACACTGAGCACACACGGACATAAAGGTGGGAAAAATAGACACTGTAGACTACTAGAGGGTGGGAGAATGGGTTTAAAAATGACACATTGGGTACTATGTTCACTACCTGGGTGTTGAAATCCATACTCCAAATCTTAGCATTATGTAACATCCCCATGTAACCAACATGCATCTGTACCCCTGTATCTAAAATAAAATTTGAAATAATCAAAAATAAAATAATTGAAACTTGCAAAATAGTAGTTTTCACATCCTTAAAAGGGAAGAAAATAAAGTTGCTATAAGGATTAAATTGGCTCACATATTAAAGCATTTTAGATCAGAACCTGGTATAGTGTGAGTACTCAATAAATATGAGTTGTGATTATTGCATGTTTACTGTCGTGGGTCTCAAGGATATAATGACAAAAATATATGCGTGGGGAGATAGTGACATGGACATATGATGTTAAAAATGTAATAATTTGGCCTTAAATCTGAGTAAGGAGTTCAGCGAGGACATGGTAATGGGGACTGATAGTGAGTGAGAAGGTGTCTCTTAGAAGTGTTGATGGTGTCAGGGAATTATGGCAGCTGAGCACTGACAGAGGAGAGCTGGAAGATCAGGAAGTGGTCATCAGAGGCAGGAATCTTGGAATAAAGAGTTAAGAGTTCGTGCTGTTTTTGGTGGGATGTCAAATGAATGACCATGGTGGCTGAGGTGAAGAGGTGGAAGGGATCTTTGAAGAAAAGATTGAGGAACTGAGAGCCAAAGGAATTGGATGGCTTATACACATCAATGTAAAAGACGTTTAATAGAAAAATAGTACTTATTAAATATGTAAATTAAAAAGTCAAGCCAAAGTAGAGATTGAGCTTGTCGGTCTATGAGTAACCTCGTTTGTGTTTGCTTAGCTGTCTGATGGAAATTTGGTTTGAAGTGTTAAGTTTAGGGGTTCCTTAGAATGTAAAATTCATGAAGGCAGGGGTATTTGTAAGGTTTTGTTCACTGATATGCTCTAAAAGTGTCCAGAACAGTGTCTGGCATGTGGAAGGTATTCAATAACTACTGAATCAATGAATGGGTATCATGAAGGACTCTGACCACAAAAAGAATAAGAACTGGATTTTGCAGGCAGTGGTCAGCCTAGAGGAGTTTCTAAGCAAGGGGCTGGAGTAACCCTAGTTGTGCTTCAGGAGGATTCATTCTGCAGTGACAGGTGAGAGACACAAGTGAGGAAGAGAAATGTAAGCATTAACATGAGGGCATAGGCGGTAGGGAATGGAGGGGAGGGAAATGTTAGAGAAAGGCAAGTGAAAAGTAGGTACGAAGACATTAAATTCTGGCCACTATGCATAGCAAATTTGAAAAGATTACCTAGATGCAAATATTTCTTTTAACTTTTGACATTCACAAGTCCTTTTCTTACAGCCTGCTTCTTCCATCAATATCTTCTACAGTTGATTAAATACAGGACAGAAAATAGAATACGTCAGCCTGACATTTTCTGAATCCAGGCTCTTGTCATAGGACGAATGTTGCCTTTTGTTATTAAAACACTCCTGCCTGCACCTCCCATAAGTAAAATAACTTTTCCCCCACAAGCCCATTGGGGGTTTACTTTGTCCTTCATAACACAATCTAGCAAATTAGCAGTGATCCCATAATTTATCTCTGTGATGCTGTGCTCATTTTATTTATAATCCGGAGGCAATTAAAATCGCTTTTGTACAACATTGTCCTGATGACAGATGTGTGGCTGCCACTCCAACACATGATGGCTGACATAAATCATTTGACAATCAAAGTGTCTGCTGACTTGCTAATCTCTAGTTACAGCAGATGCCACCCCAGACAGAGTGACAGGGACATTCTTCACAGAAGCCTCATTTTAGTTAACTGCTTTACTCTGCTCCAGTTCTGGAATCTTGACAGCTTGGCTACTTTGTGACAGCTGGGAAATTCTTCATGTGGCTTTCACAAGCCACCAAGGGTCAGTCTACCCTTCATTCCCACCTCTATAGGTTTCTAGTAGCTTTCTAACAGGGCATGCAAGAGCTTCACGGTTTGGACCCAATCTATCACTCTGGCCTTGACACCAGCCTTGTGACTCCTTTCTCCCCAACCAATCCACCAAATCGTACAGTCTATACTCACCACTCTACCTGCAGTTCCCTGCACATGATGATCTCCTTCTTGGCTATGCCCTTGAATACAAGGTTTCATAACCTTGAAACAATTTTCTTCCCACATTCTCCACCCAGTATAAATAATCCTACTTCTCTTTGAAGACTCAGCTTAGTTGTTTGTTCTTGCCTCTGTGAGGCATTTACAACCCATTTTTCTTACGTACAACAAGTTTCTCCTCCTTCTCTGCTTCCAAAATAATGTAATTTATTTTTTATCAGTTCATAGAGTTGATTAAATCATATTCATCATTTCACAGGGTGCATACAAATCATTATTTGTATGCAAAAGACTGCTCCTTTAATTTCACATTATTATTCTGTTCTCCATGTCATCTTTTTACTTCTAATCTCTACCCAATGGGTAGTCCCTCTGATGAATGTTATTTATGTTCTTAGCTATGCATAAATTTTTAAAAATTATATAGTTTCATTTTGTTTGTATATGTTTTAAGTTTTCAAATGTATGCTAAAATGTATTTTCTTCTTTTTTACTGTACAATTAGGTTTTAATATGTATCTATATTATATATACCATATACTTAATCCATTGATCCTAAAAGAAGTATGGAGAAGATAGAAAAAATACAAGCATTTCCCTCATTACTAATGAGTTTTAGCATGTCTTTATATACTTATAGCCATTTGGGTAAATAATTCACAGACAATGAATTATTTATATCTTTTGTCGTTTTGTCTTTTTTTTTGGCCGAATTACTCTATCAGATTCTGAGTGGGTGTATATTAACATCTCCAACTATAATTTTATTTAATCTTTACCTATTTATATCAACTGTTTCTTATATAGATTGGAACAATAATGTTAAATTTGTATAAAAAGTATGATTTTTTTACACAATTTATTGCTCATTATACCAATATGTAGCAGCTCTTCTTATAGTTCTCATGTTTTCCAAATTAAATTATATTTTGACTGATATAAAATTGCTAACCATGACTTTTGTTTGGATTATCTTTATTTATTTGTGTGTTTACTAACTTGGTATATTATTTTGTTTTAAAATTATCTTACACAGCTAATAAATTTCTGGATTTTGCTTTTTTAGCTGATTTGAGAGTCTCTGTCTTTTGATATAAGTTTAACTCATTTGTAGTGCCATATATATATATATATTTTTTTTTTTTTTTTTTTTTTTTTTCTCAGAGGGAGTCTTACTCTGTCACCTGGGCTGGAGTGCAGTGGCACGATCTCACCTTACTGCAGCCTCCATCTCCCAGGGTTCAAGCAACTCTCCTGCCTCAGCCTCCTGAGTAGCTGGGATTACAGGAGTGTGCCACTATACCCAGCTCATTTTTGTATTTTTTTGTTGTTGTTTAGTAGAGACGGGGTCTCACCATGTTGGCCAGGCTAGTCTCAAACTCCTGACCTCAAATTATCCACTTGCCTCAGCCTCCCAAAGTGCTGGGATTACAGGTGTGTCACCATACCTGGCCTATAGTACCATAATTAATGTTAAATTTAAACTATTATTTGTGAAGTAGTTTAACATCTATGAAATTTTCAGTTATAATTTTATGATATTCTCAGTTATAATTTAAAAATATTTTTCATCTATTATTATTTTTCTTTCCTCTGGTACTAATGATTTTTAAAAATCTGTCTATCTCTGTTATTCCTGATGGCTTTTGGAAGAGTCCATTATCCTGATTTCCAAGCTCACTAATTTATTCTTTGAAAAGATCCATTCTGCTAATTCAACCAATTAATTGAACTCTTTATTATAACTATTCTAGTTTTCTTGATGCCCACTGCTCTTGTTCCTGCTCATTTCCCCTGGTATCCTCCTTTATTTGTTTGGTAATATTATTTTATTATTATTTTTTTTGAGATGGAGTCTCGCTGTGTCACCCAGGCTGGAGTGCAGTCATGCGATCTCGGCTCACTGCAACCTCCGCCTCCTGGGTTCAAGCAATTCTCTTGCCTCAGCCTCCCAAGTCACTGGGATTACAAGTACATACCACCACGCCCAGCTAATTTTTTTTTTTTTGTATTTTAGTAGAGACAGGGTTTCACCATTTTGCCCAGGCTGGTCTCGAACTTCTGAGCTCAGGCAATCCACCCACCTTGGCCTCCCAAAGTGCTAGGATTACAGGCATGAGCCACTACGCCCAGCCTGTTTGGTAATATTTAATATGGTTATTTTGAGTTATTATTTGATTAGTTCATTAAGACTGTTTCAAATAATGTAGACTGTATAGCTTTTTCTAATATTTGTACTTTGTATATCTTTCTTTTTCCAAGTGAATAGTCCCCTGAAAATATCAGCTAATTTGGTAGGTAATGCCTATTTGCAGAGAGGAATGGGATCTTATGGCATAGCTCTCTTTTGCTCTGGACTGTCATTTCTCTCTCCACTTTTCCCCAATCTTCCCCCTGACACCCCAGGACCCAGTCACTGTGTCTATCCAGGAATTTTTCATAGATTTTTAGGTCAGTATCTGGGATCCACCAACTTTCTTCCTATCACTTCTGTGGCATCTCTAATTCAGTATTCAGGAGCAGCACATGCTATTGCACCAAGTTATGAACTGATCAGAAGTAGGATATATATGTCTTTTTCATTATGTATCCTGAAGGCTGGAGACTGTATCTTATTTCTATTAAGTACCTATATACGAACACACGGTAATCATTTAATGTATGCTTGTCTATAATAAAGGAATAAAAGTGACACCTCAAAAAAATCCAATCCTTAGGGAACACAAAAATAAATTTGACATTTGTTACAAGTCAACAAAACATAGATTAATTGTAGTATGTCAGAAAGGAGAATTTAATGAACTCCTGCTATCTTTTCAAACCTTGTTAAAAACCCTTCTAAAATAAATTATTTTAATTTGTTTGGTTTGGTCAAATTAGCATAAATGATTCAGATAATTAAAGATTTTCAAGAGTTCAGAAACAGGATTATGAAGACATTTCTGGCTAATTGTTGCTAACTTATAAATGAAAACTAAAATAAAAATTTGTCTTAGTCTCCTCAGGCCTATTGGCTTTAATTGTCTCTGGGATGTCTTCATGGCTTCTCTGCTCTGTCCCTCTGTCTATAAAAGTGTTTTTTAACTAGGGGAGATTTTGTTTCTCTTAACCACAGGGCCCATTTGGCAATGTTGGAGACTGGATAGAGGCTAGGGATGGTACTAAACATCTTACAATGCACAGGACAGCTCCTGACAACAAAGAATTGTCTGGTCTGAATTGTGAATACACTGCTATTGAGAAACCCTTGATTGCAAGGATTCTGATCTCCAAACTCTTCCTACCTCTGAGCTCCCCATGGGCTGTTAACTGTGGCACTGCACACAGGGAAATGAAATGCAAGTGTCTGATGTTGTTTAAAGCTACTTGCATTGCGAGTTTGGCCACTGGATGTTCAAGATTCTAGGGAAATCTGCAATCTACCCACCCTACCTTACTTTCTCATAAACACACATACACGTGCGCATTGTCTCTCTCTCTCTCTCAACACACACACACACACGCACACACACAGAGCTGACAGTTGGTGTTGCTAGGATACCAACCTGGGTTGGTTGGACATCAGAGTTAGGGCTGTCTGTATGGATTCTTCAGCTTTGACTTTAGTCTTTTCTAGGATGTGGCTTATTTTCTACATTCAGCTTTTCTTGCTCTTGAACACTGGATAACTCTCCTATGATGCTCCCCTATCTGGGTGCCACCCAGATGATGGCATATTTTGGCTTACTTTCTCAATATCTCCGCTAAATATTTCTGTGTAGCTACCACATATCACCTTTTCAGATGATCTTTGCTGATTGCACAAGTTAAATTAACACCCATCTCCTATTCTTTTATTCTCTTACCCTGTTCAATTTTTCTTCCTAGCAATTATTATTACCTATCATATATTTGCTGATTTTATAATTTACTTTTTTTCTCCACCACCATAATATAAAGCAAAGATTTGTTTTGTTTACTACTGTATTTCAGGACCTAAGGAATATAGTGAGAGCTCGAGATCAGACATTAGTTCCTAGAGTGTATGCAAAGGTTGACATGTCCTGGTCTCTGCTTGCTGTTTGGAGGAGGAGGTAGATAATTATGAGGTGACAGGATAATGCTGTAAGATGAGTGTTCAGATAATATCACTATCCTGCCTAGGAGAACTGAGACAGGATTCACAGAAAAGGAATACTGGCATAGAATCCACCAAATGGCAGGAAGGGGAAAGAGCATCTTAGACACTTTTTAGCATGTAAAAAGTATGATATATTTGAAAGAGTTATGCTTTAGGTAGGAAGAAGCTAGTCCTGTAAATGTAAGTCTGGTCCACATTGTAAAGGACAATACATGCCATATGAGGAGGAAGGGATTTCATTCTGTGGAAAACTGGGAGCCCTAAAATATTTTGAGCTGTTCTGTGTTTGAAAATGATAATGCTAATGGCACTGTGGAGTTTGGATTAGATGATCAGAAGATGTTGATGATAGGCCATCATGCAGGAATTTAAAGACTAAGTCAGAGACTAATCTATTGCCTCCCACTGAGGCCATCTATTCTCTGTGCCCTTCCTTTTTCCTCCCTAGATCATGTAGTTTAAAGCCCAATTTCTTGTAAAAACTTCTTTTCAATTTCTAAAATTTATACTCAGCAACCCTGTGGTCAAGCATCTGATCAATCACTGGACACATTTTTGATCCATCTCATGCATTGTGATTGGAATAGATCTAGCTTTGATTCACTTCAGGGAAATTCTCTCAGAGTTTGTACCAGAAAGTCATATCTCACAGTCAATGTCATTTAGGGCTCAGTCTTAACCATGTATCAAGAGATTCTCAATTAATTTTGCTGAGGCTAAAAGTCATTTATAATTATAATTATCTGAATATGTCTTCCTTATCTTTTACTACCCCATGGTTTATTCTTAACTCAACTACCAGGGGTACCATTATTTTATCGGTAAGCCTTGATCCTGTAGCTCCTAGCTCATATTGATTAACTACTGCTCTTCTCCAATAGATAAAGGACATGACTAGCTTTTTGATTTCTCAGATAGAGCTTGTATACTTACATTTATTTTCTCTAATGTCTCAGGGACAGCTCCTCCAATGCAGTTTAGAATGATCAGACTTTTTGTGTCACAAAATCTGATGAATGATTGTTCTCTTTTCTGGCTAATCAACAAGTCTAGGCATGCTCACAGAATTCAGAATGGTCTTTATCAATTACAATGGTTATTTGTAGGCCATAGTTATAAAAAGGAGAGATATATAGCTATTAGTTTTCTATAATTCATATTCTTATTAATGAGCACAGGTTGGAAACTTAGTTCATCCAGAAGATTATGGAATGGACTTTGCATGGTTTTCAGCCTCAGTTTTTTTTACGTTTTAAAATGGTAACGAAATTTCCATTTTACTAGGTTGTTTTGAGGATTAAATGAGACAACATATGTAAAGCACCTAGCATATTTTTTTGATTCGTAATATGTGATTAATAAATTCTCACTTCCATTCAATTGAAAAGACATGCATGCTGGACTTTTATGTGTCATTGTCTATGCTAAGTGTAGGTGATACAAATATAAGTAATACATAGACTTGTATTTCAAGGAGACCATAGTTTAGAAAGGAAAACAAATATATAAACAGGTAAGCGTTATTCTGCATGACAGGTAGAAAAATGGAGCACTCATACAATGGGGACCTAGCAGAACTGGTAGTTAGTTCTATCTGAGGAAAACATTTCTCTATAGTGGATGATAGGGGATACGAGACTTAAATGGTACATAGGAAAACAGATGGATCTGGGGGTGTGGAGTGTGGTTGGTGGGTTGGAGAAGCAGTTTGAGAGAAGGAAAATTCAGGCTAAGGGAAGAGCATTTGTGAAATGCACCTCTCTTCCATTTTTTTCTCCTGCTTTATAATGAAACTCTCATTAAAATCTAAAGCACCTTCAAGCCCCTTTCAATTGATGAAGAGCAAGAATAAATTTGAAGATTAAAGATTTTGATCAATTATATCCAAGGTAGAAAAACAGAAGAATAAGCCCTTTCCTCATTAATTCAAAACATTAATCATAGTTACTGACATAGTGCTAAGGAGTTTTCGAAGCATTATTTCTATTATATTATTTAATTTAATTGTCCCAACATTCTTATGTAGTAGAAATTATTAATCTCATTTTACTATAAACGAGGAAAATGAAGTTACGTGACCTGGCCAAGGTCTCACAGTAGATAAACTGCAGGACTGGGACTTCACAAGTCTTTTGGAGTCTGACTCCAGTGCTCTGTTCTCTACCACAAAGTCTTCCTCTGTATAGAACGTGATTAAAAACTAGCTTGTGTTTGACAAAAAATATTTGTGGGATAATCCTAATCAAGTTTTTTTTTTGTACTCTTGGAGAGCTGATTAAGAAAAAGTCTGCTTGGATTAAAGCTAAAGAGACTGGCTTAGAAACAGGGAATAAGAATTATATAAATTGGGTTACTATGTAATTTATTATCCAAACAAGAACACTTTGAGAATAAAGGAACTGATACTACAAGAGGTAACAGGACTATTTCAAGCCCTTTGGGACAATATGATAACCATAAATATGGACTATTCACTAGCTCATTTATTCATTTAGCAAACAATTATTTATTGCCTACTCTTTGCAAGGCTCTTGACCAGTGTAGAGATAGAGATAACTTTGATCAACTTAATCAACAGATGGGAGATGAACAGACCAGCAAAGAATAAAAGCCACCAGGTATTGAATATGCATATGTTCCAGGTACTCTGTTAGAAGTTGAACATACACTATCCTGCTTTGTGTTAAATAATTCCATAAAATATCACTATTATCCCCATTTCACAGATGATAACACTGAACTTAAATCACTTACTCAACTTGATTAAATAGGACAGCGGGACTTCAAAATTATATTACACCCCTGGTTAAAGTTTAAAGATAATTTAGCAACTTGAAGCCAGAATTCTAGAATAACATAGCCTCAGAAATCATACTCTTGGGTTTCTCTCCTCTAGCATGGATCTCCAGAATCTTGATATTTTGTTGGACTGTAGCTGCTGAGTTATTTTCTCAGGTAGAACTCATTTGCTTGTGACAGAAAATATTAACTAAATTTGCTTATGCAATGAAGGAACATAATGGTTTGTACAATATCAAACTCCAGAGGAAGAGTTTGGGTAGGCCTGTGTTGAACATATGTAAGTTGCCACCATGACTTTTTTTTACTTTTTTCTCTTTGTTTATTTTTCTATTCTTTGACTCTGTTTTCCTCCACATTGGCTCTATGTTCAGAGAGTGTCTACCCTCAAGTTTTCAAGATTGCTCCAACATATATCTTTCCAAATGCAAGTCTAGAGGAAAATAGTAAAATGCCTTTTCTGTTACTTAAGCAAAGTCCCCAGGATCACCTCTGACTCGTGTTGATTCACTTGACTCAAGAGCCACACATCTATCCCTAAGATATTGACTAGGGACAGGATAGTTGACTAAGTCCCATAATCTGATCCTAGACCCTTTAGTTGGAGGCTTCATCTAAATCACCTGGTCTAATAATGGATAATTGAATGGATTACTGGTGGCCAAAACAAAACAAAACAAAAAACCCACCAATATCTCCTATATTCTCTGAGTATAAAGGCTTTTGAGTGAAATGGACTATGATAACCTTCAAGCCTTTAAAATCTACAGATTGATGGAAAAAGACTAAAAATTCTTTCTTTCCATGAGAACATTACCCAAGAAAGTATGGGACAAATGCCAATTTGCTTTGACATTCCGTTCATCTTTCTTTCTCTCATGCCTCCTTGAGATAGTCATTCTGAAAACATCTTTTATGGCTTGAAGACAACTTCCCATTCTTTGCAAGATTGATCTTTTCAATTTCCAGTGCTGGTGAGGGTATATCAAGCTTTAAAATACAACTAAAGCTACTCATTTCTTTTTATGGATAATTAATTCACTCTTACAAAATAGGATTTATGCAAAGTAAGGAATCTAATTCTGAGTGTCGAATCATTTTCCTCAGTGGACCAAGATCACATTTCTTCTCTTTCAACATACGATTTTGAAAATAGTCCAATAAAAAATTAAACTCTAGTGTGTGATGTCAAAAAATAACCTATAAATTTAGTGATATACATGTTTCTATTACATTTATTCTGTTTCTGAGGATGTTTCACTGAGATATTATCGATTGTATTATTAAGGGCCTCAGGAAATATCTGGGCCTAGATTTTTCTTAGGAACATAGAAAATGATCAAGGTTATTAAACTTATTCATTACAAAAGGCATGTTAGGACATTCAAATGATGGAACATCAAATTTAGAAGGGACTTCATATTCCTGCTCTGTATGCTTTTTATAAGTATCACTCCTCATGTGGGGGCCATATTCATCAACCATTCAAGGTGAGTCTGATGTTGAACCAAATGAGCTAGACATGTGCAATTCAGTTTGTAGAGGGCATCTAGTTTAGATTAGGCTTGGGGTTGCAGGAACTAGAGTCAAGAGATTTGTGTTTGACTAACAGTTCAGCCTCTGGGAATATTTGTGACTTGGGCAAGTTACTCAACCTTCAATACTTTCATCTTTAAAGTAGGTTAATGATGATATTTAAAATTATATTATTGTAGTAGAGTATATGCACATGAAGTGCTAGACATTTAAAAATTATATTCTCAAATTTTTCAGTGCTAAAATAATTGTTTAGTTCATCTTTCAAATGTTAGTAAAATTTAGGAGAAGCATAGCTGTTCATCCCACAGATATAAACCTGGCCATAGTTACTTCCTATTTATCAAATCATTGACACAAGCCCACCAACAGTTTCCATGACTTCATTATATGTGCAGGTAACCTGTCCTCACCTCATCCTTCAATGAGCTACTATTTTGCTCTACTTTAGACATTCACTTTGTCAACCTACATAACAGGCAAGAAGAGATGCTCCAAGGATAATAAGTTTATTCAGGAGTGGGCATTGCAATGTAGTAAACAATGGAGATATTCACAGAAGTAAAGGAAGACAAGTGACTTTAAAGAAAAAATGAGGATGTTACATAAGTTGTTTTGAAACAATTATTCTTGGCAACAAAAATCAATAGCAAGGGTGGTGTCAGTCCAAGGTTGAACAAGTAGTTGCTGGGCAGATATCTTTGCAGAAGTCTTTTTTTGTATGTGAAAGGTTATGGGGGTCTTTGGCAAGTTTTTGGTTTTTGCAGTCTTTTGTGATAGTTCTTGTTCTCAGGCATACATGTGTGAGAACACTGACTTCATGGCCTTCCCTGGTCTATTTTGTCAGGGTTGACACAAGTGACTCCATTTCAATACTGACAATTTTCACAACTCCCACGAGAACAAGGTGATAATCTGGGCCTTGCTAACACCTGTAATTGTTTGCTTAAAACTGTCCTTAATTCAAATTTCTCATTTTTCACTGCTTTTACTGCCTGCTAAATACTGGTTAGGTAATGTGTACGTATTAACTCTGTGCGTGCTCACAGCCACTCTGTGGAGTAAGTGTTGTTGTTATTCCCATTTTACAGATAAAGCAATTGGGTGCAGAGAGATTAATTGTTTTGCCCAAAGGTCACACAGCTAGTAGATGGTGGAGCAGAGATTTAATACCTGGCATTTTGGCTCCAGACTTTATTTCTAATCACCATAAACTTATCTTCTTCCAGTTTCAACTACTCACCCTATGATCATTCCTTACCTTAAGAAAGATCCCCCATTTCATTGACCCTTCTGCATTTATTCCACTGTGAAATCTTTCCTTTATTCATTGTCCTCATTAAATCTTGATTCTATGATGTCATTGTTTCAAGAACACTTTTGATGTCCTTAGCTCCCATTTATAATAGAAAAAATTCAAGTTACCAGACTGGAGCTGTCTTATTTGCCAATATCAACTACAGACCTTTGTATATCTGCAAGTATTCCATTCTTTTTCTTTCTTTTACAATAGACAAACTAACATTACTCCTAGTTTAAGTTAATCATTCCATCTCTGCTTTGTGTTCTGCTCCTTCTTCCTCTCAAAAACCTTATTTATTTATTTTTTTCTTTAACTTCTATCTCACTTTCTGAGCTAGTTTCTTCCCATTAGAAATAACAATAATAGCCAGGCACAGTGGCTCATACCTGTAATCCTAGCACTTTGGAAGGCTGAGGTGGGAGGATCGCTTGAGCCCAGGAGTGTGAGAGCAGCCTGGGCAACATGGTGAAACCCCGTCTGCACAAAAAATACAGAAATTAGCTGGGCATAGTGGTGCATGCCTGCACCTGTAGTTCCAGCTGTGAGGCTGAGATGAGAGGCTCATCTAAGCCTAGGGAGGTCAAGGCTATAGTGAGCCATGATTGCACCACTGCATTCTAGACGGGGTGACAGAATAAGACCTTGAAAAAATAAAAAAAGGGAAAGAAATAACAACCACCACCACTTACATGGCTTTATCTGCTTGCCAAACACTGTCTTAGCAATTTGTAAGTATTAACTCTTGGCATGCTCACAGGCAGTCTGTGGAGTAAGTATTGTTGTTGTTCCCATTTTACAGATAAAACAATTGGGTACAGAGAGATTAACTATTTTGCCCAAGGTGACACAGCTGGTAAATGGTGGAGCAGAGATTTGATACTTGGCATTTTGGCTCCAGATTTTATTTCTAATTACCATTATATGCTCCATTTTAAATATTTACAAGTATCTCCTCTTTATCATTGATCCCTTAGTTTCCTTCAGCTTTGCCTCATCTCTCCATTTCACTAGAAGAGTGATTTTTCTCCTTTTCCTCCTCCTCCCCTTTACTCGCTTCTCCTTTTATCTTCCTCCTTCTCTTTATCCTCCTCTTCTTTTGTATTTGTGATTTTTATTTCCTTATCTCCTACTGCCTCCTTAACCCACTCTGATTTTGTTCTAGCTTCATCATTTCACTTACACAGCTCTTACTAAGCTCATAAACAATCTTTAGGTTGTTCAATCAAATGGCTCCCTCTCAATCTTCATCTTAAATTCTAAATAATCTCAATGCCACTGTACGGGTATCTGGGTTATGCAATTAACCCCAAGGACTAATTTCCTAAGGATTAGTTACCTAATCTATTGGTCACATGAGTATGTTTTTGATAACTATGTCCTGGTTTTTTTTTTTTTTTTTTTTTTGGCCACCCTGTGTTTGTCTTAAAGAAGCCTCACCCATAGGCTTCTCTTCTCTACCATCTGAATTGTTATTAAAAATATAAAATGCTATTGCACAATAAGTCTCTTGAGAAATATAATTCATCCTACAGTTCCTTACAGTACTGTAGGCTTACTTAACTCATAATCCCCAAATTACTCAGTAGTCTTCACAAATGATACAGATGATGTTGAATGTGATTGAACAGATAAACAAGATTTCCTGAGTTCTCCAGGCAGACAATGATTTAGGGAAGAAGCACTAGTGAGGAAATGAATTTGACAAGATTATTCTAAAAAGACCTTTTCTGATTACATTAGAGAGGCTTGAGATGTTTTTCATGGTCACTTGGCCAGCTGTATACTTTTAACTGCTTTCAAATTGATAAAAATAAAATCTTTTACAAATCCTGATGGACAAATGACTTTCATTTTTTTGTATGACTAAGGGCTATCAGTATCCTTTAATTGGTATGCTTTCAGGCTGTACTGACGATCCTAAAGCAGTAGTCAACTCAGAATTTTGACTGTCGTGTTAAGTTGGGTATCTTCTCAGACTTGACTGATAATATACATCCAGAGAGACAGTTAGAATCTCTAAAACTTTGTTATTAGAGCATCATCAGTGTTGTTTTAGGTTAACGGTGGTTTGGTTGCTGTTTTTATGTCATTTGAGTTTTTATTTGTTTTCCCTTACATCCCTTCTTAATGCTATGTTCTTTTTCAATCACAAAAGGAGAATAAGTAGGCTTGAAGCGACGTAGAGTTTCAGGTAAAATATTATAAGAATGGCTGGTTTAAGCTTGCACATTCAATTCATGCCTATTCTACATTTGCCGCTGAGGCAAAATACAATGAGATTGTTCTTCCCATTTTTCACACATTCCTCCACATGCTTTTTTAGGGACTTTTTTACTCAGTTTTCTTTTATATTTTTGTGAAGTAAGGTAAAATAGGAAAGAAAACTATATGTGTTGAAGACAAAAAGATTCAAGTTTTTTTTTTTACAAAACTTTGACATATTTATTTTTTCATAAGGCCATCAATTATTTAAAAATTTGTCAAAAAATTTAAATGGTAAGAACTAGCTTAAGACCAGTGACATGACTCTGAATGCTATTTCCTTTTAAGTTTATCAAGACAAAAAAGAAGGAACCAATTGACTTTAGTGCTTATTTTCATTTCTCTTTGTATAGAACTGGTCTATCCCAAAACATCTGTTGAAAGTTTTCTCCGCATTCTAAAAAAAGGAAGATGCTATTGAAAAGCTTAATTCATGTTACTCAGAGCTAGCATATTTTATTAAACAATTTCCATTTATGGTATAGTGAAATGGTAAACCTGCTTTTTCTTTTTCTTTCTTTCTTTCTTTCTTTTTTTTTTTTTTTTTTTTTCCTGACATGGAGTTTCACTCTTGTTGCCCAGGCTGGAGTGCAATGGCTGGATCTCGGCTCACCTCAACCTCCGCCTCCCGGGTTCAAGCAATTCTCCTGCCTCAGCTTTCCTCGTAGCTGGGATTACAGCCATGCCTGGCTAATTTTGTATTTTTGGTAGAGACGGGTTTCTCCACGTTGTTCAGGCTGGCCTGGAATTCCTGACCGAAGGTGATCAGCCAGCCTTGGCCTCCCAAAGTGCTGGGACAGGCGTGAGCCAGCACGCCTGTTTTTTCAAATGAGGGTTGGGTTCCGACCAGAGCATCATAAGCTTTTTCACTGAAGTTCCCTCAATGGTATAGTGTGGCTCTTCCCTCTTCCCTGGCTCTAGCTTTCACCACCCCTTTTTTTGGAGCATGTGGTTCAGTGCGACCCCCTGAAAGCATGGCTTTATTTTGAAGTCTCTGGTTTATCTTCAAAAGACATGCAAACTTTGAGTTCTACTCAATAATAAATCTATTTTGAAATTAACATTAATTTCTTCCTTTCTATTGACAGGCTGAATCAACCTGTTTATCCTGTGGTTTTTTGCTCCTTGTGCATATTCATGTAGATTTTTGTGGGAGAAGGAGCCTGAAGAAAATAGACCTGAGCGTTTTTCTCTCTAGTCAGCTCTGACAATTTAGGTTATGTTGTCAATTCTTTGTGTGGGTTGTGTGCTTTCTTTGCAACCTGTTGGGGTTACATATTCAATCAATATGTGTAGTTTATGGATATTCTGTAGATCCTGGAACATGATTCTACTATTGTAAGTGATTTTCATGGTTTATAGTCATTGTATGTTTGCTTTTATGACGTATTACAGGAAGATTGATTTATGCCAAATTTTAAAAAACGATGTGACATCTGCCCTTGAGAAGCTCACAGTAATAGGAGAGAGAAATATAAATAGACAATTTCAAAGTAATAAGACATGCATTCTTAGGAGAAATGCAAAGAGAACCTTAGGAATACAGTGGAGTGGTGCTCAACCCGTTCTGGTATTGGCAGGATGGCAGCTACAAATTAAACTTTTTGAAAAGTTTCTCTAGAATATATTGAACACTTATTTTTCATGCCAAAGGCAGTTGTCTTTCCAGTAGTTTATCATCTTTTTATTTGGAAGTACTTACTCTGTCTCCTGCACTACAACACATACTCCATGAAGTATAAGTATAATGTCTGGCACATAGTAAAAATTCAATAAAATTTATTTAATGTCTTAAAGACATTTTGTTTCACAAACTGTATTTACTGGATAATAACTATAGTTCCATTTTTATTAAAAGCCCATATACCAAGACATACATTAAAATCATTCCCTAGCCAGATAAAGCTTCCGGTCAGTATAACAGAATGAATATCACTGCACAGAATTGATTCTTAGGTTAAAGCTTTCCAGTGCCTCTGTTCCCATGGGGTATCTAGGCATGTAAGAAATCCATGAGGTCAGACCAGAGGGTGAATGAGTGTAGCTTACCCACAATCAAAGTGAGAGGGACCAGAAGGTCAATAACACAATATATTCAGTAAGGATCATTGAGGGTTTGACTATGGAAGATTCATGCCCAAAGGAATCACCAAGGCAAGGAGGGCTGAGCTGAGGCCTTAAAACTAGCAACACCCTTTGTTAAGACCCTGTGATAGTTTATTTGGAATGAAAACTAACAGATACATCTCTTATATATTTTTATATCTCAGAAGGCATTACAGAAGAAATGCCAGATGATAAATCTTGACTCATATGTAGACACACGGCAAACAGTTAAGAAAAGCTGGCAAGTAAAGGAGACAGTACCAATCAGCCTGATGTATTCAGAGTCTGCAAGAGGTGTAAAGTGTGTGGACCCCCTGAGATGCAAGAAAAGAGATGTAGAGGCAGAAGTGACTTAGACCTGTGCATAAAATATGGGAATTCTTCAAGTGGTATTGCTTTCTGGAACTTGCAATTGTCTGGAATGCTTGCTAGGTAGTCATTGCTGACTACATTAGCTGTCTCCCAGGAAACTACAGATTACATGTTTGCCTCTTTAAATCATATGTCAGTTTGTATGAATTAGAGAAACGTTATGTCTAGCTGTATAAAACTCGACCTTAATCATAAATAGCATATAGTTCATTTTGCAATATTATCATTGCATTGTAAAAATAATACATGATTTGGATTCAATACAAAGGATAAAGAGAAAAATAATAATCCACAATCCGATTATCTAGAAATAATGACTATCACTATTTCCTGATTATATGATACACATTTGTTGAAAAATTGTCCTCCTGACAAACTAATCCTTTAAAACTCATTGACTGTATTTCTTCTGTGAAATCTCGAATACTCCACAGTGATAGGTCTGCTTCTCTATTAAGATATACCTATATTATCTATTCACACTGATTATTGTGTTTATCATTCAATATTCTAGCTATTTTCTTTTCTTTGTATCTTCTTCTAAATTGTGCCTTTCCAAAGCAAAGGCCTTGATGTTTATGTGTTTCTTGCATGTAGATACAGTGTTTAGCACATGTCAGGTTGTCAATATTTGCTCAAGAATGAATGAACGAATGAGTGAATGAATGTTCATCAATTTATAAATTGTAGTATGTAATCTCATGGAAGTCAGGAAAATGGGCTTGCATACCTTTTATTCATTTATTCATTCAAAAAGTACTTGTGATTATTGCATTTAATTGGAATCAAATGAAATTATTTTTTTATTGCCTGAAATAAACTTTAAAAACTGAAAATTAAGATAATCTTACATTTGTAAGAATACAGATTGTAGGAAAATAGAAAATTGATGTGGAAGATTCTCCCAAATGCTGAATTTTACAAATGCAAGAAGTCAAGGCTAGTATATATTTTAAATACCCATGTCTTCAGGCTGTGGACTATGTTTTTCTGATTTTAAATTTTTAAATTGTTGCTTTCATGGATGTGTTTCTTTGTTTTGATGCTATTATAAAACAGGAAGGTTGTTCAATACCTCACTGTTTTTAAGAAAAGAAACTTCATCCTTTTGAATAAATAATTATGATTCTTTTCTTTAGAAGTGGTAAAACACATAAAATTAAATTTGGGGGCTTATTAGTGCATACATAAATAGAACTGGAAAAGGCATAGTAAGTCTTCGGTATACGTTGCTCAATTTAGAAGAGGGTAATAAAATCCAGAAACACGAAGTGACCTGACCAAGCTCACGATGATTTTCAGTATTAGAGTTAGGTCTAGGACACAACCACAGAAATCTACCTAACTTATAGATACAATAGGTAGGTGGCCAGCTGAGGGGTGGGCAAGTAATGAGGTTGGATTCTGTGGGCCTACGTATCTGTTGTCCCCGTAGCTACTATTTTCCATCTATAGCTATCCTGTTCTTTCCTGTACTCTCCTCTCTTATCCTATTTTTATCTAATCTTATCCTAACTTATTATATTCTATTGTCTATCTGCCTATTTCTCTACTTATATGTCATCTACCTATATAAATCACATTGATTGAGATGCTATGAAGTGAAGTGTTTTATGTATATTATCTCACTGAAATCTATTTGCAAATTCTTTGAGAAAGGTACTGTTGCCTCTACTTTACAGTTGAGAGCATTGAGGCTCAGAGAAGATAAATAATATGTGAATTCTCTCTAACTAGCAAGAGGTAAAGCTACTGTACTCCAAAGAACATGCTGTCTATGGCTCTTTGATTTAACAGGTTGTTCCTACCTGAGGCAGTTCAAGACACTAACAACCTTCTCCTTCACTTCATTCAAGTCTTTACTCAAAATCACCTCCAAAGTGTAACCTTCCTTGAGGATCCTTTTTGCAGTTCAGTTATACTCCCCCATCCACTTTCCTCCTACAGATTTTTTTCACTTTAGCATCCATCACTTTATATAATTGAGTACTTCATTGGGTTTATTTGTTTCATCCCACAGAATGTACACTCTATGAGATAATTTTTTTTGCACTGATCTTTGCTGTCCCTTGCACCTAGATTAATGCCTGGCACATGTAAATATTTAATACACTTTTGTTAAATGAACCAACTGAGCCAAATTTACACAGTACTTAGGTGAACCTGGGGTTCCTTTGGAAAAGATCAGAAAGCAATACAGTGTTCAAATTCTAGAAGCCAGAGGTAAATCTTGATGTTCAGTGGTAGTTGAGTAGGAAAAGGATAAAAATGAGAGAAGCTCGGCCAGGTGCGGTGGCTCACGCCTGTAATCCCAGCACTTTGGGAGGCTGAGGTGGGTGGATCACGAGGTCAGGAGTTCAAGACCAGCCTGGCCAAGATGGTGAAACCCCGTCTCTACTCAAATAAAGAAAATTAGCCTGGCGTGGTGACGGGTGCCTGTAATCCCAGCTACTCAGGAGGCTGAGGCAGGAGAATCGCTTAAACCCAGGAGGTGGAGGTTGCACTGAGCCGAGATAGCACCATTGTACTCTAGCCTGGGTGACAGACTGAGACTCCATCTCAAAAAAAAAAAAAAAAAAAAAAAGAGAGCAGCTCAGTAATAAATAATTGGTAGAAGAGTGTCCAGATTTATTGCTATGGGGAGAAGTGGTTATTTCTGGCTTCCCTTTTTTGGTTCTTAGAAACCTGATAGATAAACTTCTCTTAAAGGACTGAGGCAACATGGAAGGATGGTAAAGTCTAGTTGCTAGCCATGCATTGGCTTTGGAGCATTTCTAAGCCTTACTCAGGGAGAGCCAGAGGAGGAGCTGTTAGGATCCCATGTGACCCTATTCAACTTATTGGGGGAGGAAAGCTGAATCACATAGACCTGGAGGTTATTGTCTGTTGAGGGGAAGAATGCTTAAGGACTGGTGAACATATTGGCAGGGATTATTTTCACCCTCTGCGTGCTCTGTGGTTAGAGTAGCAGAATTGCTGAATAGGATAAGAGAAAGCTAGAACTAATTTTGCAGATTCTGGTGGATGGTTTGTAACTTATTGAGGTCAAGGATGGATTCTTTTTTAAAATTGCAACTGATGTGGAAGTTGGTAGGCTAGATGGTGAAGGCCTGGGCAGTAGGGGTGCAGGTTGTGCAGCAGATTACACATTTGATATTCCACAGACAAG
This sequence comes from Homo sapiens, assembly GCF_000001405.40. Taxonomy (NCBI): domain Eukaryota; kingdom Metazoa; phylum Chordata; class Mammalia; order Primates; family Hominidae; genus Homo; species Homo sapiens. The sequence continues at coordinate 82,444,780 of NC_000011.10, read as the reverse complement.
TTCATTAAAGGCGTTATTCCAGTTGACAGAACAACACTCGCATAGAGCTGCCAGGTTTGATGCTGTAAAGGAAACACACCACTTTGCAAATAAATTACACTTTGTATTAACTGAATGATATATTAATCTTTTCCGCCAGTGAAGCAGGAGAGAGAATGAGCAGTGAATGTTAACACAGGATTATATGGATATCCATTTGCAGTTTCAACTTCTTTGACATGCATGGGCGTAGAATTCAAAAATTGTCTTGAAAGAAAGTTTAACTAGCTGCAATATTTAATGCAGCTTTTCTTTTGTCATCTGTTTAGTCACAAGAACTTAGGAAGCTTGAAAATGTAAGATTCTTTGGATAAATTTCTTATTTATAAAAAGTGTCTCCAGTAAAAGTTTTCTTGGATCTGTTTTCTTTCTAAAGAATTGGAAAGAAATAAGACAGCTCCAACTGAAGGGCTGTTACAGCTCCTTCCAGGTTGGGAGATTGGAACTAACACAAGATTCCAGGTCATGCAGACTGGAGTTCTCACACTTGCCAGTTGTGAGATAAAGGGCAAGTGGTAGAACATCTGAGTCTCATTTCTGTAATCTGTATAATTAGAATATTAATTATGATTCACAGAGATGCTATGAGGAAGAATTTGATATCATATATAAATGTAATTAGCACTGTGCATACAGTACATTGATTTTGTTTTTCTTCTCCCCTTTTTTGGAAGAAGAAAGAGGAAAAGTCCCAAGACTAATCACACTCTGTTCCTGGATTCTCTTTCTGACAACAATTTAAGCTTGTGAAATTATTTTTTAAAAAATAAGTGTGTGGTGAAGAAAAAAACAAAGCTGATGGATTCTATCTTTGGCTCCTTTATCCAGCTTACTTTTAGTCTCCCAAAATGAAGCAAGTTGCTATTACTATTATTATTATTATTATTATTATTATTATTATTATTAACTTTCCTGTAGAAGGGATTTAAGAACAGTCCTATAACAATGGTATTTTAATCTGGAACCTGGACATTGAATGGTCCTCTCAATGCTTCTCCTACCCACACTTCTAATTCACTTCTGTGTATTATTTGGGTTCACATTCACCTTTTCTACCAGAAGTGAAACCCCGTTATGATGGAGCACCTCTGCATCACACTTCTAATGCCTAGTCTTAGGCATTGGAATGCCTAAGAAATACTATGAAATACTCTTATTCCCAGTCCATGGGTGAAGAAATGAGGATGAAAGAGGTTTCATCAATTTCCCCAAATTTCACGTCTAATGAACGGAAGAGGTAGGACTCAAAAGGCCTTTAATGTGTCTGGCTTCAAAGCCCATGTTCTTGACACTGCTCTGGAAGGCTTGTGACCTGCAGGGTGTGATTGGCATGGGGTCCAAGTCTCCACAGAGACCATTAGGGAAGTCTCCTGATCATTCAGAGCTGGGTTTATACATTCATCAAGGGTTTTTTTCTAAAACAAATACTTTTAGTTTCAATAAGGACCACATGACAAAATTTGCCATATTAACCACTTTTAACTGTATAATTCAGTAGTGTTAAGTACATTTACATTGTTGTGAAATATATCTCTATAACTTTTTCATTTTGTGAAACTGAAACTCTATACCCACTAAACAACAACTTTCATTTTTTCTCCTTCTTCCCAGCCTTAGGATTCTGCTTTGTGTTTTTATGAATTTAATTACTTTAAATATCTTATGTAAGTGGAATATACAGTTTTTGTACTTTTGTGACTGGCTTATTTCACTTAGCCTAATGTCCACAAGGTTCATCCATGTTGTAGCATATGACAGGATATCCTTCCTTTTTAAGGCTAATATTCCATTGTACACATAAACCACATTTGGTTTATCCACTCATCTGTCAACTGACATGGGTTGCTTCTACCTCTTAGCTATTGTGAATAGTGTTACAATGAACATGAATGTGCAAATGTCTCTTTGAGGTCCTGCTACCAATCGTTTTGAAAAAATATGCATCATATGGTAGTACTATTTTTAATTGTTTGAGAAAACACCTTACTATTTTCCATAATGGGTTGCACCACTTTATAGTGTCACCAACAGTGTGCAAGGGTTCCAGTTTCTCCACATCCTCACCAATACTTGTTATTTTCTATTTTTGTTATTTTTTTGAGAGAGAGTCTCACTCTGTTGCCCAGGCTGGAGTGCAGTGGTGCGATCTGAGCTCACCACAACCTCTGCCTCCTGGGTTCAAGTGATTCTCCTGCCTCAGCCTCCCAAGTAACTGGAACTATAGGCGTGCACCTCAATGCCCAGCTAATTTTTGTATTTTTTAGTAGAGATGGGGTTTCACTATGTTGGCCAGGCTGGTCTCAAACTCCTGACCTCGTGTTCCACCTTCTTCGGCCTCCCAAAGTGCTAGGATTACAGGTGTGAGCCACTGCGCCCGGCCTATTTTCTATTTTTTAATAGTAGTTGTACTCATGGATGTGGGGTGATATCTCATTGTGGTTTTGACTTGCATTTCTCTAATGATTAGTGATGGGAATTACAGGATCTTAGCAGCTGGAGTTAGTCATGGAGTGGTTTTAGGGTATAAATTAACACCTATGTTTTAAGCAGGGTTACAGTTTGTAAACTAGGTGAGTTTCTGGAAGTTAGAGGTCTTATCTGTGTAATGCTAGTATACGCATCACATGTCTCATTAGCATTTTAAATCTCCACCCAAGGTGTGTTTTTTACTATTATAATGAGCAAGAAGCTACTCTAGGGTGAGTTATTGGAGGGGTGCATATGCTCCTCAGTGGGGAAGTCCTTACCATAGTTGTCTCCTGCTAGGGCCTGAGGCGTCCAACCACAAGGCCAGAAGCACCCAGTGTAGCCATTGTCTTTTTTGCTGTCAGTGGGCAGTGTCTCCAGGATTTATTTTCCCAGGGGCTCCCTTGCCTGCTCATCTGGCTATATGCCTAGCCTAACACCTAGTACATAATAAATGCTGATTAAATAGTAGCGGCTGAGTGATTGTAGTAGTAATAGTGTAGTACTAGTAGTGAATATGTCAAGTAGTGATTGTGGAGATAGTGACGGTTGTAGCAGTAGCTATTGTTTTGGAGCTCTGTACTTCCAAACAATTCCATAACCACTGCCCTCATGTAGGAATGCATCTTCCTTGTTTAGATTATTAGTTCCCTCCTCCTCTACCCTATCCAACTAAAACACCACTGGCAGGATGACCTGCCTAAAACCCAAATCTGAGCCTGTCACTCTCCTTAGTAATTCCTCCACCAAGCCCCCAGTGGCTCTCTTTTGCCCTCAGGAGAAAGTCTAAGCTCCTTAACACTCTGCACTAAGTCATCTTTATTTAGGCTTCTGCCCATCTTCAGCTTCATCTCCAACAACTTTCCAACAACAGTATTTATTATTCCTCAGAGCTTCCAAATGCCTTAGTACCTCTTATATCTCGTGCTGTATTGTTTTCCTTAAAACTTTGATTTGTACCTAAGAAGATATTCTGGAGATTTATTAAAGAACAAAAATAGAACTATCATTCGATCCAGCAATCCCACTACTGGGTATACCCAAAAGAAAATAAAATTATTATATCAAAAAGATATCCTCACTTGTATCTTTATTACAGCACTATTCATGATAGAAAAGACATGGAATCAATCTAAGTATTCACCAATGGATGACTGAATAAAGAAAATGTGGCATATATACACAATAGCATGCTATTCAGCCATTAAAAAGAATGAAATGATGTCTTCTGCAACAACACAGATCGAACTGTAGGTCATTATCTTAAGTGAAACAAGCCAGGCACAGAAAGACAAATATTGCATGCTCTCACTCATAAGTAGGTGCTAAAAGTGTGTTCAGATGGATGTAGAAAATGGAATGATAGATATTGGAGATTCAGAAGGGTGAGAGGATAGGAGAAGGGAAATTGGTTAACGGGTAGAGTACGTTATTCAGGTGATGAGTGTGCTAAAAGCTCTGACTTGACCACAACACAATCTGTGCATGTAACAAAATTGTGTATGTACCCCATAAATTTGTACAAATAAAAACAAAAAAGGAGTAAAAGATATCATAGCATTCATGCTTTCTATTTTTACTCCAATTTTTTTTCCCTTTCTTTTTCTCTCCCCTCCCTTTTCCCACGTTACTCTCCCTTCACCTCACTTCCATCCACTGCTGTAATAATATCATATTAACACCTTGGGAAGTATCTTTTTTACTTTTTTCCATGTTCATATAATGTTATATAAACATGGATGTATATCTATTTATATATTTACATACTTTATTTACACATATAACTGGATACCTCTAATCTCTAATGTCAACTCCTGTGAAATTTAAGATCTTGTAAACATCTCTGAGCTTTAATGTTAGGTGAAAAATGGAATTGTTTTACCAAGTCACCGCATTTTCCTGACTCAGTTACTAATTGAAGGGCCCAGTATCTTTGCGAACTTGATGTTTTTAATTTGAAAGTCCCATTGTCATTTCTGTCGCCTTAGACGAGAGTGTTAAGAAGAGGTCAATGGCAAATTACTGACTCTAGATGAACAATTTGCTTTTAATTAAAAAGCCTGATGAAACTCTTTCTG